>NC_000013.11:60908106-63408106 GCF_000001405.40 Homo sapiens
TTCAAATATTCTTACCACAAAAAGTATTTAAGGTGATAGATATGTTAATCAGATAGATTTAATCATTCAACATTTTGTGTATAAATCATAACATCACTTCGTACCCCATAAATATATATAATTTATCAATTTACAATAAAATTAAAAAATAGAATTAAAAAAAAACCTAAAATTGAGCCATTGATTTTCAAACTGAGCTTTTTTTATTGTTAAATTTTCACTGTTAGGTCAGCAAGGTATTTTTTTTGTTGTTTCAAAGTTCATCACTTTGATATAGGCTTTAGTCCTGTTTCATCAAAATGATCTTCTGACTTTATTTTTAAAAACATATGTGTGTCTTAATTGTTTTGTACAGTTTTTGTTATATTTCATAGAGATTAAGGATTGAGTTGATTGACTTAGTTCCTGCTAATACATTAGTACATTTATTTTATTAATCACCTTGGAACACACGGTCAAAGCTCTACTTTTCACTGAACTGATTGCGTTGAATGCTTCCTTTTTTTCACCTGTTATCTGTGATCAATGGAACTGATCAATGTTTTCTGTTCTTGGTAAATTTCCACTCTTTCCAAGTCTATTTGGTTTGTTTATCCTTACTGTTTTGTTCCTGTTTCTGCAAAGAGGAGTGAGTCCAAGTCTATATTATAGTAATGTATAATTAATGGAAGAAATAAACACACACACGTGACCCTCCTCTATTTAAAAATAAATAATGAAATTTATTCTAACTTATTCATGTGTCTTTTTTTCCCCACAACCATTCATCTGGGCCATTTATATTAACCTTTCTTGTGTGAACGTTGCCATGTGCTAATGCACTTTTGCAGATTCATCTGGTTCCAGGATATATTTTGATGTATAAATGACTGTTACTTGGCCAGAAGAATCACTTTTAATTTGACTCCATTTCCCTTTTGGCCATGACTCACACTTATTTGCTAGCATCACTAGGATATTCTAAACTTGTCATGGAAGCAGTTATCCTCCTCTGAATTCTGGTTTCTTTTTGTGGAGAGTACTACTTGAGATCAAATCCACCAAATAAGAGTACACGTGAGAGTGAGAACAAAAAGTAATGTTGCTGCTACCTACTATAGAACCACTTTTAGTGACAGAGCTTAAAAAGGTATCTCTAAGGTATGGGTTTCTTTGATCTTTTCAATTTAACTTGCTACCATACCCTACTGTTTTCATAGCATGTCCACTTAAACTTTCTGCTATATTGATTCTTTTCCTCCCGGGGAAGGAAGTTGCATTTTATTATGGCCATCTGCCATACAGTGAAGGAGGAATAATGAAATTAGGAATTTCAGCAATAGTGTTTTACATACACCTCATGAGTTAAATATCAAGGTTATTCAACCTTTGATAATTATTTCAGTGTCACTGGAATCTTAATGTATAGGAAGGAATAGCAACCCTTTAATCTCCAAGATCATGCCTTATTAGTTGCTGATATTCCACTGATACTATCCCATACAATAAAGCTAGCAAAGTAGGGATCTTAAATATACAGAGAATTCAGAATTTCCTACAATTTAGGAAGGAGACATTTTTTACTTTGAAGTCTGATAAATCATTAATGCTCACACATTTACCCCTTTTCTCTTTCTGATTAGTTTTTTTTTCCTGGTGAAGAATGCGGGATGGAAATAGATGATGGAGTATGGAGGGTGTGGAGAGACATCTGTGTCTAGTGCCTATCCAAAGATGCTAAAGAGATGAAATAGAGGAGTCCTAATTGCAGATAATGGATTTCTAAGGGGCTAAATAAATGGAGAGGAGTTGGAAAAAAGAAAGATTCGGTTGACAATTTCAGAAAGAACAAAACAGCAGCAATATGGCTATATGGGCCTCAAAGCTGAATCACAGAGTTCCAATGACTATGTAGCTGAAATGACTGGGAATGATGGCACTGCTTGCTTGTCAAGAGTGTAGTATTTAAGGCCATTGTTACCTTTGTCCAAATGGCAGTGTTTGCACATATGCTTGAATTTTTAAATTGCATTTACCTTACTTTAGAGAGAAAAAGGGGAAAAATAAAATTGATAAAAATAGTTCTAAGGGGCCGGCCAGCCACGGTGGCTCACACCTGTAATCCCAGCACTTTGGGAGGCTGAAGCAGGTGGATCACGAGGTCAGGAGATTGAGGCCATCCTGGCTAACTCGGTGAAACCCCGTCTCTATTAAAAATACAAAAAAATTAGCCGGGCGTGGTGGCCGATGCCTGTAGTCCCAGCTACTCAGGAGGCTGAGGCAGGAGAATGGCGTGAACCTGGGAGGCGGAGCTTGCAGTGAGCCGAGATTGCGCTGCTGCACTCCAGCCTGGGCGACAGAGCGAGACTCTGTATAAAAAAAAAAAAAAAAAAAAAAAAAGGGGACCTCATATATGTAGCGTAAATGAAAGATGCTAGGAAGTCATCAGCCATGTTGAGAGTAACGAATCTTTAGCTTCACTAAAAGCTCATTGGAATTAAATTGAGAATGAAGAGACTGATGTAAAAACATGAACAAAATGCTAGAAATATATTGTCAAATACTGTGAAGAAAAAATATTTAATTAAGGATTTCAGAAAATGTTTTAGCTATTTGGGCTGGAATCTTTCTTTTTGCATAGAAACTGATAGTTGGACTTTCATGCACCTTTTCAGAGATGCTTTAATATAATATTTCTGAAAACATGAAATTGCCCATAGGCTAGTGGTCCCCCCAAAATAAACATTTTGGTACATTTGCTGACATGTAGAACATGCTCAGTTAATATTTGTTGAAAAAAAAAATAAGTGAATGAGGTTGCAGCATAGTATCTCTTACTAAATGCTACAAGTTAAGAAATCAAGTTAACCAGCTGAATCAAGATCCTGGTTTCTTGCCATCTATCCTAGAGATACTTTGGTGTCTGACAGTGTTCATAGTTTTAGTTTGACCCATCAAGTTGTAGGGCCTCAGCTCGTCTGTTAACCTTTATCTGTCAGAAGATCTCCAGTTAAGGTTGCATCTTTTTCTATGTTGACTTTCATCATGTGTTCAGTTTGCATTAGAAAAAAATATAAAGAGCAACATAAACAATCAGGCATTTATCCCCTTTAGGCAAACATGTCTCTGAACAAGGCTGTAAACTTTTCTGTCATTTTAGTCATGAGTTGGACAGCTATATTCCTTGAAAAGATAAATTCTCTGTTAGTTAACAGAGTTTGAAGTAAATAACCAGAGGTGATAGGAGGCAATTTTAGAAAAATGAGGTTTTCAGGAAGTCCTTCTTTTTGGAGGATTCTCAGGGAAAATACCATTATTGCCTTTCTTTTTCTTACTGTGTTGAAAAATTTTACACAGTTGGATTAATCATGCTCAGAGACAAAATACACACCAGTGATTATTCATCAGCACCAGAGTTGGTAATATGAGATTTTGTTAAATTTTTGGATTTTGACAATGAAAATTAATCTATGTGTGTTGCAAAGTTTTTCATGGAGGGGCCCTAATTTAGTGGAATTACATTTATGTTTGTATCCAATGACAGGTTATTTTCACCTCCTCATTTCTTTTTTTCCTTTTTTAAATTTCTTTGAAAAGATTTGATTTCATATATACCAAGATATTAACAAGTCCATGTAGTATGCAACCTTCTAAACCTTGTGTTAACTAGCTAAAGACAACTCCTTCCTGTTGAAATCTGGAAGAGAGAGAAATTACTTACTGAACTGGGAGAAACTTAATATTAATTGAACTGTTTAGTGACTAAAACTATCTCATAACAAACATGACCCGATTTATGAACATGTTATGGAAATAGCTTCACTAACTTGTTTGTTCTGGTGTAAATTATTTTTAATCTAGTTATATCATTGGCTTATCTACTTAATTTATAGAATTTTAAAACTGGATCATTTACTTTAAGCATCACATTTTACAGATGATAGCATGGGACAAACCTGGCTCAGATAAAGTGACTTATTCAAAGATGCACAGCCATTTCATGGCCAACTTCAGCTTAGCTGACTCTCAGTTTGATCTATTATACATTACACTACAGAGGGCGGTGTCACAACAAAGCATAGGAGAGTCAAAAAGAGAATAAGATTTTATGTTTTACATTTTAGATTCACTAGGAATGTCTCCTAAAGGCAAAACAGAATAGCCATAAAGCGCATGGGCTTTGGAGATGGATAGACCCTGGCTCTACACTGTGAGAATTAGAATTTTAGTCTTTGAATGCTGTAATCCACTTTGCAACCTGGTGAGATAATTTCTTCCTGAAATGCTTGCTGAGCTTTCTTGGAAGGTTTGGGAATTGACTCAACAAATCTATACTGAGCACCTACTATTTGCAAGACATTGCAACAATAATTGCAAATAGAGCATTCAAATTATGAGTAAAACACAATCTCTCTACAGTTACTATAGCTTTTGTACTTTTTTGTTTTTTACTTTTAAATCCACATTTGGTTATTTGACTATAAAAACATTAGTAAAAGAAACACTGTGATTTGGGGCCAGCAAATGTATTTGAAATAAAGAATGAAAAATTAGAATGTAGAAACTAGTAATGAAGATTTTAAATGACATAAAATACTGATTAAATAGATTAAAATCGTATTGAATGCTTTCATATTTGATCATACACAATTTGACATGTCTAAACTACAATATTATGTCTTATCTGCAATCCAGATTATGTTTACTGGGTGAAGTCTAAGTAGGTAAGTGAAGGGAGTCATTTGAAAATTAACTCATTTAATGCCTAAGGCAATTTTTTAAAATAAAAAGCTGCATTATTGTGATTTAAAGTATAAGATTTCCATAGAAATAGAATTTGCAACGAATGTTTTTGGGTGTAGGTTCAGCACACCATGCTATCACAAATGAAAATCACTTACTTATTTTAGAACTTCTTACCTTATTAAAATGTGTCATTATTAAAGTCCCTTGTTACACATTCAAATATTAAAAGGAAGAAAATAAAGCACACCTGGCTGTATATAATTGTCCTTGATTCTAATAGCAAAATCATCAAAATTGCTCTTTAGTTAAAGATGTTCACGTTATAGTCACTGATCTTGCTATTAATAGTTGTATAGCACTTTAATGGTGGCCTGCTTAAAAATACATGTGAATAAATTTCATTTTTTTCACAATATGAAATAGGGGAGACATGCAGAACCTGACACTCACCTCATCCCACCCTAAATCTTGGCATTATTACAGACCATACAAAGTCCCTTTATTCTAAGACTATGGTGTGACCTAGGGCTAATATATTTTTGTTTGGGTCAAAATAAATTTTTAAGGATGTGCTGGGAGTAGTATAGTCATTATTCTCATATGTTTTCACTTCTCTCTGGAAAAAAAGTTTCATTCTGGTCATCACTGTACTTACATACCTTTCAAGGGTGGGCAGTTCTCTTATCTCTGTCTTACCCCTGAGTTGAATGACATGAGGTAGAGCTGGGGAAAGAGCGTATCGAGTAATGAGTTAGAAGGTGAAACAGGTACCAGCCAGAGCTTCTCTATGCCACGTAGCAGTGAGGAGTGGGGCGCATCTGGCATTATTTCTTGATTTGTCCATAGGATTCAGACAGCAATATGTTCCCACAGCACCTAGTTTTACTTGCTTTGAAAAGAACACTACTTTGTCAATATCATTTTATCCTTTAAAAATCTTGCCCTTTAACTTGAATAGCGCCTACCAAGGCATTTAATGTACAGTTCACATTAAAATTATCTTGACAGTTGGATATTAAGCAATGAATTCCATGAACTGGAAGATAACAGCAACAACAACAACAAAACTCATAAGTGCTTTCTGCTTATCTCTACTATCTCAACTCACTTATTGTCATTTGATGGTTGGGTTAGCCAACCCAGAGTTGAATTCTGATCATCCATTTGGCCGTTTACTAGGTTGATTGCAGTGAGAAAGTCATTCAGCTTCTCTTGGCTTTGGTTTCCTTTTCTGTATAATGATATTCTCTTATTGTAGTTCAAAAGTTCTTTAACATGCTCAAGGTCTCACATTGTATGGATACTTTTCCTTCTTGAGAATTTCCCAGAATTGCCTCCCCTTAGCCCAGAGTAGTTAGAGACTTGTTGCTGGGTTCGTGGCATTAGGAACTTTAGCAAATCTTTTTTAAAAAACAGAATTCTGAAAATTTTTAGCCAGTGGATGTGGAGTGGGGCCTCAAAGTCAACATTTCAAAATAGTTCTACATATGAGTGTGAGACATAGCCATATTTGGGAAGAAGCTGAATTGTTACAGATTGTGTGCTGCTATGTATTTTTCAGACCTGAATGATGTCAGAGTGGCCTCTCTTCACCGATAGGCCTATAGAGACTGATCTGGAGAGTTATGTGAAATCAGTTTAACTTTATCGCAGACCCTCAAGTATGCACATTATAACATTTTAAAAGAGGAAAATATATTCTTCATATGCCTCAATTTGTTTAAATATCAATTCAGGCTTGAGAAAAGAATCAGTTATGACTCCAGGTTTAAGGATGGAGAAATAGAGGAGTTGCTGGTAATTTAGCATGTGAGGAGAGTGAATGGGTTAGAGCTGATTTAAAATCGGTAAAGGGAGCAGGGACAGATGGTTTCAGCCTCACATTTTATGTGTTTTTAAAGGGAAAAAATGTTCTATATCTTCACAAGACATTTTTATTCTCTTTTCAAAATGCAGAGCTACTTCTTACAATAATGATGCATATTCCAGAACAGCAGAGTCATATTAATTCTTTAGAAAGGAAATTATTTATTTATCTGTGGGAGAAATTCAGGTCCCCCAGACACAAGCCAAACTTTCCCCGAGGCCACATTGATGTTCTTCAAAACAAACTCAAAGTAAGCGAAGGGCATTTCACTTTTGTGACAATTGAAATCAAACTTCACTTTTAGAGTGGTCAGCAAGAACCAGGGTTAGGAAGTGCTCTCTTTCTCTCTTTCTTGTGGATGTGATGAGAGTGTCTTTTGCAGATTTACTTGGAAATGTATGAATCTCTTCTCATGGGGTCACTTTGATCACAAACTGTAAGGTCCTGAGCTGCCATAGAGAGCACTGGTTCTACTAGAGACTTGCCCAAACACCGAATCTCACTTCCCTATCTACAATTTGTATTCTATTTTATTATGTCACTTTATTTCCAAAGACTGAACCCTTATGCTTTTGAGCAGTGTCAAAAATGAGGGCTTTTATTATCTTATAGTTCGTGTTAAGAGGATTCATTTGGCAGTGTTCAACTCTTCAACCAAATTAGTGCAATTTATTTCAACGCACCAATTTCATGGTTCGTGAATTCGTTGTTATTATTGCTGACTTTCATTCTAATTTTCCTTTGAAATTGAACAGTAAGTAATCTCTAACAAAAACTGTGTAGTAACTAAAAGCCCAGTAGGATGAAGGTAGAAGTGTATATACTCAGACAAAATAGACAATGAATTGATAAAGAAGGTTTTTAATTAGAACAAAATGAAACACTTTTGCAAATGAAAAGGTAGTTCAAATTAATTAGCAGCAAAGAGCCAGTTACTTATGGTAGAAAATTGCCTAATCTTCTGATGGGAAATTTTGCATACAGACTAAGGGAAATAACTTTGAAACTATTTCCAGTCTATTTGTAATATTATCTTCAAAAAAGACATTCTTCACACTAAACAATTTTCCCTACTTCGGTAGCAACTATTTTGAACCAAAATGCTCATATAAATGTCATTAATGTTAATTACAACTACATATTATTCTGCAACTGATATTTTGCAGTTTTATTATTCTTATGTATAATTTTTTTCATGGTTGGCATCAGTTATTCTGCCTCAACTTTTCTGTGGGTTTGATGGGTTTCCAAAATATATGTTATGATAAATTGACAAAGGAAAAATAAGAAAACCCTTTTATACAAAACAGAATTTTACAAAATAAATTTAATTATAAAAGTAACTTGAAAAATATTTAAGGAATTGAAAATATTCATTTTAACTGACAATTGTATTTAAAATATATGTTTTTAAAAACATTTGATATTTTAGTGGTGTTCTTGAAAAGAACACTTTCATATTAAATGCTCCTGTCTGGTCCTTATTTTCTCCTGATTGAGTCCAAATTTCCTCAACTATTCCTTTAACACCATTCACTACTCAACTCTCATCTCTCCCCTTGTTAAGGCCTCTGGCATTTCCCTAATTAAAAAGTCAAAGTGATGCTTAGGCATCTCACATTGAGTGACTGGTCCCAACATTCATTGATGCCAACCAACCTTATTTTCTTAAAAGTTTGTCTTCCGTTAATTTCCACCACATTTCTTCAGTGGCTTTCCATTTATCTCTGAATAAACCTCTTCAGTTTCTTTTGTTTGTTTCTTTCTCTCTATTCATTCCTTAGTGCTGACCTCTTAAGTTCTAAATTTCAATTCTCACATTATGTATTTTACCTGGACAATCTTGTCTACCCTGGTGATTTCAAATATAGCCTATACATAAAAAAAAAATTTAAGTCAGTATTATGGGCTCCAGAGAGCTATTTTCTGATTGTATACGAAAACATTTCACATGCAAATGCTGCTTTATATGTCTCAACCTTAACATGCCGAAAAGTAAAATGGCTTCTTTCACTCAAATCTGCTTCTCCTCCTTGTTCCTTATCATTGTTAACAAAGCTGTCATGCTCTTAGTCTGCTTCCCAGCCTTCCCTGTCTCACTGCGACATCATTATCCACCAAGCTGCTAGAGCCAGGAGTGATGGTAGCATCCTTTCTCTTCTTTCCTCGGTTCAGTTAAGCAATAAGAACTACTTTGAGAAAATAATCTAAATATTTCTATTTCTCCCCATTGTCATGACTACCAATTGTTTAAGGGTCTAGAACTTAGAACCAATTGAAACAGAAGATATAGGAGAGAATCACATGGAGATCAAAATACCTTTACTATGGCTAAAGCTGATTGAAAATCTTGGCATAGATATGGAATAAATATTAATGTCTCCAAAATCTTCTCAAAATTTATACTATGGCACAAACAAGTTAAATGTAGGTCTCTTCCTCACCATCTATCTTAGGTCTCTTTCTCATATTTTCCTCCAATCTCTACTGCTGGGAAGGCGAGGGACATGGAGGGGAGAGATCACCTCAAGTAGGCACAGGTAACTTTTTACAATATCTCAACTACTTTTTCACAAGGGCAGCAAATACATTTTTTGTTCAGTATGACATTTACAGTATCCTAAACAATGCTAGTATATACGTATACCTGATAAATATATGTTGAATAAATTTAAAAAGAACATAGAAAATTTTCCCTGGACTTGACTATTTGCTGATCTTGGTGTTCTGATTATATTTCTTATGCATTTATTAAAATATTTTTCTCACTATATAAATTGCATATATATTTTTACATTTCCATTTCCCAACTAACATATAAAGGCAGTACATGAATTACAGGTTAGTTCATCATCTTATTGTCCTGGAAGCCTAGCTCAGGTTCTGGCATTTATTCCTCCTTTTATCCCTTCTTCATCCAAAAAACATTTATTATCTGTTTGTTATGGTCCAGGCACTGCTTTAGTCACTAAAATTCAAAAATCATTAAGAAACAACCTCTGCTTTTGGCAAGTATCTTAGTCCATTTGTGCTGCTATAACAGAACATTATAGACTGAATAATTTGTAAAAACTAGAAATGTATTTCTCACAGTTCTGGAGGCTGGAAAATTCAAGATCAAGGCACTATCAGGTTTGGTGTCTGGTGAGGGTGTGGTCTCCACTTCCAAGATGGCACCTTGAACCTTGCATCAGGGAAGAGGGAGGGAGCACTGTGTCCTCACATGGCAGAAGGCAGAGGGCAAAAAAGGACTAACCTCCCTCCATCAGGCCCATTTATAATGGCATCGATCCATTCACGAGGGTGGAACCCTCATAACATAAACACTTCCCCCAAAAACCCATTTTCCAGTACTGTTGCTTTGGGGATTAAGTTTCCAACATAAAAATTTGGCGGAACACGTTTAGATTATAGAATTTCATGCTTGGCCCCCAAATTTATATTCTTCCCACATGAAAAATCCATTCATTCCATTTCAATATTCCCAAAAGTCTTAACTTGTTCCAACATCAACCCAAAAGTCTAAGTCCAAACTCACATCTAAATATGAGGGTGAGACTCAAGGTATAATTCACCCTGAGGCAAATTCCTCTCCAGCTGTGAGTCTGTGAAATCAAACTAGTTATGTACTTCCAAAATGTAATAGTGAGACAGGAATAGGATAGACAATTTTATTCCAAAATGGAGCAATAGTAAAGAAAAAAGGGGTAACAGGTACCAAGTAAGCCCAAAGCCTAACAGGAAAAAGAAGATTAAATCTTAAGGCTAGAGAATAATCTTATCTTCATGTCCTGCCTTCTGGACATACTGGGATATGGGGAGGTTGAGGTTCCCAGGCCCCATGAAGCTCCATCCCTATGGCTTTGTTGGACATAGCCCACGTATCAGCTCTTATACCTTGAAGTCATATGCCTGCAGCTTTCCCAGGCTGGTACTGCATGCCAGGGACTCTACAGTTTTGGTATCTCAAGGGTAGTCCCGCTCCACAGGTCCACTAAATATTGTCTTAGTGCAGTCTTTCTGCAGTGTCTCTGCCTCTGTGGCAGGTCTCTGGTTGGAACTCTGAGGCTGTCTATAGCATCCTTTGAAATATTCGTGCAGAAAGCCATACCTCCACAGTTTGTGCACTTTGTGTGCCTGCAGAATTAGAACTGTCTGGATGCTGCCAAGTTTTGTAGTTTGTGCCCTTTGGAGTGACAGCCTGAGCTGTACTGGTCCTGCTTGAGTCACAGCTTGGTGCCTGAGAAGAGCTGTGCTGGAATGTAGGGAACAGAGACTTGAGGTGGCCATAGGCAGTGAGCTCCAAGGACCCATGGGTACCCTAGGCCCCTCCTATGAAACTGTTCTGCCCTCAAGGCCCTAGATATCCGCAATGCTTTTGGGGTCAATTTCTCATTGTCTTGATGAGTAGCACTGGCTTCCTTCCGTCCACACTAATCTCCTTAATAAATGGTCATTGGGCCACACCCTTGGTTTTCTCTCCTAAGCATAGTTTTTAATTCTCCACAAAGCCAGGCTGAGAATTTTCCAAATCTTTTCATACTGTTTCTCTTTTAATTATAAATTCTGTCTTTGAATCATTCTCTGTTCTCACATTTGACTATAAGCAGTAAACACTGCTGCTTAGAGATTTCTCTTTTTAAATATTCTAGCTCATTGCTCTTAAGTTCTGCCTTCCACAAAGTTGTGGGATATTGACATTGTTCAGCCAACTTCTTTTTCATTTTGTATCAAGGCTAGCCTTTCTCCCAGTTTTCAGTAAGATATTCCTTACTTCTGTCTAACACCTCATTAGAGTATCCTTTACTTGTCATATTTCTACCAGCATTGTGTTCACAACAATGTAGGTTATCTCTAAGAAGATTGGGGCTGCAGCTTTCCTCTTCTTCTGAGCTCTTACCAGAATCACTCTTACTGCTCTGTTCATGAAAACATAGGCTTTTTCCAGTATTCACTTCAAAAGAGTTCCAGCCTCTATCCATTATTTAGTCACTTCCACATTTTTAGGTATTTGTAACACCCCACTTCTCTGGTACTAATTTTTGTCTTTGCTGTAACAGAATACCATAGAGTAAGTTACAAAGAACAAAAATTTATTTCTCATTATTCTGGAGGCTTGAAAGTCCAAGATCAAGGTACCAGCATCTGGTGAGGACTGCAATCGACTTCCAAGATGACGCCTTGAATGCCATACCCACCAGAAGGCTGGTACACTGTGTCCTCACATGGCAGAAGGCAGAAGGGAACAGAGAGACAGATGCCTTCCATCAAGCCCTTTGATTACAGCATGAATGCATAAGTGAGAGTGGAGCTTTCATGAACTGAATGCCTCCCCAAAGGCCCCACCTTCCAACACTGTTGCAGTGGGATTAGGTTTCTAACATATGAATTTTGGGAGACACATTCAGACCATAGCAGCAAAGCTGTAGACTAATTGAAGAATTAGTCTGTAGGCAAATAAGTACAATAAGATGTTCTGAGAGAAGGTTGTGTATGACACTGCAATGTAGGAAATGTGTTGAATTTGTGCTTGTTGAGTAAAAAAGTAAATTGTATTTGCTAAATATTTTGTCTTCATTATCAACTGATCTGTATAAACAATAAAAGTATTCTATTATCTTCATTGTACCTATGAAAATATATTGAGTAGCTGCATGCTAATCTTTAGATTTACTAATTCTAACTTCTGCCCAAGTTTAAGCACTATAATTCTGATATCTAACTCTGTTACCTTAATTATTTGAAATGAAATTAACAATTAACATCTGTTTTATGTGGTTATACTGTCCTCTCCACAGCCGTAATTTTACTTAAAAACATAAACCATATCTTGGCAGAAAAAGCTATTGCATTGAACATATTATGGGCTTAAGACATTGTACTTAATTTCAGTTTGTAGAATTATTTATGATCCAAAATGTCTTTAAACAAGATATGTTAGTGTCCTTCCCAGCTTGAGATTCTATGATTCTAAGATACACAAAGAAACTTTTACTATAGCTTGAGGATAGTGGAAATTAGTGCACAGAATTTTTTCAGTATTTCAAAAAAAATTATAATTTCAACTTTTATTTTAGATTCAGAGGGTACATGTGCAGGTTTGTTACATGGGCATATTGTGTGATGCTAGGGTTTGGGGTACGGATGATCCTGTCATCCAGGTGATGAGCATTATACCCAAGAGGTAGTTGTTCATCCCATGTCCCCCTCCCTCCTTTCCTGATAGTCCTCCCCAGTGCCTTTGTTTCCATTTATATGACCATGTATACTCAGCATTTAGCTCCCACTTATATTTCTCAGTTTTTACAGTCATTTTGCCTTCTTGGCACTGGCTTCTTTTGGGTTGAAATAAAGGCCACTCATTCAACATGATCCTATCAAAAGTATACACATTATGCCTTTTCCTTATGATCTCCCAGCTGTAGAAAGAAACATGTGGACTCTTTGTATAGTGAATGTTGCTAACACTACACTCTAAATGCTCTTTCAGTGAGGCTGTGGTCACCTCTTTTGAGCTGTCTCTGAAGAAGAGTGACAGCACTGATACTAAACTGGATCTGTAGAAGTGTTATTTCCACTGGTGATTGCACAGGCAGTTTTGAACCTGCTTTTGGACAACAGAGGATAGGGAAGAGGCTTAGAGGCCTATTTGACATTATAGGGTATGAGCCTAAAACTCTGTTGGGCATTGCTGCTGCTGGGAATAATAGTTTCTGGTCATCAGAAGCCAGTGGGACACTGTGGTATTGGTATTCATCACCCACACAAAGAGCCTGTCACTTGTTAATACTCTGGATCTGGGCTGGGCAATTTCAGAGTTGTTCCTCCCTATCTCCTGTGACACAGAGCTACAAAACTCTCCATATTTGGAAATGTTATGAAATCATCTAAGTTAGCATGAGGGTTAGTTATAAAGCACTGGGACCATCAGTCATCTTCCTTTTTCACCATGTCTAACCATAATTTTATATTTGCTTCCAGTAGCTGGCCTTATAAATCTTAATTAAAGGCTTTCTCAGATCCTGAATTTAAGCTGTCACCCATTATAGCTTCGTTGAAATGTCCATGTCCATTAAAACCTTATCAAAATGCAGCATCTATTACCTTTGAAGCTCATGTTGTATTCATCTCTGCAAGCTTTGTTAATGCAGGGAAGGTGCATATATGCTGGCAACATAACGTTCCCTGACAGGTGCTGTTAAGCAGCAACGGCTGGCTTTACTCTCTCCACAGCCTTTGATGACTCTTATAAAATCCTGGAACTACGGTTTGCTACATACAGGATGTGTAGTAGGATAGGCCAAACAAAATTAAACCATTGATTCTTATTCCATGTCATGAAAGGGTAAAATAATCATGTTTTTTTCCTCAGATCATTGGCATTTTAAAGCAGCCTAAAATAATGTCAACCTGTTGGCATGATCCAATCAAGCAAAATGCATACCTAAATTCATGAACAAAAAAAATGTGTTGATTCTAAATTGTGATTCTGGTATTTCCTTGGAGAAGCGGATGTAACTTAAAACCAATATGCCTATCTTGGCTTTACTGAATGGTGCTTTAGGCATTTGCTTTCTATAACTGGATTGACTAGGAAATGAACTTGAGAAGGTGAGAATTTTAGATGAAGATCTGAAAGTATGACTAAGTGAGAGATTTAAAAGTAGAGATTGAAAATTATGTAAAATAAACCTTCATAATGTCACAGCATCACATATTATCACCGTAGTGACACCAATAAAAAATATCCTCAAGTTCTTTAGTCATGGGGAATAAAAGAATGAAATAGTGTAGCATGCTACAGCACTACAATTTGATACTATTAAGATTTCACAGTTGCTGTCAGCCAGGTCACAGTAAGGGTTAAAACACTTATCAGTTGTGACACTCTGTCTTGATAACCTTTTTAATCCTTCAGAGGCACTAGAGGAAATAGCTAACAACTAAGAACAAGTTATAACGAATACGGATGTGTTTCATCCACTCATAATCCCTTCTCAATTATTCAAAGTTCTGTTTCCACTACAATCTTTCAGATCCTCTTGTGTATCATTCATCTGTAAGAATGTTGGCGGTATTTCTGCGTACTCCAAGGCGACAGCTGTTAGTATGAATCTCTTCTTTTTTTCCTCTCCCCAACTAGAATCAGAAGCCCTTTCAGGTCAGGACTTTCTTGTTCACTTGTTCAACCTATATTCCTACCACCTGGCACTGGGCTCTATCTAGAGGAATTGGAAAATGCATTTAATAATAAGGGTGGAAATATTTCTGAGGGCACATTTTCTAAGTGAGGAAACGAATAAGACTTTTTTTTCTCTCACTCTTTGGAAAGACTATGATCATAAGGCTAAAATATGCATTACCTAATCTACTATGTCTATCTCTTAGCAATGTTTTTTAACAGAAAGCCACCATATATCTCTGTAATTATGTTGTTAGAGTATGTAGAAAAGACCCAAATTATATTATTTCTTTTAAATCTTAGAGATATTATTACATATTAATCATTTTTTCTTTATGGTCTCCAAGACATTTTTTAGAGGTGTCTACATAATGTTAAGTGAGAAGTTTTATACAGGGGTAGCAAACACAATGCATCACACCATCTTTAAGAGTGAAGTTACATGAGGTTTTTTCCAAAAGTAAAGACCACCATTTGTTTGCTTGCTCATTTATTCAGCAAGCATTCATTCTAGACTCTGGAACGTAGCAGTGAATAAAAGCACTTCTGCAAAATAAAATACATACAATGTAAATTTTTTTTAATCTCTGGGGAAAAATATAAAGCCAGGTAAGGGATATAGGAAGCTTCTATAGAGGGGCTGTAATTTTAAACAGGGGGAGCAAAGAAGGCTTTACTGAGAAGGTGACATTTTATTCGAGACCTGAAGAGCTTAGGATTCAGTCCTCTGCGGGGGGATGAGCATCCCATGCAGTAGAACAGCAAGTAATCAGAGGTAGGAATTAGTCAACAACTAGCCAAGAGGCCAGTGGAGCTGAAGCCGAGCAAGACAGGGTAGAGCAGACCAAGGAGAGGTCAAAGAGGAGGCCCATTGTATAAAGGAGGCCCATTGTATAAAGCTGTCCTGGCCATTTCAAGCACTTTTTGTTTTTTTTTACTCCAAATGAGGTGAAAAGCCCCAGAAGGATTTTGAACATTGATTATACAGGCTGAATGAACTTAGACTAACTAAACACTGTTGCTTATATAGAATTTAGAATAACTAAACACAGTGGCTTATTAAATAAATCATAGTTAGTAAAGAAAGAATGTACGATTAGACTAATATTCTAAATTCTTTGAAGTGATGCTTTATTATAAACTTTTCTTGGCATTACTATCAGAAATAGATTATATAAAATCTCATATTTTATGCAAACCTTGGGTGCAATAAAATTTTAAAAGATTGTCATACTCAGATAATTTTATAATATTGATGTTACTTTCTTTTAACAGTCATAGTGTAGATCAAAATATAGAGGATCCTAATGGAATGAGACAGGCTGTATCTCTGATGCAAGTGATCCTTACGGTCTCAGGTAGAGGCACATTTTCTTTCCTGGGTGGCTACATGTATATTGGCACCAACAGCCCCCTGTGGAAAGGATCACTCATGGTTTGATAAGCACAACTGAAAAGTGTCAGCAGTCACCAAACAAGAAGTTTTCCCTTTTGGGGGAAAGATATTTGGAATCATAGGAATCTCTAGTTTTCTTACTCACTGATTCTGGGACAATGCAGTTTCAATGACATAATGTAAGTGGATGCTTTCTACACAGTGCTGATGCTATTAACCATACAATAGATTTCAGTGTATTTTTTCTCATTCTGACCACTTTACCTTTAGCTTTAATATTCTGTTAGAGCATCATAATATTTATGTCTAGAAGGAACCATAAAGGTCTTCTACTCCAGCAGTTCATCTGAAGCTAACCTACCAACTAAGTATAAACTGTAGCTTTGTCAGTTTTGAACAACCAGAGAGTGAGATCTTAACTATTGTCATGATGTTGTCAATATCACTTTTGGAAAAATGAGACAGTATACTATAACATTAACTTTTCATTACTTAGGCCAAAGTCCATTCTGGGGCCAGTTAGGAAAAAATAATAATATCTTTTAGACATAACAGCCTTACAAATGTTGAAGACATCTCAGATGTTTGCTGACTTTTCTGGCAATCATCTTCTGCTCCTTTAGCTAATCTTTGTATAACATGACTTTGAATCTCTTCATCTTTTTGGTGACTCTCCTTTGAATGTACTCCAGTTTACCTCTCTTCTTGAAGTGTGTGGCTTAGATGTGGTTTGATATAGAGGCATAATTGAATGGAATTATTATTTCCCTTGATCTGGACAAAATATTCTATTAATGTAGCCAAGAATTGCATTAGCTTTTTTGGCAACCACTGTTCAGTGCTTGATGTATATCAAGCTCCCTGTCAATTAATCCTCCAGGGACTTTTTTATTTATTCTCTTGCTAAGCTACGCCTTTGACGTCTATATAAGTTTAGTTGCTGTTTGGAATAAAAAGACTTTACTTTTTTTTTTTCCTAATTAAATTTCATCTTGCAAGTCCAGTGTTCCACCCATTGGGATATTTTGGGATCCTGATTTTATCCTCTATCAGGATTTAATAGCTTTAAGACTGAACTCAAATAGGCCAGTAATTTTCTAAAAAGGACTATTCTTTTGAAGATTGCCTTCTGAAAATATCAAGGAAATCTAAGAGACATTTCATAATACAGGTTAAAAGAACAGATCTGGGCAGTAGCCACACCTCATTTCCAGCTCTAGCTCTGTCACTTTCCAGGTGAATTTATTCATTTGGTTAACAAACTGAACTCCTACTATGAAACACATTATCCTAGGCACTTAGGACTCATCAGTGAATGAAACAGACAAAAATACTTATCCTGGAGGAGCTTATAGTCTAGCAGGGAAGGAAACCTATGAAAAGAAATATACACGCTACAATCCTTAATATTCTTAACAGGAAAAATAGGAATAAATGTATTACTTTATAATATATGGTTTGTTTATCAGGGTTCTCCAGAGAATCAAAAGAATGCATATGTTATAATAAATAAAGATATTTTTTATAAGGAATGAACTCATATCATTATAAAGGCTAAGTCCCAAGATCTTCAGGGTAGGTTGGCAAGCCAGAGACCCAGGAGAGCCAATGAAGTAATTCCAGCCTGGAAAATAGCAAGCTCAAGACGCAGCAAGAGCCAATGCTGTTTGAGTCCTAAGTCAGGAAAAAACCGATGTTCACATTTGAAGGTGGTCAAGCAGGAGGAATTCTCTATTACTCTGGGGGAGGGTCAGTCTTTTCGTTCTATTCAGATCTTCAAGGGATAGATGGGGTTCACTCCCCTTATGGAGGGCCATCTGCTTTATGCAGTCAACTCATTCAACTTTGATACATAAAATTAACCGTCACAAATAGTAATGAGGATGTTAGGAGTTATTGTACATAAAGGGCTTAGCATAGTGAGCTCTTAAGAAAAGATAGCTATTATTTGCGTAAAGTATTTTTCAATCCCCTCTTCAGAATTAGGAATAGAATCAGAGCTCTACAATACTGACACAGTAGTTTTGGCCCTTTCCTGGTGTGACGCTCTGTCTGATGTTTGGTCTTGGGAAGCAGTCATACTTACGTAGTGCATGATCAGCTAAGTCATTTCTCTGCTAATGCCTATTTCAAGGTTCTGTGAAAATATGCTCTCTGCCTCACATGCATGAGACAGGGGAATTACCTGCAGACACCTTGCTACCATCTGGAGCAGCCTCTAGTGATGAAATACCTATGAAGGGTCTTTTATTATTTTTTGGCAGTGTTTCCTTTTTAAAGAAAATATTACAAAAACTGGAAAGGTTTTAGAAAAACCAAAAGGCAGATTTTTTTATACCTCTCCTTTGAACTCACTGCAGGAGTAGTTCACTTTACTTAACAGTGAGCTCAATAAGTAACTATCATTTCAGGGTATGCCTGACTCATAATACTGTCAAATAATTCATATATGTAAAAATGACCGTTGTCTCATTTACTTGTTATGCCAACACTTGTCAACCTCAGCAACAGCTTTCAGCCCTGTTAAATGTGGTTTAAATGTGAGGGATCTAAAATGAAATTGAAGCACGCTGCATTTGATAGTAAATCAAATACGAATTTAATGTTGTACTCAAAGACAGCATATTTAGTAAGTCTTGAAAGTAAAAATGGCGGATTTTATGATTTGACTCTAGTGAGGGTTTTATTGGGATTCTGATTATCTTTTAAAGGTTGAGATCTAATGATTTTTAAAAATTACATTTGAGAAAAATATTTTGGAGTAAATTATATTGAACTGAATTAATGAACGATAAAAATAGTTTAAAGAAAATCACTTTCTAAAGAGAAGACAAGTATTATCAAATCATGAACATTATATTTTGTTTTACTTTTTATTATAAAAAATTTCAACCACACTAAGGGTAGAAAAAAATAACATTATACCCATATATCCATCACTTATATTAAAATGTATTAATATTTTATAATATTTGCCTTATCTCTTTTGAACTTCAATTTTAAACTCACCCTCCATCGGTATTTTTAAAGTATTATTTTATTTTAATTTTTTTTTTTGAGACAGAGTCTCACTCTCACTCTGTCACCCGGACTGGCACCTGCCAGTGCAGTGGCACTATCTCGGCTCGCTGCAACCTCCGCCTCCTGGGTACAAGTGATTCTTCTACCTCAGGCCCCTGACTAGCTGGGATTACAGGCGCTTGCCACCAGGTCCAGCTAATTTTTCTATTTTTAGTGGAGACGGGGTTTCACCAAGTTAGGCTGTCTCAAAATCCTGACTTCAGGTGATTCATCTGCCTCGGCCTCCCAAAGTGCTGGGATTACAGGGGTGAGCCTCTGTGCCCGGCCAAGGCATAATTTTAACTAGATATAAAATAAATCTTAACTTTTCCAAGTATAATGCTATAAGTGTGGAACATTTAAAGGCAGAAGAGATTTTACATTTGTTTTTTCTAGCATATGGGAAAATTGATAGCTTCTTTCCGTATGTTTTAATGATGAGTGAAGAACTAGACTGCTTCTATGGTTTTCCCTGGAATTTTTAAAAATCACCTACCCATAAACTTACATTCTTCCTAAATACATGAATGTGATAAGAGTCTCAATAAGCAAAAGCAAAATATACTGCTATTCTAGAAAACATCTGGCAAAGAGACTCCAGGACAACTCTTTGTACAAAAGGGAAATGAGGACCGGCTGGCTGTGTAGTAAGTGGATATATGGCCTCTGGTGGGAGGCAATGTGGCAGTGTTAGGGCCACATGAATGAGGCATGAATTGTAGGTCTGATTTTTAGTAGTTACATGCCTACGGTCAAATCACAGCTGTTCTAAACCTTCAGTGTTTCCACCTCTGTAACATGAATGCAGTAATGCCTGGATTGCAAACGTGTTGTGAAGATTAGCTACATAGGTAAAGCTTTGTTGTACGTACTCAATATTGGCATCTGGTTGTTGTTTTTTGAAACAGTGTACTAGAAAGACTGTTCATGGTGTTTGAAATTATATGTAGGTGGTATAACAATCCTTCCTGCTCACTTACTTGCTGTGTGTCCCTCGGTGTGTCCCCTAGTCTCACAGAACCTCAGTGTCTTTAGCTGGGAAATGAATCTAATACTATTTATTCCATGATGGTTAGTTTAATATGTCAATCTGACTAAACTAAGGGATGCTCACGTAACTGGTATACATTCCTCCTAAGTGTATCTTTGAGAGCATTTCTGAAAAAGATTAACATTTGAATCAATAGACTAAGTAAAGAAGATTGCTCTCATTAATGTGGTTCAACGTTAGTCAATCTGCTTAAATAGAACAAAAGTGCAGAAGGAGAGCAAAGTCTATCTTCTCGAGCTGAGACATCCAGATTCTCCTGCCCTTGGATAGGAGGTTCTTGTTATGGGGTCGTCGGACTCTGGGACTTATACCATTCCCTCCAACATGTAAGCCAATTCCCATGTGTATATATATATATATGTATGTGTATATATGTATGTATGTGTATATATATGTATGTATGTGTGTATACATATACACACACACACACACACATATATATGTGTATATATATACTTATTGGTTCTGTTTCTCTGGAGAACCCTGACTAACCCATACTCCCACAGCATTGTTTATGGGGGCAAGTAATAATGTTCGTGTCATGTAGCAGACTCATTATTGAAAATCTGTTCCTAGGAGTCTTGTTTTCTTGACCAATTTCAAGCTTTCAAGTTACTTTTGCAGTTTAATAATATAGGGTTTAGTCTTCTTGATGTTTTTGCCAGTATTTGGATAAAGATGTAAAAGTCGAACATATGAAACTTGACAATAGCTAAATTAGGTTCAGAAGTTCTCAGTAGGCTAGAACTGTAGGTAAAAATGAACAAAACAATTTATATGGAAAAAAATTGAACAATGTAGTAGTTTTATAAGTTCCTTGTGTGCCAATACTGTGAATGGATATTCAATTTTTTAAGTTCCATTTTAGGCTAATTAATTCAGGTGCAAAGCGTAGATTCAGCAATATAAAGGTTGTTCGTATTCAAATTGGTCAGATGACAGCTAGAATTATGTGTCCTTTTTTTAAGCTAAATTCCACACTTTACAAAGGACATTGAAAAGCTAGGTAGGGGTCTGGTGCGGTGGCTCACACCTACAATTCCAGCACTTTGGGATGCCCAGGAGAAAGGATTGCTTGAGCACAGGAGGCTGAACTGCAGTGAGCCATGATCATGAAGTCCAGCCTGGGCGACAGAGCAACGCCCTGTCCCAAAAAAAAAAAAAAAAAAAAAAAGCTAGGTAGGGTTTCTCAAGCTATGGAACATTTTGATCAGATAATTCTTTGTTGAGGGTGGCAGGGGCAGTCTCCTGAGAATTTTTAGCATGTTGCTGGCCTTTATCCATTAGATGCCACTAGAACTTCCATGTTCCCACCCAGAAAGACAACAAAAATGTCCAGACATTGCCAAACATCTCCTGGAAGGCAAAATTGCCCTGATTGAGAACCTCTGTGCTGCAGGGTATACAAAAGAAGGTAAAAGGAAAGTAAAAGGCTGGGAAGGATAATCATGAAGAATAATAAGGGTAGGTGTGTCTCATTCCTAGAACTGTCCCAACTCAATAATTTTATTTTGTATTAAGTTTCTCTGTCTTCATCTGCCTTCCCATTAAATTAATCTTTCTGCAGTCAGGGATTGTGTTTCATTCTTTTTGTTTTTAGTGTGCAGAATAACTCCTAGTGTACTGTAGACTCTCAATGTTTTTATAAGGTAAAGTAAACTAAACTGAGGAAAAACACGACCTGATGTGGGCAGCTACTAAGGAGACATTTTCTGATGGTACTTGAAGAGCTGCCAAAGGAAGAATCGTATTGGATTACTCAATGAAAGAAAGAATGCTTCTTCAGAGGGCAGAGCTAATAGCAATGAATAAAAGTTATGGAGGCATAGATTTCACCTTATTTTAAGGTCAAATTTTAATATGATATTTATACTTATTTAGCACCAATAATTCTTGAAATCAACTTGATTAGCATTGAAATGAATGTACTTTATAATAGAATTGTAAATAAAATTGTCTCTTTAACAAAATGGGGATTGGGGTACTGATCCTCAACACTTGAAAATCTACATAGAACTTTTGACTCCCCACAAACTTAACTACTAATAGACCATGTTGCCCAAAAGCCTTACCAATTAATCAATTAACAAATATTTTGCAATTTATATGTATTATATAGTATATTTTTACCATAAAGAAAGCTAGAGAAAAGAAAATGTTATGAAGAAAATCATAAGAGGAAATATATTTTAGTACTGTATTGTATTTATTGATACCACAAGTTTAGTCATTTGTTTACAAGATGAATCTCTGAAATGGCAGGTAACTGCAGCTGCAAATCTCAGTCTATGGTACATATCAAGCAATTCAGCTTTTTTTTGCAACGCCATGACTTCTCTGCTTCTCGGAAGCACTTCCAGCATCACTAGTGGCACTTCGTATGTGTTCCATGTTGTTAGGCAAGGTTGAAAGTATTGCACTAAACAAAATGAAAAATACATGAGAAACACAAGAGATCCCTTTTTACTGCAATTTATTAGAGGAATGAACTCCTCATGCAGAAATGATTAGTGTCACGAAGTATTTTAAATGGATACTTGCAACACTTGAGCTCACTGCAAGAACAAAAGGAAGTGGCTATGAATTGATTACTGTTGTACAGTATGTACTACAGTTAATTTTATGCAGTCATGATTTAATACTGCATCTTTACGTTTGTTTACATTTCTCTCCACCATGAATGGTGCCATGTACAGTTTGTGTTTGGGTGCATGTTTCAATAAATTCTAACTTTGTATAGTGGATTTGTGTGTATTTTATGATAGTAGATGATAAAATAGATTAATATCTACATAGATTTTGTGCATTAATGCATACTTACCTTTTTCTTTTTTGATATTCCTAGGCTAGGTGTTCTGTGTGCAACATTTTTCAAATTGTTGTAAATCTCCAAAAAATTTATATATTTTTATATTATATAAAATGTATTATATATCATATGAAATATATTTATATATTAAATTTATATATATATTTATTGAAAAAACTCATGTGCAAGTGGACCCACATAGTTCAAAATCAAGTTGTTCAAGAATCAATTGTACAATACTATCAGAATTCTGAGGTATATTACATACATTTGTGGGATATAAAAATATTGATCAAATACAAAATTATTGATTTTCCCTACTTAAAAATCTATATTTATACTCATGCAACTATTAAATAATTGACAATATGGCAAGTACTCAGAGGCATAAGAAAGAAAGAAACTAAAAGAAGAGAAAGGACAGAAAAGAATATCTCCTATATATATATATTTGGTAACTTATTAAAAATGAGTAGTGAAAATGATACTGATAGAAAATATTTATCAAGTGCTTATTGTATTATAGTCATTGTGTTGTGCTTTAAATATAGTCTCATTTAATCCCTACAACACCTCAATGAAATAAGTGCTTTTATTTTCTCCATTTACATATGAAGAAAAAAATTTGCAATTACAAAGAGATAAGCATTTCAAAAGAAACTAATAGAACTTATAAATAAACTGTGTATTGCTTTCAAAATTGTAACTTCAGAAGGAATGTACTGAATTTTATATTTCTTTTAATAATATCAGTCTTGTGAACATTTTTGGATTGCATTCAGGGTCATTTTTTCAGTTCAATATTTGCTCTGTGCACCTGAATACATATCTAACCAAACTATTAGGCATGTGACTCATCGATAGAGAATTTCATTCTTTGGTTACTATATGGCTCATAGAAACACATTTCCGCTCTCTTTTATCTGACAAGGACTTCCATTTTATTGTCAGTATGAGGACAAATTCGAAATACACATGAAGTTTCCCAAAACATCTTAAAAATAGTACAGAAATTTGTATCTATGAGATTATTTTCAAATTATATTCAACATTCAGTTAAAATTTTCCTTAACATTCTTTCCTGTGGCCAGATCTTAAAACTAAAGTATCCTGAGGTGTGGGGAGTATCTGTGCATGGAGGAGTCCGCTCTGTGAGAGTGCTGGGAGACACTCCCTGGAGCAGACACTAATGCAATGGAGGCTTTTTGTTTGTTTGTTTTACTTGGAGAAGAGTAGCCTGAGAAAGACAACAGTGTTCCAGTCTGGAAAGCCATATATTAATTAGTGATATTTCCCATTAAATTAAGGAGAGGACAAGAGGGTTAAATTCAAGCAGGATGGTTTAGGTTGCAAATTTTGAAGATGATAGCACATCTTCACTGTAAAGGCTAGGAGAGGTTAGAATATGTTACCGAGGGAATTTGAGTGTGACAAAGTTACTTTTCTTTCATATGACAATCTATTGGCATTTATTTCTAATTACCATTGTCTCTTTGCTACTGAAGTTATTTTTGAATGAAAAGCATTCATTCATGCCATATCTCTTCCACATAGAATTTTTAGATATAAAAATTAATTAAAAATTTATAGCATTTAACCAGGGGTGAATGAAACTCAATTCTGCAATATTTATTCATATAAAGACCAAGATCCTAATTATCTAGGGAAGTCAGAGAAGGCCTAAAGAGACCCACGTGGGTATTATAGATTTGTTTTAGGAACTTAGGTGTCTGCCTTTTCTCTCCATGTTTTAAGTAGAGTTGTCAGATTTAGTAAATACAAATACAGGATGCCCAGTTAAATATGAATTTCAGATAAGCAATGAATAATATTTTAGTATAAATCTGTCCCCAAGACTATATTCTTATAATAAAAAAGTTGTTTATTGTTTACCTAAAATTCAAATTTAACTGGGCATCCTGTATTTTACCTGGCAACATTAGTTATAAGGGGAGCCTATAAGTGGATTAATCCTGAAGCTAATGAAGCTTAAGTTTTCAGGGGTCTTCGCTGGCAGGATTTTGTTTAAATCTAATGTTGTCTTGGCAATTTTCCAGCCTTTTCTTTAGAGCCTCCTTCCCAATTATATAAACCTGAGGCTCCACGAAATTTAGATATGACCCTGCAGGAGAAGTAATATGAAGAGACAGTCGACAAGGTGACAGAAGAAGTAAATTTAGCAGGCTTGAGGAGATTGTTGATGCCCTTGTCACATTCGGAAATTATTTTCCAGGAGATAATTAAATAATCACTGGGCCTTGAGGCATCTTTGTAGTTGAAACTTGACTGTCACTGTATAGGGAAGAGACAGGAATAAGTTTTCCACTTTGTTGCTACAGCCTAAGAGTGAAAAATTCAATGCTCTGAGAAAGGCAGTAAAATTTCTTTTTGCATGGATACAATCAGCAAATGAAGACTCAATAATTTTGTTTCTACTTACCAAATTCAACTCTTCAGATCTCATAGACTTTAAATGCCGAAAGGAAGTTATAAAATAAAAAATGAGAATGGCAAAGAAGTGTCCTCCAGAAAAGCAGATCTGGCTTTATTCTAAGGCTCATTCACAAAAAGGCAAAGCTAAATATTTTGTCTTCCTCCTTGATGCAGTGTCCTGCTTTGTGTAATAAACCACAGAAATGACTCAGCTCCCCTGCATTTAATAAAGACTATAAGGGTGATAATCCTCTTTTTAATCACTCAAGACACTGCCTGATTCTTAGAGCCTACAGTTTTGGGAGTGTTATTGATGGGAGTGCTATTGAAGTGCTATTGATTAGGTTTTCAGGTTAAATCTTTTGTGGCTTCAAGAAGCACAGAAACGGTGTAAAGAAGTTCCACTTAAGTGCCTGATATGGATTAAGGGAACTTTTCTTCATTCAAGAAATTAATTCAGCAAACATTTGCTGTGTGTTTCCTAAGTGCCAGACACTGTGCTAGGAATGGGATTGCTTTGGGTTTTCAGTACTTAACTGGGAATTAATTGATGGAGGGAGAAAACGCTTTTTTTTTTCTTTTATTATACTTTAAGTTTTAGGGTACATGTGCATGTGCACAACGTGCAGGTGTGTTACATTTATATACATGTGCCATGTTGGTGTGCTGCACCCATTAACTCGTCATTTAACATTAGGTATATCTCCTAATGCTATCCCTCCCCCCTCCCCCCACCCCACAACAGGCCCCGGTGTGTGATGTTCCCCTTCCTGAGTCCATGTGTTCTCATTGTTCAATTCCCACCTATGAGTGAGAACATGTGGTGTTTGGTTTTTTGTCCTTGCGATAGTTTGCTGAGAATGATGGTTTCCAGCTTCATCCATGTCCCTACAAAGGATATGAACTCATCATTTTTTACGGCTGCATAGTATTCCATGGTGTATATGTGCCACATTTTCTTAATGCAGTCTATCATTGTTGGACATTTGGGTTGCTTCCAAGTCTTTGCTATTGTGAATAGTGCCGCAATAAACATACGTGTGCATGTGTCTTTATAGCAGCATGATTTATAATCCTTTGGGTATATACCCAGTAATGGGATGGCTGGGTCAAATGGTATTTCTAGTTCTAGATCCCTGAGGAATTGCCACACTGACTTCCACAGCGGTTGAACTAGTTTACAGTCCCACCAACAGTGTAAAAGTGTCCCTGTTTCTCCACATCCTCTCCAGCACCTGTTGTTTCCTGACTTTTTAATGATCGTCACTCTAACTGGTGTGAGATGGTATCTCATTGTGGTTTTGATTTGCATTTCTCTGATGGCCAGTGATGGTGAGCATTTTTTCATGTGTTTTTTGGCTGCATAAATGTCTTCTTTTGAGAAGTGTCTGTTCATGTCCTTCGCCCACTTTTTGATGGGGTTGTTTGTTTTTTGCTTGTAAATTTGTTTGAGTTCATTGTAGATTCTGGATATTAGCCCTTTGTCAGATGAATAGATTGCAAAAATTTTCTCCCATTCTGTAGGTTGCCTGTTCACTCTGATGGTATTTTCTTTTGCTGTGCAGAAGCTCTTTAGTTTAATTAGATCCCATTTGTCAATTTTGGCTTTTGTTGCCATTGCTTTTGGTGTTTTAGACATGAAGTCCTTGCCCATTCCTATGTCCTGAATGGTATTGCCTAGGTTTTCTTCTAGGGTTTTTATGGTTTTAGGTCTAACATTTAAATCTTTAATCCATCTTGAATTAATTTTAGTATAAGGTGTAAGGAAGGGATCCAGTTTCAGCTTGCTACATATGGCTAGCCAGTTTTCCCAGAACCATTTGTTAAATAGGGAATCCTTTCCCCATTTCTTGTTTTTGTCAGGTTTGTCAAAGATCAGATAGGTGTAGATATGTGGCATTATTTCTGATTCATTGATTTTTTGAAGGGTTTTTTGTGTCTTTATTTCCTTCAGTTCTGCTCTGATCTTAGTTATTTCTTGCCTTCTGCTAGCTTTTGAATGTGTTTGCTCTTGCTTCTCTAGTTCTTTTAATTGTGATGTTAGGCTGTCAATTTTAGATCTTTCCTGCTTTCTCTTGTGGGCATTTAGTGCTATAAATTTCCCTCTACACACTGCTTTGAATGTGTCCTAGAGATTCTGGTATGTTGTGTCTTTGTTCTCATTGGTTTCAAAGATCATCTTTATTTCTGCCTTTATTTCGTTCTGTACCCAGTAGTCATTCAGGAGCAGGTTGTTCACTTTCCATGTAGTTGAGCAGTTTTGAGTGAGTTTCTTAATCCTGAGTTCTAGTTTGATTGCACTGTGGTCTGAGAGACAATGTGTTATAATTTCTGTTCTTTTACATTTGCTGAGGAGTGCTTTACTTCCAACTATGTGGTCAATTTTGGAATAGGTGTGGTGTGGTGCTGAAAAGAATGTATATTCTGTTGATTTGGGGTGGAGAGTTCTGTAGATGTCTATTAGGTCTGCTTGGTGCAGAGCTGAGTTCAATTCCTGGATATCCTTGTTAACTTTCTGTCTCGTTGATCTGTCTAATGTTGACAGTGGGGTGTTAAAGTCTCCCATTATTATTGTATGGGAGTCTAAGTCCCTTTCTAGGTCTCTAAGGACTTGCTTTATGAATCTGGGTGGGAGCAAATGCTTTTAAAGCACAGAGCTGTTTAGACTCCATAAATGAGCAATACATATTTGGCATAATAGAGCCTGCTATATGCTATACATAATATGATACTGGATAATTGTTCTCAATTTTTTACACCTTTGTGCCATTGACAAGCCTTCCACTAGTGTATATGAAATATACGCCCCTGCCCAATGGATGTTAGGCTTGATCACGTGACTTCTCTTGGCCCCTGGAATGTCAGTGTGCATGATGTAGAAGAGGTTCAAAATGTGTTTGTGTGGTTTGGCTTATCTTCTAATACTACTGTGACCCACCATGGAAAGAACATGCACCTGATAGTCACCGGTCATAGGAAAATGACAAACACAGTAAAAGGAGAAAACTCAGTGGTTGTGGTTGGAAGCCATTAATATTTGGGGTTTTTTTCTTGCAGCATTATGATGGCAATAGCAGATTAACATAGACAGTAAGACAATCATACAAATAAATGTAAGTTAAGATAAATTGAGATATGTTTATAGATGCAAAATGCAATATGATTTTCAGTGGTGGGAAAGCAAACATTTGATATGGGGAAATATTTGGGAAAAGCCAAGTTTGAGGTAAGCATTGAACAATTTCAACAGGCAGAAAATGTCATGGGAATTAATGAGTACTTCAAGTAATCCGAAGCTTTGTAGGTGGTGCAGAATTGGTTCATCTTTCAAAAGCCTTTCTATGTTGGGAAACTGAATATGGTATTGACTTCCAAAGAGGGCATTAAAGTGTACCTGAGTGTGTTGACTCAGTCCAGTGCCCTCTGGACTTTCTGAAACCATCCCAGAGTCTTTCTAAAATCTTCTTCCCATCCATGGATGGGGACTGGTGGTAGATACCCTATGGCCTGATGCTACTTGCGGATACTCTCCAGCATTCTGTAGTTAACCAATATAGCAGCCAAAGGCTTTCATCTGCTTCACCTGGGGAGTCTTAGATTTTAGATTCTTTTAGATCCCTTTTAGATTTAACAATTATTTATTCCAAGCTTCTTATATGCAGTTTATTTTCCGTATATTTTCTCTCTTAATCTGCACAGAAACCTTTTGACATAGTGTTACCATCGCTATTTTACTTACAATAGATCTGAGGACCAGAGAGGTTAAAGGAAATGCTCAGGTCACACAACTACCTACTAAATGCCGAGGCCAGGACCCTGACTTGAACACTGGGCACCTGATCTACAATAGGAACCTGGTCTTATTAAAAATCTCTATGGGACTTTTCTAGAAGCAACTCCAAAGTATACAGGATGTTGTTGAGCATCTTTTTATATAAGTAATATTATGAAATCTAGGTTTATTTGGTAAACCTAACTTTTCTAGAGGAGGCTCCAGAAAGTTGCCGAGTAAGACTATCCAGAGCTAATCTGTGTTCACTGGCTTTACTTCAAGTTATTCTAGCCCACACACAGCTCTCAATTCACCTATGAAGTTATTGAAACTTGGCTTTAGATTTGAAACTTGGCTTTGAGATTCTCAAAGCATTTTTACAATTAGAGAGTAGAGAAAATTATTCAACGATTGATCTGATGAATCATTTTCTTCCTGGGGTTTTCAGTCTTCTCTTCTAGGAGTTTTATTCATTATATTCAAAAAGCTTTCACTCTTCTTTGCATCACAAATAATATCTTTCCCTATGCAGACTGTTATAAGCTTATCTGTTAAAGCATACCTGGTAGAAACCTAAAATTGGAATTCAGTGCCTGGAAGCAGGGGGTCCTTTATAGATAGCTGAGGACTTTGAAATTAGTTTTTCCTTGTGATTCAACAGGTCTTAAATGTTGTTACCTTGATTTAATATTTATTGAGCTTCCACAAGGTGCTAAGCCTTCAAGATACTGAACAAATCCCATTTTTTCGATTAAGTTTTTACCTGATTTAATTTGTCTTATTTATATTTATTAAAGTCCCAGCAATGTTGTTACAGATGTACTCACAGATCTGTTTCACATGCAGCATGGTCAAATAATGAGGGAAAAAGGAAAACAAACACAGACTCATGCACACAAATTATGAATGTTTTGTAGAAACAATAACTCATTCATTGATTTCATGAAACCTATGGCTTACCTTTTTCCTTGCACTGGTGAAATTATAGAGACTGACAATGCTTTGGTTTCCAATTTTTTTTTAGAAGGTTAATAATGATATTTGAGACTATACCATCTTATTATTATGCTAATCAGCAAAGCCACTCCAAGTCTATTTTGAAAATGAACCTTCTTCATTATAAAAAATTAATAATAGTCTCAATTTTCCCACTCAGAATTTATCATCTTAATGTTGAATCATAACAACTTTTAATTTGAGGACAAATTACAGAGTGATTTATAAACAGCAGTTATTGTCTTCTTAAAGGTCTTTCTCTTTATAGATAAGTTATAGCTAACTACCATCAGTGGCTCTTCTGTGGAAATGTCTTGGGGGTCCCAGGCCTGCATTTAATGTCAGAGGAACAACAGGCAATGTTCAAAGTCAATAGAACTGAACATCTCCTGTTCAACAATGTGGAACTGAAGATCATTAACAGATTGAAAAATTACAAAACAAAGTTTCTAAAGATGTTTGGAACACCGAGCATTCTGCATAATAATCCACAATAGGACTAGCAGTCAGTGTTCCATAGAATACCTGCTTTAAAATTAACTGGTGGCACTTTAATTTTAGAACCTGATTCTTTATTCAGTGTGGTTTGGGACAGGCCAGATGTTAGTTCAATGTCTAGTTCTTTCTCATTAAAGCTGTAGATGCCATAAAAAGAGAATTCCTTAGCCTGAAAAAAAAAAAAGAACTTACTGAAATGGTGCTATGTACCTTAGAAAATACAAAGAAAGTAGAAGCATTAATAGGAAAAGGATAAAAGTTAAAGTTCTATTATTTTTCTCCAGTGTTAGAATTCTTCTCAGTATCCCAGTACATCATCTTGAAAACCCCTTACATAAATACATCCTATTTTAGAGGCCACTGCTTTAAATCTACCAGCTTGGTTTAGTAGTTTAGATAATCTGGAGAGATACCAAAACTTGTATTTGGTATCACTGTATAGCTAAGCTCAGGTGTAATCATTCCTTTTGTTCCTAGAAAATGACTGTTACAGAAACTTAAATGTGACTACCTACATGTAAAAAGAAAATAAGTAACTGTCTCTTCCTGGGGTACAATTATTGTTAATTTTACCAAAATTGTTGGCTTTGACTTTATTCCCATGATCAGGATTACTGTGATCCATTGATAATAGATGTTTCCAAAATTGAGCAAAAGACTTGAAACCATCTTGGACCATTAAAAAGTGCTGAAGGCAAACTAGATTTCACTTTATCTTTACTTTCTTTACCTTCTAGTTGCACCATGTTTTACATGAATAGTCAGCCACAGAGACGGAGAGCCAAGGGTGCAGTGGGCCTGAAAGTGGGAATTTATGGACACATGATTTCTTTCCAGTCTGACTGGGTTGTCAGTTTCACTGGAGAAGGTATCTGGGAAAGGCCCAGCTACTACGTAACTACCAAAGGGGATCGTGCATTGGGGAATGGGAATGAAGTTTTCCTTGAGCGCTGCAGTCTTGCATCATGGCTCTCCAGATATGATTTTGATGAAATATTTTCCTCTTTAAGAACACTACATTAAGAGGAATATTTCCTTATTAATATGCCTTTAGTTACAAGTAATGTTAATAGGTGTTAAGTGAGCAAGTATTTCTATGGCCACATGCATTTGGAAAAGAACTTGTTATTCAAAGTTAGTCCTTCATAGGCTACTCTACACATTGCTCTCTGATAGAGGAATGTGCGTGCATTTATCTTACAAAGTCAACTCTTACTGGGTTTCAGAGTTGCTATCTGCTTAGATCTTACCAGAATAATGTTCCATGAAACATACTTTGAGAAATGCTGGTCCATAAGGATCACGTTTCCAGGACAAGCCTCCTGAGGACGAGGGTCTAACAGAACCATTCCCAGTTTTGGTATTTCGGTTTTATGCAGCAGTTAGAAGGTATATTAAAACAAAACAATCCAACAACTGAGTTGAGATCAGGCACTTAACACCCACAGATATTATTTATTCATCAAGCATTTACTTAGTGCTCACTTGGTTTGTTTATCTCTATCTCACAGGATTCAAAGATGAGTGAAGCATAGCATCTTTCCTGCATAAACATTTAAAAAAGGAGAAAGTGAGAGAGAGGAGTCTTCCATCCACTTCTAAATAGAACAAAATGATATCTCAGTGCCCTTAACTTTGAAACTGAAACAGAGCTTCTAGATCATCTCAAGATTTTGCAGCTTTGGAGAAAGCAAGCTGTAGGACTCATGGCATAGTGAGCAGCATTTTTGCCATGAGCGTCTGCATTAGGAAAATCTGGAGACTGCCGTCTCAAAGGGCTCCTTGGGCCATGGATCACTGCTCAGGGGATGGGAGGAGGCAAGTCTAGGAGGGCCTGCCTGTGAGCTCAGGTGAGATGCCCTTGAGGCCACTAGGGAGAAGGTGGGCCAGAGTCATTGATGGGATTTGAATAGTGAAGGGGTTAATAAGCCAATGAAATGTGGATTGCTCAACTTAATATAAGCACATAAGTACTGTGTGAGGAAAAACAAACTGTGGAGAAAATAGATTTTCCTCTGCTCTCATCCCACAACAATGAACACAGAAGACTTCTGTGACCAAATGTGGGTCCTCCGCTGCACCCCACACACCAAGCAAGTGATCAATTCTGCAGTGGACACCAGCATTCGGTATCCTCCACTTCAATCCTGACACCATCTACCTGGAGATAGCATCAGATACCGCAGGTTGGGGGCTCAGTCCCACAAGACTGCCCTCGACTTTGGATGCCAATCACAAGCCCCAGGTTTTTATATCTGTGCTTCTGACTGGCTGTAAATAGAAGTTCCCAAAATTCCCTTCTCCTGTTCGATTAGTTTGCTAGAGTGGCTCACAGAACTTGTTACAGGTAGTTAGACAGGCATGAGTGGGGCAGGAGAGGGTCCTCCCTCACCTACTAGGAATGTTGGGTGATGGTTTGGCAATTATCACATTGCCTCTCTAAAAGTGATAAGTTGCCAGCCGGTGCCAGGGAAAGGCCACTTCCTGATGATCTACACCTGTTGCACTAAAGTGTTAATTGAATGCAGATGCCAGTGGGGAGCAAATTTCTGGGCATGCACATTAAGAGACAAAATGGCTGAGTATGATCTTCCAGGCACACTCCACCAGAAAAGGGAAGAAAAGCCTCAGATGGGCATGTGTACAACTTCCTAAACACACTGCATGTGGTCATTTTCCAAGCATAAGGAGGGTACTGTGCATGCAGGCAGCCCACCCTAAGGTAGAATCATGGGAAAGGGGCCAGCCTATAAAGTCCTAGGATCCAGGTTAAAGACCACACTTGTTCTTCAAGTCACATGCTTGGGTCTCTTCCAAGCACACTTTCTTTTCTGTTCTAAAGCTTTTTAAAATAAGCTTCCACTGCTGCTCTGAAACTTGCCTAGGTCTCTTTTTCTGCCTTTGTCCCTCAGTTGAATTCTTTTTTCTGAGGAGGCAAGAATTGAGGTTGTCATAGACCTGCATGGAGTCACTCCTGGCAACTCGGATACCTTCCACGGGTAACAAACTCAGGGAAACACTTAGGTTTACAGGTTTATTGTAAACAACATAACAAAGGATGTAGATAAAGACATGGGGAGGGCAAGGTATAGGGGAAGGTGCATGGAGCTTCCATGCCCTCTCTGGGCATGCCACCTTTCAGGAACCTCCATGTGTTCAGCTGTCCAGAAGCTCTGTGAACCCTGTCCCTTTGGGTTGTTATGGAGGTTTCATTACACAAGAATGATTAATCAAACCATCGGCCATTGGTGATCAACTCAACCTTTAGCCCTTCTTCATTCCCTGGAGGTTGAGGGGAGGAAAAGTCCCAACCCTCTAACCCTGTCTTAGTCTTTCCAGTGACCAGGCCCCGTACTGAAGCTACTTAGGAGCTTCCAGCCATCAGTCAATTCATTAGCATACAAAAAGATATCACTTTGGATATTCTAAGGATTTTAGGAGTTGTATGTGAGAAAATGGGGAAGAAGACCAAATAATTATTTTACAATATCACAAGTACTCACAGTCTGGTGAGATATGGAAAACCCAGATCTCTTAGACCAAAAATCTCAAGAAAAGATTATAAGGTGTCCTTATATTTAAAAAAAATTTTAAAAATTGAAGGGAGTAGAATGTAAGAAAAAATTTCTGAATTTCACAGAGAGGCTTAGCCTTGACACATGCTGGCCGTGTTACTGAGCATGCTACATTAAGGCCTCTACGTATAAATGCTTTTTTTCATTTATTACAAAGGCCTAAGGCCTATCCTCGTATCTATTGTGGAGATTAAATGAGATACTTCACATAAAATTAGCAAACACATAGTAGATATTCAGTAACCATTGGTTTCCTTCTTCAGACATTAAATAGTCTGAAGCTATGATTAAAGTGATCATAGCTGACTGATTTCTTGATATGAGAGAAATGGTAGGCTTTCTTTCAAAGATGGGAGAAACTTTAGAAGGATCAGCTGGTACGTAGTAAGGAGCTACACTAAGATTGGAGGAAATGGTCAAAGCACACTTATTTCTTTCTTAGGAATTTGTAATCAGAACTGAGAGAGATCATTCTCTGACATAGTAGCAGAAAATATAATATCTAAACTTAGAACTATTGGGATCACTTTCTCTACCTGGGTGACTGGAGAAGCAGAGGAGGCCACTCTAAAGAAAGAGAGAGAAGAATTAGCCACGCCCCCCACCAAAAAAGAAGAGTCCGGATATGAAAGCCAGCCTAAGTCCCTGCTTCTATTTGTTTCTAGGGATCAGATGTGTTCTCCCCTTAGCTTGTGTAATCAAATCCCATACCATTACACCGAATTTCTACTTTTAAGCGTAAGCTATTTTGAATGGACCTCTAGTACTTCTTACCCGAAGACCACAGAGCAGGAAATTAAGCAGCTTCCACAATTTATGGCACTTTGAAGATTGTAGCAGGTAATTCACACTCTGGGCCCTGACCTTGTGAAGAGGGTGATATGGTTTGGATGTGTTTCTCTTCCAAATCTCATGTTGAAATGTGATCCCCAATGTTGGAAATGGGGCCTGGTGAGAGATGCTTGCGTCATGGGGGCAGATCCCTCATGGCTCAGTCCTGTCTTCGAAGTAATGAGTGGGTTCTTGCTCTGAGTTCATGTGAGATCTGGTTGTTCAAAACACTGTGGCACCTTCCCCGCCCTTGCTCCCTCTGTCTTGCTCCCACTCTCACTGAGTGACATGCCTGCTCCCCCTTCACATTCTGCCATGATTGGAAGCTTCCTGAGGCCCTCACCAGGAGCAGATGCCAGGGCCATGCTTCCTATAGAACCACGAGCCAAATAAACCACTTTTCTTTATAACTTATGTTATAAGGTATTTCATTATAGCAATGCAATAATAGAACCTATAGCCTATAGAACACAGCCTATAGAACCACGAGCCAAATAAACCACTTTTCTTTATAACTTATGTTATAAGGTATTTCATTATAGCAATGCAAAAACAGGCTACCAGAGGGGAGAATTTTAACAAGGGCAGAATTTTAACAAGATGCATAATGGACTTCCCAGAGCAGTCAATAATTTTAGTTCTTAAGTTCTGTGAGTAAAGAATTGGTTATACCTTCATGTATGAATGATTCGTTAGATTCCTGCTTCCAATGGAGAAGATTCAGTTTAATCAAAGATTTTCTGGACTCAAAATCATCGGAGCATAATTGTAATTGTCATAACAGCTCTATTATTCCTTCTGTTGAAAAATCTTAAGGCATTCTTCCTTACCAAAACACAGTGACATTGGAGGTGGCCTTCCTTAATAAAATACCCTGCTTGCTTCCTTTTCCATCTGGCAGTAGTTGCTTTGGGGACAGGTCTCAGCAGGCCCAGTGAGAAGGCACAGCAGCTTTTGCTTAGTCCTAATTTACTTGATTAGATCTAAAATGTAGAATAAAACTTTGTACAATCAATATTTTCAGTTGACCCTTAACCTGTATTCACTTCTAGGTTTTCTTGAAACTTCCATTTCAAAGGAAGGGAAATGCAAACCTTTAATGGTCACAGTGGTCAGGCCTCTCCTCTTCCCACCGCCCCACACTGCAAGTGGCCATTTCACCCTGGGCATTTTGGGCAAAGGCAGTTTAGAGAGGCCCTCTAAGCCCCACCTGCTGCTCTGTGCATTAGGGTCAAACCCGGTGTCATGGCACTTTCACTGCCTAGCCAACTCAGGGCGGAAGTCACCTGGTATCTGGTCTAGATGCTCCTCATGCCCCCAAATTGCCCTGTCCAAGCACTAGCTTTAACCTTTTAGAGAAATAAAATCAGTCATTGAATAGTGTCATCAGAGAATGAGAGAAGAAGTGAAATCAGAGCAAAACCAAAAGGATTTTAGAAAGGGGAAAAAAAAATAATTTCCCTGTCTAAGCCATTTTCAACTGATTCCACAAACACAGCTTAAATGTTCTTACTTATCTGATTTAAAAGAATTGAAGGAGAAGGCAAGGGGTACTTCTTGATATTTCCTGATGAGGACTGAGCCCACCTCTTAGTTCGGGGTCTTCTCTTAAATTGCCTGTGGCAGTTTTTTTTCAGAAATATGGTTACTACAAGATGATTGTGTCAGAGGTCATATGTTTTGGTTTTGTGATTTCTTCTCTAAGCCTTCAAATCATTCTGGAATTAACAGAATGGACTAAGCAAAAGCTGCTGTGCCTTCTCACTGGGCCTGTTGAGTCCTGTCCCTAAAACAACTACTGCCAGATGGAAAAGGAAGTAAGCAAGGTATTTTATTAAGGAAGGCCACCTGCAATGTCACTGTGTTTTGTTTCTCTGAGCTACTTTAGGGAATACTCTTAATGTTTTCTATATTTTGTTTTGGGGATACATGTTTAAAAATTCATTTATTAAGTTCATATCTTGTGAGAGGCACTTTTCTAGATTCTGGGGATAAAGCAGTGAACAAAGATGGGCGATATCTTTGTTCTCAAATGCTTAAATTCTAGAAGAGGCAAACAAGCATATAATAAAAAAGATGTTAAATGTTTTTTCACAGAATTATGATGAATCAATGTGATAAAGTGACCTCATGGCTGAATTAGGTTATCACCCTTCTCGGAATAGGTGACATAAATCAAGATCTGAAAGAAGAGATGGAACCAGCCACACAAAGACCTTGAATCAAGTCATTCCAGGCAGAGGGAGCAGCTAGTGCAAGGCACTAAAACAGGAATAAACTGGCTGTGTCCAAGAAACAGCAAGAAGGTGGAGCACAGTGGGTGAGAGAGAAGCATGAACAAGATGAGACAGACTGGTAGGCAGGCAGCAGGGTTGTATAGGGCTTACCAACCAGATTAAGAAATTGGGATTTTATTCAGGTGCAATGGGAATGCCTTAGAGTGTTTTAAATAGAATAATGATATTAATTTGAATTATTTTATTTTAAAAATAACTCTGCTTCTTTGGTGGGTGGATTATAGGAAAGCAAGCAAGGAAACACAGAACCAGTTGGGAGGTCTTTTAATGGTTCACCCTATAGGTAATAACAGCCTGAACAATGATGTTTATGGGAAACGTGGAGTATATATATAGGCTGTGGATATGCGTTTGAGGCTGAATTGATGACATTTGTCAATTTATTACATGGCATGTGTGTGTTTGTGTGTGTGTGTATGTCCGTGCATATGTGAGAATACATACACTTTGGGAAGGATAGAGTTAAGAGATGAACAAAGATAATTTCTGGACATTTTGCTTGAACACTTGGGAGACTTTTGGCATTAATTACTGAAATGGAAAAGTTGAGGGGGAAATAAGCTTGGTGGATGCAGACGGTAAGAAATCAAGATTTTGCTTCTGAGACATGCCTATTACATATCTAATTTAGAATCAAATAAGTATGGAATTATAGGAGAGAAAAATGTGAGACTCATTAGGATCAAGATGGTGTTCCAAACCATGAGACTAAAAAAGAAGACAGAAATAATGGGTCTAGGAAAGAGTATTGGGAACCAACATTCATTCATTCACTCATTGATTTATTTATTTTCTTGAAACCAAAGGTTTCCAATCAGGTTGCCTGACTGGTCTTTATTTATATATAAATATATAGATTTCTTTTTTCCTCATTTGTACAAATTTGAGGACAAGTGCAGTTGTGTTACATGCATCTATTGCATGGTGGTGAAGCCTGGGCTCTCAGTGTATTCGTCACTCAAATGTGTATGTACATTCCACTCTTTAGGTAATTTCTCATTACTCATCCCCCTCCCATCCACCCATCCTCCTAAGTCTCTGATGTCTGTTATTCCATACTTGATGTCTGTGTGTTTACCCTGTTTAGCTCCCACTTATTAGTGAAAATATGCATATTTAACTTTCTGAGTTATTTCACTTAGGATAATGGCTCCTAGTTCCATCCAAGTTGCTATAAAAGACACAAGTTCATTCTTTTTTATGGCCAAGTAGTATTTCATGGTATATAAACATACCACATTTTGTTTACTCAATCATCCATTGATGGACACTTGAACACTTAGCTTGATTCCATATCTTTGTGATTGTGAATAGGGCACTGACATTTAGAAGTCAATTAGAAGTGAATTGAGACTCAGCAAAGGAGACAGAAAAGCTGTAGTCAGTGATGTTAGCAGAAAGCCAGGAGAGACCAGCCTTACACAATCCAAAAAAAAAAAAAAGAAAGTATACCAAAAAAGGAAGTCAAATATATCCAAATCCATAAAGGTCAAGAAACTACAAAGAAAAGCTAGTATTGGCTATATACTAAACAGTCCATTGCTGGATCATCTGGTAGTTCTATTTTTAGTTTTCTGAGGAAACTCCATGCTGTTTTCCATAATGGCTATACTACTTTACATTCCTATCAGCTGTGCCTGAATGTTCCCCATTCTCCACATCCTCACCAGCATTTGTTATTTTTGTTCTTCTGATTAGAGCTATTGTAACTGGGGTGAGATGATATCTTATTGTGGTTTTGATTTGCATTTCCATGATAATTAGTGATCAATTGTGTATTTGAATATGAGATGCAAACAGAGGCTACCACTGGGTATATTAAAATTTACCCCCAAAACACCCCCCAAAACAAAAAACGAAACAGGAAATAATGGCAAAACATCAACTAAAACAAAAGTAGTAGGTACTGAGTCAATGGAGATGAAAACAGAGTTCTGGGTTAGTGGGGCTGCCATTTTCAAAACCAAGGAGGGAGGGTAGTGGAGTCAAACATGAGTCATTCAAGGCTTGGTGAGTGTCTCTGGAGAGGGATCAACTCATGAAGACCTCACTTTTATCTTTTTAAAAAATATTCAGAGAGGGTCCTTGATTCCAGTAGAGTAGCTAATCTGAAGACTTCCCCCCCCGCTTTCTTGCTGATTATATCAAATTCATTAAGATGCCTTGATTGTAGGACAAAACACTCAGTTTATCAGCTAATAAGAAAGAGTGATACATGCTAATTAAACAATGACACAATGTTTTACTTTCAAAGCTATAATTATGTTGTATACTCATTGGAAGAGTTTTTTTAGACTAATTTGCTCATGGAATTAAAAAAAAATCACTCTTGTGTATACCTAAAACTAATGATTACATATAAAGAGAATTGGTTAAATATTTTTAAAACTTCTTTACATTTGGAGTCTAACTCTTTTATATTATGTTTCAACTCAGCAAAGTCATCCATATTTTTGCACATGATATTATAACCTATGCCATTAAGAGCATTATAGCATTTCTTAAAAGCATTTTGAAGTTTTCTTCCAAGTTACTAACTTATGAATTTTGAAGCTGCTCTTTTTGTATTTGATTAATTTATAGCTTCATTTAACCTTATGAAATCATGCATCACTGAATATTAAACAGCTTCTGTTCAAAATCAGCATTAAATTTCTGACAAACTGATGTTTTCTGTCTTAATGATAGTTTTACGTGATTAATAGATGTATCAGTCAGCCTCTCGTCGTGAAATTTCTTTCATTGACTTTGAGGAATTTTTCACTTTCTCTTGCCTTCAGGTGCATTGCTTGGCATGCAGTACCAACAGTGCATAATTCATTTGAATGCATGACGATGTATACTACTATGACCAAGTTTGCATATGCATGCACAGGAAATGGCAATTTATAATGACTTCCATCTGGCCCACAACAATTATAAACTCCATTGGTTTCAAAAACGTTAAAATGTGAAAAAATGTACATTTTAAAATTAATATAACATGAATTTACTTCTCATATTTTGGGTCCTTTTGCATATGAGAGTTACATAGGAAATAACATATTAATTGTTTTATAATGGCATTTTTGCCTTATTTATCAATCATGTATTAGCTAATTTATGTAACAGACACCCATATAGCCACTTTTTAAAAACAAAATAAAAAAAAAAAAAAAACACACATAGCAAATCAGAATGTACTGAATTTCTAGATTATCTTATAGCTAGGGAGTGGCTATATGACAGTTCTGTCCATTGACATGTAAATTGATTTCTCCTGGATTTCTTGGGAAAGTTTTTACATTCCAAAGGGACATATGAGCTGATACAACCACCCATACCACTAATCTGACTTTGAACACAGACATGTTGTCTGAAGATGTAGTGCCATCTTGCAACCATTGGGTAACACCCATGTGAATGGGGGCCAATATAAGATGGCAGAACAGAATGATAACACACTAGGTTAGGAGTAGTTTCATTGGGAGGCAAGTGAATCATCAGGAGTTCAAGACCAGCCTGGCCAACATGGTGAAGATGTTTAGTAGAGATGGGGATCTCCACTAGAAAAAAAAATTATATATATATATATATACATATATATATGCTATAAGCTGGGTGTGGCCACATGCACGTATAATTCCAGCTACTTGAGAAACTGAGGCAGGAGAATTGCTTGAACTCAGGAGGTGGAGGCTGCAGTGAGCAGAGTAGTTTCCATGAACAGATAAAGTATTTCCAGCAACTGCCTATCTCTAGACTTTTTATATGAGGAAAAGAAACTCTTATTTGTTTAAGCCTCTGTTAGTTGGAATATATGTGATTTGCAGCCAAATATTTTGCTAATACAACTTATATTGGCATACTCAAAAGTTTAGCTTTCTGCATTGGGTTTTCACTCTTAAATATAACCAGGTACTCTAATTATCTCCTTTTTTTTTTTTTCTGGAAACTGTTCTGAATTACTCATTGGTTCTCATTTTTGGGGAGGTTTTCCTATACCAACTTGCTGTTCTCAGATTCTCCAGGTTTTGTCTGCCTGTTTCATCCAATTCTTAAGAATTGGCTACCAATTCAATTTTCTGTCATACTGATCCACACACCTGATTGAAAGCAGTAAAGTTAATCATTTCCAGAGCTGGTTTTTTTATACCTCTTAAATTCATTGCATATTGTTTGCTCACTTACAAGGAATAATCTCCCATAAAGGTGACCTCAATCTGAATACCAGTTTATATAAGAATATGGCTGAAACCTTTTTGCCTTTTCTGGAATACTGAGTGCTATGGTTTGAATGTGTCCTCCAAATTTCATGTGTTAGAAATCTAATCCTAAAATTCATATGTTGATTGGAGATGAGGCCTTTAGGAGATAATTAGGATCAGCTAAGGCTCTCACCAGATGCTGGTGCGGTGCTCTTGGACTTCTCAGCCTCTGCAACAGTGAGCTAAATAAACCTCTATTCCTTATATTAATAAATTACCCAGTCTGTGGTATTCACTTATAGCAATAGAAAATGAGCTAGGACACTGAATGACCAAAATGTCTCCAAATGTGATTTTAGTGGTGAGTCTGAGATTCAATACAGAAAAGAACTATTTCAGATAGAGTTAAGATGAGAATCTCCAAAGTAGAACAAGTGGGTAGCTATTTTCAGGTGAAGAATCATGAAATAGAGTTCAAAGTTCTGCTGATAAGCAAAATAAATGTCATTACCTTTAGGTCAGAGCAAATCAATATTCATGGAAGCTTTCATTGCTGATCTATAACCCAGGAAGAAATTATTGGTGTGTAACTCTTCTAACTATAGTTCTCAAGAAATAGATAAAGGCAAAATGATAACTGCTTAAATCTGTTGACTAAAATTAGAATTTTGTAGGTTTCCATTCATTTTCACGTAACTTATGTCAAAATATTTATTTGGGTCTATAGTGGAAAGAACTCTTCTCAATCTTAACTAGTAGAAAGAAATTAAAGTTAGTACTGATAGAAAGAGCAGTCAAAAAAAAATTACTAAGAATATAGTAGATTAGCCAATAGGCTCCTACCTGAGGAAGGAAGAGTCCTTGCGAAGCTTGAAAAGATCCACTTGAATTTGGGCAAGAAATCAAAACATGGTTCAAATTAAGGGCATTATAGCTCTATTTCTACATTGCCTGATGAATTGTTAACAGCTTTTAACCTTTTATTGCAATAAAGTATATTTCTAAGAGAGTGTTTCTCTCTCTTTAAAAATATTTCTATTATATATATTTTTATATTTTAATAATATTGGTCAATAATTTATTAACTTTTTTGTTTTTAAAAGGAGAAAAATAATCCCTAGTTTAGGAAAGACAGTCCAGTTAAGAGCTTGCCTTTTAAAGTACTTTCTGCTCCCTGAAGAGATCCTTTTAGCCTTCGAAGCACATCACCTCTGACAGTATTAAATTTCTCCAAGAGAAGGACTAAAAAGGGATCGTATGGAAAAGTAAACACAAAAATTCCTCAACTTACTGGCTGAGGTTACTGACATATTATTAAAAAAGAATTGAATTTTAAGAACTAAATACTTCATTTTCCAAGGGTTTATACGTTTTCCCTATTTAGTTTTCCAGCAAAACAATTTTGATAAAGGCAAAGATAGAATAACCTCATTAATACATTAATATCAGAGGCTGAACTTCTGATCTCCCTGAAATGCATAATAACTTTTTTTCTGTTAATACTTACCTTGTTGTCAATGTAAACTACATCTCTCTCTCTCTTCCTCCCTCTCTCTCTCTCTCTCTCAGAAAGGTTAATTTTGGGCCGGGTGTGGTGGCTTAAGCCTGTAATCCCAGCACTTTGGGAGGCCCAGGCAGGTGGATTACCTGAGGTCAGGAGTTCGAGACCAGCCTGACCAATGTGGTGAACCCCGTCTCTACTAAAAATATAAAAATTAGCCAGGCATGGTGGTGGGCGCCTGTAATTCCAGCTACTCAGGAGCCTGAGGCAGGAGAATCACTTGAGCCCAGGAGGCGTAGGTTGCAGTGAGCCGAGATCACCCCGTTGCACTCTAGCCTGGGCAACAAGAGCAAAGCTCTGTCTCAAAAAAAAAAAAGGGTTAATTTTGGTCCTTAAACCCTATGGCACCTGTGAAGGTGGTTTCACAGCATTCAGCAGTTTTTGTTTTAGTAGCTAACTTAATAGCTAACAATAATTTAAGGAACTTGAATTTTCATAGTGTACTTTTTACTAAGTACATTAGTAACTTTGAGCTCAAAACATTATTTCCATATGGATTATTTCTCTGGAACACTATTTAAACTAAAGGAAAAAAAATGTATACTCTCAACCTACTAGTGTGAAATAAAAGATACAAGTTAAGCCAAGGGAAAATACTCTTAAATAGCCTACTGGACCATCATAAGATAAATATTTTAGACCAGGTGCAAAGAGTCCATTCCACTCTTCAATTTAATTTGCAACGCAATATTAACTTGCTAGTTTGATCATACATGCAATTGAGAAAATGAAATTACATGAATATAAAGTTTAAAATTGGAGCAAATATCTCTTCAGTTATGTAAGTGACTTCATGATGTGTACATTTTATTCACATATTTTGTAAAATGTTCTAGTAGAGTATTAAGAGATTTGCTTTTACCTCTTCTCCACTTAAATGGACTGGAAGGCTAGATAGCCTATCTCTTGTTTTTGTAAAGATGATCAGAAAAGTAAAGTACTGTGAAATTATTTAGACACTCCTCCACCCTCCTCCTTTTTTTTAAAAGCAGGAATTCTAATAAATTCATTGAAAGGTTATAGAATCAGTGATCACAGTCAATGATGAATAAAGGTGTAAAGACATTGTTCCTACTGTGGAGATAGTACAACAGATATCAAATTGGTCTATATTGATTACTGGCAAGTTGCTTGCTCATCTTTGTAAGTCTTTAACAATTTTCCTAAATTTTGTAGATATTAAGGTTTTTCCGTCCTACTTTTTGTAATGCTGTAATGCTGTCTTTATTCAACTCTTGAAAAGTCATGCCAGACTTCAAAATGCTATGCAATCTTAATATTGACATGAGAAGTGAGCACAAATACTTGCAAACTCTCATAGTTAATTCCACAAGAGTTTCTTTAGATGAGCTCTAGGCAACAGTTATCACATATTCTTAAATGGAAAATCTGTTTCTCCAAATTTCAACTAAATAGTTTTTGAGTTGATTATTCTCAAACTTTCTTTGTGCAACTCTTGTAAGATGTTGAAAAACTGTATATTCGCACATACAATATTAAACTTTCATTTAAGATGTAACTTTTATCACATTGCATATGTTTATATTTTAAAACAAAACCATCAAATTACCTTTTAAAAAGTTTTCAATGGAAATAAATGCCAGAGCAATTTGATACTCATCATCAGCTGTTGAAAAAATCACACATGAATATTCTTCAACAGTTAACAATTTTTACTTCATTTTTCCCTGTGATCTTATATTTATTCCTCTTACTCAACAGAATTTTACATTAATGTAACATATGTTTTTGCTTGATAGATCAGAGTAATATATTTTATTCAACAAAACTATGTATATAAATTAAAATGTTATTTCTTGTGATCAATAATGTCCTAAGTGGTTAACATCTTCATTGAGTTATCATTATAATTATTATCAGTTCAAAATGACCATAAGAACAGAAACCTAAAATTGTTGATAAATAATCAAAATTTATATTTATATGATTTTAAAAATTAATTGATGTATTGATGTGAGAATGAGATAATTCAGCACTAGTTCCATGCTGTTTTTCTTTTTTATTAAGTGCTGAAAAACACATAGAAATAGATACAAATAAATAAGTTACTTTGAACTCCTACCTTATTTGTTAAAAATCACAGACTGAACTGTCATCAAAAATTATGTTTGATCTCTACCGATTAATAGCTTTAGGCCATTTTTGTTTTTCAGTTTTGTCTTAAGCAAATAATTGGTAATTACCTGTCTTGGAAATGGATTTGTTTCCCAGTTACTAATGCCTTTTGCCTTTTCAGCATCCTCTATTGAAATTACCCTTTGCTGCTTTGGTGGTTTTCAGAGCTTGGGGCAATTCACCACAACAGGTTTTTGGATGTAGGAAATATGTGTCTTTTTTTTTTTTTTTTTTTTGTCAAGTGGGAGAAGGACAACTGGGACAGGAGAACCAACATCATAAGTTCTTTGGTTTATCAAGTGTTTGAGAAAAAAATACAAAAGACACTTGATACTCTGGAAATTGATACTCGTAACTTTTTTGTATTACATGCCCCTTCAAAAGTTTCCAGCTATAGACAAAGAACCCCGATTATTCCATATTCATTGCTTTGGAAACTCTCAAAGCTCTATGTCTTCTTTATTAATGTATTTAAGAATTAGTTTTTTATTCTACTACAATGCAAAAGGAGCAAGTTGACTTTCTCATCCCATCAAGACTGTTGGTTTAAGCAGGGAAATGGTGATGGTAGGGAAAGAGATAGGAAGGAAAAAATGTGAAATAACAAAGAAAACCTCATTCTACTTTGGTGTCAAGGCACTTAGGTCTAATTTCCTTAGAAAAAAATGAGTACCTCATTTCATTTAGCCAGAACTCTTTCCCAGGAGATTTTAAGCCAAGATTATTTTGAGATCATGTAAATATACACTTCCTCACCAAACTTTTACCTATTAACTTTGAAAGCCATAGGTGATTTTCTTATTTCTGCAATCCTTCTATGTTTATTAGTTAGCATTTTGCTGTAAATAAGTATCTTTCTGCCTATTTAAATCTCTATGGACTTGCAGATTCTTATTTTATTCCATGAATTAAAAACCGTTACATCATTATCTCTCTTTTTGCTGAAATTTTCCTGGATTTGTCCTATATTTGAAAAATAATTCAGAGTGTACAGATAGATAAGAGAGTGCTTATGGCAATTTAAAAAGATTCATCAGGATGAGAATGCAAAAAGGAATATAGAGATTAACTATGAGGAAAGCAATCAAAATGAATGAAAATAAATATAACTTAAAATGATTAGAGATAAAATGATATCTAGGGAGACAGACAAAGGAGATCTAACCTACACTTATTGGAAATTCCTATATAATAGATGAGAATAAATACTTGAAATATGATTGAAGAAAATATTAACTTTGAAATGGCATGTCAGGTCTTAGGAAAAATTAACATGTTATGATCAACACGGAGACATATCCTAATACAACTGCTGAACTTTGAAGATAAAGAAAGAATCCTTTGGACAATCAGGCAAAAGCAATAATTCATCTCTAGAGAGTAAAAACAAAACAGGCTGACATCAGACTTCTCAACAGTAGTATTTAATTCTAGAGGACAGTGGAGAAATGTCTCTAAAATTTTCAAGAAAAGAAAGTATGACCCAAGTATCTTATATCATCCAAATTTTCATTCAAATATAAAAGCAGTAAATAATTTTTAATGTTCATTAACTCTGAAAATACTAGGAAAATATTTGCAATTCATATCACAAAGTGCCAACTTTTATGTATCTGTAAAGAACAGATACATAAGATTTTTTAATATAAAGAATCTTATATAAAAAACTCTAGATAGACCAGTAATCCAAAAGATAAATGAGCAAAGATTATGACCAGTTTACATGAAAGGAAATATAAATGGCTCTAAAATATACATGGAAAGGTATAAATCTCATTCATAATGAGAAATACAAATGAAAGTTATACTGAAATATCTTGATTGACCCATTAAATTGGAAAAGATCACAAAGCTTGGTAACACTGAGCATTAGTGAGTGTGTGTGAAAGAGGCATTTAAAAAAATCTATGTAGGGTAATTTAGCAACATTTATCAAAGTTACAAACACACATACTCTTAAAATTAGTAACTCTACTTCTGGGAATTTATCTTAGAGATTACTTACCTATGTACAAAATGACATGTATAATACAAGTCATTGCAGCATTGTTTGAAATAGCAAAAGACTGAAAACAAACTAAATGTCTATCAACATAGAGCTGGTCAAATAAATTATGATACATCCATTCAATAGAATACTATCTACTGAAAAGAGAAAGTAAATTTATTGCTGTTAGGGGATAAGTTCCATGGTATTTTTTTCCTTGGAAAATAAGCTCCCAGGTAAATAGAATATCATTTGTGTAAAAGGAAGGAATATATTTGCTCATATATGCATTGAGCATTATATATGATATTGTTATTAGTTGCCTCTGAAGAGGAGAACTAGGTGGCAAGATAGGAGTTAAGGAAAATTTATTACTCTATTCTCTGCACTTTTGGAATTTTGAGGCATGTGAATGCACGACGTTTTAATCAGTCAATAAGCAAGCAAAAAAAGTGTCATAGTTAAAGAGGAGAACTTTTTTATAATACTAGAATTTCTAATTTTTCCTAAGTCTAAAAACAGTGGTTAAGAACACTTGATTATCTAAGGCAAAGTCAATGCAGGTTCATCCTTGTTTAGACCTCAGTATCTCATATGTATATTCACAGTCATTATGACTTAAGTCAACACTTAAGACGTTTTCTTTTACACATTTTTCTTCACTGAAATGTTCTGAGTTCCTTCATGCTATTCTACTTCTAATTGCTGTGTGCAAGGTTGTTGTCCTGGACTATACTTCCTAAACTGTCTACTGCTATGATAAATTACTCAAGTTGTGATTAACAAGGTCCTTTAATCATTCCTTTAGCAGTTTTCCCACTGTGATTACTGGTGCATCCCTGTTTTCGACCATACACTCATGGTACAGGCAGGTCCTGTCTAAAGAAATGCATTATTAGGGCTATTGGATGGGTCATATTTTAGGGTCTCAGTCATCATTACCAATTTTTAAGAGAATTATTAATACAACTTGCCAACAGAATAAGAATAGATGAATCTATAACCATCCAAGCTGATATGCCCATTAAAGAGAATTTTGAATGATTCTTGTTTGAACGTTATAGATTCTGATCTGAAACTATTTTGACTAAATGTAATAAAATTTCAGAAAAGTCAGTGTTTGCAATCAGAGGACAGTTCGTAATCAAGAAACTTTATTTAATAAATGGAATCCTTTGGTGACTGTGAATTTTGTAACCATTTTGCCTAGCTCAGGGCCTGGTGCTTACTAATTATTCACCAAAGAGAAAAATAAAAGAATTAGCCCTACATTTGAGCAGATTTTAGCTTTGTCATTGTAAAGAAAAATGATTACTGTGTTAAAGATATTATGCTGAGTTTTAAAGAGTGCACTAAGGAAAATAAATTAGGAAGCACATAATAAATTATCAGTTTTAGCAATAGAAAGGGTTAAAACTTTCGTTTGAAATAAAGTTTTGTAATAACTGCACAAGTAGCTACTTTTCAGTTTTGCACATTAAAATTGTTTTATTTTTATTTTTTGGTAATTTTGGGAGGAAACAGGTTTAACAATATGTAACAAGTTTTTTGTCTTTGGAAATTGTAATCTTTGCTTAAAAGTAACATAACAAAAAGATTTGTTGCAGGTTGGGCAAAACACCACACAGTTACTGAAGTTTTAATATTTAAAATGCATTAATATATTTATTTTCAATGCTTATCAATAAAATTGAGGAAATCAGTTATTACTTTCAATTATATAATTTATTGATATTTTGGTGAATTCACTAGTATTTAATAAAACCAGAATATTATATTTGCCTTGTAAATAAATACAATGTTAATAAAGAAGATATATAGAATATGCTATTTTATTATATGTCTGCCATGGTCTGAATGTGTCCTTCCAAAATTCGTATGTTGAAACCTAATCGCCGACGTGATGGTGTTAGCGGTGGAATATTGGGAGGCAATTAGATCATGAGAGTGGAACCCTCATTAATGGGATCCATGCTCTGTAAAAGAGGCCCCAGAGAGCTGCCTTTTTCTTTTCACCTTGTCAAGACACAGCTAGAATTAGAACCTCACAAGGTACTGAACCTGCCAGTGCCTGAATTTTGGACTTCCCAACTTCCAGAATAGTGAGAAATAAATTTCTGTTGCTTAGAAGCTACCCGGTCTAAGGTATTTGGTTATAGCAGCCCAAATGAACTAAAACAATGACATTAAAAAATTTTTTGGTGGTTTTTATGACCAAATTGTTAAGTTTGGATTTCTGACTTATTTACATAGTACAACTTTGTGATAAAGTGGATGGATGGTTTACAGAGAACAAAATTCCCTTCACCTTAACTCCATCTCACTTCTGTATAAATAGAATAACAGCATTAAAACTAAAAAAGTAACAATGTTTTAGGCATTTTTTCGATAAATAAACATTTTTTGAAAGCCTCCCAAGAGTTAGCCAACTTTGTCATATTTTAATTCTGTGCCAATTTTCTTTGTCTCATGTGTACTATAGGATATTACTATAGGAAATTAAATTTTAGTATTGTAATCCTTCAACCCCACCTCAAGGGTGCAGTGCAATCTGTGACTTACTAGAAGGTAGACTGTAATTGTTTGAGACCCTATCTTTTTGTATTCTGATATATTACCTTCTCATTTTGGACAGGTAATTAAAGTTTGAAGATAAACCATTTTTTTTTCTTTGCTTAACCATCCTCAGCATTTATGGCTTCCCTGATGTTATGGTTAATATTAAGTGTCAACCTGATTGGATTGAAGGATGCAAAGCATTGTTCCTGGGTGTGTCTGTGAGGATGTTGCAAAAGGAGATTAACATTTGAGTCAGTAGACTAAGAGAGGCAGACCCACCCTTAATCTGGGTGGGCACCATCCACTCTGCTGCTAGGGCTAGGGCTAGGGCTAGAAAAAGCAGACAGAAGAAGGTGGCATCAGCAGACTTGCTGAGTCTTCCAGCCTTCAACTTTGTCCTGTGATGGATGCTTCCTGCTGTTGAACATCAGACTGTAAGTTCTTCGTCTTCGGACTCTTGGACTTACACCAGTGGTTTGCCAGGGACTCTCAGGCCTTTGGCCACAGACTGAAAGCTGCACTCTCGACTTCTCTACTTTTGAGGTTTTGGGACTTGGACCAATTCACTACTGGCTTCCTTGCTCCTCAACTTGCAGACAGCCCATCATGGGACTTTACCTTGTGATTATGTGAGGCAATTCTCCTTAATAAACTCCTCTTCACATATACATATATCCTATTAGTTCTGTCCTTCTAGAGAACCCTGACGAGTACACCTGATTTTTACCATGTTCAGAGCATATAGCAAGAGCCAAGCATATGCATTCATTGATGGGCCACTCCACCAAGTTCTCTGGAAAATTCCATGCACATAGCAATACTGGAGAACAAGGGAGCAAGAATTAATACAAGTGAACAAACATGTATAAAACAATTGCAACTGTACAGAGATTATGTTCCTGAATCCAAATGGTTTTTGAGTGTTTAGAATAGATGAACTTGAAGCTTGTTAGAATATATTAAGAAAAGTTTCATAAAAGGGTAAATAAAAACTTAAATCAAGTTATGAATAAAAGAAACCAAGAATAGTAATGGATGAACTCAGCACATAGATTAATACTCATTGTTAAATCAATTAATGACATAGGTTTACTTGATACTAGTAAAGACTACAAAACTATATAAACACACTTAAGTAAGAGTAGTGCAACTTGGGGAGAGTAAAACATAGGTAAATGATGATTGAAAGTAAAATGAATTACTATGACAGGGAATGATCATATCAGAGCACTTAGAGAAAATGACTTTTGTCATTGTTGTATTTATGTATAGATGGCAGTTCTTTTGGATACGTCAGGGACTGTGGAGTTGGACAGACCTTGGTCCAAATCCCAGCTAAGCCACTTAATAGCTAAAGAATTTGGGAAGGGGGCCCATGAGAAGGGGTGACAAATTCTATGTGTTTTAGTATCTTAATTAAATAGAAGATAATGTGTACTTTTTAGGGTGAGGTTGGAATTTGAAACAGTTTGATGCTATCCAAATCATAGCTATTTTATGATTAAAAAGCAGGTCAGCTTATGATTCACTTTTATAGCTTCCAAAATGATAGAAAACAAAGACTTGAAAAGGTAATGAAGAGTGAAAGTGGCTAAAAAATATGTATGACACATGTTTCATCCTGTGTAAATGGAGTAATCCTGTAACAGTAAGCATATTGGGCAAGTGAAAACAAAGGTTTCGATGATAAAACAATGGTTTAAGTTTCATAGACTATGGTTTGTAGATACCAGGACATATGATATGGGAGATATATAGTTTCAGAAATCATTTAATTAATATATGAAATGAAACGTAGTTGGTCCTAGAGGCTCCAAGGGCAAGAATATGTATGGTGAAATCATTGAGGGATAGGGAATGAATTGGTCCTCCATTATGTTAGGCCATCTTAAAATCTCTTTCAAGCGTTTCAAGAGTCTCTATACAAGTTACTGTGTTAATTTATCCATTTTGCATTTATTTAATATTTAAGATACGTTAAGTCTCTGAGTTTTAAATGATTTGTATAATTTTTAACCTTTTTCACAAGGGTTCCTTGATGTATCTGAAGCTATTGCAATCAACTAGAGACTTTTTCCTATATAAAGCAAATTAAAAATTTGAAACATCAGTTAGCAAGAGGTTCATGATTTCTAAAATCACCCGTAGTAAAATTCACAATTTCAGATCTAGAAGAGACTATCAACATGTCAAAGTCAAGTCTTCATGGAAAACATCAAGACATCAAGGCTTAAAATGCTCATCATAAATATTCTATGAAAAGCATATAGTAATGAGAGTTTTTAGAGTTGACACATAATAATTGTACATGTTTATGTGGTACAGTGTGATATTTCCGTATATGTATACATTGTGTAAAGATCAAATCAGGATATTTAGCATATCCATCACCTCATGCATTTAATGTCTCTTTGTAGTGATAACATTCAAAACTTCTGATATGGTTTGGCTATGTCCCTGCCCAAATCTCATCTTGAATTGTTGTTCCCATAATCCCCATGTATCATGGGAGGGACCTGGTGGGAGGTAATCGAATCATGGGGGTGGTTTTCCCCATGTTGTTCTCATGACGGTAAGTTCTCATGAAATCTGATGGTTTTATAAGGGGCTCCCCACTTTGTTCAGTTCTCATTCTCTCTCCTGCCACCATGTGAAGAAGGATGTGTTTGCTTCCCCTTCCACCATGACTGTAAGTTTCTTGAGGCCTCCCCAGCCCTGCTAAACTGTGAGTCAATTAAAGCTCTTTCCTTAATAAATTACCCAGTCTTGGGTATGTCTTTATTAGCAGTGTGAGAACGAACTAATACAATCTATTTTCTAGCTATTTTAAAATATATAATATAGTATTGTTAATCATAGTGACCCAGCTGTGCAATAGAAAATCAGCATTTTTTCTTCCTAACTGTAACTTTGTACTCATTGACTAATCTCTGCCTATTACCTTTCCTTCCTTTCCTCCCCTGCCTCTGGTAACTACTGTTCTGCTATCTACTATGAAGTCAATTCTTTTAGATTCCACATTTGAGTGAGATCATTATCTTTCTGTGCCTGGCTCATTTCACTTAACATAATGTCCTCCAGGCTCATCCATGTTGTTATAAGTGACAGGATTGCATTCTTTTTTAAAGACTGAATAGTACTCCATTGTGAATACAGGCTACATTTTCTGTATTTGTTCATCTGTTGATGGACACTTAGGTAGATTCATATCTTGGTTATTGTGAATAGAGCTGCAATAAATGTGGGAGTACAGATATCTCTTTGACATACTGATTTTATATCCTTTGCATATATACCCAGTAGTGGGATTACTGGATCATATCATAGTTTTATTTTTTAAATTTTTTGAGGAATCTCCTACTGTTTTCCATGACAGCTGTACCAACGTGTCCTCCCACCAATGAAATACAAAGTTCCCTTTTCCTCCACACTCTCACAAGTACTTGCTATCTCTGTCTTTTTGATAATCAGCATCCTAACAAATGTGAGGTGATATCTCATTGTGGTTTCAATTTGCATTTCCCTGATGGTTAGTGATGTTGAGCATTTTTTCATATACCTGTTGGACATTTCTATGTCTCCTTTTGAGAAATGTCTATAAGGTCTTTTGCCCATTTTAAATCAGTTGATGATGATGATGATTTGCTATTAAGTTGTTTGAGTTCTTTATGTGTTCTGAATAATAAACCTGTATCAGATGCATAGTTTACAAATACTTTCTTCCATTCTGTAGGTTGTTTCTTCACTCTATTGATGGTTTCCTTTGTTGTGCTGAGCTTTGTAGTTTGAGGTAGCCCCATTTATCTGTTTTTGCTTTTTTTGCCTGTACTTTTGAGGTCATATCAAAAAAAATCCTTGCCCATACCAATGCCAGGAAACATTTCCCTTATGTTTTCTTCTAGTAGTTTTATCCTTGCAAGTGTTACTTGTAAGTCTTTAATCCATTTTTGGTTGATTTTTGTATAGTAAGAGATAAGGGTATAGCTTGAATTTTCTGCCTGTGTGTATCCAGTTATCTCAGTACCATGTATTACAGAGGCTGTCCTTTCCTTAATTTGTGTTCTTATCACCTTTGTCAAAAATCAGTTGAATGTAAGTGCATGGACTTATTTCTGGGTTCTCTATTCTGTTCCATTGGTCTATGTGTCTATTTTTATGACAGTATTGTGCTATTTTGGTTACTGTATCTTTGTAGTTTATTTTGAAGTCAGGTAATATGTTGGCTCTTTGGGATCTTTTTTGTTTCTTACGCATTTAGAATTATTTTTTCTATTTCTGTGAAGAAAGTCACTGGTATTTTAATAGGGGTTACAATTAACCTGTAGATTGCTTTTGGTAGTAGAAACATTTTAAGAATGTTAATTCCTCCAACTCATGAACACTGGATATCTTTCCATTTTTGTGTGTGTCTTCAATTCCTTTCACTAACATTTTATAGTTTTCATTGTAGATATCTTTTATTTCCTTGCTTAAATTTATTCCTAGGACTCTTCATTTTTGTAGCTATTGTAAATGGGGTTCATTTCTTGATTTCTTTTTTAGATTGTTCACTATTGGTGTAAAGAAACACTACTAATTTTTGTATGTTGATTTTGTACCCTACACCTTTATTGAATTTGTTTATTAGTTCTAACAATTCTTTTGGTAGAGTCTTTAGAGTTTTCTAGCTATAAGATCATATTTTCTGCAAAGAGGGATAATTTGACTTCTCCTCTTCCTATTTGGATGTACTTTATTTCTTTCCCTTGTTTAATTGCTCTGGCAAAGACTTCTAGTACCATGTTGAATAGAAGTGGTAAGAGTGGAAATCCTTGTCTCATTCCAGTTCTTAGAGAAAAGCTTTCAACTGTTTGCCATTCAATATGATGTTAGCTGTGGGTTTATCATATATGACCTTTACTGTGTTGATGTATGTTTCTTCTATACCTAGTTTGTTGAGAGTTGTTATCATGAAGGCATGTTGAAATTTATCAAATGTTTTTTCTGTGCCTATTGACGTGATCCTGTTTTTTGGTCCTTGATCCTGTTAAGGTGATATATCACATTTCTTGATTTGATAATGTTGAAACATCTTTTCATCTCTGGTATGAATTCCACTTGAATATGGTAAACAATCTTTTTAATTTGTTGTTAACTTTGATTTGTTAGTATTTTGTTGAGTAATTTTGCATTGATGTTTATCATGAAGATTGGCCTATAATCTCTTTTTTGTTGGTGTTGTGTAACTGTCTCGTTTTGGTATCAGGGTAATGCTAAATTTCCTGCATTCAGACTATGCATACTATGCATATATAAATGCAGACTAAGGTCTACAGATACAAGGAAATATAAGATAAAAGATGTGTAGATTCAGAAATCATTTGATTAACATATATAAAACTGAAACACAGTTGGTTCTAGAGGCCGCCAAGGGCAAGAGAATATGAAATCATTGAAAATGAATAGGTCCGTGATTACATGCATCTCCAAAACTCGTTCAAATGTTCAAAGAGTCTTCATGTAAGTCTCCATGTTAATTTTTTTCCTTTTGCATTTATTTAACATTTAAGATATATTAGATGTGTAAGTTATGAATGACTTGTATAATTAACTTGGGTTTTGTTTTATACATTTCTCACAGTTGAATATTTTCTTGAATTCTCTTGCCAAAATGAATTTTTGTTTAGGTTGCAGGTGTGCTGTTTTGCTTGCTCAATGGATTTCTTTGTCTCTTCTGCTCAAGCTGAAAATCAGTACCAATAGAAATCATTGAACATTTTCAACATTTTAAAATTAAGCTAGAAACCAGGGAAGTACTTACTGAATAACAGTGACTAATGGGATTAGATATCTAATTCACCAGCAATAGGTACTTAATTCCCACACTGCCAGGAATAATAAACATGTGATTGGATGTCACAGACTTTGTGAAATTTTCAAAATTAAAATATAGCAAAATGCATAATTAGTTAAACATTTAAAAGCTTTTTTAGAAAAATAAACGAGCAAAAATACAAGACTTTCCTAAAGGAGGAATAATGAAAGGGGATTTATTTTATTTTATTTTATTATTTTTCTGAGATGGAGTTTCATTCTTGTTGCCCAGGCTGGAGTCCAGTGGTGCTATCTTGGCTCACTGCAACCTCTGTCTTCCAGGTTCAAGTGATTCTCTCACTGCAGCCTCCCGAGTAGCTGGGATTACAGGCGCCCGCCACCATGGCCAGCTAATTTTTGTATTTTTTGTAGAGAAAGGGTTTCACCATGTTGGCCAGGCTGGTCTTGAACTCCTGACCTCAGGTGATCTGCCCACCTCAGCCTCCCAAAGTGCTGGGATTACAGGCGTAAGCCATCACGCCTGGCCAGGGATTTATTTTATTTTGTATTAACATAAACTTTTTTTAAAGATAAAACAAATACAGTACTTCAATGTTGGCCTGAGACCGAGTAGATTAATAGAACATAATACAAAATTTATATACAGGTTCCACAGGTAAATACTAATGAAAAGTAATATTCTGAAAGGTAAATTTTAATCATATAGGGTCCATTTTCATATGTTAATTAGACATTTTATTTTTTTCTGTGCATTGCTTATATTTCATTAGATTGTTTTTAATCTAACTCATCTCCCTTTTTCCTTCCCTCTCCCACTTTATCTACCTCTCTCTCTTTTCCTCTCTCATTCTCTTTCCCTCTCTCTTCAACATGTTTAGAAATGTTATTTGAAAGGAATGATTCAAGTAAGATGAAGAGTGAAAATAATTTATAGTGTATGCTTCCTGTGTTTTAGACTTTGAACAAAAATAGGACATAGTTAAGCTGTGTGAACTTAATATAGAGCTTTGGTTACTGAGATATATAAAAATCTACATTTTATCACTTCTGTAAAAATCATCATCAATAGAGTGACTTTCTGAAAAACAGGATTGCTCTTTTAAGTATTATATATAGCATTTGATCATCTGAATAGACACTGAAAAAATGAATCTGATAAAATCCAACATCTATTCCTGATGAAAAACTCTAAGCCAATTAAGAGTAGAAGGGTGTTTGTAATGTGATAAAGGGCATCTACAAAAGACCTACAGCTGACATCATACCTAATGATGAAAGACTGAATACTTTTCCCATAAGATCAGGAATAAAATAAGGATATCCATTTATATCACTTGTATTCAACATTACACTGGAGTTTCTAGGCAGTGAATAGGCAAGAAAAAGAAAAGCGTTCACCTTGAAAAGGAAGAAATTATATGATCTTTATTTACTGATGACATGATCACATGTATCCAAAAAACCTAATGAAATTTAAAAAAAAGCTGCTAGAACTAATACATAATTTTAGCAAGATTTTAGAGTACAAGATCAATGTAGAAAAGTTAATTATATTTCTATATACTACTAATGAACAATTGGAAATTATAATTAAATAAATAACATGTTTTCCCACAACATCAAAGTTACAAAATACTTTGAGATAAATCTGACAAAAGATGTGCAAGACATGTACATGGAAAGCTATAAAACATTGCTATGAGAAAACACAGTAGATCTAAATTAATATAGAAACATCCATTGTGGTTGACTGGGGAAAGAGAGTGTTGCAGGGAGGGCCATCAGTAATCTTCTGGGGGTGATTGACCTGTTCATTATTTGATTGTGAGGACAGTTTCATGGGTTTTATATATATGTCTAAACATCAAATTATATATTTAAATATATGTAGTTTATCACGTGACAGTTATACTTTAATAACATTTTTATTAGTAGTATATTTTTTAAATTTCAACCAGATTTCATTATTGAAAGACTTGCCTTTATGCACTAGAACCGAGACTTCAAAACGCTGTTAATATCCACTCTTCACTACCAACTTCTGAGACATTACTGAGACTCTTTCGAAGCAGTATTTTCTTTTGGTGTTGTGAGTGGTAGACTCGGGCATGATCGACATCTTATTCTGGTGACCATTTTGAAGATTAATCTTTTATCTATTATGTAAGTTGCAAATATTTTCTCCTAGAGCAAGGGTTGGCAAGTTATTTGAGAGTTTGCTGGCCATATGGAGTCTGTCACAATAGTCCAGCCTTCCCCAGAGTATAAAAGCAACCACAGACAATATGTAAATGATTGAGTATGAGTGTGCACCAGTAAAATTTTATTCACAAAAACTAGCAGGCAGTCCATGGGCCACCATTTTCAACCTGATCTAGAATATTACTTGTCTTTTAACTTTATTAATGGTCCATTTTATTACACAGTTGTTTAAAATATGTAGTAGAATCCATCCAATTTTTTGGTTATTCTTAGGCTTCATATCTTTCCTTCTATAACGTTATACAGATATTTTTCTATAAGTTTTCCAGTATTTTGTATAATTTTACATTGGAAATTTTGATTCAGCTATAATTTACATGAGTGCATGATGTGAAGTAAAGCTCTGATTTAATTTTTCCATATGGATTTCCAAATGCTCCAACACTGTTTATTAAAAACTCCATTTTCTCATATTGACTTGAAATTTCACCTTTGTTGTATACTATATTTGTTACAGTAGGTAGCTAGTCAGGTATAAGCAGGGCAGCAGAGAGCTCCTTCCCCCCACCCACACACCAGGAGAGTCCAGCAACCATCAAGTGATGGTCAGGTGGTTGTTAACTGTCTCTAAAGTAACTGGTCACAGCCAGTGCTAGGAAAAGGCAGTCTCCTAATAAACACATAGGAAAAAACTGAAACTGGTGATCTGCAGCTCCCCAGTAAGATCTCAGGAGTTGGGAGAAGTGATGCAAGACCCCAGAAGTATGCCACTGTGTGAAACCCCAAGTCAAAAGGTCACACTGTGTACTTGATCTCTGAAGTCGCCTGCTTGGCCCTCTTCCAAGTGTATTTTTATTTTTCTTCCTTTCATTACTGCTCTAAAGCTTTTTAATAAACTTGCTCTAAAACTTCCCTCGGTCTCCTTCTGCCTTATGCTCCTCAGTCGATTTTTTTCCTCTGAGGACGCAAGAATTGAGGTTTCCGCAGACCTGTTTGGCTTTGCCACTGCTCACGTATTCTCCTATATACATAATTTATTCTGGAATCTCTCTTTTATTTCATTTATCTATTTATTCATTCTGAGCTAACACAATGCTCCTTTATTTACTGGACTTTTATGATACATTTTTTTTCTAGGCAGAAAGGACTCAATCTGTATTACTATTTTCTCTTTTCTTGAAAGTACTATTTTTCATTATTTGTGGGTATTTATTGCTGTTGTGAATTTTTTTCTCATTACATACGTTGATTTTTGTGTGTATAGAAAACTATTACAGGTTTTCTGTCATTTTTGTGTCTTGCTAATATTCTAACAGTTGTAATAGTTTTTCAGATGATTGTCTTGGATTTCATAGCAAAACAATCATGACACATGCAAACAGTGAAATATTTGATTCTTTATTTCCAATGTTTATTTCTCACTTTTTTTCCCTTATCCTCTTGCCGTGGCTAGGAGGGACAATAGAATGTTGGACAGTAGTAGATGACAGGCATTTTTTTTTTCTTGTTGGTGTTTAAAATGTGCTTTTAGTAATTTGAAATACAGAAGCCAACATCAGTTTTCTGTTTCAAAAATATTCTGTTCATTCTGGTACATGTATATGTAAACATATATATGTATATATATATTTGTGTGTATATATGTATAATAAGTTTTAGTTTTGTTTAATGAAGTACTTTTAAAATTCTCTATAAGTTATTTTGATGAGAATTATAATCCTTAAAATATTGTATACTTCCATTCAGGAATAATGCATCTTTATCTGTTATTTTTCTTATATTACTAAGTAAAGTTTTCTTTCATATTTCTTATTAAAGTTATTTTATATTTCTTATTAAAAGTATTGCAAATAATTTTATATGTGAAGTCATTTTGACATTATTATTACTTTGTGATTAATTCAATGAGCTATTTGAGGTTTATGGAAGAGCTGATTTATATATATTCTTTCAAAATCTAAACATAGAAAACACTTATAAGTTTAATTGATTATTCAATCATTTTGGGGGTTGATAATCATTTTTAGGTTGATAATAGTATCATTTACAGATAATGAAAGTTTTGCCTTCTTTTCAGACAGTTATATCTTCTATTATACCTCCCTCTTTTTATTTATTGCTTTGGCTAGAAAAATTTTAAAAAGAGTGTTACTGCTTGGCAATCTTGCCTTATTCCATTTATTATAATTTCTTTAACATTTCTTTGTAAAGACTACTATTGGATTTTGGCCAGATATATTTCATAATCATTGTAAGGAAACTTCCTTCTCTATTTTATTAAGAATTTAAAATCAGGGCTGATATTAAACTTTCACGATTTATTTATTTATTAACATTTATTAAGATAATTGTGTGTTTTTGGAAATTTTAACCTATTGATAACATATGTTTTCTGAATTGATTTCCTAATTTTGAGGCATCTCTCTATCTTTTCAAACCACATATTTGTTCTGGTATGTTATCTATTTAATAAAATGTCAGATTTGATTTGCATGATATTTTATTTGGCACTTGTATCTGTATTTACTAATGAAATTGCTTCAGTTTTTTGTTTTTTTTTTTCTTGTACAGTATTTGCCAAGTTTGGATATCAAAGCCATGTTAGCTTTATAACATCATTTGGGAAGTTTTCCATTTTTTATTATTGAGCGAAATAACTTTTGTACATTCTGAGATTCTGCCTCTGGGTGACATGTATATATCAAAGACAGTCTTTATTTTTTTTTTTTTTTTACCCCTGAGGCTACTAAAGGTGAATTATTTAGACAATGGAATACAAGTCTGTTTGACTTGGAGAATTCTCAAAGGGTTAACATTTTACCTAGAATTTTGTTTTCTATTTTTTTCTACTATAATTTTTGGCCATGAGAAACAACTGCCATATTTCTTAAAAATTTTAGTGTTTAAAAGTCAGGTGAAATGTTGAATATTTGTTGAAATATTTTTCTACCACTAGTCTATTGGAATCCATAGTTGAAATGAAATGCTTACACAGGTGTTGGTTGAGTTTGGCTTTGTCATTTTACCTAAACCACTTTAAAATGTTGCTATTTTGACTCAGTTTAGAAATAAAACGTCTTATATTCTGTTTGATATTGGTATTACCTATTTTGTTGGAAGGTCTGAATGTACCCATACATATTATATATGTGTTAATCTTTTGATCTATGGGGTTAAGTTGTGTTTTGGGATGTACAAAAACAAAAACACAAAATTTAAAATTTAAAAATCTGTTAGTCTCATCTCACAGGAAAAAAAGCTGTTAACTGTGAGATAAGATTGTTCTGAGATGTGAGAAATAAATTAATAAAATTAAAATTATAATATACATATATAAAATAAAGAAATATTACATGAACACAATGCAAAGGAATCTATATCAATTTTCCCTGTCATAAATTTCTACACATAAAAGAAATAATAACTACTTCCTTATCGAAGGACAAACTTTGAATATCTTCATACTTTTAAAACAAACTTTATTTATGATCTTACAGGTTCACGTATCAGTATTTGCAAAATAAATAAAATATTGCTTGAAATGAAAAATGGCTTCAAAGGTAAGTATCTTAGTATATTTCTGTAGCTTATTTTACTTTGTTGTGGTTCCTGAAAAGAAAGCAGCAGGAATTGACCCAGGTCTTCGATTTTTAGATCTGAATGTTAACACAGAGTTTCTGGCTTCCAATAGTTACTGTTGGGTTGTGCTGCTCAATGAAAAATTTCAGAATAAAATAGCTTTCTCCTGAAGTAGCTGAGAGTTCCGTTTTGGTGCCAATTCCCAGTCCTTATCTCCAATGTTTGCCAAAGTATAAATAGCTCCAAAACATCAGCATTGGTTGCTAAACACTTTGCTGTGCAATAACTATCATCACTTCACAGTAACAATTGACAAATGATTCATTACTGTCAGATAAAAGGTTTTTAAATCACTTCTTAACAACATTTATTAAGGATTTTGAAGGTAATCAGTGGAGATATATTTTTTCTAGTGTATTTATTCTTCATCTGCAGTCTTTAGGGATGTGCCAATTATAATTTATCTACTATCTGTTGTGAAACCTGGATAACAAGATAATATAAGTAATTAACAAGGTTTGTACACTACAGAAAGATATTATATTTCCTGACATGTTTAAACTAACAGAGAGAAATTGTGTTGATAATATTTTATTTCTGTTTCATCCCTGAGGACAATAAGTATTTTTTTCTCAGTCCTATTTGGATAAGGATAAAGTTTACAGGTATATTATACCAGGCATTTAGATACAAAAATATTACAAGTCAAATGGATCTTAGTTTGGGCTAGTTCTCTAAAAATCAGTAGTTTAGGCAACAGGCAGAGGCTGGAACAGTTTGGAGAGCTCAGAAGAAGACTGGAAAATGTGGGAAAGTTTGGAACTTGCTAGAGACTTGTTGAATGGCTTTGGCCAAAATGCTGATAGTGATACGGACAATAAAGTCCAGGCTGAGTTGGTCTCAGATGGAGATGAGGAACTTGTTGGGAACTGGTGTAAAGGTCACTCTTGCTATGCAAAAAGACTGGTAGCATTTTGCCCCTGCCCTAGAGATTTGTGGAACTTTGAATGTGAGAGAGATTATTTAGGTATTTGGCATAAGAAATTTCTAAGTGGCAAAGTGTCCAAGAGGAAGCAGAGCATAAAAATTTGAAAAATTTGCAGCCTGATTATGGAGTAGAAAAGAAAAACCCATTTTCTGAGGAGAAATACAAGCCAGCTGCAGAAATTTGCATAAGTAACGAGGAGCCAAATGTGAATCTCCAAGACAATGGGGAAAATGTCTCCAGGTCATGTAAGAGACATTCGTGGGAGCCCTTCCCATCCCAAGCCCAAAGGCCTAGGAAGGAAAAATGGTTTCCTGGGCCAGATCTGAGGCACCCCCTGCTGTGTGCAGTCTCGGGACTTGGTGCCCTGTGTCCTAGCTGCTCTAGCTGTGGCTAAAACCAGGCCAAGGTACAGCTTGGGCCATAGTTTCTAAGGGTACGAGTCCCAAGCTTTGGCAGTTTCCATGTGGTTGAGGCTGCAGGTGCACATATGTCAAGAATTGAGGCTCAGAAACCTCTGCCTAGATTTCAGAGGATGTATGGAAACACCTGTATGACTAGGCAGAAGTTTGCTTTAGGGGTGGGGCCCTCATGGAGAACCTGTGCTAGGGCAGTGCAGAAGGGAAATGTGGGGTTGAAGCCCTCACACAGAGTCCCTACTGGGCACTGACTAGTGGAGCTGTGAGAAGAGGGCCACCATCCTCCAGACACCAGAATGGTAGAGCCACAGACAGCTTGCACCACACACCTGGAAAAGCTACAGGTATTCAACACCAGACCATGAAAGCAGCTGGGAGAGGGGCTGTACCCTGCAAAGCCACAGGGGCAGAGCTGCCCAAGGTTGTGGGAGCCTACCCCTTGCATCACTGTGACCTGAATGTGAGACATGGAATCAAAGGAGATCATTTTGGAGCTTTAAGTTTTGACTGCCTTGTTGGATTTTGGACTTGCATGGGGCCTGTAACCCCTTTATTTTGGCCAATTTCTTTCCACATATTTGGAAAGGCATGATTACATGTTGAAATGTGAGGACGTGAGATTTGGGAGGGACCAGGGATGGAATGATATGGCTGTGTTCCCACCTGAATCTCATCTTGAATTGTAGTTCCCATAATCCCCACACGTCCTGGGAGGGACCCAGTGAGAGGTAATTGAATCATGGGGGTGGTTACCCCCACCCTTCCTTCTGTTCTCATGATAGTGAGTGAGTTCTCACAAGATCTGATGGTTTCATTAGGGGTTTTCCCCCTTTTACTTGGCACTTCTCTCTTGCCTGCCACCATATAAGACATTCCTTTGCTCTTCCTTCATCTTCTGCCATGATTGTGAGGCCTCCCCAGCCATGTGGAACTGTGAGTTCATTAAACCTTTTTCCTTTATGAATTACCCAGTCTTGGGTAAGTCTTTATTAGCAGTGTGAAAGCTGACTAATACAACTCTCTCTCTCTCTCTCTCTCTCTCTCTCTCTCTCTATATATATATATATATATATATATATATATATACGTATATATTTTACTTAAATTACACAAGTATCCCTTCATTCAGATTTCACATGAGTTTGCAAGGTCAATATTTTAACCTCAGTAACTTTGCATCTTATTGACTATTTTAAAGTTAATATGGCTGCCTTTTACTTTCAGGGCAGAGAAAATTAGTGATACTTAGACTTACTGGTAATATATCATTTGAATGAATTCAATGTATGCTTTCAAAAAAAAAAAGTCACCCTGCAAACAATTTCTCTATAAATAGAATTAATTAATGCTGTTTTCTAGATTTTCAAAAGCTTTATATTAAAAGCTGACTCAATCCTCAATTGCCATTGGGTTGTGAACTTGATGCAGGTGGCTTCTTTATAACTTGACAAAAGTCTAGAGAGATTTAGCTGAGTTTTACAAATTCATACTGCATGAATTTCTGTTGATTTATTACCTTATTTGACAGAGATGAAACATGTGAACAAACATCCTAGTTTTCTTGTTTTGAACATAAAAAAGAAACAGTCTCTCAGGTGACAATGAGGCATTAATTTATATGTTTGGTAAGCCCAAACCCACTTTAAAAAAATTTGTCCATAATATAAGGAGTCATTCCTTGCTTGATTTAATTAATATTAACAATATGTTAATAGAATAAACTGACAAAAATTCACTACGATTAATTTCTTTTTACCAACATTTTTTTCTTCCAAAGGTAAATTGTTATATACACACACATGTATCTGTACCCATGCATGCAAACACACACATACCTAAGCTTGTTATATTATTATTTTCATATTACTATTGTAAGTTAATGATCTTATATTTCAGTTAATTGCTATACTTGGTAATGCCTCTGTTCTAGAACTTTGAAAAATAATCAACATTTGAATAGAACGAAAATCTTGAAATCTCAACATAGTAAGACATGCTGAGGTAGAGAATAAAATGCAGATCACTCAAAAGAATTTGGTAATGTCAGTATTTTCATTCTTTTGTAGTCATTACTTGGGGCAGAGATGATAATAGCAACTGACCAAGAGAACCTTGTTGTTTCTCTCAGCTGCATCAAACTTTAGACAGGCCCCTGGCCTTTTCTTAGAGCATTTACCCTAGAAAAATGTGTAGTTACAAATTCTTTCTCTATCTCTTTGAGATACAGTTGAGCCTTGAACAATGCAGGAGATAGAAGTGCTGACCCTTGTGCAGTAAAAAAAATCTATATATAACATTTGACTACCTCGAAACTTAACTACTGATAGCCTACATTAACCAGAAGGCTTACTGATAACACAAATAGTCAATTAACACATATTTTATATGATACATGTATTATATACTGTGTTTTTACAATGAGGCTAGCTAGAGAAAAGAAATGTTATTAAAAAATCATAAGGAAGAGAAAATCCATTTACAGTATTGTGCTGTATTTATCAACACTGTAAATTTACATCATCTGTTTACGAAATAAATTGTCCATCTGAAATCATGGGCAACTGCTGCTGCAGATCTCAATCTATGGTACATATTAAGCAGTTCAACTTTTTATTGTAATGCCGCGGCTTTTCTCTGCTTCTTGGGAGCACTTCCAACGTCATTAGCGGCACTTTGTTGGCTCCCATGGTATTATTTATGGCTTACAGTATTACACTTAGCATGATGAAAAGACGCAAGAACCAAGAGATATTACTGTTTGTGGTACACAATTTACTGGAGAGTTGAACTGCTTACATGGAGATGATAAGTGTCACACAGGATTTTAAGCAGATACAACACTTCAGCTTACTGCAATAGCAACAGGAGGTGGCTATGAAATTATTGCAGTGGTACAGTATGCACTCAGTTAATTTTATGCATTTGTGATTCAACACTGCACGTTTACATTTGCTTATATTTCTCCCCACTGTGAATGGCACCAAGTACAATCTGTGTGTGTAAGTAAGTTTTGATAAATTTTAACTTATTATAAGGGATTTATGTATATTTTATGGTATTAAATAATAAAAATAGACTAGTATCTATGTATATTTTATGCAGTTATGACAAATCTGTTTTTGATATTTCTAGGCTACATGGTTAATCAGTGAGTTTCAAATCGTTGCAAATCTCCAAAAATATTTGCTATATTTATTGAAAAAAAAAATCTGTGTATAAGTGGACCCATGCAGTTTTGAACCTGTGTTGTTCAAGGGTCAGCTGCATATGTACATTTTTAAAAAGCCTCTTGCTAGTTTTCCAACCCAGGAATGTCTTTCTCAAGGACCTGGGAGCCATGTCTTTGAAATGTAATCATTAAGGAAGAAAGCACTCCTCTTACCTCCAGGGCTCTGTTCATTTGGGGTCAATTAGCAAACACAGATGGCCTAATCACAGAGAAAAACATTTGTAAACTCAGGAAAAGCTTCGTGTGCTCAACAGATCCCATTCATCAACCTCCACACTAAAGTCTTTCTTCCAGTACTTTTACTAGCTACTGAACTAGCACTTAAAAACCCTTCCACCTTTTGTTTGTTATCAGAGTTAACCACAGCCTGACTTCTGGCTTCTCTCCTCTATTGCAGTAGCTTGAAATAAAGTCTTCTTTATCAATTTAACTTTGTCCAGTAAAGTTTTGCTTTGAGTCAACCAACGGGCAGGAGAGAGGATTTTGTGGATGAAAATAATTCTTCACATTCTACTTTTGGTGTTGTTACCGACCACAGGTTCTTAGGTTCCCATGCAATATAAACTGAGAGGAGGCCAGGCAAACTTTTCCCAGCTAGGGTTTATTAAGACTTATGCCTGGACAGATTGGGCAAAATGGAGACAGCCCAGAGGATGCGTTCTGCAGCTGGTTCCCTGAGCAAAGGTTCTTGTTGTGTTTTGAGGAGGGTGACATGAAAAACTCATGAGTTAAGAAGAATCATTATATGTGTGAGGTGGAGTGCTGATGCACAGGCATAGTAAGAGATCATGCAAAAACATACATCCCGTAATCAGAAAATGGCAGATACCCCTTTCCTGGGCATGGATTTTCATATTGAAATGAGGCAAAGTGTAAAGATTGGTCATCCTCCTAGTCTTGTGTGCATGCAGGTGATAGAATTAACTAACTCCCTTGAGTCAGAGTTAAAGTGTGATGCTTCTTATTTTAGTTTCTTCAAGGCCCTGAAATCTGCAGGTATGGCGTCCTTCCTATTTCTACTCTGTCCCATCTCTACTCTATCTCAGTGTCACATTGGGAGGGGAGTAGGCAAAGGAAAGGAATTCATTGTGTTTTTCTGAGGCATTTTCTATAGGTAGGGCAAATCTTAAGTAAAGTTACAAAGAAAAAAATTTCCTTTGTTCCCTTCCATCTCTCTTCTATAGTTCTACTCTTCTCATGTATTTACTCCAGAAGGAAGGAGGTAAGAAATCAAGGAAGGCTTTCTGAAAGTAGTGATATTTGATGGTAATAACAGTGAGAGAGCTGGCTATCTCAGATGGGTAGCAGCTGGTGGGTAAGAAACAGCTAATGTAAGGCAGATGGGCGAAAGAATAATAATGATAACAACAATAACAAATAGTTACAACATTTATTTAATGTCAATGATGTGCCAGCCTCTGTTCTAAATTCCTAGTGTTTATTAATACATTTAAACATCATAGCAACTCTATGACACAGATACTATAATTATCACCATTTCAGACACAGAGAAATAAATTAAGGCACAAAAAGGTTGACAAATTCACTTCAGTTCTTAAAGTCAGTGAATGACAGAGCTGGGATCCAAATCCAGGCAACGTTGTCCCGGCATCCATGCTTTTAACCTCAAAATAGCACTGTCAGTGAATATCTGTCATCTCTCTGGGGATATATATATGTATAACTGAGTAATGGCTTCTCTTAATGGGATTTTGACCATGAGTTCAAGCTGAAAAGCAAAATTGTTTGTTTTTGACAGGAGTGGGGTGGTTTGGAGCACTCTTCCAAAAACACCTCTCAAATTATAGAATGCTGTTACTACCTGTTACTTTTGAAAGTAAGACCATTGCTGATGACAGAGTTTATAATAAAATATATTACATTTATATAGAGTTTTATAGGCCACAAAAATGCTCTCATCTATGCATTTTCTTAAGATTTTATCAATGGCTATATAGTAAGGTTAAGAATATTACCATGACTTTTGAATAAGTTGTATAACTTTCCAAAGATACACAGCTAATTAGGAAGCTATTCCAGATTTAAACATAGTTTATCTGATGCCTTAATTCTTAAACTTTTCACTAATTTCAACAGAGACCGAATACAAGTTTGATTTGTAAACTGAGATGTGAAAGTTAGAAGAAAATGGTTAAAGCTACACAAATCTAACACCTTGAAAACAAAATACTATTACTCAACAGTATAAGAAGTAATAGTGTAACAATATTATACAGCTGTACAAAATTTCCAAACCAGAACTAATGAAGGCTTTGGTCTGTTTATTGTCAGGGACAGATGACAGATGTTGAGAGAATGATACATTCCAGAGTTCAGTCTTTGTGTTCACCAGCAAAGGTGCCAAGAAAGCCTTTTGGGTTTTGGGGCCATCACCTGCCCCACCATTAACAGCCATTCCAAATAAAATATAAGTAAAGAATATTCTTGCTGAAAAATTGCAGCTTCCAGATATATCTCCAGACTGCCTTCCAACCAGAATAGCCATCTCTAAGACATTTCCAGTAGAAGAATTCTGGAACTTTCACTGGGGTGTGTGTGTGTGTGTGTGTGTGTGTGTGTGTGTATCTAAAGGAAAAGTGTCTATATATATGTCTAGCTGTATAATTTCTTATAGCACAGTGGTTATCAATCTAGGCTGTACCTGAATTAACAAGAGACCTTATAAGATTCCCAGTCCAAGCTCCAAGCCAGTTCTATCAGAATCTGTAGGGGCGGCTACCAGGCATCCCATGATTATGAGAAGCACCTAACACTGAGAAAACACTCCTATCAAGTAAACGTACCCAGTGATCCTCCACCCCTTTCCTCTTTAAGAATTTACCTGGGAGAGTATGAGAGGGCTAGAAGAGAATCCAATTTCCTACTCAATAGGATCTAGCCTTCTAATAAATAGTAGTAAAGATCCTTGCATTTATTCTTCTCGGTGACTGTTGGAAATTTATTATCATCTCTCCTCTAGAAAACTCTTCAGTGACAACAACTCTGTGTGTATATGTGTGTGTGTATACATATATATATGTATGTATGTGTGTGTGTATACATATATATGTATACATGTATGTGTGTATACATATATATGTATACATGTATGTGTGTATACATATATATGTATACATGTATGTGTGTATACATATATATGTATACATGTATGTGTGTATACATATATATGTATACATGTATGTGTGTATACATATATATGTATATATGTATGTGTGTATACATATATATGTATATATGTATGTGTGTATACATATATATGTATATATGTATGTGTGTATACATATATATATGTATATATGTATGTGTGTATACATATATATGTATATATGTATGTGTGTATACATATATATGTATATATGTATGTGTGTATACATATATATGTATATATGTATGTGTGTATACATATATATGTATATATGTATGTGTGTATACATATATATGTATATATGTATGTGTGTATACATATATATGTATATATGTGTATGTGTGTATACATATATATGTGTATGTGTGTGTATACATATATATGTGTATGTGTGTGTATACATATATATGTGTATGTGTGTGTATACATATATATGTGTATGTGTGTGTATACATATATATGTGTATGTGTGTGTATACATATATATGTGTATATGCGTGTGTGTATACATATATATGTGTATATGCGTGTGTGTATACATATATATGTGTATATGCGTGTGTGTATACATATATATGTGTATATGCGTGTGTGTATACATATATATGTGTATATGCGTGTGTGTATACATATATATGTGTGTATGCGTGTGTGTATACATATATATGTGTGTATGCGTGTGTGTATACATGTATGTGTATGCGTGTGTGTATACATGTGTATGCGTGTGTATACATGTGTGTGCGTGTGTGTATGCGTGTATACATATGTATGTATGTGTATACATGTATGTGTGTATGTGTATACATGTATGTGTGTATACATATGTGTGTATGCGTGTATACATATGTATGTATGTGTATACATGTATGTGTATGTGTATACATGTATGTGTATGTGTGTATACATGTGTGTATGTGTGTATACATATGTGTGTGTATACATATATGTGTGTGTATACATATATGTGTATATATGTATGTGTGTGTATACATATATGTATGTGTGTGTATATATATCTGTGAAATGAGACAGGCACAGAGTTAAACACTGCATCTTCTCACTCATGTGGAAGCTAAAAAAGGTTGATCTCATGAAAATAAAAAGTAGAACAGAGAATATTAGAGGTTGAAAAGGGCAGGGGAAGAGAGGCATAGGAAGAGATTTGTTAAAGAATGCAAAACTATAGCTTGGTAAGAGGAATAAGCTGTAGGGTTACATACCAGTTCAGGATGACTGTGGTCAAGACTATTATTTAATGTAGTTTCAAATAGCTAGAAGGAAGACATTGAATACTCCCAACACTAAGAAATGATAAATTCTTGACATGATGGATATGCTGATTACCCTGATCAGATCACCATACATTGAATATATTGAAACTTTACTATGTACCCCATAAATATGTACAATTATTATTTGTTAATCAAAAGGATAAAATAAAATGAAAATAAACATATTTAGAAAGGATAGGTATTTATGCATTTAAGTCACAATTTATGTATACAAGCGTTAATGGATTCAAAGTTATCAAAGGCAAGAATAGGACTTTATGATGTTACAAATAGTATAACTACATTGATTTAAATTATAAAATAGGCTATTTCTTTAAAACGTGGATTGCATATATATAAGTTTTCTACTGGCTGTTGACCACTCAGGCCATAAAATGAATGTCATTAAACTTAAAAAGATTGAAATAATACAAAATTTGTCCTCTAACTACATTGGAATAAAATAAAAAGTCAATAGCAGAAGCAAATTTGGCAAATTCAGAAATATATGGAAATTAAGCAACATATTCTTACATAACAATTTCTTGTTCAAAGAAGAAATCACCAGGGAAATTAAAAAGCACCTTGAGATAAAAGAAACAAACAAACACAATACACAAAAACTCATGGGATGCACAAAAGCAGTAATCAGAGGGAAATTTATTGCTGTAAACATCTATGTTAAAAAAAAGAATTTCAAATCAATAACCTAACGTTCCACATTAAAAAACAAACAGGAAAGACCAAGCCTAACACAGAAAAATGGAAGGAAAAAATAATAAATATTAGAGGAAAAATAAATCAATAGTGAATAGAAAAATAACAGAGAAAATCAACAAAATCAAAGTTGATTACCTGAAAAGACCAACAGTATTGAAAACTATTATCATTGGTCAATTTAGAGCCACAAAATAAGAGATTCAAATAACTAAAATCAGGAATAAAAGATGATATATCTACTGGCCCATCAAAAAACAAAATGTATTCTAAGGGAAAGTGATGAATAAAAAATTAAAACCCCAGTGAAATACCACCTTACATCCACTAGGATAGCTATAAGCAAAGACAGACTGTTTGTTAGAAGTAGGTGAATGGCAACAACTTCACATCACAAAGTCAGTAAGCCTTGTAGAAAATGTAAAAAATACAAGGGAATGAATTCTTACAAAAAAACTTGTCCTGATGAGATATACTTTATTCCAGCTGACACTGATAGTTTTTATTAATAAAATATTAATAAGCTGAAATCTTCACACATTGCAGGTGGGGATGTAAAATGGTACAGTGGTTTGGAAAACAGATTGGCAATTTCTCAAAAGGTTAAGCATAGGGTTTAATTTATGACAATGCTTCTCTTATGTATATACCAAGCTAAATTAAAACATATATCCATACAAAATTTGTATCTAAGTGTTAATAATGGCATCATTTATCATAAGCAAAATATCAGAACAACTCAACTGTTCCTTGTGTTGGTCTGTTTTCACGCTGCTGATAAAGACGTACCTACTACTGTGTATTTTATAAAGAAAAAGAGGTTTAATGGACTCACAGTTCCACATGGCTGGGTAGGCCCCACAATCATGGCAAAAGGCAAAAAGCACGTCTTACATGGCGGCATGCAAGAGAGAATCAGCATCAAGTAAAAGGGGAAACCCCTTATAAAAACATCAGATCTTGTGAGACTTATTCCCTACCATGAGAATACTATGGGGAAAACCACCCCTATTATTCAATTATCTCCCACTGGGTCCCTCCCACAACATGTGGGAATTATGGGAGCTACAATTCAAGATGAGATTTGGGTAGGGACACAGCCAAACCATATCATTCTGCCCTGGCCCCACCCAAATCTCATGTCCTCACATTTCAAAACCAATCATGCATTCCCAACAGTCCCCCAAAGTGTTAACTCATTTCAGCATTAACTCAAAAGTCCATAGTCCAAAGTCTCATCTGAGACAAGGCAAGTCCATTCTATGAGCCTGTAAAATCAAAAGGAAGTTAGCTACTTCCTAGATATGATGGGGATACAGGTATTAGTTAAATACACCCATTCCGAACAGAAGAAATTGGCCAAAATGAAGGGGCTAAATGCCCCATGCAAGTCTGAAATCTTCAAGCTCCAAAATGACCTCCTTTGACTCCATGTCTCACATCCAGGTCACACTGATGCAAGAGGTGTGTTCTCACGGTCTTGGGCAGCTCTGGCCCTGTGACTTTGCAGGATACAGTCTCCCTCTGGGCTGCTTTCATGGGCTGGCATCAAGTGTCTGCATCTTTTTCAGGCACACAGTGCAGGCTGTCATCGGATATACCATTCTAGGATTTAGAGGAGGGTGGCCTTCTCACAGCTCCACTAGGCAGTGCCCAAGTGGGGACTCTGTGTGGGGGCTTCAATGCCACATTTCCCTTCTGCACTGCCCTAGCAGAAGTTCTCCATGAGAGCCTTGCCCTTGCAGTAAACTTCTAAGTGGACATCCAGGTGTTTCCATACATCCTCTGAAATCTAGGCAAAAGTTTCCAAACCTCAATTCTTGACTTCTGTGTACCCACAGGATCAATAGCATGGGGAATCTGCCAAGGCTTGGGGCTTGCACCTTCTGAAGCCGTGGCCCAAGCTGTACCTTGGCCCCTTTCTGCCATGGCTAGAGCAGCTGGGACTCAGGGCACCAAGTCCCTAGGCTGCACACAGCAGTGGGGCACTGGACCCAGCCCACAAAACCATATTTTCCTCCTAGGCCTCAGGGTCTGTGATAGGAAGTGCTGCGAGAAAGTTCTCTGAAATACCCTGGAGACATTTTTCCGATTGTCTTGGTGATTACCATTTGGCTCCTCATTACTTATGCAAATTTTTGCTTGAATTTCTCCTCAGAAAAGAGGTTTTTCTTTTCTATTGCATTATCAGGCTGCAAATGCTGTTTCCCTTCTGAAACTGAAAGCTTTTAACAGCACCCAGGTCGTCTCTTGAATGCTTTGCTGCTTAGAAGTTTCTTCTGCTAGATATCCTAAATCATCTCCCTCAAGTTCAAAGTTCCACAGATATCTAGGGCAGGGGCAAAATGCTGCCAGCCTCTTTGCTAAAACAGTAAGAGTCACCTTTACTCCAGTTCCCAACAAGTTCCTTATCTCCATCTGAGACCACCTCAGCCTGGATTTCATTGTCCATTTCACTATCAGCATTTTGGTCAAAGCCACTCAACAAGTCTCTAGGAAGTTCAAAACTTTTCCACATTTTCCTGTCTTCTTCTGAACCCTCCAAACTGTTCCAACTTCTGCCTTTTACCCAGTTCCAAAGTCGCTTCCACATTTTCAGGTATCTTTTCAGCAATGCCCCACTCTATTGATACCAATTTACTGTATTAGTCCATTTTCATGCTGTTGATAAAGACATACCTGAGACTGGATAATTTAAAAAGAAAAAGAGATTTAATGGACTCACTGTTCCACAGGGTTGAGGAGGCCTCAAAATCATGGTAGAAGGTGAAAAGCATATCTTACGTGGTGGCACATAAGAGAGAATCAGAGCCAAGCAAAAGGGGAAACCCCTTATACAAACATCAGATTGAATGAGACTTATTCACTACTGTGAGAACAGTATGGGGGAAACTGCCCCAATGATTCAATTATCTCCCATCGGGTCCCTCCCACAACATGTGGGAATTATGGGAGCTGAAATTCAAGATGAGATTAGGGTGGGGTTAAAGCCAAACCATATCATCTATCAACTGATGAATGGATAAACAAATTGTGCTATATTCACACAAAGAATATTATTCAGCAATTAAAGGAATTAATTATTGAAGTATGATACAAAATGAATGAACCCTGAAAACATTACACTAAGTGAAAGAAGCCAATTATGAAAAACCATACATTATATGATTCCATTTATATGAAATGTTCAGAGCAGGCAAATTCATAGACAGAAAATAGATAATGGTGCCTAGGGCTGGAGAGGGTATTAGGACTGTCTGTAATTGGTACATGGTTTTTGTAGGAGTGATTGATGTGTTTTAAACTTAGATTGTGGGGTGGTTGCATAATTCTGTTAATATACTAAAATCATTTAATAGTATACTTTAAATGGGTGAATTTTATGGTACATGAATTATATCTCAGTAAGTATGCTAAAATGTCCCTACTTTATACACTCCTCAATATTTAAGTTTTCATTTCTCTTAATCCCAAGACAATGTTATTTTTAAAATAATTTTTTAAAAATGATTTTACTATGGGCAAAATTTAAAGGTAGTATTCTTGCATACTCATCTTGCAAAGTGTAACTACTTTGGATTATATATTTTTCTCTAAACATCTTTATGTCTGAGGATTTTTTTTTTTTTTTTACTTTTTGCTAGTTCAGTAGGAGGAATTTGGCAATGTAAATATATCATGGGTGAGAGTTATGGAAATGACTATTTTGAAACACAGTAAAAAATGTATACTTTCGCATGATGCTATTCAGACCCAAAATCATTTTCATGCATAAATGTCTTCCTGATAGCTGCCATAAATAGCTTTTTAAAAAATTTTCAAACCAGGATATTTAAATCAAATATTCTGTATACATTTGTTTAAAACATGATTTTTGTTTTAGGTATTTATTTAAAACATTTATTTAAAAACGTGATTTTTGACAATATATAATGAAAGCTCTATTTATATGCCATAAATTAATAGAATTATGTCAGCCTTGTAGTTCTATTAAAGCATGTGGATGAAAGTATTTTTTCCGTTTTCTTAACCAATAATCACTTGAACAAATGAGTATAGTGAAAAAAGAATGGAGATTGACAAAAAGACGTCTAGGACTTTTTATGATGAAAGTGTCAAGTTAAAAGTTTAATTCCTCATTCACAGAAATGACTGCAAGTGAAGATGAAAATGAAAATTAATTTTGCATCTTGGGAAAATGCTTAACAATTACATGGCTAAACATAACAGTAAATTGCCAATTGAAAGAATGTGGGCCAAGGAAGGGATTAGTAAAAGTATTGAAGGTTGATATAGAAATATAACTAGAAGTTTAATTTGTACTTATAAAGGATGGTAAGGTTTAAGGATGGATTTCACTCAATTTTGAAAAATGTTATTAATGAAATTAACATTTAAATTAATATTTAAAAATGTGTGTGTCAGATGCCTTAGCAGACCATCCACAATCCTCTTCAACTTTATCTCCTCTTTTTTCCTATGTTAACAGCAACAACCATGATGACAGCTTCAACCATGACAACTTCTTGCAATTGTATGGTATTTTCCACATGCCAAAAGCAGTGTAAAACTCTATACAATGACATATGTTATTCAATCCTTACCCAAAAATCTGAGGTGAATACCGTTGCTATCCTCATTTTCAAAATGAGTAAAATAGAAGTGTTGGAAGATTAAGCGACCTGACCAAAATTACCAAGGCAGTAAATATTGGAGCTGTATTCAAATCCAGCTTTTCTGACACCAAAGTCTGCAGCTTCTAAGGCTTTCCAAGTATATGGACCTATTTATAATTCTTTGGACAAGTTTCATTATTTCGTATCTTGCGCAAACTTTCATTCTGCCTGTAATGTTCTTTCTTACTGTTCCCTTGATAGACTAAAACTTTTATCGTTCAAGAACAAATCTCTTATGTGTTCTTCTCTGTTAAGCTTTCTGTGACTCAACCAAGCAGAATTGATGACACTCTCCTTTGTACTCCCATTGGTTCTGGTCCAAACTGCTCATCTTCCCTTAACCTGCTATAGTGCAATTACTTATATTCACATCCATCCAGAACATAATGAGCATACAACATCTGCTGTTAAATGAATGAAGGGATGAGCAAATGAGTGCCCTGCAAGCATAAAACATCATGCTATTGTGACTGGAAATATGAAATTACTACAACACTCAATGAAAGTTGCTAATTTAAACTATCAGGTTTTAGGGCACATTGTGATTACTTGACAGAAGTGATTACAGAAAAGGATCATGGAAATAATTTATTCACATTAGTGGGGCTGACTTATTGGCATATTTTTTCTTTGTGTTTTGTTACACGTATTCTCTCTGTCACCTTGTCAGACTTCTTCCCTCCTTTCAACTTAGGGTTAATTATTGATTAGGAACATAAAGACAAAAACATTTTTAAATGGAGGAAACAAAAGAATATAACAACTTTTTATGTATTTGTACATAGTAAAAAAGTTCTTAGTTTGAGACTAACCTTTGCCCATTTAAGATTAATACATGTGTGAGCCTGACTAGAAGAATGCATGAGTTGGCCAAAATGGAGCCTTCTTGAAAAATATCACCCAATAGGAAGAAAGGGTGAGACTTTGACATGTGACAGTTCCTCCAACTGTATCTGGAGTATTCGCAAGAGAAGGGCAACCATAATAACAACACTGGCACTCCAATTGGTCCTAATAAACCCGTTCGTGGTCTTATATGTGAATCCTAGGGAGAGTGAAGATAGTAAATACAACCCGAAAAGGCTATTTCACTAAAATACTCTAATCAGTACTTAAAATATATTGCAGACATTTTTTAAGAGCCAAGCAATGTAGTAACATTAAGGCAAGGAAGAGAATAAGCTTCCTTCCTCTTTGGTAGAAAGTATACAGTGCTTTGATTTTTTATTTTAAATGCTCTTAGTGTGATCACACTATGTTGAAATAGCCAACATATTATTACAAGGATACAGCAAACCTTCAGCAGAGGAGGTAATAGCAGTCTTAGTGGATTTGATTGGACTTAGTGGACTTTAAGGACGTAGTGGGAATCAAGGTTTCATTATTTGTGAGAGTTAAAGCCAGTAGAGTGCATGTAATTCTAGGCTTTGTGTGGAAGAGATGACCAAGGTCCTGGGTCTTTGACGATGGTGGGAATCATAGAATTCAAACAGGAAAGGGGAAAATGATGTGTTTTTACCATCCCCATTTTGGGAGTGTTTCTCAAAAAAAAAAAGCCTAAGGAAAATAAGGTGCTACATGGAAGCAGGGTGAATCTGTTTATGTGGGCAAGTGTAATTGTGTGAGGGATGGTGGGGAGATGAAAGCCATGGTGTGAATAATTTAGTGGTTCTTACCAGAGGCAGATAACTATTGATGATACCATTAATTGTAATAACATTAAAGTGGACTGAAGAAACACCATTGATACATTGCCCTTCTCCGTATTCTGCGTGCATTATTTATTATTTAACTTCAGAAAGAGGTTGTATACCTGGGTATTTTCATGCAATCTGTAAAATGAAAGAGCACCACAGGTTTACTGATGTAATAATAATTATAAGACTTTGCCATGATTTACATCTATTTTACTATTTATTATATCATTGGCTTTCTTTTAAAAATGAATTTTTATCAAAGTCCTCCCCCCACCTGTGTTTCCTCCCTCCATGCATTCCTTTTCTGCAATGGAATGAAGTGAAATGCTAAGATTATGGTGTGAAAAGTTATTGTAATAGCTTTATGAGGTAGCCAACCACTTCACCATTTCATTCCAGTGTTCAAGTTCTTCTCTGGTGGTACATTAAGCTCCAAAGGAAGCATTATTATCTTTTTAGGCTTCAGGATCCTAACCTTGCTAAATTTATTGTTTACTTGAGGGTAATGATACAAGTCAAGTAATAAATACAGATGAGAAGAGAGAAGCATCTCAAGTTATTTTTGTCTTATCATTTTAGACAATCAGATATACAATAAATAGTAAAACTTGGATAAAAATAAATAAATAAATGGCACATCATGTTCGTAAGAGGTTCTGTTGAAGATCCAGGGCTTTCAAGTTACTAAAGCCTAATGAGTCATTCAGTGGTTTGTTCTGACTTGAAAGCATCTAAGATTTGTTAAGTACTACATTCACATCTTGGATTATCTGTTCCCTTTGGAAGAGGCTAACCTATTTTCATTAGGCATTTTTCCTTTCCCCCCCTTTTTTTTTTTTTTTTTGATGGGTACTCTAAAACAGGAATAAGGATAATGTTAGGTGGGCAAGAATTTCTGCATCTTCAATTTGTAAAATTTGCCAAAGATAAGAATGTCATGGGAAAATAAATAAAGATACATGGTATAATTACTTCTTAATAGCTATGTTCAGTATCTTAGTTGTAAAATGATTAAAACAAGTAAATTTTACCATCACTATAACACTGTGCAGTCAACACTCTTCTTTCAGTATAGAAAAAATCATTAAAATAATTTATAAGGGATGATAACTACTCAACTTCTCATATTTTCTTTTTTTTTTTTTTTTTTTTGAGACGGAGTCTCGCTCTGTCGCCCAGGCAGGACTGCGGACTGCAGTGGCGCAATCTCGGCTCACTGCAAGCTCCGCTTCCCGGGTTCACGCCATTCTCCTGCCTCAGCCTCCCGAGTAGCTGGGACTACAGGCGCCCGCCACCGCGCCCGGCTAATTTTTTTTGTATTTTTAGTAGAGACGGGGTTTCACCTTGTTAGCCAGGATGGTCTCGATCTCCTGACCTCATGATCCACCCGCCTCGGCCTCCCGAAGTGCTGGGATTACAGGCGTGAGCCACCGCGCCCGGCCAACTTCTCATATTTTCATTTGGCAAGGACTTTCAAAATGTAAATAACACCTTGTAACCTTCCAGTATGATCTGCCACCATCAAGACAGGAAAGAAATGAACAGGGAATGTGATTAGTTTACAAAGTCCTTAGAATGAAATTTATGGGTGTCCCAGTTTGATCATTATTAACAAGGTAGCCCCTTTGCCTGGTGGGGTGTTTGTTTTTCCTGACAAGTCTATTAGTTAAATATTATTTGATATTTGCTGGGTGTAATTTATCTTGAGACCCAGCCTGGGTTGGGGGTTGTATTACTTTGCATTTTGTTTGTTTGGTTGTCATTTTACTTTAGAAACAGGATTGCATATCTGACAAGATATTTGTTTATGTACTCAGTTACTAATTCTCTATAATTGCAAAAGGCAAAGGGTATAATCTCAACTCAGCATGAGAAGCTCTGTGCGCAAGAGCATTTAGAACCAGAAAGAACCAAAGTATTTTGCTTTGAGATAAGAGCAACTATGTCTCAATATTTTTAATTAGTTATGTTTTCATCAGATAAGGAAAACACATATTTGACACGTTTTGTTATAAAATTTTAGGGTAAAAGGTAATTGAAAGGATGCAATCATCTTACAGACAAACTATTTCAGCCAGTGTTAACTTGATGTTACATAAGGAAGATGTCAAACTTTGTTTGAAACTTCTGCTAGCACTTAGATGAAAAATAAGCATTTTTATATTTGTCGAATTTTAACCAGTTTATTTTTTGTGGTATTTTATTGATGATCTATTATTGATGAAGTATATTATTGATGATCAAAAATAGTGCTTGCTTTACATATATGTCTTAAAGTCCCAATGTATACTAGGCACTGTTATAATTCCTAGGATATATAAACAAGTGAAGTGTAGTATTTGACCCTAAATATGTCATACATTCTGAAATCTGATAAAAGCCTTCACTTCAAATTCTGGTTTAGCCACTTTTGAGCCATATATTTTTTAATTGTTCTGATTCTTAGTTTCCTATAAAATGGAGATACTAATAATATTTACTTTATGGGATTGTCATGAGAACTAAAAGAGATAATTCATGTTAAGCACTTTCCAAACTGCTTGAAATATAATAGGAACTCAATAGATACCAGGTTTTGATTTGCCTTTTCCTAATGATGAATGATAAGAGCACATTTTCGTATACCTTTTGACCATTTCTATGTCTGCTTTGGAAAACTATTCAGGTCCTTTGCCTATTTTAAAATCAGGTGATTTGTTTTTTGGTCATTGAGTTGTGTGAGTTCCTTATATAATATATTTTGGATATTAGCCCCTTTTTAGAAATGTGTTCTGCAAATATCTTTTCCCAATCCAGAGGTTTTTCTGTTTCCTTTGCTAAGCAGTTTTTTAGTTTGATATAGGCCAGCTTGTTTATTTTTGCTTTTGTTGTCTGACCTTTTGGTGTCATATCCAAAAAGACACTGCCATGGCTAATGTAAAGGAGCTTTTCACCTGTATTTTTTTCTAGGAGTTTTATAAGTTTTGGGTCTTACACTTAAGTCTTTAATTCATTTTGAGTTGATATTTGTGTATGGTGAAATATAAGGGTCTAATTTCATTCTTTTGCGCAGTGATATCTAGTTTCCCCAGCACCACTTGCTTAAGAAACTGTCCTTTCTCCAATGTGTATTCTTGTCACACTTGTGAAAATTAGTTGACCATATATGCTTGAGTTTATTTGTAAACTCTCTTGTGTTCCATTGGTCTATGTGTCTGTTTCTATACTAGCACCGTAATGTTTTGAATACTATAGCTTTGAAATCAGAAACTTTATTCTTCTTTCTCAAGATTGCTTTGACTATTTGGGGTTTTTTAAGCTTCCATATAAATTTTAGAATTGTTTTCTTCTATTTCTGTAAAAAATTCATTGCAATTTTGATAGGAATTGTGTTGAATCTGTAAATCACTTTGGGTAGTGTGGACATGTTAATAATACTCATTCTTCTAGTCTGTGAACATGGGTTGTTATTCCATTTATTTGTGTCTTCAATTTTTTCATTAATATTTTATAGTTTTCAAGTGTACAAATTTTTCACTTCTTTTGTTAAATCTATTTCTAAGTACTTTATTCTTTTTGATGCTATCTTAAATGTAATTATTCTCTTTTCTTTTTAGCTAAATCATTATTGGTATAAAGAAACGCTACTGTCCAGTGCAGCAGTTCATGCCTGTAATCCCAGCGCATTATGAGGTGGAGGCAGATAGATCATTTGAGCCCAGGAGTTCAAGACCAGCCTGGGAAACATGTTGAAACTCTGTCTCAACAAAAAAAATACAAAAATTAGCTGGCATGATGGCTCATACCTGTAATCCCAACTACTCTGGAGGCTGAAGTGGGAGGATTGATTGAACCCTAGAAGTCAAGGCTACAATGAGCTGTGATTTCACCATTTCCCTCCAGCCTGGGTGAAGATTGAGAATCTATCTCACACAAAGAAAATGCTACTAATTTTTATATGTTGATTTCGTATCTGGCAATATTACTAAATTTGTTTATTAGTTGTAAGATTTTTTTGGTGAAATCTTTAGGGTTTTCTAGATATACAATTATGTCATCTTCAAAGAAAGAAAATTTTACTTCTTTCTTTCAAATTTGGATGCCTTTTGTTTCTTTCTCTTGTCTGATTGTTCTGGCTAGGACTTTCAGTATTATGTTGAATAGAAGTGGTAAGAATGAGCATCCTTGTCTTGTTCTGATCTTAGAGAAAAAGCTTTCAACTCCTCACCACTATGTATGACGTTACCTGTGCGATTTTCATAAATGGCCTTTGTTGTGTTGAGGAAATTTTCTTCTATACCTACTTTATTGAGTTTTATCATGAATAGATGTTGAACTTTGTCAAATGCTTTTACTGCCCCAGTTTGTAAAGAAAACAGAAGCAGGCTCAGAGAAAACAAGACCTACTGAATGTGTGTAGGAGTTGGGGCAGGAACTCAAGGTTTTCTAGAGGTTCCTTGGGCTCCCCCTTGAGGCCAGGGCTCTTACCTAGAGCATTTGTAGTTCCCAGCCCGGAGAAGGGTTCTCAGAAGCGAAAATTCCACTGAAGACAGGTTAAGTGGAAGAGGCATCTTTGAACAGCTGTAGGACTGGGTGCTGGGCTGGTAGAATGACAGCAGATTCAGGTCCTTCCAAGTCCATTAGAGGCACTCAAGTCATGGCTCCACCGGGTCCCATCCTGGAGATCACACTTGTCTGCAGCCAAGACCCCAGCAAGATCAGCCCTGCCTGACTGGCTCAGGTGCTGTGTCACTCCAGCCCTCTCCTACCGCAGCTGCAGCCCTAGCCCCAAGCACAGGTGTGGCCTGGCCCAGGCCCCAGGGTCTGCTGTCCAAGAGAAAGGGCAGGAAAGGGAGGCAGACAGTTGAGAATAGCCTCAAGACCCTAATTGAGGTATCACTATCCTGCTCTAGAAATGAAGAAACTTGAGCTTGAAGACACAAAAAGAAATATATTTAAAGTCTCAAATGCTGCAGTGAGGGCTCCAATAATAGAATCTAGATGGTTCTGGCTTCAAGGCTGGGACTTCAACTGCAGCCCTTGAAACCCTCTTCTTCCTGTGTGGTGGGGCCTCTTCCTTTGGGGAGCAGGACTGAAGGCTGTTGACTGGCTCTTCTCAAGCCTAAAGCTCCTGGGATAGAGCTATAGCCCCCACACTCCCACCTCTGATAGACACCTGGGCAGTGTGGGTTCCCTCAGAAATTCAGAGACAGGCTATGCCTCCTCAGGCTGGGTCACTGAGTAGGTGTGTTTAACAGCTTCCCATCCATGCACACACTCACCCCCTTCTCCCCTGTGGACCAAAGGCTGGGGAGGGCAGGAGAGTGGAGAATGCAGGCCAGAAAACTGGCATGGCATTGAGTGGCATGTGTCTAAAGGTGATGATTTCTTGCTCAGCACTGCCTACAGCTATCCCCTCTCCATCACAAGGAGTTAACGCTGGAGAAGCCACACATTGTCCATAGGAAATATGGGCAACCTGAGGAGGGGTCCCAGGCCAGAAAAGGGGAGAGCCCTAAGATTTGTAGAAGTGCTGGACTCAAAATGTTAGTTTGCTGTTTCTACTATCTTAGTCTATTGTATCATAGTTCTAACATAGTCCCAGTCAAGTACCTCACATTGATAGAGCTGCCTTAAATCAAACTTGCAATTCTCAGTAAATTCTAGCCTTGCCATCTTCTCTCTGAGACATGGCCATAGTGCAGCAGAGATGGTGTTCTCTCCTATGCTGGTAAATAATAAACTCAACAATCTACCAGGTTCTATTGGTGATATTTGGTAAGCCAGCATTTGGCAGTCTAAAGAAAATCTGTGTGTTGAATAAATAGGTAAGCCAATAGCAAGAAGAGAAAAGAGAATATATCAGGATTCTATCATTTGAGAACAGAACAGCCTTAAGCCAAAAAAAGACATCTATTACTACAGATACAATTCTGAAAGAAGCATGATTAAAATTTAATCAACAAAGAAAATTATAGAGTAGGAAGATAATGTGGGATAATGAAAAATAAAGGATATAAATAAAAGAAAGGCATACTGGAGGCACTCAATAAAATCTTAGAATATGTTGGCTAATCTAAAATTCTGAATAAAGTAAGATCTGAATGATGTTTACAAATTTCTTTCTCTCCGAGAGCTTTTTTTGTATGCCGTCCTCTCTCTTTGGATTATCTTTCTTTAGCTATTCACCTTTATGGCCTACTTAAAATGTCAAACTTCCTCTTCAGAAGGAAAGCTTTCCTGCACCTGCAAAATTGGTTTAGATGTTTCTTCTGTATGCTCCCATGATCCAGAAGATTTACACTTTGGGAATTTTAAAATAAAATTATAAATACCCTTATTCTTCATTGTCCAGGGTAGAAAATAAGAGAAACAATATGGAAGATGCTAAATTGAAGGATATGGCCTATTGTAAGAGCCAAATGGACCTGCTAACAGGACCCCACAATTAACCAGACTTATTCAGGTCTCTGAACTTGTATGCTGTCTTACAGGATGGAGGAGCAGAGGAAACCTTGGTGTCTTCCAACTGGTAAGAAGTAGTTGAAGCTGAGCTGAACATGTCATCTGTTCTTAAATTTATCAATTAGGGTAAGTCACTCCACCTTTCTGGAAGCAAAGGGATATGGGGCCAAAAGTGTGAGTAATTGAGCTCCCTCCACCCGGATGGAAACAATGGGAATGAGGAAAATCATTCCCTTATAGTAGACCCAATCATGGCACTATCTATTATGCAACTTTCTATTTTCTTGTCTCTCTTTCCTATTATATCATAAACTCCCTGAAAGATACCTCATTCTCCATTAATCTGAGCACAAATCACAGTTCTTAGTACATAAAAGTTGCTCACTAAATGTCTGAATAAATTCCAGACTATATTACTCATAATTACCATTTTACTCTTTTTCTATTTCCCATTACTCATAATAATTAAATATTTTAGAAAACCTCAAAATATATACTTCTCTTAAGGATATGAAAATACAAGCAAAAGTAGGAGCCTACATTTCGTTTCTCAATGGTTGAAAAACAAAGGAAAGAAACAGAAACAGAATTGATCAGAAAAGCTTTTTACTTCAGAGGTTCTCAGTGAATGTTTATTGAGGTGAAGTGAGCTCTAGAAAAAAGCAACAGTGAGTAGCAATGGAACACGGTATTTTTTTTCTGCATCTCTCAGAAAAAAAAAGAGGTGGTTGAAAATTATTTGTCTTCCCCAAAGTGTTATATTGACAGAAATACCTAACCCTTCTTTTGACTCCAGAAACCTGGGTCCTACCCCATTCTTTGCTGAATGTCATGTCAGCAGGTTTAGCTCTGCAGAGCTACTCTCAATATAGGATAGACAGGCATTGTGGTGATGGGAATATTCTGCCTCAAAGCCACAACATACTCTATATATTATGAGTTTAAAAAGGTTTTAGTAAGCTGTCTTAGAAAACTATTTCTGAAGGGCAAGTGTATTCAATTTTAAACATTGACCTTACAATTATACTTTTAGAGCTTAATTCTTTTATTAATTAAGGACTTGCTGTATCTTGATTTTTAATTTCTAGCTGGTTTTAATCAATTATTTTCTTCTTGTTCCCACTTCTATTATAGAAATTATTTTACAGTTTTTAAATGTTTAAAAAATAACTTGCTCTAAAAACCTTAAAGGCTTTCTGAGTATTATCTTCTGCTTTCCATAAAATGCGAATACATACTTCTTATAATTCAAGGACAATAATTTTTAAGGGAGAAAATAATTCCCCTTCAGTGTCCGTTTTTCCTTTTGTACAATGAAGGATAGAACTTCTATCCAAACACCTTCTCTACACTTTGAGTATTCTTAAAACAATTATGCATCCTCCATAGTCATTCCTTCTTTTGGTAGAGAGTTTCCAATATGGAGAAGACACAGCATTTATTGGGTCATGTTTATTAGTAGGTGGATGTTATGACTTAAAGACTGAGGTCCATGCTTTCTACTTCCTTTTTCCCTTCCTGTGCACAGAAATGGGGCTCCCTTTTACCCCTTTCTCCATGTGGTAGCACATCCTGGTGTCTTAGATTCCCAACAAACAGACCCTATGGCATACATTGTTGAACAGAAGATATATTGGGAACAGCAAACTGGGAAGCAGGATGAGGAGAGAGATATTTGAAACTGATGTATTGGCAAAGAAACCTTCGTGATCCTGTGGCAGTGCTAGAGTGGAAATGGACCAGAGTTGTCCGTAATCAAAGCAAGGTTTCTGAGTCTTTGGACATTTTTTTTTTAAACATGATATATAAAAATGGTCTATATTTATGGTTGCAACATGATGTTTTGATCTATATATACAACGTGGAATGGATAAATCAATCTACTAAATGTATCCATTACTTCATTCTTATTATTCTTTGTGATGAAAACACATCTATTCTCTTAGCCATTTTCAAGTATACAATGTACTGCCATTAGCTATAGTCATCATGATGTACAGTAGATCTCTTGAACTTCTTCCTATCTAACTAAAATTTTGTATCCTTTGACCAACATTTCCCCCTACATATCTTCCATCCCAGCCTCTGGTAAGCCACATTTTTTCTCCTGATTTCTGTGAGTTTGACTTTTTTAGATTCTACATGTAAGTGAAATCCTGCAGTATTTGTCTTACTGTGCATGGCTTATTTCACTTAACATAATGTCTTCCTAGGTTCATCTATGATGTCACGAATGACAGAATTTCCTTCTCGTTTAAAGCTGAAGAATAGTCATATATATATATCAATATATATCACATTTTCTCCATTCATTGATGGACACTTAGATTGATTCCTTATTGTTGCTATTGTGAATAAGCTGCAATGAATGTGGAGGTGCAGATATCTCTTTGATGTACTGAATATTCATATCCTTTGTATGTTATGTTAGGGTTCTCTAGAGAGACAGAACTAATGAAATATATATGTATATATTATATACATAAACTTATATAAAAAACTTGTAGTCTGATGTTCAAGGGCAGGAAGCATCCAGCACAGGAGAAAGATGTAAGCTGGGAGGCTAAGCCACTCTCTTTTCGCATTTTTCTACCTGCTTTATATTCTAACCATGATGGCAGCTGATTAGATTGTGTACACCCAGATTAAGGGTGGGTCTGCCTTTCCCAGCCCACTGACTCAAATGTTAATCTCCTTTGGCAACACCTTCACAGACACACCCAGGATCAATACTTTATATCCTTCAATACAATCAGGTTGACAGTATTAATCATCATATATATATATATATATATATATGTATATATATATATGTATATATATGCCTATGTGTATATGTATATGTATATATGTATATATGTTTGTGTGTGTGTGTGTATATATATATACACACACACACACACTGAGATTGTTGGATCATATGGTAGTTCTATTTTTAACATTTTGAGAAACTTTCATACTGTTTTCCACAATGGCTATACTAATTTGCATTCCCATAAACAGTATTTAAAGATGTTCTTTGTTCCACAACCTTGTCAAGATGTATTATTTTTTGTGATAGGATATCTCACTGTGGTTTTAATTTGCATTTCCCTAATTTATGATATTGAGCATTTTTTATATACCTGTTGTCCATTTATATGTTTTCTTTTGAGAAATGTCTATTCAGGTCTTTTGCTCATTTTTAATTAATTTTTTATTTTAATTAATTTATTTATTTATAATTAAGCTGTTTGAGTTCCTGTATATTTTAGATAATAACCCCTTATCAGATGTATGGTTTGCAAATATATTATCTCATTCTGTAGTGTATGTCTTCACTCTGTTGATTGTGTCCTTCACTTCAACTGTAGGTTGCCTGTTCACTCTGCTGATAGTTTCTTTTGCTGTGCAGAAGCTCTTTAGTTTAATTAGATCCCATTATATATAATGTGTATATACAGTGTGTATATATATAATGTCTATATATATATATATATATATATATATATATATATAAACTTCTGGATTCAAATATAATATGCAAATATAAAAAGAACTGGGCTAGTTTACAAAGAAGATAGAAAACAATCTATGACTGTGAGGGCTTTATAAGTAATAAGAAAAAAATGGCAAACACAAATGTCATCACTTTAATTAAAAATATGAAACATTTATAATACAGATAAACTTCAGCTGTTTGTGATACCAGAATAATAAGAATTACCAGATCCAAGTCTGTTATTTTTGTTGAAAGTGGTCCTGACATAATCTTTCAAGCTTTGAATGTACATCTCAATCTCAATATTTTTGCAAATTTAAAAGAGCAGCAGAGTCACAGGAAGCTATACTTCAAGGGGTAATTTTCTCTATTTAATTCTTGAAATAATTGTGAGCTATTTTGAGGGAGAAGCATTTTTGGAATATAATTAGTAGGACAATATTGAGAAGGAGGATGTGGCAAAACACAGTTTACGTATGTCAAAATATATAAGAAAATGTAGTTCTCTGTAATAAAAACAATTTCCTACAGTAATGGAATTATTTAACAAAAGAAATTTTAATTGAATTCATTACCATAACTCTTCATATTTATTAGAGAAATCAAAATATTAAAGTTCTATTCCACAAATAAAATTAACATTTTCTCCTATTCCTCAGTGTATTTTAGGAAACTGAAAGGGTAGTTAAAAATTGTAAAGCCTACATAAATGGTTGAACAGCTTGTAGAAGAAGAGTGACTATCTTCTAGTACGTATATTTATTCAATACTAGCCAGGCTTTTCTAAGAGTAAGGACTTAAGTTTTACCTTCTTGGAGGCAAAATATTGTAATTGAACATGAGCAACTTTGGAATTGAGCATAACTTAGTTTGAGCTGTGAGTCTTTGGCAAGGTATAAAACCTTCTCAAGTATCCATTTTTGTACTTGCAAAATGGGGGAAACTAATATCTAATATTTGGCATCTTGGAGTTTTACATGCGATATCAACGATTAAATGCCTGGTACACAAGGTGTTCACTAAGCCTTTTGTTCCAAATATTTTCTCCTATAAATAAAGCAAAGAATGTTTAGTGGTAACATACTACCACTTCTAATATTATTGTTAGTAATGATTTCTGTTTATTGAACATCTATTATATAGTCAGTATTGGAACGGCTGCTTTACATGCACTTATTGAGCATCTACTATGCACCTGATTTTTGAGTTAACTACTTTATTTTAAAATTTTGTTTAATTATTTATTTTTGTGGCTACATAGTAGGTGTATATATTTATGGGTTACATGACACATTTTGATACAGGCAAGTAAAGTTTAATAATCACATCAGGGTAAATGAGGCATCCATCACCTCAAGCATTTATCCAATGTGTTACAAGTATTCGTGCTATCAAATATTCACTCTTAGTTATTCCTTCTAACTACTTTTGGACCCATTAGCCATACCCACCTCTCCCCTAACCCACTCCACTACCCTTCCCAGCCTCTGGTAACCATCCTTGTGCTCTCTGGGTCCAGGGGTTCAGTTGTTTTAATTTTTAGCTCCCACAAATAAGTGAGAACATGCAAAGTTTGTCTTTCTGTGCCTAGCTTATTTTACTTAGCATAATAACCTCAATTTCTATAAATGTTGTTGCAAATAATAGAATCTCATTGTTTTTCATGGCTGAACAGTATACCATGTGTATATATATCACATTTTCTGTATCCATTCACCTGTTGAGAGACACTTAGGTTGCTTCCAAATGTTGGCTATTGTGAACAGTGCTGTAGTAAAGATGAGAGTGTAGATATCTTGTTAATATACTGATTTTCTTTCTTTTAATTATACTTAGCAGTGGGATTGATAAATTGCATGGAAGCTCTATTTTTAGTTTTCTGGGGAACCTCCAAACCGTTCTCCATAGTGGTTGTACTAATTTACATTGCAACTAACACTTTACAAGGGTTCCCTTTTCTCTACATCCTGGTTGGCATTTGTTATTGCCTGTCTTTTGAATACAAGCCATTTTAACTGGGGTGAGATGATATCTCACTGTAGTCTTGATTTGCATTTCTCTGATGATCAATGACATTGAGCACTTTTTCATATGTTTGTTTGCTATTTATATATCTTCTTTTGTGAAACATCTATTCAGATCTTTTGCCCATTTTTAATCAGATTATTAGATTTTTACCTATAGAGATGCTTGAGCTTCTTATATATTGTGGTTATTAATCCCTTGTCAAATTGGCAGTTGGCAAAATTTTTCTCCCATTCTGTGGGTTGTTTCTTTATTTTGTTGACTGTTTCCTTTGCTGTCCAGAAGCTTTTTAACTTGATGTGATCCCATCTGTCCATTTTTGCTTTGGTTGCCTGTGCTTCTGGAGTATTACTCAAGAAATCTTTGCCCAGTCAATGTCCTGGAGAGTTTTCCAAATTTTTTTTTCTCGCAGTTTCATAGATTGAGGTTTTCCTTTAACTATTTAATCAATTTTTATTTGATTTTTTTATATTGTGAGAGATAGGAGTCTAGTTTCGTTCTTCTGCATATGGATATCCAGTTTTCCTAGAATCATTTATTGAAGAAACTGTCCTTTCCCCCAGTGCATGTTCTTGGAAACTTTGTTGAAAACAAATTCACTGTAGACGTATGGATTTGTTTCTAGGTTCTCTATTCTGTTCCATTGGTATATGTGTCTGTTTTTATGCCAGTACCCTACTGTTTTGGTTACTATAGCTCTGTAGAATAATTAAAAGTCAAGTAATGTGATTTCTCCACTTTTGTTCTTTTTGCTCAGGATAGTTTTGACTATTCTGGGTCTTTTGTGATTCCATAGGAATTTTAGAATTGTTTTTTCCATTTCTGTGAAGAATGCTATTGGAATTTTAGTAGAGAATGCATTGAAACTGTAGATCATCTTGTAGATTATGTTGAAGTATGTTCCTTCAATAGCCAGTTTTTTTATGGTTTTTATCATAAAGGGATGTTGAATTTTATCAAATGCTTTTTCAACATCAAATGAAATGATCATATTATTTTTGTCCTTCATTCTGTTGATATGCATATGTTGAACCATCCTTGCATCCCTGGGATAAATCCCAATTGGTCATGATGAATGATCTTTTTAATGTGTTGTTCGATTCAGTTTGCTAGCAGTTTGTTCAGGACTTTTAAAAAAAGTTTTATTTATTTATTTTTTTGAGATGGAGTTTTGCTCTGTCACTGAGGCTGGAGTGCAGTGGCATGATCTCAGCTCACTGCAAGATCCGCCTCCTGGGTTCACGCCATTCTCCTGCCTCAGCCTCCCAAGTAGCTGGGACTACAGGTGCCGGCCAACACACCCAGCTAATTTTTTATTTTCAGTGGAGACGGGGTTTCATCATGTTATCCAGGATGGTCTCCATCTCCTGACCTCGTGATCCGCCCACCTTGGCCTCCCAAAGTGCTGGGATTACAGGTGTGAGCCACTGCGCCCCACCTGTTCAGGATTTTTGCATCAATATTCATCAGGGATATTGGCCTGTAGTTTTCTGATGTATGTTTGTCTAGTTTGGTATCAGGGTAATATTAGCCTCACAGAATGAGTTTGGAAGTACTCCTTTTTCCTCTTCCCCTCTGTTTTTCAGAATAGTTTGAGTGGGATTGGTATTCATTCCTCTTTAGATATTTGGTAGAATTCAGCAGTGAAGTCATCAGGTCCTGGGATTTTCTTTGCTGGGATACTTTTTACTATGACTTTCGTCTTGTTACTTCTTATTGGGGTATTCAGGTTTTTAAAAATTTTTTTCATGGTTCAATCTTGGTAGGTTGTATATATCCAGAAATTTATCAATTTCTTCTAGATTTTCCAAATTATTGGCATATAGTTGCTCATAGTAGCAACTAATGATCCTTTGAACTTCTATGGTGTCAGATGTAATGTCTCCTTTTCCGTCTTTGATTTTATTTACTTAATTCTTCTTTCCTTTTTTCTTAGTCTGGCTAAAAGTTTGTCAGTATTGTTTATTGTTTCAGAAAATGAACTTTCATTTTATTTTCTATTGTTTTCTTCATTTTAATTTCATTCATTTCTGCTCTGATCTTTGTTATTTCTTTTCTTCTATTTTGGATTTGGTTTGTTCTTGTTTTTCTAGTTTTTTAAGATGCCTCATAAGTATGTTTATTTGAAGTTTTTCTACCTTTTTTAATGTAGGCACTTATAGCCATAAGCTTCCCTCTTGACACTGCTTTCACTGTATCTCATAGGTTTCAGTATATTATGTTTCTGTTATCGACTGTTTCAAGAAATTTTTTCATTTCCTTCTTAATTTCTTCATTGATCCATTGGTCTTTCAGGAGCATATTGTTTAATTTCCATGTGTTTATGTAGTTTCCAAAATCCTTCTTGATATTAATTTCTAATTTTATTTCCTTGTGGTCAGGGATGGTACTTGATGGTATTTCAACTTTTTTGAGTGTTTTAAGACTTGTTTTGTGACCTAATATATGGTCTATCCTTGAGAATAATCCATGTGCTGAGGAAAAAAATTTGTATTCTGCAGCCATTGGATAAAATATTTTGTAAATATGTGTTATATCCATTTGGTCTGTAGTGCAGATTAAGTCTGATGTTTCTTTGTTGATTTTTCTGTCTGAAAGATCTGTCTAATGGTGAAAGTGGGGTGTTGCAGTCTCCATCTATTATTGCACTGTGGTCTGTCTCTTTCTTTAGCTCTAATAATGTTTGATTTATATATCTGGGTGCTCCAGTGTTGGGTGCATATATATTTATAATCGTTAACTCCTCTGACTGAATTGACCCCTTTATAATTACGTAATGGCCTTCTTTGTCTCTTCTTGTAGTTTTTGTCATGAAGTACATTTTGGCTGATATAAGTATAGCTACAGCTGCTCTATTTTGGTTTCCATTTACATGAAATATGTTTTTCCATCCGTTTGTTTTCAGACAATTTGTGTTTTTATAGGTGAAGTGTGTTATTTGTGGGCAACAGATCTTTGCTTCTTTTTTTTCTTTTTTTTAAATCTCTTAAACCACTGTATGTCTTTTTATTGAAGAGTTTAGTCCATTCGCATTCAAGGTTATTATCATCATTATTATTATTATTATTTGAGATGGAGTTTTGCTCTTGTTGCCCAGGCTGGAGTGCAATGGTGCAATCTCGGCTAACTGCAACCTCCACCTCCTGGGTTCAAGTGATTCTCCTGCCTCAGCCTCCCGAGTAACTGGGATTACGTGTGCCTGCCACCATCCCCAGCTAATTTTTTGTATTTTTTTCGTAGAGATGGGGTTTTGCCATGTTGGCCCGGCTGGTTTTGGACTTCTGACCTCACGTGATCCACCTGTCTCGGCCTTCCAAAGTGCTGGGATTACAGGCGTGAGCCACCGTGCCTGGCTGGTTATTATTAATAAGTAAAGATTTACTTCTGCCATTTTGTTATTTATTTTCTGGTTGTTTTGTGGCATTCTCCCCCATCTTTCCTTTCTTCCTCTCTTCCTTTTAGTGAAGGTGATTTTCTTTGATGGTATGATTTAATTTATTGCGTTTTACTTTTTGTGTATTCATTGCATTTTTTAAATTTAAAGTTAACATGAGTCTTGCAAGTAATATCTTATAACCCATTATTCTAAACTGATAACTTAATATTGATGGCATAAAGAACAAAAAACTAACATACAATCAAAATGAAAACTAATAAAAACCCTACACCTTAACTTTATCCACCTACTTTTTTAGTTATTGCTGTTTCTACTTATATCTTATCATACTGTTCATGTCTTGAAAAGTAGTTGTTGTTATAATATTATTTTTGATTGGTTGATCTTTGTCTTTCTACTTAAGAGTAATTTACACAGCATAAGTACAATATTATCATATTCTGTATTTTTCTGTGTATTTATATTGCCAGTGAGTTTTGTACCTTCAGATGATTCCTTATTACTCATTAGCATTCTTTTCTTCCTGATTGAAGAACTCCTTTTAGTATTTCTTGTAGGAGAGGTCTGGTGTTGATGAAATGCCTTAGCTTTTGTTTGCCAGGGAAAGTCTTTATTTCTCCTTCATGTTTGAAGGACATTTTCCCTGAATATACTACTCTAGGATAAAAGGTTTTTTCCTTCAGCACTTTGAATGTGTCATGCCACTCTCTGCTGGCCTGTAAAGTTTCCAATGAAAAGTCTACTGCCAGGCGTATTGCAGTTTCTTTGCACGTTATTTGTTTCTTTTCTCTTGCTGATTTGAGAATCCTCTCTTTATCCTTCACCTTTGGGAGCTTGATTATTATATACCTTGAGGCAATCTTCTTTGGGTTAAATCTACTTGGGTTCTACAACCATCTTGTACTTGAATATTGATATCTTTCCTTAGGTTTGGTAAGTTCTCTGTTATTATCCCTTTGAATAAACTTTCCACCCTTATCTCTTTTTCTACCTTCTCTTTAAGGCCAGTGACTCTTAGATTTGCCCTTGTGAGGCTATTTTCTAGATCTTTTAGGCATGCTTTATCTTTTTGTGTTACTTTTTTCTTTTGTCTCCTCTGACTGTGTATTTTCAAACAGCCTGTCTTCAAGCTCACTAATTATTTTTTTTTTGCTTGATCCATTCTGCTGTTAAAACACTTTGATGAATTGCATTTTCAATTTCTGCCTGATTCTTTTAAATTGCTTTAATCTCTCTGTTAAATGTATCTGATAGAATTCTGAGTTCCTTCTCTGTGTTATCTTGAATTTCTTTGAATTTCCTCAACACAGCTATTTGAATTCTCTGTCTGAAAAGTCACATATCTCTGTTTCTCCAGAATTGGTCCCTGGTGCCTTATTTAGTTTTTTTTGTGAGGTCATGTTTTCCTGGATGGTCTTGATGCTTTTGGCTGTTCATCAGTGTCTGGGCATTGAAGAGTTATAAGTTTATTGTAGTCTTTGTGGTCTGGATGTGTTTGAAGGTGTCTTTCTTGGTAAGGTATTCCAGGTATTTGAAGGAACTTAGGTGTTGCGATTTAAGCCTTATCTGCATTGGAGGTCAACAAAAGCCCAGTAATGCTGTGGCTCTTGCAGACTCATAGAGGTACTGCCTTGGTTGTCTTGGATAAGATACAGAAGAATTCTCTGAATTACCAGACAGAGACTCTTGTTCTCTTCCCTCACTTTCTCCCAAACGAAGTCTGTCTGTGCTGAGCTGCCTGGAGCTGTGTGTTGGGTGACACAAGCCCCCTCCTGTGGCCACTACCAGTGAGAATTTGCTGGGTCAGACCTGAAGTTAGCATAGGCCTGGGTCTCCCTCAAGGCCCTCTGTAACTTCTACTTGGCTACTGCCTATGTTCACCCAAGGCTCTAGGGTTCTACAATCAGTAGATGGTGAAGTCAGGTGTGCTTGTGTTCTTTCCTTCAGGTTGGCAAGATTCCCCAGTCCCCAGGTGAGTCCATAGATGCCATCTAGGAGCTGGGGACTGTAGTCAAAAACCTTAGATGCACTATTCTACTGTGGCTAAGCTGGAACTCAAACCATGAGATGCAGTCCTTCCCACTCTTCCCTCCCCTTTTCACAGGCAGAGGAACCTCTCCTTGTGGCCACCACTACCATAGGCCCACATAAATTACTGCCAGGTTACTTCCAATGTTTACTTAAGACCCAAGGGCTCTTCAGTCAACTTTGGTGAATGCTGCCTGGCCTGGTTCTTACCCTGTGTTCCCCTCTGATCCAGGTCAAATCCAGAAATACCATCCAAGAGCCAAGGCCTGGAATAGGGGACTCTAAGCACTTACTTGGTGCTCTACGCCACTGTGGCTGAGCTGGTACCTAAGGTGCAAGACTAAGTCTCCATTAGTTTTCCTCTGCTGTTCTCAAGCAGAAGGTGTCTCTCATTATAGCCACCACAGCTGAGAATGTTCTGGGTCTCAGCTCAAGCATGCGCATCTCAGAGTCTCACACAAGGCCCATAGGCATACTCTCTGGGGATGATTTTCATGGCCCAACAGCTCTTTGGTCAGCAGGTGATAAATCCTGTAAGGACTGGGTTCTTCCCTTCTAGGTGTAGGTTCCCTTCTGGCCCAGGGTGTGTCTAGAAATGTCATCCAGGAGTTGGGGCCTAGAATGGGAGCCTCATAACTCTGCCTGATGCTCTATTCTACTGTGGCTGAGCTGGTATCCAAGATGCAAGACAAAGTCCTCTTTATTTTTCCCTCTTCTCAAGCAGAAGAAAAAACTCACTGTCATTGCTGCAAGCTGAACTGCCTAGGGTTGGGAAAGGGTGATGCAAACACTACCTTAGCTTCCTCAGCTGGTGTCTCCCTAGGTCACATGCCATGCAAGTCCACTGGCCGTAAGCCCAGCATAGCACTAGGACTTGCCTTGGAGTTGCAGTCTTGTTGGCCTAGACTGTCTTTCAAGTTTCTTTAGAACCCCAGAGCACTTTAGCCTGCAGTTCCAAGGTTTGGTGGAACTCAGCTTCTGGCTGCTGGGATAGGTGATTCCCCTCTCATTTGGGCTGTACTAAATGCTCTGTACATGAGCTGGTGTCAGCTGAGTTCAGCCCAGTTTTGCTTTCTGCTGTGACAGGACAGCAATTAGTTTAATGCAAAGTCTCCCAATTGCTACACTTTTCCTCCCCCAAGCACACAGATTCTGTCTCTGTACCATGCGGGTGCTGCTGGGTGATAGGAGAGTGGTAGTATCAGCAGTTGAAGACTGTCTTTCTTACTGTCTTCATTGCTTCTTTCAGCAATATGAAGTTAAAACCAGGTACCGTGATTGCTCATCTGATTTTGATTTTTATAAAGGTATATTTGTGTGTGTGTGTGTGTGTGTGTGTGTGTGTGTGTGTGTGTATGTGTGTGTGTAGATAGTTCTTAAATTTTTTGTGTTCCTGTGGTGGTGAGGGTGGGGTATGATAGTCTGTGGAGACTTCAGCCATCTTGCTCAGCCCCTCTGAATTAGTTGCTTTATATTTTGTTCCATAGATAAAATTTAAAAAACAACTTTATAAGGAAGAAATTTTAATACAATTATGCAGATGAAAAACGCATGTTTGGTTGGAATAATGCTGCAGTTGCTATGCTGGAAGATTACAAGTTTTATAGGACCTTAGAAACTTTGCCACTTCTACTGCCTCATTTGAAATCACATCTCTTTATAATAACTAACAGACATTTTAGTAGCCCCAAGTGACAGTTGAGAAAATAAGGTTCAGTTAGGTTGTCACTGTCCAGGTTCTCTTAGCAGCTATTGAATCTGTGAATAAATTCAACTTTTTTTTTTAACCTTTACCTCCAGTTTACTTTTTATTATATTGTCTCTCTGTGTTGGTGATAACTTAGATATATTAGTTACTATACAAAAGGTAATGATGATTTTGTTTCTGTTTTTCTGGAGATCAGGAAAAGGGGGTATGCATATAAAGTAGCAGAGAAGGATTTTAGAATTTGGGATAAAAATGTTTGTTTTTCAGTACTTGTGAAACATCATAATGGGATGATTGAGGGTTATTTTCTGAAGATTTAAAGACATGGATATATATATAACTATAATTGGAGGAAGATGTGATGAGCATAGGCTGAATGATTCATCCAAGACATTTTTCAGGCTTAAAATTATGAGATTCTCCATCAGGCATGTTAAGCAGCTCCCCATAAACTTTTCTCTATACTTATAAAAAGATTTTGTTTGTCATTCTTCCTCTTTGTGTACACCACCAAACCCATGCCATGGTAGCAAATACCACATGTACACACACATACACACGCATACACACACAACTTTTATTAATGTACAATAGTAAACTATAGCAGCTTTCTGATAGCTGGTCCTGGGTTGGTGAATGAGATGGTTTGGAAATTTGTCCCCTCCAAATCTCAAGTTGAAATATGATTCCCAGTGTTGAAGGTGGGGCCTTATGGGAGATGTTTGGGCCATGGGGGAAGATCTCTCATGAATGGCTTGCTGCCCTTTCCGTGGGTATTAGTGAGTTCTTCCTCTATTAGGTCACATGAGAGCTGGTTGTATAAAAGAAACTGGCACCTCCTCTCTCCATCTCTCTTTCTCTCTATCTAGCTTCCTGTTTCACCACATGACACAGCAGATTCCCCTTTGCCTTCCCCCATGATTTAAGCTTCTTTAGTACTAACCAGAAGCCAAGCAGATGCTGGTTCCATGCCTGTAGAGCCTGCTGAGCTGTGAGCCTGAGTTATTTGTGAGTATAGGAACACAAATGAACTTTATAACAACACAAATGAACTATCACAGAAAATTGGTACCTAGGAGTGGGACATTGCTATAAAGGTACCTGAAAATATGAGAGTGGCTTTGGAACTGGATAATAGACAGGGGTTTGAAGAGTTTGAAGGGTTCAGCAGAAGACAATAAAATGAAAGAAAGTTTGGAACTTTTCACAGACTAGGTAAGTAGTTGTGACCAAACTGCTTATTGAAATATAGACAGTGAAGGCCAGGCCGAGGAGGTCTCAGATGGAAATAAGGAACTTATTGGGAACTGGAGCAAAAGTCACCCTTGTTATGCCTTAGCAAAGAACTTGGCTGCACTGTGTCTATGTCCTAGTACTCTGGAAGACTGAATTTAAGAGTGATTCTGCAGGGTATGTGGCAGAAGAAATTTTTAAGCAGTAAAGCATTCAAGAGGTGGTCTGGCTGTTTCTAACTTCCTAGATCAGATATGGAAGCAAAAAGATGACAAATCTGGAAAATATTTAAAAGGGAAGCAGAATGTACAAATTTGAAAAATTTGCAGATTGGGAATGTAGTAGAGACAGAAGGAGACTTTTCAGGAGAGGAATACAAGGAAGCTGTGAAGCAACCATTTGGTGGAGAGATTTGCGTGACTAAAAGAGAGCTGAGTGCTAACAGGCAAGACAATGGGACAAAGGCCTTGAAGGCATTTCAGAAACATTTCAGGCTCCCTTTCCCATCGCAGGTCCAGAGGCCTAGGAGGAAAGAATGGTTTAGTGGGCCAGGCTCAGGGCCCTGTTGCCTTGAGTAGCTTCAGGACACTGCTCCCTGTATCCCTGCTGCTTTAGCCATGGCTCAAAGAGCCCCAAGCATAGAAATTTTGCTATGCACCACTGAAGCAGTGCACCACTGCTTCAGAAGGCACAAGCCATAAGCCTTGATGAATATAATGTGGTGTTAAGTCTGTGTGTCTCAGAATGCAATAGTGAAGAAGCTTGGCATCTTCTGTAGATTTCAGAAAATGTATGATGATATGGTTTGGCTCTGTCCCCACCCAAATCTCATCTTGAATTATCATATGTTATGGTAGGAACCCCATGGGAGGTAACTTAATCACGGGAGCAGGTCTTTTCTGTGCTGTTCTCATGATTGTGAATAAGTCTCATGAGACCTGATGGTTTTAAAAAGGGGAGTTTTCCTGCACAAACTCTCTTCTCTTGTCTGCCACCATTTGAGATGCACCTTTCACCTTCTGCCACGATTGTGAGGCCTCCCAGCCACATGGAACTATAAGTCCATTAAACTTATTTTGTGAGTTGCCCAGTCTCAGTATGTCTCTATAAGCAGTGTGAAAACAAACTAATAGAGTAAATTGGTATCAGAAGTGGGTGCTGCTGAAAAGATACCCAAAAATGTGGAAGTGACTTTGTAACTGGGTAACAGGCAGAGGTTGGATCCATTAGGAGGGCTCAGAAGAAAACCGGAAGATGTGGGAAAGTTTGGAACTTCCTAGAGACTTGTTGAATGGCTTTAACCAAAATACTGATAATGATATGGACAATGAAATCCAGGCTGAGGTGGCCTCAGATGGAGATGAGGAACTTGTTGGAAACTGGAGTAAAGATGACTCTTGTTATGTTTTGGTGAAGAGACTGGTGGCATTTTGCCCCTGCCCTAGAGATCTGCGGAAGTTTGAACTTGAGAGAGATCATTTAGGGTATCTGGCAGAAGATATTTCTAAGCAGCACAAATTCAAGAGGTGACTTGGGTGCTGCTAAAGGCATTCAGTTTTAAAAGAGAAACACAGCATAAAAGTTTGGAAAGTTTGCAGCCTGACAGTGCGATAGAAAGAAAATCCCATTTTCTGAGGAGAAACTCAAGCCAGCTGCAGAAATTTGCATAAGCAACAGGAGCTGAATGTGAATCACCAAGACAATCGGGAAAATGTCTCCAGGGCATGTCAGAGACCTTTGTGGCAGACCTCCTGTCACAAGCCCAGAGGTTTAGGAGGAAAAAATGGTTTTCTGGGCCAAGCCCAGGGTCCCTCTGCTGTGTGCAGTCTAGGGACTTGGTGCCCTGCATCCCAGCTTCTCTAGCCATAACTAAAGGGGACCAAGGTAGAGCTCAGGCTGTTGCTTCAGAGGGTGGAAGCCCCAAGCCTTGGCAGCTTCCACGTGGTGTTGAGCCTGCAGGTGCACAGAAGTCAAGAATTGAGGTTCAGGAACCTCTGTCTAGATTTTAGAGGCTGGATGGAGACACTTTGATGTCCAGGCAGAAGTTTGCTGCAAGGGTGGGGCCCTCATGAAGAACCTCTGCTCAGGCAGTGCAGAAGGGAAATGTGGGGTTGGAGCTTCCACACAGAGTCCCTACTGGGGCACTGCCTAGAGGAGTTGTGAGAAGGGGGCCACTATTTTCCATCCTCCAGACCCAGAATGGTAGATCCACCAACAGCTTGCACCATGTGCCTGGAAAAGCTGCAGACACTCAATGCCAGCTTGTGAGAACAGCCAGGAGGGGGGCTGTATCCTGCAAAGCCACAGGGGTGGAGCTGTCCAAAGCATGGGAGCCCACCGCTTGCATCAGCATGACCTGGATGTGAGACGTGGTGTCAACGGGGATCATTTTGGAACTTTAAGATATGACTGCTCAGCTGGATTTCAGACTTTCATGAGGCCAATTTCTTCCATTTGGAATGGCTGTATTTACCCAATGCCTGTATCCCTATCATATCTAGGAAGTAATTAAATTGCTTTTGATTTTACAGGCTTATAGGCGGAAGGGAGTTGCCTTGTCTTGGATGAGATTTTGGACTGTAGACTTTTGAGTTAATGCAGAAATAAGACTTTGGGGGACTGTTGGGGAGGTATTATTGGTTTTGAAATGTGAGGACATGAGATTTGGGAGGGGCCAGGGGCAGAATGATATGGTTTGGTTGTGTTCCCACCCAAATCTCATTTTCAATTCTCATGTGTTCTGGGAGGGACTCTGTGGGAGGTAATTGAATCATAGGGGCAGTCCTTTCCCATGCTGTTCTCATGATGGTGAATAAGTCTCATGAGATCTGATGGTTTTAAATAGGGAAGTCTCCCCACACAAGCTCTCTTCTCTTGTCTGCCACCATTTGACATGTGCCTTTAACCTTTCGCCATGATCGTGAGGCCTTCCAGCCACGTGGAACTATAAGTCCATTAAACCTCTTTTGTTTGTAAATTGCCCAGTTTCAGATATGTCTTTATCGGCAGTGTGAAAATGGACTAATACATATGGGAAAGCCAAGGTTCCCAGGAAGAAGCCTGCAAGAGGGGTAGAATTCTCACAGAGAGACTCTACTAGGGAAGTGCCAAAGGGAAATGTAGGATTGGAGCTTCCACACAGAGTCCCAAATGTGGGCTAGTGGAGCTGAGGGAATGGAGTCACTCTCCTCCAGATTCCTGAATGGCAGAGTCACTGGGAGCTTGCACCCTGAGCCTGGAAAATTCACAAGTACTCAACTCCAACCCATAAGAGCTACCACATAGGCTGTGCCCAGGGAAGCTACAGGGGGAGGTTTACCCAAGGTTTTGGGAGCCCACTCCTTGCACCAGTGTGCCCAGGATGCATGACATGGAGTCAAAGATTATTTTTTAGCTTTAAGATTTAATATATTTTAATGACTTTTTTAGCTTTAAGATTTAATGTCTTTCCTGGTTGGTTTTGGACATGCGTGGGGCCTTTGGACATGCGTGGGGTCATGTGTTGCCATTTTGGCCAATTTCTCTCTTTTAAAAGAGGAGTGTTTACCCACTTCCCGTACCATCATTGTATCTTGGAAGTAAATAACTTGGTTTTGATTTTACAGGCTCAAAGATAAAAGGAAGGTGCCTTGAGTCTCCGATGGGACTTTGGAATTTTGAGTTAATGCTAGAATGGAATGAGTTAAAACTTTGACAAACTATTGGGAAGAAATGATTGTATTTTGCAATGTGGGAAGCTCAGGAGATTTGAGAGATCAGGGATAAAATAGTATAGTTTGGATATTTGTCCCTTCCAAATCTCATATTGGAATGTAATCCCCAATGTTGGAGGTAGGACCTGGTAGGGATTGTTTGAGCATGGGGGATCCCTCATGAATAGTTTTGTGTCTTCCCCTCTGTTATGAGTATGTCCTTGCTCTGTTAGTTCATGTGAGAGGTAGTTGTTTAAAAGAGCCTAGCACCTCCTCTCTCTCTCTCTTTCTCCCTCTCCCTCTCTCACTATGTAATACAGTGGCTACCCCTTTATGTCTCATCATGAGTGTAAGTTTCCTGAGGCTTCACTGGAAGCTGAGCAGATGCTGATGCTGTGCCTGTACAGCCTGCAGAACCATATGCCAAATAACACACTTTTCTTTATAAACTACCCAGCCTCAGGTATTCCTTTATAGCAATGCAAATGGGTGAACCCAGTGACATTTGGCCATTACTCAGAATAGTGCTATCTGATGAAAAGATGGTGAAACAGATGGACAAAGTGGGAAGAAACAAATTGGAATTCTCAGCTACTTAGAGAATACACTTAGGAAGCTTAATAGTTTTGGTGTGATTCTTCAGACTATACTTTCAGCTGAAGCAGAAGCTGGCCACTTTGCTTTTCCCTTCAATCCAACAAGGTAGAGATTTTAACTTCTTGGCACACACATACTAGATAATTGGACCACTTGAGACTGTCACAGGTGAAATGGAATGGAAGCTTCTATCAATGTCATCCTTAGGTTACCCTTTTCTCTGCGTTTTGTGAACTGAAGCCAATAATTTTCTAAAAGAGATGCCAGTAGAGCTATTACTTTCTCAATAACCTATTCGATCTCTGGAATCAGTTTTCAACATGTTACCTGCCTTAAGTGTGATCATTAAGTATTTCTTATAGTGATCAATTTATTTGGAAGATACTATATTGGAGTTTAGAAAGAGCTGAGGGCATTTTAAGAGGTGACATTTGATTACCTATACAAATTTTCACCTACTGACATAATAGCATATTTATAATAAATGGAAGCTATAAAATGTTAACATGAGTAATTATTTTGGCAATATCGTTTGTTAAATGCTATAGTCTATTCAGATAGTCATTAATAATAACCCAGGGTTGTGATATTCTCAATACTTATAGAATCTGCCTGGACTCTCTATTGAGTAGAAATTTATGGTATTTAACTACTGTATTCCAAAAAGAGCATTTGTAATAATAAGAACTGAAAATCTTTTGTTTCCTGGTTGTGTCAGCTCCTGAGCTGTGACATCTCCTTGGAGGGATGTTTGCATTAACTTTAGTCAAACCTGTGTTTGAAGATTTACTTATTCAGGACATAATGCTTCTGGCAATGATGACACACAGGGTTTCTAGGAGCTTAATATGATTTTTTAAATGTTCCATCCTACTCTTAGTATGAAGTATTTACTAGATAGCTCATCTCTCCTTGTCAAACCTGATACAAGCCCTATCCGATAGAGAACATCTGCATAATGATGATCTCAATAGACATCAAAAAATAGAAATATCTTTCTTATTAGTTTTTTCCTGGTAATATCTGCTCTTTATGATTTAAACTCAACTAGTTTCTTCTAATTATTATGTTCTATTGAGCTAAATATATACACATACCACTTTTCTCTCTCTTGCTCTCTCTCTGTGTGTTTGTGTGTGGGTGTGTGTATGTGGCGGGGTGTGTTTTGCTATATTTTGTTTTCATGGCATTTTGTTTGCTGAACATTTAATACAATTCAGGTCAACATGACCTGTTTATTTTCTGTAATTTTGAGCTTGGTAGAGTCTATACTTATTTAAGGGAACTCAATCTATTAAAAGCTATTGAGGGATTTTAATTTACCAAGAGAAGACTTATTAGATGACTTTAACTAACTAGGCTCTCAGCTAGCATAAATGACATCAATTCAAGCCATGCTTAATTCACCCGGTCAGTATTTCACTCAAGGCATAGTTGGGTTCTATAGGATTTTTGAGGAGGAGACTGTTACATTTTAATTTTTTTAAAAAATAAACATCTTTACATTAGACATCATTATTTAAAAAATTACAATGCATTTCCAAAGAACATCATCATTCAGAAATTATTACCAAAATCATATGTCTGTGTCATATAGGTAACCTGGCATAAAAGTGGCAGCACTGCAGTTCTTACTGTGTGTATGTATGTGGAGTGAACACAAGCAAGAAATATGCACTCTAAGTGATGTGGCCAAATGCAGAATTAAGAAATATTACCCTGTAAGCTTGTCAGTAGTGTGCAGGATGCAGTCTCATTTTTCTAATTTATACTGCTGCTTCCATTGGAATTGACGATATATATTTGAGAGAATAGTACATAAAACAGTATGCCCTTTCTCTTTACAGTGGCACTTTTAACTCTGGCTTTTTAGGTGGCATTAGTCATGAAAAGTCCAAGATCTGAGCAATGCCAGGACAATGGTGCAAATGGTCAAAATGTGAAGAACTGTGAAGAATCAGATTTTAACTTACTTGTAAGCAAACAGTTTCTTGGATGTTGGCAGAAGACCTGAGTCTTCTTGGACAGGAGTTTGTATTACTCATAGTAATAGCAGTACCCAGGGTAACAGTGTTTTTTGTGCCAGATCCTTGAACCCCAGTTTCCACAAGGAGATGTAAAGAGAGCCAGGTGATACCTGCATATGATGTGTATTATATTACACAAGAGAAACCCTGACTTTAGGAAACCCAAATATCTTTTAATGGTCATTAAGCATGGCTGCCATTTTCTGTGAAGAGGGATATTCTTTCTATTATTCAAGGATGTTTGCTATACAAACATCCTTGAAGAATGTCTAAGAACAGGGCAGTCAGTGCCTCTACTTTTAACACAGAAATGCAAGATATCTATGGAGAATACTTTCAAAGATAAGAGCCAGAGTCCTTATCAAGAAGAGTATCTACTTCTTACCTAGCTTAATTTTATAGTTCCAATATCTTGTCTCAGAAAAAATACCTTTTGCTGTAAACATCTGATAAAAGAAGTCACTGTCATGTCTCTATTTTTAGCTTACCCCTTAACTCATTTTTGTCTGGCTTATATGTAACCACTCCCTGGAACTGATTCTACAGACATTAGATATTTCTTATTTTAGGGTGGACATATTTAGTCCTCATTTTTCTTGGTAGCTCAACAGCAATTGATAATACAAATTACTTCTCTTTTTTGGAAACAGTTTTTTCTTGGTTTCTCTAAAACTACTTCCCATTGCCTCTGTGGTTATCTCTTGTCTTGAAAACATTCATGTTCTTTAGTCGTCTTTTTTTTCTCTTTTGCTTTACACACTCTCCCTATGTGATATCACATACTTGATAAGTGCTGATTGCTCTCAAATTTATATCTCGAGCCTAGACTCTTTTTTGAACTCCAGACCCACATAACTGCTTGATTTTTGGATATCTTTATTTAGAAGTCTTGTAGGCATCCTCATTCAACAACTTTAAAATACAGCCTATCTGTCTTGGACCGCTAAACCTACATCTCCTCTTGTGTTACTTTCTCATTAATTGATCTCACCATTCTTCCAGTTTCCAATTCCTATGGGTAACAACATTGACTCTCCTCCCCCTTTATATTCTGTGTGCATATTTTCCCATGCTCTGCTGATTTGGCCATCTAGTTGCCTCTCCAAAGACTTCTAGTTTTCTTGCTATAACTACTCAAGCTCAAGCCACCCGCGTTTACTGACACTAAATAGATATGTTAAGACTCTTCACACCAGATCTCTTTCATTCCAGGGTCAGCTTCTTCAAATTTATTACCTGCTTGCACCGCCAATCTGCTCTTGTAATTCACCTGATTAGAATACTTCCTTTAGTCCAGTAGCCCTTGAGATAAAATTCACACACCATATCAAGGGGTAATTTTTAATCTGACCCCCGCTGATGTGTTGTGCCTCATTTCTGATCACTTTTTAATGCTGCCTTCCTACATTCTCTATTCCTTAAAAATATCACTCTCTTTGTCCTAGCTTAGGGCTTTTGCATGTGCTTCTCCCTTTGCTGGAACCTAACCCATCTGCCTGTTAAACCGGATATCCATTGCATAGGGAAGTCATTCCGGACTCACCCTCACCCACCTAGGTGTTGCCATGGTGCCCTTCACTTCCTCCCTCTGAGCACTTACCCTCATGAATAGCAGTGCTGATTTAATTTCTGACTATCTCTGCACTGTTAGCTCCATGAAAGTGGAGACTCTTTTTGACCTTGTATATTGTATTCTCTAGGAACACATGCTGCTCTGGGCTGATCAAAGGCTCTCTGTAAATAGTTCTGAATAAATAAATGAATGAATGAATGAATGAATGATCTGGTTCTCTTCACAATGAATTATATCTTTATGTTGACAGACCCAGATATGTCTATTTCTAATATGTTAGAATAATGCTAGCATTTGTATAATAGGAACTATATAAATATAATACAGGAGGGCATTGTCTCACAGGCGTTTATATGTGAGTACATGCATGTGTTTTACCCAGAGCTGAACAATATCAGTAATAGATTCTGACATTCTGGCACATGGAAGACTCTCAATAAATGTTATAATTTTTAATGAATGAATGAAAATGAGAACTAGCTGTTGTTACTGTGAATTATGTCTGTTTCATGACAGACCCAATTGTATGTTTTTTAACATAATGCAATAATGACAGCATCTCTATAATAGGAATTACACTCATAAGAATGGGAACCATTTTCTCACAGTGTTTTGTATGTATGTGCCCCTGCTTTCCCCAGAGGTGTACAATGCCCAGTAACAGAATTAGGAATGATATAAGTGACAAAATGGATACTACCCATTGTATTCAGTGTTGCAAACCGTAACCATTTCTTCTTGGAGGTTATTGGTGTATGCACTCAAGGGCAAGTCCTCTTTTTGGAATAAGGTTCTGCTAAGGTGCATTTAGGTGCATTCCTAAATAGAAGCCACAGTTTCCTCTTTGAATATTATTTCCTCAGTTCCTTGCAGAGAGGAGTGTAAGTCAGCACAGTTAGGAATCTTATTTTTTTGCTGCTGCTGCTTCGTTCTCTCTCTGATGACTCTTGCTCTTGCAGCCCTCTTCTGAGTAGAGGAGAGGAGATTGTGAGGCCTTGGTTGAAACTTATTAATATCTCTTTTACTTCCTCAGTGGTAGAGAGCAGCTATTTCTAGGTAGTACAATGGAGGAGAGGCAGTGGGGAGGCAGAACCTGTGGTGGGGGAATGAGGCATGCCCCTGAGAGGCAGCTCTTGTGCTCATAGGAAATTGCCCTGTCCTAAAAGCAGTACTGATATAACAGGTAATCATTGCATCCATATGTGCTCTGGAGGAGAAGCCCTTTGAAATGAGACCAATTAAGTGAGCTTTTAGCCACTCTTGGTGATCAGAATACAGATGATCTCTTTGTCGTATTTTCTTGTTTATGTTGTATATCTGAATGTTGTGTGTTAATATTTCTTGGGAAGAGTTCCTTGTTTTCAGAGGATTTGTTTGTTTCGTGCTGCTCCACAGCACATGCTGTGCTTCCCTTTCAGAGACAGTAGCAGTGTTTGTTATGTTTTATTATTTTTTTTGTTAATATGCTTGCTTCAAGCTCTCTTCTTTCTCTCTCTCTCTCTCTCTATATATATATATATAAAAATAAAGTTGGTGGGCAATAATAGCATATATTTTAGCTTCTTAGCAATATGGCTGCACCTTGTCTAATGCTGCCTTTCAGTGCACAGGCTTATATAATGGTAAAAGAGAAATAAAGCCAAAAAGCTCCTCATAATATTATGGGAGGAATATACCTCCATCTGTATCAACTCCTATTAAAAGGCAAACATGTCTTTTGATAATGTATGTACAGGAAAATCTATTGATTCTCTGAGGGAACTATCCACAATTAAGGTGTTCAGTATCATTAAACACATTTGTAGACATCACACAAATAAAAATACTTTCTTTCAATCCTAGAACGGTTCTTTCTCTGTTTATTATAAAAAAGTAAGCATTTCATCAAAATTGTTCTCTATTCATTTTATTTTACTTTTTTTGGCATCTAAAGCTATCTTTTCCTTTGCTTAGAGCTAACTAACTTTTTTATAACTTGAAATTACTTGCTACTGTCCCTCTAGATTAGAGATTGTGTATTTTGGCTTTATAACTTGGATTAGATTAGTGCAAAGGGTTGATTTTGTCTTTCCATGCTTGAGCGTGTGATCACTTCCATAGATTTATTTATTTTTTGTGTGTGGGAGAAGATATTGATTTAAATTTTTATTTATTGTAGAGTACCGGGTGTAGTAAAATTTATTAAGAAGTTTATTTCTCATTTTTTTTTGCGTTTTATTGAACTTTACAATTTGTAAAGTGCTTTCCTCTAGAACTCTGGTTTATAATTATATGCAGCATGATATCCTCCAAAGTTGTAGAGAGTGGTCAGACAGCTGTTTCTAATGGTAAGTGAAGCAAAGGGTAAAGAAATGGCAAACAAGGGGGAAGGAGAAATGGGGAGTTACTAATCAATGGGCATTATAAGTCAAGCAAGGTAATAAGCTTTGGGGATCTGCTGTACAACACTGTGCATGTAGTCAATAATAATGTACACAAACAATTTGTTGAGAGAAAAATCTCATGTTAAGTGCTCTTACCACAATGAGAGAAAAGAAACAGCAAAAAGTAGTAATATTAATAATAATGATATGTATGTAATATTCCCTGAGTTATATATATTATCTCAAACTTAAAATCACAGATTTTTTAACATTTTGCAGAAAAGACACAGAGGCTCAGTGAAGCTGAATAACTTGCATGAATTCACAGAGCTAGTGAGTGGCATTTTGGGGAATGGTAAAGAGAATAACTAAAATATTACACTCCTCAGTGAAGCATGAGAGCTTGTCACAGATTAATAATAGTCTAGTTTCTTCCTAAGAAGCAGAAATTACACAGTATTCGTTTTAGAAAAAAACCCAATACGTAATAGCAAAACTTTTAGTTGCTTAGTTAATAGTGATAAATATGACTCCCTTTTTTTTTTTTTTTTTTTTTTTTGAGACGGAGTCTCGGTCTGTCGCCCAGCCTGGAGTGCAGTGGCGCAATCTCGGCTCACTGCAAGCTCCGCCTCCCGGGTTCACGCCATTCTTCTGCCTCAGCCTCCTGAGCAGCTGGGACTACAGGCGCCCGCCGCCACGCCCGGCTAATTTTTTGTATTTTTAGTAGAGACGGGGTCTCACCGTGTTAGCCAGGATGGTCTCGATCTCCTGATCTCGTGATCCGCCTGCCTCAGCCTCCCAAAGTGCTGGGATTACAGGCGTGAGCCACCGCGCCCAACTCCTCATACTTAGTACAGAATTTAGTAAAATACCTGTAAATAATAGTGACACGACTAAGGCATGAAGCAATCTTTTGGGGACAATCATTCGGGTCTTATAGAAGTTCAAAATTTTAATGTGGCACATTGGCATTCCTATATAAAGCTCAAAGCATATTTCAGTATGCCTTAAGCTCTCAGATCTGAGTTCACACATTTAGCAATCACATGTGTGCTTTCAGCTGATACTACTACACTACTGTCTATTCATTCTTAGTTTATCCATCACCCTCATGCCTCCATTCATCTTTTTTATTTTATTTTATTCATTTTTTTGAGACAGAATCTCACTCTGTCACCCAGACTGGAGTGCAATGCTGGGCTGGAGTGCAGTGGCATAATCTCGATTCACTGCAACTCCGCTTGCCAGGTTCAAGCCATTCTCCTGCCTCAACCTCCCCATGTAGCTGGGATTACAGGTGTGTGGCACCACACCTGGCTAATTTTTGTATTTTTTTTTTTTTTTTTTTTAGTAGAGACGGGGTTTTACCATGTTGGCCAGGCTGGTCTTGAACTCCTGAACTTAAGTGATCCACTTGCCTTGGCCTCCCAAAGAGCTGGGAATACAGGTATGAGCCACCACACCCGGCCTCCATTCATCTTTATTTTTCACCATTCATTCCATTTTAGTTTTTCTTTCATTTATTTCAGTAACAAAAGGCCTAGTTTCCAAGTCATTGCCTGATATCCCAGCACTAACATGTATCTCTTTCCTCCATGAATCATGGAATTCCTTTGACTCTGGGGAAGCACACATGCACACACACACACACACACAAAGACCACTTAGATACCTTTTTAATTGCTGTTACAGTAGTGCTTGTCTTATGAATTAGAAGCGTCTTTACTAACCAAATGAAGCTGTTGAGAATACCCTTACAAATTCTGGCTTTTTAAATAGCCGCAAAAAATACCAATTATATAAAGGAAGATTGTTATTACAATGGGAAATAATATAGTAGCTCTTAGCATAACTTGGGAAGTCAATTTTGATAGTAATTAGAGTGACAATGTGTGTTTAAAAAATGATATGAGTGGCCTGGAGTGGTGGCTCATACCTGTAATCCTAGCACTTTGGGAGGCAGAGGCTGGCAGATCACCTGAGGTCAGGAGTTTGAAACCAGCCAGGCCAACATGGTGAAACTCCATTTCTACTAAAAATACAAAAAAGTTAGCCAGGCATGGTGGCAGGCATCTGTAATTCCAGCTACTTGGGAAACTGAGGCAGGAGAATTGCTTGAACCTGGGAGGCAGAGGTTGCAGTGAGCCGAGATCGTGTCACTGTGCTCCAGCCTGTGCGACAGAGTGAGACTCCGTCTCAAAAAGAAAAAATATATATATACGAGTAATTTTAGTCAGTTGTTCAAATAGACTAATTTGGGGAAGATATTTTTATATAGCTGCAGAAAACAATTTTTAAAATCTAATTTTATCATATCTTATGTAGTATTTTAGTCACACATGCATGTATTTTATCTCCTTAAGTGGATCATAACCCATTTGACGACAGAGATAATATCTCAGTGTTTACACAGTTGACCCTTGAGCAACCTGAGGTTAGGGACACAGACCTCTTGTGTAGTTGAAAATTCTTGTTTAACTGTTGACTCCCCCAAAACTTAACTATTAATAGCCTACAGTTGACCAGATGCCTTACTAGTAACAGGAATGGTCAATTTACACATATTTTTCTGTTATGTATATTTCATATTATATTATTACAATAATGTAAGCTGCAGAAAAGAAAATGTTATTAAATAATCAGGAAGATAAAATATATTTACTATTCATTAAGTGGAGGTGGATCATCATAAAGGTCTTCATTCTCATTGTCTTCACATTGAGTAGGCTGAGGGGCAGGAAGAAGGGGAGGAGTTGATCTTGCTGTCTCAGGGGTGGCAGAGGTGGAAGAAAATCTGTGTACAAGTGGACCTGGTTAGTTCAAACCCATGTTGTTCAAGGGTCAACTGTACGGGTCTTTCAAAGTTCTCCCAATAAATGTATACTGAATAAGTGAATTCATGAATCTAGCCAGAACACCTTCTCTAACTTCAAAACTGTTTTGATAGTAGTCCTAAATTAATCCTAAATAATTCTGCTTAAAAAGATTTCCCAAGTATCTAACAGACACTAGGCATGTTATAAGATACAAATCAAGCAGGCTTTTCCATGATCTACTTTGATTGTCATAATAATACTATAACAAAAGCATTATTATTACCATTTTATATACTGGAATATTGAGGCTTAGGTAGGTTAAATAGTATTCACAGAGCCTACAGTTGAAAGGTGAAGAGCTGAAATATGTTCACAGGCATTCAATTCTAAAGTTTTGTTTTTTTCAGTTACACTATAGTTGAGTGAAAAGAGGATACCATGAACAATCTGGAATGCTAAAGCCCATTAGAGCAATTGTTTTTGGTGTGTGTGTATACCTAATAAATGCTAATGATAAATTCACTTTGGCAGGTCAACAAAATCTAATTTGGTAGAGTCAATCCAGTACTATTCGCATTTGCTGATTAACCAAGCTTTTGCTTTTTAGACAGCAAAGCCAAACCAGTGACTAGAAAGTTATTAGTCTAGAGTAGACCAGGACATGGCTGTCAACAGCCTCTACTTTGAACATAAAGGACAATTACTGTGAATTAACAAAGTTTTAGAAAATCAATCCTCACTACTGAAACATCAACCATCACTTCACTAAGGAATAAACGTATTTCAAGCACATTTTTAAAATTCTGAGTAGGAAAACCAGATCTTATTTTTAACTTTATGCTTTAGGTATTCTTTCATTGTTAGGTATTCATTCATTCACTCATGGATTTATTCAGCGGATATTTATCATGCACTTACAAAACATGCATTCAGTGTTACTCATTTCTTCAGAGGGTTGATGATGAGATAAAAAAGAAAGCAAATAAGGTACAGTAGTGAGGCAGATATCGTAAAAACTTGCTTCTCTAGAAGGGACGAAAATATTTTAATGAGGATTCAAACCTCTACAATATAGCTTGAGAAGACTGAGCAAGCATCAATATTTTTATGATTTTAATTTGTTGCATATGATATCATTCCTATTTGCCAAAAAACATGCACACATGTGACATACACATGTGTACACACACACTCCTATGCTTATAATATCAAACTTTGATTCTGACTATTTCTATAGTCAACCTACTTTTCATCCCTTTCCCTCTCCTTCTTTTATCCTTCTGTTCTTTTTTCCTTTACCCATGTATTACTAATATTTATTGAGTGCTGCTATGTACTAGGCGCTATGGTAAGCACCGGGGCTATATGAAGACTTGTTATCAAGGAGTTCAAAATTTTCTTGGGGAGATTGACAGGTGAACAAGTAATTACAGTCTAATGTAAAAAAAAAAAATAGTTACATGAAAAAAAATAAATAGTTTTTGATGGGAGAACAGGCGAGGGGACACATATTCTACTTTAGGGAGATGGAAACCAGAGGAGTGATGCTTATGATGGATCTTGAAGCTCAGTGATAATTCTTTAGGAAAGATGATAATATCAATCTGCATAACAAGAAATATGTGCCATTAGGAAACAAGTCTATCATTCAGAGGCTTGTTTTGTCATTATTATTAGTAATTGCAGTGATTCTTTGAAGAGAGGTTTGAAAATTATATTCCTAGGTCAACTTATTCCCAGAAGCACGTCACAAATAAAGGGTGATAACAAGAAATGACACCTCATCCACTGTAGAAAATTTTTCACAGGTCAAATTAAATGAGTTTTCCAATTTTTGTAGATAATAATATGCTTGTGGAAGCTGTTGAATAAAGAGACAACAGAGTGCTTTCACTGATGTGTGTTTATGAGAGAACAAATGCATTAACTTAAATCTTACTCCAACAGCATAAAAACTTGAAGTCTAAGAAGTAACACCCAGATTTCAAAATAAAACAGGGAATTCTGAATCGAAATATTTAAGAACCCTTGAAAACTGATGAAAAATGTACCAAAATTTTTTAAAAATTTGCCATCAATAACCTATTATCACAGGTTACTGTATTGTAAATTTTTATAACTTCTTGTATTCCTGATTCCTCAGTATCCCCACAAACAGGCTGTGAGCTCTCTGTCAGACAACTAGGTACATCTGTTGATAAGGTTGGTCCCTGCCACAAATTCCTTATCTTGGCCTCCCCATGACCTAGCGTCATTCAAACACAAAAATAAAATCCCCTCCTGCTTTTTGCTTGTACTTCATCCCAACACTCAATAAAGGCACTTGCCCTCGGGTCCTCACTGACTCTCTAAGCTCTCCATCTGCTTCCTGCTTAGTTGATCCTGCTCCCTTGGAGCTCCTCCCATATAGCTGCTAGTGTGGTGTGCCTTGCCTCTCTCTCTAGGACTTGCAAATATAATAAATCTTTTAATTTCCTATGCCTCCCTGAGTATAATTTCTGCGGCTGGGTTGGAATGATCCTTAAAATCCCCATAAGTGGAATTTATTCCCCCATTTACAGTACAGTTACTGATTGCCAGTCTTAAAAGGAAGGTTTATAGGCTGGAGAACATAAAAAAAGGAAAAAAGAGCAACAAAACAAAACATCATCATCAACAACACACACAAAGAGAGAAAAAGCAAACAACAAAATCAGTCCATGACCTATGCACAATTTGCCTTATGAAATGAAATAGCACACCCAGTTATAAAGTTGATAAGAAGATGTTCTAGCCATCTGCCTTTCCCCCTAGTTTGTCTGAACCAAGTGGAAGACAAACAATGTCAATATCACTTACTCATCGCTAACACTGACTTTCTTGAGGCAAGCTTTTGGGTGTGTTAGTTCTCCCAGCCCTTACTCCCACTACCAGTCCTTGGATGTTTTTCACACTTCACTCATTCCCAAAATAAAACCATATCTACGTTCTGGAAATACAGTGATGATCAAAGAAGGCATCATGATTTCTATCTTTATAGAGCATAGTGGGTGAGACATAATAAGCAAGTGAATGAGCTAAGAAATATGTAATTACTAACAGCAAGACATACACTGAAGTAAAAACATTTGGTGTGAGAAAATGGGAGTGACTATTTTTTATCTCAATAAGGAGTTGGTGAATAACACTTGTGAAGTACTTCCAGAAATAATCACTAGAAATTATAGAAGTCATATTTTATGACTAGAATGAAATAAACTAAAGATTAACAAAAGTTAAATTGAAAATATCTAAATTGCAAATATTAAAAAATACACTCAAAGTATTTGATCAGATATAAAATATTGACATGAAAAAAACAAGTATATCTTGTGTTTTGATCTTCAAAGATTTAGAAAAGAAACAACCCCAGAAGGTTCAAGGGAAACAGGCAGGATGAAACTATGAAATTAGAGTTGAAATGAAAGAATTAGAAAATGGAAGAAAAGAATGGGTTGAGTAAACATATCTTAGACAAGGTTCTCTGAAGGATCAATAAAATAGATGTTATATTACTAATAGAAAATGAAAAATCATTTCTCATTGGGAATAATCAAAATAATTTGAATTCATGAAGTGAGATACCACATTCACTTATCAAATCAGCGACATATAATCAAGGAAATGCATAAAATTGATGATGCTTTGGTAGATGGGTGACTTTTGTTTCTTCTCATTGAGAATACATGATGGTACACACGCTTTCTTAACACATGTTTACAATACATATCAAAAGCTTACAAAGGCAAAGATGTTTAGTTTGCTGATTTAATTCCACACTATTCATTAATACTAAAGATAAATCAAAAAGGACTGTTATATTCAAGATGTTCACTGAAACTTTATTCACACTAATGAAAACTTGTAAACTAGATGTTCAAAAACAACGAAAGAACTAAGTAAAATATTGTATAATAATGAAATGTGATAGTGGCATTGCCAATATTTTTAACAAGTAAATTTAGTAATCTAAAAATAAAGGCCGGGTGCAGTGGCTCACGCTTGTAATCCCAGCACTTTGGGAGGCCGAGGCGGGCGGATCATGAGGTCAGGAGATCTAGACCACGGTGAAACCCCGTTTCTACTAAAAATACAAAAACTTAGCCGGGCGTGGTGGCGGGCGCCTGTAGTCCCAGCTACTCGGAGAGGCTGAGGCAGGAGAATGGCGTGAACCCGGGAGGCGGAGCTTGCAGTGAGCCGAGATCGCGCCACTGCACTCCACCCTGGGTGACAGAGAGAGAGACTCCGTCTCAAAAAATAAATAAATAAATAAATAAAATACAAATAAATTACATTTATAATGAAAAATATAGAAATAGAGTGTGATTTCAAGTATATTGACTAGACTGAAAAAGCCATATGAAATAATTTCTTATTGGCAGAACCAATAATAATGACTTTTAAAATTCTTTTTACTTTTCAGTATTTTCTAGAAATTTTTGAGAATTATTGACAACTTTCTTTATTGTGAGAAAGTAATATTCAATTCAGTCTGTATCCCCTTCAAATTTTTCTATATTTCAGAGAGGACCCAAAGTTTAACTCCATCTGGATGAGAACCTAGCAAATGTCATGCGTGAGGTGTTTAATATATCAGATCCAGTGATGGTGAGGTCAGAAGTGGTCCAGTTGAACTTGAGAGTGATCAGACCATGATTTGCATCACAGGGCCTTGCCCACAGCAAAGCTGGGACAGGCTTGCTTGAAATCCACTGGATACCAACAAGCCTTCTAGAAAAGTAAGACAAGTAGTTTTAAAATAATGGGGCAAAAAGTATGTTAGATTAGAATACCCTATCCGCCACTCTGATCTTTGTCCTGAACAGGATAACTTAGTATTACAATGAGTAAGTCTACAATTAAAATAAGAATACAGTTGCAATTAATCAAGAATGCTATTGCAATTGTAGACTTAAGTATACAATTAAAATAAGAATAATTAAACAAATTTTTATTTTCTCTTTACACTCTTCAAGATAGGAAAACCAAGCCTGAGGAGAATGCTTTCAGTGACAACATTGGCTGTAGAATTTGTGGTGGTGGCAGCAACATTGGCTAATGAATGAGGGTCATTGTTCCATTTCAGTCAGTTCTCTTAACACTCTGCTCTACTGCCTCATAGTTGTTTTTACTCTTTGCCAGAAATAGGAATTTAGATCAAATCTTTCCCTGATAAGGAGATAGAAATGTAAATAGAATCTTTCCTTGCAGCTGAGACAGAAAAACTGTGGTATTCTGTATTTTGCTGTTTTAATAATAATATTTAAAATAATGCTCAGATTCAGTGGTTTAATCTGTGATTAAACATCCCATAGCTTTCTAGAATTCAGTGGTTAATTTGTGACTAAGCATTCCATAGATTTGAGGGCTTCAATGGATGGTTTTGTTGTTGTTTATTAACCTAGCAACTAAAATATTGCCATTAGTAAGAAGATGGCCTGATTTTTTATTTTTCTTGTTTTTCCATAGCAGATAACTGAATGTGTGTTGTTCATAAGTATTAAATATCAATTTTTCAAAGTTCAGGAATGGTAACACACAACTTCTATAAATGTCAATCCTTCTTTCTTATCTTTTGGAAATTCATGGTCCTAATGTTCTAGAAGCAGTGTTGCACACTTTGGAGATGGATTGCCTGGGTTTAAATCCTGATGCTACAAGTTGTTTGCTGCAGACCTTGTAGACCTTGAACAAACCACGTATTCTCTCTGTCCCTCAGCCCTCATCTGTTTAATGAGGACTTAGTACCCTTAAATTTTAGAATTGTTATAAGGATTAAATGTGTGAATGTATAGAGAGCATCTAGAAGACTGACATACAGTAAAAATTTCACTATTATCATCGTTATTATTGTTATTATCCAGTGAAATAAAGTCATTAAATAGTTGTTCTGCTGCTAAGCTAATTTTTAAATTTATACCATCTGAACTCAGGTGATTTTTCCTAAACATTATATAATCTCTGCTTTCCGGATGAATGTGTTTGAAATTCATGTGCTCTTTCTGCTCTCACTTATACCTGTGAAATTGGCAAAATTGTAAGAGTATCAGATGGATGTGAATATTCATTCACAAGAGCTTTGGCCTTGCCATGAATTAAAGTAGCTTTTATATATTGATCTACTAACTTGGCTGTCCCTGATCAAACAATGTATTTTCCAGTGGAGCTACTTATTTATGTGTGGTCTAATTCTCCAGCTATCAAAGCTTCATGTAATGCACATAGCTTGTGCCTGCTGATAAGTACATGCTCGTGTGAGACCACATGCCTCTATAATCATAGTGTCGATGCTAGTAATGATGCTTCAGTTAACAAGGAATAACTCAAAAAGTCAAGTGTCTGGAGTGGGAGTAGAAGTTTAAGAGGGAGAGAGAAAGATTCTACAAAAATCTCTTGGTTATAAGATTTCTGGTTATTTACTAAATAACAGTTCATATGTGAGAAAAATTCTGCATTGAGCTATTACATAAGAAGTAAATTTGTTTATTTACTGTAACTTGGGGGTTTGTCTACTATATCCACTGGCATTCTTCTAAGCTATGACCAGCAGTATTTAGAGCCATGGGGTTGAAGTTTGGAGTGAATAAAGATACAGAAGAACAGGCCAGGCGCGGTAGCTCACGCCTGTAATCCCAGCACTTGGGAGGCCGAGGCGGGCGGATCACGAAGTCAGGAAATCGAGACCATCCTGGCTAACACGGTGAAACCCCGTCTCTACCAAAAATACAAAAAATTAGCCGGGCGCGGTGGCGGGCGCCTGTAGTCCCAGCTACTCAGGAGGCTGAGGCAGGAGAATGGCGTGAACCCGGGAGGCAGAGCTGGCAGTGAGCCGAGATCGCGCCACTGCAGTCCAGCCTGGGCGAAAGAGTGAGGCACTGTCTCAAAAAAAAAAAAAAAAAAAAAAAGATACAGAAGAACAGAGGTCTGATGGCTGAGTCTCAAGCCTCCATTATTGAGAATATGGAAAAGGTAGAGGATAGAATAAAGGAGGCCAGAAATTTCTGCCAGTGTTTGGAAATCAGAGTCTGTAGTAACATGGAAGCCAAGTGAAGACAGTGTTTCAAGGGTGAGGAAATGGTCACCTGTATTAAACTCCGCTATGCAGCCAAGTAGGAAGAGGACAAGGAAGTGTCCATTAGGTTTGTCCATTAGGTTTGGCCACTGGGAACATGGACAAGAGAAGTGATGGGGATGAAAGCCCCATGGAGTGATCTAAAGAGAAGAAGAGAAGTAAGTAGGAAAAAGTGAGCAGACAAATGCGGTGATCGCTGGAAGGATGGGAGAGCAAGGGAATCCTTTTTATATGCATGGTATAATTTTATTGTGTTAATATGCCAATGGGAATACAGAGAGAAAAACTGATGCTGGAGAAAGCTCCCAAAATACTCCTCGTGTAGCTGAGGCTACAGTGTGAAATCGTATGACTCTTTTTGATAGTAAGAGCATTTGATGACATGTATTAATATTCTTACCTCAGTTTAACTAAAGAAAAATATATCCATGTGTAGTACTATGTTTTTCTAATCATCTTCTCTAATTTAAAACAAAAGCATATCAAGTAAAAAAATTAAGTCTATCTGGCCTCTACAGACATCCAATCCTATTTGTCAAAGATAGCTGCTGTTGACAATTTATTGTGTAGTCTTCCTTGTTTTTTTGCTATGCATGTGTGTAGACATGTATTTTATTTATATACATATGCACACATATACTTCCACAGAATTAAAAAAACATGGATTCCTTTATACATTGTGTTCTATAGCTTCCTTTTCACTTATTCTGTCTATATCTTTTCTAATTTGTACATATAGGTTTGATATTTTTATTGGCTAATAGTACATATTATGCACATTCTGTGTTTATTTAATCATTCACCTGACAGATTATTGATATATTTGAGCCAGTCTATTCTATCAATTTAAGTATACTTTTCCATGTTTTTCATGACAACACTATTTTTCTCAAATCAGAAACCAGGTAATTATAAGCTGCAGACAGGAGTAGGTTTTTTAGCAGTTCTGAATTTTGAAGGTTTTTTTTTCTTCTTCTGCCATTAGAAATAATTGAATGGTATGATAGTGTGGTAAATCCTCTAGTTCATTATTTTCTATGTAATAACATACTTCACTTTCTTTACCATCTTTACCCAAGGTATCTCTTTCATAGTCTACTTTCCTACTGTTATATCATCGTGAACCTCAGGTTGAATTTTCTGACACAGGTAAGTGAACTATAGTAAACAGCAACCTTCTCGCTGGAAGAAGTTAGAGTTATGGGAGACAAAACAAGGTGGTGCACTCAGGGAGAGGGAAAATGAAGATGAGGAATCAGCAAAGGTGCAGCAGAGGATTAGCAGCTGCTGTGCTGTCCTTACACAGGGTACTTTTTTCCTAGTTACCTCCAAGGAGAGAGGTACCAGAAATGTGAGGATAAGTGTTTTCAGGTGCCAATATTATGTTACTTTGCCTGATTAGTACCAAAGCAGGGAGGTGGAACTGTTCTGGTCAGATCACAGAGAGGAGGAGTGTTTTAGTCCTAGTGTTGATACATGTTGGCCAGGGAGTACAGTGCACAAATTGAATAAACATTTTAAAGGGTTTACATAATATTATTAATAATAAAAGTTTGTGTTGGTGAAAGTTCAAAAAGATACACCTCACCTCAGACTAGATTAAGATCTTAAAGCGACTTGGACTTAGTCATTTATATCTCAGAATGCACAGAAGTGATTTAGTTGTTTGCCTTATTCACTATTTTATTAATTTCCATGATCCTGAGGCATGCACCTGTGAATAAGAGGACCTTCTGCCGAGGAGATAGGGCTGTTTTCCCCACAGCTCTCACTGATGTTGCTAACATGGCCCTCTCCATTTGGGCCATGTCCTCTTATGAATCACAAGGATGAAGAAGAGGACTGAGAGGGCTTTCTCTGCCTCTCACCAGGTTTCAGAGGAAACTCTTCCATCAGTTAATCAACACTGTTGACAGTTGAGAACCTGTCATGTGCAAGAGGCTGTTTCAATCAGGCAAACTGAAACACTACAAGATATACTCTGTTCCTAACCTAAGCGGTTTGTAGGACCTTGAGCTACAAACATAAAGGAATAGAGAGTGCAGGCTGCAAGCAGTAATGAGAAAGTCTAAATGAGTTTAGAGATATGTGCTTCAGGGTTCTAAGAGTGGCAAGATTCCTGTCAGCTGAGCAAAGTATGCATAGTTTTCAGAGGAGGTGAAATTGGTATTGGACTTGAATCTTCCTTAGGTGGAGACTGTGTTTCTGGAACAGCTTTTATTTAAGCCTCTTTCCATTTTGGCATCTGTACACTTTGAAACTTGCAAAGAAATGCATGCACATTAAAAATTAAATAATACAAAAGTTTATATAGTAAAAAGGGAAAATTGCTTTTACCCTACACTTTGCTAAAGAAACCACTATGAACAGGTGAGGTGCAGCCTTCCAAAAATTTGTTATGTACAAGAGATGAAGTCCCTCCTCCTGGTGCACTCACACATGCATGCACACACACACACACACATACGACTTCTAGTAACAATATGTCTGAGGTTAAGAGAGGGCCCTTTACACCCCTCCATCCTCTACTCTAATTCTGTCTGATAACTTAAGAAGACAAATTAGGAGCACAGCTTTTCTCTAGAAGCCTTGCTCCTTCTCAAAAACAGGTCTCTCAGGGCTTTCAACTTTCTACCTAAACCACATTTACCCAACCAGGCTCGACCACTTTTTTGCTCAGGAGAGATTCTGCTCTGAAGGCTTAAGGGGATTAGGCATAAAACTAGAGCGAGTGTGCTTTCTGAGCCAGGCACATCACATCGAGAGAACAAAGGGCTTTTCAGGCCCAATTAACAACTGATCCCACTAGCAGGCAATGAGATCCAGTGACTAGAAGTCTCCTCCCTCTCTCACCAAACACCTTTCCTGGAGAAGTGTGACAGGAACAGAGGAGAGAGAACGGAGTAAGTGTTCACTCCCATATTGCTCCCTTGAGAGCATAGAGAGGTTCCCCATCCTCCAGACAGGATGTAGGATGAGGATATAGAATGAGTGAGAACCCTCATCACCCTGCTGGGGAGGAGTGGTCAATGCAGCTGGCCTGTGAACCACTCACTGCCTTCTCTGCTGAGGGTGAGGTCTTGTGGGGAAGAGAAAGAAAGCAGGTGGTGTGGCCTAACCTATCTGTCCACTCAATCTCTAGATAAACAAACTGATGATATTTGTTAGGAGGAAGAGACCTTCTCTCACCTGAATGCCGTCAACAGGATGTCCCTGGCTGAAGGATTTCTCATAGTTAATAAAACCAGAATGTTTAGGTTTATGAGACATAGCTCTCTGGAGAATATCATGTATGCTACATAACTTTCTAGGGAATAAAATGGAGATGTCTCATAAATTAAATGCTCTCAATAGAGTGGGAGGTAATAACCTGCAGATGCCTACTTAGAGGACTCATCTATTATTCTGGTCCAGAGATCATGCATCAGATGTGGTGAGGAAGGACTAGGGGAGTCATGTGGCATGTCTCAGCCCTTAATATACTTTGTTCATCTGTGTATTTTTTAAATTACTAGTAAAGTTTGACTCTGGGAATTATCTCTGATTTCTGTGAGTCTGATTTGACCATCTGATCTTGTGTGTTATGCCTCTTGCACATGTACTTCTGTGACTTTCATCTTTCGTGGAACAGTGGATAGTCTTCCAACTTGAATATGTGGAAGCATATTATAGATCTTGATGGAAATTTCTTAGATGTGCAGATCTCAGACCTACAGAATCATAATCTGAATTTTAACAAGAGTCCCAGGTGATTTGTATGAATAATATAATAAAGTGTGAGAAGCACTGGCATAGTGACTCTCAACCTCCTGCTATATTCCCATTTTTCAGTGGCAGAACCTCTTGACAGCGTTACCCTCACTACCTGCATGTAACTCCTTTCTTATCTTCTGTGTCCTTTCCAGCACAATACAGTCTGGCTTTTGTTGCTTCTTGTCAAAGTAATCTAGCTCATTTCTTTAGCAGAATTTGATCCAACTGATTGCCCTTCCTTTTTGAATCATATTCTTCTCTTATTTTCTGTTACATTTCATTTGATTGCTTTTTCTCTACACTCCTGTCTCTCCTTTCTCTCACCTTTTTATCTGTGAGGTGTGTAAATGTTGCAGTGCCTCTGGGATTAGGCTTGGATATTCTCTATTTCTCCCTCTGTCTTTCTGAATAACTTTATTTTGTGATACACCTTTATAAAACACTTAAATATTGATTTTTCCAAATATACATCTCTAGCCCACACCTCTCCTCTGAACTGTAGATATTTTTTTCAATTGTCAAACTTGACATATCCACTTGGATTTCTGATTGGCATTTCAATCTAGTGAGCTTACAATGAATCTCTAAGTTTCACCTCTCATCACCCCCCATCTAACATTCTTTCAGCCCAATATTCATTATCACAGTTGGTGGCAACAGTATCATCCACACAGTTGCTCATTCTACCATTGAAAGCCTTCTTTCCCTGACACTCCCATATTCATTTCAATCACATGTCTAGTCAGTTACACTTTCAAAATACATCTCAAATCTGTTTACTTTTCTCCATTAACTCAGCCAACATCCAAATAAGGCCACTGCAGCTCTCACCTGAACAATCACAGAAGCTTCCTAAGCAGCTTCTCTGATTCAAGAACAATAGTTTATTACTATTAACCAGTAGCCATGACAATATTCTAAAAATGTAAATTGGATATACCACCCTCCTAATTATTCATCAGACCAGAGGTTTCTCTTTGAACAAATCCAAACTCATTTCATGCCTTTCAATATTCTCTATGACTTGGCTCCCACCTACCTCTCAGAACCCATGTTTACTAATTTGCCTGGATTAATAACCTCCAGCTTCCCAGAACCCTTCCTGTTCTTAAGGAACACCAAATTGTCTCCTACCCCAAGGCCTTTGAGTTTCTCTTTCCTTCCTGCATATAAAGATTCCTGCATCCTATATCTACCACACAAACAATCACAAACACAGACACACACATATACAGATACATAGAGACATATACATACACTGACACACAAATACTGAAATGTACACAGACTTTGTATACACACACACACACACACACACACACACACACACACACACACACGTATCCCTAGTCTTTGTAGAATCAGCTTCTTATTTAGGTCTTATTTCCAGTGTCAAATCCTCAGAGTTGACACTGGAAATAATAATCCTAGTTCTAACAATTTTTTAGTTGATTTGCTTAGATTGTCTAAAGAGAAAATGATTTAGCAACAATAAGGGAAATGTAAAGTCAGGTAATGTGATACCTCCAGCTTTGTTCTTTTTGCTTAGGAATGCTTTGGTTACTTGGGCTCTTTTCTGGTTTCATATGAATTTTAGCATTTTTTTTCTAATTCTTTGAAAAATGAAATTAGTATCAAAGAGCATATACTCTTTGATAGAGATTGCACTGAGTCTGCGGATTGCTTTGGGCAGTATGGTCATTTTAATAATATTCTTCCAATCCATAAATATGAGATATTTTTCCATTTGTTTGTGTCATCTACAGGTTCTTTCATCAATGTTTTGTACTTTTCCTTATACAGAGTTTTCACTTCCTTGGTTAAATATATTTCTAGGTATTTTATTTTTTGTAGCTATTGTAAATGGAATTGCACTATTGATTTGGTTCTCTGCTTAACTGCTACTGGTGTATAGAAATGCTACTAATTTTTGTATGTTGATTTTGTATCCTGAAACTTTACTGAATTCATTTATGAAATGTGAGAGTTTTTTGTTGGAGTCTTTAGTGTTTTCTGGATATAAGAGCTTAAATAGAATAGAGTTAATCTGACTTCCTGTCTTCTAATAGGGATGTTTTTTATTTCTCTTACCTGATTGCTCAGCCTAAGACTTCTGGTACTATGCTGACTAAATAGGAAGGGTAAAAGTGGACATTACTTGTCTTGTTTGAACAGCATGATACTGGTGTAAAAATAGACATATAGATTAATGGAACAGAATGGAGAACCCAGAAATAAAGCCACATGTCTACAGCCAACTGATTTTTGACAAAGTAAACAAAAAACACTCTGGGGAAAAGACACCCTATTCAATAATAAATGATGCTGGGAAATAGGATTTCCATGTGCAGAAGAACAAAACTGAACCCCTGTATCTCACTATATACAATAATCAACTCAAGATAAATTAAAGCCTTAAATGTGAGACCTGAAACTATAAAAATATTAGAATAAAACTTAAGGAAAACTCTTCTGGACATTGGTCTAAATGAAGAATTCATGACTAAGACCTCAAAACCACAAGAAACAAAACCAAAAATAGACAAATGGGACTTAATTAAACTAAAAAGTTTCTGCACAGCAAAAGAAATAATCAACTGAATGAACAGTCAGTCTACAGAATGGGCAAAAATACTGGCCAACTGTACAATCAACAGGGGACTAATTTCCAGAATTCACATGAATCTCAAACAACTCAACAACAACAACAACAACAACAACAACAGTAGCAGCAGCAAATCAAATAACCCTATTAAAAAGTGGGCAGAGGACATGAATAGACATTTTTCAAAAGAAGACATACAAATGGCCAATAAGCACATAAAATGTTCACCACTTATCACCAGAAAAATGCAAATTAAAACCACAATAAGATATCATCTTATACCAATCAGAATGGCAATTATTGGAAAGTCAAAAGATTCTGGTAAAGATGTGGAGAAAATGGAATGCTTGTATACTGCTGGTGAAAATGTAAATTAGTACAACCTATACAGAAAACAGTATGGCGATTTCTCAAATAACTAAACATAGAGCTACCATTTAATTCAGCACTCCCACTACTGAGTATCTACCCAAAGGAAAATATATCAGAAAGATGCCTACACTTGTATGTTTATTACAACACAATTCACAATAGCAAAGCTGAGGTATCCATCAGCAGATGGTGTATTCAAGAACACTTGGTGTATGTACACAATGGAATACCATTGAGCCATAAAGAAGAAATCCTGTCTTTTGCAATAACATAGATGGAACTAGAGGCCATTATTTTAAGTAAAACAACTCAAACAGAAAGTTAAATACAGCATGTTCTTATTTATAAGTGGAGCGGAATAGTATGTAGACATAGACACAGAATGAGGAAAGCTAGAAATTGGAAACTCAGAAGGGAGGGAGGGTGGCAGGGCAGTGGGTGATAAGAAAATACTTAATGGGTACAATGGATTTTGGTGATGGAAACACTAAAAGCCCAGACTTCACCACTACAGAATAAATCCATGTAACAAAATTACAATTGTATCTTTTAAATTTTTACAAAAACATAAGGAAAATGTAGTCTCTTTCTTTTAATATTCATATCACATTTCATTTCTATTCGTCTAAATTCTCCAGCAGAAATTTGCAGAAAAATATTGATTACTGGTAGAGATAATATACCTCTAATTTTAAAAAAAATCACTACTAATTTTGAAAAATATGATATTTTACTGTTTTTTTTGACAGACATACTCTCACAAGTCCAAAAGTCTTTTTTTAATGTTATCTTGTTAAGAGTTCTATTTGGAATAAAAATTGAATTTTATTAAATGTTTTCTGGACATTTGTGAAGGTTATTATAAGGTCTTTCCTCTTTATTGTATTTTCTAATTTCAGAACATCATTATATTCTTAGAGTGCATTCTATTTAGTCAGGAATATGTTTTTAATTCATTTCTGGAATCTGGCAATACTCTCTTTAGGATTTTAATGATCTATATTCATTCATAAGATTGGATTTCATTGCTATTACTACTACTATTGCTGCTGGTGCTACTACTAATATTATTTTTATTTTTTTGTTGCTGAGGTTCTGATAATTTTGTGGAATTGTGGGAGTATCTCATCAACTTTTACCATATATCAAAGCAGTGTAATTCCTATATTTCTTGAGATTTTCTAGAACCCATGTGGGATGTGGGGTGATGGGTTTTAAATATCTTTAAAATTTCTTCTGTTGTTATCAGTCTTTTGAAATATTTCATTTCTTCTTGTATCAATATTGATAACTGTTCCTGAGGATTATTTACTATATTGATGTTTCCACATTTATTGAAATAAAATTATATAGAGCATTTTTTTCAAAATATGTTATGCTCTTTTATATTTATGACTATGTTCCCATTTTCATCCCTATTGTCACTTGTTTTTTCATTAATTTTTTTTTGTCAGAGTTGCTAGAATGGTGCCTTTTTATTGTTCTTTCTAAAAAAACTTGTTTTGGTTTTCTTTATTCAGTCACTTAGTTCTGTTTTTGTCTATTTTATTAATTGCTACGTTTATCTCATTAACTTCTTCATCAATTTGCTTCCTTTATATTTATTCTATTGTTCTTTTAACTTTTATGAGTTGAATTCTCTCTTCATTTAAAATGTTTTGTTATCTAAAAAACATAACATTATAACATTTACATATGGCACTCTTTTTGGCTAAATTCTTTAAGTTTGGTTTTAAAATATTCTTATTCCTGTGTCTAAATGAACTATAATTAAATTTGTGATAAGGAGACAATTTGGTATTGCTACAACATTACGTTTATTAAGTGAATTGCTTATTCTACAAGTTAGTATTTGCCAATCGACTGAAAGCCCCAATATATTGCCAACTTCTCTTGTATAAATTTCTTTACTATGGCCTGGGGAGAAGAAATATCAGCCAGCCACTGAGCGACGTTAGCTTGTGCAAGACATCTCCCATGAGTTACTGATATGGTTTGTTGTGTCCCCACCCAAAACTCATCTTGAATTGGAGTTCCCATAATCTTCACATGTTTTGGGAGGGACCCGGTAGGAAGTAATTGAATCATGGGGGTAGTTATCTTCATGCTGTTCTCATGATAGTGAGAGACTTCTCACAAGATCTGATGATTTTATGAGGGGCTTCTCCCCACTTCGCTCTGCACTTCTCCTTGCTGCCACCATGTGAAGAAGGATGTGTTGGCTTCCCCTTCCACCATAATTGTAAGGTTCCCGAGGCTTCCTCAGCCATGATGAACAGTGAGTCAATTAAACTTCTTTCCTTTATAAATTATCCAGTCTCGGTTATGTCTTTGTTAGCAGTGTGAGAACAGACTAATACAGTTACCTATGACTTGCTCACCTCTCATTTCTGCTGTCAGATTTTGCTGACTCTGATTCCTCGCCCTCCTCCATTGTCTATTGGAGAAATTGGTACTCATTTAATCACCCATATTGGGTTGTGGAATTATTAAATCTACTTTATTTCACCATCTGCTTTAGGTGTTTTAGAAATGTGGTCATGTTTGTTATGCTCACTTCTCCATTCCCAGTTTATCAAAATTGTAATTTTTTTCGTCTTCTGTTTACTCTTTCTCCCAGTCCTCTTTGTCTCTTTCAGCCAAACAGTACCTCTTCTTCTGTGTTTTTTCCTGGATGTGTTTTATCTTCAAATATAGAAAAATTTAAAAAGTAAAAATTATCTGTAAGAAATACTACTATCCATTCCATTTCTGCAAGCCAATGTTTTTTAAATAATCACCACTAATATATTGGTGTGTATCTTTTTCAAGTTTTCCCCATTTATGTTGTTTTATACACATACACACACACGCACATAAACAGTTGTTTTCTTTTTTTCAAAAAATTATGCCAGCTATTCTACACACATTAACCTCATACTTCGCTCTTTTCACTTAGTAAATCACCAAAACCATGATTTTACTTTTAATTTTCTCTTTCTTTTGTCACTTGTAATTTAGGCTATGAGCATAAGTGCAACCACAAGATCACTAATTGCCTTGAACCAGAAACTGTCTTCTTCTCTTCCCCCTAAGTTGTTTGTGTTTACTTATTGCCATTAATATATCTTCCAAGATATTCCAGAAGTTGCAAAGTACACCCACGTAAATCTACAACCACAAAAAAATTATACGTCTGAAAGTTACAGTATTACTTGTATGTGACTGGGATTAGAGAGCCAAAGGCTTAGGACATTTTATCATCCCTCAGCTCCAAAGATGGAAGATTGCATTCCACCTGCCTCAGACTTCTCAAAAGTGAGAATTCAGGAACTGACACACATCCTTGTTAGATATGAGTTCTAAATTTCTTTTCAAAGAATCAATTATGTCAGTATGTTCAATTCTTTGCCTTCTACTTTTAAACTTAACTTTCTCATAAAGCTACCTTTTTCGATTACCTGATCCACCCTGACTCATTTCAATTACCTGCTCTACCCTGACTCATTCTGATTACCTGCTCTGTCATAACCATTTTTCCCTCACTCCGTCGCTCTCTTTAAATTAGCCAATCAGAATTAGTTTAGCCTGCGCAGTCTAACTCTAGCCAATAGGGGAACAGCACAGCAGCAGGGGCCGTGCGCGTCACGGATAAGAACCTCTTCCCTTCCCTTGTCCAAGTGTGCACTCACAATTGCTCCATCTGTAAGGGTGCACCCTTCTATAGAAGTACCTTGCCATGCTGAGAATTAAAAAGAAAATTTTACATTCAAGTGCTATTTCTTTTGCGGCACCTAAACTTTATATATAACACCCTGATCCTTTTATCTTGTGATGAACCTGTGCTTATAGAAACCTGTTGGACTCTCCGAATGGAAGATTAATTTAGGATTTTTATACCTAATGACATATGTGAGATTGACTCATACATTTTTCCTTTGTCATGCTTTTGTCTTGAATAGGAATCAGGGTTAAAATGACTCACAACATGAGTTGAAGTGTTTCTTTATCTTTCTAGTTTTTAGAACACTTCGTGAAATTTAAGCATTCCTTTTTACTCTAGGAAATTAAACGTCAACTATAAAACTGTCTGGCCTCGGCATTTTTGTTGGGGCTGGGGATTTCTGACTCGGATGTCCATTTATTAAATGGTCATTTGTCTATCTAGGTATTTCTAAACAGACAGTGCTTGAAACTATTCAGTGTTCCTTTCATTTACATTTTAAAAATTTCATCATATAATTATTTAAAGTATTTAAGAATTTAAAAGATCTCCACAGTGCCTAGAGTCTATGCTTTTGTTGTTGCTAATATCGTTTATCCTTGACTTCTCTCTTAATTTCTCTTGCCTAAAGCTTGTTATACTTTATTAATCTTTTCAGAGAGACAGTTTTCAATTTTGGTTGAACATCATTGTTTTTTAGTTTTTCTATACTTCAGAAATGTTTTTATTTCCTCATTAATCTTTATTTCCTTTTAGTTTCTTGCTATTTTTCCAGCTATTTGAACCAATATATGTTTGCATATATTATTTTAAATATTTTAAAAATCTTATTTGGGCTATATGTTTTTCATTAGCTATAGTTTTTATTTTAATACATAGTATTTTTATTGCTATTATTGATCAGACCTATTTTTGTAATTTTCATTATTAATCCCTCTTTAGCCCATGAGTAATTTAAAAGTATATTTTCACTTCAAAATACAATTTTCTTTTACCTGTATTTTTGTTATTGATATTTCTTACTGTAATTTTATTAACAATTACATTTGTTACATTTTGATCAGAAAATGAGAAATTTGTTTGTGATCTAATTAACACAGGGATCATTTTTATAAATACCCCATATGCATTTCAAAGTAATGTGTTTTTTTATTGATTACAAGTTTTATTACTTAGCTATTAGATTGACCTCATGTTTTTAAAATATATATATCAATTTTCAGTCTTTATGATCTATAAATTAAAAAGTCTTTTAGAATGATAACCAATTTCACCCTCTTTTTGTTTTAATTTTCTATATGTAATATGATGATACAACTTAAGTGTTGACTAGACACAAAAGAGAGTTGCTAAATTTTACATCTCCATTACAGTACAAGGATTATGAAAGACAGAGTTTGAGAACTATTCTAGGACTTCTGGACCTCCTCAATCACTTCCACAATCTAAGAGGACTGAAAAAGTGGAGGAGAAGGGATTTTATGAGTAAATCTCTTCGGAGACAGCTTAGAGTCTTCTCCTATCTCTGATGTTGCTGATGGGGGCATGGTGGAGTTTTCTGTCCTCTTATCTCAAGTCTGTTGGTGACCTTCCATGGTCCCACCCAGTAATTTTGAAACTTATTCTGAGCTGTTGAGAATGAAGACTGGTGCCTGAGAAAGCTCAAGTGGACTGTGCTGAGATCTGTCTCCTTTCCAGAAAATCTAGAGGGTGGCAGGGTGGTATCAGAAAGGAAAGACTTCTTTCCTCATCTATCACTAAGTTCATGGCTGAGGCACCCATAGCAAAAGACAGAGTCATAAGAGAAGAGCATACAAATTGATTTCATGTAATTTCTATGTGACATGGGAGCTTTCAGAAATGAAGAACAAACAACAGGGTAATTTTTATGCTTAGGTTTGATAAAGAGTGGACAATCATACAGAAGTGTAATTGGACAAAGAGTATATTCTATGGTAATAAACTGAAGGGAACTTAGCAAGGCCTGTTCATTTAGATTCTTCCTTGTTTTCCTATGTCTTTAGAGAAAAGAACATTCCTTTCTTCCTGGAATAGAGAGGACCCCTCTGGAATGAGGGTCTTATGACTTACTTTAGAGAAAGGTCAGAGAGACCTTCTTTCTTCTGATGTTGCCTCAAATTCCAAGGTGCTATATTTCGAGGATAGTGTGCTCTGACCACCATTCGTGGAATCTAGCGCACTGGGGGCAAGGCCAGGAGAGTGACTGGCCCAGGAGGTGCTAGGAAGGTTTATTGAGAACCAATGTGGCAAAGTGAAAAAGATCCCGAGTTAGGTGAGAGGGTATCTCTATCAGGTCCAATAGATCCCATGGAGGTGAGCTAAAGTGCTAGATACCTAGGGGCTGGGAGTTTCAAGCATCAAAAGAACTTTGCCATGCTCTTAACTCACTTCCCTTCTTAGACCTCTAGACTGTAGTTTTTATTGGAAGCAACGGTAGTTGCTATAACAAAGAGAAAAGAATTGAATAAAAGCAGTGATGAGTGGCAACAAACAACAGATTAGGCAGAGTTAAAACAGCTATTTGCCAAGTCATGCAGCAGGGAGAATAGTAAGAATCTGAAGAAACTTCAGTAGTAAGAGAGGAAGGTCAATATGAAGGAGAGAGGAGGAGGAACAAGAGCTAATATTTATTCAAACTTAAGCATGTTATACATACCAAATATTGTTGTACTTGTGTTCTTTCATTTAATTTCAGTTTTACTATCCTCATTATCATATATAGCAAATTGCGACTTACAAATTTTGGAAATGTTGGAAATTTGTCGAATGCTAGCCACAACAATTTATTGTGCAATAACTTACGGATGTGCATGGTAGAAAAGAGCTAAGTAAAAAAATATGCAGGGAATTGAAGGAAATTTACAAATAGTTATGTCTGAAAGGGGCTGTGCTGGATGGGAAGTACTCTATTTTTATTTTTATACTTATTTCACTAGAAGTATAGAATTAACCACATACCTCAATAATGACATTCTAGCGACTCATCTCATCATGTATAATCTATTTTATATATTTTTGTTTTATTTCTCCTTTTGGCTCTCTTGTCCCCACCGTCTTTACTCCCTACCCTTGTCCCATGCCATAGGCATCCTTGTTCAGTTTTAGGTTAGTCTTTCTAATTCTTCCTTCGTACAGTCTTTTTCATTTGTGTCAATCTATGTAAAATATATAGTATTAAGTGTGATTTTAAAATAAGTTAATGGCATTGTGGTATAAATCTCAATCTGTTTCCTGCTATTTTGGAACTCCATCCATGTTGTTCCAGGAATATCCTCAGTCCTCTGACTGTTGCATAGTATTTTACACCTCCATCACATCTTTGTCTCCATTTGAAAAACGATAGGCTACTAGGGTGCTTTGTCTCCACTAACCCATTCATTGATGGTCCCTGAATATGCCTTCTAGTGGATCTGTGCTTTTTCTTCTCTTTTTCTTATTTTACTTTCCCCAGGATTTTCTCAGAAAAATGTCTGCTCACAGTGCTACAGCCCTAACATGTCAGTTCTAATCCTCCCTTCTGTCTTTTGCTGATGCACTTTAACTAGCATCTCCCAAAGCAGTTTTTAGTTTATTTTCCTAAACATACTCAGATACACTTCCATCTGGCATTGCTGCTGCCTGTGAAGTATGTGGTTTCCTGGTTCCCTGTGGGTACCCACAGCCACTCTATTTCCAGTCTGGCTGCTTTGACGGCATGGGGTTTGCAGCTGGAGTTCCAGGTCACTTCCGTAGAGGCCTTGACATGTGGTTTGCTCTCCTTCCATTTAGATGATTTGGAAAAATTAAAGATATAGCTTCTAATTCTTTTGATGCTTTAGGTGGGGTGGGGCAACTAAGTCCCAAATTCCAATGTGAAAATGTGATCTTTTCATGATGCATCTTGCTTTGCTTTTTGCTAGAAAAAAAATAATTTTATTTCTAATTGACAATTAAAAATTATAGAAATTATATTTTTAATGACTTATATACTAGTATTATGATGAACTATAAGAAATTGCTGTTTTGGGGATCATACATGCTCAAATATAAGCAATTTCATTCCATGTGATTTTACCTAATATGTAAATTAAAATGCATTATATTTAAATACATGGGGTTTAGATGGCTTGAATGGCTTACTGGGTCCATGTAGTAAGTGGTGGCAAGTACTTGCTTGACACCAAGTTTCTAATTCTAGTGCAGAATTGGAGTACTCCAGCACAACTCTTAATTATAATTAACTAGTAGAATTATTTAAAACTGCTTAAACTTAGTTTATAACCACAAGCATTGGATTTTGAGTTGCTTAGCTGTACCTAATTATTAATTTATGCTATTTTAAAATTAATAATATATGACATAGTGAAAGGGAGAGAAAAGGGAGAGAGATTTTTCTGTTTTTTATGACACAGGAGAAAATACAACTAACTCTTTAATTTAGGATTTATATTTAAATTATACTCTTCTTTTGAACAACCTTTCTCATAAAGATAACTGAGTTTAATTACTATTTGTAAAAGGTCCATATCAATGCCAGCAATTCTAGATATAAGACAGCACAATTGGAGGATTAATTCCAAGTTAATGAGCTAATTTTCTTTTCCCAACTTGCAAAAAAGAGCAGTAAATAACAGCTCTATAATAGAAATGAGGAAACTGTGTTGTCCACTGAATTTTAGAATTGCAAGAGAGCTTCAAATATTGTCTAGGTCAGTTCCTCCTTTTCTCAGAAGAGAAAAACTGAGGATTAATTAATTGTCAAGACTGGTGTAGTAGGAGCAGATCTGGCACAACTAGACAGGTTACCCATTTTCCCAGTGTTCTTATTATGAATGAGAATGAAGTTCTCATTACATATTGTATTCTTTAAACGGTTCATCTCTGAATGAGAAACATAGGCTAGAAGCAGGTGTCTCCCCAACTGTTTATATCAGTTCCTCATCATTTTCCTCCTCATTGGTTACAATAGCATTCTGCCTAGTACCCTTACTTGCAACCTTGCCCTGCTTCAATTCATTTTACACATTACCAAAAGAATAAACTTATTAAGACATGTATTTCATACACCATTTCCCTGTTTAAACATCTTCAGTATTTCTAAAGAGAAAACACAGACTCCTTAGTGTGATACCAAGGTTTTTTCTGAGCTGGTTCCTGCTCTCCTCCTCCAGCATCTCATTGCTGTTTGGTGCTTTCACTTGGAATGCCATACAGATCCAAGTACTGACAGTTCACAGATGTACCAACCTCTTCTGTACATGTATGCCTTTCCAAGGACTTCTCTGATACACTGCCCCACCTCGTTTTGCCAACTATCATGCTGTCTCCTACCCACTCAGGGCCACTCTCCTATTTAGTAGAAGACTTAATTAAACTTCAACACTCAGTCACAGTGGGACCTCTTCCACGATGCCTTCCCTGAGTGGTCTTTCAACTTTCTAGTGCTTCCCCAACACCCAGGCCTTATCTTGATCCCACATTTTGTAATATTTATTCTAATTCTGCTTCTCTGACCACCTCCTTTGGAGCTGGGACAATGTCTTTTGTGACTGATTCTAGTGGATTATAAAATATATTGTAGTTTCACAGAGCACCATTTTACCATCAACCTTATTAGACTTAATTTCAGCTTCCCTCATTTGAACAGACTCTTTTGAAAGCCCTGCGAGGAACCCTAGACATGTCTTCATATAGTCACACATTATAGTAAAACTCAAAAAAAGAAAACTACTTTTTTATATTTTTAAGGAATCTCTTATGCTCAATTTTGCAGACTTCAGGCCACACAATACTTGAACTTTCCAGGAAGAGAGACCCAATAAATGTCTATGGAATGTGTTAATGAATACATTTTCATGTATTATTATATATGATAATGATAATAGTTTTAATACACATATTATCTCTATATTTGTCAAGTGCATAGCTTTAACCTAGAATACTTTTTAGATCTGTTGCCTTATCTGTTAAAATAAGAGCATGTTATTTAGTCTCTGTCCTATTGCAGGCCAGTTGTGATAATAAAATTAAATCCTTGAGTACAAGAGTAGAATAAGTGTAGTACTGAGACCCATCTTGTCTGGAGAGTTGTGGATTGGAGTCACAGTTTAACAAGTGATTGCCACTGAAATGTAGTTTTAGGGCACTTTCCTTAGGGTCACTATGGCTAGCCCCTTAGCATTATAAGGAACCGTAACACAGGCAGAGAACAGGCTGAATTGCATGCTTCCATTTGCTCATTTATTTTATATATCTATTTAGCACGTAATATGTGCCAATTACTAGGAAGTGAAGTACACTCAATAGTGAACAACAGAGTCAATGTTTCTGCACTTGGAGCCTGCATTGAAAGAGGGGGACAAAAAATAATTAAATAAGTGGTCTCAGATTGAGGTGTCTGATAAGGTGGAAGAAATAAGTAGAAATGAGATCATTCAGGACATTGAAGGTCATCATTTGGAGAATGTTTTTATTCAGGTTATAATTAGAAAGCCCTTGGAAGATTTCAGTCAGGGGTCTGGTAAGTTCTGATTTATTTTTGAAAAAGTAAACCTGCCTACCCTGATGAAAATGCTTTCATTGTGGACAAGAATAGAGTATAGAAGATTCATTATCTGCAAATATGGATCTCCCCATGAGCTTGGGCTAGGGTGGTGGTAATGGAGATGGAGAAATATATTTTTATTTTATATTCTTTAGAGTAGAACTGACAGACTTTGGTAATAGATCAGATATAAGGGCTGATGTAAAAGCAGAAATCAATGGTGACTTTCAGTTTTTTGATTTGAGGAATGAGAATGCCATTTACTGAGATGAAGAAGCAACAAATGAGAAAAATATCAAGACTGTTGTGAGTGTGAAGCAGGCAATGCCTTATCACAAGTCTGGCTCAAGGTCAAAGTGTTTTCGAAGTGTTTTATAAAGCCAGCAATCACAACAGCTCTTCCAATTTCATTTCAGTTGGGCCCTCTGAACATATACCATATGAAATATCCAGAAATGTAGCTTTGGATTATTTTCTCTCTCTCCTCTCCATTTCAATGTCTTTTTGAAATTTAGTGGCATACTCTGCTACAATTCAGCTGAAGTGCTTAGCCATCCCATGATCTCTTGCATCTTCTCCCTTTCCATAATTTAAGTCCAACATTGTGTCTTGCTGATTACAAGTTGCCTATAATTTATGCATAAGTAAAATTGGATTCCTATAACAGGCCATGAATACTATTGATAGGGAAACTGCAGAGGTATTCAAAGGCAATTAGCTGAGTACAAAGGAAAACCATTATGTAAAAAAGCCAAGATATTTATCTTTGGGTTACAGCTAACTCTTCATACTAAATATTAGTTAACATACGGAGAATTTGAAAGCTTGCAGTCTCTCGCTTTAAGTATGGCGTTTTCTAGTACAACACATTTATAAACACTCTATCAGCTTTCCAGTCATGCCTTTCAGTTCTCATTCAGAAGAGTGCAATACTCCTCTGATACTCAAATATTGTACAGGTACTAGAGTCTATATATTCTACAAAACTATAAAATTACAGTACATTGTAAAGTCCTATGACATTAACACTCATAAACGCACCATGATATTATAATAAAGAGATTGCTGCTGATAATTCAACAAAAAGTGTGATTTCACTAATTACAATTTGTGACTAAATCTTTAGCATTCTTTGAAAACCTCCTATGTTGCCAATACCATTAATGCTGACAGAGAGAAGACAAGCAAAGATGAAAGAGGTGATAGGAACAAAAAAAAAAAAAGAAAAAAGGGACACAAAGGGTTAATTTGATGTGTTTTCAGCACTGAAATACAGTGTGATAGATTAGGGCTTGAGAAACACATCAGGTTGTTCTTCTACTTTTTGACTTTCCATTTATTCCTTCAGAAGATTCTATCTTTCCATACATGTTCCTCATAGGTCTTTAAGTCATCCAAATTTATTTATCCAGTGTGTTACAAAAGAGGCTTAGGTTGAACACAAAATCACAATAGAATGTCAATTACATATCAATATTGCCCGCTAGCCTCACTACTTGGATTTGAATCTGACCATGAGTGTATCTGGATTGCAAAGCTCCAGCCTTTTGTTCTGTCTTTTTTTATCAGTCTAGCACCCTGTTGTCTCTTAGCAATTATTTTGGGGTATTAGTCAAACAAGCAAGTTAATGGTTTCCTTGGAAAGGGTTCTACAATTTTCACCCATGCATTTCTAAGTTTTCAATATAAAACCATATGAAGCTGTGCTTCCCAGAACTTTACATTCTACTTTATTTGGATACTGGAGCAACAGAAGGTAAATAAAGGTAATACAGTCATCTTTAGCCAACTTGCAGCTTTTATCTTTTATCAAACTCACTACAACTATTTGCTTATCTACTTATATCATACTTATTTTTGGAAGAATTTAGAAGTTCAGGCATAAAGTTGGTATGTTGAACTAGAATTATGCTTTTGGTTTTTAACTTATTTTAAATATAAGGAAATAACCTCAATCCTATACATTGTGACATTTCAATTTTCTACACTTCTCCTCTAGTGTATAAAGCCTACATTTTTAAAATGTACAGCAGACTTAGAAAGCATACGCTCATTTAGCTTCTTTATCTTTCACTTCTGATATCTGGTATCTGCCATTTTTCCTCCACTTTCTCTCAGGATACAATACTGATGTCAGGCTGTGCCTTGCTAGACGGGAGTCAGAACTGAAACCAAAGAAACTAGATTCTGTTGTTCTTGCATTTGTACAAATCTTCTGTGCCTTAAAGGTAAAGGCATTAACTTCTGACTCACTCTTTCTTAGCAATCCACCTTTTAACAGTGTCCTTATCAAATGAAGCAGATGCAATTTTGGTGGTGACTGCCAGAAAGCTCTTGAGAGAGTAAAAATAGATCAAAGAAAGAAAGTAGTTGTATAATTTATAGAACCATGTTTCTGTTTGTGAAATTTAATTCTAAAGAATATTTTTCAACTATATAAATAGGATATTTTCTTTAATGCTATGATTATATATGCATATATATTCTATATATTTTCATTTCTATGTTTATATACATATAAATGGAAAGAAATAGATCAGTATTTCTGAAGCTCTCTACTTTTTCATAGCTATACTATTTCAGTTTCGCTGGGAATGTGTGGTGTCTGCAAAGTGCTTAAAGCTAATGTAAGAAACAATCTATCATCAGTGAGAAAACCAACAACTGACTTCAGAAACTTCCCAAATCAGCCAAGTAGTGCAGCATGCTTGCAGAAGGTGATTAAACAGTAAAATGCTACTTCTTTTTAAAATCTTCCAAATCTTAACTTATTCTTTGGCATTTCTGCTTAAGAAACAAGAGATCTCTTCAAAACCATTTGACTTTACATTGTTTAGAGATACTGTAGGAACAAGTTTTAAAGCCTCATTTATTCTTTTTACAGTTCATAATTTTGGTATTTGAATGCCAATGATCTCCTTATTCCTTACTCTCTTACTGGCCAAAAATTTCTGCAAGGTTCACATAGAAGAGGCCAAGGAATTCACTTAGCTCAGTAACTACCTACCATGACATACTTATTAAAGGAATACACTTTTTTTTTTTTAAAGAGAAAAAGTCAAGACAGACCAAATCAGATGGCTTCATATGTAAAAGAGAAGTCTACCAACAGCATTGACTACTATGCAGGACAGGCTGTTGGGTACAAGAAAGACTGTGTTGCTTTTTTCAGCCTCAGTTTACCCTAGTAACCCATGGGCTTAATGTTAGCCCTGAATGTGAAGAACAGGCGTGATTGCATACAGGTTCAAGGTTTTTGTTCCCAGCTGAACAATTCCTGTTGTTTTTAATAATCTTAAGACTAGCAGTCACTGGGCATTCATTTTAGCATTGCCTTCTCTCCCTGCTAGCTTCCACCACACTGGAGAATTACAAGATTGATGACTAAGGATGGACTTAAATAAGCCAAAGCAAAACTGAGCATCAGGATTAGGAAAAAGCTGGTCCAATTCTGTAGTGCTTGGTAAATACAGAACCAAGAGCCAGAGGGAGACTCTTTAGCTGGTTACTTTTCAGCCCCTAAGGCTTTCTGCTATGATTTGTGACCCAGTGAGCATGGAAACGAGGTCTATTTAATGCCTTGGATGGCTAAGTCTTTCTTTAATAGAAAGTGCCCCTGTGTTGATCAAGAGGAAAATAGATGTAATAGATTCAGAGTTGTATCAGAGAGTAGATTTGCCTTCATGATATGCATGTAGTAATCATCTGTCATAAGCATTTCATGGCTGATTTATAGGTGGTCAAGTTTGAGATCATTTTATGAGGCCCAGCTGTGGAAAGTTAGCCTCACATTTGGGCTTGAATTTGAAGTTCTAGAATTTATGAGAAACTTCTATTACTCCAAGAAGTACTTTCTTATCCTGCTGGGAAATCTCAAATAGTATCTATATCTGAAATTATGAGAAAATAATTATTTTATATTATACACTGTCATATAGTATATAAAATACTATATGTATTTGTATATAGTATATAAAATATGTATTTGTATATAGTATATAAAATACTTTATGTATTTGTATATAGTATATAAAATACTTTATTTGTATATAGTATATAAAATACTTTATGTATTTGTATGTGTTATTATCTCTTAAACTGTTATATCTAGATATTCTTTATGACTTTTCTGTTAACTATTGCAAATTCTAGGTTAAAAGAAAAAGGTAGTTACTGTTCTGATGGGGAAAATAAGGCATAGGGAAGTGATCATTGACTTGCTTCTGGTTATGGAGACCAATACCTCATTTGGTTTTGAGTCTGGATACTGTTCTAATTCCATAATCTTAACTCTTTAAGACCTCAAAGGCGGGCAGTCATCATTTTATTATTCATTGTTTGGTAATCTTCTGACTAATGTGTTGACTTGCATATTTATTCAAAAACTGGGAGAAGATGGTTTTCATTCTTCTTTCTTTCCCTTTTAAGGAATCTTCTCTACCTAGTGATTTGTGGTCTTGACTAAATCTTCAGCTGTTACACCTTAAAGAACAGTGTGTTTTTGTTGTCTGGGGTAGAGGGGCAATTGGTCACTGTTGTATAGGAATTAGAGTCTTAATGTGAAGACCGTGGCAGCCAGTAATGACAGATAAGGATGTTATCAGCACAACAAAACAAAAACCACAGTAAAACCAAGCTCTTCTTTTCACTCAAGATCTTTAAATTATCATAAAAAGAAATAGGAATTTCTTCTTTGAAAATGTGTAAGTACAAACATATTCCTTAATGATGGACAGGGACTGTGATATATTCTTATTTCATCAAAAAGATTGGCTACTGGCCAGTTTTGACTTTCCATGGAAATCATTTTTTGAACTGTTTGTTGAGAGAAGTATCACCAAAAGCCTCTGTACAAGGCAATGTTCAGTTTATTTAGTGTCAAGAGCATTAAAATATGATAGCTGAAAATTGTGATAAAAGAGAGGTGATGTTGGGAGCCAATGGGAGTTTTGTGCTTTTCTTTTTCAATTCAGTTTTTGGTTATATTTGGCAACAATTTGTTTCCACTTTTAGACTTCACATCGGTTGGGATTCAATGGAGAACAGGTTTTCAGGCTTCTCATTGATAATGATTTCTCATACAATTGATGTTCTAGTGATGGGTCAATGAAACTATTGTTTTAAGAAATGAATCATATTGTTCATGTTTGTTAGAAATTACCCTGTTCATCAGTTTCTAACAAAACTATCAGTAGCTTCAAAGTTTGAAAGTTTATATTTTAAACTTTATTTAGAGTTGCCAAATTTCAAAAGTTATTATTTTCTGTTACTTCACTACAAATTACAGATTTATTTTAGTGTTTGAAAAACAATGATTATTTCAGTTCTCTTTTTAGAAGTGATAAAGCTCAGAAAGATTGTCTCCTCAAAGTTAGATAACCAGCTGATAATAGAGCCAGACCTAGAACTTAGCCTATCCAGTTATACAAGCATTGCTTTCTTGACCACATTGTTTAGAGAGTGGTATCTTTTTATATATGCAAAAGGGAGAGTTATTTCTCATTATTATCTGAATTTCTTCAGGTCAAGGATTGTGTCTTGTTAAATTCAGCACACTGAATACTCAAGCTTGTGATGCCACATAAGAGATGATTACTTAATGTTTATTAAATGAATGAACAAATATTGAATATACATTTATTTCCTTTTGACACTTTTTAACATTATTAACTTAAATGTTTTTTTAACATTGGTAGTTTTTATAAGTTTAATATATACCTACCTTATGATGCAGCAATTCCTCTCTTAGGTATTTATGAAAGAAAAATGAAAAAGTTTAAAAGGTTCACAAAAGACTTTTATACATGAATGTTTGTTTATCATAACTTTAATCATGATGGCCCCAAACTGAAAACAACCCAAATGTTTATCAACAAATGAATGAACAAATTGTACATCCACATATTCTGTATCTTGATGGAGGAAGTAGTTTCATGGTTATAGACATTTGTTAAAACCCATTGAACTATACATTTAAAAAATGGGGCATTTTATTGTAGGTACATTGTTTCTCAATAAAGTTGATTTTAAAAGTAAAAAGTGTAATTTTTATATCTGTTTTTGACAAGTTGAAAATTAAGGGAGTAATTGACATCTATTAGTACTTTAATCTGTAGTTTGGTGTATAAAATCTGTTAACCCAAACCAACGAAGAAAAAATTTTTGAAAATATTCTTTCCAATAAGCTTAGTTACACTTAATAAGCACATCAACTGATACATATAAATGAAATATCAGTGTAATTTTTATGTTAAAATATTACTCATTAAATCATATGCATGGCATTCCCTCTAGTGTGTTCTTGCTTTGATGATATGCTTAGTTGCTAAATTCAGGTAAAGATAGTCAGTCTCTCCTTACTGAGATTATTATCTGAAAACTTCAAAGCTTCCTGTTCCTATTTTTTTCATTGCAGGCTCATTATATATTCTATCCAAATTTCCCTTCATAGTGAATACAACAGTTTTCACTTTGATAATATTAATGCTTCAGATTTGGAAGACGAGGAACAAACTAATTATATATATTTTCTTCTTTTCTAAACTCTATGAGAGATTGTTAGTTACTAAAAGCAAAATTTAAAATGTATTTACTAGTTATATTTAACAGAGCACAAAAGTTAGAAATTGACCACCTGGAAAAGAACAAATGACTCATTTAGAGAAGCGCTGACAACAAACTCTGTATGAGAAAGACAAATCATGAGAAGACACATTTTTTTTTTAAATGTGACTTTTAAAGGTTAACTACACCTAGTTCATCTTGGTAAAAATTCAAGACTCTATTAGTCATAAATACAACCAACTTAAAAAATAAAATCCATTCTCCTTTTCCTGTCTCTATAATCATTTCTTCTTAATAATGAGCTTTAAAACTTGATCACCTGCTGTGTACATTAATGCTTTATCTTAATTGTTTTTTTAAAAAAATCTGCTCATTTTGGATTTAAATCTAGCTTTCTCCAAAGAATATGAAATTACCATGAAGCATTTTGTTTGTTCTGAAAGGGCAATGAAGTTTTAATATGTGGATTATATTTATGAATTAAGAAGCAGCAGCAGCAGCAAGACCTGAATCATTCTAGAACTCAGCAGGTTGGCAGGAACTGACAGCAGATTTGAGACATTATCTGTAATATATAGAGCAGATTAAGTAGTTTTTCTCAATAATAGGTGGCTTCACCCCGTGTGTCAATGTGTTTGTTGTTGAAGCAAGGCCAGTTGAAATCATAAAGTCAGCAGAGTTCATCACTTCGGTTGCCTCCACTTTGAATTCTTGTGACATGCCCAGCACTAAGAGAGTCCCCAGGAGACAACAGTGAACAAGACATGATTTCTACTCTCAAGGTATCTGAAGAACTCACAATCTGTGTTGGCAAAAAGATATCACAACCATCAGTGTGATTAAAAAAAAAAAACTGATACTGTCATAATCAGAGTTAGGAGCACAGAGGTGGAAATATTTCATTTGAGGAAGGGTTCATAGAGCCTTCATGAGATGAGAAGGTAGTCATCTGGCCAGTTCAGTTCATACACTTAGTCATTCAACAAACAGCATTGAACCCATACGCGGTGATGGCTCCTGTATTTGGCACTGGACTTGCAATGATGACCAAAGGCAGGCATCAAAGTGAAGTAAGGCAGGCTCAGAAAGAAACATACTGCATGATCTTACTTATATGTGGAACTTTTTCTAAAAGGTTGAATATGTAAAGGTAGAGAAGAAAATGGTCACCAGGGGCAGGGGTAGGGAATAAGGAGACATAAGACAAAGGATACAAAGTTGCAGATGTGTAGGATAAATAAGTACAAAATAAGTGAACTTAATAATATTGTATGGGACTCCGGGTTTTTGCTAAAAGAGTAGATTGTGGCTGCTCTTACCCCCAGCCCCCCACACACATACACATATCCACACACACAAAGTGTAACTATATGAAATGATGGATATGTTAATTGCTTGACTATAACAACCATTCAACTATGTATAAACATATCAAAACATTGTAATCTTTAAATATATATAACAATAAATTAATTTTTTAAAAAGATGAGCATTATTTATTTTTCCTGGAGTTGACAATCACACAAATAACTGTATATTTGTATACTGCAGAATGAGCTAAGTATAAAAGATTCAGAGTATAGTGAGAGTATATAAAAAATCTAATAATTTTTTGGGGAGGTGGCTGTGGGGAGCAGGTCAGGGAAGACTTTCTGAGGAAGCAAATTTGGGGCTGAGATAAAAAAAAAACTGGATTTAATTTAGGCAATGGCAGGGAAGAGTGCACCAGGCACAGGGAGCAGCAGTGCAAGGCTGTCACAGGACAGTGTGGGATGTATTTTTGCACCTGAAACAATTCAGTGTGGCTGGAGCACAGAATGGGAGGCGGAGCAGTGTGGGGGAGGCCAGAGACACCATAGTGGGGTAGATCATGCAGGGCCCTATGAGCCAAGTTAGAGATGTTGAATCTTTCCTTGAGAGATTTAAGCAGTGAAAATACCTGGTCAGATTGCTTTTAAAAAAATGCTTTTGCTGAAGTTTGTATAATAAATTTTAAGAAGCCCCAGTCAGGAAGCTATAGCATTACGTCTACATGAAAAAAATGCTTTTGCTGAAGTTTGGAAAATAAATTTCAGGAAGCCTCAGTCAGGAACCTATGGCATTGCATCTACATGAGAGTCTGTAGTAACTTGAATTAGATAAAGGCAGACAGAAATGAGGAGTGGATAGTTTTAAATTTATATGATAGAGTCAACAGAACTTAGTGATATATTGGGTACAGAGCTGGAGGGAGAGTCAAGAATGATGCTTAGGCTTCTGGCTTGAATAATTGGATGGATAAGACTCCCTTACTGAGAGACGGAGCATGAGAAGAGGACAGGATTAGGGAGAAGCTCAGGAATTTGGCTTTGAACTGGCTGCTTAAGGTGTCTCAGGAACACATAAGTGAAGTCAATGTGAGTTGGATATACAGCATCCTGATGTTATGAGGTGTGAACTAGAAGTATATATAAAAGTCAAAGAAATATGACTGATAACTGAAGACCGTAGGATACATGAAACTGCACATAGAGAGCATAGAGTGAAAAGAGGAAAGGACTGAAAACTGTTTTGAGGACATTCAGCATTTAAGGACTGTGTAGAAGCAGCTGGGCTAACAGGAGAAAAAGAGGAAGCAGGCAAAAAAAAAAAAAAAAGTGAACATCCCAGGAGAATGTGATATCATAGAAGCAAGGAGAGTGTTTAAATGATGATGGAATGGAAAAATGTGTTGAATATTGTTGAAACTCAAGCAAGATCAGAACCAAAGATGCCCATTAATTTAAATCACTTAGAAGTCACAGGTGACCCGATATAGAATTATCATAGTATGATAATGGGGTTGCAAGCTAGAGCAGAGTGAGTTAAGTAGTGAATGAAGACTGGGGAAATTGGTAAAGTGAGTGTAAACTAATTCCTAAAATAATTGAGGTAGGGAGGGATTCATGTAAATAGGGAGAACAGGATAACTTTTTGTAAATTGATGAGATGAATTTGGGAAATTTAACTGACCAATAATACCCAATAATAGCTAAAATGTTATGGTTCTTTATGATTTACTAAATAGACTTATATATTGCTTCTACTCCTATAATCTGCCCAACTTCAACTTCTTTCTGGCATTTTAGGACCTTTTCTTATTCCTCTCAATTTTCCTCCTCCTTCTTTTTTTTTTTAACAGTACTTGGTTTTAGTATTTGTCTGTGTCTTGTACCTGGGTATATTTGATCTCAGTTTGACCTACTTTTGGCCTTGAGTTGAAGGAACACATCAATCATGCTCATGCACAGTGACCTCCCAGTTTTCCTGGATCTTCTGAGCCATGGCAAAGAAGCCATAAACTGAGATATATAAATGCATGACTACACTGTCACTAGAGACATTCAATAGTTAAGTGTTTAATAACTCTAGGTAAGGAATTGTTCCCTTTCAAAAATTCAAATATCTCTACAAGTGGTAACTTTTTTTTTTTCAGAGACAGGGTCCTACTCTCTCACTCAGGATTGGGGTGCAGTGGCCTGATCATAGCTCACTGCAGCCTCAAACTCCTGGGCTCAAACCACCTTCCTGCCTCAGCCTGCAGAGCAGCTAGGACTACAGGTGCACCACTAGGCCCAGCTGATTTATTTTTTGCAGAGATGGTGTCTTGCTATGTTGCCCAGGCTGGTCTTGAACTCCTGGCTTCAAGTGCTGATTCTCCTGTCTTGGCTTCCCAAAGTGCTGGGATTACAGGTGAGAGCCACCATGCCTAGCCATCTACAAGCGTTAACATAGTCTATCTAGAAGTTCTCCTTAATACAACCTTGTTTCCCCTTCTCACATAAAAGCTGTCTGAATATATATTTTGTTCAGGGTTTCTGCAGAACTCAAATTTATATTCAGGGTGAAGCTGGAGAGGGTCTGAGATTTGACTTTGTCTCTTTTCTGATACTTCAATATCCTGATTGGTATAATTAAGAAAATATTCCATATAGTTTTAAGAAGATTAATTGAAATATGTTTAAGGGATTTTTAGCCACAAATACAAACTGTAACTGATAGTATTATCTGAAAGTTGAATGGAATTGAATCATTTTGGTTGGGTATGGTGTTTCAAGTCTTATGGGTATTAGGTTTTCTTTGCTTCAAAAGCTTGTAAATGGACATTGTAGTCTACTTTGTTTATAATTTATTTGCCAGTCAGTGCATCTTACCGTGTTACATCATAGAAGTATCTAAATAAATGAAAGTAGTAACCTTCTTACTTTTCCTGAAAGTCTCAGGTCATGTGATGAATTTTCCTGGTAAGTAAAATAGAAAGAGACTTTCCTTTTCCTGGCCAGGTGCAGTGGCTCACGCCTGTAATCTCAGCACTTTGGGAGGCTGAGGCAGGCAGATCACAAGGTCAGGAGATTGAGACCATCCTGATCAACATGGTGAAACCCCATCTCTATTAAAAATACAAAAATTAGCTGGGTGTAGTGGCATATGCCTGCAGTCCCAGCTACTTGGGAGGCTGAGGACGGAGAATTGCTTGAACCCGGGAGGCAGAGATTGCAGTGAGCTGAGATTGCGCCACTGCACTCCAGCCTGGTGACAGAGCGAGACTCCGTTTCAAAAAAAAAAAAAAAAAAAAGAGAGAGAGAGACTTTCCTTTTCCTTAAGGTCGTGTAGTATTGTCCTGACTGTAAAACAATCCATGAAAATAATAGCTTATTTTGCATAGCAAGTTACTTAATATGAAATACAATGTGTGTTACATACATTATAACATCTTATCCTCAAAATGACTTTTTGAAATTAATAAAATTGTATAAATGTGTAAGTAAAGACTTGGTTTGATTGCATAATTTGCCTGAAATCACAGAAGTGGCAAAATGAGAAATAAAGCCAAGACCAGACCAGAGTGTTACACTGCCAAAACACCATAATGGCAGTCTTTCTAATTCTTATAAAGTTTAATTTTCTTAAAGAAGTTATTTCTTATTTACAAAAGTTTACAGATATGTTATTGATTTTCCAAGTTTTGGTTTTTCTTCAATATTTTCTATAACCTTTTGGCTCTAACTAAACCTTATCTGTTAATAAATGTTAATGCATAGAAAAAAGCAAACAAGAAATGAGCATTTATATTAACAATTTAGGAACAGTTGATTAGTTCTAATACTGCCCTTTTTCCCTTTGATGGATAAGATTGCTTGCCGTTGTGATTATTTATTGCACGTTAATAACAGTTAAATTTCCTGTTGGGGAAATTGCTCCTTGTTCTTATTAAAATATTTTATAATCTCATAGTGTTCTTTAAAGGATATAATGGACCATGAAAGGTAACATTATTTCAGGAACTTCACCATCTGCAGACTTGCATCATGGTATTTATGCACAAAACTAGAATAACCCTATAACATTTGCAAATATCTTAGGGCATTTAGTAGTTTTATAACTGGTGTTTAATGTCTTAGAGAAACAATTTAAATTGCATTTATTACTTATTGCTGCTGCATAACCCATCATCCTGAAATATGGATGCATAAAACAAAAGCCATTTTATTATCATAAGGAGTTAAAGGGATTTGAGGGATGATCAAGAAAAAAGACCTGACCATGAGGTAGCAGTAACCCATACATGCTTTAACAGTCTTGGATGTGGGATAGTTTCTTGAAGCAGGAGTCTGTCCAGAAGCTACTACTACTCAAAAAAGGAGGAGGGCACGAGAACTTCTACAGGAAGAGGAAAATGGGAGAGGGGGCTTTTGTGTCTAGAATGCCTAGGTAATATTGAACAACATAGTGGAGAGTCTCAGGGTCAGAAAACTGGAGAGCAGCAGTACTTTGAAGTCTTTTAAGCACAAGGCTTATCTTACCTATGGCTGGCAGATACTGGGTGAGTTTTCTCAGAGGATGCAAAGCAGACAGGCTCTAAATGGCTAAAAATGCCTGTTTGAACTATTTTTCTAATAATAGTATATATTAATATTTGAGTTTGGCACTAGTGGGCTTTTAAGCTAACAGGTCTCATCTTGTAGTGAAGAATAAACATGCTAGCACCCAATACACAGAGGTCATCTTTTGGGCTCATTTATATAGCAATTATGCTTCCAATTCTGTAGGTCACGATTCCATCAGAATATAGTGAGAATGACTTGCATCTGCTCCTTGTTGTCTGGTTCACATCTGGGCTAACTGGGGCTCATTATGGTTGGGGATGCTTAAATGGCTCAACTAGAGTCATCTCTCTGGAGCCTCAGTTCTGGCTGTCAGCCTGATTCCTCGGGTCTTCGGGACTAGAATGTCTGAGAAGGCTTTTTTACTCACATGTCTGGTGCTTGCAATTGGACAGCTTAAATAACTGGGGGCTAGCCAAGATCTCCTTTTCCATGTAACTGTCTTGGGTTCCTTCACACCATGGCAGCTTCAAGGTAGTAGGACTTCTTACAAGGTGGCTGGCTTCCCCTAGAGCTAGCATTTCAAGACACATAGATGTAAGCACAGACTTCTTCTGAGTTAACCTTGAAAATAACATAAAGATGCTTATTCTGCCTTCAACAGGTCAGAAGCAAGTCACATGTCAACCCACATTCAAGTAGACTAGGATCTGTAAGGGAGTGAATACTGGGAATTGCAGTTCATTGAGGGCTGAGAAAGGTGGGCAGATTTGGAGACCACTACCATTAAAATAAATTTCTCTCTGTTACAACTAACATACTTTCTTAAATTTAATAACAGTCATTTGTTTTAATACTTTTTTTCCCATTTAAAATTAGTTGGTTAGTACATGATTTTCTAACTCTAATAGTAATTTTTTTTATTATTTGCTATTAAGACACACAGTTTAACATGAGCAAAATTGCAAGTTTAGTTTGATCTGAAATTGAATCAAGTGTATACATTGCCGGCAGCATAACTGTATGGCTAAGAAAAATATCTGAATATTCAAATAGCTAGGTAATAAAATTGTTTTGTTTTCTTAATTTTCAGTTGTATATTGTATAATGACCATAATTACCTTTAAAGATAAAATATAGTGTACTGGTAACCACTATATCACAAAGGTATCCCTATGTATATTAAAACTTGCATAGCTAAGTAAAAACCAAAGGGATTAGAGATATCTTTATAAATTTTATAAGATAGAAATTATTTGGAATTAAATGTTGATTATTTAAATTGTATTTGGTATCACTAATTCATTTCAAATCTGTTTCCAATTATTTTCTCCTTGAGTTTTCTTATTTTTGAACAGATTTTATTAACTGCAAAACTATTAAATAAAATACCAATATCAAGATTTTTAAAAATTCCTTTTTTTACCTTCATATGCATGAAAATGTTTACTAAAAGCATAAAGAGAAATAATAAGCCTGCATGAATTAGAAGTAAACCCAAATGAGTTACAGGAAGTAAACTGAAAATTTTTGTGACTATTATGTTTAAGTAAACAAACTCTAACTAGCCTTCTAGATATTTAAACAGTTTACCATATGTTGCGTTTATACCATGAAAAATACACTAGGTAGACAGTTTCTAAACTAAAAAAGCAACATTCAAAATAAAACAAGGATGCAATAGGGTGTGTTCAGGCTTATATAGAGACAGATGTTGCACAGCAGTTATGTATTTGAAAAGCAGATTATTTAAAAATTAATTTTACCTTGCATAATGATCAATAACATTTTCTTCCTAAGAATTTTTTTTCTAGTTTAGGCAAGGGTGATGAACAATAATCTGTATAAGAAGAAGTTAGTGCTGACTCTCGGAATAATGAGAAAACCAAAGAAGACCCAATTCTTTATATTTAGCTGCCTGAAACCAAAGACCCAATTCTTTATATTTACCATGTGCAGGTGCCATCAGAATCTGAAAAATTCCACTTATGTGAATGTATTTATTTAACAACACTTGACCTGTGACCTGTGACCTGGATTTCAGCCATGATTACCCAGAAGTGTGTGTGTATGTGTGTGTATACTGCCACAAAACATAAGGAACAAAATAAGTTGAAAGAATCAAAATGAAATGACATGAAAAGAAGTTGTGATATAGGAGAAACAGAGTGAGAGCTGTAGGTTTGAGTGTACCACTTGCTGCCGTGTGTTCTTGGCTATGTTATAGAATTCCTCCAACTTTGAGTTTCTCTATCTGTCTAATGGGAATAACAATCCATAAGAGAGTTGTGATGAGGTTTCAATGAGTAGGAAAAAAAATCTTTTAAAACTCTGAAGCACTAATAAAAATTTATGGTACAAAATTCAATTTAAACTTTTGTCCACCATATAGAACAGTGTCAATGTTTATAGCAGAAACTGCTAAGAAATTGAGTTTGCATTAATATATTACGCACAGGAAACATCAATATATCAGCCAATTTTGTTCTGTTACTGAAGAACTTGTAACGCTGGTTTCTATTAGGAGAATACCATTTTAAGGCTGAGGGAAATGCCTTTCTTTTCCATATGTATATAGCTGTTATCTTAATAAAGCTGTTATTGCATTGGGATATTTGCATTGATTTCAGGTTGCCTAGAATTTCCATTATGTAAATTTAGTTCCAACACAAAATACCTTGTTTGGCAATTGGCTTTTCAATTTAAAAGTTTGTCTCATTTTAATACCCCTCCCCAAACTTTCATTTTTTGTCTTTTATTAACTTTACTCCTTTGCAGTTTGTTACTTAAACAACCGCTGGGATTAGAATCACATGTGAGTGACTCAGATATGCTTTTGATCTGGACAGAGATGTTTCACTCAATTTCTCTAGCAATTTAGCAAATTTTTTAAAGTTTATCTTATGAAGTTATTTAGCTAAGATGTCTCTGAAAAAAGTTAATCAAGTAAGTTAATGTTGAACTCAAAGTCTGGATTTTTTTTTTTCCTGTTACCAAACAGAAAGGAAAATCATGATGTAAATCGTTTTCCTCAAGTGCAAGGAAACATACATCACCTTCTAAACCTGTTTCCAATGAATCTCTAATTTTTTTTCTTATTGACTATGGATTTGTAAAAATCTGTACTCATTCCTAGACAAAGAAAGGTAAAATGAAAGAGTCACAAAATGTATAGCCAGACAAAGATTTTAGCAATCCAGTGTTTTCTGACTTATTTTGGACCCCAGAACACTTTTCTCCATTGAAATCTTATATTAAAGCGATGGAAACAAAGGTGCTCAATCAGGGCTTCTTGAGCTTTAATGAAATCACCTGACAATCTTGTTAAACTGAAGATTGTGGTCTGGGATGGGGCTCAAGATTCTGCATTTCTAACCAGCTCCCAGTGGTGGCTGCTCCTGCTGGTCCACGGACCACACCTGAACAGCAAGACTTGGGTTAATCGGCTCTAAACTTAGCTGGACATTGAAACCATCAAAGAATATTAAAATATATTGATGCCTGGTTCCTCCCTGCACCTACCAGGATTCCAACTTAATTGGTACGGATACATCCTGGGTATTGGGATTTTAAAAGCTCCCCAGGAGCTTTTCTAATATGCAGCCAAGTTTGATAACAACTACTCTAGTGAAACTGTGTGTGTGTGTGTGTGCGCATGCGTGTGTATTGAAAGAACAGATGTTGTAGATGTCATTTCTCTTTCCTGATATCTCTCTCCTACACTATGACAAAAATGCACTTAAAACCAGATTATAACTACAATTATTGTATGGTAAACTTTTATGGAACATAATATAATATAAATGCATTTAAAAGATTGTGAGTATAATTTTTGGTCTGTTCTTCATTTAACAATACACCATGGGTTAACAAATACTAGATAGCACCATCATTTTTAATGATTGTGAAATATGAATGTTCCCTGCTTTATTTTTCTAATCCTATATTAAGCACTTAACATGGTTATTTTAATATTAAAATGTATATGGTGATAAATAATATTCACCAAATACTTTACATTTCTGTTCTTATTTCCTTACAACAGTGGAATCTCAAGGTTAGGCAGTAGAGACTGCCCATCCTGGTGAGGAGGGACATTTAAATTGCAGATTTTGTTTAAAATTGCCTGTGCATGGTGAGAATAAAAAGCAAACTGACTTTTAGCCAGCCTTATTATTGTTGTAAATTCTCCACATACAATGCATCTCCTTACTGCCTATACCCTGGACATATTGTTTCCACCACCCTGACTTTGGAATGAAATCCAAACCGCCATCTCACAGTGAATTTTCACAATCTCTGGGTGCAAAGATGTGAGCTTTTCTAGGCCTTGAGATATATATCACCATATTTTATACAGAAGGCTATATTGCTCACATCTCCAACAACAAAATATAAAAATATGTATAAAAAGCTTATTTCAAACGATGGGTGCTAGTACTTTTAATACCTAACAATTTGGTAAATTTCCATATCCTTTTCCATTAGAAAGACTGAATATTTATTATGCCTGTTAGCCATTTGTATTCTTTTGTGATTGCCTTTTCATGATATTTGCCTGTTTTTCAAATGGTGTTTGTATTTTCTTTTTTTTTCTTTTTTATTTATTTATTTATTTATTTATTTATTTATTTATTTATTTATTTATTTATTTTGAGACAGCGTCTCACGCTGTCACTGTGGCTGGAGTGTAGTGGTACAACCATGGCCCACTGCAGCCTCCACCTCGCAAGCTCAAGTGATCCGCCTGCTTCAGACTCCCATGGCGCTGAAACCGCAGGTGCACACCACCATGCCTGGCTTTTTTTTTTTTTTTTTTTTTTTGTAGAGATGGGGTCTCACTTTGTTGCCCAGGCTGTTCTCCAGCTCTTGGCTCAAGCCATCCCCCTGCCTTGGTCTCCCAAAATTCTGGGATTGCAGATGTGAGCCACCGTGCCTGACCTGTATTTTCATTTTTAAAAAATAAATTTTATTGTATATATTTATGGTATAAAACATGATGTTATAAGGTAGATATATATAGTAAATGTTTACTATAGTGGAACAACTTAACATATCCATCATCTCACATACTTACTCATTCTCCGCCCCACCCCATAGCAGGAGCAGGTATAATATACTGATTTAGCAAATATCCTGATTACAATATACTGCTATTAAATAGTCCTCATATCTATCAGAACTTCAGACTTTTTCATTCTGCATATTTACTACTTTCTATCTTGTGACCCATATCTTCCCATTTGCTTCATTTCACTGCAAACATGATAACTGCAGTTTTATTCTCTATATATTTGACCATTTTAAAAATTGCACATATAAGTGAGATTATACAATGTTTTTCTTTCTGTGTCTGTTTCATTCACTTATCATTAATGTCATCCATGTCCAGCCATGTTGTGGCAAATGGCAGGATTTCATCCTTTTTTCAGGCTGAATAATCTTCCATTATATACATATATATGTTTTCTTTATCCACTGATCCATTGATGGACATTTTGGTTGTTTCCATATCTTGGCTATTATAAATATACTGCAAAGAACATGGGAGTGCAGATATTTTTAATATCTTTATGAGGTGGTGATTTTATTTCCTTTGAGTATATACGAAGAAGAGGGATTGCTGAGTCACATGATAGTTCTATTTTTAATTTCTTTAGGGACCTCCATACTGTTTTCCATATGTCTGCACTGATCTGCATTCCCACTAACAATGTAGAAGTGTTCCTCTTTCTCTGCACCTTTGCCAATACTTATCCCTTGTCTTTTTGATAACAGCTATCCTAAGAGGTGAGAGTTGATATCTCACAGTGGTTTTGATTTGCATTTCCCTGAACATTAGTGATGCTGAGCACCTTTTCATGTACTTACCCATTTTTATGTTATCTTCATAGAAATACCTATTCAACTTCTTTACCCTTTTTAAAAAATTGGCTTATATGTTTTCTTGCTATTGAGTTATATAACTTCTTTATAAATCTTGAATATTAACCCTTATGTGATATGTGGTTTGCATTTTTCCCGAATCTGTAGGTTGCTTTATCATTTTCTTGATTGTTTCTTTGCTGCGCAGAAGTTTTTTAGTTTGATGGAGTCCCATTTATTTATTTTTATTGTTGTAGTGTGAGTTTTTGGTGTGATATGTAAGAAATTATTGCCAAGCCCAACGTCAAGGAGCTTTTCCCCTATGTTTCATTCAGGAGTTTTATGGTTTCAGGCCTTATTTATTCATTTCGAGTTAACTTTTGTATATGGTATAAGATAAGAGTTGAAATTAATTCTTTTGTATATAGAAATCCAGTTGTCCCAGAACAATTTGTTAAAGAGATCATCATTTCTTCTACTGTATCTTTTTGGTATTCTTGCCAAAAATTAGTTGACCGTATCTGTTGGGATTTATTTCTGGGCTCTTTATTCTGTTTCACTGATCCATGTGTCTGTTTTTATACCAGTACAGTACTGTTTTGATTACTATAGCTTTATAATATAATTTTAAATCCAGAATTATGACACCTTCAATTTTTTTCCTTAGAATTGTTTTGGTTATTTTGGGTCTTTTGTGGTTCATATCAACTTCAGGATTGTTTTTCTATTTCTGTGCAGAATGCCATTGGAATTTCGATAGGTATTGCATTGAATCCATATATTGCTTTTGCTAGTTGGGATATTTTAACAGTATTAATTTTTCTAATGATTAATGCCCATGGAATATCTTTTCATTTATTTGTGTCCTCTTTAATTTCTTTCATCAATGTTTTATAGTTTTCAGTGTACAATTATTTAATTTTCTTGGTCAAATTTATTCCTAAGTATTATATTTTCTTGTTGATATGGAGAAACATAAGTGAATAAAGCTATCATTTGTTTTCTGCCAAGTATATTAAAAGTACAGTAAGTCTTCATTTAAAATTGTTGATAGGTTCTTGAAAACTGCAACTTTAGGTGAAACAACATACAGCAGGTCCTTGACTAATGTTTCATTAAGCATTGTTTTCTTCTAGCTTTAATGATCAAAAATTGGTTTTGTTATACATTGTTTCACTTAACTCCCCATCTGTTTTTGCCATTTAAGTTTTTTATGGGATGATTTTTTTAACTTTAGTAGTCTAAATATTTATGTAGTTTGATCCATCAACCTTTTCCTTATGCTTACTTCTGGAGATATTAAGTCCCCTCTGGCCCTAGTATCATATATATAACTAGCCACCTAAGATTTATCCAAAAATTTTACATTTTACTTTGTCTTTAGTTCTTTAATTTACTGAAAATAATTTTGTTGCATGGCATTACATGAGGAAGTAATTTATTATCTTGTTCTCAAATGTTTAGAGACAAAATAACCATTTATTCTTTGTCCATTCATTACCTATTTAGTATCACAGTTTATTACATAATACATTAAAAAATATTTGGAGATGTCCCTGAATTATCCATTCTGTTCTTTATTTTCATCAATTTTCTATTTCAATATTGAAAGCTTTAATTATTTTAGCTTTAGAGTACTCTCTAATATTCAGCAACAAACATTCCTCTTTTTCAGATAATTTCTGATCATTTTTTAGTGATTGATCTTTTAGAAAAATGTAGAGTGCTATTTCAGTTTAAATAATATTGTTTTGTGATTTTTACTTATAATCACTGCATTTAAAATTCAGTATATGTAAGTACTGGCATCTATACCCCTAGAAGTGTTTCCATCTAACAATATTGTATGCATATTTATTTACTTAAGAATTTTTTCCTGATATTCAAGAGAATTAGCTTTATTTGTATTTATTCACATTTATTTTAATGTATTTAATTATATATGTATAACATTGTATGTATATAAGTAAATCTAATATTGTGTCTGTGTGTGTGTCTGTGTTTGTGTGCGTCAGGTGTTGCTATATGGGCTATGCTAGCCTTCTAAACAAGAAATTGGGAAAATTCTTTAATTTTTTTTCATCTCCTTGTAGCTACTCTAATAGCTGAATACTGAATTCTACATAAGGCATTAAGAAATAAACATCAAATGAATTTAAGAACAAAATATATGCATGACATAGACATTACTAAATCAAGATTTAGGCAGGTTGTCTTAATTTAAATGATAACTTCAGTAAGCATCAAAAGTCCCAAAACTAAGAAAATAATCACAGTCAAGGGACTGAGTCATACTAACTTGAAAGAAGCTATAATCAGAATTTATAATCTAGTTGAAGACATAGAATGCCGGCAAATGAAAGAGTCAGGCAAAAACCTAGGACAGTGTATGGTGAAAGATATACATATATAATGAGAATGTAGAATCATTGAACTTACATATATCAATATAAGAGTTAGCATTTACTAAATAAATGTGTTTGTCCAGAGTTTATGAAAATATTAAGACAGAACCATGAGAATGTGCTTGGTTAGTTCAGTGTGGTGACAGGCAGCCTAAAAGGAGTGAAACAACAGTCTCATAGCACAGCTTAAAGCACTCTATTTTATTCAGCTATGCTTAGAATACAAATAAAAACCCAAAACTGATCTCCTGGAAACTCTTCCAGCTCAGCAGTCTGTGAACAACACCAAATAACCTTGAAACAAGTATTCAATGACTTTGTATTGAAGAGAAGTAATTTCACATAATGTTTTACTATACATTTTCTAGTATTTATTTCTCTGTGTGTTTTCAGACACACACAAATCACTGTCATTACCACCACATACACTCTCACAAATCACACAAATCCAGGGTTATCCAGTACTGAATTTTTTAAATTTTCAGTGTTCATGCTTTTGTCTTGCTTTAGATGTATTTATACTGTACTTTGTTCATAGTTTTTTCTTTATTTTCATACTTTATTGTTTAGAGAATATTTTAAAAATTGTAGTAAGTTCTGTTTTTGTTCTTATCATTGTTAGTCATTTGAAATATTTTTTAGTACTTGTAATAATTATATTCAAGTATAAAAAAGTTTTTATCATAATAAAATAAAAAGAGATTGTCAGCTCCACATGCTATGCAGGAAGCATGGCTGGGAGGCCTCAGGAAATACACAGTTATGGCAGAAGGAGAAGGGGAAGGAGGCGCAATCTTCAATGGTGGCGAGAGAGAGAGAGTGAAGGGGAAAGTGCTACACACTTTCAAGCAACCAGATCTCGTGAGAACGAGACAGTAATAGGGAGATGATGCTAAACCATTAGAAACCACCCCCATGATCCAATTATCTCCCACCAGGTCCCTCACCAACACTAGGGATTACAATTCAACATGAGACTTGGGTGGGGACACAGAGCCAAACCTTATCAGATCCACATTTTTCCTCCACCAAAATCAATAAGAAAAGTGGAAAAAATGTCTAAAACAACTGGTTTTAAAAATTAGACCAAAAGCAACATAGGACTGTCATCCTGGAGAGAAGGGAAACAGATGATGTGAGTCCCACCCACAGTCTCACTGGGAAAGGGAACTCAAAGAGAGCCGAGTGGTCTGGACAAGTTGAGGGAATCAATATCAAAGTCTCCAGAGGCCAAGGTGACTAAACTTTGTGAGGCAGAATATTTGAAAGGACAGAGGTACACAGAGGAAGAGCTCCAGAAATCTGCATAGGGCTTTCTTGTATCTTTGGCTATATACCTATCTACATATACATAGGTGAAACTTCATGCCGCTGGGGGAAAAATTAAGGGGAGAGAACAATTATCAGGGAACTCTAACAGGAAAAACTTCCAGAGCTCACTCAGGGATAGTTGCTTGAGTTTGTGTGAGTTAGAGTGAAAAGATGTCATTGAAAACATGAGACATGTAACTCAAGATTCCAGAAGTATTCTTTAACTGTGAAGCTAAAACAGGAATATAGAAAAGGCTATTGAAGACTTACCCTTTAAAAGCTAAAAATCAAGATCTAAAAGTATTAAACTGATTCGTAAGTAACTTAATTTCCTGCCAGAACAAACTCCAATACTCATTAACAATACACTAATATTTGCTAAAAAATGTAAAATTTACATTTGTGATTCATTAAAAAATAGTTTGTGAAGAAGAATTGTGATCTATAACCAGACATAAAATGAATCAATAGAAACATAAATGGCAGAGATGACAGAATTAGCAGATGAAAACATTTAAAGAGCCATTAAAATATGTTCAATATGCTCAGGGTTTTAAAAAATAAGAACCAAGAGGAATTTCTAAAGTTAAAAAATAATTTTTAAATGAAAATTTCACTTCAGTGGCTTAAAGCAGATTAAACAATCTTAAAGAATAAAATATCAGTGAACTTGAAGAAATGCCAAAAGAATTCTATAAAATGAAGCACAGAGAATAATAAAGACCCAGTCATCTGTGGGAGTATGTGAAGCAGTTAACATACGAATGCTTGAAGTCCCGGAAAAAGAGCAGAAAAAAAATGTGAAAAATAGATGTTCAAAGTTTTGCAAATTTGAGAAAATTACAAGCCCATAGAAGCAAGAGGTTTAATGAACCCCAAGCAGGATAAATACAAGGTAGATTACACCAAACATACCATGATCAAATTTCCGAAAATCTGTGAGAAATGGAAAAAATCTTAAGCCAGATTTTAAAAAGGGATAATACCTACATAGATACGAAGATAATTGCCATAGACTTCTTGTTATAAACTGAAAGCCAGAAGACAAAAGAAGGACAACTTTAAGATGCTGAATAAGAAAGAAAACCTGTCAATTCAGAATTCTGCATCAAAATTATCTTTCATATATTACGGTAAAAATAAATACTTTTTCTCATGCACAAATGATATGAGAGAAGAAAAACAATTTTAGAGCTATGCTAAAAAATTAAGAGTCTTGGAAGTGGTAAATATGTAGATATTACTAATAAAACATTTTTTCTAATTCTTTAATTTTGTTTAAAGGCATTAGATCGTTTAGAACAAAGTAACAACAATATTTTGTGGGGCTTATAACATATGCCAAAACAAAGTCGCAAAAGATAGAAGAAGGGATATGAAAGCATAATATTATAAGGTCTTTATACAATAAGAAAATTGGTATAATAGAATTGAAGGTAGAATATAATAATTAAAGATAGAATTACAAACTGTAGAGAAATCAATAAGAAATAAAAAACAAGCTGGGTGTGGTAGCTCACACCTTTAGTCTTAGCACTTTGGGAGGCTGAGGCAGGAGAATTGCTTGAGGCCAGGAGTTCTAGACCAGCCTGGGCAATATAGTCAGCCCCAGTCTCTAAAAATTAAAACTAACAAAAATTAGTTGAGCATGGTAGTGTACCAGCTGGTATAGTCCCAGCTACTCGAGAGACTAAGGTGGAAGCATAGCTTGAGCCCAGGAATTTGAGGCTACAGTGGGCTATGATCACAAAACTCTCTATGCTCTCTAGCCTGGGCAACAGGAAGAGACCTTGATTCTTAAAAGGAATAAAAACAAAGAAGTGTAGCTAATAAGTCAAGGATATATATAATATGAAGTTATAAAAATTTATACAATTTAAAATATTTCCAGGAAGAGGAAGAAGTAATAAAAACCTAATGAAACCATTAGGAAGCAAAGAACAAATGGTAGATTTAAATCAATCACATCAGTAACCACACTGAATGTAAATGGTCTGAAGACTCCAATTAAAAAATGAAGATTATCAGATTGAATTTTAAAAAACTCGACTATGCCTTCCACAAACAAGAGCAAAATACAAATAAAGACACATGGAGCTAAAAGAAAAGGGTGGGAAAACATATTTCATACAAATACATATTTTATGAAAGCCTGCATAGCTAAGTTAATATCAAAGCAGACTTTAGAACAAGGAATATTACCAGGAATGAAGACAGTCATTTTTTACTGGCCAAGGGGTCAGCTTATCAGGAAGACATAGCAGTTGAAAATATGTATGCATTTCATAGCAGAGCTTCAAAATATATTAAGTAAAAATTGACCTAACTGAAAAGGAGAAATCGAGAAATTCACAATTATAGTTGGAGATGTCAACACTCCTCTTTTGATATTCATATAATAAGAAATAGAAAATAGGGATACAAAAAATTAAACAGTACATTCAATTCATTTGAACACTCTTCTAAACAACTTATAAGTAAAAGAAATCGAGTAGTAGCAAATATTTAGAATTCAATAAAAAGAAAAATATATGAAATATGTAAAGTGATGCTAAAACAATAATTTGATGAAAATTTTTACCTTTATATAAGTATATCCAAAAAGACAAAAGGCTACAAACCAAAGACATTAGTTTTTATTTTACAAAGCTAAAACAAAGGAGTAAATTAAAGACAAAGTAAATAGAAGCAAAGAAACAAAGTAAGGTAATCAATGAATCATAAAGTGCTTTACAAAATCAGTGTAGAAATATCTGCTCATTGAGGACACCTGAGGTTGTATAGCCCCTGGAATACTAGAAACTTACAGAGGCCAAAGATCTTAATCAAGAAAACGGTTTCAGGCAAAGAACCATGTTATCTCTATCTTTAAGTCTCCCACAACACCTGGAATGGTGCTACGTACATAACAGCAGCTCAGTGATGTCTGTTGGATTGAATTGTATTGAGTCACTATGCATATCTTAATAATGCTATTCCTGAATCTACCAATTTTGAAACATACTCATTATGTAACTTCTGTTACTTTAAGAATTTAAAAAGCGAATAGGTGATAGTGTGTTATCAACACCAGTAAACTTTCATGCATAAAACTTCAGGTATTCGAATTAGTTTCTAGAAATGTTCTATTGGCTAAATGCATGTTAAAATGATTTAATACGTACACAGACAAGTATCAACGATGTGACCATAACAGCTCAACATTTTAAGCTACCACAACTAATTCTCATCTTTATGTGAAAAAAAAGCATAAGAGAAGGATATTAATCAGTAGCTTCTTACCCATAAACTGGAATGAGTTAGCTATTTGAAATATAAACTGGGTTCCTCTATTTTCTGGTTGCACCTACTCCAGAGAAAAGCAATGAGTCATTTTGAGGGTTCCCCAAGTCCAAGTTCAGGTAGCTTTGTCTGTTGGGAAGCATAGGGCAGTTAGATAGGGAGAAGGAGAAGCTTCAATTTCAGATCTTTTCCTTCTGGTGATTATCTTTTTGGGTAGATGATAATGTTTTTCTGAGTGGGTGCAAAACTCCCTTTTGATTTGTCAGCTTAAGTATCATTTACTGAAGTAAAACCTCTAATTTCCACACTAGTTTTGCTCCTGTATCATGATTACATAGATCTCTGTTCTTTTCCTTAACGAAACTGGACCTCTAATAGTTTTTCAAAGTCTATCTTTACTTATTTATTTTTGCTGGATTCTAAATTACATGAAGGCAGAAAACCTGTTTTGATGTTTGCAACATAGTATGTGGTCAACAAATATTAAATGAATAAACAAGTGAATAGGATTAAGCAATAATGCTAGGAGATTTCTTAGGTAGGCTCTATCTTGAAGTTCTTTTCATCTTTATATCTGGCATTGGCCTTTGTGAGTCTGTCTTTATAATTTTAGATTTTTAAATGCATTCTGAAGGCTCAGAGATGGGAGTAGCAGTGATTCAGTTATGTTGTTTAAATTTCAGGCATAACACAAATCTCTTTCTTAAAAAATATACCTTATAATAATCACAATCAAGCAGTTATAATAATTGAATAGAATTTATAATTCAGATAATTTTTACATTAAATTTTGTCTGTACTGTACATACCTTCAAAGCTAGTATTCTAGCAGTTTAAACATCTTCCTCATGTTCACTATAATTATACTGATAGAACAATAACAATAATTTATAAGGCAACTCTTCAGCCAATTATAATATATTAAGCTTTTAATATTAGTAAGTCCATTTGTAAATTATTTAAAAGAGGACTTTAAAACAAATTTGGAAATCTTTGATCATATCAAAGAAAAAGTAATTTTTTTATTAATCCTGAAGAGATTAGCTTTAAAAAGCCTTAATTGTTTTGGAGTTTCTGCAACATTTTCCTGTTTATCTTAACACTCCCACAGTAACACCTTGCATAAATTTACACTGGACTCTTTTCAGAGTAGAAAGGCATTGGGAATAGAAGATATTCTGTGCTTGAGGAATGTGAAGGAGTTTCACAGTTTTGGCTCTTCGATACATCTTAGTTCTTGAGTAATTAATAGCCCTCTTACAGATGAAATGCTTAAGGTCTCTCTGTTGCCAGAGTGTATAGATTATCTCTCTAGTCCTTGTATCCTACTTCTCAAGAGGGCAATGCAGGTGTTTGCACAGTATATAAAATAAATTCCATTGCTTGGGGGACACATGACATCATCTAGAAGATTTTTGCAGATGATATTACAAATCCAACTCATGAGCTGTATCATACACTGAAGAAAAGATAGGGCAGGTACCATTTAATACATGTTTAATTGCAGGTCAAATATTAGGTAGTTTAGAGTAGACCTTGGCTTTTTAGATAGGTAGATAGATAGATAGATAGATAGATAGATAGATAGACAGACAGACAGACAGACAGACAGACAGACAGACAGACAGACAGATATTTTTTCTATTTTTTTGAGATGGAGTCTTGCTCTGTCACCCAGGCTGGAGTGCAGTAGCGTGATCTTGACTCACTGCAACTTTCACCTCCCAGGTTCAAGTGATTCTCCTGCCTCAGCCTTCTGAGTAGCTGGGATTACAGGTACCCGCCACCACACCTGGCTAATTTTTGTATTTTTGGTAGAAACAGGTTTTCACCACATTGGCTAGGCTGGTCTTGAACTCCTGACCTGGTGATCCACCCACCTCAGCCTCCTAAGTGCTAGGATTACAGGCATGAGTCACCCCGTCTGGCCAAGATAGATATGTATCTATCATTTTTAATAGCCAAAATATGTATTACCTCACTGTTGTTTGAGGTAATATTGTTAGAAGATTCTCTCTTACAACTATGGGCGGGATGTGCAGAATATCTTGTAGAAACTCACAGAAGTATAGCCTTATTCGGTTCAACACAGCCTTAACTTCAGGAAAGCAAAATATTTCCTCTTTGCTTTTTTTTCCTCCTTTGTTTTTCTGTCATCCTGGACTAGCTATAATACAACTAAAGACTCTGAAGTCAGACCTCAAAAAATGCTACAGAGGGATAGAGCTGGAAGCAAGACATTTGTTTATGTGTTCTGAGGCAAGTGCTGGACATACTCTTCTACGTGATGGTTTCTAGTACGTGTGAAAGCACAGATAATGGTAAATTCAGCCTAGTGATTTCCCCCAGCAATTTCAGTGTTTTTCACTTTAATTAACGCATGCCATCAGAGGCTCTAGATGATCTGGAATTTTATTTTAAAACCCAGCAATAAAATGTTCATGTCACTATGAAGAAAAAAAATTAATTTTAAGACAAGGCACTGTATTAGATATGCTCAAATTAGAAGTTCCTTCTAATGCAACTGTACAATATAGGTGTTAAAGTCCTTTTTCAGAATAAGATAAGGCTTAGAGAAGTTTGTAATGTTCCTATACAATTAAAAATCTCAGAAAAGTAGTCAACCCTCTTTTATGCTAAAATGTGACATTTTCCTTATATCACCTTGTTGCTCAGGGATTATGCAGAAGAGGTTGACAAGCTATTGCATGGTTTTACCAAAAAGGATCATAAACTACTATGTTAAAGATTTAGAGAATTTCTAAGCCTTTTAAATACTAGCTACTAAAAATGATTTTGGAGTCTCATCTCTCAATATGTTTGTAAGTGAAGTGAAATGTACTGTTCTTTATGTTCTCACTGCCTAATAAAAGGAAGACATGAACTTATAGGATTTTTTAAAGTAATGCTAGTATGTTTTCTCACCCATATTCATCTTATTGGCTTCATATCACAAAAGGAATTCATTTGTGAAATAGCTGTTTGGTCTAGATATATAGATTAAAATTATAAGACAATTTCTCTCTGTACAAAGCAAATGTAGTGCGATCACCCTCACAGTGTTGTCTTCACTAGAAGCATACAACATCTACCTGAGACCAGGATTATTCTTATTCTTAGATATTAAAACTTTATTTCACCTTTTTAATACAATATATTTCTATATTCCAATTTTGAAGTAACTGAAATCACAATTAGTTACTGTGAGAGGCACCATTTAATTTGAGTCCAGCTCATTTCTTAAGAGGGACTTCGCAGCTGGTGAGCTTTTCAATAAACACATTGAAATTAAATGTCCCATTGGGCTGTGTTTCATGAGTTATTTAGTGTTTGTGTTCTCACCGTAGGTGTCTGTATTTCATTGTTGTATTTGTTTTTATGACGAAATTGCATGTTTCTATCTCATCCTTTACTTGGTTAATTTAAATCAAGCCTTACAGGATTCAAAAACTGCTTCTTACATACTTATGCAATTAAATTTTAATAGAACACAGTGGTACTTCTCTAGATAAGACTATACTAATTTATCAAATTATTTAAAATGGGAACTTCATTAGAATAAGACTGATGGCTATAAACGCTCCAGCTCAAAATGAGCTATTGAACTTTCTAGTTGGCTGTGTCTTCACCCCAGTAAAGAATGTGTCTTTAAAGCTAAGGGTAACATTAAATTCAGAATTGAAGCCACAGAGTACGAGGGATTGATTTGCAGCAAATCTGATAACTCTCCATTTTCAAATGAAACGTGGACAGAAAGAAGGCAAGCATTCTTACCTTACATTCACTATATATTCATTAGTAAAACTTTGGATTGTGATCCTCCAAATGAGAAATTAATGATATAAAAATAATCATTAAATTAGAACTGAATTATGTTCAAACTTTGTTTTGTTGATCAGAAAGTTTAAAATAGTTTATTGTTAGGAAACCTAGAGAGGCTACCTAAATGAGGATACCTTTAGAGGATACCTAAATAAAGATAAATACCTTTATCTTTATTTTTAAAAAAATGGTGGCTACTAGCCTCAAATGCTCATTTAATATGGAATTAGGCATGACTTTTTACGTAAGATTACTCGTACACATGTTTACAGTATCCTCTGACCTAGAGGTACTTATCCTACTATTTGCTATAATTATTTGAGCCAACTAATAACTGTTTAATGCAGTATCTTTAGTTCTTCATTTTAAATCACAGGTAAAGGAAAACAGTTCCATTTAGGTAGTGTGACAAATCTATGACAGAAACTCTTCGATATATCAGCCCACTCTTTTTCGTGTTTACTTTGAAAGTAACCATTGAGAATTAGTTTGCTAAGATTTCTGAAACAGCCCTTGGAATCAAGAATTGTGGTGCAATAAGAGACGGTGAGCACAGATTTCAAATCTGATTCCTTTCTATGTCCATTGATTACACATATCTAATCTGCATTCAGGCAGGATATGCAAAGATTTAAACTCTCAGAGAGTCTGCTTTAAATTACTTTATTAGTATGCTAGCGCTTTGGTAAGTTGTACAGTATTCCAAAACAATATTTACTGCATTGTTATAGTTCATGAGGTATATATAGACTTACCTACTGTTAAGTTGCCAGAAGTTGGAGCAAATGGGTTCTTTACACATTCGTCTATTCATTCATGTATCCATTTATTTATTCATCAAAAATTATTAAGAACAGTTATTGAATGACCTTAGTAACTGGAATATATTAATATCAAAGTACTGTAGGGAAGTGAACAAACAAAGAAGCTTAGGGAAGCTGGGGTTGTTGCAATCTTATATAAAGTGACAATTGATTAAAAGTGATTGAAGGAGGAGAGAGAGCTGGGTATAAATCTGAAAGAAGAGTGTTTTAGACAGCGTGGAACAACCAGTGCAAAATTCCAAAATCAGAATGTGTCTGGTGTTGTCAAGAAACAGCAGAGGCCAGCATAGCTGAAAGAGAAAGAATGAGGAGAAGATGGAATAAAAAAGTAATGGAGTACAAGTACAAAATCCAGTGGGGTCTTCTAAGCTATTTCATGGACTATGGGTATAACTGTAAGTGCCCCTGAGGTGGACAAAACTGAGATAAATTATTTGCAACAAAAACTTTTGTTGAATTCAGTGACCAAAGAGAGATCAGTGACAGAGATGAAGTGATTGGGGAATTCAGAGAGAAAACACATGCCTGCACCATCAGAGTGGAAGGGAACAACGAGATCTGGCATGAGACTTGTCTTCTAAAAAAATCTCAAGATTTACTTATGTGCACGTTTTTAATTATTTTTGTCCTCCTTTCGTTCATGCCCCTTCCTTTGGTAATTTCATTTGTTTCCATGTCTATGATTAACATTTTAATGCTGATGACTTCTCTTTAATTTGCAATTCTGGTCCAATGGTCTCTTTTGAGGGCAAAACCCAATATGGGTCTAATGATTACTTGGCATACTTCACTAGAAACTTGACATGGATGTATTTCACTGAAGTGTTTGCCAATAATTTTTCAAGTTTCACTTAAATCTCACTTCTTTCTTTTAGCCTTTGACTTCCCTTGTACTTTACTCTGACAGCCCTCAATATACTTACAGTTACTTGATTAATGTTGTCCTTTTCACAAAATTATAGGTTCTATGAGAGTAAGAGCTACTCCCGTCTCATTTATTGCATTGCTAGTGCTCAATAAATATTTTTTGACAAACTGATTGTCTTATTCTCTATGGAGTTGTTACTCTGCACATTTATCCATTCAATAGATGCTGATATTTTTAAGGTAAGAGTAACTCAAAATATGAGAATTTATTAAGGATTTCAAATTTTATTTAAGTGCTCAGATCAGTCCACATCCAGATTGCATTATTCCAACTTCATTACAGTTTTAGCATATGTATAAGCCTGACTTGGAAACTACCATCATTGAAAAAGAGAGAGACCCAAAATGACAACCTGGAGTTGTATTAGGAGCACATCTTTATTTATTTTCACTTCCCTATAAACTTATTATGGGTAGTCCTGTGATGCTTTAAAATATTTTAAAAATAAACATCTTAAACATGGATTTTCTGTTTGACCTAAGTTTTTTATTTTTTATTTTTTAGACAGAATCTCACTGTCACCCAGGCTGGAGTGCAGTTGTATGATCATAGGTCAAACTCCCAGGCTCAAGCGATCCTCCCACCTCAGCCCCCCAGGTAGCTGGAACTACAGGCATGTGCCACCATGGTTGGCTAATTTTTTTGTATTTTTTTGTAGAGATGGGGTTTCACCGTATTGCCCAGGCAGTGACTTAAGTTCTAGTGATTGACCTTCTCAGAGAGAAAGAGTGATGAGCTTAGAGATTTTCTCCCTTCATTTTGTAGGGTGTTGGGAGTTAGATCTGAGATACATTATAGATAATTCATGATTGAAACTCCCTTGTGAGTTAAGACAAAAAATGTAGCAACTAGTCACATAATGACTTGCAGGTTTCAGTTCAATGAAAAAAAGAAAAATTTATCTTGGATATTTCTGGGTATATTAGATGATATAGATTGGAGAGGGAAACAGAGATTGAAAGGAACCAGGATAATATGGTTTGGTCTGTGTCCCCACCCAAATCGCACGTTGAACTGCAATCCCCAGTGTTGGAGGTGGGGCCTGGTGGGTGGTATTTGGATCGTGGGGGTGGATTTCCCCATTAGTACTGTTCTGGTGCTAGTGAGTGAGCTCTTGTGAGAGCTGGTCACTTAAAAGTGTGTGGCATCTCCCTCACTTCCTCCTGCTTCCACCATGTGAGATGCTTCACTCCCCTGTTGCCTTCCACCATGGTTGAAAGTTTGCTGAGGCCTCCCCAGAAGCAGACGCTACCATGCTTCCTGTGCAGCCTGTGGAACTGTGAGCCAATTAAACCTCTTTTCTTTATACATTATCCAGTCTCAGGTATTTCTTTATAGTAGTGTGAGAACAGACTAATACACAGAGTTGGTACCACAGAGTAAGGCATTGCTATAAAGATACCTGAAAATGTGGAAGTGGCTTCGTAAACTGGATAATGGGCAGAGGTTGGAAGAATTTGGAAGGCTCAGAGGAAGACAGAGAGATAAGGGAAAATTTGGAACTTCCTAGAGACTTGTTAAATTGTTGTGACCAAAATGCTGATAGTGATATGGACAGAGATGGCCAGGCTGAGGAGGCTGCAGATGGAAATGAGGAACTTATTGGGAACTGGAGCAATCGTCACTTTTGTTATGCCTTAACAAAGAGGTTGGAGGCATTGTGCCCCCTGCTCTAGGGATCTGTGGAACTTTGAACTTGAGGGTAATGATTTAGGGTATCTGGCAGAGGAAATTTCTAAGTATCAAAGCATTCAGGATGTGGCCTGGCTGCTTCCAACAACAAATGCTCATATGCATAGACAGAGATATGATGTAAAATTGGAATTCATATTTAAAGGGGAAGCAGAATGTAAGTTTGAAAAATTTGCAGCCCACCTATGTGGTAGAAAAGAAAAGCCCATTTTCAGGGGAGGAATTCAATTAGGCTGCAGAGATTGGCATAAATAAAAAGAAGCCAAGTGATAATATCAAAGACAATGGGCAAAAGGCCTTGAAGCCACTTCAGAGACCTTCACAGCAGCCCCTACCTCATAGTCCCAGAGGCCAAGGGGGGAAGAATGGTTTCATGGGCTGGACCAAGGGCCCTGCTACCCTGTGCAACCTCAGGAAAGTGCTCCTGCATCCTGGCTGCTCCAGCTCCAGCCATGACTCAAAGGGACCAAGGTACAGCTCTGGCCACCGCTTCAGAGGATGCAAGCCATAATTCTTGGCAGCTTCCATGTGGTGTTAAGCCTGTAGATGTACAGAGTGTGAGAGTTGAGGCTTGGGAGCCTCTGCCTAGATTTCAGAGGATGTATGGAAAAGACTGGATATCCAGTCAGAAGCCTGCTGAAGGGGCAGAGCCCTCCTGGAGAACCTGTACTAGGGAATGTAGAGGGGAAATGTAGGGTTGGAGCCCCCACACAGAGTCCCCATGGGGAAACTGCCTGGTGGTGCTGTGAGAAGGGGGCCACTGTCATCCAGACTCCAGAATGGTAGATTCACTGGCAGCTTGCATCTCTCACCTGGAAAAGCTCCAGGCATTCAACGCCAGCCTATGAGAGCAGCTGTGGCCACTGTACCCTGCAAAGCCACAGGGGCAAAGCTGCCAAAGGTTATTGGAACCCACTGCTTGCCCAAGTGTGCTCTGAATGTGAGACATAGAGTCAAAAGAGATTATTTTGGAGCTTTAAGATCTAATAACTGCCCTGCTGGGTTTCAGACTTGCATGGGGCATGTAGCCCCTTTATTTTGGCTGATTTCTCCCTTTTGGAATGGAAGTATTTACCCAATGCCTATACCCATCGCATCTTGGAAGCAACTAACTTGCTTTTCATTTTACAGGCTCATAGGTGGAAGGGACTTGGCTTGTCTCAGATGAGACTTGGGACTTTGGACTTTTGAGTTAATGCTGAAATGAGTTAAGACTTTGGGGCACTCTTGGGAAGGCATGATTAGACTTTGCAATATGAGAAGGACATGAGGTTTGGGAGGGGCCAGGGACAAAATGACATTGTTTGGATCTGTGTCCCCACCCAAATCTCATGTCAAATTGTAACCCCCAATATTGGAGGTGGGTCCTGGTAGGAGGTGATTGGACCATGGGGGTGGATTTCCCTGTTGGTGCTGTTCTCATGATGGTTAGTTCTAGTGATCTGGTTATTTAAAAGTGTGTGGCACCCCACTCCTTCCTCCTGCTCCCTCCATGTGAGATGCCTCGCTCCCCCTTTGCCTTCTGCCATGACTGAAAATTTCCGGAGGCTTCCCAGAAGCAGATGCTGCCATGTTTCCTGTACAGCCTATGGAAACATGAGCCAATTAAACCTATTTTCCTTATAAATTACCTAGTCTCAGGTATTTCTTTATAGTTGTGTGAGAACAGACTAATACACAGGGATTAGAATCAGTGTGGTAAACTTGGAAGTTATATATACACAGGCAGTAGAGGAGTGGTGCTTTAACTCTATACAAGAAAAATTGAGCAGGGAAAGATAGAAAACTTAGAAAGAATATAGTGTTCAAACTCACTGTCACTGTCTGATGCTGTTACTTTTTTCTCTGTCTTAGGTGGAGCTAGTCCAGAATAGAGTCTGTTACTGTTCACTTATGCCTTGAATTTCCACTGATCTTCTCCAGCTACAATTAGTGACCTATTATGGAGTCATTAAGATAATTAGCAGATATTCACTACAGTTGTAGCTGAACATAGTCTATGGATTCAGTCATGTTTGCTTCTCCTAAATATGGATATACACAAAAGCTGCCATTGAATATTAAAATTACATGAGGAAATTTAATCAGCAGGTGTCATATTTTAGCCCATTATCTTCTGATTAAATAGTAGTTGTCTGTGTTATGACATGAAGTTTATGACATTTTTACCAAAGTTGAAAACATATCAAATGGTTTGATATGTTGATAATTAAAATTCGGTGAGTTGAAGGTGATGAGTAACTTCTCAGACAGGCTTATTCAAATACTCAAATATCTTTTAGATGAGAAACACTCCTCCCTAGGAGAAATAATACATTTTAACGGTCTAAAATTTGGTAACTTGCAGATTAACAGTCCATAATTTTTAGCCTGGAGTTAAGTGATATGCATTTGGTGTGACCTATAATTAATTAATTCATTCATTCTTACCCTTCTCTTGCCTTTTGCCACTATCCGAAGGGACATGTCATTATGTTCTCATTAGCTCCAATTCTGACTTTATGCCATATTTTATGGAGCTAGCAAAGACTCTTGCAGTATAAAATGGTACTTTAATTTCAAAAATGTATTGACCTTAGTTGGTATGTGCACAAGATTATTAGAAACATAAAAAAAGTATATTCAGTAACATCTAAAAAAAATCAAGTTAATTTACCTTCATTTCTACCCTTTGGTTAATAGTATAATGGTTGATACTGACCAAGGTAGCCTAAACGAGTTTCTCTCAGCTTGACTAAATTTTAGATAGGGTTCTTTCTGATTCCTGATCTCCCTCCACCCTTTTTTTTTTTTTAAAGAGTATTTACTTTAGAAAACTTGTAATTGTAAATTATTTCTCTGCCCTTTTGAGATGTAAATTTTCTGCAACCTAGGAATATCTTTCTCGAGAACTTGGAAGCCATCACTATCATCAAGATAGTTCCCCATTTCCCAATCTCTGTGGGAAAGCAGGAGCATAACTTCAAAAAGAGTCAATCAGAAAACATGGATAGCCTGATCACGTTGACCAACTTCCTCCAGCATCTTCCTGTACTTCTCTACTAGCTCATCCTAGTGTTTATAAACTTTTCTGTCGTTCATGTTAATGGAATTGAGTTCAATCTTTCTCCTCTATTGCAATAGTCTGTCTTTACCATTGCAATAATTTTGAATAATTTTTAGACTGTCTGATGTAATTTTTATTTTGCAATACATATCCAGAAGCACTTAGGAAGTGTCTGACATATTTCTAAGTGCTTTCAAATATTAATTTGTTTAATTTCATGAAAATCCTGTGAGACAGACTGTAAATTGAAAATAAATCGAAGTTCCCCAACCAACTGAATTAGACCCCTCCTCTTGGCCAAGGAGACTTTAAAGTAAACTTGAAAAACTAGTTCAGGCCATGGTGAGAAGGGGTTGGGGGTGGTCAGACATGCCTCATTATGCTTCTTCCTCCCTTTGGAATTCAGGCACAACTGACCAGCACTAACATTAAAACAGATCTTAAACAGATAAAACAGACTCTTTCCAGCAATAAGAAACCAAATTCCAACCTGACTCTAGTATAGCATCACATGACAGATAGTAAGGCCTGAAAGAAATTGAAGTATTTCATCTCAAAATACATTTCTTTGACATATCTTAAAATGATCCTCCAAGATTGTCTTTTATGGGGAAAATCTACATTTTGTAGAGAACCCCCTTCCCTTTCCAGGTCTTTTCCTGATCCAGAAAAGATTTAACTGAGAGTCTGGCGCCTTTTAAGTTCTGGTAAGAGACATTTACCATCTATTCTTTCTGAGGCTTGTCACCTGGAGGTTTCATCTACATGATAAGAAACTTGATCTCCACAACCCCTTATCTTAACACAGCCACTTCTTTATATTGATTCCAGGTCTTTAGATAATAACTTAGGTCTTTCAATCAATTGCAAATCAGAAAATCTTTGAATCCACCCATAACCTGCTTCAAGTTGTCCTAACTTTCTCGACTGAAACGATGTGTACCTTACATATATTGGCTGATGTCTGCCTATAAATTATGTTCCCCTAAAATGTATAAAATCAAGCTGTAACCCAACCACCTGGGGTTCATGTTCTCAGGACCTCTTGAAACTGTGACTCAGGCTTTGGTCACTCATATATGGCTCAAGATAAACTTCTTTAAACATTTTACGAAGTTTGACTCTTTTTGATGACAATGCTGTTATTCCCATTTTACCGTATTACGTAGAGATGTTCACTTTCTCCGGAGAGTAAGAAGGAAACAAAGACTTATTCTGTCTCCCGTTACTCTTGACTCCCATAAACACCCACTTCTAACATTCCTGTCACTCTTTTCTTTTCCAACTAAAGCTGATCATTAATTTTTACAGATTGTATTATTTATTTACTTGGTTAATATTACACATATTGACTCCTACTGTGTGTCGGGGTTGGTGATAAAATAGCAGACAAGACAGATATGATTCCTTATGACATAACATTTATAGTCAGCGAGGAAATGGACAAGAAACAGGCAACTTTGTTGAAGTGGTAAATGATACTCTGAAGCACATAAACTGGGTTTCTAACACATGTCTGGTGGTACTGGGAGAGCCTCTCATGAGAAGGGACCACTAACCCGAAAACAAATCAAAGAAGAAGAAAGAGATGCAGGTAAATGTTTTAGGCTTGGAAAATATCACATTCAAAGCCTAGAGATTGCCAAGAATATAAATGAAATAAAAACAATAATACATGACTAAAACAAAGACGGTGTGTAAAGAGCTGGGGATGGTGGAGAAAGATGGAGTGAAGGTATGGGGTGACAGTAGTTTTATGTCAGAAAATTTAAGTCAAGTCCATCATTTTTGGCTTGATCATCCGGGCAATGAGGAGCTATTTGAAGAATTTTGTGCAAAAGGGTGAATACTGTATTTGCAGCTTTTGAAAACTCTCTGACAGAGAAGTGAAGTGGATTGAAAAGGGCAACAATGAAGGCAGGAGGCCATTTTAGGTGACTGTTGCAATAATGATGGACTTAAACAGAAAAATAGTGAAAAAAAGAAAAATCAACAGATTTTAGGAGCACCTCTAAAACTTTTGGATTTGGTTGGGTGGGTGATGGAGAGAAAGGTGTCAAAAATGCCACCCAGATTTCCAGATTGAGTAACTTCAGTAACTCAGGTGAAAATGCAAAATTTGTTGGGAAGACGGAGAGATCACTTCTGAAATTGTTGTTCTGCCTACAGTAGGCCTTTGCTACTTGATTCTACACAAGTGCCTGTGTTCAGGGCGTGGACTGGTGTAGTTTTTACTAAGTTATTCATGAAGGAGCAGAGATTATTCCAATTTGACTTGTGATGAGAATGACATGTGTTAAAGTTTTTGATCCAGAATTAAAACCCAGAATTCTTGATATCTCATCTGTTCTTGCTGCCTGGCAACCCCAAATTTCTAACATAATTCTAAATGTAGGATTGAAGGATATTTTTTACTTAATCTCTTAAAAGTCTTTTGATAGAGTCATGATAGATTATTAGGGAAACTTTGTAACTGCATAAAAGTAATCCTGTTAGGAAGTATTCATGACAAAGTTGTAGTAATTTTTTTGTGTGTATGGTGCTCTCTAAAAGTTGTAGGTAGAAAAAAGTTCTAACACAGGTGTTTTTTTTTCTGTCTCTTGGGTATGTGTATGTGTAAGTATAAATAGATGAATATATATGTTAATTATATATGTATAACAAAATTTAGATAAAGATTACAGAATAGCTAAATCTTTTTATTTAAGAAAAGAACTGTTAAATAGAAAACACCTATCTTAAATGAATCTCCAAAAGTTTTATTTTACATTTTAGCCGCTCCACTGCAAAGAATATTTGGATTAAGACTATAACTGTGTCCTGTTAATGTCCAGAAAAATGTGCATTAGCTGGTGGCTCAAATCTTCCCTAGTATGTGCACTTGCTTGTTAACATTCTGCAATTGAGGTAGTTAATGCTACAGTTAGCTCCAAGCAGGTGTGTACATTGTTAACAGTACTCTTTCAAAACAAGGGCCTTTGGCAAACTAAGTGGTCTGCCCATGTTAAATTAGGCCATAAAGTGAAATTGGGCTGTTTTACATTTTGAGATAATTTCCCACTTAGTTCTGATTATCTTGCATAAGCACTATTCAATGTTTGTTCATAGACATGATGTATTTGTTTTGAATCTACTCAATTTAAATAAGCTCTTTTCCAAAAAATGTCTCAAAACATCTTTAACATTTTAAATGGTTATATTTGGCTACACTCCAGATAGAACTGAAATAGAAAATAGAAGGGGTTGAAGTTTTAGTATTTGAAAAATTGTATTTTATTAGATTATTTTTTGCTTAAACTTTTCTATGCTAGTATTTAGTTGATGTAAATGAAATTGGCTGAGTGACACTGTTGAACAAAAGGGATGGGAATAAAAACTCCAATGCCAAATCAATGATAATACTTTTAATCAGAGTTAATTGATGCCAGCTGTGTGGTCTGCGTGTTATTTTGCATTTGTGGGTGAAGAAAGGTGTGGTTGCTGTTATTTCAATCTAGAAGCTGGAACTGGTTGCCAGTCATTAAGAAGGTATGGATAGGGGCATGCTTGGTGTTAATTGTACAGAGAAAACACTAAGTGGTTTAAGGGGTACAGTGTAATTTTGACTATCAGTGTAAGATGTTTTAGTTCTTTTATAATCACAGAGGTGCAAATCATAGACCTGCTATTTAGTTTTTAGTCTGACTTTAAGAAAACATTATAGGTCTCCTTGATGATGCTGTTAATTAATTTGTTACAGTATTAGATCTAAATTATTATTAAAAGTTAAAGTTAATCACTACCTCTTCCTTAAACCTTATTTCTGAAAATAAACTATTATAATTTAAATTATAATTTAAATTAACATTAACTACCCTAACCACAAAACAGTTCCTTAAAACACACATTCATATAAAAGTTATTTTGATGATCTATTTGGACAAGTAGATTTCTAATTTGACTTTGTTTTATTGTGGAGAAATGACAGCACTAAATTTTCTTATTGGCTTTCACTTGGGTTTATTACTAACAGCCTGTTAATAGATAGTTAATCTATGTGTTTAAGGAAGGAAATGAATAACAAAGATATCATAAGACAATTATTATTTTCATTGCCTTGAGATAACTTTTATATGCTAATTCCAAACATGAAATTATTTCTAATTATCCAATATAGACTAATTGATGCAATGATAGTGGATCCATGGTTTAGTTGAGCACTTACTTGAAACTTTTTGAAAAGTGATCATGTTCAAAGATAAAACATTCATCTTTAGGTAATCCTGATCATTGGAATGTCTTTTTTTTTTTTATCTTAAGCCTTAAGTCTATGTATTTGTGGCCTTTAAATTGTGCAACTCCTTTCATTTTTCTTCTTATAAACAAAAATGAAATTGGTTGTGAGCACCAGATAAATTGGTGAAGAAAAAAAGAATAATCCTAAGAGATTTGGTTTCCAATTAGAAACATAAGTCTAGATTTCAGATATGAAGGGATCTGCCCTATTCTCTTCTACATCCAATTTAGAATGTAAGTATGAGAAAAAATGGAAGATGTTATGGGAGTATATAAAGCATACTGATTATTTGAACTTATCTTTCCACTGGTTTTTAACTTTATGGCCAATTTCTTGTAAGTAGTTTTTAAATAGTGACAGATGTTATTTAATAATCAAAATTATCTGCGTGGTATAACACAAAGAGAGATTCTAGTGTAAATTATGAACATTATTTAATAACATCAATATTGGGTCATTAATTATATACCACATTGATTCAAAATGTTAATAATGGGGTAAATGTGTGTATTTGTTGGAACAATGAGAGTTGATACATATAGAGGCTCTGTACTTTCTGCCAAATTTCTCTGTAAAACTAAATAAAGTTGCTCTAAAAATAAAGTCTACTAATTTAAAAAAATTCTGTTAGAAGTTACAAAAATAAAGATTCTTTTTTTTTTTCTTGTTAACAAAAGACAAATTAGATCCGTGGAGGCAAAAGAATTTTGTTTTCTAAAAGAATCTATAGACTGGGAAGACAGAACCTCCAGTGTAAAACACAAGTGTGGTCCAAAGAGGACTGGGAGAGTAGAAGATTTTATTAGCCCATTCCTGCTTTGCTATAAAGAAATATCTGAGACTGAGTAATTTATAAAGAGTAGAGGTTTAATTGAATCATGCTTCTGTAGGCTGTACAGGAAGCATGATGCTGGCATCTGTTCAGCTTCTGGGGAAGCCTCAGGAAACTTTTACACATGGAAGACGGCAGAGCAGGAGCAGGTGTCCTCATATGGCCAGAGTAGAAGGAAGAGTGGGGGAGGTGCCACACAATCTTACACAACCAGATTTTGTGAGAACTCCATCAGAACAGCACCAAAGGGGAACATGGCCCCATGATCCAATCACCTGTCACTACGCCCCACCTCCAACATTGGGGATTATCATTTGGCATGAGATTTGGGCAGGGACACAAATCCAAACCATGTCAGAAATTATTAAGGCAAAAATTGCAGGGCAGGGGAGGAACATCAAGGTAGTGTGGATCACAGTGTTGATTGGATGACCTGTAAGCCCCAAATCACCAGTCTGTCTTAATTGTCTGATTCCAGGAAGCTGGTTGATTGGTGCCAGGTGGTCTGTTGGTGGTCAACTGGGGAATTTCCAGCTGTATTTGTTTTCAGGAACTGTTCATGAAAATAGATTCTGCAATACTTTTTAAGGACACAGCATGACTGCTCCCTTACTCTGCCATGATCTCTTGGTTCTGCTTTTAACTTTTGAGTCACAGAGAGTCCATCTTGCCTGCCATCTGGGGGCATCATTTGACACTTTAGTACTCCCACTACCCCCACCAAAAAACCCTATCTTCTTGGTAACTGATAACTATTTATTTTCAGAGGGACTTAAATTAACTACTACTAATTGTTAAAGTCTGAACATGTTTGGAGTTACAAATGTTGGTTTCTCAAATGCCCATTTAATGCACCCAAACTCAGAATAACATTCTGATTTCTCTATTCTAAACTCTTAACAAATCTAGAATGTTCTGTTTTTAAGATTCATGTCTCTCTCTTACATGTTTATTTCATTAAAAATATGATTATTCTTTAAGAAAAAATCTTATTAAGTATATCATTTTTAAAACTGAAAATGTTAAAGTGTAGCAACTTCCACTATAGTGTCACATGACCCTTTTTCAGGTACACAATTTTAAGATTATTGGTAGCATGAAATATGAGTTTTTGTGTACAGGATTTGTGAGGACATTTTAATTTTTCTGTCTTATTCATTGGTAGAATAAATGAAACATTAGTCATCAAGCTCACTCTTCCAACCCACCCAACTTTTCTCTCTTCTAAACATTTTCAATATAAAGAGAATTGAGATATTTTCCAATATGAGTCATTCCACCTATAAATCTTCAACATAATGCAGAAGAGAAAATGTTACTCAGCTTTTCACTGCATAAGGTTTTGCCTGTCAGTTTGCATTAAAACATCTTTCAGGACTATTATTTGTAGGATGAATTTGCTTTAAAATTGTTGATTGTGGTTATTTTTATACTCTTTGTTTCTTCTATTGAAATGCAAAATACTAAACAGTTTGTTTCAAATGCTAAGTATTACAGAGATTCATCTCCTTTTCAAGGTAACCATAAAAGGAAAAGAGTGAGAGGGAGAGAATGTAGAAACTCTGCATGATGACCCTTTCAGTTATATGATCTTCATAAATAAATTCACGATTTCACTAAATTTTCCCCCTTGTATTATTAGAATTACTTCATGTACACATACATATACAGCAAGCCTGAGGCAAAAAAGACCTTCCTCTCTTCTGATTTATTTTTAGGGTCTTGTTAAAGAAAAAAAAAGTATTCTGACATCTGAAGGCTGTTGTGATAGGTATCAAGACTACAATAGGAGAGAGAGATTGGGTTCAACTCCAAATACAGAAAAGAACAAGTGGGGATTTTTAGTCAAGGAGTAGGTTAGGGGAGAGGGGTGGTGGTGGAAAATACCAGGAGAAATTGTCAAGGGTAGGGAAGATTCTTGCCAAACTTACCAGGATTCATGATGAAGGCAGGTCAGGGTGATCAGATCGAGGGGGCAGATTGTCTCAAAATTGACTTAGCATGGTTCTTGCTAAAACTGGGATATTTATGTCTGTCAATGATTGGGGGAGGCAAGGTAGAGGGGCCTAGAAGAGGATTTGGAGGAGCCTGATTTAAGTTTGCTTAAGAAGAGTATCATTTTAGTCTTTCGATGTGATGATGTTGCTCATCAAATTAAAAACTCTCTAGTGAAATATGAATATTTTGCTTCTCTCCATAGCTAATTTTGGGGCTCAGAAAATGATATCCCAAAATGAAGGCCTCAGAAGCAAGTTTTTCTCTGACCTCACCCTGCTTTCCTGTCGCTCACTCTCATTCTCCCCTGAGGCTAGCTGGAGGAACTAGCATGCCTCTTCCCTAAGTCAGGACACAGAAACCAGAAACTTTTTCCCCAAACCAGCCATCAAACTTAAAAATACTACTCTAACTCAGTCATACACTGTGCCTTTCTGTGTAGGTCATAAGACCCCCATTCCAGAGAGTGTCCTGCCTCATACCCACAAGGAAGGAATGCTGCACAGAGGAGAGGAAGAATCTAGACCAGGCCATGCTGGGTTTCTCACTCAGTCTGTTAGGTTAGCATTAGATCATGCCCTTTTAATCCAATCGTATTTCCACATGGCTGTCAATACTTTGTTGACCCTGGGCATAAAAATGGACAATTTCCCGTGTATCTTTGTGTTTTGATTCTAAAGGCTCTTGTGTCACATAAAACTATGATCAAATAAATTTTATATGCCTTTTCTCCCATTAATCTACCTTTTGTCAGTGATTTTCAGCAAACCTTCAGAGGGTAGATAGAAAGCTTTTCCTTGGCCCCTACACTAAAGATAAACAATAACAAAAACTTTTCAGAAAAATTATATTGGCTTTTTGCTATATCTCTTAATTGAAAAAAAAGATATCTTTATTTTGTTCTGTTGGTGAAGAAACATTGTTAAAGCTTTGAGTTTCTTACATACTGATATATAAAATATAAACAATTAGTTGAATTTATTTAAATTTTATTTTTTGCAAAAACCTTAAAAAATGGTCCAACTGGAAAATCAAGCACATTCTATAATATTCCAGATCACTCTGGATTTGAAAAGAACTTCTGATTGTTAACCTCTGACAAATACCAGTTGATCACACCTTCATTTCACTACTATCTCTGCAGAAAGTTAAAATGTTTAAGTTTATTGTTTAACAAAAATCTACTCAGAATCCAATATATCTTAAATTGAACATTCTTAGGTGAAATTTGATGTGAAACTGATGTGAGTATAAATCAAGCATAATGTGAATGCATACCTGATTCAAATTTATATGATATGTAAGATACATACATATGGATAGATGATAGATTAGATACAAATATAGATAAATATAGATAGATATAGAGACATATCTCTGGAGTAAAGAACATTTTTTAAAGATGTAACATATATTTTATAAGAATAAATTTATTTTAATCAACACCTATTTTAGAAGTATGTGATAATAATAGAAAATATTAGTTGAACTGCAGTTGACCCTTGAAAACACGAATTGAACTGTGAAAGTCCTCTTACACATGGATTTTCCTCTGCTGCCTCTGAGACAAGACCAATTCCTATTTTTTCTCCTCCTTCTCAGCGTACTTAACATGAAGACAACTAGGACAAAGACTTTAATCTACTTCCACTTAATGAATAGTAAATATATTTTCCTCATGATTTTCTTAATAACATTTCCTTTTCTAGCTTAATTTATTGTTAAAGCACAGTATATAATACAGATAATATACAATTGTGTGTTAATCAACTGATTATGTTATTGGTAAGGCTTTTGGTCATCAGCAGGCTACTAGTGTTACAGTAGGTAGCTAGTCAAACGTGAGCAAGGCAGGAGAGGGCTCACCTCCCAAGACACACACACCAGGAATGTCAGGTCACCATCAGGTGATGATCAGGCAGCTGTTAAAGGTTTCTCTAAAATAATAACTAGTCGCAGCTGGCACCAGGGAAAGGCATTCTCCCAGTAGATAGAACAAATGTGAAACTAGTGATCAGCAGCTTCAAGAAAAGATCTCAGGAGTTGGATGAATGGGCTCAAGCATGCACATAAGAGGCAAAATGGTAGAGTTTAACTGGTATATGACCTTCTAGGAACATTTGGCCGGTAAGGGAAGAACGCTTCAAGTGAGCATGCATACAATTCCAGAAAACACACTGCACTGGAGTTGTGCTGGTCTCCCAAGTGCTATCAGCCCACTGTGCATGCAGACAGCCCACACCAAGGAAGGAATCAGGGGAGAAGGGGTGCAACACCCTGGAAGTATGCCAACATGTAAAACCCTAAGTCAAAAGCCAAGCAGTGCACTTGTCTTTCAAGTCACCCACTTGGCCCTCTTCCAACTGTACTTCCTTTCATTCCTGCCCTAAAACTTTCTAATAAACTTTCACTCCTGCAAAAATCTTGCCTTGGTGTCTCCTTCTGCCTTATGCCCCTTAGTCAACTGATTTCTTCTGAGGAGGCAAGAATTGAGGTTGCCACAGACCCTTATGAATTCACTGCCAGTAACATTAGTGTCAGGCCTCTGAGCCCAAGCTAAGCCATCATATCCCCTGTGACCTCCACGTACACATCCAGATGGCCGGTTCCTGCCTTAACTGATGACATTCCACCACAAAAGAAGTGAAAATGGCCTGTTCTTGCCTTAACTGATGACATTGTCTTGTGAAATTCCTTCTCCTGGCTCATCCTGGCTCAAAAGCTTCCCTACTGAGCACCTTGTGAGCCCCACTCTGCCCGCCAGAGAACAACCCCCTTTGACTGTAATTTTCCTTTATCTACCCAAATCCTATAAAACAGCCCCACCCTTATCTCCCTTTGCTGACTCTTTTCAGACTCAGCCCGCCTGCACTCAGGTGAAATAAACAGCCTTGTGGCTCACACAAAGCCTATTTGGTGGTCTCTTCACACGGATGCGCATGAAATTTGGTGCTGTGACTCGGATCGGGGGACCTCCCTTGGGAGATCAATCCCCTGTACTCCTGCTCTTTGCTCCGTGAGAAAGATCTGCCTATGACCTCAGGTCCTCAGACTGACCAGCCCAAGAAACATCTCACCAATTTCAAATCTCGTAAGCGGCCTCTTTTTACTCTCTTCTCCAACCTCCCTCACTAACCCTCAACCTTTTTCTCCTTTCAATCTTGGCACCACACTTCAATCTCTCCCTTCTCTTAATTTCAATTCCTTTCATTTTCTGGTAGAGACAAAGGAGACACGTTTTATCCGTGGACCCAAAACTCCGGCACCGGTCACGGACTTGGCAGGCAGCCTTCCCTTAGTGTTTAATCATTGCAGGGAGGCCTCTGATTATTCACCCACATTTCAGAGGTGTCAGACCACGCAGGGACACCTGCCTTGGTCCTTCACCCTTAGCGGCAAGTCCCACTTTTCTAGGGGGAAAGAACCCCCAATGCCTTATTTCCGCAACCCAACCTCTGATCTCTGCACCCTGATCCCTTATTTCCACGCCCCGACCTCTTATCTCTGTGCCCCGATTCCTTATTTCCATGCCCCGACCTCTTATCTCTGTGCCCCAACCCCTTGTTTCTGCACCCCGACCCCTTTCCCGCTTTTCTGGAGGGGAAGAACCCCCGAACCCCTTCCCTCCGTGTCTCTACTCTCTTTTCTCTGGGCTTGCCTCCTTCACTATGGGCAACTTTCCACCCTCCATTCCTCTGTCTCCCTTAGCCTGTGCTCTCAAGAACTTAAAACCTCTTCAACTCACACCTGACCTAAAACCTAAATGCCTTATTTTCTTCTGCAATGCCCCCATACGAACTCGACAGTGGTTCCAAATAACCAGAAAACGGCACTTTCAATTTTTCCATCCTGCAAGATCTAAATAATTCTTGTCGTAAAATGGGCAAACGGTCTCTGGTGCCTGACGTCCAGGCATTCTTTTACACATCGGTCCCTCCCTAGTCTCTGTGCCCAATGCAGCTCGTCCCAAATCTTCCTTCTTTCCCTCCCGCCTGTCCCCTCAGTCCCACCCCAAGCGTCACTGAGTCTTTCTAATCTTCCTTTTCTACAGACACATCTGATCTCTCCCCTCCTCCCCAGGCTGCTCCTCGCCAGGCTGAGCTAGGTCCCAATTCTTCCTCAGCCTCCGCTCCTCCACCCTATAATCTTTTTATCACCTACACTCCTCACACCCAGTCTGGTTTGCAGTTTCATTCCGTGACTAACCCTCCCCCACCAGCAATTTCCTCTTAAAAAGGTGGCTGAAGCTAAAGGCATAGTCAAGGTTAACGCTCCTTTTTCTTTATCCGACCTCTCCCAAATCAGTTAGAATTTAGGCTCTTTCAGCAAATATGAAAAACCCAGCCCAGTTCATGGCTCGTTTGGCAGCAACCCTGAGATGCTTTACGGTCCTAGACCCTAAAAGGTCAAAAGGCCGTCTTATTCTCAATATACATTTTATTACGCAACCTGCTGCTGACATTAAATAAAACCCCCAAAATTAAATTCCAGCCCTCAAACCCCACAACAGGACTTAATTAACCTCACCTTCAAGGTGTACAATAATAGAGTAGAGGCAGCCAAGTAGCAACATATTTCTGAGTTGCAATTCCTTGCCTCCACTGTAAGACAAACCCCAGCCACATCTCCAGCACACAAGAACTTCCAAACGCCTAGACCGCAGTAGCCAGGCATTCCTCCAGAACCGCCTCCCACAGGAGCTTGCTACAAGTGCCAGAAATCTGGCCACCAGGCCAAGGAATGCCCGCAGCCCAGGATTCCTCCTAAGCCATGTCCCATCTGTGCAAGACCCCACTGGAAATCAGATAGAAATCAGACTGTTCAACTCACCTGGCAGCCACTCCTCCAGAGCCCCTGGAACTCTGGCCCAAGGCTCTCTGACTGACTCCTTCCCAGATCTTCTCGGTTTAGCGGCTGAAGACTGACGCTGCCTGATCGCCTCAGAAGCCCCGTAGACCATCACGGACGCCGAGCTTTAAGTAACTCTCACAGTAGAAGGTAAGTCCCTCCCCTTCTTAATCAATACAGAGGCTACACACTCCACATTACCTTCTTTTCAAGGGCCTGTTTCCCTTGCCTCCATAACTGCTGTAGGTATGGCTTCTAAACTGCTTAAACTCCCCAACCCTTGTGCCAACTTAGACAATACTCTTTTAAGCACTCCTTTTTAGTTATCCCCACCTGCCCAGTTCCCTTATTAGGCTGAGACACTTTAACTAAATTATCTGCTTCCCTGACTATTCCCGGACTACAGCTATATCTCATTGTTGCCCTTCTTCCCAATCCAAAGCCTCCTTTGCCCCCTCCTCTTGTATCCCCCCACCTTAACCCACAAGTATAAGATACCTCTACTCCCTCCTTGGCAACCGATCATGCACCCCTTACCGTCTCATTAAAACCTAATCACCCTTACCCGGCTCAATGCCAATATCCCATCCCACGCCATGCTTTGAAAGGATTAAAGCCTATTATCACTCACCTGCTACAGCATGGGCTTTTAAAGCCTATAAACTCTCCTTACAATTCCCCCATTTTACCTGTCCTAAAACCAGACAAGCCTTACAAGTTAGTTCAAGATCTATGCCTTATCAACCAAATTGTTTGGCCTATCCACCCTGCAGTGCCCAACCTGTACACTCTTTTGTCCTCAACACCTTCCTCCACAACTATTCCATTCTTGATCTTAAAGATGCTTTTTTCACTATTCCCCTGCACCCCTTGTCCCAGCCTCTCTTTGCTTTCACCTGGACTGACCCTGACACCCATCAGTCCCAGCAGCTTACCTGGGCTGTACTGCCGCAAGGTTTCAAAGACAGCCCTCATTACTTCAGCCAAGCTCTTTCTCATGATTTACTTTCTTTCCACCCCTCCACTTCTCACCTTATTCAATATATTGATGACCTTCTTCTTTGTAGCCCCTCCTTTGAATCTTCTCAACTAGACACACTTCTGCTCCTTCAGCATTTATTCTCCAAAAGATATCAGGTATCCCCCTCCAAAGCTCAAATTTATTCTCCATCCGTTACCTACCTCGGCATAATTCTTCATAAAAACACACGTGCTCTCCCTGCCTGTCGTGTCTGACTAATCTCTCAAACCCCAACCCCTTCTACAAAACAACAACTCCTTTCCTTCCTGGGCATGGTTAGATATTTTTGCCTTTAGATACCTAGTTTTGCCATCCTAACAAAACCATTATATAAACTCACAAAAAGAAACCTAGCTGACCCCATAGATCTTAAATCTTTTCCCCACTCCTCTTTCTGTTCCTTGAAGACAGCTTTAGAGCCTGCCCCCACCCTAGCTCTCCCTGACTCATCCCAACCCATTTCATTACACACAGCCGAAGTGCAAGGCGGTGCAGTCAGAATTCTTACACAAGGACCAGGATTGCGTTCTGTAGCCATTTTGTCCAAACAACTTGACCTTACTGTTTTAGGCTGGCCATCATGTCTCCATGCAGCGGCTGCTGCCGCCTTAATACTTTTACAGGCCCTAAAGATCATAAACTATGCTCAACTCACTTTCTACATTTCTCATAACTTCCAAAATCTATTTTCTTCCTCACACCTGACGCATATATTTTCTGCTCTCCGGCTCCTTCAGCTGTACTCACTCTCTGTTGAGTCTCCCACAATTACTGTTGTTCCTGGCCCAGACTTCAATCTGGCCTCCCACATTATTCTGGATACCACACCTGACCCTCATGACTGCATCTCTCTGATCCACCTGATGTTCACCCCATTTCCCCACATTTCCTTCTTCCCTGTTTCTCACCCTGATCACACTTAGTTTATTGATGGCAGTTCCACCAGGCCTAATCGCCACACACCAGCAAAGGCAGGCTATGCTATAGTACAAGCCACTAGCCCGCATCTTAAAACCTCTCATTTCCTTTCCATCGTGGAAATCTATCCTCAAGGAAATAACTTCTCAGTGTTCCATCTGCTATTCTACTACTCCTCAAGGATTATTCAGGCCCCCTCCCTTCCTTACACATCAAGCTCGAGGATTTGCCCCCACCCAGGACTGGCAAATTAGCTTTACTCAACATGCCCCGAGTCAGATAACTAAAATACCTCTTAGTCTAGGTAGACACTTTCACTGGATAGGTAGAGTCCTTTCCTACAGGGTCTGAGAAGGCTGCCGCAGTCATTTCTTCCCTTCTGTCAGACATAATTCCTCAGTTTAGCCTTCCCACCTCTATACAGTCTGATAACAGACCAACCTTTATTAGTCAAATCAGCCAAGCATTTTTTCAGGCTCTTAGTATTCAGTGAAACCTTTATATCCCTTACAGTTCTCAGTCTTCAGGAAAGGTAGAACGGACTAATAGTCTTCTAAAAACACACCTCACCAAGCCACCAACTTAAAAAGAACTGGACAATACTTTTACCACTTTCCCTTCTCAGAATTCAGGTCTGTCCTTGGAATGCTACAAGGTACAGCCCATTTGAGCTCCTGTATAGACGCTCCTTTTTATTAGGCCCCAGTCTCATTCCAGACACCAGACCAACTTGGACCGTGCCCCAAAAAACTTGTCATCCCTATCTTCTGTCTAGTCATACTCCTATTCACTGTTCTCAACTACTCATACATGCCCTGCTCTTGTTTACACTGCCAGTTTACACTGTTTCTCCAAGCCATCACAGCTGATATCTCCTGGTGCTATCCCCAAACTGCCACTCTTAACTCTTAAAGTAAATAAATAATCTTTGCTGGCAAGGCTATGCTGAACCTCCTTAGGCACTCTCTAATTAGATGTCCTGGGGCCTCCCAATTCTTAGTCCTTTGATACCTGTTTTTCTCCTTCTCTTATGCTGTTTAGTTTTTCAATTCATACAGAACTGTATCCAGGCCATCACCAATAATTCTAAATGACAAATATTTCTTCTAACAACCCCACGATATCACCCCTTACCACAAAATCTTCCTTCAGCTTAATCTCTCCCACTCTAGGTTCCCACGCCGCCCCTAAATCCTGCTCGAAGCAGCCCTGAGAAACATCGCCCATTATCTCTCCATACCACCCCCAAAACATTTTCACCTTCCCAACACTTTACCACTGTTTCGTTTTATTTTTCTTATTAATATAAGAAGACAGGAATGTCAGGCCTCTGAGCCCAAGCTAAGCCATCATATCCCCTGTGACCTGCACGTACACATCCAGATGGCCGGTTCCTGCCTTAACTGATGACATTCCACCACAAAAGAAGTGAAAATGGCCTGTTCCTGCCTTAACTGATGACATTGTCTTGTGAAATTCCTTCTCCTGGCTCATCCTGGCTCAAAAGCTCCCCTATTGAGCACCTTGTGACCCCCACTCTGCCCGCCAGAGAACAACCCCCTTTGACTGTAATTTTCCTTTATCTACCCAAATACTATAAAAGGGCCCCACCCTTATCTCCCTTCGCTGACTCTCTTTTCGGACTCAGCCCACCTGCACCCAGGTGAAATAAACAGCCTTGTTGCTCACACAAAGCCTGTTTGGTGGTCTCTTCACACGGACGCACATGAAAATTAGTACTTAGGTTTTTGGGAATCAACAGTTGTGCATGAATTATTGACTGCATGGGGGGTAGGTGCCCACATTGTTCAAGGGTCAACTGTATATACTAAGCCTTGTGTTAAATGTTTTATATTACATTTTATATCAACAATGCTGTGAGCTGCGCTCTATTGTTTTGCGTTTTATACATTTTGCATAAAGTCAATAAGTGACTTGCCCAAAGATCACATATATGTAGTTAAGTGGCAGAGGTAGTATCCATTCCTTCTCTGTCAGTCAGGGTCAACCATAGAAGTAGAGCCAAGAGTTGGCAGGAGTTTCTTCTTCCCTTGAGAAAAACTCAGTTCTGCTTTTAAGGACTTCCAGCTGATTATCCAGGATAAGCCCCTTACCTTAGTCAACTTACTAGGGCTTAATTAAATCTGTAAAATATCCCCACAGCAACACCTAGATCAGTGCTTTTTTGAATTAATTGGAACTGCAGCCTAGTCATGTTGACACTTTAGAAAAGATTAACTGAGAGTCTTTCATCTTTAAAGGTCTGAAAGAAACATTTACCATCTATTCTCTTTGAGGTCTGCTGCCTGTGATGTTTCATTTACATAACAAGACCACCTTTCCCAGATAGGCCTCCTCTTCTTTCCCTCCCATAACCTGTTTTGCCACCATAACCTGATTTACCACCATAACCTGTTTTGGGCCATGCTCCTAGCTCCCATTCTTTCTGTAACTTCAAGATGGTATAAAAGCTTCTGTAACCCATTGAGAGTTGAGGGTAATCACTCTCTGGTCCCACTTCTATGTGACATTAATTAATTTTTATGCTTTTTTCTGCAATTAATCTCCTTTTGTGAATTGATTTTTCAGCAAACCTTCAGAGTGCAAAGGGGCAGTTTTTTCTTTGTTCCCTCTAAGTCCCTGATTAATGGGGGAACTTTTCCAGATGTGGATGGTTTGGAACAAACTTATTTTGAAATGCATGACCTAAATTAATCAGTGTGGGAATGGCATTAGGGTTTGTGGCAGAGGTCAGTGGCCCAGAAGACAGAGGAAAGGTTCTATATACCTCAGTGTGGTAGTATATGGTTCTCATAAATGTAAGAGAAAAATGTGGCCATATTGCATTAAATGCAATAGTATAGTTAGTGTTTCATGTTAGTATTTTCTAACTTACTTCCATGAAATCAACTAGGACATTTGAAGGAATATTTTCTAGCCTTTAAAAATATTTAGCCTTTTGGGGCTCAGAAAATAATATCCCAAAATATGGCTTTTCAGCATGCAGAGTACTTTGAACTAAAGGACATTACAGAGGCTCAGAAGCAGCCTCAGAACCAGCCTCTTTCAGCTTCTTCTGCCCTCCTGTCTCTTGTCCATCATTTTCCCTAAAGTGAGTCATAGAAATCAAAATTCCTCTTCCTGATTGTGGGAAAGAGTTTTATAGAAACTAGAAACTCCTTTTCCCAAACCCAGCCATAAAAACTAGAATTATTACTCTAATATTCCTCTACCTTTCTGTCTAAAAACTGGCCATAAAGAAATTCTCTGACATACCTTGTCTGAAAGTAGACCATAAGATCCTCATTACACAAGGGGTCCTGCCCTGCACCTAGGAAAAAAGGATTGCCACACAGAGAGGCCAAGACAAATCTTGACAGGCCTTGCTGGGTTTTCCCACTCAGTCTATTACTAATACATCATTCACTTATTGTCCAACCACATTTCTACATGGCTGTTCACCCTTCATTTAGTCTAAGCATAAAAATGGAGAGTTTTCTCTTAGGTATTTGGGCTTTTATTTCTGAAGATTCTCATATAACATAAAACTTTAATTAAATATAATCTCTCATACTTTTCTCTTGTTAACTTATCTATTGTTGCTGGAGTGTCAGTTATATCCCTTATGATGGGTAAGGAAACATGTCAAACCTCTCCACCCCTACAAACCCATTCTATCCATTAATAAGCCCATTCCACCCACATTCACAAACTTGCAACAGAGAAAAGATGGGAATATTTAGAATAATATATCCATACAATTTATGTCCCTGTTTACTTTTAATATTTTTGGAGCCCAATTCTCCGGATGTGCTCAAATCAGCCTCTGTAGACTCAGATGTTTTGAAAAGTATTTTGATTGCTAACATCTGGATTTAGAGAAGGACATAGTCTCTTACGAGTACAATGACATGTAAAACCAACAAAACAAAGCCATTTTTCCTTGTAACCACAACATTGCCCTTCATGAAAACCCAAACTAAACATGACATTTAATTTACACTACTGGTGGTTGATTCAGTGACATCTGTACTCCTCAACTGTTCTTAGGCTCATCATGATACACATTTTTTTCTTTAGAAATTAGAGTGGGGACAAGTCAACTCGGGGAACACTCACTATAATTATTGAGGCCAGCATCTTTGCAACAAAGCACATGTCATAATTTTGAGGGTTTCTATACAGTCAGATATTCACTTTTATCTAAGGATACTTTCATTGGCTTGTTTTTTTTTTAACACTTTTTTAGCCTGAATGAAAATATACCTGTTCTCCCATTTTTAGTTGTTCACTGTTACTTTCCAACATGATTTTTTTAGTTGCTTGATTAGTTGTTATGTAATTCTCTGATATTTATACAAATGAATATATTTGATTGTTACATTTTCCACAGCAGTGATTGGATAAATTATTTTTGGAATCTAAATCAATCTTAACTCATGGAGGAGGAAGATTTGACAATTCTCTTGCATTTCTTTTTCTCTTTCTTTTCTATCTTTCATTTTTTCTTCATCTGCTGAATGTCATAGCCACCTCATTAGTTCTGGATAATCTCTTTTCTTTCAACAACGAAAGACCTGTAAGCTCTAAATTTGTCTTGAAATGTCTGTTGCACTGCAGGGTCATTTACTGTGAACCATTTGTAAGGAACATACACCAAATGTTCCAATCAATGTGTACAGATAGGGTCAGGCTAATACAGAAGTGTATTAAAATGGCCGGATGCCAATTTAGTTCATCTTTTGTGAAATCCTGAGTTATTTTCTTGCTACAAACATCAAGATGAAGCCTTTGGAGTTTATTTCTTTCCTTTCTATTACTTTCTTCTATATTTTTATAAAGAATATTCTTAAACTTTTTAAAACTCTACCTGGCCAAATAGTCCATATATACTTTATTAGAGAAAATAGCTTTAAGCCAACTGTAGAATGATTGAAATTTAATTGTTGGTAGCCAAGACAAGTAAATTGTTAATCAATAGGTTTAGGGGAGAATATTAGCTAAAGCTTCAGGCAGTTTCTTATTTACTATAAGCACAATAACCATAATTAATCATCCAGTAAAAAATAATTCTATTTGATCTGTAAGAGAAATGAGAGTTTCATTTCAAGATGTAATTTAGCAAATGTAAGAACTTAAGTAGTAGCGTTACCATGATCAATTAAACAATGCCTTAGATTAGAAGCTGAACCGTTATTTTATTTGTAGTCCAAGGATTAATACTTATATTAAGTTTAGTTGCAAAACTTAAATGACATTTACTGAGAAACCACATGTAGGCTGACATTCCTTTTTTCTTTCATAATTAAGTTAGAATAGATTTGAAGCATGGCAAGGTGTTGCATGTGAATAAACAATATAGGTAAATATTTAAGGAAACAATACTTTAATCTTCCACATAAGACATTTAGAGTAAGAGTCATGATGTGAAAAAGAACAAGCCACTAGTTTGATTTTTTTAAATCCAATTTACTGGTATCAGAGTTTGTATAAACTCCTCCCAGATTCTGGTGTTGAGGCTCAGAACATGATATTCCAAAGTGTGACACTTTGGCTTGCTGTATACTTTGAAGTAAAAGACATTGGAACCATCTCAGAAACAGTCTTTCTGACTTTCTTCCACCCTCCTGTTTTCCATCCCTCTTTCTCCTGCAGTGCAAGTCATAGAAACCAGAATTCTTATTCCTCAAGATGGGTCATAAAAATTAGAACTCTTCTCCCCCAGAGCAAGACATAAAACCTAGAAAGACCATTTTATCCATTTTCCCTTCTCACTTGAAGACCCTCATTTCAGAAGGTTCTTGCCCTATACACTGGAAGAAGGAATATGACATAGACAGGCCAAGAAGAATCTGAACAGACAGGACTTGCTGGGCTTCCCCCTCAGTCTGTTACCATTAGTTCATACCTGACATGGTTTGGCTGTGTCCCCACCCAAATGTCATCTTGAATTCCCACGTGTTGTGGGGGATATCCAGTGGGAAGTAATTGAATCATGGGGGCAGGTATTTCCTGTGCTGTTCTCATGATAGTGAGTAAGTCTCAGGAGATTTGATGGTTATTATAAGGGGAAGTTTTCCTGCATAAGCCCCTTCTCTTGCCTGCCACCATGCAAGACGTGCCTTTAACCTTCCCCCATGATTGCAAGGCTTCCCCAGCCATGTGGAACTGTGAGTTCTCCATTAAACCTCTTTCCCTTTTAAACTGCCCAGTCTTGGGTATATCTTTTTTTTCTTTCTTTTTTTTTTTTTGTTGTTGTTGTTTTGAGATGGAGTCTCACTCTGTCACTCAGGCTGGTGTGCAGTTGCGTGATCTCGCCTTACTGCAACCTCCACCTCCCAGGTTCAAGTGAATCTCCTGCCTCAGCCTTCCAATTAGCTGGGATTACAGGCGCCTGCCACCACGCCTGGCTAATTTTGGTATTTTTAGTAGAGACAGGTTTTACCATGTTGCCCAGGCTGGTCTCAAACTCCTGACCTCAGGTGATCTGCCCGTCTCAGCCTCTCAAAGTGCTCGGATTACAGGCATGAGCCACCGAGTGTGGCCCCTGTATCTTTATCAGCAGCATGAAAACGAACTAATACAGTAAATTGGTACCACTAGAGTGGGGCACTGCTGAAAAGATACCTGAAAATGTGGAAGCGACTTTGGAACTGGGTAATGGGCAGAGGTTGGAATAGTTTAGAGGGCTCAGAAGAAGACAAGAAGATTTGGGAAAGTTTGGACCTTCCTAGAGACTTGTTGAATGGCTTAGACTAAAAGCCTGATAGCAATATGAACAATAAGGTCTGGGCTGAGGTGGTCTCAGATAGAGATGAGGAACTTGTTGGGAACTGGAACAAAGGTAACTCCTGTTATGTTTTAGCAAAGAGACCAGCAGCATTTTGACCCTGCCCTAGAGATTTGTGGAACTTTGAACTTGAGAGAGATGATTTAGGGTGTCTGGCGGAAGAAATTTCTAGGAAGAAAAGCATTCCAGAGGTTACTTTGGTGCTGTTAAAGGCATTCAGCTTTATAAGAGAAGCAGAGCATAAAAATTTGGAAAATTTGCAGCCTGACAACATGGTAGAAAAGGAAAACCCATTTTCTGAGGAAAAATTCAAGCCAGTGCAGAAATTTGCACAAGTAACAAGGAGCTGAATGTTAGTCACCAAGAAAATGCGAAAAATGTCTCCAGAGCATGTCAGAGGTCTTCATGGCAGCCCCTGTCATCACTGGCCCAGAGGCCTAGGAGAAAATGGTTTTGTGGCCTGGTCCCAGGGTCCGGACCCGTGCTGTGTGCAGTCTAGGGACTTGGTGCCCTGTGTCCCAGCCACTCTAGCCGTGACTGAAAGGGGGCAAAGTACAACTTAAGCTACTGCTTCACAGGGTGGAAACCCCAAGCCTTGGCAGCTTCCATGTGGTGTTGAGCCTGAGGGTGCACAGAAGTCAAGAACTGAGGTTTGGGAACCTCTGCCTAGATTTCAGAGGATGTATGGAAACTCCTGGATGCTCAAGGCAGAAATTTGTAGCAGGGGAGGGGATCTCATTGAGAACCTCTGTTAGAGCAGTACAGAAGGGAAATGTGGAGTTGAAGTCCAACACAGAGTCCCTACTGGGGCACCGCCTAGTGGAGCTGTGAGCAGAGGGTCACAGTCCTCCAGACCGTAGACTGGTAGATCTACTGGCAGCTTGCACTGTGCAACCGGAAAAGCCACAGACACTCAATGCCAGTCTGTGAAAGCAGCCAGAAGGGAGGCTGTATCCTGCAAAGCCACAGGGGCAGAGCTGCCCAAGACCATGGGAACCTACCTCTTGCTTTAGCATGGCCTGGATGTGAGACATGGAGTCAAAGGAGATCATTTTGGAGCTCTAAGATTTGACTGCCTTGCTGGATTTTGGACTTGCATGAGACCTGTAACCCCTTTGTTTTGACCAATTTCCCCCATTTGGAGTGGCTATATTTGTCCAACGCCTGTACCCCAATTATGTCTAGGAAGTAACTAACTTGCATTTGATTCTACAGGCTCAAAGGTAGAAGGGACTTGCCTTGTCTCAGATGAGACTTTGGACTGTGGACTTTTGAATTAATGCTGAAATGAGTTAAGACTTTGGGGGACTGTTGGGAAGGCATGATTGGTTTTAAAATGTGAGGACATAAGATTTGGGAGGAGCCAGGGGCAGAATGATATAGTTTGGCTGTGTCCCCACCCAAATCTCATCTTGAATTCTCATGTGTTGTGGGAGGGGCTGGATGGGAGGTAATTGAATTATGGGGGCAGGTCTTTCCTGTGCTGTTCTCATGACAGTAAGTCTCATGAGATCTGATGGTTATTTTAAGGGGGATATTTCCTGCACAAGCCCCCTTCTCCTGTCTGTTGCCATGTGAGACATGCCTTTCACTTTCTGCCATGATTGTGATGCTTTCCCAGCCACGTGTAACTGTAGGTTCTCCATTAAACCATTTTCCCTTGTAAACTGCCCAGTCTCAGGTATCTCTTTATCAGCGGCATGAAAATGGACTAATACGGTACCCTTTTGTCCACTCACATTTCTCCACAGCTGTCCATTCTTCTTCTAACCTAAGCATATATTATAAAAAATAATTGAAAAATTATTCAGTTTTTTGCTGAATCTTTGAGTTTTCATTTCTGAAGGCTCCTGTGCCATGTAAAACTTTGATTAAATAAATGTGTTATGCTTTTCTCTTGTTAACCTGTCTTTTGTTATAGGTGTGTGGATGGTGATACATATGATAGGTGAGAAAAGATATCACACTTTTCCACCTCCATACTGGATATGATCAACTTTTACTCATATTTCTCTGTGTCACTGGATGTGTTGATTTTTATATAAGTCCAAATGGCTATTTTAATGAAATGTTGGAGGAGAATAAAGACAGAGAACTTAAGAAAGATAGAGGTAGTGTGAAATGAAGTCAATTGCACATTATACACATGATCACACTGAAGAAATTTCAGTGAAATTCCTCCTTGTGTATTTTTTATGAAGAGCTAAACATGTATAATTAGTTTAGATACTGGAAACATTTCTGTGAAAGTAATCTGGCATGCATTTCCAGATTTAAATAATATGGAAAATTTACTTATTCCCTTCTTTAAGGACTATAAATTCCCATATTAGAGATAAGGAAAACTTATAAGTTATAAATATACAGTTTAAAATGTTGATCCTGATAAATGAGACTACAAATGACTTCAAAACAAAAATGTGTATGTCTAATTCACTGCATATATGTAGAAGTTTTATAAAAGTGGTTAGCTTTCAGAAATCCATCCCTCGATTCTACTATGAATGCAAAGCTTCTCCTATTGTCTGCCTATGAGTATTTTGCAATTTTGAAATGCTTCAGGTTAGCCCAAACTGCACAACTGACATTTTAGAAATTTTTTTTTCTCTTATTCATCTCTAAATATCAGTACCTACAGGGAATATGCTTAACTTATTAGAACAGTAATTTTTATGGATTTTTGGCCCTTTTGTGCTCCAAAGATACCTAAGAGTGGGTCTAGCTGTAATTTTGTAGGTCAGTATGATATTCTTGTGGAATAAAACAAAAGCTAATTTTTTTTTGCAGCTACCATTATACATGGACAATTTTTAAAAATATATAATCATTTTTTTCAAGAACTTTAAATTCAACATTAACATGTTCTCTCTGTTTAAGGAATAAACTGAATATACACTATACTATTAAATTATGTACTTTGCCAAAATGGTAGATAATAATTGTTCAAAAAGTGTAAAATAGACCTACATGTCTTTAAGTCGATGTATAGATTATAACATTCTAAAATTGATGTAAATTTGTTGTATGACAATGATGTTTTAAAGTGTTACCTATCATGATGTTAAGATGTTAAGTGGTAGACCAAACATCATTTTAAAGAACTGAACTATCAGTCAAGCATCTATATATAATTTTAATGAATATAAATAGTATTCAATAATGTTTTCTCTATTTTTTTCAACAATAGTATAGTGCATATTAAAGAAATATTTTCTAACTATTTTTCTTTCTCTATGGCAGTGACAAGAACATTATCAGGGAAAAACTAGGTTTTACTGAGACAGGCTTTATACAATTTGAGGTTCTTTTTAACAAACTAATGTAAAATTATAAATGCACCATTAGGTACATAAGTGAGCATTTATCTAAAATGAGAAAATAAATATAAAATAACATTGCATTTTAAAATGTTAGTGGAAACTGCTAACATCATAGAAATCCAGAAAATTTGTATGGTATTTACTAAATTACAATGCCCCCTTATAACCACCCCAACACCTGCCTCACATTTGGCTGCATGCTCTTGATCAACTCTTCATATTACAATGGTTTTATCATATCTTTCTATAAAAGAGAAGAAAAAAATATTTTTCTCTAGTGTATTTGATGAAAATATATTTTTATAACTTATTAGCATTCCTTTTAGTATTATAACTTATTACTGAAACTATCATGCAATTTCTAGAATTGTTTTCCAAAATTGGGAAAGACTTTAAGGTTTTTTTTTCAATATGTGAGTATGATTTAGGTGAATTTTACACACATTCTGGTTCCTAACATTTTACAAACAGATTCCATTCCCCAACTCACAGGTTGGTGTGTCATAGGACCTGCTCATATCATAATGGGATTTCATTTCTGCAGCACTTTATGTCAGTGGGTAGAAGAGTATTTCTAGAAGTCATTCCTATACTGAAACAGGTAGCAGTTATCTAGTTATGCACAGAAGTGACTGAATCTCATCAGTATTTCCCACTAAACTCAAACTAAATGTACTCCAACTTAACTTCTCCTTAGCTATATCCCCAAAGGCCCAAAGGTATGCTGTGCCATCTAACAACAGGAGGAGTTGAATAGCAAAAAAGACAGTGTTCTTAACCAACTGCAGTTAAAATATCTTTTGCAAACTTTTAAAAAGTCACATGACTGTGAACACATTGGTGGCCCTTTTCTGGGCCTTGGAAGGAACCTATGCAAGTAAATTTCATTTGCTTCAAGATGAACCTGGCTCTGAACATGATGTGAAGATTAGATTAAAAGATGATTTTACAGCCAGGGGCAGTGGTTCATGCCTGTAATCCCAGCACTTTGAGAGGCCACGATGGGCAGATCACCTGAGGTTAGGAGTTTGAGAGCAGCCTGGCCAACATGGTAAAACTCCGTCTCTACTAAAAATATGAAAAAAAAAAAAATAGCTGGGCATGATGGCATGCACCTGTGGTCCCATCTACTTGGAAGGATAAGTCAGGAGAATCACTTGAACCCATGAGGCAGAGGTTGCAACCTATGAGCTGAGATTGTGCCACTGCACTCCAACATGGGCGACAGAGTGAGACTCCTTCTCAAAATGTGTATATAGACAGCTTAATATGTGGATCTGAGTTCTTTACATTTGGAAAAGAAATGAATTTATATCCTCTAAAACATCTGAAATTTAATTTTCATAAAGTTTCCTCCTCTGAGTAAAATAATGTGAGACTGTCCTTGCATCTGTTCTCACTCTTCCTGGTCTCCTTGGGTGACTTCAGCCAAATCCTATCACTTATATAATGCTGCTTTTCTGAGATATTTGTCTCTACCTTTCTCTTGAGATTCAAGTCTGAGTATCCTACTTTATTTGTTGGTCACTAATAACTTGATATTTCAAAGGCACAGTCCATCAGATACTTTGCCAAAGATGTTTTCTATCTTTATTTTACACCTGTAACCTCAACATCAATGAATTCTTATGTCGACTTATGTCAATCAGAGGCCTCTTAATAACCTCTCTACATGCAATATTTTACTCCTATTTCCTTCTAAGTCTGTCACCACTACAACTACCTTACTTTGGGTCCATCTTTCTCATGCAGGTTATTGCAAGAGCATATTCATCTGTGTCCTTATCTGATGCCTAAATCTCTTGTCAAAGCACATACTGCAAGATTATTCATGTCAAGATTCCAGTTAGATAAATATACAAATTTCTTTAAAATTATTCTGTGGTTTCTAGATTTTAGGATAATTTTCAAATGTCTTTACTGAACAAATCAAATCTCTTGACTCTTTTTCTTGCTCTGTGTTCTACTGTCTCATATGCAATCTCTACTTAAGCCATTCTAATTAATATCCAGTTTTTGGGGTCCTGGTGTTAACTTAATGCTTCGTCCTTCTACCTGCTATGTTTTCTTAAGGGAATATTCTGACCCCTCTTCTCTGCTGAAGAATCTTCTTGATGGACTTTGGGACTTACCTCAAAAGTAATCAACCTCTTCTGAGAAAATTTCCCAGGTCTGATAGGCTAATTCAAAAGTCAGTTCTTTCCTTTGCTTTCACAGCACTTGGGCATACATTTATGAGATGGTTAACAAACCACATTGCAATCACTGGTTTTTACTTTTCCCCCCGTAGACTATGGGTTCAATGTGATTAAGGACTATGTTGTTTATTTCTGCACTCTGAGCACAAAAAATATAGTGTCTGATACATAGGAGATGATCTCAAGTATTTTGAATGAATGATTAAATGAGAGAAAAGTTCTGAGGTGTGGTTTAGCAACTAACCCGTTAAAAGCTCAATGAATAGGTAGTTGTGAGTATAGGGTGATCATAAGATCACATAATTCAAGGCAGGGCAACATGCACCTATTTCTTTTAGTCTGTTGACAACTTGACAATACTAATGCTACTACTTCTTTTCTCTCCTCTCTATATCTTAGTGAATCTTAAAATATTAAAGTATATAAATGAAATGAAGTCACTAATGATATGATAAATCTAAAAGTAGAGAAATAAGCTCAATAAAAGAGTAACTCACAAATAGGAAACTCAGTGTATAAAAATTGATACAGTATCTAGGAGTATCTAAAATATAAATACTTTGATAAAGTATTTATATTTTGGGAGCTCCTGACTTGATAAAGTTTCATTATTGTTGATAATGGTTACTGAAAATAGACCATAGTGAGGAAGTTTAAAATGTTTATTAAAATCAATACTTATAAATGATAGATTTACCTGTTTGTTTACCTCACAAAAATGTCTTTCTCCCTCTTTTGCTGTCTCCTTTTTTCTTTTTCTAATATGTATGCATATATATAAATCTTAAAAAAATTGGTTTAATGTGTATTTATAAAAAGATGGAGCATCTCTTTGAATTGATTTTCTGAAGGTAAATATTTCCCTCTCCTTCCACTACCGAATGCTTTATTTCTTGTCTAAGTTTCTATTGGTTGACTCCTGAATGTCTTCATTGACATTGTCCATCTCCTTACATTCCTCAGTGTTGACACCTAACTTTATGACATGCCAGCCTCATAATGTGACTAACTAAAAGTCATTTGGATAGTTCATCTTTATATTTAATATAGCATATGGAAATACTTACAGGTTATTATAGTAATTAAGAATAATGCCATATTTCATTAGCTATGCCTCAGTAATTATGAATATATAATGATTTGAATAGGAATGATGCTAAAATTTACTTTTATGCTAAAAGAAAAAATCCTGCTAAAAAAATTTATAGTGTACATATAATTTTAAGAGGATTAACTGAAAATGTTTCAAGTCCTTAGCAGTGTCACTTTGCATGGTAGTCATCAATAGATAGCTGAAGTTATTTTACTTTATATATTTTATTTTACTTTACTTAAGTCACTTTACCTAGAACTAATCTGTCCATGATGTTTAAAATTAGTAGCCAGGCACAATGGCTGATGCCTATAATCCCAGCTACTCGGGAGGCTGAGGTGAGATGATCACTTGAGACCAGGAATTAGAGACCTATTTGGACAACATAGTGAGACTCTGTCTCTACAAAAAATAAAACAATTAGCAAGGCAAAGTGGTACATGCCTGTAGTCCTAGGAACTTGGGAACCTGAGGTAGTAATATTACTTGAGCTTAAGAGTTCAAAGCTATGGGGAGCTGTGATCATGCCACTGCATCATTCCAGGCAACAGAGTGAGACGCTGACTCTTAAAAAAATTATTTATGATTATGTGTTAGATATGATCTTATTAATAAACTGAATTTTAAATATTGTTTATTTAGAAATTTTCACATATTCAAAGTGTTTTTCTTGATTTCAAGTTACTGAGATTTTTTTTTTTCTTATAACTTGAATAGTGTAGGTGTCAAGAATTGGATATTGTGTCAAGATAAACTGATATTTAAATATTTCAATTAAAACTGATTCCATTCTAGTTATTTATCATGTAGCAAAAATAGATAATTCGAAGTTGATTCATTTTTTAAAGTACTGAACACATGATAAGAAAGTCAATACGCAGATGTCCTAAAATTATTTATGACAATAAATTATGATAATTCAAATCAACTGCTAAGAATATATTTATTTGTACTTCCTTTTCTGACACCAAAATATATTTGTAATGTTAACATGTTTGATACTAATCAGCCCAAGTTCAAACTCTAACTCTGTCATTTGTGAGCTCTGTGATATTGACCAAGTTACTTCATTTCTCTAAACTCTAGTTTGTTCCTTCATAAAAGGTGAAAAGCAGTAGCTATTTTATAAATGTTTCATAAGGATTAAATGGGATTATGTAAAATGTTCTCAACATGATCTCTGACATATGGTACTCAATGAAGAGTATGTCAATTAAATTAATTTTAATGTAATTAAATAAAAACATTCTATAATAGTGCACATAACCAATCATCTTCAGTTTCAATTACAATTAATAAATAAGGCAAATTTTTATGACCCCTAAAAATACCCATTTACAGAATATTATTTGTAAATGAGTTACCTGCATTGGCTCATGTATTGTATATAATTAAACATTATTTTTAAATTGCTGAAAATCTTTGCAGGCTATACCTCCAGGATTAGGAGGTAGTATTGGCTATTAACGCACAAACTGCATTTAATTTTATTGACTCATTTTATTCAGCCTATTTAATTAACTTCCTTGGCAATACACTCAATAATGGAGCCCTTTTCAAATTCTTATCCCTTAAATGCTGGCTTTACTCTTGAAATCTGTCCTCAGTTCTCTTCTCTTCTCACCTATCACTCCTCAGATGATCTCATTCGCCCCAGGAACTTCAGTTACTATCTATTTGCTAATAAGTTCTACATTTATTTCTCCAGCACATAGCTCTTTATATCATAAAATCCATGCTCTATTGGGCATCTCCATCTTAATTCCCACAGGAATTATAAGTGCATACAAACTGAATTCAACATAATCTGCTGGTAAACTATTGTGTCTCTTATTGTATTTATTGAAATACAATATGCTGCAATCAACCCAGTTGTAAGAATTGAAAATCTGGATATCATCTTCAGTTTCTCACTCCATCTCAGCCTTCACAGTAATCAAACATCAAATTCTACCATATCATCTCCATTTTTACTATCACAACTCTGGATTAGGCCATATCCACTCTTTCTTAAGATATTTTGACAGATAATTAAATGTTATGCTTTTACTAGTCTTTTTGCCTCCATTTCAGTCTCTGCGACATAGCCAGCATGATCCTTCTAAAGCACAAATGTAATTATCAGACCCAGTTCTAAAATCAGTGAGGCTCAGGCAAGAGCATAAATGGAAGTGCATGGCTTCTGTGATGGATAATTGTAGGTGTCGAATTGACCAGATTAAGGAATACCTAGAGAACTGCTAAAGCATTATATCTGTGTGTGTCTGTGAGAATGTTTCTAGAAGAGATTGGTGTGTGAGTCAGTGGATTGAGTCGGGGAGATCTACCCTCATTGTGGGCAGGAACCATCCAATTGACTGGAGTACCAGACAAAGCAGAAAAAAAAAAAGAAAAGAAAAGAAAAGAAAAAGAGCTGGTAAACCCTTCTTCCCCTGCCCTTGGACATCAGAACTCCAGCCTCTCTGGTCTTTCTTTGGATTCCATGATGTACCACCCATCCCCACAAGATTCTCAGTCCTGTGGCCTTGGACTGAGAATATCACATTCAGCTTCTCTGGTTCTGAGGAGTTTGTACTTGGACTGAACCATGCCACCAGCACCCCAGAGTCTCCAGCTTACAGCTGGCCTGTCATGGAACTTCTCAGTGTTCATAATCGCATGAGCCAATTCCCCTTATAACCCCCTCTCATCTATCTATCTATCTATCTGTCTATCTGTCTATCTATCTATCTATCATCTATCATCTATATGTCATCTATCTTATTGGTTCTGTCTCTCTGGAGAATCCTGACTAATATAGCATCTCTACCCTCAAGCTCCATTCATTGCTCCCAGGTGCCTCAGGCACGTACATAGAGACACTTCAACCTGTATGTCCAATCATTGCCCATGATCATCCTTCCCAAAACAGCTGTTCAGGGCCCTTTACTCCAGCCTATTGGTGAGCCCACAGTTGAGAGCTGCCCTTAAAGGGACAGACCCAGGGAACAGGCCACACATACCATGGGAGCAGTTTGGGATTATCTAGGTATGGTGTCCTGGGTGACTATATACACAGAGAGTGCTATAGAAGGGTGAGAATGGGCTCCAGGTGGCACTGTGCCCTTGGCCCTTTGGACTTCTTGCCCTATGAAGAGAGTCATAGTTAGAAGAAGCCATGAACCAGGGCCCATTTTTCTGGGTCTAAGTGTGATACTGCTATTATTATTAATTCCCTTTTGAAAATACTTTAATAACCCTCTATTTTCTTCAAGATCAAGTCCCAACTCAGTACAGAGTAGAAGGCCTTTAAAGGTCTGACTCTTGTATATTTCTCTATTTTATTTCTCAACATACTATATTTCACATTCTACAATTCTATATTCATATTCATATACTCATATTCTATAATTCTGGTAAATCAGAAGTCATTTCAGTTCTTTAAATATGGAATATTTTCTCTTCTACCTGGATTTTACATACCTTTTTTTTTTTTTTTTGAGATGAAGTCTTGCTCTGTCACCCAGGTGGGAGTGCTCTGCTCACTGCAGGTTCCGCCTCCTGGGTTCAAGCGATTCTCCTGCCTCAGCCTCCCAAGTAGCTGGGATTACAGGCACCTGCCACTATGCCCAGCTAATTTTTGTATTTTTAGTAGAGACAGGGTTTCACCACGTTGGTCAGGCTGGTCTTGAACTCTTGACCCCAAGTGATCCACCTGCCTCAGCCTCCCAAACCGCTGGGATTATAGGCGTGAGACACCGTGCCCGGCCAGCAGAAACCATTTTCTTTGGAGTGTGCCAGCACTCTCCACATATCCTCCACCTGGGTATTTCCTTTTCATATTTCAGGTCTCAACTAGATGATACTTTATTCATGGAAATTTTTCTTACACTTATTCATAATAGGGCTCTGTGTCTTTTTACCACTAAAAATTTATACATTCTATGTGTCATGTCCTTACTGTTTTATTTAAACAAATGCTAAACACTTACTTATAAATCTGACTGGAGTCTCATGCAGAGATTATGATAAATCCTACCTGCTTTTGGAACATAATCCACATTCATTGCTGTAGTCTATAGGGTAGTTTTCCTATGGTCCTTTGCCCCCATCTCCTGCTGTTTTGCTTCTGCTCCTATTCTGTTCCAATATTTAGGCCTCTCCACTGATTTACACACAGAGCATTTCTACCAAATTTGTGAAATAATTTTGTTGAGGTTAATTCTATTGAAGACTGCAGGGTTCATCAGAGGGAGTTCAGAATCATATGCCACAACATTTCAATAGAAAAATTCTTATACCTGTTTCTTCTTTGATGTTTCTCCTTGCCTTCCCTCTCAATAGGGTTGTTAGTCTTCCTTATTCTTACACCACCTAAAGTCGAGACTCAAAGACATATTGATCCTGAATTTCTTCCAGAGAAACCTCAATAGTGACCCCCGCCTTAATTTGGGAGACTTGTCATCTCTGTCATAGTTTCTATTCTTCATAAATCTTATTGAAGAATAATCTAAATAAAGCCAATATATTTATCCAAAAATATTTTTATACAAGCTACTCAAAAGAAAAAGAAAGTGTATATTTATATTATGGTCAGGATGTGCTCAAGAGTTGGGTCCAATTGACTGTCCACTGCTTCAGATCTATCAGGAAGCTGAGGTGGAACAATTATTGCAACACTTACATCTGACCTGAATAAATCCTGAGTGTTATGTATTAATCACATTAAAGCAGCCTGAACTTCAGTAACAAAAAATGGGGGTTAACCCAATAAGCTTCTGACCCATAAAAAATGAGTGCAAATTATGCATTAATGTGTAACTGATCACATTAGCAACATTCTGCCATGAAACAGATGTCTATCTGCTCCCCACAGCATTGTATCTGTGAAGTTTGCCATCTCCAGAAATGAATCCTTGATTTATTATTGCCCCAGGCTAATTAAAGAAAATGTTAAGTCTCAGCTTTGTGATTCATGCTTATTGACTATGTGGTCAGTGAAGGAGAAAGAAACCAGAGATTTAACGGAACAAAGGCCATCTGTGTCTTATTTTGAAATTGATTTTTAAAAAATATAGGGCATCTGTGGCAAAATGACAGCAATTATAGACTTCCATATGTGAATATTAAAAGGAAACACATTTAGAAGTTGATAATTAACTAATAATTATTTTCCAGGTGGTATTATACCTCAACTTAATTTCTGCAGACATACTTCTATCATGGCCACAGTGTTAGATAAAGACAATATTGAAAGACAAAGGCACTTTTGATTATCTGTACAATTGAAAACCTTATACAAATGCTCATCTTTAGGCTGAAACTATTATTAAATGATACAAATTCACTTTAATACAATGCAATAGTGTAAGTGCCAAATCAGGTGTTATAGTGAACTTATTATGTGCAGCAGATACTGCTTTTTATTAGTAAGTTAGCCATAGAAAAGCAAACGTAATTTTGGATATTTTAAATTATATGTAATAAGTCTATTCCTTTAAAAGTTAAGCTAAAGAAGATGACAGAAGAGGAAGCTTCTGGACTCTGTCTCCCCACCTAGTCAATAATTGCACTGGCAGAATCTGTCTGATGTAACTATTTTGGAAATCTGGAGTCTATTAAAGGCTTAAAACTTCCAGAGAAAGGCTTGAATGGTAAATTGTAGTTAATTTTAGTCAATTTCAGCTCCCAGAACAGTAGCTGACACCCATTTCCCACTGCAGATTCACAGCAGGCAGCTGTGCATGTGTTCCTGGAGCAACCTACACACAGCTTACAGATGCCAAGGTGGGCACAAAAGGACCCTGTCTTCCAAATATTGGGGATCTGTGCTCTAATTGCTGATCGCAGAGGTGCAGACAAAGAGGTGGGAAGCCTTTGCTTTGCTCCTCCTCCCATTATTACAAGTCCATACCGCCTACCTTCCCGCCATTGGTTGTTGTGACTTTCAGATGACTTAAAGGGCTGGTATCTTTTTCCTGCCTTCATTTTTCTCTTTTTCCACTTTTAGAAGCCAGACATAAAAGAATAAACATTACAAAACAATTGCATATGTGGGAAAAATTAGGAAGTGACCATGTATTCTCAGGGAAAGGTGCAGGCTCCAAAAGGACCTACCAGGACCTTAAGTTTATTCTCAGGCTGATCACTGGCAGAGACAGGCTACAACAGTTATGATACAAAAACAATAATGATAACAAAAACAGCAAACCCTGTGGAAGCGGGAGAATCTGATTTCCAGAGTTACCATGTTATTAGCTTCAAATGTCAAATTTTTTTAAAAAAATTACAAGACATAAAAAAAAAAACCCAGAAAAGCATAACCCATTCAATGGAAAAATAAAACTAAATCAATAGAAACTATTTTTTAAAAAGACCTCATGCATGTCTACTAGACAGTGATTTCAAACTATCTTAAAGATGTTTGAAGAACTAAAAAAGATGTGAAGAAAGTTTAAAAAAGATGCATAAACAAAGTGGAAATACTAATAGAAAACCTAAAAAAATATGAATAGTTCATCCCTTGTTTAGCATATAATTATGAAGTAACAATAAATATCCTTGGTTAAGCAGCTCAAGCCACTGCTCTGCCAATGAAGTAGCCATTCTTTTATTACTTACTTTCTTAATAAACTTGCTATCGCTTTATGAACTTGCCCTAAATTCTTTTTTGTATAAAATCCAAAAACCTCTTGGGGTCTGGATTGGGACCCTTTTCCAGTAACATCTTTCTGGTGAATCCAGAAGGGACTGTACTGAAGAGACCCCTGACCCAAGGAAATAGACTGCAGCACCAGTTGGCTGACTTTGGGAAAGTAGTGGGGTACCCAAGTAAAGAATGGGATTGGGTTAGAGGCCCAACTTAGGGGAGTGAGAGTCTCTCCTAAGAAAGAGTAGGTTAAAGGACCCTCTTAATAAAAAGGCTAGGATGCTTGAGCGAACTTGGGTTTGAGGTCCAATTTAGGAAGGTTAGAGTCCTTCCTAAGATTTTGAGGGGTTGGACTATCCTCTCAGTAAATGTCCTCTTGGCCAAGAATGGATTTGGCATTATGGCATGTTAACCACTATTCTCTTTGGATTAATCTGCCTTGTACTCTTTGCTGATGGCTGTAGGTGACAGGAGTAGGCAGGTACAGGATCACTGTGATAGCAGCAGTGGCCCTTCTGGAGCAGCCACTGCGGGGACAGCAGCTGCAGTGGGGAAGGCAAGGTCAGGGCTGCGGGCTCTGCAGAGCTAGGGGGTGGCTGGGAACAGGCAGGGGCCCTGCCCCCTACTAAGTTGGTGGGTGGGACCCCCATGCTCCCAGGAACAGCTGCAGCCACCCAGCCATGGCTCTGGACCCAGGCATCTCTGTGTTCTTGGGGACCCAGGAAGCCCCTGCCCCCTCAGGCTTAAAAGTGCCTGCTCCCACTCCCTGGCCTCTCCCAGCTCCTGGCACCCGCTCTGGGGCAAAGCAAAGTTGTGGCTGAGCCTGGCCACTGTTGTGATCCAGCTGGGTGTGTGTGCACTCAGGATGGTGCTGACATGCCAGCCCCCTGCTGCCTTGGTCTTCTCTAGACTTTGGATCCTGACAAACACAGGAGGAAGGCTGAGGAGGGGCTGAGGGCAGCTCAGTGCAGACCTGAAGGTGGTCCTCCACATGAACAGCTTGGGCACCATGGATAGCATGTTGATGATGGCAGGAGGCAGATAGGCTCCTGGGTTGAAATAGGGAGGTCCCTGGTGAAACCCCACCTTCAAGCCAGGGAGGACCTGAAGCCTGGGTGCTGGGATGCCAGTTCCAGGTGGAGTCTCTGGCCTGGAGTGAGAACTTGTGCTTCTTCCAGGACCTCGCATGGCTGCCCATGGACCAGTCAGCATTCACTTCCTCCCTTCTGAGCCCATAAAAACCCCAGACCCAGCCAGGCTTGAACAGATTTTGGGACTACCAGCTGCAGGAAGGAGCTATCCACTTCAGGTCTCCTTGACTGTTCAGAACAACCTTCCTGCAGAAAAGAGCTTATAAAAACTTCTTTCCACCTCTTTGAAAATACCTGTACACTCCTGTTAAGCCATAACTTTACTTAAGGCTTATTGGTTTTACCTGTGAGGTTGCTTTTGGTAGCATTTGAAAGCCAGAAATATCAGCCATTCAGCCTGGCTAAAGTCAAGTAATGAGATTAAAAAGGATTTTTTTTTTTTTATAAGAGCACTAGGGTTAGAAGTCAGCTTAATTAAACGTGGATATTCAAGTTCTACCAACCTGGGATTCCTTGGGAAAAGCAGAGGAGATGCTACAGACCCCATTTTGGGAAAACCTCTGTTTTCCTCATGAAACCCCAGGAGTTAGAAATGGATAGATCCATCTCAAAATTGAAGGCTCTTTTCTGTTTTGCATTGCGTTATCTGATTTTTGACTTTTGGTGATATCAGAAATTACTTTGCATTATGAGAGAGTTTTGCTGTGTAATAACTGTAGAAAATATACTTTGGGCATAGCTAATTGTAGTTATGGGAGGATACTCAGCTGTTTGCACATTTAGATCAGAGAAGCATGCTCTTGGCCACCTGGAAAGTATGGAAATGTCATGTCCCCTCCACTGAGAAATGAAACTCCCATAGGGGATGGGCTAATCACAGAATGGGCTGATTGGCTTTGGGTTGCTTTGCAATAAAATGCATGATAAAATCATTGCGCTGTCTTGTTCCATAGTATTTATTTTTGGGGAATCCAGGATTTGGTATAAAAAAGGGACCCTTACATTTTGGGGATCTGTTTTGCCTTCTAGCTGTGCCTACTCGGCTGTAGAAACTGTATGCTTCCCTGACCCTGTTCCTCCAGGGGCTCCACCCTAAGGCCAGTAATCATATTAGGAAACTGGCAAATGAAAAATTTTACAACTACTGGATCTTCTGTCTCTGTATATATGTTGTGTGTGTGATGTTATATGAAAGCTTTAAAATAATAAAAGCTAAATCAAATATTTTATCGAAAGGTAAAAGGTGTAATGCCTGTGAGTTCATGCGACTTTAGTAATCTTTGGGAAATAAAAACAGTTTTATTGGTAAAATAAAAATGTCTTCAAAATTTAGACATTTGGTCTAAATTATGCAGGTTTGCCTAGATTAGAGGGTTAAAGGATTATTTTAAGTTAGATATGATAAAGCTGAAGGTTTGAACAAGTTTTGGAAGGTTTGTGAAAAATTAATCTTGTAAAAGAAATTCTGTGTGTGAACATACTGGATAAAGTTAAAGGGGTATTATTCAGTTTTTCTGTAAACTGAATATTAAAATAAAAGCACAGAAGGTTTTTCTTAGAGCACTGATCTACTTTTTGCCAAAATTTTGTAAAGCGTTTTAAAAGGTTAATAAAAATCTTACCTTATGGTCAGACATTAAAATTGGATAAATTTTTCTATAAGGTATTAAGAATTGGGTTTGACTTCAATAATGCACAAATGCAGTGGTGAAATTTGGCTTATTTGGTATAAAAACCAGCAGGAAACATTGTCAAATATAAAATGGTGTTAGGCTTTCTTTGGGATCTATTTATATAAATATGTTATTGGTAGGTTTTCCAAAACCATGGGAAACTCCTGTAATTTTAATATGACTTAGTGTATGTTATTAATAATTATAATTGTTATATAAAATTGTTGTATGCCACAGAAGTAACCAAATTTTCTTGCCAATTGTGGCTTTAGTAGTGACTGTCCTAACTAAGACTTTTTATCACCTACAGACAATTGTCTTGCTTTGGTCCTCTTTAGAAGATGGATTATAGTCAGATATTGGACTTTGACAGATGCTCTTAAATGCAGGTTTCTGATAACTTTGGAGATTGTGACATTAGAATAGAGGAAAAACTTTTTCAGGATCCATGGAAAGCTAAAGTGTTAATGAATATCAAGCAGGACAGGAGCTAACTGCATGGACCAAACTAAGAGAAGACTGAAGTAAGCTTTTTTGAATTTTTGCTTAAAATGTTGCTGATCCTTTGTTTTTCAGAGCCAAGCAAACTTTTCTTTTGCACTAATCACAGCTTTTAACAATTGAGTAAAGTATACTCCTGTCAACAAAATTTGGGGCATGTTTGTTTCTCTCTACTTGATTTCTCCAATATTTGTACACTATTTGTAAATATCCTTAACTTACGGCAATATTTTTTTCAGAAGTGCAATAAGAATCTGTTTTCATTTGTAACAGGACATAATTGGAGAAACTGGTTATTTTACCAAGGCTTTGACTGAAATGATGTTTTCTTTTAAGAAGTCAAACTTGACTTATAGAGCCAATAAAAGTTCCTTGAGAAAACTGGCATCACATAGTCCTATGTAGACTATGTCTACATAGTCCCTGTACAGGGTTCCAGACCTGTGTAAGTAAAGAATGTCACTTTCTGACAGGCCCAGGAACCCCAAGTTATCTTGGGACCTTAAGAGGAGAGGAATTTACTCAACTCCTAGGTATTTGAGGGTAGAAACCCATGGCTGGGCTTGGCTTTAAAAAAGTCTTATCTGAGATATCTTCTATGGAATGGAGCTCTATCAAAGCCAATTTAAAAAGTGCTATGTAAAAAAACATTTTTTCTTGCTGTACTTTATACAAATAATCTGGCCAAGTATAATAAAGCAAATCAGTCTTACCATGATTTGTCTTTAGTAAAAATGGGAAACTGGAGAGAAAAAAAATTATGTTTCAAGAACTATGATGCACCTGTTATAAAACTCTAGTCTCATCAGTTGTTTTTCAGGGTTTTTCTGCAATTTAGGCTGACCTTGCTTATTCCTGTGAGCCAATTAGTGATCTCTGACTGCAGCTCAGAAGGAACAAGAGGGATGGGGAATGTAAAAATCCAGATCAATATTCTAATTCTGGACACATTGGAATCAGCTAGCAACTCTTTATCAGCTTGGTTCCATCAGTTGCCCAGTTCATGAGAAACCTTCTTAAACAGTTTACTTGGGATAATTTTACTTATTTTGCTTTAATGTTGCAGAATTATATTGCTATTGTACTTTTTATATAGGAGTGCTGGATAAGCTTACTCAATGTTTTCTTTTTTTTTTCTTTTTTTTTTTTCATGGAGTCTCACTCTGTCGCCCAGGCTGGAGTACAGTGGCAGAATCTCGGCTCACTGCAAGCTCCACCTCCTGGGTTCACACCATCCTCCTGCCTCAGCCTCTGGAGTAGCTGGGACTACAGACACCTGCCACCACGCCCGGCTAATTTTTTGTATTTTTAGTAGAGACAGGGTTTCACCGTGTTAGCCAGGATGGTCTCGATCTCCTGACCTTGTGATCCACCCACCTCAGCCTCCCAAAGTGCTGGGATTACAGGCATGAGCCACTGTGCCTGACCTCAGTTTCCTTAAATTGAAGAGTTATTAATCTTCCAGATTCATAACTCCATTCATAACAGTTGGAGTTATGAATGGCCCTTATCATACTACTGATACTTTCCTTCTTTTTTTTTTTTTTTTTTTTTGATACATAGTCTTGCTCTGTTGTCCAGGCTGGAGTGTAGTGGCACAATCTCAGCTCACTGCAACCTCTGCATCCCCAATTCAAGCAATTCCCCAATTCAAGCAATTCTCCCACCTCAGCCTCCCAAGTAGCTGGGACCACAGGTATGCACCACCATGCCTGGCTAATTTTTGTATTTTTAGTAGAGATGAAGTTTTGCCATATTGGCCAATGTGGTTCCAAGCTCCTGCCTCAAGTGATCCACCCACCTCAGCCTCCCAAAGTGCTGGGATTGTAGACGTGAACCACCATGCCCAGCCACCATACTGATGCTCTCTGATTGAGCTCCTCTTTACCCTGAATACAACAAGAGACCCCGATAGTTAGGCAGGCATATAAATGTCCTTGTTCAGCATGAATGAGTTACAGCAGATGAATCTTCATTCCTCTGCAACCCTTAGGATTAAGGGTTCTCTTTTAAAACTGAGGGGTGAAATGTCAGATGCATTTGACAACTCCATCTTGAATAGGGGCTGGGAAAAATAAGCCTGAGAGCTAGTGGGCTGCATTCCCAGGAGGTTAAGGCATTCTTAGTCACAGGATGAGAGAGGAGGTCAGTACAAGATACAGGTCATAAAGACCTTGCTGATAACACACTCTGTGGTAAAGAAGCCAGCCCAAACCCACCAAAACCAAAATGGCAACAAGAGTGACCTCTGGTCTTCCTCACTGCTTATTATATGCTAATTATAATGCATTATGTGCTAATTATATATATTATATGCTAATTATAATGCATTGGCATACTAAGAGATACTCCCACCAGTGCCATGACAGTTTACTAATACCATGGCAACATCAGGAAGTTACCCTATATGGTCTAAAAAAGGAGAAGCCCCCAGTTCTGGTAACTGCTCCCTTCTTTCCCAGAAAACTCAAGAATAATCCACCCCTTATTTAGCATATAATCAAGAAATAACCACAAAAATGGGCAACCAGTGACCCGTGCTGCTATTCTGCCTATGGAGTAGCCATTTTTTTATTCCTTTATTTTCTTTTTTTTTTTTAAAAGACTCTATCCAGTTTGTTCTCTCTCAATTTTAGAAAAACATCTTTCACACTTTCCCTCAAATATTGAGCCATATAAAATCATCGTTCATTTTAACTTTAAATTGACTTTAACAATGACAACTTAAGGTACTATGTTAGATGCAGTAAACCAAACAGAGTCTTAAAATCTAAACATTCTTGACAATCAAGTAGGAATGACACACTTTTTTTTCATTTAACATTTCAACCTAACCATGGAGATGTAGAGGATTTATGTCCTTTCCCTTTTGATTTTGTGTATGTTCTGCAATTGCTTTAATCATCAGAAAACTATAAAAGTGACACTGTACCTGTTTCTGTGCCTACGCCTGATGAAACTGACAGCTTCCGCTACCTGTTTCTTAGAACAATCACTCTTGAAAACCAGCCACCATGCTGTGAGGAAGACCAAGCAATCCTGTGGAGAAGCCCACATAGAGGAGAACTGGCGGTCCCAGACTGAAGTCCTGTTGAGTTCCCAGACCACAGTCAGTACAAATTTGCCTTTTAAGAGAGTGAGCTATTGTGTAAATGACTTCTCTGGATCCAGGAAAGCCTAGTTCTTGACCTACAAAATCATGAGCAAAATAAAATTCCTCTTTTAAGACATTATCTTTTGGGGTATATTCACAGGCAACAGGCACCCACTATAAAAAGCTGTCACCTCATATGAGATAACATCCTCAAGACATTTTGAGTAGTTTAGTCCAGCTCCCTAGAAACCCCCCTTTATTTTCTCTTTGAGCACACACATATTTCCTGCCTTTGAGCAATGTATGCTCTGAATGAGGAAAAAGGCATCGAGATACAAAAGCACATTATAAGATAGAAAACTCTATGTGCCATTTCCTATCATTTACCTTGATGTGAGCAACCAACTCCAGAAGGAGGACGAGTTGCCATTGCTTTATATCTCCCTCTCATCTTTCTTCTATATCTGCTTTTGTAGTCTTGTGCATATCGTTGTGGCCTTCTCAACTATTCCCACCTTTTCTCTATTTTTTAAAAAATTATACTTTAAGTTATGGGATACTTAAAGTATCCCATACTTACGGGATATGTGCAGAATGTGTAGGTTTGTTACACAGGTATACATGTGCCATGGTGGTTTGCTGCATCTATCAACCCATCATCTACATTAGGTATTTCTCCTAATGCTATCCCTCCCCTAGCCTGTCACCCCCCGACTGGCCCTGGCATGTGATGTTCCCCTCCCTGTGCCCATATGTTCTCATTGTTCAACTCCTACTTAAGAGTGAGAACATACGGTGTTCGGTTTTCTGTTTCCGTGTTAGTTTGCTGAGAATGACAGTTTCCAGCTTCATCCATGTCCATGCAAAGGACATGAACTCATTCTTTTTTATGGCTGCATACTATTCCATCGTGTATATGTGCCACATTTTCTTTATCGAGTCACATTGATGGGCATTTGGTTTGGTTCCAAGTCTTTGCTATTGTGAATAGTGCGCAATAAACATATGTGTACATACATAGCCATATAATATACAGAAAGAAAATGAGGAAAGATTGTAAACCTTTCACAATAAAAAATAAACACAAATGAAGAGAGTAATGGAGAAAATGAAGATTAAAAAAGCTATAATGCATATAGAAAACAAGTATCAATATGACAGAAGTAAATTGCTCTTACAGTAATTACTTCAAATGTAAATACATAAGCCCTCCATCAATCAAAACACAGAGAGTGGCAAAATGGATTAAAAAACCTGATTCAATTATATGCTGCCTATAGGAAACTCACTTTACATATAAAGATACAAATAGACTAAAAGTGAAAGGATAAAGAAATCATTCCATGCAAATAGTAACAAAAAGAGCAGGGGTGGCTATATGAATAGCAGAGAAAATAGGTTTTAAATTAAAAATTAATAACAGACAAAAAAAGGACAATATATCTTAACCAATGGTTCAATAGAGCAAGAAAATATAACAATTAAAAACATTTACACGCCTAATATCAGGTCATCAAAATATGTAAAGGAAAAATTTACAAAATTGAAGAGAGAAATGGATAATTCTACAATAATAGTTGCGGGAGACATCAATACCCCACTTTCACTAATAAATACAACAACTGGTCAGAAGAGCGGTAAGAAAAAAGAAGACAACACAATAAACCAATTAGACCTAACAAACATTTACAAAACACTACCCAATAACAATAGCATATACATTCTTCTTAAGGGTACGTGAGTGAGCCATTTTTCAAGATAAAGGATATGTTAGGCCACAAATTAAATCTCAATAGATTTAAAAAATATATACATTATAACATGTATCTTCTCTGACCACAATGGAATGAAGTTAAAAATCAATAACAGAAGTAAACTGAAAAATTTGCAAAACTGTGGAAATCACACATTTAACCTACCAATGGATCAAAGAAAAAGTCCTGAAGGAAATTATAAAATAGTTAGAGATGAATAAAAGTAAAAACATACCACAACTTTTGTAAGACAACAAAAGCACTGCTAAAGGGGAAATTTATTTCTAAAAATGCTTACGTTAAAAGAAAGAAATTTCAAATAACAACCTAGCTTTGCAATGTAAGGAACTAAAAAACAAACAACAAACTAAACCCAGTGCTAGCAGGAGGGAGGAAATAATAAATATTAGACAGAAACAAAGAAATAGAGAATTGAAAAAGGAGAAAATCTATAAAACCTAAAGTTGGTTCTTTGAAAAGTTTAAGAACTCTGAAAAACCTTTAGCAGTATAGAGTAAGAAAAAAGAGAGAAGACTCAAATTACAAAAAAAAAAAAAAAAGGGAAGAAACTGGGGACAGTATTAATGATTCTACACAAATAAAAAAAGGTTTATATGAGTACTATAAACAATGTACAGCAACAAGTTGGATAACCTAGATGAAATGAATAAATTCCTAGAAGCACAAAACCAAACAAGACTAAATCATGAAGAAATAGGAAATCTAAATAAAGAGATCTGTAACTAATAAGGAGTTTGAATCAGAAAAAACTCTCCCAATAAATAAAAGCCCTGGACTTGCTGACTTTATTTGTGAATGCTGTCAAACATTTAAAGAAGAAGTAATGTCAATTATTCTCAAACTTTTCCAAAAATTTGGAAAGGCAGAAATATTCAAAAGCATATAAAAAGGATTATACACCATGACTAAGTGGGATTTATTCCTGGAATACAAGAATAGTTTACCATATAGAAATTAATCAATGTAATATACCACATTAACAAAATGAAGTAAAAAAATACACATCTTTTAAATCAATGAAGAAAAAGAATTTGACAAAATTTAACATTTTTTCATGATTAAAAAAACACTCAACAAATTAGGAATGAAGGAAAAGTATCCTCACATAATAAAAGCTCACAATAAAAAAACCCACAGTGAACATCATACTTAATGATGAAGGAATAAAAACTTTTCCTATAAGATAGGGAACAAGCAGGAATGCTTGCATTTGCCCCTTATTTTCAACATAATTCTGGAAGTCTCAGCCAGAGAAATTAGGCAAGAGAAAAAAAAGGCATACAAACTGGAAAGAAAGAAGAAAAATTATCTGTTCTCAGGTGATGTAAGTGTCTATGTAGAAAACCCTAAATGCTCCACTAAAAAGGTGTTACTGTTAATAAATGAATTTAGCAAGAAGCAGGATACCAAGTCAACACACAAAAATCAGTTGCATTTCTAGACACTAACAATGAACAATCTGAAAAGAAAATTAAAAAACAATTTTACTTAAAATAACATTGAAATAAATATTTAGAAATTAACTGAGGAGGTGAAAGCTTTGTGCACTGAAAACCACAAAACCATGCTGAAAGAAATTAAAAAACACACAAATAAATGGAAACACATTCCATGTTCATAGATTGTAGACTTAATATTAAGATATCAATACTACCCAATGTAATTTACAAATTTAATGCAATCTGTACTAAAATCTCAGTGACATTTTCTGCAGAAATAAAAAAAAAAATGCATTCTAAAATTTATATGCAATGTCAAGGGACACTGAGCAGCCAAAACAATCATGAAAAAAAGATCAAAGCTCTAGGACTCATACTTCCTGATTCAAAACTTACTACAAAGCTACCGTATTCAAAACATTGTGGTACTAGCATAAGAACAGGCATATAAACCAATGGAATAGAATAGAGAGCCCCCAAATAAATAAATTATCATCTATATGGTCCAGTGATTTCTGACAAGGGTGCCACAACTATTCAATGGGGGAAAGGACAGACTTTTCAACAAATGGTGCTGGGAAAACTGGATATCCACATGCAAAAGAATGAATTTGGACTTTTTTTTTTTCTTTTTTTTTTTTTATGTTAATTTATTTATTTATTTATTTATTTTTTTAATTTTTTTTTTAATTATACTTTAAGTTTTAGGGTACATGTGCACATTGTGCAGGTTAGTTACATATGTATACATGTGCCATGCTGGTGCGCTGCACCCACTAACGTGTCATCTAGCATTAGGTATATCTCCCAATGCTATCCCTCCCCCCTCCCCGAATTTGGACTTTTACCTAATGCCATATGCAAAAATAAACCAAAAATAGATCAAAGAATTAAATATAAACATAAAAGTATAAAACTCTTACAAGAAAACAGAGGCCAAAAGCTCTATGACGTTTGATTTGTCAACATTTTCTTGAATATGACACTGAAGGTACAGGCAACAACAACAAAAATACAAATTGGACTTCATAAATTTTTTTTAAATTGTACATTATAAGAAAATATCAACAGAATGAAAAAGCAACCCACAGAATGGGAAAAACATATTTGCAAATAATATATGTGATAAGAGATTAATATCCAGAACATATTGAGAACTCCTGAAACTCAACCAAAATCACAAACAATCCAATGCAAAAATGGGCAAAGGACTTTTCGAAATAGACATTTATCCAAAGAAGATACACAAATGATATATCTCCAAAGAATATGATATATTCCTCAAAAAGGTATATTCTCCAAATGAGATATACAAATGGCCAATAAGTACATGAAAAGATGCTCAGCATCACAAATCATTAGGGAAATGAAACTGAAAACCACAATGAGATGCCATCTCACACATTAGGATGCCTAATATCAAGAAAACAGAAAATGAGTGTTGGGGAAAATGTGGAAAGACCGGAACCGTTGAGCAGTATTGGTGTGAATGTGAAAAGGCACAGCTGCTGTGGAAAATAGTGTAGTTCCTAAAAAAGTTAAAAACAGAATTACCATATGACCCAGAAATTCTGCTTCTGGATGTATAACCGAAAGGAATGGAAAGCAGAGTCTGGAAGAGATATTTGTACACCTATGTTCATAGCATTATTCACAATAGCTAAAAAGTCTAAGCAGCTCAAATGTCCACTAACACAGGAGTCCCCAACCCCTGCACCACAGACCAATACTGGTCAGTGGCCTGTTACGAACCAGGCCACACAGCAGGAGGTGAGCAGCAGGCAAACAAGCTTTACCACATGAGCTCTGCCTTCTGTCACATCAGCAGCAGCATTAGTTTCTCATAGGAGCGTAAACCTGATGGTGAACTGCACATGTAAGTCATCTAGGTTGCATGCTCCTTATAAGAATCTAATTCATGCCTGATTAATACCTGATAATTTGATGATCTGAGGTGAAACAATTTCATCCTGAAACCATCCCCTCCGTCTGTGAAAAAATTGTCTTCCACAAAGCTGGTCCCTGGTGCCAAAAAGATTGGGGACCACTGCACTAACAGATGAATGGATAAATAAAATGTGGTATATATAATCAATGGAAAATTAATGAGCTTTGAAAATAAATGAAATCCTGACATTTATGACAACATGGATAAATCTGGAGGGCATTAGACTAAGCAAAATAAGTCAGGCACAAAAGAGTAAATGCTGTATGATTCCACATATATGAGACACTTAAAGTAGGTCAAATTCATAGAGACAGAAAGGAAAATGATGGTTGCCAGGGACTGGGGTAAAGGGAAATAAGGAATTATTGTTGAATGGGTATAAAGTTTCATTTTTTCAAGATGAAATTATATAGATTATGGTAAATTCATAAAATTATGAATATATTTAATACTACTAAACTATAAACTTTAAAAATGGTTAAGATAATAAAATTTGTTATGTGTATTTTACCACACTTTAAGAAATCAGGGACAATTTTTTTTTTTTTTTGAGACAGGTTGTATTAGTTTGTTTTCATGCTGCTGATAAATACATACATGGGACTGGGAAGAAAAAGAAGTTTAATTGGACTTATAGTTCCACATGGCTGGGGAGAACTCAGAATCATGGCAGGAGGTGAAAAGCACTTCTTACATGGTGGCAGCAAGAGACAATGAGGAGGAAGCAAAAGCAGAAACCCCTGATAAACCTATCAGATCTCATGAGACTTACTCACTATCATGAGAATAGCATGGGAAAGACTGGACCCCATAATTCAATTACCTCTCCCTGGGTCCCACCCACAACATGTGGGAATTCTCTGAGATACAATTCAAGTTGAGATTCGAATGGGGACACAGCCAAACCATATCATTCTGCCCCAGTCCCTCCAAATCTTATGTCCTCACACTTTAAAACCAGTCATGCCTTCCCAACAGTCACCCAAAATCTTAACTCATTTCAGCATTAACCAAAGTCCATAGTCCAAAGTCTCATCTGAGACAAGGCAATGCCTTTCCACCTATGAGCCTGTAAAATCAAAAGCAAGCTAGTTACTTCCTAGATACAGTGGGGGTACAGGTATTTGGTAAATACAGCCATTCCAAATGGGAGAAATTGGCCAAAATGAAGGGGCTAAAGGCCCCATGCAAGTCTGAAATCCAGCGGGGCAGTAAATTTTAAAGCTCCAAAACGATCTTTGACTCCATGTCTCACATCCAGGTCACGCTGATGCAAGAGGTGGGTTCCCATGGTCTTGGGCAGCTCTGCCCCTATGACTTCGCAGGGTACAGCCTCCCTCCTGGCTGCTTTCATGCGCTGGCATTGAGTGTCTGTGGCTTTTCCAGTTGCACGGCGCAAGCTGTCGGTGGGTCTACCATTCTGGGATCTGGAGGACCGTGACCCACTGCCCACAGCTCCACTAGGTGGTGCTGTGGTGGTGCCCTAGTAGGGACTCCCACATTTCCCTTCTGCACTGCCCTAGCAGAGGTTTGCCATGAAGGTCCCATCCCTGCAGCAAACTTCTGCCTGGGCATCCAGGAGTTTCCAAACACCCTCTGCAATCTAGGTGGAGGCTCCCAAACCTCAATTCTTGAGTTCTGTGCACCCACAGGCTCAACACCATATGGAAGTTGCCAAGGCTTGGGGCTTCCATCCTCTGAAGCCACAGCCTGAGCTGTACATTGGCCCCTTTCAGCCATGGCTGGAGCAGCTGGGATACAGGGCACCAAGTTCCTAGGCTGCACACAGCATGGAGACCCTGGGCCCTGCCCATGAAACCACTTTTTCCTCCAGGGCCTCCAGGCCTGCGATGGGAGGGGCTGCAGTGAAGGTCTCTGATATGGCCTTGAGACAGTTTCCTCATGGTCTTGAGGATTAACATTAGGCTTCTTGCTACTTATGCAAATTTCTGGAGCTGGCTTGAATTTCTCCCCAGAAAATGGGCTTTTCTTTTCTATCACATTGTCAGGCTTCAAATTATCCAAACTTTTATGCTCTGCTTCCTTTATAAAACTGAATACCTTTATTAACAATACCCAAGTCACCTCTTGAATGCTTTGCTCCTTAGAAATTTCTTCCACTAGATACCCTAAATCATCTCTCTGAAGTTCAAAGTTCCACAAATCTCTAGGGCAGGGGCAAAATACCACCAGTCTCTTTGCTAAAGCATAACAAGAGTCACCTTTGCTCCAGTTCCCAACAAGTTCCTCATCTCTGTCAGAGACCATCTCAGCCTGGACCTTATTGTTCATATCACTATCAGCATTTTTGTCAAAGCTATTCGACAAGTCTCTAGAAGGTTCCAAACTTTCTCACATTTTCCTGTCTTCTTCTGAACCATCCAAACTGTTCCACCCTCTGCCTGTTACCCAGTTCCAAAGCTGCTTCCACATTTTTTGCTTATCTTTTCAGAAACGCCCCACTCTACTGGTACCAATTTACTTTATTAGTTTGTTTTCACATTGCTGATAAAGACATACCTGAGGCTGGGGGGAAAAAAAAGAGGTTTAATTGGACTTACAGTTCCACATGGCTGGGGAGGCCTCAGAATCATGGCAGGAGGCAAAAGAACTTCTTAAATGGCAGCAGCAAGAGAAAATGAGGAGGAAGCAAAAGCAGAAATCCCTGATAAACCCGTCAGGTTTTGTGAGACTTATTCACTATCATGAGAATAGCATGGGAAAGACCTGCCCCCATGATTCAACTGTTTCCCCCTAAGTCCCTCCCACAACACGTGGGAATTCTGGGAGGTGCAATTCAAGTCAAAATTTGAATGGGTACATAGCCAAACCATATCACAGGGACTTGCTCTGTTACCCAGGCTGGAGTACAATGGCACAAACAGAGCTCACTGCAGCCTCAACTTCCTCGGCTCAAGTGATCCTCCCTGCTCAGCCTTTTTAGTGGCTGGGACTACAGGCACACACCGTCATGCCTGGATTTTGAAATTTTTTTGTAGAGATGGGATTCCATCAAGTTTCCAAGGCTGGTTTCTAACTCCTACACTCAAGTGATTCTCCTGCTCTGGCTTCCCAAAGTGCTGGGATTACAGGCGTGACCCACCATGCCTGGCCAAATCAGGGAAAATATTTTTTACAAGTTAAGGTAGATTGATCGATTTGAAAATCAGTCAAAATGTGAAAAATATCAGCAGAAATCTTTTTCTCCTTGGTTTGATTGTTGCTACATAAGTATGATATAACATCTCACATGAAATACAACTTCTTAAATTATTGTCCTATTTTGGGATATATATATATATATATATATATATATATATATATATATATGGCAAGGAAAATGTAACATGAAACTGTAATGATCTCGGCAGCTATCTCATTCCACCCTCATCTTTAACCAAAAAGCTACTACACTAAAGATTCCACACACAGCCCATTAAGGCATTTATAAGAATGTGATTGGAAGAGTAATAACTGAAGTAACTTCTATGGAATATTATTTGACTTTCAAAAATTTAGGGCTAAAAAAGACCTTAGAAACTATGTAGCCCAAATCTCTCATTGTGCAGATATAGACTTGGAAACCCAGAGAAGTAAAGAACTTGCTCACGGTTGTATAGAGAACTGGTTACAGAGCTAGAATGTCCTCACTCCTACTTTTTTTTTATCACATCAAATAATAATAATAGGTAACAATTAGTGTGAGGAACAGTTCTAAGTGCTTTACACATCATTTAATATACATTCATTTAATATATACGTACATCCACTTAGTCTTTAAAACAACACTATGAGGTAGTTAGTACCATTATCTCCATTTTATAGATTATTCAACTGAAGTCCAAGCAGGTGAAAGTACTTATTCAAATAGAGAAACTCAGATGCAAATGCAGACAATTTGGCTCTAGAGTCTGTGACTTTAACCATTACATTACATTGTTCTCTTTACCTGATTATTTACATCTACAACTGAGTAGTTCAGCATAGCTATTGTTTAAAAGTTCTTTTAATAGGTGGTTTAACCAAGTTGATGTTTATATATAAATGAACATTGTTCACAAAATAAGTATCGTTTATCGTGGTGTGTGTATTTTATTCTTAGCCCCGTTTTTTTAAATATCCCAAATCCCTAGGAAACAGAAAATCAGGCACATTTCCCACTCTTGTTCATGGAAGTACCTAGTTGCAAAGTTTACATTAAAGAGGACCCAGATATGCTCTTTATTTTATTTTTTATTTTTTGCAAACATGGAGAAGGTAAGAGGCATGAATAGACATTGAGACTGCAGTTTGTCTTTCCATATTTGAGCTCCTAATTGCACACAATCATCTTTAATCCTTGAAAAATGTGCATCTCTTGAATTAGTCTAATATATAAAAATTAAGGTAGATTGGCAAAGAGAAAACCACAAGAAGCCAAGAAAATTTGAACTACATAAATTTCTATAATTAGATAATATCATTTTGGAGGGATGAGATTGATACTTTTGAAATATCTGAAATGTCAGAATATGGCTGTATTTATACAGGCTCTCAACTTATTCCTGAATCACATTTCTTTGAGGAGTTTTTATTTGTGCCATGTTAGCCCTCTTTTAGATTTCATTGAGCTTTATCTTTCATTCAATGGTCGTTTTTCACAAAGAAGTACAGATTTTTGTACTTTACTATATTTTCTGCAAAGATAATTATAAGGCAATCACAAAAGCACATTGAAATGCAGATACTGGGCAGCCTTATAAACCTAATTGCTAGATAAATATCATGTGTACTCAACCATCCTTGAAGTTATTCAGATGTGTGTCTTGGCAAATGTACAAACTACTAAACAATGAGTCTTTGGTATTCTTGGTGAAAGAGCACAATGCTGTGAATGCTAAATGCCTACATTTAATGGAAAGCAGCTTAGGATATATTTTAATTAAGATAGTACTAAATTCATGTTTTATAAGATTTAAGTTTCTTTTGGATGGCAGAACACAACACTTGGATACATTTGGAAGGCAGAATTCTTCATTATAACTCTAAATGAGAGCTGGCGGCCAGGCAGGGTCACCCAGGGAATTGTACACAGAGGTAAGCTGGAACTGCAGGATGCATCTTATATAGACAAGCAGGGTGAGTTTAGCTAGGTTTCCTGGACTCCTTGAGGACTGGCTAATGTGGATAATTCTGTGGGCTCTGGAGGCATTTGGGCTGTTCCTAGTTGTCTGGTTGTTAGCCCCAGGGCAATTAGGTGAAGTGCTTAGTTGCTTAGACTGTGAGAGTCTGGTAAGTGAAGCAACTGGGGTGTGGACTTAATTCAACTGCTCATAAAGGTGAACTGACCAGTCTTTAGCCACAGCCAAAAAACTGGGTCAAGACAGCATTGAGTAAACAAACATCTAAACTAAAACTGTGTTATGATATGCTATGAATTGTACTTCAAAATTTTAGACAATATAAATTTATTTCGGGATCATGTCAAAATGCATATGATTCTGGTAGATGGGGAGCTTTATAGTTTGAAATTTGCAGACTCATGCTATGGCCATCTTACTATACTTCCATCATCAGAACCTTGGGGTCCTGCTCTATATTCTCTGGATTCTGTTGGCAAATGGCAGAGGAGAGTGTAAAGACAGTGCACTTGCTCTTAACCAAAGAGCATCCCTTTTGCTCACATTTCATTGGCTAGAAGTAGTCATCTTGACTACTTGATAGAGAAGGGTTGAAAGGCTAGTAAATGTAGGCCCTGGCTAGGCAGCTACCTCCTAGCAAAACTCTTTCTATGGGAAAAGAGCACGATTATTTTTTGGACATACAGCTATTTTTGTTTAGTTGAGTTTTAGAATATATATCTTCATATACACACATATGTACACACACATATAAACACACATATACACATGTACAAACATATAGTATGCATGCATATATGTATAAAAATATAGGTTTTAGAATAAGGGATAATTGTTATATTAAAAATCTTTAGGTAAAGATGAATTTACCTCATTGCAGAAGATTTCAACTTCGACATATGTGTTGACTCCTAATGGGCCATTGTGATTCTTGGTTTCCTCTAGTAGTTTTTTTTTTCCCCTTAACTTGAAATGTATAAATATCATCTAGAAGGATTAAATGCTGATTTCCAATTACTTGATATAAATGGAAATATACAAGCATACAATTACACACAGAAAGCCAGATACAAAAGAGTATGTATTTCTATCTTGTTCAACACTGTGTTCCTGAGATTTGTTCACACTGTCACACATTGTTGTAGTAGGTCTATTCTCATTGCTGTGTAGTATTCACTGGAGTGAATGTACCACAGTTTATTTATCCATTGCAGTGTTGATAGATATTTAAATAGTTTCCTGTTTGGAGCTGTGATAAACAGTGCTACCAATATTTTAGAATGTGCCTTTTGGTGAGTCTGTGTATACATTTATGTTGCATATATGCCTAGAAGTGAAATTTCTGGCCTAGAGAGTATGAGTATGTTCAGTTTACATTCTGACAAATTTCTAGTCTTCTTTTACTGCCTATTATAAATTGATCATCAGTAAGTTAAGCCACTTTTTCTATACTCTCTCTATTTCATTTTGTTGCACGGAACTTTTTGTTAATAATTACAAAATACATAAAATAAAATTATGGGAAGGCCCTATTAATTCCACTAATATATAGCCTGTTTTACTTTTTCTGTTTCTTTTTAGATCATATCAATCTTAATTAATTATAATACAGACTTTGAATTAAGTTTTTGACTTAACATTATTGTATAAATATTTGTACATATTTATGTGCTTTTTATCATTATGAATTTTTATGACTGCACTGAATTTATCTACCAGAAATTGCAATTTCCTATTATAGACTTCTTAACATATTTTCCATTTTTACTAATTCTTTTAAAAACAATTTACATTTTAAAACTATAGTATATCTTTTTTACTCGGTATTTTGGGTTTGGTATGTGCTTGGGATAAGAAAACAACACATTTTCTGTCTCTGACCCCTAGCAAGCTTAGAGAGAAAAGTACAACTTTTCATGACAGTAAATGAACATACTCACCTAAACATTAACTTACACTTACTCTGCCCCAAGCCTGAGTGACATTACATTTCTTTTTAGAAGGTTAAATTGGTAAAATCTCAGCAACAAAATTTTGGTTGAAAACTGAACATTTGGATCTGCCATGATTTCTTACTTCTTGGTCATAAAACAGTACATGTTTGAGACAGAAGTAAGCTTTTTTTCTCTTTACTCCCAAGCTCTGCAAGTTCCACTGTGCATCTTAGTGTTTACCCCTACTTTACCCCCACACTAACTCACATCCCTGGAGATTTTTAAAACATTATTTAAAATTTAAAAATATTTTTGCGATGGGGTCTCACTGTGTTGCCCCAGCTGGAGTACAGTGGTGCTATTACAGCTCACTGTAGCCTCTACCTCCCAAGGCTCAGCCCCCTGAGTAGCTGGGACTATAGGCATATGCCATCATGCTCACCAATTTTTTTTTTAATTTTTTGTAGCAATGAGATGTCCCTATGTTGCTCAGGCTGATCTTAAATTCCTGAGCTCAAGCAGTCCTCCTGTCTTGGCCTCCCAAAGTGCCGGGATTACAGGTGGGAGCCACCATTCTCAGCCACATCCCTGGAGCTTTTCCATTTCACAATAAATGTAATTTCATTATACTTGAGCAAATAATATCTTCAGTGGAGAAATGTCACAAGCAAAATGCTTGTGTTGACAAGCAAAATTAAAGAATGATTGCTTAAATGCTTCCTTAATTTTGGACCTAATGCTGTGGCCAGGAATTTAATCAATCCATTCATTTTTGTTTTGATTCTCAAATATGTGTATCAAAGAAAGGTTTTTATTTAAACCTCAGACTCAATCAACCACTCTCATTGGACATACAAATTCAAACAAGAACTGTGTTTTTTCAATGACAGATCTAAATGCAGAATATGGATAGACATGACTCCAGTTAGTAATCCCAGCGAGAAGAAGGTGTAAAAGCAAAATAATGAAAGATGAGGCATAAAAAAGACAAACTCAGTGTTTACAGCCAATTACATTTTGGCAGAGTGTCACTACGATTTCTAAAAACCATTTGATTTGCATCTAAGTGATTAAGATGAAAAGTTACAAGGTAATTGGGATAGTGTAATTTCATGTCTTTTTTTCTGAATAGTTTATTTAAAAATTGTCAAGAAATATATTTTTTAAAAAGTGACAAGAAAAGTTTGAAAATTTTAAAAGATTGAAAATCACCTTTTCCGGAAGAATGAATATCTTTGACAGTCAAATAATAATTTTCTTTTCATTTTCAAACTAACTAGCTCTATGTAGCTAATGTTTTGAGCTCAATACTTTCACGTGGGTAGTCTATTTTGTAAAATCATGTTAGTATTTTAACTATATAATTTTAGCAGACCTCAGAAAATAAGAAACGTCTTCTCTTAGTTACAAGTACAATAGTATTCTTTAAGAGCTTAATGAAATTCTGGAAAGAAGACTTTAAATAAGCTTTGAAATTTAAATATTTCATGATTTCTATGCTTGCAAGTAAGACTTGTGCAATTTTATCCTCTGCCACTAGAATGACCAATTTCAGCTTAATTACAGAAATTTATGGAGCAGAGCAAATTCATCAATGTAATAATCTCTTCTTAATTTCTATTCAATGAGAAAAACTATAAAATATACGGTATTACTTACCAGATGTAAAAATATTTTTTTCCCAGAGTTCTGCTGAGAACAGATAAGTCTATATTCTCAAGGATAATCAGTTAAACATGAATATCATTTAACATGGAGGACAGTTCCTCCAGATCTCACTAAAGAAGGGAAATAAGAGTTTGTTGCATAATACAGTCAAAGGTTACCACGTTAAAGACATACTAGTATTCTTTATTAAAATAAGGTATATTATCACTGATTATTAAGGTTTTATCTCAGTGCCTGAATAGCCAGTTATTGATGTGGACAATCCTTTTTACTTTACCTGCATGAAATTACAATAAAAAAGTGAATAGCAGAGATGTCTAAAATGTCCTTGAAATGAAAAAGGAAAATGGCTCAGACCCTATTTCCAAAGTGAATATATATACTTCTCATCACAAAAAACAATGAAATAACCTTTTATTCATTATATCTTTGAAATAATCAAGGATAATAAATTGCCAAGACCTGCTTAGCTAGAACCTTAATCTTACATAGATTATCTTCTACCATTCATTTACTTGTCATGCTTTTATTTTTATTTTTCCACTCCCATTTGAGATGATGCTACCAATTACTTTCTGGAAATGAAAAAGGTAATAGACTTTTGAATTTCTGAAGAACCTATCATAATTTTATTTCATATTAGCATTATGTCAACCTTTGTTGATTAAGGAGTATAGACATGTGGGAAAATCACTCTTTTATAAGTATTTCTTAAACTGAGATACTCATTCTCAAAACATTTCAGATTCTTATAATTAATATGTCAAATTTGCCAGCTTAATTTGAGAATGCCAGCTTAATTTGGGCTGGCATATATGGAATATTACTTACAATATTCTGAAATATCTATAGGTGTCAACTCTGTAATAATCATGTTATATATACCTGATTTAAACTTCATAAAACCAAAAACAAAAATTAGAAAAAAAATTCATATATCAACTTTTGGGATGAGTGCTATCATCTACCATTGCCGGTGAGGAAACTTGCTGAGAAGTTACATGTTCTCAAACTCACATAGCAGTAAGGGGCAGAGTCAGGATTTACATACAATTCTCTGTACCTGTAACACACACACGCAGTGTGCGCACATGCACGCACACACACACACACACATTCTCTTTCTCTGTGTCTCTCTTTCTCTCCTTCATATATTACATTGCATCGTCATCCAAAGTATTGCAATATCACTATTTTTGTGGGTAAGGTTTCAATAGTGCTGAACTTAGGGATGATAAGAGAATGCCTAGAGATGCATTTTTCTCAGTCTTTTGAAATTTGTAACTGCATATCATTATTGAGAACTGCATGTGGGAAATACATGAAAAGTATATTATCTTTTAATTCGTTATGCCCATGCATTCTCTTCTCCATACATAATTATGTGTGGACACTAGTGATTTCATTAGGACATGGTAGGATTATGAAACAATGTAATTTTATAACCTACATCTCTTTTGATAGTGTTTAAACAAAAGTGGAAGGCTATATTTTACTTTTCTGACATAGCATTACTTTCATATTTTATCATATAATATATATAAGGTTTTTTTCCCAAAGGGATTGATAATATAAATAACATCTTTGAAAATATATTCATCCCCTAGTATTTTGTGGTTAGATTTTTTTTTTGAAATTTCGTTTCCTAAATGGATGTTTATTTTTCTATGAAACTTTTTGCAGACAATCTTTTAAAACTAGTTATTAAAGGAGTTATAGTGTTTTTAGCTGTTTTAAACCAGTGAAAGATGATTATTACTGAGGAAAGATGGGATAGGTGAGCTGAGGGAAGGAGATGTGGTCCCAGAAGCCTCCTTTGGATAGGAATGAGGATCAAATGATAAATCTTGAGTACAAAATGAGCTGATTCTTGTCCCTGATGGCATACTCCAGGGGACAAAGAAAGGGCTCTGGACTTTAATGTGTGGAGGGGTTGGAATCAAGAATGCTGATTGGGTAAGTGAGACTTCTGGGCACTATGAGTTGCCCACATTACAATAGTTGGGCCATCTAGGCATTTATTCTTTCATTCAGTACATATTTACCAATCTCAACTTTGTACAAGTCAGTTAACTAAACCTAGGGGATTTAATAATGACTGAATTAAACATGGCCCCAAATATCATGAGCTTTTAGTTCATTAGAGGCTAAAAATGAATAAAACACCACTGTTAACATAGATAAATATCAGTGTGATAAGTATGATGACAGGGATTTGATTGGATGGGATATTATGAGATTTTCAGTTTCTAAAGGCTGAGGGCCCACTGAAGTTCTAGATGAAGTTTCTCTCTGGAAATGGGTTGGGTAGCTCACAGTAGAAACTTGATATTTGTAAACATCATGGGTGAGAAGATTTGGGCCCATAGGAGGAGTTTTGGAAAATAGGATTCTCATAGGCCATAGATGCCAGGATAGAAAAACTAAAAACTATCCAACACTGAGTGGAATGGTACTGAGGAAGTGCATTGGGTGAAAAGTGAGGGATGTACTCTGAAAGAATATTCTGGATACAGTGTAGTGGATGGAGTAGAAGAAAGTAGAAGAGAGGCAGAAGAACCAGATGAAAATTAATAAAAATGTTGCCTCTCATTGCTTACCAGGTATATCAGTGTGTGTTTATTTGCACAAGACACTACCTCTAAGATGCTGGTTATAGGAATAGGGTTTGCATTAATGTCAGAGGAGGTGGGAGAGCAAAGGTCTGAAACAGTGAAGCAGAAATGGTTACGAATAACTTCTTAAAGCAGGCAGAAAATACAGAGTTTGTGGGGAATTCCAAAAAGTCATCACTGACCTCTGCAATCATACATTGAAATTTCATGGTAAGGTTGGTGTAGCTGCTGAGGATGACCTATGTGGCCTCCTGAGAATAATGTTTCTAGTTTACTTCACCTTCTAAACTTTGCTTGAATTATGTGCATTTGCAAACTGTAACCCAGAACATCAAAGCAAATGGTTGTGGTATTAAGGTGAAAACATGCGCTCTAACACAGTAAATAAAATAGATTCCTGGGCCTAAACACACAAGACTCAGGAGTATCAAACTCCAATCCATATTTCCATCTTTATTTGCTTCTGGTGGATGCCTGCCTTCACTCTCCAAAACCTATACTTCTAACAAACATTACTCTTCCCTGCGCTTTGTTCAATTTCCTTCCCCTCTTCGTTTCTGAGCTCCTACACTTCTTTCAAGGCCCTGCCACAGTTTTCATATCAGAAATCACTTACTATTCCAAGCAGAATTAGCTTACTCTTCTCTATTGCATCACTTAGGATGGAATTCGGCTGTGTGTGTAATAGGACACTCTGCAACAGTGGCTTAAACAAGTGAAAGGTCTTTATATCTTATACAACAAGAGCTTCAAGGGTAGTAAAGTATTGACATGAGAAATCAACACATGTTCTGCATTCTTGGCATGTGGACTTTATCCTTCCAGCCGCAACTCAAATGACCCAAAGTCAGACATCACATCCACATTTCAGGTAGGAGGAAGGAGGAAAGGGAAGAGGCAGCTACAGCAGATGTCTGCATATATTTCATTGACAAGAATTTATTCATAAAGCATTCTCTGAGTGCAGTGGGTCCAATAAATCAGTTTTTGGCTTATAAATCTGTACAGAAGAAATTAGGGGAAAAGGATCAAGTTGTGGGGTAAGTTTACATACAGCACTTACCACACTGTATTTCTCAAAGCACTTTGAATATAAAACTTTCCACATTAGATCATACTTATTTATGTTCTTGTTGGTCTCGCTGAGTAAGATGCCAGAATCATAGAGGCAGTGATGATGTCTCACTTACCTTTCCACCCCAAGCATCTAGAATGTTGTAGAATAAATAAATGAATACCTTGTTGGAATATGTTAAGATTTTAATAAAATAGAACAGAGTACTGTTGAGTAAGTAGACTTAAGCAGCAGATAAAAACCTCAGTCCCCAAAGGATACAATGTTATAATGTTAAGTGATCAAAGTAGTTATATGTATACCTGGCAGTACAGAGGTACACAGTTATGCAAAGTTGAAATAAGTATTATAACAGCCGCTGACTAGTGAAGCTAGGAACATATAAATTAAAATTCTAAGTCAAAAAGTTTTTTCATAGTTTATCGGTAATCCTGTCATTTTGATTCAGAGCATAAGTGATGACATTAACACTGTATGCTTTTTAAAATGCCATATTTGCCCATCTATTCTAGGACTGTTAAGCTTATTTATCAGAGATATTAAATAAGCTAAAACCATATCCTGTATTTTCATCATTCGCTAATTTTGAATTCTGGATCATATCACACTGCGTTATTTATTTCCATGAATCTTTATGAGAATAAGTTTTTTTTCTGAATAAGAATTAATTTGATAATCCAGACACACCATTTCCAGAAAAAGGAAAATAGTGGACTTTACTAATGAGTAGCTTTTATGAATGGCTGAATAATTTGAAACTATGACAGATGTAGGGACTTTTTAATCAATTCTTTTAAGTTTACCTAATAATATATATAATTTGTAGTTTGCATGCAGCATTTGATATTTCTATAAAAATCAAATTTTAAGAAGCCCTCAGAGAAAATCACATCAATTCATGATTTTGTTTTTTAAAAAATTGTGTTCTCCCCTGGCACTGTCTGCAATTCTTGCCTACTTCCTCATCCCTACCAGCACTGTGTAAAATATATAATATATGATGTGGTATGTCTTTTGTAACTGTGGTTGGGCAGAATAAACATGTTTGTGTTTTTGCTGGTTCTAAGCAAAAAACAAAACAAGGTAAAATGTCAAAACAAAGAATAAGTTTACTGCAATTGTTACACGATCATTTATTTTCCTCAAAAAAAGAGAAACAGTTTTTAACTGATTACCCTTTGGAATTAGATAATCAAATTGGCCTTAAAAATATTACAGTAAATATTTTAATTATGTATTGTTGTAAATAGCATTGACATTTCTAGGAAAAAAGGATGGAGTTACCCATTATTATGTAGGAGGTTTTCTTAATTTTTACTGGTATATAGGGTCAGTATAGAATTGTAGGCACTAATTTGTACTTTAGACATTTTCATTTTAAAGATGCAAAAACACATAATTTATATTCTCTCTTTAATATAGGCTGTTACTCAGATATGGCTCTTTTCAAATTAACTGAGGCTTCCTTGTGTTAATCAGTTATCAGTTAGACCTGACATAGTAAAAAGGAGAAAGAGAAAAAAAAGAGAAAAAAAAGAAAAAAAATAAGTATTCTCATTGTCACTATGTCACTACTAAAGTATCTAAACAATTTGCTATTACTGATTAGTTGTAAAGGTTAAAATACTCTCATTTAATTTGGGGCATTGAAGAGTATATTTTAGTGTCTGTCACCATTTGAAATAAACATGAGATGCAAATGACTGCATTTGTCAGGAGATGACATTTTGTGAGGACTATTTGGAAGTGAAAGAGTATATGCTATTAGAATCCAACAGATAACTCCCTAACAGAACATATTCTTAATGTATTATTTGTTTTTGCTTAGGTATAATATTTATGAATGCGTATCTCTCTCTCCACTCATCCACCTTTCTTCCATCCCTGTGTCTATTAGATAGCATTTCTACTCCATGTAGATAGCTGAATTTGTAATGAAAGGAGCACTGCACTGGTTATCAGGATAGTCTACAATTAAATCTGGACTTTGTCCTGGTTTTAGAACTATATAAAAGTCATCTGGACTTCTGATTTCTCAGTTTCTTAGTAAAATAAAAAGATTGTGCTAATCATTCTATTTCTGAAACTAGAACGTCAGCCACACTATGGTAAAAAGTTAATCTGGTATATTTACTGCTTTATCCCAATACTCAAAACAGTGCTTTGCATATAGAACATCCTCAGTAAATATGTTCAATTAATCAATAAATTCTAGTTGCTCAAATTCAAATCTCAATTTTTATTAAAATATGTAAATCAGTACTTTTAATATATGTGAATGGAGACATAAAGAATATATAATATTAATGCAAGCCCTTCTACTCTCACTATACAATACAAGCAAGAGAGTATGGCCAAGTTATTAGAATTCTACTGTGTGCTTTTTCCTTATTCCAGTTCCTCTTTTTTCCTCATCAGAATTATTCATTCTCTTGATTTTGTGTCTTCTATTTATTTTCAGTCCTTCTTGAGTGTTTTATCACATGTGAATGTAAAACTTAATAATTTTAATCATGTAATTGGAATAATGACATATTTTCTTTCATGATTTAACTGATGCTTAACATTACATATTTTTTTAACTTTTATTTTAAGTTCAAGGTACAAGTGCAGGTTTGTTTCATAGGTAAATTTGTGTCATGGGAGTTTGTCGTACAAATTATTTCCTTGCCCAGGTATTAAGTCTAGTATCCATTATTTTTCCTGATCCACTCTCTCCTCCCACCTTCCACCCTCTGAAAGGCCCCAGTGTGTGTTGTTCCCCTCTATGTGTCCATGTGTTCTCACCATTTATCTCCCACTTGTAAGTGAGAACATGTGGTCTAAAGATAGAAATGCCATTTTACCTAGCAATCCCATTACTGGGTATATACCCAAAGCAAAATAAATTATTTTATTATAAAGATACATGCAAATGTATGTTCACTGCAGCACTATTCACAATAGCAAAGACATGGAATCAACCCAAATGCCCATCAATGATAGACTATAAAGAAAATGTGGTACACATACACCATGGCATACTATGCAGCCATAAAAAATAATGAGATCATGTCCTTTGCAGGGACATAGATGGAGCTGGAGGCCATTATCCTTGGCAAAGTAACACAGAAAGAGAAAATCAATATTACCTTTGTCAAATTCATCCATATTGATGTATTGAGCTTCATTTTGTGATTTTACTATAGCCTGAATTTTTTATTGTGTTTTGTGAGTCTATTTCTGCATTCTTGTACTTAAACACACCATTATAATACATTTTAATATGTTTTTAACAGATCTCAATAACTGATATGGCAAATCTCTTCCCCTTGTTCTTTTCCAGCTGTGTTTTGTTCCTTCTTGGATGGTGCCTCATACGAACCACATTAGATTCTACTTACTCAAGTTCCAAAATATTTCTGCTTCTAAATGTTTTGGCATTCCATTAAAACTATAAGTTATTTGGGGAAATTGAATATTTTATCATTCTTTCTATTCATGAATATGTAGTATCACCCTTTCATATTTTAAAATATTGCTACTTTATTCTTTATAAATGTATTTAGTTTTTTTACCTTTTTGCATTTCATGCTTAGCATGTGAATAATTTTTATAGATTAATCTATAATTTCTCTAATTGTATCCTTAGCTATTTCTAATCTGCTCTTTAATCCATTCATAAAATTAATTTCAATTTTTAGTTGAAATAACACTATAGAAGGTATATTTGCTTCTTTTCAAATTTTTTTGGCTATTTAAAAATATTTCATTCCTTGATATTTTCAAGTCTCTTCATTTATTTAAACATGTTAATTAATATGTATACAATAATTTATATATTTTTATTTACTTATTTATTTATTTTGAGACAGAGTCTCACTCCATTACCCAGGCTGGAATGCAGTGGCACGGGCTCACTGCAACATCTGCCTCCGGGGTTCAAGTGATTCTTGTGCCTCAGCCTCCTGAGTAGCTGGAATTACAGGCACGCAGCACCATGCTCAGCTAATTTTTTGTATTTTCAGTTGAGATAGGGTTTCACCATGTTGGCCAGGCTGGTCTCAAATTCCTGACCTCCAGTGATCAACCTGGCTCAGCTTCCCAAAGTGCTGGGATTACAGGTATGAGCCACCACACCCAGCCTGTTAATATATTTATTATATATTCAATTTCAGATCAATTTAATATCTAAAAGTCTTATATGTCCAATTTTTTTGTCGTTTCTTTAAATTTTACAGTGCATTATTTGTATAGCTTGTAATTTTGTGCTACAATTTGTATGTTCATAGAAATTTTTTTCAGTAATGATTCTTAAGTTGAACCAGAAAGGATTTGTGTTTTCTTCTGCCAGCTACCTTGAAGTGCCACTAACCAATAGTCACTTTGTACTAAGGATTTTCTTTGAGGATTTTTGAACCATGCAAATGGTATGATTTGGATGCACAAATTTGAATGAGGGCTAAAATATGGTTAGAAATGTGGGGAGATAGTATTTTTTCTTCCCTAACCAGTAATGAGGTAGAAAACAAAAGGAAAAGTCCCTTTCCTTGCTGGCCTTCCCTCCTGTGTAGTAGATTTATTCAAGCGCACCCTTACATTCAGTGTGTACTGCTTTGAGTTTCCAGCATTATGCAGTGGGCTCATAGCAGACTCAAACTTGGGTTAACCCTTGGCTTCATGTCTGACACACGGTACACTCTGCAGACATTAAAAAGGAAACTCAAAATCACCAGGTTTCTCTGTTGGCTTTGCTTTTGGGCTTTTTGTATTTCTGATTATTTTGCCAATCTAGTAATGGATTTAAAATTATGCTTTTTATATTTTATCCAGCATATTGAATTATTTTCAATGAGAGTCATTGAAAAAATATAATCCACCATAATGCTGAAAGTAAAAATCTCCATCTCAAGATTTTTTTTAAGAACAATGAAAACCTAACAAAAATGACAGCAAATTCACAACCATTTTTTCCCAATACTTACTGAGTGCATCATATGTGTCATGTACTATTCATGGCTCACAATTTCCAGCCATGGAGGTTCTTAGTGACAGATAATGTAACAACTATGAGATCCAGTTCATTTTAGTAGGTAAGTATTCTATGGGAAGTTAAAGGGTGGATCATTTTTAGTCAGCCTTGGGAATCTGAGGAGAGCTATACAGAAGAGGAGGCAGATGAACTGGTTTTTGGTGGCTTAGCATACAATTGTCTGGCAAAAAAGGAGGTTTAGGGAGGTATTTTAGGATGAAGAAATAATAAGAGCAGATTTGGAGATTCTGTAAAGAGAAGATAGTGTCCTGGATGGTGAAGAATGAAATGTGGCAGGGATTCAGGGCATGCATTTTCGGGGTAGTGATAATAGCGAAAAGGTAGATTGCAAATTGACTGCTAGTTTAAGCACTTGAAAGAAGATCTGTGGTATTGAAGATGTCCAGCAAGCTTGGAATTTAATATCACAAAATGAATAAACATTAGATGTGAGTGAAACACTTGTTATTTGAAAAAAATTGCGAGACAACTGAATAGCTTTCTACTTTAATAGATTGTTTATTTTACTTTATCACAAGTTAAAGTTAATGATGGAAACAATTTTGACTTTCTTCAAAATTAATGATGTTTTATAGAAAATTTAAATATAGTGTATGTGTATGTATGTATGTGTCTGTGTATATATATACACATATACATACATATACACACACTTTTCTGCCAATTTTCTCGGAGCCATCAAGAACTAGTATGTACACATACTCACATCCTCAAAATTCAAAACCTAAACACTCAAAAAATGTCATCATAGTTTTCTCACACCAGGCTCTTTAGAGAGGATTCTCTTTTAGGACCTGAGACAGTATTTTCTTTAGCACACAGGAATAATGAGAAGAACTGCATGCAATCATACAACAAAAGAAGAGAAAATGCATGTAAAGCCTTAGAAGATGAAATGTCTGATTAAGGTATTTGCTGAATCACTGCTTGGCTGAAAACAGAGAACATATGTCACAACAGGTGAATTTGCCAAAGCAGTGTGAGAACAGGTGACTCAGGGGAACATAATGAGACTTGCCAAGAGAATCAAGTGCAACACATTTGTAGCAGCTGCTGGGCTCCAAGGAACCTTAGGGAATCCATTCAAGATTCTGAGCCAATTTATCTACTAGCATCATTGTCAGTGATGTGTTAGGAACTTGAGAAGCCAGGCTTGCACAGCAAGAACAGCATAAAATTTTATAGAAGTCACTGTGGAGAATAAGAGAGCCCCACGTTTTAAACAGGAAGACAAAATCTGAAGTAAGTTTCCAATGGTGTTTGCTCCTTCCATAAATAAGCCTTTTGACTATCTGCAGAGGACAGAGTACAGAATAATGTGCTGACATGGAAAAGAAGGAAAAATTATAATCCCTATGATATGGTTTGGCTGTGTCTCTGCCCAAATCTCTTCTTGAATTGTAGCTCCCATAATCCCCACATGTCATGTGAGGAACCCAGTGGGAGGTAATTGAGTCATGGGAATGGGTTTTGCCTGTGCTGTTCTTGTGATGCTGAATAAGTCTCATGAGATCTGATGGTTTTATAAAAGACAGTTCCCCTGCACTTGTTCTCTTGCCTGCCACCATGTAAGATGTTCCTTTGCTCTTCCTTCACCTTCTGCCATGATTGTGAAGCCTCCCCAGCCATATGGAACTGTGAGTCCATTAAACCTCTTTCCTTTATTTATAAATTACCCAGTCTCAGGTATGTCCTTATAGCAGTGTGAGAACAGACTAATACACCCCACCTTTAGGAACTTATCTGGAGAACCTGACACAAGCAGATATAATATGCTCATGATACTGTGAAAAGAGACAGAAAAGTGCCAAAATAAGTATGAAAAACAAGTGCTAAGTTGTTAACATAGATTGATGATAGTGAGGTATAACAGGTGGAAAAGGCTTTATGGAAAAGTTATACTTGAATAGAGTTTTGAAAGTTGAGTATATTTGGACCAGGGAAGACAGAGATTTTGCATGAGGGAGTCACTTTCATTTCCTTCATCCATAAGAAACATCACAAATTAGTCTTGTTCCCACAGAACCCAAAGCAGTATTAATCATTCTCATTATACTATTGCAAGACCCTACCTTTCATTACAGATGTCACTAGAGTTGATATATGTTTACCATCCCTGATTTGCATAGAAAAATTAAGGAAAGGGCATTCCAGGCCTAGGATAGAACATGTGTAAAAGATTGACCTTGAAATTTGCATTCTAGGGATAGTAAGAAGCTGGGATTTACATTAAGCACAGAGGAAGGGAGATTGCATAGTTACAATGTGCTTTAATAATGGAAGATCATACATGCCACTTTAGAATATCAGTGTTGCTCAGTTACTGAGAACCAGTTGATTTTTGAAAGCAAGGTCTTGACAAGATAATGTAAGCAATATTGGATTTTTATGTAAGATTGAGAGGAGAGGCAACTTACGTAAATTTTTTTTCATTATTTTAGAGCTCAGCATCTAACACACTTTCTAATAATTTTAGAATTTTGCAGCTTATGTAGCAGAGCTCAATTCTCACTATGGAATATAAAAAGACTCATTGTTCCAGTGTTCTCTGCAGTGAGAGAATGTGCACATGTCCTAGCAAGGGTACCATGAAAAAGAATACTCTGCACTCAGTCTGGAGATGGGCAGCATCAGCAGCAGCAACAGCAGTGGCTACATCTTGTTTCTAGAGAAAGCAGAGGTAGAGAAATGCCAGGATCAGGTTTGGTGGACTTGGCCAGGCAAGGAGCAGTGTTGTGCCTAACAGAGGCAAGAATGTCAGCAATTCTGCAACACTACGCTTCAGCTCTTGGCTTCAAACACAGTTTGGGACTATCCCAGTGATATTTTGAGCTACCCTTTCAACAAATGCCATTTTTGTGTAAGCTAATAAGACTTGGCTTCTATTGCTTGCAGATCTGATGCAAGGGCATTCTAGTGAGGAGAATCTCAAAATAATTTAGCCATGTGCAGGTGAACTCTTGAGCAAGGATGATAGAGCAATTTTCAAGGATGAATGGAAATTGTGGTGTCTGATTATCTGTAGGAATAAAGGGTGGAAGAGTTTTTAAGCACTGGGGTGAGTTAGTGGACAAGTACTGCAGGATGGTAGGGGTTGAGATTGATCAATGGGATGTGTTGAGCACATTGAGTTATTCTGGAGTTTGCAAATGTTTTTCCCTGTGATTAGGCCATCTGTGCTTGCTAAGTGGCACCCAATAGTTAGGCTAGTATCATTGATTGCAGTGGCAGCCCATCTGGAGCGGCTGCTGCAAAGACACAGGTTGCAGTTGGGGAGGTGCAGCTGGGGCTGTGCACTCCATGGAGCCAGTGGGAGCCAGGAACAGGAGGGAGTCCTGTCCCTTTCTGAGTTGGTCAAAAGGAAGCCCTGTGCTCCCAGGCACAGCTGCAGCTGCCCAGCTGTGGCTGTGGACCCAGCCATCCTTGTGCTCTCAGGGGCCCAGGAAGCTCCCTTGCCTCAGCAGGCTCAGAAGTGCCTGCTCCCACTGCCTGGCCTCTCCCCATTCCCAGTGCCCACTTTGATTTCAGAGCAAAATTGTGGCTGAGCTCAGGTGCTGTCATGACTTGGCTGGGTGTGCATACTCAGGGTAGTACTGACATGCCAGCCTCCTGCTGCCTCAGGCCCCTCCAGACTTTGGCCACTGACAGGCATGGGAGGGAGGCTGAGGGGGTGCTGAGGGCAGCTTGGTGTAGGACTTCAGGCACCCCTCAGCATGAGCAGCCTGGGCCCCATGAATGCCATCAGGAGACATACAGGCTCCTGGGCAGAAAGAGGTGGGTCCCGGGTGAAATCCCACCTTCAAGCCAGGGATGGCCTGAAGGCTGGGGGCCAGGCTGTCACTTCAGTGGATCAGAGTGAGAACTTATGGTGCTTTTTCTAGCCTGCCCATGGCCACCCATGGACTAATCAGCATGCACTTCCTTCCATCTGAAGCCCATAAAAACCTCAGACTCAGCCAGACTTGGGCAGACAATGGGATGACGTACCTGTGGAGAGAACTACCCACTATGGGTCTCCTCTCTATTAATAGCTGTACATTCATTGGGATGACCTGCATGAGAATAGGAGCTACCCACTCTGGGTCCCCTCTCCACTGATGGCTGCACGGATTACAGGACAACCTGCCTGCAGAGAGGAGCTACCCATTTCGGGTCTCCTGAGAGCTCTACTGTCGCTCAGTAAAGCACTTCACCTTGCTCACCCTCCAGTTGTCTGCATACTTCATTCTTCCCAGACGTGGGACAGGAACTCAGGACCCACCAAATGGCAGGACTTAAAGGGCTGTAACACAAACAAGGCTGAAACACAACCTCCTTGCTCACCATGTTGTGAGCATGAGAAGAATAGGAGAGAAAAGAAGAGCTGCAGCCTTTTGTGGGGCCCAGACCCAGGAGCTTCCTAAGCCAAGGCTGTGACACCCTCCTTGGGGCTCTGTGGTTTCTGGCATCTCCAAGCTTCCAGCCACCACCATGTTACCTAGTGCCCACAGTGGAAGCCGCTTGCAATATGCCTGGTTTAGCCACAGCCTCACAGGGAGCTGGCACCCATGCCTGCACCTGGAACTGCCTGCCCCACTGCAGCCAGCGTGCCTTGTTGTGTGCAGTGACTGGAACCCATGTTTGCTCATCCCTCACCACTCTGCACATGGCTCAGCCTTGGCAGGCATGGAATCTGGGCTAGCAGCATGAGCCGAACACAGTCTGCAAGGTTGAGTGGGTGGAACAAGCCCAGCAGGCCCAAGCAAAACTCAAGCAAAGGTGCCACTGGCCACAGAGGTTTCCAGCTGCCAAAGTGGCACCCTAAGCATCTCACGACATCATCTCACAGAGATTGGAAGACAGAGGTGCTATCTTTGTTAATTTAAAAAGGATAGCTCCCAGGACCTTGAGAAAGACATTCCTGGATTGTAAAATTGGCAAGAGGCTTTAAAAAATGTACATCTCAAAGGGGCAGAGAAAGAAGTTACAATTAGAGAGTTTTCTAAAGTAAATTCTCTAAGAAAAGAGAGGCCAGGAAGAATTCTATCTAAAGTTTAGTCAAACAGAGGAGATTTTTATGAGAGTCTTGATCACGCCTAGACTTCCTGAGCAGTTTCCTGCTCAACCCTAGAAGAAGGAAGAAAAAACACCAGGAAATGCTGGTTATTTTTATTTCCTGCTAGATTGATGGAATGGAGTCACAAAGTCAATTAATATAATTGCACAAAATATAGAATGCTTGGCTTCTTGCACACCTGGTCTGGTAACTGTGATTTATTAATATACATCAGATGATTAATCATTTTTTCTCTTTTAAATACACCTCAGAAACCTTTTTAAAGACTTGCTATTTACAGCTCCCCCAAACCAACTACATCCAGAATCACAAACTAATCACTAATAACTAACACCAGAGTTTTACCAGTATTTATAATTAAAATCTAGTCATATGTGGTAAAACAAACAGGAAATGAGCATCTGTCATGCTCAAGGCATGAGCATATGTTTAGGAAAACTGGTAAATAGAACAGTGAGTGACTGTAAACTCAATTACCAACTTTTTAAAAGACAATAATGTAATAATTATGAACAAGTATAAGAAAGAATGCAAAATCTACATTTTAAATTTTTTAAATAAATGATGTTTTAAATTAATGTGAGTATATTGTATAAGATGGTTAATGTTGGAATATACCTTTATATGCCTATATATTGAATATACATTTAGGAGTATTAGAATGTAAGTACTAAAAAAGATTCAAGAAATCACAAAATGACAGATGGATAAAACATACCAATACATTCCAATGGAATTGCTCCTAAATTATATTTATATTTATTTCATATTTCCTGAACAATTTTCTAATTATTACCAGTTAGTAAGTTTCCCAAGCTAATATTTCAGTCTATTACTTTCAACAGAAGTTGCAGTCATTTAAATTATGAGGTTAAATTTCTATTAAATAACAGAAGGAAAAATAAACTGATTAGATTTATTCGAAGATGTATTCTAACATACTGAAAGTTGACTTCTATTGGACAAAATTTTTTCCACTCTAATTCCTCTTTGCATTAGCCCTTTCATCTAAGGTGTGTCGTCTGTTTCACAGAGACAACTGTCAGTCTCTTAAAAACCAATAAATAATATAATATGCTTAGATAAATCTAAAGGAGCTGTTCATGGTATATATTCACCGAGTTTCAGTTTAAGTAGGCACATTTCTATTTTTGTATTTGATTTGAGTATGGCCTATAGTCTTGTCCTTTTCCCTCCTCTTACTGAAGTGCCATACAAACTCTTTTTTCTATTTTCCTTTTTCTTTTTCTTTACTGGACCTGTTCTGGAAAAAAAGGAAAAAGGTTATATTATTTTCTTTTCATGCCAAATTTTCTTGGTTAGTGTATTGACAACTAAAGAGTTTTTATATGCCAGTGTAGCTTTAGTTACGCAGTAAGTGGCTATTGACATTGTATGTAAATTGAATTTTTAAGACATTAAATCACGTATTAAATAAGTGTGAAAGGGGCTGTGTATAAGTTGCTGCCCAGTCTCTAAGAATATTTCTACCTGGCCCTGGTCACTTGTACCTTGGTCAAGAGGCAAAGTTATATTTTGCTCTCTCATTCCCTTACTCTCAGCTTAAGCCTTTACAGCAGCCTTTGTATGGAAAAAAGAAAGAGAACTGGTTCTGTGTAAATAATCCCCACTTATGTGAAGGATTTACTGAGGTCTTTGTTTCTACTTACCGTGGGCATCTATACAAGAACTGCAAACAAATGGCCTGTGCTGTTGAGAATTCACTTACTGTTTTAGAAATGGGGTGTAAATTTTGTAGAATAAATGGGAAAATATGAGAGGGAAATCAACATTAAATGAGTACTTCATCTAATTACCTCATCTAATAATACTAATTTGTCTGCAGGACAATGTTGTAAATGATTGGACTAAAGCTCACATTTTAGATAAAGAAACTGATATCTAGAGAAATCTGGAATTTGGCTAAAGCGTAGAGTAGAGGTCTAATTTCTAAACCTGTAGATTTTACTGCACGACACGGTGCCTCCTATAATGATAATGGCTCACTTTTATTAAGCACTCAACATGTGCCAGAAATTCTTCTAAGTGTTTTAAAGCTGTTGGTGCTTTGCGACCAAAGACCACCAGGCTGCGGTTGAATAATTTGGGACTGTGACTCATTGTAATGAGGAAGAACTCACATCATCAGGAACTATGGGGCATCTCAGTGCGAAACTATTGAAAGGACTTATTATAGGATTTAGGTTTATTATCCTGATTTGGATGGTTTTAGAAAAGATTTCTGAAAGTAGGTCTTTGCTGTGGCTTGGATGCTGTCAGGAAGTGGGAGTAATTCTATGATGAGTTATGCTAATCTTATCTAGAAGGGCAGGCTAGAATGAGGTCAAAGCTGTAACTGGTTGAGAAAACAGTCACACTCATATTAGGCAGGAGAGGGGAATATTGAGGTCATTTTTGTGGGTTGCACAATGATCAGGTTTTTGTCTCTGTGCAAGCGTGATCATCAAATGGCCTTGTTTTGCTCTTGATCCATCATGGTCATGTGTCACCTGTGGCCTTTTCTGATGTTGATATTCTATAACATTGTTTATGTTCAACAGGAGAGAACCAAGACTTAGTTTATAGTACCAGACTAGTTCCCAAATGTCAGAGGCCACTTTTATCTTTCTTAATCTCTTCTTTTGTCCACAGGCAGATAACATTAGGCCACAGCACATTAATCCATGACATCTGAAATTTCATCATTGTTGAGATTTTGCTGATCAGGAGTTCCTTTAGAGAATGCAGTCTTTACTTAGACTAGAGTTAGTCTCTCCTGCTCCTTTTGTTGTAGGATGAATTGTTGAACTTTCTGAAGGAACAATGGCTGTGCAACTGCATTTAATTAAGTCCCTGACAGGATACATTGGCTAATGTAACACAAGCAATGATCAGAAACACAATGACTATTAGTTCTTGAAACAAGTTTGGAAACCTGGTTCCTAGATTATAAAACCCATATAATACATCCAGCTGGGTCTGAAAAAGATCCACCATAGCCTTATTTATTAAATTAAAATATTGAGGAGGAGATATCCTTAATATATATAAAGTCATTAAATAAATTATAGTGCATTAATAAAAGGAACAATTTTCATCCAGTTAAAAATGATGTTGTAGATAAATATCCATTGGTATTGGGAGATGTTTATGAAGTATAGTTAAGTGAAAAATTCAGGTTGTTAAGCAGAATATTGGCATTTAATCTATATGCATAGAAAAATGTGTGGACATAAATTTATGAATGTGTTAACTGTAGTTGTCTCTAAGAGGTGTGTTTATGAGAGATTTTAAATTCGTTTTGTCTTTTGGCTTATCTGCAGGTTCTCATTTTTCATCATCAACATATATTCTCTTTTAATAACTAAAAAATAAATGTTTCTTCATATAATGGAATTATGGTTGATTTCTATTTCTATTTCCATTTTTTATATATTTTGTGATTTTTGAAAATATCCTAAACTATCAATATTATTAACTAAAAATAAGAAAACAAAATAGTATCTAAAAGCACCAGTTTATATTAAAATAAAAAATGAAAAAAGTTGAGGAGTGATTGACAACTCAAATACAAAGTAGTGTATACATTGTAGGGTCATTGATTATTTTGTTTTAGCTACATTTTACGTTTTAGTACCTGGCTTGATATGGATCCTGATCATCCTTCATTTTCAATCACTTTAGGGAGGTAAGAAAGCTCTTTATTTAATTTCTGGTTCCAAATCTATTATAATGGTATTTTAAATTTTGATTTAAATCTAAATGAATATTTTTTGCTTCCTTTATTATGTAATAATATTATCTAAATATAATATAAAAATTTCCTTCTTTTCAATACATAAAGCTCATCTTTGGTTATTGCTTTAAAAGCCTTAATAATTTTGAATAATAGAAGTTTGCATTATAATATTTATCTTGTCCATGACCTCAATGGAAATGTTCCAACAATTTTGTCTTTAGTTGTTTACTCATTTACTAATTAACTTAACATATATTCTAATGTTAGGGTGCAGGTATCTATCTTAAGTCATATTTTTAAAGTGTTATATATTTTATCATAATATTTTAAATAATTCCAAATTTTGTAAATATTTTTGGATTAGTATGAATACACCAAATATAATTGTACTCTAGTTGTATCATTATATTTCCAGAATACATATGACTTAAATATAACATTTTATTTAATAATAGGAATGAAATTGATCTGAGTTCTGTATGCTGATTTTTATTTGGGGTTTATGCACCTTTATACATAAATTTGTAGATATTTTCTTTTCACAGTTTCATTGTCTGATTTACGTATTAGGTTTATTCAAGGAATTGAGATGTTTTCCATGTTGTTTCTTCAAGAACTGCAAAGATTCCAAGATTTTTACCTTCCCTGCAAGCTAAACAAGTTAGCTTAACATGGTTTGAGAGATACTGGGACAAGACAGGAGACCTTTGAGTTGGAAACAAAAGACAATGTGTTACCAGCAACAATAGGACTAGCCAGAGTAACAATGTTGTGCTGCTTCCTTGAGCCCCACTTTCCACAGGGCAACAAGAGAACTGCCATGCAATATACACCCCAGTGGTGTGTGTGAGAAGAGAAAAACCCTAAGTTTAGAAAACCTGATCTTGTATAGGAGGCTGCTAGCAAACAGTATATGCACATCTCTTCTACAGAGAGGTATTTTTCATTATATTGGACAGTGAATAAACCTGCTCCAATGGTAAACAGTGTTTCTATTTTCTGAAGCTGCTTGCTATCTTTGAAAATACAGTATCAAGCAAGTTAGATGTTAAGAATTTTCACAATTCTGTATGCCTCAAAAGGTGAGGCACGCAAGATTGTGTAAGACTTATTGAGAATTGTTTCCAACATTTTGTATTCTGGAGAAGTTCAAATATATCAGGAATTAATTATTTTCTGAATGTTTGATATAAAATATGAGTAAATACAAAAAAACTAAAGTTTTGTTCAGAAAGTATTTTTTTGACATTGCTTATAGATCTCCATTGATTATTCTTTTTATTAAGTTTCTTGGCTGCTTGTATTCTCCCAGAAAATAACGTTCATAAAGATTTTTTCACATATAGTAGCATGAAGTGGACTAATATATTATTCTATAAGATTTTTTAATCCCCTTCCATATTATAGCCATATAGTTTCTGACTCCTATTACTTTTGTTGTTGTTTTTTTATCATCAGTTTCCAAGTCAGGATGTATCATAACAAGAAGTGCTGAGGGAGTGGTGTGTCCTGTATTTTTTTAAATTAAATGTATTAGAAAGTGCATTTTTTTAAATTCCATTAGTGTTTGCCTCTATGCTTTTCAAAAGCATTTTAACTACATTTCTTAAATTGACAGAGTCAAGAGAAATAATACCTTATGAGTTTGTTGAAATAATCTGCAATTTTAGGAATATATCTCTATGTTATACACACATACATAGGAAGTCCTCACTTTGACAGTTATGACATGCATAAATTTCATTTCCCACAGTTAGTTAAATAACACCAATTATCAAACCATATGGCTTAAATTTCAGTTACTATGTTATGCTAACTGTGAGTAATTGCATCAAGTGCAAATTCACTACTAGCCTTTCAATCTATAGATAACTATCCAAATAATAGATGCATATCATGATCAGTGACCAATCATATCACTCCAAAGTCTATTAATTACTGTTTGCTATGGTTTTAATGTGTTTCCAAGGTTTATGTGTTGAAAACTTGATCCACAATGTGACAGTGTTAGGACATGGGGTCTAATGGGAGGTGTTTGTGTTATGGGGACATCACCCTAATGAATGGATTAATGCTGTTATCACAGGAATGTGTTTGTAATCATGAGAGTGTGTTCCTTATACAAGGACTAGCTTGGCCCCCTCTTGTTCATTCTCTCTCACATACTCAGTCTTTGTCCATCTGCCTTCTGCCATGGAATGATGCAGTAAGAAGGCCCCTGCCAAGACTGGTTCGTCAGTCTTGAACTTCCCAGCCTCCAGAACTATCAGCCATTAAATTTCTATTCATTATAAGTTGCATAATCTGTGGTATTCTGTAATGGCAGCATAAAATGAACTAAGACATTGCTCATCTGTTATTTAGTTTATTCTCACACAGCAAAGCATGCATTTGTGTTGCCTCCTTACCCATATGATACATGCATTCTACATTTTACCAAATTGAGTAATTTGAAGGGGGAATTGGGTAACAAAAATGAAAGTAAGCAAAAAAACAAAACAAAACAAAACAAAACCAAAAAACCCAAAATGATAATGCTATAAGTGAAGCTGGATGTGATTGGACGATTTTAAAATGGCAATAGGAAAGCTAATAATAGAGCAAGACCTAGGCTTGCATAAAGCTATCTATGAATCCTACTGAAAATGTCCAATGGATATAAAAAACAGGGTAAAGTTGCTTCAACATTTTTTAGTTGAAATTGCACAAAAAAGGGACATTGCTATGGCTAAATGGGGCATTTATTTCTATTTGGTTTGCAAACCATATTTAAACAAAGATCACAAGCAAAGATTACACTATACAAACTAGTTTGTCTAGTGTTCAGGCCAAAGTGAGGAAGTTATATACTGCATGACAGAAAATAGTAATTATTTACTGCCAGTTAATGCTTGTTTCATTGTTTCAAAGGTGGGCATAAATTAATGATTAGTGTTAAACTGTCTGACAAAACTCCTAGCATAACTAAGATGACTGCTGTAAAATTTGTCCCCTGATTCCAAGGATTACTTAATGCAGATAGTTATGATGATCATCAAATATTTATGATTGATGAGAAATATCTTTTGTGGAAGGCAATCTCATCAAGAGCTTATGCAACAAAAGACACAGGATTATAAAGTGGCCGTAAAGGAGAGACTAGAGCTATGCAGCCAGAGGAACTTAATGGAGGTGAACTTTTTGACATAAATGAGGAAAGTGGTTGTGATGAAAAGGAAGATGTTACAGATGAAGTGACCCTGGCAAGATATTTCACATTAAAGAAACTTTGGTGATGTTTCACATCATCAAAACACAAGGGATAAAGTGTTGGAAGTTGATTATGGTTGGCAGAATAATGGTCTTCCAAAAGATGTTCATGTCCTAATACCTGAATCCGAATATATTCGGTTGCATGGAAAACCGGAATTAAGGTTGCAGATGGAATTAATTTTCCTAATCTGCTGACTTTAAACAAATTAACCTGGATTATTCAGGTGGGCCCAATGTAATTATAACGGTCATTAGAAAATGGAAGAGAAAGGCAGAAGATAGGAGCGAGAGGGAGATGTGATTATAGAAGAATGGTCAGAGAAATGCAACGTTGTTGTCTTAGAAGATGGAGGAAGGGGACTGTGAGCCAAGAAATGGCTTCTGGAAGCTGTAAAATGCAAGGAAATGGATTGTCCTGCAGAGCCCCCAGAAAGGAAAACAGTCCCACTGATACTCTTATTTATGCCTAGTGAGACCTATGTCGGACTTCTGACATACATAACTGTAAGATAAGTTTGTATTGATTTAAGCCACTACACTTGTGATAATTTGTTACTGCAGTAATAGAAAACTAATACACTGATCCAAAAGTAGAACTATGACAACTCACTAAGGCATACAAAAGATGGTTCCTGCATGACACGAAAGCAAAAGCTGTTCAAACTACCTGTGATAAATTTTTACAAAGAAATAAAATACTTTAATTCTAAGGATTCCTAATATTTTAACTTACAGTATATTAAGTAAATCTTAGTTTTACTATGTTTTATTTTCCTATGTATTTATAACTTATAGTATGTGTTTTAAATGTTTTGACAAAAATATTATAAGGTCACAGAACAATTTCATTTTCCCATTGAATATAAACATTTCATTGCATGGTTCCAGCCTAAGTGATCATTGATCATTTTTATGGTCTTCTACCACCATGCAAAGTGTGGACTGAATAAACACACACACACACACACACACACACACACACAAATATAAGAATTTGAATTGTTTTATACTATAATTCAAAATCAATGTGTATTTTTATTATAGATGATTTTAGTGTTTACTAATAGTTGTTTATGTTATACTTTCTCATTCTTAAGCTCATACATTTGCTTCATCTTATATTTATATGTGGTACAAAATTTCAAGTCAAAATTTTATTAATGATAGCTAGCATATTCTTTTCTCTGTCCTTGAATGATTTCAAATAATTTTCTTTTATTTATTTTATGTGATAAACTTGATGGAGTACAGAATTTTGTGATATTGACTTTACCCCTTATAACTGTCAATAGACACTCTCTTTGTTGTACCAGGAGTTTGGAGTACACTTTGTTTTCAACAGCTTTCATAGAATCTGAAATAATGAAATTCTGTGGCCCTCAAAGGAATATGCTATTACCATTGATGACACATGATAGTGTCCCAAGCACTAAGTCTGAAGGATAAATATAACAATATAACACTATTCATCTTTTTTGGGGGGGTGGGGAGGAAGGTCTTGCTCTGTCACCCAGGCTAGAGTACAGTGGTATGATCATGGCTCACTGCAGCCTCAACCTTCTGGGCTCAGTGATTCTCCCACCTCAGCCTCCTGAGTAGCTGAGACTACATATACTGGCCATAATATTCAGCTAATTTTTGTATTTTTTTTTTTTTTAAAGATGGGGTTTTGACATGTTGCCCAGGCTGGTCTCAAACTCCTGGGTTCAAGTGGTCTGCCTGGCCACTATTCATCTTTCTTAAGACTTAATTTTACACAAAAGTTTTTCTTGGGTGGGAGGAGAAACATTGTTTTTAATACTAAAATGTTCATGCATATATTATGGATCAGAAAAGAAAAACTTCAACAAATCTTAAAACAAAAAAAATTTTGAAAACTTCTAGATGTGAAAGGAAATTTAGGTTTTTCCCTTTCTACTGCCATTAATGATACTCTGTTAAAAATACATGAGAGTCATGAAGATAATATTTATATTCCAGTTACCTGATTTCTTTCTCCTCCTGTGTCTTTATTAACATCTGGAATTATATGTCTCAGAATTCATGGTATCACAACTAGTCTTCCTAGTACTGCCAAGCTGTCTTATGCTAAAATAGAGTTTGGGGCAAGAAAGGTTGACAGGATTACTATACTAAACGCAACAGAACAGTGTCTGAATTAAAGGAATGTCTCATTAATTTGCTTTTCAAAGGGATTGGTGATTTGGGAGGTATACAAAATTTTTCTAACTTTTCATATGTATCTATGTATGCACATGTTGGGATGTATATTCACATATATTCATAAACATAACTGGGATAATATCAAATGTGTCTAGCATTGTTCTGAGCACTAAACTTATTTATTCATTTATATCCCAGTATATATACAAATTTGTCTTTCATTTTTATCATAAATATATTTTTGGTATTTCATCTATCACTAAATACATATCTACATTATTGTTTGAATCTGCATCATATTCTATATGTCAGAATATTTCTTAATTTTCCTGTTCTTGCACTTTTAAGTTATTTCTAGCTTTTAATTATTGTAAATATAATCTAGTTGCAAAATCTTGCATCTCAACTCTGCCTTTTTTCTTTCTTTTTCTTTTTCTTTTTTTTTTTTTTTGAGTCGGAGTCTCTTGCTCTGTTGCCAGGCTGGAGTGCAGTGGCTCGATCTCGGCTCAGTGCAACCTCTGCCTCATGGGTTCAAGTGATACTCCTGCCTCAGCCTCCCAAGTAGCTGGGACTACAGGCGCATGCCACCACACCCAGCTAATTTTTGTATTTTTAGTAGAGATGGGGTTTCACCATATTGGCCAGGATGGTCTCGATCTCTTGACCTCGTGATCCGCCCGCCTTGGCCTCCCAAAGTGCTGGGATTACAGGTGTGAGCCATTGCTCCTGGCCTGCCTTTTTTCTTAATGCAAATTATTAGAAGTGAATTACTGGGTCAATGTGTATGATTATTTTTAGTGCTAATGAATGCATTCTTTTTTTTCCAGAAAATTCAAAGCTGAAAATATTTCATTAGAATTGCAGCTTCTGTAGATCCTCAGTAACCGCATTTTAGTCTTATAAAAGCTAATATACTATAGTTGCCAGTTTCAAAAGCTAATATACTGAAGTTAATGGGCAATTCCAAACCCTTTTCCTCAGAGGAGCCAATTGGCTCCTCTTTCCAAGTTGAAAGAGGAAGTACTATTTATCACAATGTTATGCAACTCTAGATATGGCTGAAGGGGGTGCAGGAACCAGGCACTGACTCAACACAAGCTGTTCCAATCAGATTTTCTTCCAGAAATTAAAATTGAGACACAAAAACAGAGTCATTTAACTGGAAATATCTAAGTCAGACAATCATTAAAGATCAAAAACTAATATCATAATTTTAGGAAAGCCACAGCTGGCCATGTGTAATTGGATATATAAGTAGAGAAGTGAGTTTACAGAAAAACTGTGAAGTAGATAACACTTAGAAAAAAGAGGAAAAAAGAATGTGAAGACTCAGGACTATAAAGAAAGACAAAGGGAGTGGCAGACTAGAGCATTCCTACTTCTGTGGATTCTGAATATTCTTCCTAATATTAGATTCCATGAAATTATTCTGAATCCTTCAGATTGAGCTTATGAACAACCTGTTTTTAACCTTTGCCATACTGGTATTCTTGAAGACATATTTATTATAATATAAAGTAGGAAGGCAGTTAGAGCTTTTTGTCCCTCAATTTCTGAAGCAGTATTAGCAGCAATCATTTTACCTATGTGAGCCAATGCAACTGGATTTCCGAGGTTCTAGATGGACATATAGGAGTTACTACAATCACTATTCCAGAAAGTCAAAAGAATTTGCATGGAGTCTATTGCAGTGAAGTGATGCAGCTGAAATGCTATCGATGGAGTGGTAGAGAGAAAGGTGAGGGCCATGCTGTTTAGATATTTTAAAGAGAGAGAAAATGGGAAGATGAACTAGCTAATATTGGTTAGAAAATCTCTTGGTAGCAGAAATAGAAATGTGGGTTGTATCGAGCCTATCAGTGGAACAATCTCTGGAGATAATGATGGTGATAAAATAACCTTTGATACAATGTGCCTACTCCTTTTCACACATTGTTGCTCACTGGAAAAAACGTAAGATATCAGGAAGCCTAGGTTCTGGTATTTTGTTTCTATATATCTGTATGCATTTTGGTAAATCAATCAACTTCCTTCTAAATTATTTTCTATTTTTAATTAGAAAAATGTCTGATCTCCCTGTCTTAACCATTCATTGACTGAAAGAAAATGAGTAATAAAAAATGTTCTAAAAAATTAAAGCTCTATTATAATTGATTTATCATATTGCTATATGGGAGAGACCATCTTGTTAAAATTTGACCACTGTTACTAGATGGTCAGGTTAACCTTGAAGTTCACAGTAAGTCCTATGCAATTCAGTCTTCAAAGGTTAGCAGAATACTGATGAATGCCTATTGTTGAGTGTAACAGTTAATAGCACACTAAAACCTACTATTAACACTCCAGAAACTGCAAAAATGCGTACTTGGCAATAGGTTTTGGCCAGTTGACATTGTTATTTTACATGGGCTGAACATGGCTAAATTTTTAATTTAGTATTTTTTGGAAGATGAAAAGCTTTTTGAATGTTTTAAATCAAGATCATGGTTAGACTTTCATTCTAACTAGTCTAATTAGCTAATTAAGCATGCTCTAATGATGGGCTGTATGATCAGTTAATCAAATAACAAGAGGGTAAAAATGAATTTTCTAGGAATTATTCCACCAAATATTTCAGTCTTCACCAAGTACTTTCAGACATTCATGTCTAAATGACTGTTTTAGATTAACAAGTACTTCCTTTTATATGTCTTCATGTTAAATGGACTGTATTTTTGAAGGTAATCTTCGTTATGTCTAGATGACAAGGCAACTAGTTCAAGGTATATTGGCATTATTCTAATCTCATAATTTCTATAAAATATAATTTAAGATTATGATCCTGTATTGAATTACTATGTATTTTTGAATCATAGAACAATTTCAAATACAATTATGGAAGGTGAAAAGTTTAATTCTTCAAGGATTTTATTATTTATAAATGCTAATGAACATGGGTTTTAGCCAAATTCTTGATATAAGATCAGTGTAGCAACATTAAATCATCATTAGAAACTTCAAATATTGTTTGTGATGATAAGCACATATTAGTGTTAAGCATTTCAAATGTCATTCTAATAATAAAAATCACGTATTTATCATTGCAAAGATCCCTTTTTTTAACATAGTTTCAAATGCTATTTTATAGCCTCCCACTAAATATTACTCTTAAGTAGTTATACTCATTTTGAAATAATTTTAAAATCTTTTCTAGACGCACAATTAATTCTGCATGAGAATTCCTAGATTCTTTAGACTCTTATGAACGTAGTTCTTATATCAAAATTGTAGTTATTCCCTATTATTTCAGTCAACATTTTCATGATAGAAGAGGAGCAAGATCTAATTTTGCAGTTAAAATGCTAAATTTAGTTGGAAGGTTACATCTTGCCATTACCTTAAACAGATGTGGGATAAGATAATGAGCATAAAATTAATTACGGACAATAGTGAAAATATTTTAACTTGAAAATTTCATAAATCTATGTGGATTTAAGTGCTTTCCTCCTTCCCACACATACCTTGCAAAAATTCAGAAAATGAATCCTGACAATGAAATCATTAGAGAACTGCATTCCATTCTCAATGACTTAACAAAATTCTGAATAATATTTGCATTTTAGCTGTTATAATATTACTTTTTATTTGTAAATGTTTATGTCAAATACATAAAAATTAAACATGGACTGGACAATTATAAGATCTTGGGGAAATCATTATGTGTATTAGGGTTTAGAATGCAATGGAAGTGCCATTGAAAATTTCTCTTTAGGGAAATTTCTTTCTAAGGTTATGATGCTATAAGATGTTTCTAACCAGTGTTGAGAAAGATAGTTTGGTTCAGGAAGATTTTGGAGTCAAGGAAACACATTAGTTGGCATTAGCAATCCAAGCAAAAATGTCAAAGCTTAAATTTGGTAAGATGGTGATAAGGTGATGATGGAAATTGATAGTAAAGAGAGTATAAAAAATGCAATAGGACTTGGCCACCAATTGGTTTATAAGTGAGAATAGTGAAATATGTTTTTCTCCCACGATACTATAAGAATAGTGAAACTGAGATATATAAAGGAGGACATAACTATTTAATAGAATTGGAGAGAGTTTTCACTTGTAAAATAGTAAATAAAAGTATTTGAAATCATGTAATGCCATACACTGGACACTTGAAAGAGAGAAGAGCTAAAACTATGCAGAGTTAGAATAAAATTGAAGCATATAATATAGTTGGAAATACTGAGGGAAAGAGTGGAAGAAAATGCAGAGGATTACAGTGCTTTTGGAGACAGAGAAAAAAGGGTGAAAAAATTAGGAAAGATCATATGATTTGTTTAGAGTTAAACAGAACTTAAACTAATTTTAGTGGGTGAGAGTTTAATGAGCAAATGTTAAATTGTCAAAGTGTAGAAGAGAATAAGAATAAGAAAATAGGAGGAGAGGCAATAGATTTCTTCCCTTAAGAGTTTGGGGAAAAAAGAGAAAAAGTAGAAGCCATTTAGGATTTACTGCACTTTTTGCTTATTTATTCTTTCTGGTTTGAGGTTAGCATATATTTTGGCAGAAAGAACAAAACCTATCAGGAAGTGGCAATGACAACCTGGAGAGTGAGGAATGGAAAGTTTAGAGAAGCACACGACCTTGAATGTGTAGTATTCAGAGCACAAGGGTAATTCAAGAGGGGCTTAAATAGCAAAGGTTTTGTCAGAGTTTGGTATCATTTCAAATATGTTAAAGATGAGTCACAAACTATAGAGGAGAAGATGTCCTGAAGGTCTTCTTTCTGTACCTTCAAATCCACTGTTCCCAAACTGGGTGCTTCCCTGTTGGGAAAAGTGTGGGGTGTATTACTGATATGGACTTCCCCTTTGGGCCAATTAGAGGCACCAGGGATAGATGCTTGGAGAGTGGAAGAAGTGAGATAGGATGTTTATTCCCTGGCACCCTGCTTGCTAGGTTGTAACCAGTGGGCTGAATCCCCCTAAAGCCACAGGTGTGGTCTGGCTACCTTCCCCAATGCATTTAACTCTCTGGGTTGTGGCAACAGCCCTCTGTCTTTGCATCATAAGGTTTAAGAGTTGTAAAAGTTCAGCACAGTTAAGGGCTACAGCATAGAAACTAATCATCCTGTTCATATTTCTTTAGAAAACAGTGTCCTATTAATCATTCTTCAAGTTTTCCAGTTTTAAATGTGTCATCCGTTTAATGCCAATGTTGTAAATGATAAGATGTTCAAGACTATAAGAACCTAAAGGATTAATCAACAGATCTGCAAAAACAATTGAGGAGAGAGAGAAAAAGAGAGAGAGAGTCTCTCTGGATGAAAATAGTAATTATAAAAAGGTGGAAAGTTCAGAGACCAGGTCTTTTTCACTATATCTAGGCTTTTCTTCATCAGAATTCTGTCTTCTTACAACCTTTACATATATTCACATAGTTTCTTGACTTGGAACTTGGTTTTTGAGCCTTATATGATAATTTGTTTGTTTTTTTAATACCCTCTCCTGGTGTGCATAACCCTGACAAAGAGAAATTATAAAATTTAAATAAAATAAAACAATTGTGTTCTAGCCTGGAAACCACCTCCTCTTGCCATAAAAATTTTTAATCTGATGTGAGTTGTGACCAAATTATCATAAGTTACATCACCTTTGAGTCAAATTGTAATATTCAGTCATTAAGCAAATATTTATCAAGTGATATTGTGGCACTAGGGATCATAGAAAATGTCCATGTACCTGTCAGCCTTTTAGCCTACTGAGAGAGGCAAAAGACAAATAGAAAAAGAGAGAAAGAAGATAATTTTGGATAGTGTTGAATTCTATGAAGAAAAGAATCCGGGCAATATGGTGGTTAAGAAAGATTTCTCTTATATTAGAGATGAGGCCTATAGGAAAGTAAAGGGTGAATCAGCAAAGATCCTGTGCTCCAAGGAAAGGGAAGAGATAGTGCAAAGTCCTATGGCAAGAAGATCTTGGTGTGCTAGAGGGGCAAGAAGGTCCGTGTGGCTGGAGCACTACGCCCTAGGAGATGGGGCCAGAGAGACAGTCTGGAGTCAGATCACCATGCCTTTTAAGGTCTTTGTAAGGGGTTTGGCATTTATTCTACAGGCACAGAAGGTTCCTGGAGAGTTTGAGCACACTGGTGACATGATTTGTTTTAATTTTTAAAACGTTACACCTGCTGCTGTGGGAAGCCTAGATTAGAGGCAGGCAAGAGCAAAATTGAAGATTTATCAATAATAATGTTATTTGAATGTTTACTGTTGAAAAGCATGGCATTATCTCATTCAACCTCAAAACACCCTATGCTTTAGGTAACTTTATTAGTTATGACGTTAGCAATTAAGCAAGTTGCCCTGGGTCATGCAGTTAGCTTGTGCTAGAGACCAAGATCAAAACCAGGCCATCTGACACCATAATCTTCACACGACACTGTGCTCATCACTCTGGGAACTCATATTCATTAGAGTTGGCTATAATCCATCAGGCAATATTGAAGTCCTCAAAAACAATCTTTTTATCATATGACCACCAGTGTCAGTGGAAAATGCTGGAGACGGAAAACACCAGAAACACTTAGCAGCAATGAAAGATAAAATGAAACAATGAATTGTCAGACCTTATAATTTTCAGGACAAGGTGTTCTTTTACAAAAGCTTTCCCTTGTCTTATTTAAGCCAGCATTTATATATCTCACCTCTATTTTCCTTGCAAACATTTATTTTAAGCCATTTTTGGATTCAGAATGCTAGATTATTTGGAAAATTTCTTAATATGGAAACGTTAGTGATCTCATCTGAACAGCTTAGAGAGTTCAATGGAGAAGTTCTCCACATATAAAGATTAAAATATATCCTCACTCCAATGACTCTTTAGCCAAGCATTTTTCTTTTTAAAGCACATCCAAAAATAAAACAGAATTTGGATGAGGCTTACAAAGCATGCTTGTTCTGGTAACATAAATGGCAAGTGAGAAAAGGGGTGGTGAATGACTAACACAAGTTCACTGAAGATGACAATATGTGATTTAGTCACCTCTGGCCAGGAAATATGCCTCCATACAAAATGAGAAGCTCACACAAATAGCACAGAGCTCTGGAGCCTGTGGATACATCTATACAAGGTAACAAAATGACCAAAACTCTGTCCATTCCTCTGACCCTTCTAAGCCTGATAATGTGGATCTGTGCACAAGTGATTTGAACGTGGTAACAGCAATTGTGGAGATGACTGAGTTTGGTCCTAATCCTCCAGCCCCTCTTTTTCTACCTAGGAAAATGCTAATGAATTACTCTGAAGAATCATCTAAAGATATTTACTAAGTTTTCTCCTACAACATAAATAAAAGAAGAAAAAAAAAGACATTCACATTTTAAACATAAATATCTCTCAAAATTGGAGAAAAGACCAACTTCAATGTAGAGAAAAAGTGAAGCCTCTTGTTTATATCCCTTATACATAAGTATTCATTTAAGATGGTAGTAATATAAGACTTTCTCACAAATATTGATTTATTTTTTTACAAGCATAAAGTAATGTGTGATTTGATACAATATCTGGGCCTATTTTATTTACCAAGCCCTACAACTTTGTATTGGCCTTTAACAAACAAAATGACTTCTAGCAATTCTTCATACCTTTTGACAGATAGTTCCCATTTTCCTCTATTATGTCTCCACTCCAGAAGCCACAGACAATAATAAAATGTCATCAAGATTGAAGAGCAAGATATATTCTTTTACTCTGTTTGAAAGGTCTGCTACATGTATGACCAGAAATTTCAGGGGTTTTCAGATTGGGAACATAGAAAATCTTATGTTGAATTATTCTTAAAAAGCAAGGCATTTCAATAATTGGCCAGTAAAGTTAAGTGATAATTAAGGCTATTGCTTAATTTTATAAAATGACATTTAAATATTGGTATTTGAAACAAGTTTTAAAATGTTTAAAGAAATAGAAAAATAATAGCAGTGAAACTTATGTGTTATTTGAAAACGCATTATTTTTCTTAAATGCAACACCTACTAATACCAGAGAGCTCAAGTTAAAAAAAATAGCATTATTGATGTTTTTCTCCTGATGAGATGAATACATGTCTGTGATTTTTTTAAGCAGAGGAAAGTGAAACTGTCTTTATCAAAACTACAGTTGTAAAATTCTGTGTTCACTTAACGTTATAAAACAGGAAAAAACTGGACTCTAAAAAGAGCTCTCTAAACATGGAGGAAATGCTGTTAAAACAAGTACAAGTCAAAATATTTAAATCTTATATTTTACATTAAAGAATGTTCCATAGCTTCAATTTAGAAAAGACCAGAAAACTCAGTGAACATTTTTAGAGGATTTAAGAAAACAAAATTAATTTGATTTTAAAAGATAATAAACAATCCAATCCAAAGTAGTGACAAGTTTAATTCTGATATGCAGTTACAAATCTTCTTTTAAAATATCTCTGTTTTGTTTATCTTCTTTTTTTTTTTTTTTTTTTGCAATTACTATTTTCTGTCACTTAGGACTCAGCAGCAAAACTCCAGACAAGATTTGTAAGGTAGATCACATGGGAATAAATAAAACTATTTTTGAATGACTTGTCTCCTGTTAAAAAAATTTATATTTTATTGTAAAACTCAATCTAAAATTACAATAAAATTCACAACTTCTTGAGGCATGTACTAAATTGCCATATTAGGTGTTCAGTGTCAATTAGTGATGGAAGACCAGACCACATAAGACTGTGGCAGGAAAAACAAGACTTTTGGAATCATTCTTATGTTTTAATGCTGGGGCAAAACTAACAACTGCTAAACTAGAAAAAAAGCAAATTTAAATTAATATATTGCCATTTTTTGATAAGTTATATAAATTCTGATTCCTCCAGACCAAATTCTGCCTTTTAATCAGAAAGTACTGATTTTACTTGCAACATGAAGTCATAATTTGATGTGTAGTTTAAGAAATGATATTCAGGAACAGTTTAGAAACAGAAAAAAGAGAGAAAATTGCATTCTTCTCTAAATTATAAAGAACATAATTCCAGAGCTCTATTATATTTGTTCTACAATGCACAAATTCAGGCAATATCTAAGTCTCAGAGCTAATCTTCAGTTAGGGAATAAAATGCTGTGTGTTTTTTGTTTTGTTTTTTTTTCTGTTGTCCTTTCTTTGGCATTTTTGAGACAAGGTCTCTGTTGCCCAGGCTGGAGTGAAGTGGTCCCAATCATGGCTCACTGCAGCAATCTTCCTGTTTCAGGCTCCTGAGTAGCTAGGATGACAGATGTGTGCCACCATGCCCAGTTAATTTTTTTTTTTTTTTTTTTTTTTTTTTTTTTTTTTTGTAGAGACAGGGTCTTACTATGTTGCCCATGCTGGTCTTGAACTCCTGGCCTCAAGCAATTCTCCTGCCTTGGCCTCTCAAAGTGCTGGGATTACTGACATGAGCCATTGTACTTAGCCATAAAGTGCTGTTGAAGTGATAAACGTGTCTCTATATAAGAAATGTGGAAGAGATAACTTGTTGTGAACTCTAGTACATAAAATATTTTATCATATTTTATTCTTTCATTTCTTCATTATTCCCTTCATTCATTTGCTCATTTAATAAATATGTATTTGATGTTCAATGTGATCTAGATTCTCTGCTAGAATCTGAAGCATCTAGCAGCATCTTGTTGGGAGTTTACATTTCAGCAGATAGGTAAGAAATTACACGATAAGGATTTTAGCAGAAAAAATATTACTGGGGAAGACCATTTAGACACATTTGTTTTAAACTATTCAGTTGCTTATTCATTCAGTCATTCATTCATCACATATTTATTCAACATTTAGTATATGTCAAGCACAGTGCTAGAAACTTGAGTGCAAGGCTTTGTCTTTTACCGTGACATCTATGGCTTTTTGCCTCACTTATTGTGGCTCAAATATACTTTATTTTGAGCTAAAATTCTCATAGGAATTTTGATAACAGAAAGAGGTCTACTCTGTTCTTTTTGCCCAACATTATATATACATACATTATGTTTTCAAAATTTCTGTTGTCAAAATTTTAAATATATATAGGGATATATATGTAAAATATGCCCAGCACCTCGATGTTTTTGATGCCTTGCCTTGTTATTTATAGGATCCCCTCAAAGGAATTCAGCTTCTCAAACTCAACGCTGTGGCTAGGGGGTCTCACAACATAAAGACAGATTTCCATTATGCCTGCCTGTGTTTACAAATTGTCTGTTCTAAAATTCTTTTTTGACAGTCCCAGAAGAAAAAAATATAAATGGCCAATATACTTAGGCAGAATGTTCTACATCTCCCTAAATCAGTTGAATGCAATTAAGATGAAATAATATTTTTTGCCCATCAAATGGGCAAAGTGAAGAACAATACTACCTAGAATTTGTGAGGCTTCATTGGCACTGATGGTAAAATAACCAATGGTAGTAATTTGGCAAGACATTCTAGATTGACAGGTTTTTCTTGTCATTTCTTTTTCAATTTGGGGCTTTTAAGATGTTGCTTCCCTTTCCTGTCTGTGTAGCTTTTTCTTCTCTGGTACTCTGCCCTGAGAGCTCTAGCCCCTTGGTGTCCACACATTCTCAGCTCCGTTGCCTCAATTCAGGAAGTACACTGAGCTCCACTAGGGCTCCATCTCTCTTTGCTATTACCTGAAAACTCTCAAAGCAGTAAGCTCCAGTAACCCTATGGCAACTCACAATACTCATAACAGCTCCTGCAAGTTAGGGTACATAAAGCTGAACTTCATTAGTTTCTCATTAATCCTACTCTGAGAATGGTTTGCAAGACATGGAAAGGATATGTGGATTTTTGGAGATGTCTAGGGAAAGCAAATAATCTCTATGTATCTATCAATTTATCATCTCCTTACCTATCTACCTATATATATATACAGTATATACATAGATGTATGCAGTAAAACATAAATAATTATGACAGCAAAAGTCATATGGATCATAAAAATTCAGAGTATTAAAAGCTTGATTTTAGAATTAAAGTATTTTGAACATGTCTTACATATACAAGGATTAAATTAATAATGACTAAATTACATTTCAATGAGATTATATTTCAGAACAAAAGAAATCAAAGCAGACACACACTGAATTGTAGCAATCAGGTTTTTCTGTATTACAACATATTGAATCTAGAATCTAAAGGGAAAATTTGGCAAATAATTTTGAATATTTTTTCTGAAACTGATAAAATCACTATGGATTGATGACATGAATACAGATTACTGGAAATGGGAAAAGACTTTAGGGAGAGCCGTCTCTTATGGGGAATCTTTGTGCATCTCAAAGAGGATCAGTCATTTTAATTTTTTTGGAGCTTCTGTTTCACCTCTTTTCCTAAATTCTACAATCAAATTTTGTGTGATTGCATTTAGCAGGAAAATAATCATAGCCACCAGGTAGAAAGTATGTGTGTGAGTGTGCATGTGTTTGTGTGGATATTTGAGATGCAAATACCTATGTCTATGCTATTGATAGTTTTTATGAGTTTCTCACATGGCATTTTTAAAGTTGATTTTATTAAAGTATAATTTACATTTAATAAAATGCTCCTATTTTCAGTAGAATGTTGTATCAGTTTTGATAAGTTGATGCACCAGGGTAAGCACAACCCCTGTCAAGGTGTAGAAATTTTCATCACTGAAAAGTTTCCCCATGATTTTTGCAGGCAACTCCCTACACTTAGGCCTAATCAAATGTTAATTTATTTCTGTAACTATAAATTAATTTAAACTTTTAAAAATTTTCCACAAACAAAATCATACTATTTGTGTTTGAGAAGTACAGTCTTCATTTTTTAAAAATGATCTATGTTCATTTTAAACAAACTCAAACAGGATAAAGCAGGAGAAATTAGTATCTCAATGTATCATTCTAAACCACACCACCAGACTTATCCATGTTAACATTTAGTGATTATTATTTATTTCTTGATTCATTGGATTCCTATCACTTAAAATTATTTTAATGTTTACTTATTCTCTGAGTTAGCTTATGTTTTCAGGATTAGCCTATTGATGTCCAATCTAAAGGAAAATTTGTCAAAGCATGATTTTGAGTCAAAATGTCTTTCCTAAAAAAAAGTAGAATGTACTTTTTTTTTTAGCATTGATTATTGCTGTAAATAATAGCAAGGGTATTTATTGCTTTAAATAATCAATGCTAAAATTGATAATTGCTAGATCTCAGTCTAGATTTATTTTTCTCTCTTGTAGGTGATTTTTTTTTTGTACTTGGAAGTCAAAATTCTTCCTTTATCTTTATAGTTCAATAGGTTAACCATGATTTATCTTCATGCTGCTTGTTTTCATCAGTGTTTCCCATGAGATTTTATCTTTTCAATCTGCAGTCATATCTTCCTATATTTCATATGCATTTTCCTATATTTCCAAATATTTTATGCATGATGTATTATTTTTATCTCAGAGACAACAAACATCTTTATATTGGATCATTTTCATCTGTTCCATATACTTTTCCCCTTATCACTAGTTTCTATTGTTGCCTTTTTTCTTTTTGTTTACCCATTATAATTATGTCCATTTTTTCTTCTCATCCATATCTATTTTGTTCTTATTTGTTAAGCAACATATCTGTAATGGTATTATTTATTCCTATACTTGTTTTAAATTTACCGTGTTTCTTCATCTCATTCTGTTTTGTTAATTACCTCAGTTTTGAGTTCTTTTTATATTATGTTAATTTTTGTATTCTTCTGTAGTTCTTTTGTAGTGCTGCTTTGATTTCTTACATGATATTCTCTTCCATTTTAAGAAATTTGTCTCCTTTCTGCATATCTCATTTCTTGTTTTTTCTTCCTTTGTTCATTCTTTCCTTCACATGTGTTTATAGTATGTTTGCAAAATTGCCATGCCATTACTTTTCATTTATTTCTCAGGTACAGACATCTTTGCTCTGATACAATGTGAGAGAGATCCCTTGTTACTCTTCTTATCTGGTACTAATTTGCCTTTCTCTCCCTATGACCAGTTCTATGTATTAATTTTCTTGAGACCTAGGACTTCTGGGGCATAGGAGAGCTGGGATGAGGCTGTGCTCAAGTCTCTGATCTCTCTTCTAAGACCTGATTACATTTCTGATAGCAGAACCCACTTTATCCAGACAGCAGAATAAGCCCAATTGGGAAGGGTGCTTAATCTTTAGTCCTCTGACTTATCTGTAAGACATTTTCCCTCAACAGACCTGACCTATTTTTCTACTACCTTTGAAAATAAGACCAGCTGAAATGAATGTTACACGGTGTTTTGGGCCATGAAAGTAGGTATGCATAGCTAAGCCACTCTCCTCTTGAAAACTAAGGCACCTGTATAAAGCATGGACTCTGGTCTGCTCCTTGATTCCATTAACTTTTACAAAGGTATGCCTTCACATGGGGAGGTCTGCAGATTTCCAGCCCTGGTTGTTAAGGCATGGGTAGGTCAGTTTAATTCTATGATTTTTTATCAGGAAGCCCACTTTCTTGCAGGTATATGCTATATTCTCTTACATGGTTTTATTAGTAGTAAGGGCAATTTTTAAAATCTCTATATGCTAATTCTTTTATTGTATTTTTTGACAGGTTTGGGAACCGATTAAATAAAAGGAGTTTTTTATTGGCCCCTTTATAGCCTCCAACATCCCCATCCCAGGTATCACAATGTCCTGGAGAGTAGGAAGTCCTCTATAAGCTTTTTATCTCTACTGAAGTTCTCAGAGTGATATGTCACAGCTACCACTCACAAAATCTTGCCCCTTGACCTTTCCTATTACTGACCATTTATCCCCCCAATTCAGAAAATTGGAAGATATTAATGAAGATGCCATTTTATTACCTTCTTTCCTGATTGTATTTAAGCAGAGATGTGAGAAGTAGGAGGAGTTGAACTCTAGGCAAACTTGAAACCTTCCATTTCTTATTTGGCTGTTATATTCCACAGTTTGAAGTGTAAGAGTGTACCTCTTTCCCATTTAAACTGTTGCTGGTATTTTTTTTTTTTTTTTACTGAATCTTTATTATATTTTGTGCATTATATTAACTAGTGGATTCAGGAGATTCTAACAGTTTAATCTAGTCTTCCAACTTTTCCCAGATATTATAAAGACTATAGAGGCTTAAAGTAGACAGATGCTCATAAATGGAGTTTGGATATAATTTCCTAAGCCTCGTGAACCTTATCCTGTTATGAACTTCAGTGAATGAATTCATGCCACAGAAATAGAGATGGATATTTAATGTTCTAAATCATTCAAGCAAGATAATCTTGGCTTTTCCTTCCTTTACTCCCCTAGAAACATACTTGTTTCCAGAAGGTATAAGAGCTAATCGCAAAAAGATGTCTCAACTGTACATTAATATTCTTAGATGTTGAAATAAGCTGGTGATCAAAAACTATGTTAAATAATTGGCAAGTAATAGCTAGAGAATAATAACACTCTAATTAGACTCTCCTGGAAGGCTTAATCTATGCCAGTCTCACCTAGGAATCCTGCTACCCAAAAGGTAACTTATTAATACAAATTATGATTTATTTTTACCTAACAGCAGGGGCTCCAATAACAATAGAGCAAAATTGAGCAAATAGGACAAGGGAAGGGTGGCATAACACATAAAGGTTTGCATTCACCTTTGTTTGACCTTCTGAATATGTTCTTGTCCTTTTAGGGTCCCAGTTTTATCATTAGTAAGGGAAATACAATCCTGCTAATTTTCTAAGGTAATTTAGAACAAGAAGCATATGAAGGTATTACAGGGCTCTAAATTTCTGTATATAATACAGAATATTTAGCTGGAAACAAATCACCAACAATTTTACTGTGTATTTCCAGGGTATTAGGATAAAGAAAATGAAGACAACATGGATAATTTAATCACAGTGACTACTAAGCAAGCTAGTTAGCAATCAAGGCAACGCAAAAGCCTATATGGGGAAAAATAATTGCTTTTTGTATTCAACTTTTGTTGTTTGAAGTGTGAATGAGTCCTGGTGGGTGGATAAATGGCTGAATATTAATCATCCTTGCCTGCCTGGCAAGCTTCCTGGCTTTCTTGGCTGCCACTGGGACACTGGTTAGCTTGTTTTCTAGACTGGCAGCTGCCCATCCTGGAGAAGCACCCATGCATCTCTTTCCCTGCCTAGGGGAAAGTTCTACTTTTCCAAGTTCATCTCATACACTACAGCAGTGAAAGCAAAGCCCACTGACTGATGCCTTGTTTCCATCTCATTCATCAGGCTTCAGCCTGACATCCTGGGCTGCCTCAGTGTAGTTTATTATTTCCAGTCTTGGCCTGAGTTGCCTCAAGCTAAATCTAGCCAAAAGCTTAATAACACTTCCAGCTAGCTTCTTGTGATTCTATTGTTTATTTTATATATGGATTATGCCTATTGCTACAGCATAATGCCTTCTACATAGTAGGCACTCCTAATTTTGTTAAATTTTTAGTGAGTGGTAAGAGATTAGTATAGATATTTTAAGTTTTTTTATATAAAATAATATAAAGAATGAAAACAATTTTTCTTTCATGGCGTCCTGAGGAACAAAGTAAATTTGAGAGTGAGAAAGGATCTTTATTTAAACTTAACATTAATAAGAAAATTATGTTGGGAGTAGTGGCTCACACCTGTAATCCCATCACTTTGGGAGGCCAAGACAGGAGGATCGCTTGAGGCCAGGAGTTTAAAACCAGCCTGGGCGATATAGTGAGAACCTATCTCTAAAAAAATGAAAATAAAAGTAAATAGCCAGGCGTGCTGGTATGCTCCTGTACTCCTAGCTACTTGGGAGGCTGAGGTGGGACGATCACTTTAGCCCAGGAGTGTGAGGCTGCAGGGAGCTATGATTGCACCACTGCACTCCAGCTTGGGTGATAGAGCCAGACCCCATCTCTTAAAGAAAAGAAGAGAAATACTCCTTAAGAAAAATAAAAGTATACCTTGATTTGATAATATTTCTAAAGGTGGTAGGACTTATGAGTCTTTTTAATCATCACTTTTATTATCTGGTCTCACTTCAGCTTATGTTTTGCACTGTGGATTTTTCTAATGAAATAAACTGAAATAAATCAAGTCAATGTGAAGAAACTACATTTAGTTCAATAGCCACGGACACCATTTAGAAGTTTCTAAATTTAAACAGTAATACTGAAATCAAATTTATTTTACCAAAATGAGATAACTACTTGGGAGTATTTTCAAAATCCAAACAACTATGACAAAATAATTTAAGGTTTTTTTTTATTTAAAAGAGTAATGATTATTTATCAGAAGCAGTCAATAAAAAAAAACTTTGATTTTATTCCCCAATCAAACAGAGGAACAAAGGCGATATTAGGAGGAAAGGCATCCAGTCAAAGTGAAAACAATGCTCCTGCAACTCCAAGAGCAGAATATGGCTTTTTCAAGCACCAACCAAGAAAAAGTGCAAAAGAGTATGAATGATTAAGGATAATGTGAATATATTTCTTAACAATAGCAGCATTGGTTTCCTCATCACCAACAGAAAGTACTTATAGAGTACTTGTAGTTCCTATTAATTGAAAACATTGATTCTATATTTAATATACTATAAAAAAGAATATATGCATGCATAGAAACACACATGCATGCAAACATACATATTTGGTTGAAGAAGAAAACACAAATGTACATAAAAGATTATATTCAGTTAATCACCAAGGCAAAGTACTTAGTTAGATAACCTTTTATGAACTTCTAAAATTTCTTGGTTGCTTAGAGCTCTGGGTGTTGCTTGATAGACTCTCCATTTCGCTCATACAACAAACCTAAAGGGAAGGTCTTTCCTGATTTTTATCACCTTAAAGAGATATTATATGGCTCTGTTGATCCTGGAATACACTAGACCTAGAATTAAAAACCAATGTAATGCTGATATTTTCAGATTAAAATATTCTATTTCCAACCTACCATAGCCTAGGAAATTCAACTTCCTTGTTTTACAGAGTGTTAAGTCAAATTAACTTCTGGAGGACATAAACATTTATTAATGCAAATACTTTTTTTCCCAGAAATATCTGACAAATTATATATTTTTATTTTAGCTGGGAATATGGGTAATATATTAATTTTCTATTGCTGCTGTAACAAGTTACTACAAGCTTAGAGGCTTAACCCAAATTAAATTTCTTTTGGTTCTGAGCGTCAATTCTTACATGGGTTAATTGGGCTAAAACTACATGGCAGTCAGTTGGTGTTTCTTCTGGAGGATCTAGTAACTTGATAGTGAACAAATCTAGAAGATTCCCTATTGATTAAGTGATCAAATTATCATTAGTAATGAGGCATTTATTTATTATTTTCTAATATAATACTTTGAGAAAGGCACAACATCATTTTTGTGGTATTTTGATCAAAAAAGAATAACTTCAACATAATCGTGAGAAAACAGCAGACAAACTAATATTAAGAGGTATTCTATAAAACAGCTAACAAATGCTCTTCAAATGTGTTAAGTTCACAAAAAACAAAGTCTAAGGAATTGTTACAAGGTGGAGGATATTGAGTGACAGCTGAATGCAATGTAGGATCCTGATTGCATCCTGGACCAGAAAAAGCACAGTAGGGAAAAATCTAATGAAATAAAATAACATCTTCAGTTTAATTGATAGTATTGTATCAACACTAATTATTGATTCCATTATTTCTAATTATATGAAATGAAAACATTAAGGCAGCCTAGGTGAAGCTGGAAACTCTCTTGCACTATTTTTGCAACTTTTCTATAAGTTAAAAATTATTTCAAAATAAACTTTGTTATTTACAATTTAAATACCTACTTTAACACTCTCAAGACACCAAAGCTGCTTCTGTTAACAAGCTTCTCCAGATATATCTCATTTTCTATGGTTATTACATGGATGTGGTCAATGTCTTTTTGATGAATCTCACACCACAGTCTTTGCAAGCATACCTTGTTTCATCATATTTCATTTTACTGTGCTTGGCAAATATTGTGTTTTTCATAAATTGAAGGTCTGTGGCAACTCTGCATAGATCAAACTTATTGGCACCATCTTTCCAACAGCATATGCTTACTTTGCATTTCTATGTCATAGTTTGGTAATTCTCACACTATTTTATCTTTTTCACTATTATATTTGTTATGATAACCTGTGATCAGTGGTCTTTGATGTTACTATTGTGATTGTTTTGGGATGCCACAACCTGTGCCCACATAAGATGGTAAACTTAACCAATAAATGTGTTTGTTCTGACTGCTCCACCTACTGGCTTTTTCCCATCTCTCTTTCTCTTCTGGCCTTCCTATTCCCTGAGACACAACCTAAAATTAAGCCATTTAATAATCCTACAATGGACTCTAAGTGTTTAAGTGAAAGGAAGAGCCAGACATCTCTCATTTTAAGTCAAAAGCTAGAAATGACTAAGCTTAATGGGGAAGGCATGTTGAAAGGTGAGACGGGGGCAATGCTAGACCTCTTGAAACAAACAGCCAAGTTGTGTATGAAAGGGGAAAGTTCTTGAAGGACATTAAAATGCTACCCCAGTTTACACACAAATAATACGAAGTGAAACAGCCTTATTGCTGATAAGAAGAAAGCTTAGGTGGTCTGGATAAAAAATCAAACCAGCTGCAACATTCCCTTAAGCGAAAACCTAATCAAGAGAAAGACCCCAACTCTCTTTAGTTCCTTGAGGGCTAAGAGAAGTGAGGAAGGTGCAGAAGAAAAGTTTGAAGCAAGTAGAGGTCATTCATAGGGTTTAAGGAAAGAATCTGTCTCCATAACATAAAAGTGCAAGATGAAGCAGCAAGTGCTGATAGAGAAGCTCCAGCAAGTTATGCAGAAAGATATGCAGAATATTTAACTAAGATAATTGATGAAGGTGACTGCACTTAACAACAGATTTCAATGTAGATAAAACAGCCTTCTATTGAAAGATGAGGCCATCTAAAATGTTTATTGCTAAAGGGGAGAAGTCAATGACTGACTTCAAAGCTTCAAAGGACAGGTGGACTATCTTGTTAAAGGGTGACTTTAACTTGAAGTCAATGCTTATTAACCCTTCTGAAAATCTTAGGATCCTTAAGAATTATGCTAAATCTCCTCTGCCTGTTCTCTGCAAATGTAACAACAAAGCCTGGATGACAGCATATCTGTTTGCAGCCTGGTTACTGAATATTTTAAGCCCGTTGTTGAGGCCTACTGCACAGAAAAATTAAAAAGATTCCTTTTGAAATATTACTGCTCATTGACAACACACCTGGTCACCCAAGAACTCATGCCTGCTCACACCATATTCATTTTGCAGCTCATGGCTCAAGGAGTAATTTCCGCTTTCAAGTTGTATTACTTAAAAAGTATATTTTGTGAACCTATAGCTGTCACATACCGTGATTCTTATGATGGATATGGTAACCAAATTGGGAATTTTCTGGAAAGAATTCACCATTCTAGATGCCATTAAGAACATTCGTGATTCATGGGAGTAGGTTAAAATGCCAAAATTAACAGGAATTTGGAAGAAGTTTATTCCAACCTTCATGGATGATTCTGAGTTGTTCAAAAATTCAGTAGAGGAAGTAATTGCAGATGTGGTGGAAATGGTAAGACAGCTAGTATTAGAAATAGAGCTTAAAGATGTGACTGAATTGCTGCAACCTCATGATAAAACTTGAACTGATGAGGATTTGCGCCTTATGGATGAGCAAAGAAAGTGATCTCTTGAGCTGGATCTGCACTGGCAAAGATGCTGTGGACATTGTTGAAATGCCAACAAAGGATTTAGAATATTACATAAATTTAGTTGACAAAGCAGCTTCAGGGTTTGAGAGGATTGTCTCCAATACTGAAAGAAGTTCTGTGGGGGAAATGCCATCAAATAGTATGACATGTTACAGAGGAATCTTTTGTGAAAGGAAAGGTCAATTTATGCAGCAAACTTTATTGTTGCTTATTTTGAGAAATTGCCATATCCACCCCAATCTTCAGCAACTTGTCAGCAGCCATCAACACTGAGGAAAGATGCAAAATGTTTATGACTCACTGCAGGCTCAGATGATCATTAGCATTTTTTAGTAACAAAGTATTTTTAAATTAAGGTATGTATGTTCCTTTGTTTTAGAAAAATGCTGTCACACAGTTAGACTATAGTATAGTGTTCAAAGAACTTTGACATGCACTGGGAAACCAAAAAAATTGTGTAATTCACATTCATATGATATTCACTTTATTGCAGTCATCTAGAACAGACCCTTCAATTCCTCTGAGGTATGCCTATACTTACTGCCACTTTGTGACCTGATGAAAGGTCAACATGTTGGGAGCTATTTCATTTCTCCTTCATACTTGCTCAACTATTAAATTAACTTGCAAAATGACAACATGATTACTGCCTTGTAGTCTAAACCAACAGGTTACCCAAAAATGTGTTTCATGCTGAGAATAAAACATCACTAAAAATTAATGATTTTTTATATTACAACTTATAATAATTATATTAATAAACTGGTAACTATTAATACCAGCATTAATTTAAACACCCCACCAGATCAAGAGGTCTATTTAAACATCAGCTATCCTTTGGTTATTCAACGTTTTTACTTTTTATTTAATTCATTTATTTTTTATATTTTGTAGGGATGGAGTCTCACTATGCTGCTCAAGGTGGTCTCAAACTCCTCGGCTTAAGTGATCCCTCTGCCTCAGCTTCCTAAGTGCTGTCATTACAGTTGTAAGCCACCACACCTAGTCCTCAACTTTGTTTAGTCATAGCATTGCCTATATCTATTTTGAATATTACTCTTCTAGAATCTACCATATCTGTGACTCTTGGATATGGTAAAATAAACTATTGTGAATTAATCTCCTATACTGGAAATTTATGTGGCATAGTCATAAACTATTTTGTTTTCTTTGTTTTCCTGTCTATTTTGCTTAGCCTATTAAAGAAATAACTTGGTTTTCCTTATTTGGTATTCCTATCAGCTAATAGATATCTTGTATTTTTCCTCCTAACTTATTTGTTCTTCCTATTAGAAAAATGAAAAAATAATTAGGCTTCTTTTCTAATCATCAAGTTTTTGATATATAGTTCTTTTTGAAACTACAGCTTTGGTCACTAGGAATATTTATAGGCAATGTTTAGGTATGAAACTTTTTCCTGTTGCTTCTCTTAATAATAAGGTTAGCTGGCTTTTAGCTTATAGTCAAACCATATTCTGATTCAAGCTACTGTCAGTTGTAATTTAAACTCATTTAGGACATAGCTTTTAAACCACATTTAAGCTGAGAATAGCTAGTTTTAAAATAAAGTTCTAAAGTGATTTTCTTCAGCAGTCCCGAAAAATCATTGAAATTTCCTGGGCTTTTAACTCTATCCTTTAAAAGGTAGCTAGTAATACTTTCAGTTAATTACCTTAGTTCTGAGAAGAGCAAATAAATAGTCATTTGCAGGAAATGTGTGCAAGAATATTAGCACTGAATAGTGAGGAATAACCAGGCACCTCAGATTAGGTGCCTTGAAATTTAAGTCGCTTAAGATAAATTCATGGTTCTTCTACTATATCTCCTAACATGCCTAAAAATAAGGAAATTTTGGGGGATGAATTTAAATTCAGTGGCTTTTAAACATGTCCTCAAGAAGCAGAACAGGTCCAGCGTACAGTACTCTGCAAAGAGTCTTGAGATTATTCAACCAGTATGTCTAGGTGTCATATTTATTTTAATTTCCACATCATTTTACCTCTCGTAGGGTGCTAACTTGCTCTGTAATGTATTTTAGTGATTTGGATTCCTCTTTGTAGATTGCAAACTTTTTTTTGGAGGGAAATTGTCTTCATTTTTAAAACTAATTTAATGAATAGTACACTGCTCTAAATATAAGTGCTTAGTAAATATTGGTTAAAATAAATGAATATAACTTTTAACAATTTATGTTTTAGAAAAAATCATTTGCAAAAATCTAAAAGGAAAGTGTATATTGTTGGTGTACATCTGAAGAAGACAAGCCAGGAAGAGAAAACAATTTGTGTGAAGACTCTGTGAGGAGACTGTGCCAAGTGATATACTAGGCAGCGCTGTTTAGGGCAGTGGTTCTCAACTGGGAGCAATTTAGCTCCCCCAAGGGGGCATTTAGCAATGCCTGGGGTCATTTTTCCTTGTCATTACCTGGGAGACAGAGACACTGCTACTGGCATATAGAGTTGGCTCCTTGTATCTGTCAGTTCCACCTATGCAGATTCCACTGACTGTAAAAAAATACCATATATATATATATATATATATATATATATATAACAATAAAAAATAATACAGCAGCTAAAACTAATACAAATAAAATACAGTGTAAAACTATTACATAGAATTCACATTGTATTAGGTATTATAAGTAATCTAGAGATGATTTAAGGCTTACAGAAAGAAGTGCAGAGGTTGTATGTAAACACCATGCCATTTTATATAAGAAAATTGAGCATCTGTCAATTTTGGTATCCGTGAGGGTCCTGGAAGCAATCCCCTACGGATACAGAGGGACCAGTGTAATGGGTAGAGACCAGGCTGGCTGCTAAATATTCTAGAATGCACAAGACAAAGAATTATCTGGCTCAAAATATCAACAGTGACAAGGCTGAGAAACCCTCGTATAGATTAAACCAAGCTGGAGTCTGCATGCTAGCAAGGAGTGTCATGGTGTCTTCTCCCTTCTCCAAATAATGTAAAATAACTTTTATTATGTACCATGTTCTTTTCTTAAACTTTTTTTTTTTACTTATTCCCCTATTCCATACAATTATATTATAATAGAAATAAAAGATCTTTGCCTTTAAAGTTAGAGTAGAAGCAGGACCTGGCATAGGCTTCTACCAAAGGCTTTCTTTTTTTTGCAATCTGAATTTTTCCCTTTCTCTATGCATGATCTTCTGAGATAGTCTACACAGATGTCTTATGTGGCCTTATACCTTAGACAAATGAAAAATTCTTCCTTTTGGGAAGGCAAATTTGCTTCTATAACTTTTTCTCCTCTGCTTTTGTGAGTATGAGAGAGTTTCTCTACTACAAGACTGTAGGATAAAAGTTGGTATAACAAAAATAAAGATTGAAAAGATAAAATGACAACCAAAAAACAATGACAAAATTGGAATTCAGGAATAATCTTCACTTTGGCAATATGGCTAAATATAACTTGGGTTAGGGATCTCTTGGGTTAGGAATCTTTTTGTGTGATATATTATTTTGAATTTATAGAGCATTGGTTTTTAACAAGTTTTTATCATTTTTAACAGGTTTTTATCATTTAAAAGGTGACTAGGGCAATGGGATTACCTCTGATATCAGAGAGTTGGCAATCATGTAACCCTGAAAGTCATGGCACAATATGGCAGAACAAGCACGTCTGGGGCCTGGGAGTCCTGAGGTACTCTAGTAATTGTGGTTTTCCTCATACTCTCTGGATCTGGGGTGACCCAGAACACAGTCATAATTCTTGAACTGTTTGCAAGTGCAAACCTTGAGATCTTCCCAAGCCAGTCACCCAGTCGATAATCAGCTCAAGATCATCCCTATACCCCGAGTAGAATTAGTTGTCAATATTTAGGGCACAAAATTCATTTTGGTGAGATGCCCTAGGCCATTGACACTAGTCATATAATAATCTAATGTGTTTGCTGCAATGACACATTGCAGCCCTATGTCCTCTGAGTTCTGGCTCTAATGTGGTATTTCTTTACACTAGCTTTCTCAATAATATGAACAGCCTGCCTATGAACTGAAATGTGAAGTATGATACCCACTATTATATATCTTTCCTTACTGCAAGTCCAACTAATGGTTATTAATATGAACAACTTACCTCCTGCTTGCTTTCAGCTCCCGAATTTTTATTGTCTGTACTTTTCCTGTAGTGAAGTAGTTTCATAGCTCAGCAAAGCCTCAGAATTTTTTATGAACAGTCTCTAAAAGGCAGCTAGATCTAGCTCTAAGACATCAAGCAAATGACCCAGGACTTGTTATTTTTCTTGTTGGTTTCTGCGTAGCTAAGGCAAAGGCTTTTTCTTGGCCTCCACTCAGCAATATGCAAAAAGCTGAAGCTTTTAAAGTGGGAGAAGAAACAGAAGGAACAGAGGAGGTAAGCTTTTGTTTCACAAAGAAATTCCAGCAAGTTACCTAGGGATACATTATTAATCAACTTCACCTGTTGATAGTACAGGTTGGTTTATTGATATTCATTATGCTTGTTGGTAAAAATAAAGGGGGAGGGGGAAGGGGATTGAATAACGTCAGTTGTCTTACAGTCGTTCTCTGTTTCTACTTTTTGTTTGGAAACTTTAGTACAGTACATGGCTGTTTCAGTAATTGTGGTATGAAAAACATCTGTGGAGGACAGTTTAACGTGTTTGTCTCTGCAAAGCCCCATAGCAAATAACATGTACATCATCAACTCTCTAATAACTCTTACAGGAGGCCTCTAACTACTGAGCACACATCAGGGGAATGATGTATGATTTAATACCTTGAAATAGAAAAACAAAAAAAAGGAAGAAATTCGACCTGCTGGGAGTTTCTCATTAAATATCCAGAGCGCCAGTGACTGCTGTTTCCTAGTTTAGTCAGGAACGTCTTTGTTAAGCATGTGCTTTGAGTGTTTAACATTCTGTTCTGCCAGTGATACCTAAAAAACCCACACTGCAATCTAATTTCCCATATCTTGTCACTTATTTCCAAAATGTGGACAGAGACTCTTGGTGATCAGATCTACTCTTTATTACCAAAAGTCTCAATTATATTAAATTGCCTCTCTAAAGATTTTAGGATCTGGGACAGAACTAGGTACATAATTTGCCAGGCACAGTGACAAATGACAATAAGGAATCCTTATGCAAAGCTTTCAGACGTTTTGAGATGGCAACAGTAGAGCATTAAACCAAGTATGGAGTCCTCCATGACTGCACAGGTTGCAAACCTGCAAAGCATGTCTAGGAAGCTGGCATACCCACAACAGACAACACATATCCAGGAAGGCCACTTGGAAATCAGAAAAGTTATTCCACACAAGGAAAACCCCATAAATATAATATTATAGTATTCTTTATAGTTATCAAACTTCTGATGGTATTTCTCTTTGTGTATTCAAAAAATGCTTGAAAAGACCAATTTCTACCATTTTTTGTAATTCTATGAAGGCATACTTAAACTAAATTGTACATATTTAAAGCATAAAACTTAGCAGTTTTCAATATATGAACATGCCCCCCACCCCCACCGCCCACAAATAAGACATCACCATAACACATATTTCTGTTATCCCAAAAGGTTTCTTCATGTCCTTTTGTAGTCCATTCTCTAACCTCTCTCCACCTTGTCTCCAGGTAACAACTAATAGGCTTTCCTCGGTTTGAATTTTCTAAAAGCATAGAATATTTACATTTGCCTGGCTCTTCTCACTCAGCATGGCTTTGAAGTTCATTCATATTGCCACATTTATCAAAAGTTCATCTCTTTTTGTTGCTAATCAGCATTCCCTTGGATAAACTGTTTATCCATCACATGTTCATGGACAGTCAGGTTGTTTCCAGTGTTTGGTTGTTACATGTAAAGCTATTAGAAATACCCATTCTTGGCTGGGCACGGTGGCCTGTAATCCCAGCACTTTGGGAGGCCGAGGTGGGTGGATCACGAGGTCAGGAGATCGAAACCATCCTGGCTAACACGGTGAAACCCCGTCTCTACCAAATATACAAAAAATTAGCCAGGCGCGGTGGTGGACACCTGTAATCCCAGCTACTCGAGAGGCTGAGGCAGGAGAATGGCATGAACCTGGGAGGCGGAGCTTGCAGTGAGCCGAGATCGTGCCACTGCACTCCAGCCTAGGTGACGGAGACTCCGTCTCAAAAAAAAAAAAAAAAAAAAAAGAAATACCCATTCTTGTGTGAAGTACGTTTCTTTTTTATTTTCTTGGGTAAATACCTAGGAGTGGAATGGCTGGGTTATCTAGCAATTATATGTTTAAATTTTGAAAAAAGTCCCTAATTGTGTGTCAAATTGATTATTGCATTTTACATTCTTACCAGCACTGTCTGAGGGTGCTAGATAGTTCCATATACTCAGAAACACTTGTCTGGTCAGAAAAGACGAACTCATGCAATATTTAATTATCTTCTAGTATTATCTTGAATTTATTTGGAGAAAATTTTCACTTTTACTTCCAAAATATTATTATGAACATTTTCAGACACAAAAGTTGAAAAATTGTACCACGAACCCCCATATATATATATATGGGTCTAGTCATCACTAAATTTTAAAGGATAAAGGTTATACACACACACACACACACACACACACACACAAACACAGACATACAACAAAGAATAACATAGATCGCAGGTACAAATTGTCACTCCATAACAATTATTTTCTTCTAGGAATTTTCACTTACATCTGATTTTTTATTAGATTAATCAAATTAAATCTAGAAAGGAATTTATATATCATATAGTTCTCAACATCCTCATTTTCTTTATTATACACATAAGGAAACTGTGGCCAAATTAAAATGATTCGCTCAAGGCATCAGAAAAAAATTAAGAAGTGAACTAGATTTTGTGATTTCTAGATCAAATTTCTGTGCACAAATCTATATTTCCTCATATAATTAACAATGATTTATATTTTAAATGAACATTACACATTCTTACTACTGAATTGTAAAATTACTTTGAAGTTTTTTTACGTGCCTACAATTCTGTATTATATACAAAATCATGCACTTTTAATATTGGAAAGAACCTTACTATCATATAAATTCTAGTTCAACCCTCAGGTCCATTTAAAATCTGTCTCTAAAGTGAGTAAATCAGTGCTTTGAAATAACGTTTAATGTAATTCAGTTATTTGGATTTTATGTATTTGGAGGGAAACTTCGAGTTTGTAATTCTGTTTTTTGCTCTCCTTTTGTCTCCTTGTGCCCATTTTGGGGACACATCTTCATGTCACAAACTCCATCAGGGAAATTTTCAAGTGAAGAAACAGGAAGTGGAACTCAGAGAAGTCCAATTTTATTTGTTAATAAGTAGGAGGTTGAAAGCAATGGTTAAAATTGGATTTTTAAACTATCAGTAGATGTAATTTATTCCATCATGCTGGTTCCCTATTTGCCTTCTCTTTATTGCAGGTAATTGAGAATTAGTCACATTTGTTATTTTTAGCACTGCCTGATTTTGTCTGGAAATGGAAGTGAAACTATAAAAACAGGTAAAGAAAAACAATTTAAAGTCTTTAAAAATATTTTAAAAATCAGAATTCTTGGTTCAGTTAACTACAAAATACTCGGAGACTTGGAAAAAGATTGTTTTAAGATACAAATTAAGTGACATTTTTGGAGTTGATTATTCTGGTTCATTTAGATAACTAAAATTGGGCTGACTCACTGAAAAGAGCTACTTGCCACACATCCTCAATTAAGTGCATTGTTATTAAGAAGAGAGTTGGGGACACTCATTTCATTCATTTTACTACCAATGCTTGATTTTGAGGATGATACTTTTGAAGCTTTGGGATACTTATTTTTCCCCTTTAACCCTGAAATTTTACCCATTAACACAAACTGTGTTTTTCAGGATAAGCGCATTTAAAAATGTATTCAGTAGGCTTTTAAAGTTTAGGGTTTTTTTTTTTTTTTTTTTAAAGAGGGAGCTTTATATTCACAGATATCCTCAAAATGAAAAGTAGAGCTTCTAAAGCTATTTCTTTGTAAGGATTTAAATTCATTCACAGGCTGTTAATTTGAAGGGTATTTGAAGTTTAAATTATAATGCATCAGTCATCCTTGAAAACCCAGGCAATCAATATACACAAATACAGAATTCTGTAAACATTATTTTTGTCCACAGTTCATTTATACATGCTTATAGAAATTACTCATGCTAAACTGCAATTTATCAAATCGCTGACAACAAAACAAATCACCCTGTCATATTATACTTAAAATGTCAATGTTTAATACTAACTTCTTTCTACATAAAGATATGACATTTGATTGCAAGTACTTAGTGATACCAGGCATAGTGAGAAGGAAAAGTGTTTCATCTTAAGAATCACTATGCCAGTTAACAAATATACACATAATAAATTACTATTTCCTACATTAAAATGATCTTCCAACATGCTGAGAAATTTAACACATCTACCAAGTGGAAGTTGTTCATATATCACCATAGAGATCAGAATCATCGCCTTTAGGTACACATACTTAAAATAATCGCAAAGCCGTATGCTCCCATTATAGATCTCTTTCGCTTTTTACACAAATGCATTAACCATGGGGCAATCCTCTATCATTGAAAATAGGTAGGAAGCACTTCTGAATAAATTACTTAAGAATAATGTGTATTACACATAGGCATTCATAGGAATTTACAAATGATTTGGCAATGTATTTCAGGGAACTAAATGCTAAAATTTTGTCCATTCTGTTAAATTTTTATTTTAAGATTAGTTTTGTTTCTATTTTCCATTATCTTTTTATCATAAAGTTATTCAGATCCTTCAGAGCACAGAGAAAATTTTCATAATTGAAATGGAAAAGTTATTCCTTTGGATGCAAAACATGGAAAATAATCTGATTACATTAATAACTTAAAATGTTTAATAACTGATAATTGTAAAAAGGTAATGTTTATAATTAATGCGATATTCTTGGGGGTTATAAATGTCTTAGGAATAAAATTTGGAGCAGGTAGAGGTGTATTTTGCAAATGAATCACAATGGAGCAGAGAATCGATTTTAAATTTAAAGAGCCTTCATTTGCCTTTTAAAATATCAACAGAGAGTCAACTGCTTTACCTTATTCTTTCATTTGTATTCCTACCTAGTTCCACAGCCTCAGCTTTTTCTAGCACTTCAATGTGAGACTCCCTCATATTCCCAAATGAGTATAGAAGGATAGGGCATATTTAGAGAGGCATGGAGTTTTCATGAAGTAGGAGCTGTTTATAACTTTCTTCCTAAAAATAAAAAGTGGGTTCTCACTCATGAATATTAGACTCCCTTTTATAGAAAAAGTTTTGCAAACTTATTCAGGACAGATGTTCGGACAGATACCAGTTTGCCTCTGAAGAAAATAGGGCAGTTTAAAGTGGGTATGTTCTTCAAAATTGCAAGACAATCACGATCCTCTTATTTGCAATTCTTCCTAACCCCAATTCCCATAACTCCTGAACCTACAAATGTTTTCATTATTTCTTTGACCTCAATCATTTCTTTCTCTTTGATTTTTACATCCCCTCTGAACTGTCATTGGATAGTTGATTACCGTTTATTTTTACTTTGAAATTTTAAATTTTCCTCAGTGCTTCAACCATTTGAGTGCAAACATCCACTTTTCATTTGAAAAATCACAGGACTTATTGCTCTTTGAAGAATCACTAAGTCATAAAAAAAGCTTCATTTCTAGGATATATGTAAAATTATGACAATAGCTGACATGGTAATAAAAAGACCCTGTGGCATCTTCTGGTTTCTTCTTACTTTTCTCTTTCTTATGATTGATTCTAGGAAGAAACATTGTGCATTGAACTTCAAAGCTGAGATATGAGACTCTAGCTTACTTCTAAGAAATGCTTGATTTCATACAAAACAGTAGTTATTTCTTTTCCTGGAATCTTCGAGATTCTCTCCTCATTCAGGCTTGGTATACAATCACTTGTTCAGTGAGCCTTCTTCAACCCCAATCCAATCAACTCCCAGGCCCTGTCTTTCATTTTGTCCTTATCGCTATCATTACCTTTTATTACTCACTATTTGTTAATTTGTTTCTTTACCTTTTTTGTCCATTGGAACACAAGATTTATAACCAGAGGCATCATTTCTTTCTTGTTCGTTACTGCAAAGAACAAAACCCGCACAAAGAAGACTCTCAGGAAATGCTGGCTGAATGACAGAATGAACATTGATAAATGAAGACTTCTTCAAATAACTGATGCTAGACATCTCTAAATGTAAAACAATATTAATTAAAATATTATCTTAATTTCATTTAATTGAAAACATGGAATTACATATATGTTAAGTCATTTTAGAAAGAAATGTTAGAATGTTAAGTGTTAAAAATGTCAATTCTGACAAGAGTCTAGATATAGCTAATTTGTTCTAGAATATTCTTAGTAATTACGTAGTTGATTTTGAATTTTTATTTCTGAATGTCTTCGGTATACCTACATGCTGGTGAAAATGAAGACATTCCTTTTTGCTTTTATAGTATTTGTAATTTAAACATACATTAATTCTTTAATGACCTTGGAGATAACTTTTGCAATCATTGTGGCTAGTCATTGTGCCTGAAGGTTTTATTTTTCTCTTTCTGCTGCTGAAACTAGAATGCGCCCTTGATTTCACACTCTTGCTGAACTGATACTTTTGTTCCTTTCCAGATATCAGAAATAACATGTGACCATGACATCATTCATCATTTTTCCATCAAAACATTTGAAAATAACTTGGATTCATTTATTAGAGCTTTATTTTCCCACATCTTGCAGTACCCTAGAGTTCTACAGTAATTAACCTTATGCTGAATGGCAGAGGACATGCACTAAGCTCCTATTTAAAATCTATTCATGATGCATTTTAAATATTCAGTAGAGACTTCTTAAACATGCAGCCATAGTCTATTGAAAATGGATTTCCTAAAGCCAGGAGATTGGATATTAATATCTGGCATTCGTATAAAGACAGGTTTTTGTTAACCTATTATAAAAAGGACTGATGATGTGATTATATACTGTTTACTAGCTCACTTATATTTCTGTGCTAATAATTACTGTAACCCATTTGTTTAGTTTTTTTATTTTATTTTCATTAAGCATTGTTTTTAAAATTTTTTTATCTTAGCTTATGTTTGATTTATGTTTTTGATTGAATAAAGGTTGTTTGTTAATATAGAATCTGCTGTCATTTCGGTTTTATCTTTCCAAAGTAAAATTTATATAAAATGTATTAAAGAAATTCTGAAACTCCTGAAATGAGATATTTAAAGGCATTAGTACCTTTGCGCCTGTGGTATCATAGCCATTCTTATTTTAACATTTTGTGAAAATGTTGGCACCCAGGAGATATTTGGCAATGTCTGGAGACATTTTGGTTATCACGACTGTAGAGTGTGAACACATCTAGTGAGTAGAAGCCAGAGATGTATTAAATATCTTATAACACAGAACACCGCTCTACAACAAAGAATTATTCTGCCTAAAATGCAAATAGTGCTGAGATTAAGAAACACAAGTTTAGACAAATTAAATTTTAAAAACTTAGTGTACTCTTAAAAGCATAGATAAAAGAATGCTTACTTAATGTATTGAAAGTTTTTCAAAGAGTAAAGTATTTAAAAATGTCTTCTTGGCCAGGCACAGTGGCTCACGACTGTAATCCCAGCACTTTGGGAGGCTGAAGCAGGAGGATCATTTGAGGTCAGGAGTTTGAGACCAGCCTGGCCAACATGGTGAAACCCCATTTCTACTAAAAATACAAAAATTATTTGAGTGTGGTGGTGCATGCCTGTAATCTCGGCTATTTGGGAGGCCAAGGCAGGAGAATTGCTTGAGCCTGGGAGACAGAGGTTGCCATGAGCCAAAACTGAGCCACTTCACTCCAGCCTGGGTGACAGAGTGAGACTCTGTCCCACACTCTCCCCGCCACCGAAAAAAAAAAAGTCTGCTGCTCAGAGGAAACCATGAGCAGTAGGGTTAATAAGAAATGACGTCATGAGTAATTGGAGAAGAGATTGCATAGGCCTTTGTAAAACATTCTTAAAAAATGGCTCTTACATTGAATGAAGTGAGATATCATTATATACTATAGAGCAGAGGAAAAGCATAGTCTAGTTTATATTGTAACAGGATCCTTTGGCTACTGTGGTTGGCAGAATTCCAAAGATGTTTTCCGAGATTCTCTTCCCTTGGTTAGTCAATAAAACATGAATCTAGGTACTGCTGTGAAGGGACTTTGGAAAAGTAACAGGCCTTGAGATAATGAGATCATGGATTATCTAGATAGATCTACCTTAATCACTTCAGCCCTTAACAGTAGAGACATTTCTCCTCCTGGGGTCAGAGAGATGTGGCAGAAGAAGGAGGCAGAGGAAGGATAAAAAGGGTGAGAAAAATACTACCCTCCCTTGCTGGCTTTGATTATCAAAGAAGGAGGGATAAGCCAAGTAAGGTGGGAAACTTTTAGACATATCCAACTGAAAGCCAGCAAGAAGACTGGGAACCTCAGACTTCTACTGCATAGAACTGAATTCTGCCATCAACCTGGATGACCTCGGAAGCATATTTTCCCCTAGAGTCTCCAAAAGCAATACAATTCTGCTGACACCTTGATTTTGACCTAAACAGAGAACCAGCTGAGCCATATTGTCCTGGACTTTTGACTTATGAAAACTGTGAAATCATAAGTAGTTACTGTCTTAAGCCACAGATTTTATGATCGTGATTTCAGCTGCAATAGGAAACTGATACAGTTGCTGTGTTGAGAATTATAGACTCTGGAAAAGTAGGGATAGAAATAGGAAAAGTAGCCGGGAAGTTCATTAATAAACTGGACACAAGATGATGGCGGCCTTGAACAATGTGTTGGTGATGGAAATAATAAGCATTGAGTGATTTCTGGATATATTTTGAAGGTAGAGTCAATAGGATGTGCTAAGGGATTGGAGGGGTGATGGAAAGGAAACAGAGAATACCAAGGAAGTGCTGAAGGCTCTGTCTGAGCACTTGGAAGGACAGAGGTGCCATGATTAAACTGGGTAAGACTGAGCATATTTTGAGGGAAAGATGAAGATATTGGTTATGGACATGTTCAGTTCTTGTTAGTCATTCAGTTGGAGATATTGAGTAGGCAGTTGAAAAAACTGGGGTTCAGGAGGAAGTTCTTGACTGAAGACATGTTCTTGGCAGTATATAATTGGTATGTCAAGCCAACATATAACCTAGGAAGTAGCTATAAATAAATATAAAGAAATCTAAGGAATGAACTCCAAAATTTAGAGGTCAAGGGGGTGACAAGGAACCAGACGATACCACTGTGCTGAGACAAATAAGAGTATATAGCTCGTGAAGATAGTTTTGTGATAATTAGAGAAACATTTGTAACTAGTTTAAATTTTTGCTATAAAAATTTTTATATAGGTTTGAAACAAATATAAACACATTCAATAATATCTAGTGAGAGTCATCTATTTTCAGGTAGAAAAATAATGCAAAAATATGTCTTTTTAGGCCAGGCGCGGTGGCTCACGCCTGTAATCCCAGCACTTAGGGAGGCCGAAGCGGGCAGATCACGAGGTCAGGAGATGGAGACCATCCTGGCTAACACGGTGAAACCCCGTCTCTACTAAAAATACAAAAAATTAGCCAGGCGTGGTGGCGGGCGCCTGTAGTCCCAGCTACTTGGGAGACTGAGGCAGGAGAATGGCGTGAACCTGGGAGGCGGAGCTGGCAGTGAGCCGAGATTGTGCCACTGCACTCCAGCCTGGGCGACAGAGCGAGACTCTGTCTCAAAAAAAAAAAAAAAAAAAAAAAAAAAAAATATATATATATATATATATATATATATATATGCATACATATATATATATATGCATACATATATATGTATATATATATCTTTTTATAGCTTGAATTTCTGTATTTTCTTATTTCTTGTCATTTGAACTTGTAATCATTTGAAGTATTACTTAGATCACCAAAAATTTAAAAACAAACAGGTTCAAAAATCTAATGACTTTCAAACAATCATCTAATTAATTTCTTTTTTCTTCCAATTATCCAGTATGTTAAGTCCTGCTTTGTCTCCATTAATATGATATCCTGACATCCTGCCAAGTCAGAACAAAGCTACCAGATATTAGCAAAATAAGCCATTAGGTCTTGGGACAAATGCTAAACTTTTCTAAAAAAAAAAAAAAAAAAAAAAAAGAGTTATTCATTCTTTGCCTATTTCTGTTAACTTTTTTTTTTACCATGTTAAAAGTGATTATTGTTTTTCTTGGTGAAATGGGAATCAATTATTTAACACATGTTTCACCTTAACCCTTTCCACTGTCATGATCATGAGTTGTTTTATACTTTTCAGCTGATTTGGGGCATAATATTGAAATCTTTCTTAGCACAGTATTCTGGGCAGCTACCAAAGACAGCTATCATGATTCAGAATGAAACCACTTGCCATTTCTGTTGTTTTTGTCTCTCTTGAATCACCATCAAGGATGTGAAACATAAATACTTCTTCCCTATATATTGCCTAATAATTTGACAATACTGTCATGCCACTGCATTTATCATAGAAATTTGTATCTCTAAATGGTAGCAATCTTCAGTGATTATCAATACTTTTTTATCAATTATCAATAACTTTTTATACTACATACTTCATCCCCTTTCATGTTTCTCTAGTCAAAAATATGTATTTCTTTTTACCTTGTTTTTTTTTTGATACTTTAAGGAGAGTTATATGCCAAGTTTCACAGAGCATTATTAAATCACCCTTTTCATAGTTATGCAGGCATATATGTTCATTTTTGTTTATATTGCTGTGAAGGTGCAGAGCACTGGCTTTGAGGCTTCATGAAGATGAACACTCATGTGTTTTTATTCCTAAAATAAACATGCAAGTTAGAGTTAGTGAGATGAGCTCAAGACATATTTTTGGCGAATCATCAGGCTAAGAATGTTCAGGGAGGGTGGGTTCTCCAGTCTTATCAATCAAATCATAGAGGAAGTAATTGGTTTGGTAGCAATTATGCTTTGGTTGGGGTAAATTGTGAATAAGTGAGTCGTAGCCATGTTATTCTGAAACTATCACTTTTTGTGGTTGAAAAACTGCACTTACCAAGCCACATCTTCTGGATCTAATATTATCTACCTACCTGGTAGTTTCCTTACCTATGTCACTTAGCACCACTGTGCACATGTTCTATATTTAATGAGCAATGCTCAGTCACATTGCAACCGGGCAGTGATAACCACCGGTAGGCATGCACTTTTGGTTGTTTCCAAGACAAAGAAGGCACAGAGTCTGGAAGACCTGGCCAGGACCACCACAGTATTCTATTGGTAGTACAACAGTAACTCTCTCATTGTCCAGTGGTGACTAGCACACCTGTACACACACAGGCACACACACACGTACCTCTACTTATGTCCACACATGCCATTTGGTTTTCTCCCTGGCATCCCTTTGCCCTGGATTCTCTTGAAATATCCTGCCTTATTTCTCATATTGTATCATTCAAATAAAAAAAAAGCCACCAAAAAATCTCCACTCTATAGGAATAAGGGGCTATCAGGACTTTTTTTCCTTTGTGAATTTGAGTTAGACTAGTTATTCTCTAGAAGAACTGGTTGTCATACTCATCTTCTCAGCAAAGCCTTTTGTTCTCTCCCAGCCCATGACAGTCAGAGCATCTTCTGAGCTTTCACCACAGTCTGTTCATGCCTTTATGAAATTTTCAGTGATCTGTGTTGTTTTGGCTGTTTTGGCATGTAGAGATTAAGGTCTTGAATGAAGAGAAACATGAAATAATATCTAGCTAATGGTGCTTAATAAAAATTTCTGGAATGAATCAGGTGATTAATTAACATCTTTTTATTAGGATAATGGCAAAGAGTTAAAGACCCACTAATTTTATCTCAACTGAAACCCCAAATTCTTTGGAACATTGGTTGATTTCTGTTGGATCTGAGTCCAATGAACATATAAGGAACCTTTAAAGCTAATATAACCAATAACTTCCAGAAAACTAGCAGACTTGGGAAATAAAAGAAATTCTGTCTTTCATAGGAATTTTATGAAGGATATTTTGCAATAAAAATTATCCTTTTGGCTATTATAAAGACCAAGTAATCATTTATAAATCAAGGTAGGCAAAAGCTTATTTAATTTGGTATGCTTGGAAGTTAGCCAAATTAATTTATAAGTGTCACTCATCCTTTTGTTAATCCATTTTACTGACAAGTTTTGAAAAGAATGTAAAGACATATCATCACTGGGTCACCTGTGGGCCATACTTCGCACTAATTGGAAAGATGGCTCACCATGAGTGAGATATTAAAACATGAAAAAGAACCTCTTATTTCAAGATATTCTTACTTATTTATTCTTAGTCATGCCATGCTAACAGGTCATTATATATCCTTTAATACCACCATTTTTCTACTCAGTGTAGAAGGTAATAGCAATCAAAACATACACTGCAAAGTAAACAGCAATCCCAGTTTCATATGGGTTTCCTTTTATCATTTCAGAGGAAAGGAATGTAGATAACTACAGTGATAAGACCCAAAATGGGAGAGAGATTACTATACATAGAAAAGCCCATTGATTAGAAGTTGTGGACAGCTTTATGATGACTATTTTTTAGTTTGAGGATAATGAAAGTTTTCCTTGACCAACGACTGAATAATTTTAGAGTCTAGGCACAAGGCTTTAATAAACTTCATTAGTGGCTGTGGGATATATTTGACCATTGACTCTTCTAGTCATGATTCAGTTTACTGGTTTACTTGGCTGAAATTGAAGTGTGTCTGGAGAGAATCTCCCTGGTAGCAATGTTTTTGCAAAATATTCATTGCTTTAAACAAAACAACTATATGTTTCTGGGGTCCATTTGCAAAAAGAACTGTATAAGTACTCACAGTTGTCAAGACAGTTGCCTTGATTCATTCACTCATTCAAATATATTTATTGCATGCCCACTATGTGCTAGTTTTCTAAGCAGGGGGTCCACAGAATACACAGAAAACCGTATCCTCTTAGATTGTGCATACATTTAGACTGTAAATTATGGCAAAATTAATTAAAAGGGAAAGGTAAATTTGTGGAATGTCAAATGGCAATAAATACTACAGAGAAAAATAAAGCAGAGAATGAGACAAGGAGTATTAGAAAACATGCTTTTAAAATAAAATAGTCTGGAAATGTTTCACCGAAAAAGTTACATTTTAGTAAACAGTTTGCAATGGAGTGTGGCATGTTGACACTAGTTGAGCATGACAGAGTGCAAAGCCTTCATCTGGAGTATATGTGGTGGGTTGGGTGTGAATAAGGAGGGAGGGGAGGGGCTGGAGCAAAGTGAGCAGTGGTAGGATAGAAGGAAGTGAAGTCAAAGGGGAAATGAGGTCTCAGTCTTATCAAGCCTTGTAAATCAGGGTAATGACTGGACTTTACTCAGGGTAAGCTGGGAGGCTATATGGGAGTTTTGAGCCAGAGGAATGACATAACCTGTCTTTATTTTAACAGGATTGCAGGATGATGTTTTGAGACATAGACATAGATGGGGCTTCAATAGAAGCAGAAAGCCCTGTCTTGCATCCATCTGATCATTCACTCATTTGTACAACAAATACATATTCACATATACAGTGATTCTACCTAGAAAAAGGAGAGGACTTTTCTATAGCTTTTACAAAAATGACTTGAATTTCACAAGTGAACCAAGTCCTAGAAAAGATACTTTTTTCCCTATTACATGGAGAATTTCCTTTCCAAATGAAGGGTGACACATTAAGTTCTGGTGAATCTGATTGACTGATCTGAAGAAAACAAAACAAAATTCACAAACAACTAGTGCTTCAATTGGTGGTTTTATAAGAAGTGATTCTTTCTGAAGAAGAGGAGCACTGGAATTACTCACCATGTTTCATTTTTATAGATACACTTACAATAAGATTGACATGTAATTTTTATATATTTTCTTAGAATTTTGAACATATGGATAGCAATTGCTGCAATACCTGTCCAAAAGAACAGGTAATGAGTGGGTTCGGGAGGCAACAAATGGGTTAATTGGGCAGGTTAGCTGAAAATACTCCAAAGATGCTCCTATGACTTTCAAAGTTTGTCATCAATGAAAAATCTATTTATGCGCTTTATGGGGTACATATTTTCTGTTGCACAGACCCATTTCTGTGCCCTAATTAGTCTGCCTTTTAAAGACATTGGAATTGATTATGTGTTTTTACATGTCCCCACTGTTTTCACTGAGCATTAATCTTTTGCTTCGTCAAATAAAATATGTAAAAATCTTTGTACATAATTTTCACTTTTGTTAAAATTTTAAGGTTTCAAATGCCACATGTCACTTTGAAGATTCTGTTTTATGAGCTGCTCCATATTTTTGACAATTTCTCAACTCAATTTTACTAGTAACTACTACCTTCTCTCTAACATCCTGCTTTGTGAAGACATAAAGGCATTACTAAAAGCACTATTGGGAGCAATCTGCCAAAACCCTTACAGGAAAATCCCCTACAGAGTTTTGCTAATAGATATTTTTCATAGCTATATTTTATAATTACTAGATCCAAATAAGTTGTATTCTTTTTCCCAGAAATGGGCATTTATATATGAAGTACAGCGATTACATTAAAACTAGTTTGGCAAATATTAATGAAATAACTTACTGCCATAATCATGGGGACCTGGAACTTGTGGGGAAATTTACCTCATGATATCTATTGAGGTGAATTTCTGCAGTAGCAATATTTCTGATAATTTACACTGCTCTCAAAAAGCACTATTGAAAGGTGATGCAGTTTATGATTTTTTCCTCTAATGCTTATTGAAATATTCATTATTCACAGTGGGTGAACTCACTCTCAGTTTTTGCAATCTCTTCTCTTCTCCAATTCCTAATTTTCACCTCAGTCTTTTACATCTTAGGAAATGACACTGCCTTCTCCCTACTGCTGAAACAATAAATGTGCAAGTCATCTGTGTTTTCTTTATCTGTACTTCCTTCAAATCAATTCATCAGTAAAGTTTTCAAATTTTGTAATATAAATCTTTTTTCCTCCATTTTCAATACTATCACCATTTCTTGAATTCTATCCTCTCTTATTTGGACTAAATCATGAAAGTGTTAGCTCTGTCTAATTGGTATTACCAATCCTCTATCCACTCCTCAACCAAGATGAAACAAAAAATTTTTTTAACTCACAATTTTTTTTTTCGTACATATTGATTTGAGGGTAGGGAGATAACCTAAATAAGATAACTTTATGTCCTTCTTAAAACTATTTGGCATGTTCCCATTTGGGGCTTTTAAACTTTTTATTTAGGGCTTCTTTTCAGTGCTCTTAATATAAGACTTCCTGCGGTCATAAACCTCATGCACAGTAAGTACTAATTATAATTCATAATATTAACTTCAGACTCAAGGTTAAAAGGGCTCTAGTCAGCATGAGGCATAAAATGAGATGGTGCCCGGTGATCACACAGGTCTCTGGAAAGAAAGAAGTTCCATTTTGACATTCAGAAGTAGATTCACTTGTTTCCATAGCTTGATTTTTAGATGATGTTCTTCAGGCCCCTTCTTGCTACATTATTCAAGCACACAGGGTCGTTTAGTTAGTTAATTTCCTCAGTGGTGTGGAGGTGTTGATGGAAGAAAGCCGATTGGAGAAAGAATGCATTGTGAGTAAAAGTAAAGCCTACATAGGTACACAAGTCGGAGAGAACCTGTGCACTTGGGGCCCATAATCATCGTGTATGGCTGAGACAGTGGCTCTGTTCAGGGTGGGAGGAACTGAGTGTTACTGAGTCATAAAGGGAGGGCTTTCTCACCATAGGAAGGAGTTGGGATTTTGTCTTGAAGCCTGTCGGGAGGCACTGAAGAATTTTATTAGGTCTACTGTTGATTTTCAAAGTCTGGTGGGTTCAATTTTTCTTCAGCGTTTGAAAACAAAACTCTCCAAAGCCCTTCTTGAAAATACAAATCAAATCCAATAGCTTTAAATCAGTGGAGATGAAACATGCCTTCAAACTTGAGGAAACTTAATGAGAATGAAGTTTGGTCAGAACACCACTTCCCGAAATTGCCTCTCCCACAACTTCAAGGTAATCATGGAATTTCAGGCTGTGGTAAATATGAAGTAAAAATATTTAGTGATTTTTCATCTAATGTTTAGAAAGGAGAAGGATATGCTCAGAAACAGATAACTGTACTACCAATTAAAATTCTTCACCAACAATGCATTAATTTATAAATCTAATATGATGTGGAAAATAATGTATGGAAAAGGATATATTTTTAACAAACTTACAACATAGATTTCTCCTTATCTCTATGTAAGCATCTTCTAAATAGTAAAGACATTAGTGAAATTAGATATATTTAAAACTAGGCATTATTTTTAAAATGTAAGTGAAAGATTTATAATTAGAGCCATCTGTTGCATTTACTATATTTTGCACATATTTCAGGAGCACCAAAATAAAATAACAATCTCAAAACATTGTGAATGGCAGAAGCACATTAAATGAAGAATTAGAAAATGCACACCAAATATCAGACTCCTCTCTGAAATGATATATTCCTCAACTTTTAATATACAACCCAGAGCTTTTCTTTAAACTGTAGGAAGAAAATTTAAAAAGTAACTAATAGTCATCTTTAAAAGCTCTTTGAATTTTTCCTCACGTTTTAAAAGACATTTTGAAAATATATATTATGAATAATATAAAAATAGCTTTGAATATTTGAAATTATTACATTAAAACTTTTGATTAGAGAAAACCAAGAAGAATTAGGATACTGAGGAACCAGATGTGTTTGACCCCAAGGGGATACAAAGCAATTAAGCCCTACCTTTCTTTCCCTGAGAGCAAACACATCATCCTGGGTCTCTTCTGATCTGCATTTGTGAGTATCACATGTGAAATAGGATAAGTAGCTAACAATCATAGCCAGGATTATAAAAAACAACATAATTACAACTTTGCATTGACCAAGTAGCTGGAGTCAAGAAGAAATAAACAGAGGGAGAGAAATGGTATCTCAGCTGCGGGAGATCTTAAAGATTTACACACATGGGAAATACTGGGAAGCTACATATGGAAATGAGAGCAACCCATATTCATTCATTACAAAAAATATGCAAATTATTAGGCATAAGGTGAATGGAGTTTGTAGCCTGAGCTGGTATAGTTTACTGAAAAAAAAGACAGGCTCGGATTTTAATCCTAACTCAACTTTTAGTTATTTTCCATAGTGTAATTACGTAATTTTTAGGTTGCTCCCTATGTTTATCTGTAAGACTGGAATATTAGTACCTCCCTTGGTGGGAATGGTTGTAAAGCTTAAATGAGATAACATATCTATTAGTATAGTACTAGAAACATACTTGGTGCCAAACAATAAAGGGTAGTCATTTTATTTTTTATTGACTTTGTATAGTGTATCCATTTAAAACTCAATATTTGTGTGTGTGTGTGTGTATATCTATATATATCTATATCTATCTATCTATCTATATATATATCTCCTGAATTTCCATTGTTTCTAGGAGATCTTGAAAAGTGGAGTAGCAGGTCTGACGAGTGGTAACTTGCCATTCAGAATTATTTTATAAAACTTATCAGCAAAAGTACTAAATGTTATATTATTGTATTGCATTGTTCTAGAAACATACAAGTATCTGTTCAAAATTGAATTGGTTAGAAAACAAAACCAGTGTGTGTTAAAAGATCATTTAAAAATGCATGACTAAATTATCAATCCTCCATCAACCGACTTTATAAAAGAAAAAGCACATAAGTTATTTGAGCCATGGATTTTATCTGCACTATGTGAATGGTTTATATGAGGAATTTCCAACTCTTTTCTCTGGCCACATATAATTTTTTCCTTGCTTTATTTGATTCTTTTTATTTTTTATTATCCAAACTCTGGATTTATAAGTCTTTTTCCTTTAATATAAAACTCTCTTGTTCAAAAAAGTACTTTTAATTTTAAAATAAATATTTGCTAAATTTCCAGACTCTTTTTGATACTAAATGAAGTAAATATCTTAAAATATATAAAACTAAGGTCAATATATGACTAAGGTCAATGAAGGAAACACATTAGTAAAGTAGATACAAGTATATTAGTATTAAGACTGATGTAATCTATACTCACACAGCATATATTATGCATTATGAGGTTAATTTTATGCATTAAAAGGTTAATTTTTTAAAATGTTGTCTTTACTAGTCATGAGCACATGTATCACTGATGCCAATTTATGTCAACCTAAGGAAGGTCAATGGAAGAAGCACTGGATCCAAAGGCTAAACTGAATTATACTTTTGCTAGTAACTTTGGACGAATTATTTCTCACCCCATCTTCCAAATTAATGATCAAACAGTGTTAATAATACATATCCTTGTTATCGCTGCAATTTAATGGGACTCAAGTTAACAAATCTATGTGAATGAGTGTTGAAGAGTTGAAAGTGTAACTATTATTCACCTTGTTAAAAAAAAAACATGGGTTATAGAGCCAAATAAAACTAGCTTGGAATTTTCCTCATCTTCTTCATAGATCCAAATCCCTTGACAAGTTACTTAGCATCTCTGAACCTCAGTGCAATCAGCAAAGTTGAGGTAGTAATGCATAGCCTGGAGGTTGAATATAAAGTTACATTGAAACAAGACATCCCAAAATAACTAGTATACTGTCTGGCCCTTAAAAATTTACTGAATATATGATGATTTTCCTTTCTACTGTATCTTACATCATGAATTTATTTAACATAATTAGTGCTGGCAACCTTATGAAAGGAAAAGACAAATCACAGATTATATTTTCAATAGGTTTTTAAAAAATCAAAATATATAATAAACTCTACCAAAGCAATAAGCAAATTAAGAATAAACAATCCTGTAGAAAACAAGCAATTTAAGGAATCAGAAACTGAAATGGCCAATAAACACAGGGAATTATTTTCACAGTTTTCTCATCTGAACAGCTAATAAATAACACTGATATACCATTTCATATCCATAGTGGCAAACTTTTCCATTTGCATAATTACTTTTATTATAACTGAGGATAAACAGAAATTCTTATACATAATTTTTTATTGCCTAATAAAGTTGTATGTGTGTATCCCTGAATTCAGCAATTTCACCAGAAAGCATATATGTGAGAAACTCTAATAAATGGACCAAAAGAATTCCAAAACTGTACCAACCTATCTCAGTAGAAGAATGAATAAGCCTTGTTTTTATTATAAATTGAATATTAAAAAGCAATGAAAATTAATCAGATCTACATTTATCTTCATTTAAAACCTCAAAAACATAATGCTAAGTCTAAAAATTAAATCATAAAATTATATATACAGTAGTTTAAATTTACAAAGCAATTTCATATATATTAAATTATAATTTATTTTTAAAATGCAAAAGCATGATAGGAAAGATTTACACCAACCTGAGAATCATAGATCTTTCTGGGAAGACAGTCCAGGAAATAGCATGGGGTACATCTAAATTCTATCAATTATATTTTTATATATATACCAGGAAGAATGATTTCTTCTGCATCCTAGTGTGGGTATTGTCAATGTACATACCAATTCTTCTTAAGGCTGTTAAACCCACCATTCTCACTACCAAAATATTATTATTCATTTTGTTTTGAATAAGCTCAATAATCTATGTTGTGCTATTATTGTTATTATTGTTGTTGTTGTTTAATGAGCAAGCCAAGTTTATGAATATGTGAACAGTGAATAGATTCCATTTTGAGAGACATTGATTTATCACAATGAAATACAGACCAATTATAAGCTACAGTTTCTTCACGTGTGTTTTTAAAATATCTTATTTTACTCGAATAAAAATTCTTTTAGAAATTTAGTCGAATTTTTCTTGTGCCCTCTGATAAATTACCTCCTACTTAATGTTGTCTGTATTTTCAGTAAAAAGTTTACCAATATTTACGTGTATTTGCTAGGACATATCTGAGTTGAATTCCTCATTATGACTCTTACAGTTTATATGACCTAAAACAATTTCTGTTTCATCAGTTGTAAAATTGGTATGAAATATTACAAGGTTTTGTGAGGATTCATGTGGGATGACATATGTAAAAACACAGGACTATGCTTGGCACACAGTACCATAAGACTTTGTGCTATGTGCCAAGCACAGTCCTATGTTTTCACATATGTTAGTAGCATAAGTCACAGTACAAAGTATTATTAGCAACCTTATCAACACTGTCACTATTACCATCAGGCCATTCAAAGATTTAGAAATAATTAGGATTTTATCGTTGTTTGCTCTTTAAGTCAATACTTTGCATGGTTTTGAAAGTCCTCCTTAATTTCACCACACTTTCCCACATGTTAAGCTGATCTCTTTACGACATTGTATCTTAAATCAGCATGCTCTTACCAGACCTATGGCTTTTGATCTTTCATCAGCCTCACCTACAATGTCCTTTTCTTTCCATTTGTCTATTCTAATCCTTTCTATCTTCCAAAGCTTGCCTCAAATCTCATCTTGTCTACAGTTTCATTGAATTGATTTAAATCTTCTCAACCAATATTTATATTGTCTGTATCAGGTAATTTAGTGGTTAATTATGTTCTACCTTATATTCTTCACTGATGTTTTATATTCACATTGTCACCACAAAGTAAACTGTTTGAACCTATGGGCTGCATCTGTGATTTCTTTCATCACTCTGATAGAGCATTACAGAATCATGAGTGAGTAGCAGATATTTGATACATTTTGACTGTAATAAAAAATAACCCATTATATTTTTCCTAGCATCCAATTGTGTCTATCACTCATCAGTTCAAGGAAAGTCTCTCTGCCATAAATGGTGGTTTCCAATAAAATTTATTTCACTTAATTTAATTCATGTTGCACTCAGTTTATCTCTTGTCTAAGGTAAACTATCCAAGAAGAAAACCTTTAACAACTTTTCAATGTCATGATAAATACCTTTTGGATTTTTACAAAAAATTTTTACTAACATAATTAAGTGTGATCAAGTAGGATAACAGAATAAGAATGGTTATTCCTAAAGGTATGAAAAAGTGGGAGCATCAGCAAAATAGGGCTGCTATTTCTTATGGTTTTTTTTTTGGTTTAATTAGGCCCATTAATCTGAGAAATAACCTGAGACTATAAAAGAAATAAATAAAGAATCAAATACTTCTCCTAACAGGAGACCAAGTTAAAATAAGGTGCCTCAGTCACAGTAGAGCCCCAATTCTTAAAGGACAGTATCACTTCACACTGTAGAACTGAAATTATAATAAGCCACTGTGGGAATTAAACATCCTATAAGGCAATTTCATAAATATTATAACCAGATTATTCTGGTTAAAGCCTCCATCACTCATAGGATGATCATTTAGTTTAGAGCAAAACAAATGCATATCAGATTATAATTTATAACACTGCTTAAAATATGAAGTCTTATAGCTATTTTAAGTTTAAAACATGTTTTAATAATTACCCTTCTGAACTTCTAGGAGCTATCATATATTACTAAAACTTTTGCTCTGTTTGAGGTTTTAGAAAATTATAGCTAACTTATGAAAAATTAAAATATTCTTTTTATCAATGCTCAGTGATGGAATTTTAGGGATTGTTCTAAAAATATATTTAATTTGTAATAGATATATTTTTATACATTTCTCAATCTTCTTTATACATGCAAATATTTTTAGTCTTTTATAAGGTTCATCAGCAATTCCTCTAAAGCTTTGTCAGGAAGGTGATTCAGAATATCCCAGGCACTTTATTTCATTACAGTGTTGGAAACCAAATGATGAACTAACACAGACCCTGTATTCAAAAGAATAACTTTCCTGAAATGGCTTATAGAGTAGAGATAAATGATAAGCAAAACCTATTAAGGTGTTTCCAAGCATGTAGTCCATAAAACGCCACGTTCTAAAAATCATTGTTAATAATCATAATACACTTATGATCATTATAAACTTTTTTGTGATAATAAATTTTTGATCAATACACTCCTCTGTGTTCTAATTTTGAAGCTTAAAGTTTAGATAATATTTCTGCCTTCTAGGTTATAACAATCTGTATTCATTATTTGTTATCAACCAAAAAAATGGTTATCATTCATCAACCATTTTTAATGAATGAAATTAGACAGTAAAACACAAAAATAATTAACATGTCTCTGCCTTTAAGAGCTTCACAGCTCATCAGAGAGAAGAGAGAGTGAGAGAATTATAATTGTACCATTTGTATATTAAACCCCAAGTCCACCAGGAAGGAAAAACATAAACATAATTATAATTGTAGCATGTATATATTAAACCCTGATTCCATCAGGAAGGAAAAACATTATTTTGTGATGTTTTCTGTTTTCCTGGGGTTGTGATTAAATCCCAGGAGTGTGTGTATCCAAGGCTATGAGTGTGTTGGGGCAGGAGAAGATCTGTTTTCTGAAGGTATTCATTGAGACATATGAGCTGTCAGTAACCCCCTATTGCAGAGCCCAAGCATTCACCCAGCTGTTTCCCTGAGTCTCTAGCTCAGCAGGTAAAGTACAGACGCCTTTGTTCTCAGACTCCACATCTCTAACATGTCCCCAGGTATCCAACCAGTGGAGCATCACACAGCATGCCACAAATCCCATCTCCACCCTTACTCTCTTCTTACTCCTCATGGTTTTTCCTCAAAGACAAATTCCCTGCCCCAAAGTTGTTTGCCTCATATATAACTTGCATAATCTCCTTGATAGCTAGAAAATTTTGGAAATGTAAGTCCAGAGGCTAAAAAAGGATTTCTGTTTTCTGCCTTGTAATCCCTTGCTCTTCTTGAGAGAAGGAAACTCAAAGTACTATCTCCTTTCTGGAGGATGAGGGAGGGGTGGACTGCTCATAGAAAAAGGGAGATTTTTAAAAATATTATGACATGACAATTTAATAAGATCAGCAGAAGAAATAATGCTGGAGGACTATCAAAATGCAATACTAAAAAGACAAGAAGGTCTCACAAAAAGACTGTACGTTTCCTGGCATTTGAAGGAAAAGTATTTGTACCCACTGGAGAAATGGAAGAAAATATCGTTCAAGGGCAATGATGTATGAAGATCACAAAGGAGAAAGGCAGTGGCTTCCCTTTTCCTAAGTAAGAGGATGTAATGACAATCAATGGCATAAAATGGAATTCTGACATGTTGATTAAATGTGAAGAGGAGGGATCAGAGCAGGAGGAGGAAGCAGTGTCTAGCAGTGGGTGATATGGACTCAGTGGTGAATGTGAAGAAGGCAAAAATGGAATGGAGTAATGCTTATACAGAAAAATGTGGACTGACATCATGGATTACACGTAGAAATTCCTTCAAAAAAAAAAAAAAAATGACCAAGAGGATGTGGCACTAACCCTGAAGTCATGTGCCAAATGAGCAGAGCTTGTTGTGTAAGAGTGCCAGATATCCTGAAAATCTCTTAAAATTCTGAAAATCTCCTGAAAATCAAAGAATGTCTCACTTCCTCCATTCAATGAGGAAGCCCAAGAAATACATGAATGTGTGAGCCAGAGGATCAGTCACTTAATTAACCAAAGAAGAGTTTCTATAAAGCACAAATTATTTTAGAGAAATGCTGATAGAAAATTGAGCTCCACCACTTCTTTGAGTTTCATGATCTCTGAGCTTGCTGATACCTGAAATGGGCCTTGATAATTTCCACTTTTCCTTCTCTTTCATTTCTAAGAAATATGGGCTTGGTATAGTATTATTTTTCTTTAAAATATCCAAACACTGTTGTGGCATTTTAGGTTTCCTCAGATCCATAATATAAATTTTATTGATTTCTCATCAAACTGAAGGTTTAAACTTATCATCTTCTAAAATTTCCTGTAAAATTTTAATGGTTCATGGAGAAAATACATTTATAAACCAATGCCTTAATTGATGACTACCAGAAGAGAGATTCAGGGAATTAAGAATTCATTATAAGCCTGTCACTTTCATATTATTAGATCAGGTAGACATTACTATGAAATAATGTCAAAAAAAGGTGTACATTCTATAGAAGATAAAAATAGGTTGCATTCTACCTATTTGAAGATTCAGAACTGGAGGATTTGGTAGTGTTAAAATAATACGTTTTTCTGAATGACTTTTCTTTTTCACTTTATTTTACCACACAGATATTTTTTATTTTTAAAGCTTTCCAATTACTAAAGAGGATACTTTTATATTTCATATAAAGGTGCTATCATCTTTGAGATTGTCAGCTTTCATAATCAGTAATGCATGGATACTCTAAATCGTATTACATGAGTTTAGCATAATAATATGGAGGTACAATTTTTGCAATTGGTGATAGTAGAAAAAAAGACTACATGCTAACTAGTTGAAGTCCCTACACCAAAGTGATGGAAGGCACTACTTTATGGTATGCTTTGCTAGAGGAATCTTGGCTTTACCTCTTAATTTTGCCCAAAGTTTTTAATGTCCCAGTTCCTACATATGTGGAAATTAAATGACATAATGCATTCAAAAAGCTTACTCAGCATCTGTCAAATAGTTCCGGGATGATAACTCAAAGTGTGGGATTCAGAAAATCAATATTTTAAGTATTTTACAAATAAGAATAGTTAGCTTTCAAGTACAGTGATTCTTTGTTTTCATTTTTTCTAGATTTTTTGTTCTTTTGTTACAAACTTCATGGTATGGATAATGCTGATCAGGGACAACAAAGAAGGGAGTGAATGAAGAGTCTTTGGTTATTGTTTTGCAAAAGCCATCATTCATGCCTTTATTCCCCCTTCCACACATAAATTTCTGCGTGGTTTATTTTCATGGTGATATCATTTGATGTTGATCAATTTGGACAGATGAGCACTACAGATGTGGAAATACACATAAATTGTATTCAATTATATTCACATGTACTTCTGAAAAGCAACTCAAGATATTGACAATTTATTCCACACAAAAGATTGCCCTCTGTGCCTCTATTCTGTGATAGTCAGAAATTAAATTGGGATCATTTATATTGTAACAAGATCACGTTCCATCTACAATTATTACTTGGACTCTAAAATCTAAGAAATACATCATCATAGTTTTATTATATTACACTAGTGGTATCCATAATATGTAAACCTTGTATCCTCCCATTACACATCTGTACTCTCAAGCGAGATAGAGAAAGCAAACATAGCTTGTCCCATTCAATACAGTGAGGCAGGTGTCTCCATCCTCATGGAATAGGCCAGGAAGCCACTTGAGAGGTAAGATGCCCTGGTCAGGGCCACAAGGCAGCACATTCCACAGTAAGACTCAGAATTCTGAGAATCAGAATCTGGCAAAATCTGTTCTTCTGATTCAGTTTGCAATTATCTTGACACTATCCCCCTTGCTTTTATGCAAAAACAATTGAACATGTTTTAAATATGAATTGAAAGCCACATACAGACATTGACATTAAGTTTGACAGTGCTTTGGTTCCTGAAATTTCCATCCAAAACTTAGTCACACTCTTGAGTATTTCAGATCAGTGATTGCCAAGAAAATCCCATAGCTTTGATTGTTACCTTTAAGCATTGCACTTTTTTATCATGACTTTCAAAGTCTGGGAGGAACTCTTAAGAGAAAATTTATGTGAATAAAGAGTGCCTTTAGAAGCCAGGACAGGCAAAACCAAAGGGTATCAGTGAATTGGAGTAGGGAAGTAAGACAATGTAAGTCACTTCAATGAACTGCATAATTATTTCATTCAAGAAACTCTCTATTTGACTTTCAATTTTCTAATTATAGAGAACATGATGAAATAATCTCTAACTTTAAATATTATCTTCTAAAATAAAGGACCAATTTGATAATCTTGAAATTTGTGTTGTTGTTCATAAATGTGTTAGGTGCAAGGAATCTGTTGCTCTTTGGATCACAAGATTTCATTCATCTTTGCAATTAACTTAGTAATTATTAACCTTCCTTCCTGCCCCATGAATTAATGTAAAGATTGTCAGGCCTCTGAGCCTAAGCTAAGCCATCATATCCCCTGTGACCTGCACATACACATCCAGATGGCCGGTTCCTGCCTTAAGTGATGACATTCCACCACAAAAGAAGTGAAAATGGCCTGTTCCTGCCTTAACTGATGACATTATCTTGTGAAATTCCTTCTACTGGCTCGTCCTGGCTCAAAAGCTCCCCTACTGAGCACCTTGTGAGCCCCACTCCTGCCCACAAGAGAACAACCCCCCTTTTTCCTTTACCTACCCAAATTCTATAAAACGGCCCCACCCCTATCTCCCTTCACTGACTCTCTTTTCGGACTCAGCCCGCCTGCACCCAGATGAAATAAACAGCCTTGTTGCTCACACAAAGCCTATTTGGTGGTCTCTTTACAGGGACGCGCGTGAAATTTGGTGCCGTGACTCGGATCGGGGGACTTCCCTTGGGAGATCAATCCCCTGTCCTCCTGCTCTTTACTCCGTGAAAAAGATCCACTTACGACCACAGGTCCTCAGACCCACCAGCCCAAGGAACATCTCACCAATTTTAAATCAGGTAAGCAGCCTCTCCTTACTCTCTTCTCCAACCTCTCTCACTATCCCTCAACCACTTTCTCCTTTCAATCTTGGCGCCACACTTCAATCTCTCCCTTCTCTTAATTTCAATTCCTTTCATTTTCTGGTAGAGACAAAGGAGACACGTTTTATCTGTGGACCCAAAACTCCGGCGCCGGTCACGGACTAGGGAAGGCAGCCTTCCCTTGGTGTTTAATCATTGCCGAGCTAGGTCCCAATTCTTCCTCAGCCTCTGCTCCTCCACCCTATAATCCTTTTATCACCTCCCCTCCTCACACCGGGTCCGGCTTACAGTTTCGTTCCGTGACTAGCCCTCCCACACCTGCCCAGCAATTTACTCTTAAACAGGTGGCTGGAGCTAAAGGCATAGTCAAGGTTAACGCTCCTTTTCCTTATCCCAAATCAGATAGCGTTTAGGCTCTTTTTCATCAAATATAAAAACCCAGCCCAGTTCATGGCTCGTTTGGCAGCAACCCTGAGACGCTTTACAGCCCTAGACCCTAAAAGGTCAAAAGGCCGTCTTATTCTCAATATACATTTTATTACCCAATCCACTCCCGACATCAAATAAAACTCCAAAAATTAAATTCCGGCCCTCAAACCCCACAACAAGACTTAATTAACCTCACCTTCAAGGTGTCCAATAATAGAGTAGAGGCAGCCAAATAGCAACATATTTCTGAGTTGCAATTCCTTGCCTCCACTGTGAGACAAACCCCAGCCACATCTCCAGCACACAAGAACTTCCAAACGCCTAAACCTCAGTGGCCAGGCATTCCTCCAGAACCGCCTCCCACAGGAGCTTGCTACAAGTGCCAGAAATCCTGCCACCATGCCAAGGAATGCCCACAGCCCAGGATTCCTCCTAAGCCATGTCCCATCTGTGCAAGACCCCACTGGAAATCAGATAAAAATCAGACTGTTCAACTCACCTGGCAGCCACTCCTCCAGAGACCCTGGAACTCTGGCCCAAGGCTCTCTGACTGACTCCTTCCCAGATCTTCTCGGTTTAGCAGCTGAAGACTGACGCTGCCTGATCGCCTCAGAAGCCCCGTAGACCACCACGGACGCCGAGCTTTAAGTAACTCTCACAGTAGAAGGTAAGTCCCTCCCCTTCTTAATCAATACAGAGGCTACCCACTCCATATGACCTTCTTTTCAAGGGCCTGTTTCCCTTGCCTCCATAACTGTTGTGGGTATTGACGGCCAGGCTTCTAAACCTCTTAAACTCCCCAACTCTGGTGCCAACTTAGACAATACTCTTTTAAGCACTCCTTTTTAGTTATCCCCACCTGCCCAGTTCCCTTATTAGGCTGAGACACTTTAACTAAATTATCTGCTTCCCTGACTATTCCCGGACTACAGCTACATCTCATTGCCGCCCTTCTTCCCAATCCAAAGCCTCCTTTGCTTCCTCCTCTTGTATCCCCCCACCATAACCCACAAGTATAAGATACCTCTACTCCCTCCTTGGTGACCAATCATGCACCCCTTACCATCTCATTAAAACCTAATCACCCTTACCCCGCTCAACGCCAATATCCCATACCGCAGCACGCTTTAAAAAGATTAAAGCCTGTTATCGCTCGCCTACTACAGCTTGGCCTTTTAAAGCCTATAAACTCTCCTTACAATTCCCCCATTTTACCTGTCCTAGGACCAGACAAGCCTTACAGGTTAGTTCAAGATCTGAGCCTTATCAACCAAATTGTTTTGCCTATCCACCCCGTGGTGTCAAACCCATATACTCTCCTATCCTCAGTACCTCCCTCCACAACCCATTATTCTGTTCTAGATCTCAAACATGCTTTCTTTACTATCCCTTTGCACCCTTCATCCCAGCCTCTCTTTGCTTTCACTTAGACTGACCCTGACACCCAACAGGCTCAGCAAATTACCTAGGCTGTACTGCCACAAGGCTTCACGGACAGCCCCCATTACTTCAATCAAGCCCAAATTTCATCCTCATCTGTTACCTATCTCGGCATAATCCTCATAAAAACACACGTGCTCTCCCTGCTGATCGTGTCCGACTAATCCCCCAAACCTCAATCCCTTCTACAAAACAAGTCCTTTCCTTCCTAGGTATGGTCAGATACTTTCGACTTTAGATATCTAGTTTTGCCATCCTAATAAAACCATTATATAAACTCACAAAAGGAAACTTAGCTGACCCCATAGATCCTAAATCCTTTCCCCACTCCTCTTTCCGTTCCTTGAAGACAGCTTTAGAGACTGCCTCCACCATAGCGCTACCTGACTCATCCCAACCCTGTTCATTACCCACAGCCAAAGTGCAGGGCTGTGCAGTCAGAATTCTTACATAAGGACCAGGACCGCACCCTGTAGCCTTTTTATCCAAACAACTTGACCTTACTGTTTTGCCTAGCCCTCAAGTCTGCATGTGGCGGCTGCCGCTGCCCTAATACTTTTAGAGGCCCTTAAAATCACAAACTATGCTCAACTCACTCTCTACAATTCTCATAACTTCCAAAATCTATTTTCTTCCTCACACCTGACACATATACTGTCTGCTTCCTGGCTCCTTCAGCTGTATTCACTCTTTGTTGAGTCTCCCACAATTACCATTGTTCCTGGCCCAGACTTCAATCCGGCCTCCCACATTATTCCTGATACCACACCTGACCCCCATGACTGTATCTCTCTGATCCACCTGACATTCACTCCATTTCCCCATATTCTTTCATGTTCCTTACTCTGAACACACTTAGTTTATTGATGGCAGTTCCACCAGGCCTAATTGCCACTGACCAGCAAAGGCAGGCTATGCTATAGTATCTTCCACATCTATCATTGAGGCTACTGCTCTGCCCCACTTCACTACCTCTCAGCAAGCCGAACTCATTGCCTTAAGTCAAGCCCTCACTCTTGCAAAAAGACTAAACATTAATATTTATACTGACTCTAAATATGCCTTCCATATCCTGCACCACCATGCAAGAAGTTTCCTCACTACACAAAGGTCCTCTATCATTAATGCCTCTTTAATAAAAACTCTGCTCAAGGCCGCTTTACTTCTAAAGGAAGCTAGGGTCATTCACTGCAAGGGGCATCAAAAGGCATCAGATCCCATTGCTCTAGGCAACGCTTATGCTGATAAAGTGGCTAGACAAGCAGCTAGCTTTCCAACTTCTGTCTCTCACAGCAACGCTTATGCTGATGAGGTGGCTAGACAAGCACTTAGCTCTCCAACTTCTGTCCCTCACGGTCAGTTTTTCTCCTTCACATCAGTCACTCCCACCTACTCCCCCGCTGAAACTTCCACCTATCAATCTCTTCAAGGAAAATATCTCCTTCCAGCCTCACAGGCCCATTCTATTCTGTCGTCATTTCATAACCTCTTCCATATAGGTTACAAGCCGCTAGCCCGTCTCTTAGAACCTCTCATTTCCTTTCCATCATAGAAATCTATCCTCAAGGAGATCACTTCTCAGTGTTCCATCTGCTATTCTACTACCCCTCAAGGATTGTTCAGGCCCCCTCCCTTCCCTACACATCAAGCTCCAGGATTTGCCCCCACCTAGGACTAGCAAATTAGCTTTACGCAATATGCTCCAAGTCAGAAAACTAAAATACCTCTTAGTCTAAGTAGACACTTTCACTGGATAGGTCCAGACCTTTCCTACAGGGTCTAAGAAGGCCACCGTGGTCATTTCTTCCCTTCTGTCAGAAACAATTACTCAGTTTGGCCTTCCCACCTCTACGCAGTCCGATAGTAGACCAGCCTTTATTAGTCAAATCAGCCAAGCAGTTTTTCAGGCTCTTAGCATTCAGTGAAACCTTTATATCCCTTACGGTCCTCAGTCTTCAGGAAAGGTAGAACAGACTAATAGTCTTTTAAAAACACACCTCACCAAGCTCAGCCACCAACTTAAAAAGGACTGGACAATGCTTTTACCACTTTCCCTTCTCAAATTCAGGCCTGTCCTCAGAATGCTACAAAGTACAGCGCATTGAAGCTCCTGTATAGACGCTCCTTTTTATTAGGCCCCAGTCTCATTCCAGACACCAGACCAACTTGGACTGTGCCCCAAAAAACTTGTCATCCCTACTATCTTCTGTCTAGTCATACTCCTATTCACTGTTCTCAACTACTCATACATGCCCTGCTCTTGTTTACACTGCCGGTTTACACTGTTTCCCCAAGCCATCACAGCTGATATCTCCTGGTGCTATCCCCAAACTGCCACTCTTAACTCTTAAAGTAAATAAATAATCTTTGCTGGCAAGACTATGCTGAATCTCCTTAGGCACTCTCTAATTAAATGTCCTAGGTCCTCCCAATTCTTAGACCTTTAATACCTGTTTTTCTCCTTCTCTTATTCCATTTTTCAATTCATACAAAACCGTATCCAGGCCATCACTAATAATTCTAAATGACAAATGTTTCTTCTAACAACCCCACAATATCACCCCTTACCACAAAATCTTCCTTCAGCTTAATCTCTCCCACTCTAGGTTCCCACACAGCCCCTAATCCCGCTCGAAGTAACCCTGAGAAACATTGCCCATTATCTCTCCATACCACCCCCAAAAATTTTCACCGTCCCAACACTTTACCACTATTTCATTTTATTTTTCTTATTAATATAAGAAGACAGGAATGTCAGGCCTCTGAGCCCAAGCTAAGCCATCGTATCCCCTGTGACCTGCACGTACACATCCAGATGGCCGGTTCCTGCCTTAACTGATGACATGCCACCAAAAAAGAAGTGAAAATGGCCTGTTCCTGCCTTAACTGATGACATTGTCTTATGAAATTCCTTCTCCTGGCTCATCCTGGCTCAAAAGCTCCCCTACTGAGCACCTTGTGACCCCCCCACTCCTGCCTGCCAGAGAACAACCCCCCTTTATCCTTTACCTACCCAAATTCTATAAAACGGCCCCAACCCATCTCCCTTCGATGACTCTCTTTTGGAACTCAGCCTGCCTGCACCCAGGTGAAATAAACAGCCTTGTTGCTCACACAAAGCCTGTTTGGTGGTCTCTTCACAGGGACACGCATGAAAAAGATCATCTAAAAACAACACAGATTAAAGATAATTTAATTTTAAAAATTAGTAAACTGATATCACTAGACTTCTTACTCCTTCTCAAATTTTACATCAGAATATTCTCCAAGCATTTTATGTATCTAGAAATAAAATTATCCACTACAAAGTATAAGAATGACAGCATTTCAGACTTTGTAAATTAAATTGTGTGATTCATGTATTTTCTAAGAATCTGAATGACTTTCAAATGAGCCAGCTACTTTATGTTCTCTAATCCTTCTTAAAAATATAATGGAAGAAATATGCTGATTCTTCTCTTTACATGAATACTTCCACACAAGAGCCTTTTAAATATATGCTCCAATCATTTTATTTCTTTAATTGGATTACATTTCTCCTAGTTCCTTCAGAATCACAATTTGGTAAAAAGAATCCAAAATGACCTTTCTTTTCAGAGGTGGCATTAAAGTTTCAAGCCATGGAGCATCTCACAATCATTTTGGTAATAGGTTCACTGATGTAAAATAATTTATATGAATGAAGTGTTTGTTGATAAAAATGTGCTTATAGAATCTCTGAAGAGCAGCTGAAGAAAATTCACATGTGCTTCTTATCACTGAAATTTAATATTGTTTGGGGTTGATTATTTGCATTTGTCAATTTTCATTCTGCCCATAAATATTTAGATTATTCAGACATAAGAAATGGAAATGGTCGTGTGCTCTTAAAGGAGAAAGTAAGCTTCCATATAAATACATCAAATAAAATACATATCAGTGAAAGAGACAGAGACTAAACCTTTGTATCAAAAGTGTATTTTTAGGTAAAAATTATCATTTTGACCTGTATGTCATGAAGAGCAGGTCTCTTTTCAAAACTGGAAATTCACGTCATTTTGTCACCTACATGTGAGAGAGGCTTATGCATGGGAGATCTTCAGTAAGAGGATTTCTTCGCCACTTTCATCTCAACTGAAAAATGTCCTTTAATGTGACACATTATATTAATGTCACCTTTGAAAGCAAAACTTCAGAGCAGAGGAATTATCTACTTATTTCTTTGAATTTTAAGTAACCATAAACATAATTCTAAGAAACAGACTTTTGAAAATGTAAATATTAATAAGAAAAAAATCTAAATTCCAAAGCAGGATTATCACTTTACTTGTGTAAAAGGACAATTTATCAGAAAACATTTTGACATTGTAAAATGATATGCAAATGTAAGCATTATAATGGCTAAAAATTAATCTATGGAATTAATTCCATAAAAAAAATCTAAAAAAATCTATGGAATTTCCATAGATTTTCACATAAACAACTTTTTCCATGCTACTTTCTTTGTGTACATGCTTATGGATTAAACGATAGCCATTTCAAAGTAAAATTTTAACTCCTTGGTTATTTACAAATATTTCTTTTACTGTTCTATATAAGAGTCCTGAATATAAAACTCAAGGCTATGAACTGAATTGTGTTCCCACTGAATTCAAATATTGAAGCCCTAATTCTTACTGCGATGGTATTTGGAGATGGAGCCTTTGAGAAATAATTAGATGAGTTCATGAGCATGGACCCTCATGATGGAACTAGTCCCTACAGAAGAAGGAAGAGACACCATAGCTGTGTCTCTGTCATGTGAGGACATCATGGGAAGGCGGCTGTTGGCAATGCAGCAAGAGAGCCCTCACCAGAACCGAACCTTGTGGACAACCTGAGCTTGAACTTCCATCCTTCAGAATTATGAGAAAATCAATTTCTGTTGTTTAAGCCAGTCTATGATATTTTTGTTACGGCAGGTTAAACTTACTAATACACTCCTAGGTTTATTAACATGGATCCAAGTTCACTGTAACTTAACTTTAATGCTTTGAAAGCATTGAAAATAAACTTATTCCTTCAAAAACTCTATTAACCACCAAAAACATTAATATGCTTCAAATTCCCATGAAATAAATGTATTAAACTTCAGGAAAACATGAGGCTTATTAAGTTAGTGTGTAAAATTTAATTATTTTTATTATAGAGTATAAAACATACTGTATAAATTTTTTTTAAAAGATGATAACTTTACAGTCAAATGGTAGGTTCTGAGAGGAGTTTAAATAGTACTTTGTGTACTTAGGTAAATGGTCTCCTCTGGAAAAAACGATATCAGAGTTGAAAGAAAAAAGTACATATACTACAGAAAAAATTCTACAGACTAAACCATAAATTATTATTTTAAAAAATTACTACTAGAGGCATTAATTTTATACTCCTTATATTAACTCAGTCTTTATGTTTGAAATGAGTCACAATGCAGTGATAGAATGACTTTTACCTGCCATTCTATGCCAATTATTTGGAGTTGTTAGATGGGATAATGGATGCTTTTGTCTCTTTTGCTCTAATAATAGTAATTTCACAAACTGAATGCATGTTTTTAATCCATAATATTTGGCACATGATACCATTTATTCATCACATCAGTGTTGAAAGAAATACATTATCACAAATTTACAGATGAGAAAGATGCTTAATTCCAATTCATCTGCCTGATGCCCATGCTCCTCTCAGTATACCGCCTAAATATTTTTATTAAAGCTTCTATTTTCAAGTCTTCATAAAATTTGTAAGTGAAAATTTCTATAAAATCTTGATATATATGTAAAAATTCACATATATGATCATTATACTATGGGTTTTATAATTAGTGCATATAATTATACAAAGTGAAGGGAAAAAATCTAGAACAACAAGGAGGTGGTTACAGTTGCAACATCAATAAGAAACATTTTACCTGGTTTTTAATGACTATATGATATGAGTGGTAGGAACACTCACAGAGCATTTAGGAACATTTTTCACCCAGAGTTAGATTAGAATTTATAGTCTTCATTCAACTTGGTGTCATCACTGGTACACCACCTGAACATGTTTATATCCACGTAGAAAATTTTCTCATGGTCTTACACAGTTTACTCCTCTTTCTCCACTTTTTTTCCCTTAAATTAATCTTATCCTAACACACAGTTACTATTAACTAGTAAACAAGACAAATGTGCTCTGCACCATTATAGAGCATGAATAATTGAAAAAGTGAATGAATGGATGAATGAGCACTGTCAGCTATTCCAATCTAACCTAATATATTCTCTAAGATCTCTTTTCATGCATGCTTTTTCTCCCCTTTAAGCCATTCCTCTCACTGCAATCAGCCATCTTTTAAAAAAATGTTTTTTGCTTGCTCATGGGGTATTAAAGATGTTTCCTCATCCTAACATGTTCTTTCCCATCCTTTTATCTAGCTATTTATAAAATAAAACATCCGTTGCTTTCTTTTGGAAAGCATTAGTGAACGCTAATGAATTATTTTAGTATCCCCTAATCCCATGTTCATGTCATACTCTATACCTCTTTTACAGCACATTTGCACCAACTGTTAATTAAGCATGTGGTTACTGTTTTGATGTCTGTCTTACTCAATTGTAAACTTCACGAGGACAGGACCATCTGAGCTGATCTGTGCACAATCCAGCAAATATCTACAGACTGGATAAGGGATGCGTTGATTGAGTGCAGGAGAAAACTCTCATTACAAGTGAGATAGTACAACTGGAAAAATTGCAAACATTATCCTTAGATATAGGAAACTTTGGAGACAGGGTGACACCATCAGCTTTAGATAAACCATGGTTATGATAACAGTCAAATACAGGCATTTCTAAAGTCAATTAGAGGCTTTTCTTCATATCTGGTAAAAGATGTAATGGAATTCAAGTTGATCTATGTATATGTTAACTACTGTATTAAAAGCAAATGTCAATTGCAGCAGGCTATAGTTCATTTTGCCCATGGCATATGATGAAGTTCAATTATACAGCTGATCAATATTGAAATTGACTATTTGAGGATCTTGCAGATAACCAAATGTTATAGTAATACTCATTTTCATCTTTTTTTTTTTTTTCTGCTACTGACTCAGTGATTCCTCTAAGAATCACTGTTTGTGTCTTCTACGTCTGGTTTTTATCATGTCACTGATCATTGCGTTGGCTATATGTTAAATGCGTGCACATCTGTGTGTCTCAAATATCTATAAGTATTCCATATTGTCTGAAATTATGTCTCAGTATGTTATTGTAGTCTATGTCCTGTTAAGACTAATTGAATTTTTTTCACTCCATTATTTTTTATTACATTAATAAATCAATGCAGTCACACATGCTCAAACTGTGCATGAAAATGTCATTTTTCTCTTTCAGCTGTAAAACACACATTTACAGCTTAGGAAAATCATGGCATTTTGGCTTATTTCAATTATGCAGAGAGCATACAACTTTCAACAGGTTTTATCTAGATACTCTACTTTTATGTTTCCTGAAAATATATCCCACTAAAGTTAATTAGCTTATTTTAGTCTTTTATACTATTGGAAATAAGACATATCTTTAACACAAGCAAATCAGCATTACTAAAGCTTATGTTTGCAAAGAGAAGTGGAGTACTTTGTAAAATCCAAAACCAATCGCTTTCATGTCAAATTGAAATTACATAATACTCCAACTGTTATTTATGCTACTTAGGCACAGACTATATAAGCCTCAACAATGTGCATCTTATCAGAGTGTTACATAACTAATCACGTTTAAGAGTTTATCCAAAGACTTTCTAAATGTATTCTAAATATATTTTTCAATTGAAGTTGAGGTATTAACTCACAGTAATTTAAAAAAAGACAGCCGATGATTTCTTTGGAGAGCGGACTTGGCTGTGTTCAGTTACTATTCTGTTATTCTGAAAACAAAATGTCAAACACCAATTAATATCACAAATTATTTAAATATAGCCCCTAGATTAATGTATTGTTTGTAATATCCAGGGGAGAATATTACTGGGAGGACACTACTCCCAGTATTGCAAGGGGTGTACACCCCCCTGTGATATTGTTTATAATATGCAGGGGTGGAGAGTATGATATTACTCCCAATATCGCAGGGAGTGTTCACTCCCCTTGTGATATTGTTCATAATATCCGGGGGTGGGGGGATACAATGATATTACTTCCAATATCCCAGGGGATGTACACCCACCTGTGATATTGTTGCTAATATCCAGGTGGGAAGAGGATGATATTACCCCCAATATCAGAGGGGGTGTACACCCCCCTGTGACATTGTTCATAATATCCAAGGGGTAGAGGATGATATTACTGCCTATATCGCAGGGGGTGTGCACCCCCCTGTGATATTGTTTATAATATCTAGATGGGGAGAGGACGATATTACTCCCAATATCGCAGGTGGTGTACACCCCCGTGATATTATTTGCAATATCCAGGCGAGGGAGAGGATGATACTACTCCCAATATCGCTGGTGGTGTACACCCCCGTGATATTATTTGCAATATCCAGGCGGGGGAGAGGATGATACTACTCCCAATATCGAAAGTGGTGTACACACCTCTGTGATATTGTTTGTAATATCCAGGTGGGGAGAGAATGATATTACTTCCAATATCTCAGAAGGTGTACACATCCCTGTGACATTGTTCGTAATATCCCGGGAAGGTGAGGATGATATTACTCCAAATATCGCAGGCGGTATACACTCCTCTGTGACACTGTTTGTAATATCCAGGAAGGGAGAGGATTATATTACTTCCAACATCGCAGGGGGTGTACACCCCGGGGGGGAGAGGATGATACTACTCCCAATATCGCAGGACGTACACATTCCCCAGTGATATTGTTTTTAATATTCAGGGGAGGAGAAGATGATATTACTCTTAATATCGCAGGGGGTGCACCCCTGGTCACAATATCCAAGGTTGAAGAGGATGATATAAATGCCAACATTGCAGGGGGTGGACACATTCCTGTGAAATTGTTCGAAATATCTGTGAGGGGAGAGGATGAAATTACCCTCAATATCCCAGGTGGTGTCCACCTGCCTGTAATATTCTTCGACATATTCAAGGGTGAGACAATATTACTCCCAACATTGCATGGGGTGTACACCCTTCTGTGATATTGTTTGTAATATTCTGGGGGGAGACAATGGTATTACTTTTAATATCGAAGGAGTGTACACCCCTGAGATATTGTTCATAGTATCCAGGGGGGAGAGGATAATATTACTCCCAATATCGCAGGGGACGTACACCCCCCTGTGATATTGTTCGTAATAATCAGGGTGGAAGAAGATCAAATTACTCCCAAGATCACAGGAAGTGTACACCCCCCTGTGATATTGTACCTAATATCCAGACGGAGGGAGAATGATATTACTCCCAATATCGCAGGGGCTGTACACACCCTGTGATATTGTTCGTAATATCCACAGCGTTGGTGGGGAGGGGTGGATGATAATATTGCCAATATCGAAGTGTGTGTGCTCCCTCCTACAATATTGTTCGTAATATCCAGGGAGAAGGAAAATGATATTACTTTCAATATTCCTGGGAGTGTACACACTCCTGTAATACTGTTCGTAACATCCAGGGGAGAGAGGATGATATTAGTGCAAGTATTGCAGGGGTGTACACGCCCCGTGATATAGTCCGTAATATCCAGAGGGTGAGAAAACGATATTACTCCCAATATCACAGGGGTGTACACCCTTCTGTGATGTTTTTCCATAATATCCAGGGAAGGAGAAGATGATATTACTCCGAATATTGCAGAAGGTGTACATCCCCTTGTGATATTTTTCGCAATAGCCAAGGGGGAAGAGGATAACATCAATCACAATATTGTAAACACCCTGTGTGTACACCCCCGTCTTATTGTTTGTATTATCCACAGGGTGAGAGGATGATATTACTCCCAATATCACAGGGGGTGTACACCCTTGTGTGATACAGTTCCTGCCACACAGCAGCAAAAAGGATGATATTACTCCAAAGAGTACAGGTGGTGTGCACCCCCCACCCCGTGATATTGTTCCTAATATCCAACGCAGGTGTGGATGATATTACTTTTAATATCGCAGGGTGTGTACACCCCCACAGTGATATTGTGTCTAATATCCACGGGGGAAGGTTATATTACTTTCATTATTGCTGGAGGGGGTTACACTCTCCCTGTGATATTGTACCTAATATCGAGAAAGAGAGAGAATGATGTTACTCCCAATATCACAGCGGGTGTACACCTCCCCCCCGTGATAATGTTCCTAATATCCAGGGTGGAAAAGGATGATATTACTCCCAATATCACAGAATGTGTACACCCCCTTCTATGATCTTGTTCATAATATCCCGTTTGGGATAGGATGATATTAATCCCAATATCTCAGGGGTGTAAACCCCCGTGATATTGTTCCTAATATCCACAGTCAGAGAGGATGATATTACTCTCAATTTCACAGGGGGGGTACACATTTTCAGTGATATTGTTCCTAATATCCACAGAGGGAGAGGATGATATTACTTCAAATATCACAGAAATTGTACACTTCTTCTATGATATTGTTCCTAATATCCGTGGGGTAAGATGATAATATTACTCCAAATATCTAAGGGGGTGTACACCACACCTGTAATATTGTTCCTAATATCCAAGGAGGGAGAGGATGATATTACTCCCAATATCGCATGTGGTGTACAACCCCACTGTGGTATTGTTTCTAATATACGGGGTGGGGGGAGAGAGAAATTTATTACTCCCAATATTGCAGCGGGTGTACACCTCCCCTGTGATTTTGATTCTAATATCCAAAAAGGGACAGGAAAATATTACTACCAATATGGCAGGGGTTGTACACTCCCCCCGCCATAATATTGTTTTTAATATCCAGGGAGAGAGAATATTGCTCTTAATATCACAGGGGGTGTACACCTCTCTGTGATATTGTTCCTAATATTCAAAGGGGAGAGGACGATATTACTCCCAATATTGCAATAAAATTACATCCCCATATGATTTTGTTCCTAATATACAGAGGGGAGAGGATGATATTTTTTCCAATATGCAGGAGGTATACAATCTCCTGTGATACTGTTCTTAATATACAGGTGGGGAGAGGATATTACTTCCAATATCAAAAGGCATGTACACCCCCGTTGTGATACTGTTCCTAACATTCAGGAAGGGAGAGAATGATGTTAGTCCCAATATCGCAGGGCGTGTACAACCCCGCTGTGATATTGTTCCTAATATCCAGGTAAAGAGAGGATGATATTACTCCCAGTATCGCAGGGGTTGTACACTTCCCCTATGACATTGTTCCTAATATCCAATAGTGGAGAGAATGCTATCACTTCCAATATCACAGGGGGTGTACAGCCCTTGTATGATATTGTTCCTTATATTGGGAGGCAGAGGATGATATTACTCCCAATATCGCAGGGGGATACACCCCTCTTGTGATATTGCTTTTCATATCTACAGGAGGAGACGATAATGTTGCTGTCAATATCGCAAGGGTTGTGCACCCCCTTGTGATATTGCTCCTAATATCCAAGGGGGTAAAGAATGATATTACTCCCAATATAGCAGAAGTTGTACACTCCACCTGTGATATTTTTCCTAATATCGGGGTGGGGAGAGCATGATATTACTTCCAATATCGCAGGGGTTGTACGTCCTCCCCTCCCGTGATATTGTTCCTAATATCCAGGGGAGGAGGGGATAATATTACTCCCATATCACAGGGGTATACTTCCCCTTTGGGATATTGTTCTGAATATCCATGGGAAGAGAGAGTGATTTTACTCCCAATATCGAAGGGAATGTATATCCCTCCGTGATATTGTTTTTAATATCCAGTTGGGAAGAGGATGATATTACTCCCAATATCAAAGGGAATGTATATCCCTCCGTGATATTGTTTTTAATATCCAGTTGGGAAGAGGATGATATTACTCCCAATATCGCACGGGTTGTACATTGCCCTGTGATATTGTTGCTGCTAACAAAGTGGGAGAGGATGATATTACTCCCAATATAGCAGGAGGTGTACATTCCCCCTGTGATGTTGTTCCTGCTATCCAAAGCGGGAGAGGATGATATTACTCCCAATATCGCATGGGGTGTACACCCTCCCTGTGATATTGTTCCTAATACCCAGGTTGGGAGAGGATAATATTACGACAAATATCACAGGAGGTGTGCAACCCCCTTTGATATTGTTCCTAATATTTAGAGGGGGAGAGAATGAATATAGTCTCAATGTCGAATAAGATGTACATCCCCCCCAAAATTATATTGTTCCTAATAATTATGAGGAGAGAGGATGACATTTCTTTCAATATCACAGAGGGTGTAAACCGTGTATGTGATATTGCTTCTAATATCCAGGGGCAGGAGGATGATATTACTCCCAAAATAGCAGGAAATGTACACCCCACCCCCCGCGATATGGTTTCTAATATCCAGGAAGGCAAAGGATGATAATAGTCCCAATACTGCAAAGGGCGTATACTCCTTCTGTGATATTGTTTCTAATATCCAGTAAGGGAGAGGATGATATTTCTCCCAGTATCGCAGGGGTATACATTCCCACTGTTATATTGTTTTTAGTATACAGTGGGGGAGATGGTGATATTACTCCCAATATAGCAGAGGGTGTACACCTACCCTGTAATATTGTTCCCAGAATTTACGAAATAAGAGGATAATATTACTCCCAATATCACAGGGGCTGTATACCCTCCTGGTGATATTCTTCCTAATGTTTGAGGAGGGAGACGGCAATATTACTCCCAATATCGCAGGAAATGTACAACACCCTCCGTGATATTGTTCCTAAAATCCAGGTGGGGAGAGGATGATATTACTCCCAATATCAAAGCGCGTACACCCCCCTTTGATATTGTTCCTAATATCCATGGGAGGGGGGAGAAGTGTAATATTAATCCCAATATCACAACAAGTGTATACCTCCCTTGTGATATATTTCCTAATATTCAAAGATGGAGAGGATGATATTACTTTCAGTATTGCAGGGAGTGTACACCCCCCTGCGATATTGTGCCTAACATCCAGACGGGTGGAGAATGATATTACTCCCAATATCACAGGGCCTGTACACACCCTGTGATATTGTTCGTAATATCCACGGGGGGAGTGGATGATAATATTGCCAGTATCGAAGTGTGTGTACTCCCCTCTACGATATTGTTCGTAATATCCAGGGAGAAGGAAAATGATATTACTTTCAATATTCCTGGGAGTGTACACACTCCTGTAATATTGTTCGTAATAACCAGGGGAGAGAGGATAATATTACTGCAAGTATCGCAGGGGTGTACACGCCCCGTGATATAGTTTGTAATATCCAGAAGGGGAGAAAACGATATTACTCCCAATATCACAGGGGTGTACACCCTTCTGTGATATTTTTCCATAATATCCAGGGAAGGAAAAGATGATATTACTCTGAATATCGCAGAAGGTGTACATCCTCTTATGATATTTTTGCAATAGCCAGGGGTGAAGAGGATAACGTCAATCACAATATTGTAAACACCTTGGGTGTACACCCCCGTCTTATTGTTTGTATTATCCACGGGGTGAGAGGATGATATTACTCCCAATATCACAGGGGGTGTACACCCTTGTGTGATATAGTTCCTGCCATACAGGGGCAAAAAGGATGATATTACTCCAAAGAGCACAGGTGGTGTAGACTCTCCACCCCATGATATTGTTGCTAATATCCAATGCGGGTGAGGATGATATTACTTTTAATATCGCAGAGTGTGTGCACCCCCACAGTGATATTGTGTCTAATATCCACGGGGACAGATTATATTACTTTCAATGTTGCAGGGGGTGGACACTCTCCCTGTGATATTGTACCTAACATCAAGAGAGAGGATGATGTTACTCCCAATATCACAGCGGGTGTACACCTCACCCCTGTGATAATGTTCCTAATATCCACTGCGGTAAAGGATGATATTACTCCCAATATCACAGGATGTGTACACCCCCCCCCGCCCCCTGCCCATGATCTTGTTCGTAATATCCCGTTCGGGATAAAATGATATTAGTCCCAATATTGCAGGGATGTACACCCTCCTGTGATATTGTTCTTAATATCCATGGGCAGAGAGGATGATATTACTCCCAATGTCACAAAGGGTGTATACATTTTCGGTGATATTGTTCCTAACATTCACGGAGGGAGAGGACGGTATTACTACAAATATCGTAGAAGTTGTACACCTCTTCTGTGATATTGCTCCTAATATCCGTGGGGTAAGATGATAATATTACTCCAAATATCTAAGGGGTGTACACCGCCCCTGTGATATTGTTCCTAATATCGGGGGGGGGGAAGGATGATATTACTTCCAATATCGCATGTAGTGTACACCGCTGCTGTGGTATTGTTTCTAATATACAGGACAGGAGGGGAGAGAGAAATTTATTACTCCCAATATCGCAGCGGGTGTACACCTCCCCTGTGATTTTGATTCTAATATCCAAAAAGGGACAGGAAAATATTACTACCAACATGGCAGGGGGTGTACGCCCCATCCCCGTGATATTGTTTCTAATATCCAGGGAGAGAGAAAATAATATTGCTTTTAATATCGCAGGGGGTGTACACCCCTCTGTGATATTGTTCCTAATATTCAAGGGGGAGAGGATGATTTTACTCCCAATATCGCAAGGAAATTACATCCCCATATGATTTTGTTCCTAATATCCAGAAGGGAGAGGATGATATTTCTTCCAATATTGCAGGGGGTGTACAACCTTCCTGTGATATTGTTCCTAATATACAGGTGGGGAGAGGATAATATTGTTTGTAATATCCAAGTGGAAAGAGGATTAAATTACTCTCAATATCGAAGGAGGTGTACACCTCCCCTGTGATATAGTTTCTAATAACCATGAGAGGAGAGGATGATATATCTTCCAATATCACAGGAGGTGTACACCCCATTTCTGATTTTGTTAATAATTGCAAGGATGGGAGACGATTATATTACTTTAAATATCTCAGTGGGTGTACAACTGCTCTGTGATATTGCTCTTAATATCTAGGGGAAGAGAGGATGATATTAATTCCAATATCGAAGGGAGTGTACATCCCCCCGCCTTGTGACATTGTTGCTAGTACCATGGGAAGAAAAGGATGATATTACTCACAGTATCGCAGGGAGTGTTCACCCCCTTTGTAGATGTGGTTACTAACACTTAGGAGATGAGAGTGTGATATTCCCAATATCGCAGGTGCTGTACATCCCCTTAGTGATATTCTTCCTAATATCTAGCGGGGGAGAGGATGATATTACTCCCAATATCCTAGGGGGTGTACAACCCCCTGTTATATTGTTCCTAATATATAGTTTGTGAGGGGATGATATTACTTTCAAAATAGCAGGGGGTGTACATGCTACATGCTACATGCTACATGATATCACATCCCTGTGATATCATTCCCAATATCAAGAAGGGGATGGGATTATATTACTTCCAATATCTCAGAGGGTGTAAACCTTCCGTGTGATATTATTCCTAATATCCAGGTTGGAGGAGAAAAATATTACTGTGAATATTGCAGGGGGTGTACACCTCTTTGTGATTTTGTTCCTAATATCAACAGGGGGAGACGATGATAGTACTCACAATATCTTACGGGGTGTACACCCCGCCCCGTGATATTGTTCCTAATATTTAAGTTTGGAGAGGATGATATTACACCCAATATCGCAGGAGGTGTACACCTCTTTTGTGATATTGTTCCTAATATCCACGGGAGGAGAGGATACTATTACTCCGAATATCACAGTATGTGTACACCCCCCCGTGATAGTGTTCTTAATATTCAAAGGGGGAGAGTATATTACTCTCTATATCACAGGGGGTGTGTACACCCCCTGTGATATAGTTCCTAATATCCAGGGGAAGAGAGGGTGGTGATATTATTCCCAATATCGCAGGGGGTGTACACTGTGATACACCTGTGATATCGTTTCTAATATCCAGGTGGCAGAGGATGATATTACTCCCAATATCGCAAGGACATACACCCCACAGTGATATTATTCCTAATATCCAGGGGTAGGAGAGGACAATATTACTCCAAGTATCAGGAGATGTACACCCTTTCTGTGATATTTTTCTTTATATTCAAAAAGGAGAGGATGATATTACTCCCAATATTGAAAGGAGTGTACACTCCCCCTGTGATACTGGGATATTGTTTCCTGTCATATTGTTTCTAATATCAAAAAACAGAAAGGATGTTATTACTTTCAATACCGCAGGGGGTATAACACCCCCCCCCCCCGTGACATTGTTCTTAATAATCAAAGGGGGAGAGGATAATATTCCCAATATCGCAGGGGATGTACTTTTTTCCTGTAATATTGTTCCCAATTGTCCATCCTCTGGATATTAGGAGCCACATGGCAGGGGGGTGGCACCCTCCACCATATGGGGAGTAGTATCACCCCCCTCTTCCCCCCGGATATGAGGTGTTTCCACGTGTGTTTACAATATTAAGGGTAATGCCATCTCCCCCTTTGGAAATTACAAACAATATCACAGGAAGTGTACAGCACCTGCAATATTGGGAATAATATTATCCTCTCCCACTTCTGGGTATAAGGGAAAATATCACAAAAAAGGTGTACACCCCCTGCGATATTGGCAGTAATATCATTTTCTCTATTTTTGAATATTAGGAAAAAATATCACAGAGGTGGTGTATATCTCCTGCGATATTGGGAGTAATATCATCCTCTTCCCCCCGGATATTAGGAACAATATCACAGGGGGGTGTACACCTCTGCGATATTAGGAGTAATATCATTGTCTCCCCCTGGATATTAGGAACAATACCAAAGGGGGGCATATTCCCCCCTGCAATATTGTGAGCAATGTTGTCATCTCCCCCTCTGGATATTAGGAGAAACATCACAAAACGGGTGTATATCTCTTGCAATATTGGGAGTAATGTCATTTTCTACCCCACCTGGATATTAGGAAAAATATCACAAAAGGGGTGTACACCTTCTGCGATATTGGGAGTAATATCATCCTCTTTTTGAATATAAGGAAAAATATCACAGAAGGGGTGTACACCCCTTGTGATATTGAGAGTAATATCACCCTCTCCTTTCATGAATTTTAAATACAATATCAAAGGGGGTTATACACCATCTGCTATATCAGGAGTAATACTGCCATCTCCCTCACTGGATATTAAGAGAAATATCACAAAAGAAGTGTACACCTCCTGTGATATTGGGTGTAATACCGTATTCTCTCCCTCTGGATATTAGGAACAATATCACGGGGGGGTGTACACCCTTTTCGATATTGTGAGTAATATCATCCTCTCCTTTTTGAATATAAAGAAAAATGTCACAGAAAGGGAGTACACCTCCTGAGATACTTGGAGTAATATTATCCTCTCCTACCCCTGGATATTAGGAATAATATCACTGTGGGGTGTACTGTCTTGTGATATTGGGAGTAATATCATCCTCTGCCACCTGGATATTAGAAACAATATCACAGGGGAGGTGTACACCCCCTGCAACATTCGGAGTAATATTATTGTCTCTTTCCCTAAGTATTAGGAACAATATCACAAGGAGCGTATACACCCCCTGCAATATTGGAAGTAATATCATCCTCTCCTTTCGCGAATTTTAGGAACAATATTACAGGGGAGGTATACATTTCCTTCTATATTGGGAGTAATATCATCCTCTCCCCCACTGGATACTGAAAACCACATAGCAGTGGGGTGTACACCCTTGCAATACTGGGAGTAGTATTATCCTCTAACCCTTGGATATCATGAGGGAGTGTGTACATTAACTGCGATATTGGGAGTAATATCATCCTTCTTCCTTTGGATATTAGGAACAATATCGCAGGGAGGGTGTACACCCCTTGCTATACTGGAAGGAATATCATCCCCTCCCCTCACGGTTATTAGAAACAATATCACAGCGGGGGTGTACACCTCCTTCAATATTGAGAGTAATTTAATCCTCTCCCCACTTGGATATTACAAACAATATCACAAGGAACTGTACACACCCTGTGATAATGAAAGTAATATCATCCCCTCCATATTTGAATATTGGGAAAAATATCATAAGGGAGGTGAACACTTTCTGCGATATTGGAAGTAATATCACCCTGTCCCCCCTGGATATTAGGAGCACTATCACAAAGGAGGTGTACACCGCCTGCGATTTTTGGAGTAATATCATTCCCCCTTTGAATATTAGGAAAAATATCAAAAAGGGGGTGTACACCCCCTGCGATATTGGGATTAATGTCATCCTCTGCCCCCCTGGATATTAGGAACAATATAACAAAAATAGTACACCCTGTGATATTGGGAGTAATATCATCCTCTCCCCACCTGGATTTTAGGAACAATATCATGGCGGGGGGGATGTACATTCCCTGTGATATTGGGAGTAATATCGTCATCTCCTTCCCCAAATATTAGGAACAATATCAACAGGAGGATATATAGTCCTCGTGATATTGGGAATAATATCGTCCCCTTATTTTTTGAATTCTAGGAACAGTATCACAGGGGACGTGTACATCCTCTGCTATATTGGGAGTAATACCACCCTCTCCCCCACTGTATATTAAAAACAATATAACAGTGGGGTTGTACACCGCTGTGATACTGAGAGTAATATCATTCCCTCCCTTACTGGATATGAGAAACAATATCACAGAAGAGGTGTTCACCCCTTGGGATATTGGGAGAAATATCATCCTTTTCCTTCCTGGATATTAGAAACAACATCACGGGGAGTGAGGTGTATATTCCCTGTGATTTTGGGAGGAATATCATCCTCCTGCCCCTAGATGTTAGGAACAATATCACATACAGGGTTTACACCCTCTGCGATAGTGAAAGGAATATCATCCTCTCCCCTCATAATTATTAAGAACCATATCACAGGGGGGTGTACATCTTTTTTGACATTGAGACTATATTCATTCTCTCCCCTTCTAAATATTAGAAACAATATCAATGGGGGGTTGCACATCTCCTGCGATATTGGTCGTAATATGATCATCTCTCAACCTGGGTATTAGGAACAATATCACAGGGAAGGTGTATACGCCATGTGATATTGGGACTAATATCATCCTCTCCCGCTTTGGATAGCAGGAACAATATCACAGGGGTAGTGTACACCTCCTGCTATATTGGAAGTAATATCATCTTCTCCCTACTCGGATATCAAAAACAATATCACGGTAGGGTTGTACACCTTCTGCTGTACTGAAAGTAGTGTAATCCTCTCCTTCCTTTATTATTAGGAAGAATATCACAGGGGGGTGTACACCCCCTGCAATATTGGGAGTAATATCACCCTCTTCCCTCACTGGATATTAGAAAAAATATCACGAGGGGGTGTACACCCCCTGGATATTAACAGTAGTATCATCGTCTCCCCCCTTGAATATTAGGAACAATATTACAAGGGGGGTGTATGCTTTCTGTGATCTAGGGAGTAATATCATCCTCTCCACTGGATATTAGGAATAATATCACGAGTGGTTGTACACCTGCTGCGATATTTGGAGTAATATCATACTCTCCCCTTCTAGATATTAGGAACAATATCACAGGGGGGTGTATTTTCTGTTCGACATTGAAAGTAAAGTTATCCTCTCCCCTTCTGAATATTAGAAACAATATCACAGGTGTGTACACCGCTTTCGATATTGGGAATAATATCATCAACTCCCCACCTCGATTTTAGAAAAAATATCACCAGGGTGGTTACACACCCTGTGATACTGGGAGTAATATCATCCTTTCGCCCCCTGGATATTAGGAACAATATCATAGGGGGAGTGCACATTCCCTGCGCTATTGGGAGTAATATTATCCTCTCCCCCTCTGGAGATTAGGAACAATATCTCGCTGGAGATGTACACCTCCTGCGATATTGGGAGTAGTATCATCCTCTCCCTGTCTGGATATTAGGAATAGTATCTAAGGGGGGTTGCACACCTCTTGTGATACTGGGCGTAATATCATCCTCTCCCAACCTGGATATGAGGAACAATATCACGGGGAAGGTGTATACCCCATGAGATACTGGGAGTAATATCATCCTCTCCCTCTTTGGATAGCAGGAACAATATTACAGAGGGGTGTACACCTCCTGCGATATTGGGAGTAATGTCATCCTCTTCCCCACTGGATATTAAAAACAATATCACTGGGGGATACACATTCCCTTCGATATTGGGAGTAATATCACTCTCTTTTCCCATTGATATTCGGAACAATATCCCAAAGGGGGAGTACACTCCCTGCGATATTGGGAGTAATATCACCCTCTGCACCCCTGGATATAAGGAACAATATAACATAAGGGCTGTACACGCCTGCGATATTGGAAGTGATAGCACTCTCTCCCCCACTAGATATTAGCAACAATATCACAGGGGAAGTGTACAACCCTGTGATATTGAGAGTAATATTATCCTCTGTTTTCCTGGATATTAGGAACAATATCACCGGGGCGTTGTCCACCCCCTGCGATACTGGGGGTAACATCATCCTCTCCCTTCCTGAATATTAAGAACAATATCACAAGGGGGGTGTACATGCCCTTTGATATTGGGAGTAATATTATCCTCTCCCCACCTGTATATTAGGAACAATATCACAGGAGGTTGTACACCCCCTGGGTTATTGGGAGAAATATTATCCTCTCCCTTCTGGATATTAGGAACAAAATCACAGGGGGCTGTACATTCCTTGCAATATTGGGAGTAATAGCATCCTCTCCCCACTTAAATATTGGTAACAATATCACCGGGGGGTGTACAACCCCTGCTATATTGGGAGTAATATCATCATCTCCCCCCTTTTAATATTAGGAACAATATCACGGGAGGGGTGTACACCCCCTGCGATATTGGAATTAATATCATCCTCTTCTTCTTTGAATATCAGGAAAAATATCACAAAGGGGTTGTATATCCCCTGTGATATTGGGTTTAATATCATCCACTTCCCCCCTGGATATTAGAAACAATTTCACAGGGGGTTGTACACCCCTGTGATATTGGGAGTAATATAATCTTCTCCACACCTGGATATTAGAAACAATATCACAGGAGGGGTGTACACCCCCTCTGATATTGATAATAATATTGTTGTCTCCCTCCTTGGATATTAGGAACAACATCACAAGGAGGGTATACACCTCCTGAGCTATTGGGAATTATATTATCCTCTCTTTTCGTTAATATTAGGAAAAATTTCATGGGGTGGGGGTGTACACCCCCTGCTATATTGGGGGTAATATCATCCTCTCCTCTTCTGGATGCTAAAAACAATATAACAGTAGGGGTGTGCATGCCCGGCGATATTGGCAGTAATATCCTCTACTTCCCTGGATATTTAAAACAATATCACGGGAGATGTGTACATTTCCTGGGATATTATTTTCCTTCCCCTGGATATTAGGAAGACTATCACATGGAGGGTGTATACACCTTTTGTGATATTGGAAGGAATATCATCCACTCCCCTAATTTTTATTAGAAACAATATCACAAGGGGGGTGTACACATCCTGCAATATTGATAGTAATATCATCCTCTCCCCATGTGGATATTACATAAAATATTACAGGGATGTGTAAACCCCCTGCTATATTGAGAGTAGTATCATCATCTCCCACCATGAGTATTGGGAAAAATGTCACAGGGGGGTGTACACCCCTTTCGATATTGGGAATAATATCATCCACTCCCCCCATCAATATTGGAAAAAATATCACCGGGGGGGGGTGTTACACTCCCTGTGATACTGGGAGTAATATCATCCTTTCGCCCCCTGGATATTGGGAACAATATCACAGGGGGTGTGTACATTCCCTGCGCTATTGGGAGTAATATTATCCTCTCTTCCACCTCGATATTAGGAACAATATCTCACCGGGGGTGTACACCCCCTGCGATATTTGGAGTAGTATCATCCTCTCTCCTTCTGGATATTAGGAACAGTATCTAAGGGGGGTTGCACACCTCCTGTGATATTGGGGGTAATATCGTCCTCCCCTAACCTGGATATTAGGAACAATATTACAGTGAGTGTGTATACCCCATGTGATACTGGGAGTAATATCATCCTCTCCGGCTTTGAATAGCAGGAACAGTATCACAGGGGGGTGTACACCCCATGCGATATTGAGAGTAATATCATCCTCTTCCCAACTGGATATTAAAAACAATATCATGGGGGCATATACATTCCCTGTGATATTGGGAGTAATATCATCCTTTCTTCCCACGGATATTAGGAACAATATCCCAAAGGGGGAGCACACCCCCTGCGATATTGGGAGTAATATTATCCTCACCTCCCCCGGATATTAGGAACATTATCACAGCGGGGGTGTACACTTCCTGTGATATTAGGCATAGTATCATCTTCTTCCCACCTGAATATTAAAAACGATATCATAGGGAGAATGTACATGCTCTTCGATATTGAGAGTAATATAATCCTCTCCTTCCCTAATTATTAGGAACAATATCAAAGGTGGGCGTACACGCCCTGAAATATGGAGAGTAATATCATCCTCTACCTCCCTGGAAATTAGGAACAATATCACAAGGGCTGTATTTAGAGTAATATTATCATGTCTCCGCCCCTGGATATTCAGAACAATATCACAGGGAAGGAGTACACTTCCAGTGTTATTGGGAGAAATACCAAATTCTCCCCCATTAAATATTACAAAAATATAACAGGGGGTTTACATCTCCTGCTATATGTAGAGTAATACCATCCTCTCACTTTCTGGAAATTGGGAACAACATCACAGAAGAGATGTACACCCCCTTCTATACTGGGAGTAATATCCTCTCTCTCCCTGGATATTAAGAACAATATCACAGGGAGGATGTAAATCCCCTACGATATTAGGAGAAATATCATCATCTCCCCTCCAGATATTAGGAACTATATCACAAGGGGAGTTTATGCCCCGTGCAGTACTCGGAGTAATATAATCCTCTCCCTCTTGGATATTAGAAACAATATCACACAGGGGCGTACACCCCCTGCTATATTCAGAGCAATATTATGCTCTCTTTCCCTGGATATTAGAAACAATATCATAGGGGGGTGTACACCCCCTGCCATATTGTTAGTAATATCTTCCTCTCCCTTTTTGGATATTAGAATCAAAATCACCGGGGCCAGGGGGAGGTGTAAACCCGCTGCGGTATTGGGAGTAATAAATTCCTCTCTCCCACATATAACAGAAACTATACCACAGCCTTTCCTTTTGTCGCCTTTATGCTATCTGATTATTTTTATTTTTTGCTATGAATGGTGTTTTCATTTAATTTATCATTAGGGAGAAGGTAATTCAATTAAGTTGGGAATCCAGTCTGGTAAAATTTTGTAAAGAACAGGGAGATTAAGTATAAAGAACAATATTGCAATCTTTGAATTCTCTTTTACTTCATTATATTTTCCTCCTTTACATTTTCCTTATTTTATTTACACCTTTCCTTTTCTCATTCTTGGAGGCATTGGCCTGTACCCTCTTTAGGCTAAGTCAACATGAATCTGAATCCAGCCTTCTTCTCTTATTAGTTGTAAGGTTTTAAGAAAACTTGTTACATCTCTTCAGTTAGTACCAAAGTAATGAGGTAATAAAAGTCAAGCAGTTGCCAGTTTCTAGATCAATAAATTTATACATCATTCATTCACTTCTTGTTTTACTCTATCACATACAGTAGATCAAAATAGCCCTTTACCTTTGTCATAAACACCATTCTTACCATAATTCACAAATATAAATTTTAAACCAAAATAAACTATTTAAAGCCTTGCATGTATAATTAAATTGGAATAGAAACATTGTCTTCCACACATTTGGGAATTCCTTGTCCAAATAATTAATATGTCATTAACTTACTATGTATTATTTTTTGAATCATTAGGTTTACTTCTAAATTTCAAGCACAATGCATATATTTTCCCAGTGTGGGAGGCTGATGAGTTACACTTGCATTCAAAATGGCATTGAGCTCAGAGGTACTTTTTTTGAGAGCCATGGTTAGATTTAGCGTTTATTTTTAAGCTTTTAATTTTTATAAACACATAATAATTGTGCATATTTAAGGCATACATAAATCACACCTTACATAAGTGGGAAACACTTGAAAAAAACTTTCCTAAATGGACTTAGGTAGAAATAATAATAATTACGAAAAGCAAAATAAAACAAAGCCCACCTGACAAATTCTATATGATTCTTGAAAGGGAGCATGCTGTGTAAATTAAGAACATAAACTCTCGAACCAAGCTTTTTGGGACCAAATTCTGGCTTCATCAGTGCTAGCTGTGTATCCTTGGGTCTTAGAGCAGCCCCTGACACACTGCTCATAACATCATGAAATTTTGTTAGCTACAGCTGTTAAAAAATCAATCAATAGGTTCAACATGGCTGACTAGAGAAATTGTACATATAATACCTTCTCAGAGAAGAGTCAAAATAGCAAATAGATAATCACACTTAGAGTACAACATCGAAGACAGTCAACAATGGAATTCAGCAGAGAAGTGACAGGAAACACCTGAATCACAGAGGACAGAGAAATGAGGCAGCTAGCTCAGCCAGGATCTGCTGGGAGCCCAGAGAGGTTCTCCAGTGTGGGCAAAGAGTGAATGAGAGATTCCCAGAGATTCACATTCTCATCATGGACTCCTACAATCCTAGACACAGGAAAGCTCCTCGACCCTCACAGGCCCTTCGACTAACAGGGAGAAGCGTGAAGATTGCGTGGCAGCATTGCTCCAGAGAAGGAGTTCAGTCTCCAAGACTTAAGCAGCTATAGCATAGTGCCATTTTGAGAGCACAGCCACCATCAGACTGCATCCTCAGTGCCCAACAGCCCTTGTATTTTCACATCTGTGAAGTCCCACTGACATCTCCTGTGTCTACCTGGAGGACTGCAGAGGTGCAACACGAGATAGACCCAGCAGTGCAGTGGGGTCCCCAGCAATCTAACTCACCCAGAATCCTACACCCTAGGGAAGAGACAATGCAATGCACCCTAGAGACTGTTCCTGGGAAAAAGGGAGCTGAAGCATGTGCTCTCCAAAGCCTGAGAGTTTCCCACCTGCCTAAGGCCATTCTCACTGACAGTAACTCTGCTGCCCCAACAGCACCACAGATGCTGTGCACTAACACACACTCAGAGGACAGGCTTTCCTTGCATTCTAATGTTGCTGCTGGTGCTGAAGTGTATACTTCCCAGAGCCTGAAAGCTGTCCACCTTTCTGGGGCTGCTCCCACTGACAGCATCTCTGCCCTGCTCAGCAGCAGAGCTGCTGCACATTCACATGTGCCCCAATGTCAGGCATACCTGGTTTGCTGCTGCCACCTAACATCTTTGTCCCAGAAAAGTTTCCCAACAGTGTCTACTGACAAATGGCAACAAAGTCACTGAGGAAATCATAGGCACCATTGCCAATATTCATAGCTGAAGAAATCATACATTGGCTACTCTACTACACACACCCAGAATTAAAGTCAAAGCATCCTACCCAAACATCACTATAGGCATGTCTTCAGGAAAAACTCCTTCCTCTACCAAAGCTAATCCAAAAAATTGAAGCATGCAACTCTCATACCAGATGTACAGATATCAATGTATGGACACAAGAAACATGAAAAGCCAAGAAAATGCAACACCTTCAAAGGAATAAAATAATTCTCTAGCAATAGATTCCAATGAAACAGAAATTTATGAAATGCCAGAAAAATAATTCCATAAAGGATATTAAAGAAGCTCAGTGAGATACAAAACAACACAGATAAACAATATGAAACATTACAAAAGTAATTCAGCATATGAATGAGAAAGTCACCATAGAGATATATACTGTTTAAAAATATAAAAATAAAAAAAAACAGAGATCCTGGAAATGAATAATTTAATAAATGAAATTCAAAAAGTGGATTCAAGAGCTTCAATAATAGACTAGATCAAGTGGAGGAAAGAATTTCAGAACCTGAATCAGGCTTTTGAAATAACCTAGTCAGACAAAAAAATAAGAAAGAAAGAAAAAGAATAAATTAGAATAAACAAAGCCTATGTGACATATGGGGAATTATAAAATGACCAACTATTCTAATTTTTAGTGTCCCAGAAATTGAAGAGAAGGCCAAAGGCACAGAATACCTGTTTAATAAAATAATCACCAGAAACTTCCTGATTCTAGCAAGAGATTTAGACATCCAGATACAGGTAGCTTAGAAATCCCCAAATGATTCAATCCAAAAATGTCTTCCCCACAGCACATTATAGTCAAACTATCAAAAGTCAAAGACAAAGAATTCTAAAAACAGCAAGACAAAAGCATCTAGTCTCATATAAAGGAAGCACCATTGAGCTAACAGTAGATTTCTAAGCAGAAACCTTATAGGCCAGGAAAGATTGGAGTGATATATTTAAATTGCCGAAGGAAAAAAAATCTATCATCTGAGAACACTACACTCAGAAAAGTTACCCTTCATAAATAAAAAAGAAACAAAGTTTTTCCAAGACAAGCATAAGCTGAGACATACAAGACATACAAGAAATGTTTAAAGAAGTCCTAAACCTAGAAGTGAAAGGATGATATCTACCATTACCATTATGAAAACACACAAAAGTCTTAAACTCACTGGCAGAGAAAACACTCAAAGGAAGAAGAGAAAGGACTCAAATTTTATCACTACAGAAAACTACCAAGTTGCAATGATAAATAAAAGAGAGAAAGAAAGGAACAAATGATATACAAAGCAACTAGAAAACAGTTAACAAAATGACACGAGTAAGTCCTTATCTATACAATAATACCTGGGGACTTCATCACTTTACTCTCAGTATCAGACATCATCTAGACCGAAAAACCACAAAGAAACATTGGATTTGAATTGCACTTTACACCAAATGGACCTAATAAACATTTATAGAATATTTTATTCAACAGCTACAGAATATACATTTTTCTTATCGACAAGTGGTATATTCTCCAGAATAGACCACATGTTAGGCCATAAAACGAGTCTCAAGAAATTGAAAAGAAATCATATCAAGTATCTTCTCAGACAACAATGAAATAAGACTAAAAATCAGTAAGAGGAAAAACTTTAGAAACAGTAAAAATTTATAAAAATTAAACACATGCTTCAGAATGACTATTGGGTCAAGGAAATAAAAAAATTTAGTGAAACAAATAAAAATCAAACACAACATACCAATACAATGTACCAAAACCTATTGGATACAGCAAAAAACAAAGCAGTAACAACAAAAAAGTGCTAACAGGGAAGTTTATAGCAATAAATGCTTACATCAAAAAGGTAAAAAGGCCGGGCATGGTGACTCATGCCTGTTAATTCCAGCACTCTGGGAGGCCAAGGCGGGTGGATCACCTGAGGTCAGGTGTTTGAGACCAGCCTGGGCAACATTGAGAACCTGCCTCTACTAAAAACACAAAAATTAGCCGGGCATGGCAGTGTGTGCCTGTAATCCTAGCTACTTGGGAGGCTGAGGCAGGAGAATCGCTTGAATCCGGGAGGTGGAGCTTGCAGCGAGCCAAGGTCACACCACTGCACTCCAGCCTGGGTGACAGAGCAAGACTCCATCTCAAAACAAACAAACAAACAAACGTAAAAAGACTTCAAATAAATAATCTAATGACGTACTTCATGGAACCACAGAAGCAAGAACAAATGAAAATTATTAAAGGAAATAAGTATTAAACAACTGATCAGAACTAAACAAAATGGAGACTAAAAGAACAATACAAAAGATTAATAAATTGAAAGTTGTTCTCTCAAAAGAAATAAAATTGATAAACTGCTATCTAGACTAACAAAGAAAAAGAAAGAATACCCAAACAAAATCAAAAATGAAAAAGGAAACATTGCCACTGATACCACAGAAATACAAAACATCATCAGAGACTATTGTAAACAAGTATATTCCAATAAACTGGAAAACCTAGAGGCAATGAATAAATCCCTAGAAACATACAACCTCCCAAGATTGAATCAGGAAGTAATAGATACCCTGAACCAATCAATAATGAGTAACAGGATTAAACTGGTAATAAAAGTCTCCTCAAAACAACAACAAAAATCCCAGTACTGGATGATTTTACTGCTGAGTTCTACCAATGAATAAAGAAGAACAAATACCAATCCTCCTTAAAAACTATTCAAAAAAATTGAACAGGAGAAAATTCTGCCTAACTCATTCTACAAGGCTAGCATTACCCTGATACCAAAACCAGACAAGGCAACAACCAAAAAAGGAAACTACTGGCCTATATCCTTAATAAGTATAGATGCAAACATCCTCAACAAAATTCTAGGAAACGGAATCAAAAAGCACACCAAAAAGACAATATATCATAATTCGGTGGGATTTATCCCAGGGATGTAATGATGGTTCAACATGTGCAAATGCATAAACGTCACACATTACATCAGCAAAACAAAGGACAAAATCCATATGATAATCGCAATAGATGCAGAAGAAAAACTTAATAAAATTCAACATTTCTTCATGATAAAAACTCTCAACAAATGGAGTATAGAAGAAACACACCTCAACATAATAAAGTTCATACATGACATACCCACAGCTAACATCATATTGAAGGGAAAAAAGGGAAAAGTGTTTTTTCTAAGAACTGAAGCAAGACAAGGATGCTCACTTTAACCAATCACTCATATTTGAGAGCTACAAAAGTTGATCTCATGGAGGTAGAGAGTAGGATGACGGTTAACAGAGCCTGGGAAGTATGTGGGTGTGGGGGCAGGGTGAAAATAACTTGGTTAATGGGTACAAACCTGTAGTTAGAAAGAATAAGTTCTAATGTTTGCTAATAGAGTGATAATAGTTAATAATAACATTTCAAATTAGCTACAAATGAGGATTTGAAATGTTCTCAACACATAGAAATGAATGCTTGTAGTGATAAAAATCCTAAATATCCTGATTTGATAATTACACATTCTATGCATATAACAAAATGTCATCTGTACCCTTAAAAAAGTTCAAATATTACATATCAATAAAAAATTAATTGATAGTCAAAGATTTTCATAGATATGTACACATGAACTTCCACAAACGCCAAGGTTGAACGGCTCCCCAAGCAAAATCTACCAAATATTCAAATATTTTAAATCTAGCAAATATTTATATCTTTCCAATTTTATATAAATTTTCTCAGAGAGTGGGAAAAAGGCAGTAGTCTTTATCTAAATTTATAAGAGTAGAATAATCTTGATAGAGAAATCTGATAAGGAAAGTATGAGACAAGAATATTACAAGTCATTCTCACTTATTAACAAAGGTTATACCAAAATAGTAGATGAATGATTCTAGCATTTTATAAAAAGTATATTTCAGTATGACAGAGTTGGGTTTAATCTCAGGAATGCAACTTTACTTTCATATTAGAAAATAAATGAACCTATCACTCAAATTTAAAGATAAAATAAGCACAGAGAGCATAATATGTAGCAGAGAAGCAATGAAAGTTTTTTATTTAAATTTCAAAATAAGACAAGGATGCTCAGCATCACAAATTGAAATTATAATGCAGGTTCTAGATAGCAAGTGAAAGAAGGAAAGAGGAAAGAGCAGGAGAAAATGGAAAAGAGAAGAGAAGAAAGGAAAGAACTTCATGATCCACAGATGTTATAATTACGTACATAGAAAAATCCAAGACATTATCTAAAGACCAATTGTAAGTTATAATTAATGAGTTAATGAATGTATAAAATAAGTATTCAAAAATCAATTATAATTAAATATATCAGCAAAAAACAGAAGGAAAAATTAAATATCCTATAATCGAAAATATAAATTACCTAGGAATAAATCAAATAAAAGAAGGACAAGATATCATGGAGTGAATTACAAAACTTTAGAGATACATATTAAAAGTAAACATTAGTAAATTGAGAACTATTCTATAATCTGTTCGTGGATTAGAGGACTTAATATTATCTACATATAAATATTCCTCAAATGAAACTATAATACAATTCCAAACAAAATATTCAACATGGTTTTTGGAACTTGCCAAGCAGATTATAAAATTATTGGATAATATACAGGTCTAAGAATAACAAAGAAAATCTTGAAGAAAGAAGAATAACAAGGAAGAGTCTTTCTTTATCATATATGCAGATGTTATGAAGGAATAGTAATTGACAGTGTTTTATTAGTGTAGGATAGAAAAATTACACTCATAGAACAGAAAAGAATGCTCATAAACAAAGTGTATTTATGAACAATTGACATGTGACAGAGGTGGCCCTTTAGATCAAACAGGTATTTTGTATTTTTAAAATAAATATTGCTGAAACGGTTGTTTATCTAAAGTCAATCTAGTTCAATTAAAGACCCAAATGTGAAAAGAAAAACTACAAAGCTGACAGAAGATTATAATAGAAATTACTTCATAATCTTGTGGCAGGGAAAGAGAGAAAGATTTTTTAAGCCTGATGCAAAAGGCACTAATAAAGAAAAATATATCTAAGCCAAATTTGACAACACTTAAAATCCAGGTCTTCCATTATTCAAAAGATACCACAAAGAGAATGAAAAGACATATTTGCAAAATAAAAAAAATCAATGAAAGGCCTCTGCTTTTAGCAAAAATAAGAAAAAAAGAACATAAGTTAGGCTACAATGGTTTTCTTATATGGTTGAGGTCAGTGATTCCTGAATGAAGGGAAAAAATGCTGTGGGGCTTACAATTTCCTCGTTGTTTGCCCAGATTTTCTGGGATGCAGTGTAGAGATGGTGAATTCAAACAAAGTGTGGTGGATTCCTTGAGTTGAGAACATGAAGCTAGGTGTATGGGAGGCCAAATGCACTTGTATTTCATTACTGTACAACAAATTACCGCAAACTCAGTGGCTAAGATAATACCTATTTATTATATCACTGTTTCTGTGGGTCAGAAATTCGGGCATAGCTTATCTTGGTCCTTGCTCAAGGTCTTATACATGACAGCAATCAAGGTGTCAGCAGGGCTGCATTCTCATCCAGAGGCTCACCTAGAGAAAGATCTGCTTCTGGACTCATTCAGGTTTTTTGCATAATTCATCTCCCTGTGGAAAATTATCAGCTATTGGCTAGAGTCTATCCTCAGGTCCTAAAGTCAGCCCGAATTTCCTGGCAGGTGGCACTCTGTATAGGCAGTTAACAACACGGCTGTTAGCTTCCTCAAGGCCAGCAAGCAGGAGAATCTCTCCTGTCTGCCCAACTGGAGTTGTATATAACATAACTTAATCCAGGGAGTGAAATTCCGTTGTTTTTAGCATATTCTATTGGTTAGAAGCATGTCACAGGGTCTGCCAGTACCCTAGAGGAGGGGATTATACAAACATGTAACTCGTTAGGAATCACTTTGGAATGCGTCTGTCACAACAAGGTAGTTAGAATTTTCCAGAAAAAGTACAAGGAAGAGAAAGCTGTACAGAGAGAAGAGAGTTGTATAGAATGACAGCTCTGGGGGTCAAAAATGGGTTCTTTAGCTAGTTATTGGTCAGCACTTGCATGAGAAGATGCTACTTGGGACCAAGGGAAAAAGTACCTAAAAGGAAAAGACAGTCCAATCCCCAGAACTAAGACAGGATAAGCCATAGTATACCCATAAACCAGAAAAAACTCCTGATGAATGAAGTACTGGGGAGAGTGCTCAGAGGGCCCTGCCTCAGTAGAGAGAAAATTAGTCCTAACTTAAAGGCTGTTCTGATAGTCTTTAATAAATCTTAAAATAAAATATTTAAAAGATCAACTATCTTCAATAACTATCACAGAACAAAGCCCCAAAACATTTGAAGGAATTGCAAAGAAAAAAATCTAGCTCCTAACATGATAAAATTCACTGTCTGGCATCCAATAAAAAATTACCAAGAATTCAAAGAAACATGAAAATATAATACACAATGAGGAGAAAAATGAATCAATAGAAACAGACCCAGAAATATTCAATGCCCATTTCTAGTAAAAAGATTAAATACATTTTGGAATACTAAGTAGCAATGGTTTTTCAAAGTGCTGTCATGTATCCCTGACAGTCCTTGGGGCACTTTCAGAGGGTCTGTAGAGTCAAAATTATTTCGATAATAATAAGACACATTTTGCTTTTTACGTTGCATTAACATTTGCAATGATTATGCAAAGTGATAGCAAATGAAGCCTTCGTGTCCTAACACAAATCCCAGCAGTGGCATCAAACTGTACTACTGCTCATTGTGTTCTTCACTGCAGTCACAGGAGAAAAAAAAGTTTCAATTAAGAATCTCCTCAAATGAGCAGTAACAATATTAAATGTCATTGAATCTCACTCCATGAATACATGTTTTTAATATTCTGTGGAAAGAGAAGAGAGTTTATAAAGCATTTCTGCCAGATACTAAAATATGATGGTTTTTACCAGGGCACAACACCTTTTTTTTTTTTTTAACGTGCAAATGAATCAGCTGCTTTTTCCATTTCTACTTGAAAAAAATAACTGATAAGCAAATTATGGATATTCTAAGTATTTCATACTTGTCTTAAAAATAACAAAATAACCCCATCACTTCAAGAAAAACAACTTCCCCTATTTATTGCTAATGATAAAATTTGAACCCATAATGTTATAATTTCAAGGAACTTTTACCCACCAGTTGGAGTTTGACTGCTTTCTATTATTTAAAGGCTTTTTCTGATGAGATTCCTGATGATACTGACAAATCAATTTTTTGATATTATTTAATGAAATGTATTGACATTTAAAAGATCTTCATAATTCTGATAACTTGATTTTCCAAATGACCAATGAATAATGTTTCAGAATGATAGATAGGTAAAGATTGATTCAAAGTTGCAGATAGACAAGTGGATTTTAAACTAACAGAATATAAAGTTCACTGATATAGTTTCAAGTTTACATTGCAACTTAACTTTGAAAAACAACCATGTTTTGAGTTTTGTGCAGTGTCAAAAATAAGGTATACACTTTATTAAGATTCTGATGTCTTCTACTTAAGTATCTGTGTGATGCTGGTTTTTATTTATATTTTTTGTATACTTCTTTGTACCTATTGCAACAGATTAAATGGAGAAGAAAATATTAGAATCCAGCTATCTCTTTTTGTCAGATATTAAAGAGATGAAAATATATGAAACAATGCTACTCTTGTCACTGAATTTTTCAAATGGCAATAATTTTTTAAAAAATTATGTGATTTGCATTGCCATGTAATAAGATTTTTGTAATAAGCTTACATAAATTATTATAATAAACATAAAATTTACAAAATATTTTTTATTTCTAATTTAATAAATGTTTATAGATACAACACATAAACCAATACTTTTTGTGGTTCTCAATAATTTTTAGAGTGTGAAAAGAACATGCAGTTAACAAGTCTGATTACTCCTGTTATACAGTAGTAAAAATAAATGAGCTACAAGCTACACACAACAATCCACATGCATCTCATAATCACTATGATTAAGAAGTAAGTTGCTTATAAATACAAACCATATATTTCCCTTATCTATCAGAGATATGGCCTATGCAGTTTAGAAGTCATGTATAATTGGTACAATAAAAAATAATTCTAAGGATATTATATTCACAAAATCAGGGTATTGGTTATCTCCAAGAAGAGAAGGAGTAGGTAATTAGGGAGGAATACACATGGAAATCAGGCAGTGTTCCATCACTTTATCACTTTGTAATTATGCCTAAAATTGCTCACATATATCTTTTGCACTGTTCTAGAGGTATATTTCACAATTAAAAAGGGTAACAAATAAATCAGTTATGGAAAATATTTAAATTGAAAGAAAATAAACATAGTACAGCAAATGTCAGGTAGATAAAAAAAAAATTACCCATAAGGAAAAACAATCTTTTTTAACCTAACAAAAAAAGCATAAATTTTACATTTGAATGATAAACTTATAATTCAGTACTGCACAAATCTAAATTTTATTTTCTTCTTCATCTAGTTTATTGCACAGCATATCATTTTATTTACATTCTCCTATATTCTCAACATCCTGGATCCTTCAATATTTCATTTCCTCTGTATGACAATACTTTAGTCCTGAACAATCCCCAACTGTCCAAGTTCTTACAAGTTCTTATGCCTTCACTTAGTGTATTAGTCCATTTTCACGCTGCTGATAAAGACATACCTGAAACTGGGAGCAAAAAGAGATTTAATTGGACTTACAATTCCACAGGGCTGGGAAGGCCTCAGAATCATGGCAGAAGACAAAAGGCAGTTCTTACACGGCGGTGGCAAGAGAAACATGAGGAAGAAGCAAAAGCGGAAACCCCTGATAAACCTGTCAGATCTTTTGAGACTTATTCACCATAATGAGAATAGCACAGGAAGGACCAGACCCCATGATTCAATTACCTCCGGCTAGGTCCCTCCCACAATACGTGGAAATTCTGAGAGTACAATTCAACATGAGATTTGGGTGGAGACATAGACAAACCATATCACTTAGACAATCAAGAAATTCTGGAGAAATTACCACTGATGCTAATGATATCTTGACTCCTATAATATTTACCAACTTCAAATGCACTTGAATATCCTAACCATTATTATATTTCTATTTGCAACTTATTCTCACCCTCCCACAAGAGCTAGTTCAAAGCTTCTCTTCATTCCTTAATCTCCACCCACCTGAAGCCTTCTACAATCAACTGATGGCATTCCTATTAATAGTAATGATGATAATAAAAAAGAAATTGTAAAGGAACAACCTCATCTTCCAGATATCAAACAACTTGCATCTATTTAAACACATTACATTGTTGTTTTGTATTACAGTGCGAAGTTATTCCTCTTTCATTTAAGACCATTTTCTCCACATGGTTTTGTGGGATCTCCTCTGCATTTGTACCAATAGTTGTTTAATAATAAATATAAAGGCAAAATAATCCCAAATGCTGACACTTTACAAATACATGTACTGAACTAATCTTTGTAATAATGTGTAAATATTTTGAAATATTCAGTTGGAAACATATAAATATATACTTCATACATTTCAAAACTGAGGCTGTTTAGTCACTACAGAGCAAAAAAAAAAAAAAAAAAAAAGAACCCAGTAAAGATATACATGGCATTTTTTATTGTTAAGATCCAGTAGTATACAGGCAGCACACAAACATAAAGCAATACATGGCTTGGAAACATAATGAGAAATAAGATATTTTCAATGATGATATATCTTAATTATGTGAATTACAATTATACTTAGATAAAATTAAATAAAATGGTTACATAACTCATCTTTAATATATATCTTGACTTTTACTTTAATGTAACAAAAAGGATAAATATGTTCTTTACTGACATGGATATTAGTGAATTCAGGAATAAAAGATATATAGTAAAATATTAATAAACATTCAGGATAATGTTAAAATTGTCACTCCATTGATACTGAAGCTAAGATTATTTTTAAAGTACTTTAAAATTAGTATTTTAACAACAAATCTATTATTTAGTTTTCAGCTATATAACTATGACTGGAAACATATGACATTCTACTACTTTATCTTATCAGCACTTTAAATGATACATTATATATTAAACAAAAATCCCATTCTATTTATTTAAGATATAAAAGAAGCTAAACCATTTTATAATTGTCTAATTGTTCTTTCCTGATAATCTTGAGGCCAAAAAGGCTTAAAATTTTATTTCATTTCTTTCACATCAAGTAATTTCAAACTCCATTATTACAAAATGGACTGCTTACTTTTGCTTTTACTGATAATGTCTTTGAGATTTAAGATGATTTTTCTGTATAATCTCTACTAGTTAACAGAGCATCTTTAAAGCTAAATTACAAAACAAAGTCATAAAACATCCTGCTTTGTATTATAAAGGAGGGCATTGGATTACCTCTCAGATATTCATTTTTGATATTTTTCTATGGAGCATGAAAACTGCATCTAAACACTTATTGATTACTATTATTATATTCAATTTGCCCATAGACTCAAGTTTATTCATGCATGTTTAATTGACTTGCCACCCTGAAGTAGAAAGAACTTGTTTTAGGACTTAGGAATCAATACGAAAATTAAAAATGAATTATAGAAAATTACAAAGCAAATAACAACAGTCAATACTTTCATCAATGGGAATTTGCCACTGTTTACTTCTTGGCATATTTGCTTTGAGTGCTTCCTTTCTGTTTCTCTCTCTGTTTCTCTTTTTCATACTTTCTCACTGTCTATTTTTTTAAAGTTTTTTTCTTAATTTCAATTTTTATTTTAGATATAGGGGGTACACATGCAGGTTTGTAACATGGGTATACTGCTCCTGAGTGGTGAGCCTAGTACCCAGTAGGTAGTTTCTTAATCCACGCTCCCCTTTCTCTCACCTCCCTCTAGTAGTCTGCAGTGTCTAGTGTTCTCATGTTTATGTCCATGAACGCTTAATGTGTAGCTCCCACTTAAGTGAGGACATGCATTATTTGGTTTTCTGCTCCTGCGTTAACTCACTTAGGATTATGACATCCAGCTCCAACCATGTTGCTGCAAAGGACATGATTTTATTCTTTTGTATGGCTGCATAGTATTCCATGGTATATATGTACCACATTTTCTTTATCCAATCAACCATTAATAGGCACCTAGGTGAATTCCATGTATTTGCTCTTAGGTATAGCGCAGTGATGAACATATGAATGCATGTGTCTTTTTGGTGTAATAATCTATTTTTCTTTGGATATATGCGCAGTAATGGGATTGCTGGGTTGAATGGTTGCCTTGTTTCAAGTTCTTTTAGAAATCTCCAAACTGCTTTCCACTGTGACTGAACTAATTTACCTTCCCATAAACAGTATATAAGCATTCCCTTTTCTTTTCAGCCATGCCAGCATCTGTTGTTTTTTGAATTTTTAATAATACACATTCTGACTGGTGTGAGATGGTACCTAATTGTGATTATAATTTTCATTCCTCTGATGATTAGAGATAATGAGCATTTGTTCAAATGTTTGTTGGACACTTGTATGTCTTCTGAGAAGTGTCTATTTTTGTGTTTCATCCACTTTTTAATGGGGTTGTTTGTTTTTGCTATTGATTTGTTTAAATTCCTTATACATTCTTGTTATTAGACCTTTGTCAGATGCATAGTTTGTTAATATTTTCTCTCATTCTGTCCATTTACTCTGTTGATAGTTTCCTTTGCTGTGCAAAAACTCTTTAGATTAATCAGGCCCCACTTATTAATTTCTGTTTTTGTTGCAATTGCTTTTGAGGACTTAGGCCAAATCTTTGCCAAGGCCAATGTTGCGAAGGGTATTTCTTAGGTTTTCTTCTAGGATTTTTATAGTTTAAGGTTTTACATTTAAGTCTTTAATCCATTTTTACATAATTTTTGCATATAGTGAAAAAAGAGACTGTCCAGTTTCATTCTTCTGCATATGACTAGCCAGTTATCCCAGCACTATTTATTGAAGAGGGAGTCCTTTCCTGGTTGCTTGTGTCATGTTTAGCACTCTTATAAGGCTGGTCTGGTGGTAACAAATTCCCTTAGTGTTTGCTTGTGTGAGAAGGATTTTATTTATCTTTCACGGCTTAGGAACTTAGTTTGGAGAGAGATGAAATTGATGGTTGGAATTTATTTTGAGGATGTCAAAATTAGGCCCCAAATTTCTTCTGGCTCATAAAGTTTCTGCTGAGATGCCTGCTGCTAGCCTGATGGGGCCCCCTTTATAACTGACCTGGCCTTTTTCTCTAACCTGCCTTTAAGAATTTTTTTTTTTTTTTTTTTTTTTTGCAATAACCTTGGTGAATCTGATGACTATGTGCCCTGGAGATGGTCATCTTGTATAGTATCTCACAGGAGTTATTTGTATTTCTTGAATTTGCATGCCCACCTCTCTAGCAAGATCAAATAATTTTTCATAGACTATATCCTCGAATATGTTCTTCAAGTTGCTTACTCTCTCCCCTTTCTATATCAGGAATGCCAATGATTCATAGATTTTGTCTCTTTACATAATCTCATATTTATCAACGGTTTGTTTATTTTTTAAAATTATTTTTTTCTTTATTTTTGTCTGACTGAGTTGATTCAAAGAATCAGTCATTGAGCTCTGAGATTCTTTCCTCAGCTTGGTCTATTGTCCTGTTAATTCTTCCAACTGCGTTACGAAATTATTATAGAAAATTCAATTCCAGAAGTTCAGTCTGATTCTTTCTTAAAACAGTTCTTTTGACTATCAGCTCTTGGATCATTTTACTGGATTCCTTGGATTCCATGGATTGGGTTTCAAGTTTCTCCTGAATCTCAATGAGCTACCTTGTCATCCAGATTCTGCATTCTATTTTTTGTCATTTCAGCCATTTCAATGGGTTAGAAACCATTGTTCTGGGACTAGTGTGTTTGTTTGGAGGTAAGAAGACACTAGCTTTTGAATTGCCAGAATTCTTGCACTGATTTTTCTCATCTGAGAGGGCTTTTGTTTTATTAACTGTGACACAAAATGAGTATAATCAGCTCGCTTCATTTCTGGGTGCTTTCAGAGGTCTAAGGCTCTGTACAGGATCTTTATTCGTGAACAAATTTTTGCCTTAGGTTTCAGGCACTGTATACTGGCAAAATATTTTTGGTGTTGTAATTTGGTCTGGTATCCAGTAAATGGCACTTAAGAGTGATGGCTGGCAGATAGGCTCTTATTCAGCCATGTGGCTCTTTTGTATTTCTGTAGTATGCTCTGTGGTGTGAGGCAGAGAGGGAGAATTCCCTCATTAGGTCTGTTCCAGGGCCTTGGAGGAACCCCTGCCCATCACTGGCACCATGCCTACATTTCCTTTGTTAGGTGCTTCATGACATGGGGTACCCTCAGACAGAGGCCACAGCTAGCGGACAGGGCATACTCTTTTTAAACTGGTTCTGCAGAAGGAGGCATGGCCCTCTCCCCTGTCAGTTCATGAACCCAGGCGTCTCATCCCATTCAGTGTTCTGGGTGTAGGAGCCCCTCCCCTCCTTGGGTGCTGCCCAAGCCAGAGAGTCTTTCCTGGCTATGGAGTTACCCCATGCACTGTCTGGGTGTTTCCTGGAGGAACACAGGGCTGTGTTCCCCAGCAGAGTTCAGGCAGGAGAGCGGCTGCTGTGCTGGAAGCCCGAGGTGGCAGGTCCCACCTGGCTAGTAGCCGTGGGGTTGGGAGGAATTGCCCAGTCTACTTTCTGGATTTTTTCCAGGGGAACACAGAACTGTGCCCATTGGCAGAGTTCAGGCAGTAGAGTGGCTGCTGCACTGGAAGCAGGAGAAGAGCCTTGTTGGGCAGGGAGGAGTGGAGCAGTCTGACTGCTCCTCCAGCACTGTGACTGCCTCTATTGGTATTATGGCAGCTGGCCCTGGGCTGCCGAGGAGTCTAAGGCCTGTGGGGCCCCCTGTGGTCTTGAGTGATACCTCTTCAGAAACTCTGGGCAGATCTCTGTATTGGTCTAGAGGCCTGCTGGGGTTGTGAAAGAGGATTCTTTCATTCTCAGTATTGCACAGGTCCCTGTGGGAAATGTGGATTCCCTGGGGGCTCTTACTCTCTCACCCTTTCCACATGTTGGGGAGCTTCTCCTAGCTCTGTACCAGTCCTGAGTGGGCACCTGCCCTGCTTTACTCTTCTCTGTCACCCATGTATTCTCTTGCCCCCTTGATGTGTCCTGATGTGGTTTATTAAACGATTCACCATAAAACTTAGTATTTGCTCAGCACTTTGTTTCCTTTCCATGACAGCAGTCCACATGAGCTGCTTTTAGTTAACCATTTCGAATCTGTCTCCCCTCCTTTTTTTTCTTTTTTTTGACAGAGTCTCACTCTGTCTCCCAGGCTGGAGTGCAGTGGCGTGATCTAGGCTCACTGCAACCTCTGCCTCCCGGGTTCAAGCGATTCTCATGCCTCAGCCTCCGAGCAGCTGGGTTTACAGGCTTGTGCCACCATGCCCAGCTATTTTTTGTATTTTTAATAGAGACAGAGGTTTCACTGTGTTGGTCATGCTGGTCTTGAACACCTGACTTCAAGTGATCCGCTTGCCTCAGCTTCCCAATGTGCTGAGATTACAGGCATGAGCCACCACACCCAAGTCTCTTTCATTTCTTAATACAAATTATTGCATTGTTGTAAACTTGATATATGCTTATTATTTTTAGTTTTTCCACATTTATTGAGGTATAATTAACAAGGGAAATTGATTATATTTATGGTGTACAATGTGATATCTTGATATACCTAAACACTGTGAAATGATTACCACGATAGAGCTAATTAACATATCCATCACTTCAAATAGATAACTTATTTTTCTGTGTGTGGTGAGAATATTTAAGATTTACTCTCTAAGCAAATTTTGAGTATACAATTGCTATGGTCTGAATGAATCCCCCCAAATTTATGTGTTGAAACATAATCGCCAATGTGCTAGTATTAAGAAGTGGGACATTTAGCAGGTGGTTAAGTCATGAGGATGGAGCCTCATGAATGGAATTAGTGATCTTATAAATGTTCAGGAAGGAACTAGCATCATCCCCTTTCACCCTTCTGTACCATCTTCCACAGGATTTTTCCCTCAGAGGGACATAGCAACAAGGCACCATCTTGGGGCAGGCAGCAGCCCTCATCAGATACTAACTGTACGGGCACCTTGATCTTGGACTTTCTTGCCTCCAGATAGTGGGAAATAAATTTCTGTTGTTTTTTAAATTACCCAGTCTGTAGTAATTTGTTACAGTAACACAAAGACAACAATACAGTGTTATTAACTGTAGTCATCGTGCTTCACATTACTCCAGAATTTATCCATCCTGCATAACTGAACCTCTGTAGACTTAGACCAACATCCCCTCATTTTCTCTACCCCCATCCTTTGGCAACCATCACTTGAGTGTGACTCCACTTCTGAGTTTGACTTTTTCAGACTCCAAATGCAAGTAAGATCATGCAGTGTTTGTGTTTTTATGCATGGCTTAGCATAACATCCTCAAGTTCACTCACGTTGTCACAAATGACAGTATTTCCTTCTTTATAAAGGCTAAATAATATTCATGTGTGTGTGGGTGTGTGTGTGTCTGTGTGTATGTGTGTAAAGAGAGAGAAAGCAAGAGAGAGAAAGAACATTTTTTGAAATCCAGTAATCCTTTGATAGACACAGGTTGATTCTGAATCTTGACTATTGTAAATAATGCTGCAATAGATGTGAGAGTGCTGGCATCTCTTTGACATACTGATTTGATTTCCTTTATATACCCCCAAGTCAGATTGTTGGATAAGGTAGTTCTATTTTTAATTTTTTGAGAACTCTCCGTGCTGCTTTTCATAATGGCTCTATCAATTTACCTCCCCACCAACAGTGTACAAGGATTCCCTTTCCTCCATATCCTTGCCTACATTTGTTATCGTTTGTCTTTTTGATAATAGCCATTCTAAAATGTGTGAGGTCATGTCTCATTGTGGTTTTGATTTACATTCCCTTGATGATTAGTGATGTTGAGCACCTTTTCATATACCTGCTGGTCATTTTTGTGTCTTCTTTTAAAAAATGTGTATACATGTTTATCTTAAAGAAAATAAACAGTAAATTTGTTGTAAATTTAAACACAACTTTAGTGTTTAAAAGACATGTTTTAAAACATCATCCAAATTCTATCAGTCAGAAAAATTAATTTTTCTCATTAGGTGATGTAATTAACATGCTTTTTTCATTTATAGAGGGAAAGGTATTAATATGCACCACAAAACTATATCACATTACAGATATAATTTCAAAACACATTAATATATAAATAACAGAAGAAAAACTAAGGTGGAATGAAAAGAATTACAAAATTTCAATCATGACAGAAAATATTAATTCTTTAAAATATTCCTCCAAGTTTCTAAAAAATTTGAAACAAACTGATTAGGATAAAGTAATTCTGTTTTCAAAATTACATATTTTAAGAAGACATATAAATAACCAATGAGCATACGAAAAGATGCTCACTATTATTAATCATTAACCACAATTACATACTATCTCATACTTACCAGAATAGCTAATAAAACAAAAAAAAATACTGACCATAATTAGTAAATGAAGAAATTAGAACTTTCATACATTGCTGGTGGAAATATAAAATAGTGTAACTACTGAGAAAAAACTGTTTTGTGGTTCCTTGGTTCCTCAAACAAACATAGAATTACCATATCACCCAGAAATTTCACTTCTAGTTATACATATATGGAAAATAATTGAAAACAGATATTCAAGCAAATATTTGTACATAAATTCTAATAGCAGCATTATTCATAAGAGCCCCAATGTAGAAACAACTCAAACATTCATCTACTAATTAATGGATAAATAAAATGTATATCTATATTATCTGGCAATAAAAATAAATGAATTACTAATTAGTGTTACAACATGGATTGACCTTCAAACATCATACTAAGCAATAGAAGTCAGACAGAAAAACTACATATCTTATTATTACATTTATATGAAATATCAAGAATAAACAAATCTATAAAGACAGAAAGTAGACAGTGGTTGCCGAGGGTTGGTGTGGGGGAATGAGGTCAGGCCATTAATGGGTATAGGCTTTGGGGGCTCTCTCTCTCTCTCTCTAAAATATTGAGAATTCTTAATAAAATTTTGCTGAGATATAATGTGTGACTTCACATTCAAGTTTCAGAGATTTTTTTCTCCTCTTCATGAACATTTTTGTGTTAAATTGTTGAATAAGCCTACTTCCATTTGTTGATTTCTCTATTTCACTTATATCAGTTATCTATGTTGGATTATCTTTATCCATCATGCATATGTATTAGCTTCTTTCCAATTACTTTTATAACTTCCTATTTTTAAGCTGTACTCACAGTGATAATCTAGAGGCACTCTTCCATGTATGTATTATGGTTTTCAGTGTTTTCCATTCCTTGCTGCTTCTTATATTACTATATTTACTAATTGTGCAATAATCTTAGTTGGGTCTGCTCTTTTTTACTTTTATTGAAGCTGCCTTTTTTATTTTCTTAATAAGCTCACACACAAAACCTATATTCTTTTGTGTTCTATAGGGTGAAATAATTTTGAGAAAATTTCTTCTGTTACTTTAAATAAATTCTTCAAATTTAGTACTTTGCCTTTTGATATTATGGTATATATCTCATGTGTTTGCTGTGTTGAATTTGCGTAACTACTTACTTTTTCTAGTTTTCTTGTCCATAATGAAAGATTCTGTTGAGAATTTATTCTCATGTGATATAGGAATATTTGAGATTATTTATGCCATATCTGAGAAGGGTTTCTTTATCCTCAGAGCAGTATTTGTGCCCACCCACTTTTCTATTGTCTGATGGATTGGTGCGGGTAGCAGAAGACGGAGAGTTCAGCTGAGATCTTGAGTATTCCCAGTAGAGTACTTATTCTGTGTTCTCATAGACATACTCCACTACTCTTCAGTGAACCATATTGGGGATTTATTCTATCTGCATGTGAGGACTGATCCAGTCCTTCTGTTATTTCCCTAATTCGGTATAAAACCTTGCTATTTTTACTTCTGTCTGAAAGCAAGCTACATGGTTATCTTTCTCATTACATCTATTTCTCCCTGGTAGATGTGTTTACCTCTTTTTTTTAGTCTGATAACCACCTAGTTTACTTTTCTATAGAATCTAGGTTATTAGCTATTATTTTTACCAACTTATCAGTATCCCTTAGAGGAATGGCTTGTCAGCCCATCAGGAAGCTAGCTGTGCTGACCTTTTCTTCAGAATATATTTTTTTGAAGTTATGTCAAGTTTTTGTGTTTTTATTAGATAATCTCTTTTTCATTTAGTTGGTTTCTGTAAGCAACTTTTTGTAGTTGGAAATTATTACTTAAGTTGCAATTTTGAGGAAAATTTTTCTGTAAACAATAGCAGAAATAGTTCTCTTCAAATGAATAAATATGAAACATCTATTTTAACAAGAATTATGATATATAATATGTAGTACAACAAAAACACAAGCACAAACAAAAACACACTTAGCCTCTTGAAGCTAACCATGTATCAGGAAATGAGTAAAATAAGGACCCATAGCTGTCAAATAAAATGATGACAAGAAACAGACTGCTGTAGGCATTTAGTTCAGTAATATGAGGAAATCACCAAAAGCCTTAGGGAGGAGAAGGCAGTCAAAATAGCTCTATACAATTATGTAGCATTTCCATAGGGTGGTTTAAAAGAAGGTTGCATTCTCAACAGGGAAAAAAAATGACATGAATAAATTCAGGGAAGTTGGAAAATAGAACAGCACATATAAAAATCTAAGTTTTTGGAACATGGTGAAAAAAATTGGAGATACAAATGAAAAGCTATGATCAGCAATTTACTTCTGTTCCACAAGTATCTACTAAGCACCTCATAGTTGGTCAACGTTGTTCTAGGTACTTCTTGAAGGAGAAGTCATGTTCTTTCTTCTAAGATATATAGAACTCATTGATTGAAACATAAACTGTTTTCCAAAAAATGAAGTAAATAAACTGATACGGTAATGCCACAAGTTCTATAAGATCTTAAAGGATGGGCCCTTAGCTTCAATAGAGGTGGGATGACAGGATTCAAAGAACACTTTCTAGAGGGTATAGTGCCTGAACTGAGTTTTAAAAGGTGAATAGGAAGTTTATCCAGCAAAATACAGGAAAGATAAGAGTCAGGGATAATGCCAGATAGAGGAAACTGCATGGACAATGAGGCATGAAATAGATGTGAGGAACTAACTACTAGATTAATCAAACCATATGATAACGGGTCCATGTGATATATATAACCATATGATAACAGGACAGGAAATGGGAATAAATAACACTCCAGAGGTTGGCATGAATGATTGGTAGAGAACATTCTATGTCATGTTAAGAAACATAGACATGACCCTATAGAAAAATAAGTTATGAAAGGGTACTAAGCAAATGAAATTTCAGCCAGTTCAGTCTAGAGGCTACATGAAAGATGGTTTTGAGGAAGTGCAAAGTTGGAGGTTAGAAACCAGTTAAGAAACCAGCGCAGAGCTCATAAGTGCCTAAGCAAGGTCAGTGAAGAAGAGGAGTGAGATTTTAAAACTTTCATAGCAGGTGAAAAAAAAGTTCAAGGAGAAATTATTATGGAACTCAAACTATACATTTAGATGAGTAAAACAAAATTCCTGAGTTCTAGAAACTCACAGCTTGAGTTTGGAGGAATACTAAAAAAGCAATCACAATACAAGTGTGGAGGGAATGTAGAACGCTTGATTATGTATTTTAAAGTCATGTATGATTAATTTAGAAAACCACTAGAAGGAACCTGGATTTTTACAAGCCATGTGGCCTCACTGAAAGTGTGTGAGCAGAGAACCAACACGGGTGGATTTGTTTTAGAAATGCAATTCTAGGGCCCCAAAAGAGGAAGGACAGAAGGGGAAGAGAACTGAAGGACCAGTTAAGAGAACCTTAGTTTAAGTAAAAGATAATATTGTCTTGGACTACAATGGCAGAGGGAAAGAAGGTAGAGAGAAAGTAAGATATTTAGAAAATAAAATAGACTGAACTTGGTGACTAATTTAAAGTGGGATGTGAGCAGAAAGGAATTAAGAATATCTACAAGATCTTTATTTGTGAAAGTGGGTGTATGATGATTCTATTGACTAAGACAAAAAATATAGGACAAATGTCAGCTGTGAGGGGAAAGAGCAAAAATTGCTTGGGACATTTTGAGCTTGAAACCTCTTTCAGAAATAGAAAAATGATTCACATATTCAACTTGAAATTCCTAATTTACAATTCCTTAAATAAATAAATCATAAATTATTTTTTCACTCCTTGTTTCACAAAAATTTTGCCCTGACTAGAATTTCTCCTAAGTCTCTTTTATCATTGTCACATTTAATATGGTCTTCCAATTCTCTGTGTATGTTCTGCTTTAACCAGTTTTCAGTTTTCATTTAAATAAAAGTGAATTGAAATATATATGACATAAAAGAATAAAATGTAAAAGCAATTTGATCTTAATATATGGTCACTATATCAAAGTTTTTTAGAAGATACAATAATGACCACTTTTTAATTTTATTGGACATTGTTAAGGAAATATAAAAATGGCAAGTGTTGTTGAAAGCATTTAGCTAGTTACAGTAACAACTACTACTTCTGATGAAATAATATCATCTCATAGTCAACAAAGAAAGTCAGTATACAATGATACCTGGAGGAAGAGATAGAAATTGTAAATTTAAGAAATGCAGACATTTTTATCTACCACAGATAAAGATAAATGGTGACTGATTAATCAAAGTGTTACAGAAAGTAATACCCTACTTGAATAATTATATTTAATATTATGATAAAACTTTCAACAGTCCATACAAGTCAACATATATTCCTGAGAAACTATTTTTTTCATGCCACCATTAATCATTTTTTCAAATTTTCACTTTTAGAATATTAACTTAACAGTATAAAAGCATAATGGGCCTTGAGAAAACTAAGAACTCAGAGTGAACATTTAAACTAGTAAAAATATACTGATGGGCAAAGGATTATGAGGCATATTTGCAAAGTATGACCCCAGATGTCGCAAAATATGACCTCAAAGTGGTTGCTGGTTTTATACAGATTTTTGTTATATTTAAAATTATGTAAAGTTATTCAGGCAACAACAAAAACATAAAATGCTAATCTGAGAGTAACACCAGTTTTAGTAAAGAGATTTAGTCTAATAATAAGCGAGCCATTTTGTGTGTGGATAAAGTTATCGAAGAGGCAGTCTACTCACTAAGCTTAACATTTCTTCATTAGGAAGAAAACTGAAAGAGTTGGGCCATACTTATGAGCCCTGTTGGGACATTCCATTTCTTTTCCTTCTTTTTCTATCCCTATTTGGAAGAAAAGCTCAAGGGATGAATCTAACAAAACATACACCAAATAAGGTCATCCTCCCAGGGCCTTGTTAGGAAAAGCAGCAGCATTCACATGTAAAGTTGGATGCCAAAGTTTTAAGGTTATAGCTGAATAAATCAACGAGGCTCATGCTGTTCAAGGGCCTTACAGTAAAGATGAAAAATTTGTAGGAGAAAATTCTAATTATCTAGAGGACTTGGGCAACAAAGTGAAACAAATATAAGATGTAGGGAATTTTAAAATAGAAAAAAAAGGAGTTTTATTGTACAAGTCATAAAAATATAAACCTAATATTAAGATGAGATGAGGTGTAGGGAAAGGAAAGAATAAACAGCTATATTTTACTTTCAGAAATACATCCTTTCTTATTAACTAGATTCTCCCCCTTGGCGCCCCCTGCCTCCAACTTGTACTATTACAAAGAAGGTATAATCTCATGGAAAACCAATGTAAGGGATTAAATGAACATCTTTTAATGAGTAAAAGAGAAACATGATGCCAAGCCTGTTGCATGGTCTATGTTTTGACAACGGGTTTTACAGATCTTTCAAACCTTGTGTAATTATCATTTGTTACAGAGTTAAGCTAAAGTACTATCTAAGCCAGTGGGTATATACATGGATGTTTGATATAACTCAAGATGAAGAATTCATGAAGTTTAAGACACCAGGCACTATAAAGTAAATTTTTAGTACTAATTTTGGAAACATTCAATAATATTAACATTATTAATATTAGTATACATTATATTTTCACAATGGATATTGAATAATTAACTGGCCAAATTTATTCTTTATTCAACAACAAAAATAGTAATTAAACATTAAGCTAGCAATGACATCACCTTAGACTATTTTGCAATTTACCATTGCTTTTATGCAATTTATTGCTGTATTAATTAAATTTAGTAAGTTTGTTAAATAAAATATATCTTTGTGCCAAATGAAAGTTTTGGGGTCAAGTGATTAAAAGCTTTACTATATTTGTTTAGGTAGCCACATATGGAACACATAGTGAAGACTGGGATCCTCATACAGGAATATATATCTACTAGCTGTCTAGAGATTCTCTTCTGCAAGGGATTGATTTGTATTTGCACTTACTTGCAGAAGAATGAAAATATACCCAGTTATCTAGATCCGTACCTTTCTCCAAGCAGTTCTTTTCAGGTATTTAGATGCTTAGTAGGCATCCCTTATTTCCCAGAAATACAAACATTTAACCACTAAGTTGGAAAGAAGAAAAATGAGAGTTCTAGGATTCCCAGTGGCAGCAACATCATACACCTAATCTAAGACTGTGTTCAGGGTAGGGTTGCTCAGTTAAATTTGAATTTCACATAAACAACAAGCACTACTTTTTTGTACATATCTATGTCTCTCTCTCTATATATATATATACATATATACATAAGGACATATATATGTATATATAGACACATACACATATATATATATATAGAGAGAGAGACATAGATATGTACAAAAAAGTAGTGCTTGTTGTTAATATGAAATTCAAATTTAACTGAGCAACCCTACCCTGAACCCAGTCTTAGATGAGTTGTGTGATGTTGCTGCCACTGGGACATATATATATACACACACACATATATATATGTGTGTGTATATATATATATGAAATACTTTTTGTAATGTTTTAATTCACAGAGAGGGAGAACCATTAGCTCTTAAAATATCAGGAAGAGACAGAAATCATACTGCATGTATTTATCTTAGTGGTTTTAGTGTTATATTAAGTGTTATATTAAAATTGAAACCTTACAGTAAAGCTCTCATGAATCACTTCATTGTTCAAGCAGAAGGTAGAAGAAATAAATGGTAGAAAGTAGAAGAAGGAAATGGCAAAAAGGGTAAAACTTCTTCAAACAGAGGATTTTTTCCCCTAATTTGAATCACTAAACAGTAATTGGCATTAAATGTTATAAAAATTGGCATTAAATATTATACAATTTGAATATTTAATTTGAGACTGAGTCTAAATTTACTTATACTCCTTGGATGTCAAGATAAGTCAAAATAATTATAAATAAAACATAATTCGGTAATATTATACACATACTTATTGTAAGTATTTGAGATTATAAAGCACTAGGAATGCCATACAAATTAAATTAGGTATTTTAGTTTTTAAAAACAGACTTCATTGTTTTAGAGCAGTCTTAGATTCACAGAAAAAATTGAGAAGCAACTACAGAGAGCTCCTATATACTCCACCCCCCTCCCACATACACAGCCTCCCTCATTATCAACTTACTGCATCAGAACAGCACACTTGTGACAACTGATTAATCTACATTGACACATGATTATCATCCGAAGTCCATAGTTTGCTTTGGGGTTCATTCTTGGTGTTGCACATTTTATTGGTTTTATAAATGTATTCACCATTATAGTATCATACAGAATACTTTCACTGCCCTAAAAATCCTAGGTTCCACATATTCATCCTCTGTCTCCTCAACCACTGGCAACCACTGATCTTTTTACTATCTCTATATTTTTCCTTTTCCAGAATGTCACATACACTGTAGTTGGAATAATATGGTATCTAGCCTTTTCAGGTTGGCTATATACTTTTTCATTTGTTATTAGACACTTTACGTTCCTCCATGACTTTTCATGACTTGATAGTCCATTTCTTTTTAGCTCTGAATAAGATGCCATTGTCTAAATGTACCATTGCTTATACATTCACCTACTTATCAATTCCTTTTATTCATGGATCATGCCTTTGATGTTGTATCTGAAGAGTCATCACGAACTCAAGGACATGTAGATTTTCCCCCTTGTTATCTTATAAGTCTTTCATAATTTGCACTTTACTTTTAGGTCTATGATTCACTTTGAGTTAATTTTTGTGCAAAATGTAAAGTCTGTGTGTAATTTCATTTTTTTTGGCATGTGGGTGTCCAGTTGTTGTAGTATCATTTATTGAGAAGACTACATTTGCTCCACTATGTTGCCTTTGCTCCTTTGTCATGTATATTTTTCTTCTATATATTTCTATGTGGAAAATTTTGTATCTCAGAGGCTATATAGACCTTTTAATTATCTGCATTGAATATTTGTTTGCTGTTGAAAATTCCCCTCCTTGGTGAGGTCTCAGACATTAACTCAGAAACCTTCCATCCCTTGTGGTCAAAAGGAGGAAGCCCAAGAGCTCCAGGGTTGAGAGACACTTGTAAACAAAATCTGACTTTGTCTTCACTTACCTTCCTGTCTATGCTTTCCCTTTGCTTTAGGATGTACAGACTCTTTCTTTTCATGACATCTCAACTGCAAGATTAAACATCTAATCCATTTGGATTATTTCATTTACAGATGCTATTAGGGACATTTAATAGTCATCTTTCTGGAAATGGAAATCTCTCAGAGTTTATCTTTCTGGTATCACAATATAGAATTATCTAATTTTTATTTTGTTTCTTATTGGTCTTTGCACCCACCTCATGTCGTCAGGTTAGCAACTTTGTCTATTTTATGCTCACAATATTTCCAGAAAGTAGACAAGTATTTGGTACTTAGTAAGTATAGAATATACTTTATTGAATGATTGAATATATAATTCAATTAACTTGTTTTTCACTTTATAAATGTTTCTCCTACTGATAAAAAATTCATTAGAGTGATTTTTATTGCTACATAAAATGTATACTGGAATAGTGTCATCCTTTGTCATATTGAAAAACAATTACATTGTTCTTCATTTTTTACTGTTCTAAATGTTGCTGAGATTAAAATTATGGTTTATAATGAGTTATTTATATTTTGTTAGGTCTTCAGATATTTTCTCATAGGTACAATTATCAGGTCAAAATACTTGAAATCATTTTAAAGCTCTTTATATGTATTGTAAAATTGCATTCCAGAACTAATTACAACTCCCACAAACTGTGTGTGTGTGACAGATATAATAGTATCTGTTTCATCATTTCTCACAAGCATTTTAAACTTTGCTGTATAAATCTCACATTATATGTGTTAATAGACTTTTCCTTTACTGGGGAGCAGGGGGTCTAGAGATGCAGATGAGAAAAATATACCCCAGAATTTGAAATAGAGGAAGCATGCATAATCTTATTATATTCCACACATGTAACAAGCAGTTATTTTACAGCATTAGCTATTTTAGGCATTGTCAAAGACATGTTTTATTACAAGAAGAAATACAGAATAAAAGACACTGATGATAATATACCAATTAATAATGCTTAATATTTGTTGAAAAATTTTCATGTTCTAAGTGCATTTTATTTATTTTCAAATTGAAAACTCCACTTTTAAAAAATATTGGGATCAGAGCCACTTCTTTCCTACTTCTGACATTTTCTGACTTGTGGAGGGACATCTATTTCTGTCATTCTGCTTTCTCTTGCCTCTTACTCTCTTGTCACCAGGGAGGATAGAGTGACTTTCTTGTTTGGTAAAGTTGGGAATGCTTGGATTGAATGGTTCTGCTTTCTCAGGAATGAGGTCCTAGCATGCAGTACATGATCTACTGTGCTCATTGCCACATGCTTTATAAGATCAGGCATGCTTGGTGAATGACTCTGTCTACTGCAGGAGGTTCATGTAAGGAGCTTCACTCATTTGCTCATAGATATAAGTCACAATAATGAATATATTATCAATAATAAGGGAGATATTTTTGTCCTCATATTATAACTTTTTTTCTCTGCTGATTGAGGGTTTAGGTAGAAAATGTGTGTTACTATTGGACTTTCCTCATGACACCAATTTTAGATTTGTTTTATAATTTTTAAAAATCTAGCTTGTTGGGTTTGGTACTTGAGAGACTAGGTATTTGGTGAAGTCAAAGTTTGTAGCTAGGTTCTTCCTAATTGCAAAGCTTATGCTTATAGTCAGTTCACCATATACATTGTAAAAAAATATGATTTAATGAGCAAGTTAGACTTGCAGATGAGATAAGTAAATGGAATGAATGATGACTGTCTTAGTAGCACAGAGTCATAAATGTTTTCATACTTTTTAGAATAAAAATCTTGTTCAGTCTGGAATCATTGGAGTTAAAATACATGCATATTTTAAATAATTACAATTTTTATATTCATTAAGTACCTATCACCAAGTAAAGGAGGGGGCCAGAGTATATAGGAGCTCTCTGTAGTTGCTTCTCATATATATATGTATGTATGTATGTATGTATATATATATATATATATATATACACACACACACACATATATGTATGAGACATGTGTATATATATAATCTCATATATATATACACATATGTATGAGATATGTACATATATAATCTCATACATATATCTCATATATATGTGTGTGTGTGTATATATATATATATATATAGAGAGAGAGAGAGAGAGAGAGAGAGAGAGAATGAGAGAGACAGAGTCTCACTCTGTCACCCAGGCTGGAGTGCTGTGGCGAGCTCAGCTCACTGCAGCCACCTCCTGGGCTCAAGCAATTCTCATGCTTCAGCCACCCAAGTAGCTGGGATTACAGGCATGCACCACCACGTCCTGCTAATTTTTGTATTTTTAGTAGAGACAGGGTTTTACCATGTTGCCCACACTGGTCTCAAACTCCTGCCTCAAGTGATCTGCCCGCATCGGCCTCCCAAAGTGCTGGGATTACAGACATGAGCCACCATGCTTGGCCTCTATTATATATATATTTTTTAATGCAGATTTTTAATTGTTAACCTCTAAAGAAGCTTCTATTATACAGGACAGACTGATTATGTCTACAGCAATGAGACAACACTGGATAAATTCTTAAATACCTAAGAATTTGTTGGTTTGGTTTGATCAGAGAGCCAGTTCTCTCAGAGTGAAAAAAAAAATGCCTTGGGAAAATTACATTATTCAGGACATTGGGAAATGACTTCATCTTAATGCTTAATGTGAATGTGCTTATTTTTCATGGAAATATTTACTCCAAATAGCTCTATAATAGCTACTTACCTATTTAATTTTGCATATAGATATAGAAGAGAGGATTTTCCTGTTTTTTTCAACTCAAAAATAAATGTAAGTCTGTGACAGTCCTAGACTTAATCTGAACACAATTTTATTTCTACTTTTAAAAATGTCTCCCTTTGTTTAGGCACACTTCTTTGATCATTCACAGGAGGCCTTCTTTGGAAGATACATTGTGCAAGGTCCAATATGTTTGTTTTTAAAGCCTTGGCCAATACAATATTGACATTAGAACATGTAGTTTGAAATTTCACACATTTCAAATTTTCTTTTTAGTTACTATCTTTCCTATTCTTAATTCCTTAATGTTTTCTCAATTACTTAATTAAAATTTAGATCATAAATCAGCATGCAAAATTTCCAAACCAATGTTTTGTTTTACTTAATTTATTTTTAACAGCTTTATTGAATTATAATTGATACACACAAGCACATGTTAGTGTACACAATTTGTGTTAGTGTACACAATTTGATGAGTTTGGACTTATGCACATACTCATAATACTATCACCGTGATCCAGGTACAGGTGGACATCATCTTTGACACATTTCTGATAATTCTGTTATACAAATATTACATGTGATTGAACAACACGTTCATTATTAGATGTAGTTTTATACCCTCTGCTGAAGAGCTTTAGTACTTAAATGCCACGTGCATCCCATAATGTTACAAAAACATAAAGTCATTTTTGCAGCTTAGTATAACTTTACGAAGCAGGCTGGTGTGGTGGAAATCATGTGAGCTTTGTAGTCCAAGACAGCTAGGTCCACGTTCCACACTTATTAGATGTATGATTTTGGAAGAAATGCTTAACTTTGTTAATCTTCAATTTTGCTACTCAGAGTAGTGATGATTGTACCTACTTTGCAAGACTGTTGAGAGGATTTTAGATACTCTTAAATATCTGGCATTTAGTTATTGCATAGTAAATCAAAGCTCTCTGTATTCTAATAATTAGCTTTCTCTAATTCTTTTAATAGAATTATAAGATAACATAAACATGACTTTCAAAGGCCTTGAAATGTCATAGACTCAGGACCTCTTGGCAGGACCATGCCTCTGGCAAGAGGAAGTGACAGAAGATCTCCTTAGTACCTCACTTCATTAATCTAAGTCCTCTACTGGTACATGACTTTATTTATCTCCAGGGTGCTGAAGTTTTTCTCTAAAAGAACTGATGTTTGCATCATTTAGATAAATGCCTTGAGGTTCCTTATGCTAATTAATTCCTTTGTGCTTTCTTTTTACTAACAATATTAGACAGTTTTCTAACTGACAATGATTTATGCTTCTCAGTTTTTCAGATTTCCTGCTGTTGGCAATCATACATCCCAAGGCACTTGCATGTAAGGTTCTCCAATTTCAGCAAATATGTCCAGACAAAAGGTGTATTCTTACAAATGGAGATAGATAGACTCAGACCAAGGAAAGGATTTTTTGTTTTCTTTTAGATACATTGAAGTACTACAATTGTATGTTCTCCAACAAAAATTTATAAAGAAAGTAAATTACCTTCCTATGATGTATTTGAAACTTCTCTATCGGTATAAAACTTTGCACTTTATTTGTAGTAACCTGGATACAATTCTTTCTTCAGAATATCTAAAATGTCAACTAGACTTGTTAGCATCAAAGACATAATATGACATGTTTTGTCTAACACCTTATTTTAATTTGTGCGTGGGTAAACAATTCACTTTAGTGAATTTAGTAAATAATGCAGTTGTTTGACATTCAATTATGCATTTAAATTATTTTATATTTACCCTTATTTCTTATCTGTTGTTTACATTTTCTGTCATCATTGATTCTCATTCTTTATTATTACAGGCAATTCAGTGCCACAAATGTCATGATTTGTTTAATTTCTAAAGTTCTTCCATTATGAAATCTACAAATTATTTACTTTTCAAACAAGATAAAAATATTTTGCTTTGTACACTTATACAAAGACTCTCCATGTTGTTATTTTTAATTCTATAGACTTTTAAAGATTTTTTAATAAATTTGATTTATTATCACTATCTTAGATTTGTTTCTATTAAATATTGAATTGGTACACAAAAACCTTAGACAAAATGTATAAGGCAGAGAGAATAGACACCACTTAAGAAACAAAGTACAACTTTTAGCCCTGAAGTGTCCTGTAAATATTTCCCATTATTTCCCCCCTACTCATCAGTATAAACCTATACTGAGCTTTTCATTTATTAAATATCTCAACTTTACAATTTTAATCCAAATCTTTAATTCCCCAATATATTTTGTTTAGATTGACTTTAAACTTTGCATTAAAGAAATCATACTACTTGTACCCCCTATAATTGCTTTTTCTTCATTCAATAGCATTCTTTCAAGAGTTATTTATGTTGTTGCATGTAGTTTATTCCATTCCCCTGAACAGAGGCATCATTCATCAGACAATGATCTGATTTTCATTGTGATAAAAAGTTTCATTATATTAATATATCACAGGTTAGTTATCCATTCAATTGTGATGGTCATTTAAATTGTTTTTCACTTTGTTTTGATATGTTTTGGTTCTGCTATTACAACCAATGCTGCTATGACTATTCCCCTATGTGATGTGTCTTATACAGGGTTGTACACTCCATAACTATCCTTATTTGCTATGCTAACTCCTTATTCCTTGTCACCTCATCTATTTGAGAAAACTAGAAATTCATAGGGTTGTTATAGACTTTTTTCTTCCTAGTAGTTTAAAAATTTAATTATTAATGACAATTACATATATTTATGGGATTAAATGAGTAGTATATAAAATTCTGTATTATTCTCTATATTCTCCAGATGCTTCAGGCCATAAAAGAATAAAAATGAAAACATGAATTGGAGAGATATAGAAGAGATATAAATGTAAATCTTGGTGAACTGCTTTGGGAGATAAAGCGAATACACAGTCTAGAATAATTTAGGTAATTTGGCGAACATCAATGTCAGCAACAACAAGTTCAAGACCTAGTTTTGAAAAGATAATGAATTCTAATACATACATGGTGATTTGGATACATATGTAGGATATCCAGATAGAGGATTCTAATAAGCAAATAGATAATTAAGTATGGTCATGAGAAATGTTTTGCCTGATGCATATGTTTGGGGACCAATAGGCTATGTGTGGAAAGAAAAACTCTGATCATGGGTATAGTACTAAGACAGAACATTACACTGGAAAACAGAAGGACAAAGCTCTCACAAGTTCAGGTAAAAAAGGGGGAGATATTTTGAGATAACCAGTTCTTTCTGCCACACTCAATGAAAAGGATGTATGCATCCTTCTGAATTTTTTCCTTTGTTTTAAAATGATAGAGAAGTTGTATCATTTATATATCGAAGGGAAATACTTGAGATAGGAAATGTGAAATTGTGAAAGGAAGGGTATAACTCAAAAACAAGTCTCTGAGAAGAGAGTAAATCAGATCTACAGAAGCAAAATAGGTGACAGTTTTAAACAAGAGAGAAAACTCTGGTTTACATTGCTACAAAGGAGGAAATGATGTTATAAACGTAAGTAAGTTTTTTGAGGGAGGAGTGGGAATTTGATGTCCTCATTTTTCTCTCTATGGTAAAGTATGGGGTCATTTACTGAGATAGAACAAGATGCAGTACGATAGGAATACCAGAAGCCTTTGAATTTTAACATTCTCCATAATTGTATGAATCTTTTTCAGCAGCTCATCAGCTAAAGGGCAGAGAGATATCATACACCTTCAATTTTCGTAACATAATTTCTTTTTAGAAAAGTAGCAATCAAAATAAACGATTATCCACAGTTAAATTGATCTGAGTTGCTGCTGGAGGGCAAATGGGAATACAACATGCAAGTGAGAGAGGAAAACACAAATTTTAATTTTGAATAAAGCTTTTTTCATGGCTTGAGTTCTTTCTAATTTGAAAACTACAGTTATGAGAACCAGTTATCATACTACTTCTGGGGTTAGTATAGACAGGTTAGAGGGGGTTTGAATAAACACAATTTTATATATTTTGTTCAGTTTTAATTAGAATCAAGTAAGGAATTGATGAGGGTGGAAAGAGGTGTGTTGGATAGATTGCTCAGCTTGACAAAAAAAATCTGCACATGAGAAGTTCATCACAATTTTCTAGGTGATTGGATTAATCAGTAAATGCTAATATCCCACTACTGTGCTAGGATTATATTGGTTTTAAAAAATAGATGCTTCTAAAGAGTTTACATCAGAGAAACTAAATTTTTGTAAAAAATTGAAGGAAAATCAAAGAATTATTTTAGAGATAGAAGTAGTATGATAGCTGGTGCTAAAGAAGACTAAATATCTTCAGTTTTTACTCAATAACAGCAATCTCCAAAATTCTATCTATTCAAAGGTGAGTTGTGTTCAATAATCATAGCTCAAGAAAGATATATGTGAATTCAGACAGTTGACCACAACTGAATTGTATAAGCAAAGGAGATATATAATTTCAAATGCTCCTGACTCAGGGATATCATCTATGCTTATATTAAAATGCATGCTAAAGTTCTAATTAGCATACAGGGTAAAATATCAGAGTCATTTGCACAAAAATGTTTAGAGAAACAGATGAGGGAGAAACAGAGTAAAAGAACTGAAAATTTACAGGAGTATTAGAAAAACACAGAAATGAAGAAGAGATAAATGAAGATAGGAATGAGAAAAAGACTTTTGATTATAAGTCAGTCTGGGTTAATGGAAGGAATATTTGGAATTAGAAGGGGTACATTCATATCCTATTTCTAGAAAATTATGATCTCACCATTTTGGTCTTGCATTTTATCTTTGTATATTTAAGGAAATAATACTTGTCTTATTTTTCTCTAAGAACAGATGTTAGGATCCTAAATCAGTAATGAATCATCCTGCTATCCTAAAATTTTTCTCCTGACACTCTTTCCTTATCAAGATACTTCATCAATTTCTTTTATTTTCTCGAACATCAAATAAATGCAAACACTGATTTATACATGCATTTCTAGCAGAAAGTATTACTCTAGTATCAAGAAATCTAACAGAAATATCAATCTCAAATAAATAGCTTACAACATATATAATAGTATAGTGTAAAATTGGGGAAAATAATTGTCATCTCCTTACATATACTAAATATTATATTTACCTCTAAATCAAATAAGAGGGGAAAACAAGCTCCACGGTTGATATTTGCATTTCATTTCTCTGTCCTTACTCATAATGTATGTGTGTGTCTGTGTGTGTATACATATATACACATACACATATTATATATACAAACATACATGCAAACATATATGTGTATGTATATATACTCTTGCTAACCATATTACTTCTAAACCAATATTGCATACATTATTTGAACATTCTTAGAACTTATTTGGACTAGATTTGATAGTAATTTCAAGAATCAGCTCATGGAACATTTATAATTCAAAGAATATTTACCCAATTATACAGAAAGAATTCATTTCTGGAGCTCCATTCCAAGATGGCCAAATAGGAACAGCTCCAGTCTGCAGCTCCCAGCATGATCAATGCAGAAGACAGGTGATTTCTGCATTTCCAACTGAGATACTTGGTTCATCTCACTGGGACTGGATGGACAGTGGGTGCAGCCCATGGAGGGTGAGGTAAAGCAGGGTTGGGCATCGTCTCACCCAGGAAGCACAAGGGGTCAGGGGATTTCCCTTTCCTAGTCAAGGGAAGCCATGACAGACTGTACCTGGAAAAACGGGGCACCTCTGCCCAAATACTGCACTTTTCCCAAGGTCTTAGCAACCGGAAAACAAGGAGATTCTCTCCTGTGCTTGGATCAGTGGGTCCCATGCCCACGGAGCCTTGCTCACTGCTAGTGCAGCAGACTGAGATCAAACAGTGAGGTGGCAGCCTGGCTAGGGGAGGGGCATCCGTCATTGCTGAGGCTTGAGTAAGTTAAACAAAGTGGCTGGGAAGCTCGAACTGGGCAGAGCCCACCACAGCTCAGGGAGGCCTACCGCCTCTAGACTCCACCTCTGTGGGCAGGGCATAGCTGAACAAAAGGTAGCAGACAACTTCTGCAGACTTAAACATCCCTGTCTGACAACACTGAAGAGAGCACTGGTTCTCCCAGCATGGCATTTGAGCTCTGAGAATGGACAGACTGCCTCCTCAAGTGGGTCCCTGACCTCCGTGTAGCCTAACTGGGAGACACCTCCCAGTTAGGACATCTACACCAAAACCCCATCTGCAGGTCACCAACATCAAAGACCAAAGGTAGATAAAACCACAGAGATGGGGAGAAACCAGAGCAGAAAAGCTGAAAATTCTAAAAATCAGAGAGCCTCTTCTCCTCCAAAGGATCGCAACTCCTCGCCAGCAACAGAACAAAGCTGGAAGGAGAATGACTTTGATGAGTTGACAGAAGTAGGCTTCAGAAGGCCGGTAATAACAAACTTCTCCAAGCTAAAGGAGCATGTTCAAACCCATTGCAAGGAAGCTAAGAAACCTTGTAAAAGGGTTAGATGAATCACTAGCCAGAATAAACAGTGTAGAGAAGACCTTAAATGACAGGATGGAGCTAAAAACCATGGCATTAGAACTTCATGACACATACACAAGCTTCAATAGCCCATTTGATCAAGTGGAAGAAAGGGTATCAGTGATTGAAGATCAAATTAATGAAATAAAGCAAGAAAACAGGGTTAGAGAAACAAGAGTAAAAAGAAATGAACAAAGCCTCCAAAAAATATAGGACTACGTGAAAAGACCAAATCTACATTTGATTGGTGTACCTGAAAGTGATGGGGAAAATGGAACCAAGTTGGAAAACACTCTTCAGGATATTATCAAGGAGAACTTCCCCAATCTAGCAAGGCAGGCCAACATTCAAATTCAGGAAATAGAGAGAACACCACAAAGACACTCCTCAAGATAAGCAACCCCAAGACATAATTGTCAGATTCACCCAGGTTGAAATGAAGGACAAAATGTTAAGGGCAGCCAGAGAGAAAGGTTGAGTTACCCACAAAGGGAAGGCCATCAGACTAATAGTGGATCTCTTGGCAGAAACTCTAAAAGCCAGAAGAGAGTGGGGGCCAATATTCAACATTCTTAAAGAAAAGAATTTTCAACCCAGAATTTTATATCCAGCCAAACTAAGCTTCATAAGTGAAGTAGAAATAAAATCCTTTACAGACAAGCAAATGCTGACAGATTTTGTCACCACCAGGCCTGCCTTAGAAGAGCTCCTGAAGGAAGCACTAAACATGGAAAGGAACAACCAGTACCAGTCACTGCAAAAACATGCCAAATTGTAAAAACCATCGGTGCTATGAAGAAACTGCCTCAATTAATGAGCAAAATAACCAGCTAACATCATAATGACAGGATCAAATTCACACATAACAATATTAACCTTCAGTGTAAATGGGCTAAATGCCCCAATTAGAAGACACAGCTGGAAAACTGGATGAAGAGTCAAGACGCATCGGTGTGCTGTATTCAGGAGACACATCTCACATGCAAAGACGCACATAGGCACAAAATAAAGGGATGGAGGAAGATCTACCAAGCAAATAGAAAGCAAAAAAAAGCAGGGGTTGAAATCCTAGTCTTTGATAAAACAGACTTTAAACCAACAAAGATGAAGAGACAAAGAAGCCCATTACATAATTGTAAAGGCATCAATTCAACAAGAAGAGCTAACTATCCTAAGTATATTTGCACCCAATACAGGAGCACCCAGATTCATAAAGCAAGTCCTTAGAGACCTACAAAGAGACTTAGACTCCCACACAATAATAATGGGAGACTTTAACACCCCACTGTCAATATTAGACAGATCAATGAGACAGAAGGTTAACAAGGATATCCATGACTTGAACACAGCTCTGGACCAAGCAGACCTAATAGTCATCTACAGAACTCTCCACCCTAAGTCAAAAGAATATACATTTTCTCAGCACCGCATCATACTTATTGTAAAAGTGACCACATAATTGGAAGTAAAGCAGTCCTCAGCAAATGTAAAAGAACAGAAATCAAAACAAACTGTCTCTCAGACCACAGTACAATCAAATTAGAACTCGGGATTAAGAAACTCACTCAAAACCACACAACTACATGGAAACTGAACAACCTGCTCCTGGATGAATACTGGGTAAATAACGAAATGAAGGCAGAAATACAGATGTTCTTTAACACCAATGAGAACAAAGACACAACATACCTGAATCTCTGGGACACATTTAAAGCAGTGTGTAGAGGGAAATTTACAGCACTAAATGCCCACAAGAGAAAGCAGGAAAGATCTAAAATTGACACCTTAACATCACAATTAAAATAACTAGAGAACCAAGAGCAACCACATCCAAAAGCTAGCAGAAGGCAAGAAATAACTAAGATCAGAGCAGAACTGAAAGAGACAGAGACAAAAAAAAAACTCTTCAAAAAAATCAATGAATCCAGGAGCTGATTTTTTGAAAAGATCAACAAAATTGATAGACTGCTAGCAAGACAAATAAAGAAAAAAAGAGAGAAGAATCAAATAGAGTCAAGAAAAAATGATAAAGGGGACATCACCACCAATCCCACAGAAATACAAACTACCATCAGAGAATACTATAAACACCTCTACACAAATAAACTAGAAAATCTAGAAGAAATGGATAAATCCCTGGACACATACACCCTCCCAAGACTAACCCAGGAAGAAGTTGAATCTCTGAATAGACCAATAACAGGCTCTAAAATTGAGGCAATAATTAATAGCCTACCAACCAATAAAAGTCCAGGACTAGATGGAGTCACAGCTGAATTCTACCAGAGGTACAAATAGGAGCTGGTACCATTCCTTCTGAAATTAATCCAATCAACAGAAAAAGAGGGAATCCTACCCTAACTCATTTTATGAGGCCAACATCATCTTCATACCAAAGCCTGGCACAGACACAACAAAAAAGGAGAATTTTAGACCAATATCTCTGATGAACATCGATGCAAAAATCCTCAATAAAATACTGGCAAACTGAATCCAGCAGCACATCAAAAAGCTTATCCACCACGATGAAGATGGCTTCATCCTTGCGATGCAAGGCTGGTTCAATATACCCAAGTCAATAAACATAATCCACTACATGAACAGAACCAACAACAAAAACCACATGATTATCTCAATAGATGCAGAAAAGGCCTTTGACAAAATTCAACCAGCCCTTCATGCTAAAAACTCTCAATAAACTAGGTGATGATGGAACGTATCTCAAAATAATAAGAGCTGTTTATGACAAACCCACAGCCAATATCATACTGAATGGGCAAAAACTGGAAGCATTCCCATTCAAAACCGCCAGAAGACAAGGATGCCCTCTCTCACTACTCCTATTCAACACAGTGTTGGAAGTTCTGGCCAGGGCAATCAGGCAAGAGAAAAAAATAAAGGGTATTCAATTAAGAAAAGAGGAATTCAAATTGTTCCTGTTTGCAGATGACAGGTTGTATATTTAGAAAACCCCATTGTCTTAGCCCAAAACCTCCTTAAGCTGATAAGCAACTTCAGCAAAGCCTCAGGATACAAAATCAATGTGCAAAAATCACAAGCATTCCTATACACCAATAATAGACAAACAGAGAGCCAAATAATGAGTGAACTCCCATTCACAATTGCTACAAAGAGAATAAAATACCTAGGAATCCAACTTACATGGGATGTGAAAGACCTCTTCAAGAATTACAAACCACTGCTCAATGAAATAAAAGAGGACACAAACAAATGGAAGAACATTCCATGCTCATAGATAGGAAGAATCGATATCGTGAAAATGGCCACACTGCCCATGGTAATTTATAGACTCAATGCCATCCCCATCAAGCTACCAATGACTTTCTTCACAGAATTGGAAAAAACTACTTTAAAGTTCATATGGAACCAAAAAAGAGCCCGCATGGCCAAGACAATCCTAAGCAAAAGGAACAAAGCTGGAGGCATCAGGCTACCTGACTTCAAACTATACTACAAGGCTACAGTAACCAAAACAGCATGGTACTGGTACCAAAACAGATGTACAGACCAATGGAACAGAGCAGAGACCTCAGAAATAACACCACACATCTACAACCATCTGATCTTTGACAAACCTGACAAAAACAAGAAATGGGGAAAGGATTCCCTATTTAATAAATGGTGATGGGAAAACTGGCTAGCCATATATAGAAAGCTGAAACTAGATCCCTTCCTTTCACCTTATACAAAAATTAATTCAAGATGGATTAAAGACTTAAATATTAGAACTAAAACCATAAAATCCCAAGAAAACCTAGGCAATACAATTCAGGACATAGGCATGGGCAAGGACTTTATGACTAAAATACCAAAAGCAATGGCAACAAAAGACAAAATAGACAAGTGGGATCTAATTAAACTACAGAGCTTCTGCACAGCAGAAGAAACTACCATCGGAGTGAACAGGCAACCTATAGAATGGGAGAAAATTTTTGCAATCTACCCATCTGACAAAGGGCTAATATCCAGAATCTACAAAGAACTCAAACAAATTCACAAGAAAAAAATAACCCCATCAAAAAGTGGGCAAAGGATATGAACAGACACTTCTCAAAAGAAGACATCTATGCAGCCATCAGACACATGAAAAAATGCTCATCATCACTGGTCATCAGAGAAATGCAAATCAAAACCACAATGAGATACCATCTCACGCCAGTTAGAATGGCAATCATTAAAAAGTCAGGAAACAACAGATGCTGGAGAGGATGTGGAGAAATAGGAACGCTTTTATACTGTTGGTGGGAGTGTAAATTAGTTCAACCATTGTGGAAGACAGTGTGGCGATTCCTCAACGACCTAGAACTAGAAATACCATCTGACCCAGCAATACCATTACTGGGTATATACCCAAAGGATTTTAAATTATGCTACTATAAAGACACATGCACATGTATGTTTAATGAGGCACTATTCACAATAGCAAAGACTTGGAACCAAGCCAAATGTCCATCAATGATAGACTGGATTAAGAAAATATGGCACATATACACAATGGAATACTATGCAGCCATAAACAAAGATGAGTTCATGTCATTTGTAGGGACATGGATGAAGCTGGAAACCATCATTCTCAGCAAACTATCACAAGGACGGAAAACCAAACACCGCATGTTGTCACTCATAGGTGGGAATTGAACAAGGAGATCACCTGGACACAGGGTGGGGAACATCACACACTGGGGCCTGTCGGGGGGTGGGGGACTAGGGGAGGGATGGCATTAGGATAAATGCCTAATGTATATGATGAGTTGATGGGTGCAGCAAGCCAACATGGCACATGTATACCAATGTATCAAACCTGTATGTTGTACACATGTGCCCTAGAACTTAAAGCATAATAAAAATAAAATTAAAAAAAAGAATTCATTTCCAGCAGAAGTTTACTTTTTACAATCAGCTCTCACGGGTGTCAGCAGCCTTGTCAGCTTCTCTGCTTGTTCCAAGCTTCTCTGCATGGCCAAGCAGCTAGGTAGGTCATTTGTCTCAGAACATAAAGGAAACAATTCAACACTTTTGAAGTGGGAAATCCAAACCTATCAGCCTGTTAGTAATTCTTGCTATAATTCCATCTTTGCATAATCAGGGAGATTGGTTGGCAGCCGTCTGCTCATGTGCAAAAGTACAGCAACATCTTGGAGTTACTTTTCCATGTACGCACATGAATTTTTATGAAAGGTATATGTTCTGATCAGCAAAACACATTTAGGGAAAAAAATACACCTTTTTAAAAATGAACAACATATTTTACTTTTTAATGAAAACATAGTGATAGTAAGAGACTATTTATTTTGAAGGATATCTTTTTACTGAGAAATTCTGTTCCAATTTGAAGCCAATGCTCTGGATTTTAAAAGAGCTGGTATGGCAGATCCCAGTGCAGATGTACTACATTTGACCTCCTAGTTATCCAAACTCTAAAACTACATAAAAGCAGGAGTTTATTGCCTTTATACCTCACTTGACTCTAACTGTATAAACATGTTTCCCTTTCAAAATGATTCCAATACATATAAAACCAAGTTAAATATGCACACTATAAGGCAGAATTTTTTGTCACATTTCTTAATTGGAAAATATAGCAAAACTAAAGAAAGTCCTTGGAGAAATCTGAAATAAATAACAGTGTGATACCATCAATTTCTCAGAAACAATATACAATTAATGATTACTTTTTAAATCTCAGTGCCAAATGCCATACATAACCTCTCAGCTGTAATGTAGTTTATAGAAATCAATCCTATCAATCAAATGAAAAATAGATTCAACACACAAAACTGATTGAATTGCTTAAAATAAAAGCATTGAGCTCTTAAAACACATTTTTTTCAAATAATCTACTTACCTATTTTTATTGAAGCTACTTATAGTAATAGAAACTTAATTTGTTTTTAAGAAATTATTGAACTCAATTTTGCCAACGCACCTTTTTAAGTTGAAGATTTTTTTTCTTAAATGCAACAAATTATTTATTTTAAAGCAAAAGAATGAAAGTTATCACTTTTTTATTTTCATACCTCCTCACATAAACTTTGTACTACTTTGAGTGGTTTGTTTGTTTGTTTTAATATATGTCACCTGGACTTAAAGACTGTGTAGACAAAGTCATCTTTGCTTTTGTGTTTAAATTATAGTGGCTCCAAATCTGCTCATAGAAATAATCAGGCAGTGAAACTCAACAAAGAATCAGCATTTCAGAGACACCCCTAAGAGAACAGCTTACATGAATATATAGTGAACAGTGCCATTTTCTATATCTATACGGTAACTCCATTTTCTTCCTTTCCTGCTCAGACCAGCCTTGCCAGAAACCTATTTCTGCAGACCACCTACTGGAACCTTGTCTTTGCCACTGTCAATAATGGTCCCCAACACAATCAAGTAGATATCTTTGTCACAAGTCTCATCTTCCACTGCTCCCAAAACCACAGATTCTCCATGAACCAGAGCTGTGCTGAGTACTGTGCTAGGCTGGAAGAATAGCCCTCACATTTGGTCACCTGCTTGTCCCTAGAGTTTCACAGAGTTTTCTATAACAGATTTCTTTTAGCTTCTGGATATAATACTGCCAACTCAGAATCTAACAGTGCCTTATTAAAAATAATGTATTGTCATATTTTGGTACTGGCCCCTTAACAGTAAGGGATTAAACTCCAGAGAAAGGAATTCAAACCCAGTTCCAGACACATGCTGAGAAGAATATGGGTGTCCAGCCACTTCCTCCATTACTTACTAATCTTCTCTTGTGGCCCCTGATAGAAATAAGTGCACCATACCTAGTGATATATACAATATATCACCAGATCTGAGCCGGATATTCTTTGCAGGTTGTCCATAACAGTGGGAACAGCTACCATTGAACTAGGCCTTCTGGATTCCATGTGGATGAATGAAACCCCGTTTGCTGGGGCCAAGCAGCAGATCTTAATCGTAAAACAAGGTAGCAGAGATTGCCATCATGGGCTGAAGAGCCAAAGCATCAATCAAATGGTTTGACTCCTAAAAATTTTGAATATTAGCTTTGATCATATTATCCATGATGGATTTGAGACAGATAAGCAAACTATCAAATATAATCGGATTTGATTTGTATAATTAGGAATCCTTAATTCAGTTGAACAGAAATCTAACTAGAGTCACTAAAACAGAGATTAATTGCTACTCGGACAAATTTGAGCTACTTTATAAATTCAGAATTCCTTAACTGAAGCAGAAGATGGCCCCAACTTTTACATTATAACTCTTCTTAACCTTCCCCAAAGGGAGGTGTGGGTATTACCAGTGTGAATGTACATTATGGGAAAATAACCAGACTGTTTTGGTATTACCACTTATTGGCACTGAACTGACAATAACTGCTAAACACCTAAAAGAGCACAGTGGTTCACCATCCAAAGTAGGACAATAGGAAGTAAGGTGATGGATAAAGTTTTGTCTTGTGTTCATCTTGCAGTGGGCCCCTCAAAATACCTTATGGTATTTTCTCAACTTTATAATGCTAAATTGGAAATAAACATATTTGGTAACTGGTCGAATCTTCACATTGATTCTCTGACCCTTTAAATAGGGCTACTACAGCAGGAATGGCCAAATGGAAGTCAAATGAAATGCCTCTCTATAAAAAGCGAAAGCAATACCGCAATCCTGAGGAATTGCAGTGATTAGTACCATCACGAGAACTTGTAAAATGCAGGAGTGATAACTCAACACATTCCGGTTCAGATGCATCTTGTAGAATGACAGGGGACTATCACAACTGGGTGATGACTACAATTGCAGGTATTTTTTCAAGGATGGATATACAACTGGAACAAATTACTACATCCTCTGGCATGTAATATGCAACTATTGGTTTGGTAAATTATTTTAATTTATACCTGCTAGAAACAATTATCAGAAGCATTTTGTTTTCAGCTGACAAGGATAGCAGTGTACCTTGCTCGCCTCTCTAGGCTATGTCAACTTTCTAGCCCTATGTAATAATTAATCTTCAGGGAACTTGATAGCCTCTCTATTTCAAAGATTACCATGCTGAATCATTTTATTATTGAGATTATGTTTATTGTCAAGAACTGTGCAGAATCTGAGCTTTTACCCTATTTAATGGATACAAGTTAGTCTGTAACTGTTTCATGGGTTCCAGAAGACATGAGACTCTTGGACCAAAGACAAAGGACTTTATTACTCACATCAAGGGCAGCATTTAAAATTCCTTGCTGGTTAGTGTTAATTCCCCATCTTCTCTCAAATGCCATGTGAATGACACAGGACCCATGATGGATGTGTGTACGTTCAGTGGGCTATTTGACAAGAAAAGAAATCCAAGCCGAGCTTTGGAAATTCACCACTTTTAAAATAAGCAAAAGCAAAGCAAGTGGAAGCATGCTTATTCTTTGCACTGGGGGAGATGTTACTTCATCACTCAAAGTTGTTCACTGCAAACACAACTCTAAAAATGGCCTGGGTAATTAGGGCCATGCATTCTTGGCCTATCCTGCAAGAATGCATAGGGGCACAGTCAAGGCCCATGCTGGATTCCCTCTCCCAATACTGATTAAATCTGGTGATCAGGAAGAAACAACAATTCTAAACACCTTGGTGAAACATATGTTCACCAGAGATAAGAAGTAATTTTCACAAAAAATTTAGGATATTACCACCTATGCGAAATTCTTAGGGTTTTGGGACATACCATTATGATTTTAGAGCAAAGCTAGTCATTCTCTATAGACAATGTTTCTTGTTTAAAGAAACAGCATCTGGCTTGCCACTGGGCCATAGCAGAGAATGAACACTTGACCATTAACTAACAAGTTACTGTTTACCCTGATCTACCAATTATAAAGTGCGGGAGGTATCTGCTTCATAAAATCGTAAAGTTCAGTGGTTTGCACAATGATACTCATTTATCAAACATTTATAAACATCAAATGATGTCATGTATAAGAAATTTCATTCAAGTATGCCCTGAAGGCATAAGAAATTCACAAGAATATTTTGTTCTGCTATCCATGTCTCCTAATTCTGCCACACTTCCTCCTTTCTCTCAATCATCCTAATACTTTCATAGTCATCTATGAAAATTTGACTACAAAAAAATGGGTCTGGTTTACAAGTGGCTCTATAAAATGCTGGAACTACATGTAAATAAGTGATTGCAAAAATACAGTCCCACTCCAGGGTGTCCTTGAAGAACAGTAGCAAGGAAAAGTTATTTTAATGGAGAAGACATTGAGCCATGCATACAACTGTTCATTTTGCCTGAAATAAAAGATGTTCAGAGGTATAGATCTACACTAATTTATAGATAATGAATAATGTTTTTGCTCAATGATCAGAGACTCTCAAGTATCAAGTCTGGAAAATTTTTGCAAGAGGGTCTAGAGTAAAGGTATGTGAGGATATCTTTTATATGTGTTGAGAATATAAAGATATTTGTGTTCCATGGGACTGCTCACCAAAAAGCAACCTCAGATGAGAGGAATTTTCACAGATTTGTAAATAAGTTGATGATTTCTGTGGATGTTAGTCAGCCTTTGTCCTCACAAACCAAGTTGCTATGTTCGCAAGGGTACTATCCATGACATCAGAAAAAGTGGACTTATATTCTAAAGTCTTATCTGGGAACAGCCACTGATGAATGTTCAACCTACTCAAAAATAGCACCATTCTTTGGAGCTCAACCCACCACCTTGTGACAAGTTGATTGCATTGGAACTCACCTCTCATGAAAAGGACAGTGCTTTATTATCATTGGTTAAACACTTTGTCTTGATGTGGATTTTCATTCACTGTCCACAGTGCTTTTGGAAGAACCATATTCATGTTATTATAGATTTTCTTAAACATTATGGTATTCTGTGCAGCACTGCTTTTGACCAAACCACTATGTTTTAGAAAATGAAGTGTGATAATTAGATCATGATCATGAAATTCACTGGTCTTATCTTGTTTTCTATCATCCTGAAGCATTCGCCTTGATAGAATAGCGGAATGATATTTTTCAAGAATCAGGTATGACACCACTTGCTTGGCAATATCTTGAGGGCTTGGGTAATTTCCCTGGAATGCAGTATATGCTCTAAATCAGTGACCAATGTGTGGTTCTGTTCATTCCTGGTCAGTATTCGCAGGCCTGGGAATCAAATATAGAAATGGGAATGTTTTCTTTCTGTAATAATTCAATAATCTGTTAACAAAAATATTACTTTCAATAATTGTGAATTTGGGCTCCTCTGATCTAGGCATCTTAGTTCACGAGGGAGTAATGCCTCTACCATGAGTCACTATCAATCATTCTGTTAAAACTGAAGTTAAATTTAACACTTAGTTCACTTTAGGTTTCTCATGCAAGTGAATCAATGGACAAAGAAGGGAGTGATTGTGCTGACTGTGGTAAATAATTTTAACTATTTTAAGGAAATTGAGTTACTAAGGAATAGTGAGGTTAAGAATAAGCATACCTGCAATACTTCTGTTTGCAGAAGGGTGCTGCTCAGTACTTCAATGACAAGTGATAAAAGGTAACGGTAAACTACAATTACATTTAGGCAGGACTGATAATGAACCAGACTGCTCAGAAAAGAAAGTTTGGGTCAACTCATCAGGCCAAAAACTATAACTAGCAAAGTGCTTGCTTACAGCAAAGATTATGTAGAAAAGGCAGTGTATGAAGATAGTTACAAATAGAAGGTATGAACACATGACTTACTATAATAGTTACAAATACATATTTCTTCTTATTCTGATATAAATATACTTATAAATACATTAATTATCATCTTCTGCTCTCCCTTTCCCCCATCATATAACATCAAATGTTTTAATCTCATATCTCAGTATTTAAGTTACAAACCATAAAAGGGTCAGTGTGGTTCAATTAGAAATGAACATTGCCAAGTTAGATAGAAAAACATCATATCCTTTTGAAAAGAGAGTCAGCATGTTTTTGGTTGTATAAGGGATACTAGTATAATTTTAGATGGAAATATGCCTTTGCTATTATCTATACTATGAAGTTAAGTAAAATTAAAAGACATATATATAGATGCCAAATTGACAAAGATTGGAACATAATGTCCCTTTACTATGCCAATTTAGCAAAGTTGAAATGGGCCTTTTCTTTGCAGTACCAGATTGGGGATATTTAAGATATTTAATGTGGATATACAAAAATTTGGGCAATATTTGTAAGGTATGAGTGAGTGAAAAGCCATTTTAATGCACTGAGTTTGGTATAGGGTGCCTGACAATATGGCATATCATACCTGTTGTCTTTGTTCTGTTAACTCAGAAACTGGCATGAGACAGCACCCAGATCTACACCTCTACCAGCTCCCACAAAATCTTCTTTTACAACTTCTCTATACAATGATCCAGGTATTGTTTAATTCTGTGGTAAACAATGAATAAAACAAGATTTTCCTGTAGATCATTCATATCATCAAGTTTAGACATGGGAAAAGAAAGAGACAGGTTTTATTTTGTCCTTGTACATTCCAGTTTTCCTTTGCTCCTGTCCAAGTTATATGGAGCTCTCTTTCCTGACCACTGGTTAGGGTGACCTATCATGACTTCAGGGTCCCATTAGACATAAAGTTAACAGCCTTGTATAGACTTATTACCAGCCCTCACAATTGTGTTATATCTAATCCCTATAACAATTTCCTTTCATTGTGTCACTCATAGGGATCTGCTTCTCTGATCAAATTCTGACACAGATAGTGTAATGAGTTCTTCCTGACCACTGCACAGATTAAATTTCCCCAGACCATGGAATTCTAAAACCACGTTTGCAAAATTACACAGTAAGATAAATCTGACATAGTTGACTCCATCTTGCTTTTAACCTCCCAGCTGTCCTTGGTCATTCCTGGGTACAGACCAAATTAACTTTGGGAGAAATTTATAGTTTAGCCTTAAAGCAAGGATGATAATAGCCCTTTCCAAAACTAAACAGCCTTTGTAAAACAATTAAAGAACACAACGTTGAGTATGAGAAGGGCCTGAATTCTGTTAAGTTGTAGGCGTAGTTAAACAATAACCATCCATTGTTATGAATGTCACAAGATTTATAATTTCCCCAATTACACCTGTAGTTAACATCACTATTGTAGAACATAAGGTTCTACAATTTTGAGATGTCTTTTTAGACTTTTGCATTTCTGAGGATGGCTAACTCCACCTGGACTTCTGATTCATGACTCAACTAACTGGTTGTGTGGCCTGCGGAACCACAAACCAAATAAACCTCTTTTTCTGTGTAAATTACACAGTCTCATGTATTTCTTTATAGCAATACAAGAATGGCCTAATACAGAAAATTGAGACTGAGGAGTGGGGTGTTGCTATAAAGACACCAAAAATGTGAAAGAGACTTTGGAACTGGTAATAGGCAGAGTTTGGAAGAGTTTGGAGAGATCAGAAAAATATAGGAAGATGAGGGAATGTTTGGAACTTCTTAGAGACTGGTTAAATAATTGTGACCAAAATGCTAATAGTGATATTGGCAGTGAAATACAGGATGCCAAGGTCTCAGTTGGAAGTGAGGAATTTATTGGGAACTGGAGCAAAGTCACATGAGTTATGCCTTAACAAAGAGCCTGAATGCATTCTGTTCATGCCCTAGGGATCTGTGAAAGTTTGAACTTGAGAGTGATGATTTAGGGTACCTGGCAAAAGAAACTTATAAGCAGGAAAGCATTGAAGAAGTGGCCTAGCTGCTTCTAACAGCCTTCACATTGATGCAGGAGCAAAGAAATTACTTAAAGTTAGAATTTACATTTAAAAGAAAAGCAGAGCATACAAGTTTGAAAAATATGCAGCCTGGCCATGCGGCAGAGAAAGAAACTACGCCTATTTTGTCAGAATTCAGGCCCCTCTCATAATCTGAATCTTAAAAACTTCCATTAGTTTTACAAAGGTGGTTTAGTTTGGGGAAGGGCTATTATCATCTTTGCTTTAAGGTTAAACTATAGACTAAATTCCTCAAGTTAGCTTGGCTTAAGCCCGGGGATGACCAAGGACTGCTTGGAAGTCAGAAGCAAGATGAAGTCAACTATGTTAGATTTCTTACCATCATAATTTTGCAAAGGCTGTTTCAGGAGGACAGGAGAAGTTCAGAGGGATACTTTGTTTCTGAAGCCCTTCCAATATCTTTCTTCTCAAAGCACTCAGCACGGCAAAGCACCATATTTTTGCATACCATTTTCTGAGCCCCAATAGTATTCAATACCTAATAGTGTGCACAGTACTAATAAATCTTTAATAAATTCTGGATCACTGGTTATGATAATTTTTTGTGTGTGTTTGTTTGTTTGTTTTTGAGACAGAATCTTACTCTGTTGCTCAGGCTGAAGTGCAGTGGCATGATCTCAGCTCACTGCAAGCTCTGCCTCCCAGGTTCAAGTGATTATTGTGCCTCAGCCTCCCAAGTAGTTGGGATTACAGGTAACTGACAACACATCCAGCCAATTTTTGTATATTTAGTAGAGGTGGGGTTTCACCATGTTCGCCAGGCTGGTCTCCAACTCCTGACCTCAAGTGATCTGCCTGCCTCGGCTTCCCAAAGTGCTGGGATTACAGACATGAGCCACTGTACCTGGCCTGATGATGGTTTTTGATATCTCTATCAGCCGTGTCCAACCCTTTGAATATGAGGACTTTTTGGTATATCTGTAGTGGCAGATATCACAAAATTATGCACAGACTTTTTTATTTTTAGCTCATCAGCTATTGTTAGTGTCAGTGTATTTTATGTGTGGCCCAAGACAATTCTCCCAACGTGCCCCAGGGAAGCCAAAAGGTTGGACACCTGTGATTAAGCTCATCCTTCTCAAATATTTGTTTTGCATTTCCACTCTATTCTTCTTACTTGTTTTGAACCTCTTAGACCCCAAGAATTGACCTAGCCCTAGATGTGCCTGTCATACCTACCCCATCTCCAGAGAGACAAATCAGAAAAAAAATCTGTAACACTGAGGGCAATGGGTACCAAAAATATGTGTAATAGAGCAATTCAAGAGTCCTTGAATTTTGTGTTAAATTTCTATTTATTTATTTATTTATTTATTATTTTATTTTTTGAGAGATGGAGTCTTGGTCTGTGGCCCACGCTGGAGTGCAGTGGCCCAATCTCAGGTCACTGCAACCTCTGCCTCCCAGGTTCAAGTGATTCTCCTGCCTCAGCTTCCCAAGTAGCTGGGACTACAGGCATGCACCATCACCCTCAGCTACTTTTTGTATTTTTTAGTAGAGACAGTGTTTCACTACATGTTGGCCAGGCTGGTCTCAAACTCCTGACCTCAAGTGATCTGCCCGCCTCGGCCTCCCAAAGTGCTGGGGTTATAGGTGTGAGCCACTGTGCCTGCCCGATTCCTTTTAAATAAAAAGTAGCAATATAACTTAAGACAATGGGCAAAATGATAGAATTATGAGGTCAAATTGAAAGCAAAACTATGAAAACCTTATGAATACTATTTTAAATGCAAAAACGATTATACATTACACATTTGATATTTTTCACTCAACTTTTTATTTTCAAGGTCTTTCATAGTTTTTAAACTTATTAGTGGAGTTTTCAGTGTGTTTCTTTATCCTAAGAAACTAACTTTATAACCCTTTTGCCATATAACTAAATATACCTTATGTATTTATTTTAGGAGGTTTTATTATTATGTAGGTATGCTAAGGTGAATAGATTAGAAGAAAATTGCAACTGAAAAGATAGTTTCTTAGTCATATACTATGGTCTGAATATTTGTGCCCCTCAATTAATAACTTGAAATTTTAACTCTCCGGGTGATGTTATTAGGAGTTGGTACCATTACCCGTGGCAAATATTCAAGTTACTGGTGGCAAATATGTACAGGTCCACAGCAACCTTAATTCTTGCCTCCTTAGAAGAACGAATTTGACTGAGGGGTATAAGGCAGAAAAAGAGACTGAGGCAAGTTTTAGAGCAGGAGTGGAAGTTTTATTTAAAAAGCTTTGGAATAGAAAATAAAGGAAGGGATACTTCAAGAGACCCAAGCAGGCACCGAGTGCCATGTTTAATCATGATCCTAGGACTTTATAGGCTGGCCCCTTTCCAGTGATTCTTCCCTTAGGGTGGGCGGCCCACATGCACAGTGCCCTCCTTACCCTTGGGAGGTGAGCACTCACAGTGTGTTTAGGAAGTTGTATGCAAGCCCATCTCAGGCTTTCTTCCCTTTTCCAGTGGTGTGCCCCCAGAAGGTGACACTCCACCATTTTGTCTTTTGATACATATGACTGGGAAGTTGCTTCCCCCAGGAGCCTGCACTCAATTAACAATTTGCAACAGGTGTGGACCATCAGGAACTGGCCTCTCCCTGGAACCACCAATTTATCACTTTTAGAGAGGCAATGTGATAATTGCCAAACAATCATCCAACATTCCTAGTGGATGGAGGAGAGCCTTCCCTGCCCTGCTCATGTCTGCCTAACTACCTGTAACAATACCTTTGGAAAGTGAGGTAGAAATGAAGGTGGAACTTAGTGCCCTTATAAAAGTGGTCTGAGAAATACCCCCTTACCCTTTCCACCATGTAAGGACACAGCTAGAAGGCAATATTTGTGAACTAGGAAGCAGGCTCTCATCACATGGAGTCAATCAGTGTCTTGATCTTGGACTTTCCAGACTCCCAAGACTGTAAGAAATAAATTTCTGTCGTTTGAGTTACTCAGTTTATGATATTTTGTTATAACAGCCCCAATGCACCAAGACAACATAGTTCCTAAGAGGAAGAAGATATGATAAAATGGGGGTTCACACTGAGAAACACGGGGGTCATCTAGTGAGTTCTGGAGAATAGTTGTCTAGTACTTGACCCAGGGGTTGGTAAGGACAGGATAGTCACCTAGAGTGTGAAAGCCTGACATGCGATGTTGTCCTGGACTCTAGATTCATTGATTTGTGTTTGAAAGCATGTTCCTGGGTGAGTTGTTTACTATCCCTAAGAACTGGCTAACTCTAGGAGGTACAGTCCCTCTAAAGTCAGCAAGGCTCCAATGTCAAAGCATTAGAACACAGAAAATAAAATACAGTGCTAACAATATAAGTGAATACAGTGTTCATAGCTGAATATAGTGCTAACAATATAAGTGGCTTATCAAACAATTTCCCTTACCTATGATACAAAAACAGGAATATCAGAATTTAAGAATCAGGCATAGTTTCTGTTAAATCTGTGATGAAAAAAGGTATTTTATATTGTCAATCTAAATTCAAGTTGTGGAAAAACAGAGTACAGACTACTGCCTAGGTCTTTTCATTTTATTTAAAAAGAAAAAAATTGTATTGAAGTATTTCTATTCAGTATTATTCACATGTGTTTTGAGTTTGGGTAATTGTAGACATGAAATGAGTGTCAGAAAGGGCCTTGCAGTCTTTGTACTTTTAAATGCTTGTGGATTTCACTGCAATTTAAGGTCATGTAAACAGAGAAAAAACTCACAACTTTGAAATTGCCATGCTATTCATCAAGGAAACGTTTTTGGGGACCAATTTTTCTATTGGAATAGAAGATAGAGTAGGTCATTTAGAAGCCCTGCACTGTAAAAGTCCAGGTCTCGTTCTCCTTCCCTCCCTCATCACAGCTATCTAAATATTTCTTGATCACTCAAAAGAGATAATCTAACCAATGTACAAAGTGGAAAAAAATAGTAAAGTGTTAAGATGAAGGAGGATATTTCATGCAAATGTATTTAAGACTGGCCTGTTAAACTCAATTGAACACTACTTTTCATATGATTTGAATAGAAAAATATATTCCATATATTATTCAGAGTACTATGAAACAAAACTGAGAAAACCTTGGTGTTTTAGAGGACTTTCGTGTATTTAGTCATTCACTCATTTATTAAACAAATACTCGATTGCCTACTGGGAGCCAGTTCTATTTGCTGGGAATTTAATGCTGAGGATGAGAAGCAGGAACCCTGTCATAAAACAGATTAAGGAAATAAACCACATCTAATCATATCTATATGCACAAGAGTTCCACAAAATCTGAGACTCAAAGAAGGGCCAGAATATTGAAGCTTATATAATTGCATCCTGAGCTAAAGAAAGGAATAGGAAATTGGGGCTTCTTGGGGCAACACAAGTTATGGGAAGGTTAGGCAAGGAAATGTATGGTGAATAAAGGTGGTTTTGTTATGCAGAGAAAAGTCTCCCAGGTAACAATGGATTCCATTCAAGCAGAATGGAATCAATAATCTCACAAGTGTAGACAGAGATAAATTAGTAAAGGAACAAGTAAGCAAAATACATTCAGGCTAGTGATAAGAGTTATGAAGGAAGTGAACAAGGTGATAAATGCTGGAAAGGAAGACATGGATTTAGATACAGTGGAAGGATAAAACTTCTCAGACGAGGTGACATTTGCACTGAAGCCTGAAGTGTAAGACTTTATGGCCTTATGAATCCTTACACTGGAAGCCAAATTAATCGAGAGTTTAGACTGAGCCTTGATTAGAAGAGAGAATTTTTAAGTGCAATGTGGTTCCATTGAATGACTTTAAGCCAATAGTAACACAATCTGTCCTTTTGACAAATTAAAAATAAATACTGTTTTGGTACGATGCTATTCAAAGTATCACTATGCCTATTTTTCTAAATAATTTTAATTAAGTTCAATATTATGCTTATATGAAACTATTGGACCAGGACTGATAGATATGATACAACTTTTATTTGAATATGTTTTTCTTGAATGTCTAAGCAAGTGAAGAATAGCTTCCCTCCACTCTTCTACGTTCCTTGGCTGGCCTATGAGTTAAATTGACATAAAACAGATTAAGGAAATAAACCACATTTAATCATATATATATGCACAAGAGTTCCGCAAAATCTGAGACTCAAAGAAGGGTCAGAATATTGAAGCTCATATAATTGCATCCTGAGCTAAAGAAAGGAATAGGAAATTGGGGCTTCTTGGGGCAACACAAGTTATGGGAAGGTGAGGCAAGGAAATGTATGGTGAATAAAGGTGGTCTTGTTATGCAGAAAAAAGTCTCCCACGTAACAAAAGTAGTCAATGAGCAGCCCTAAGAAGAGAGGACAGCCTTACTGGGTTAGTATTGGCCTCTAGGCTCCTCTCCAGCCATTTAAGTCAGTCTTTCGTGGTTGGAAGAATTCCTGAGAAGGGGATTTATGACATGTAAGATTCATTTGGAGGATCCATCTTTATGCAGATTAGAGGAGCTGAGAAAAAGCCTCTGCCTGAATCCACTGTTTTCCCAAGTGCCTTCAGTTCAAAGTGATCAGCACACTGAAGCATCACATTTTGGGGTGACATTTCCCGAATTGGACCTACATTTTAGGTAAGATGTACATTCTGATATGCAGCTTTTATTTCATTAACCAAATTATATATCTTATATAAATTAGGTGCTCTCAAATATAAGCGACAGATCCTGTGATTCAAACCAACTCTATGAATAAGGAAACATTGTAGTACATAGCAAGACGTAGGATAGACTCAATCAGCTGGTGAGTTCAAGTCTCCATCTCTGTTTCTTCGTGGAGCCCCTTGACTCTGGCCCACTGTGTTGCCTTAGCCTTTAGATCAACTTCTATTGTGGCCACAAGATGGCAGCCAGCAGCCATAGGGGCAAAAGGCCTTTGTTCATACCTAAAAGGAGAGAGATCTATCCTTTAAATATGGGAGAAAATGTCTTATTATCTGACTGTGTCCCCTATGGGTGAATAATAGTCATGTCATGTAATAATTCTCTAACATCTGAATTGCTGAAATAATTACAAGAAAAAGTAGTGGGATTTCCCTAGAGCTAGGCATGCTATGAGATTTCCTTGCACAGAGAATAGGTGAATTCTACCCACTTTTACTGTCGTCCTCATGTTCCAGCCAATGAAGCCCAGTGACCCAAAAGGAAGAAAAAATGGGAGATAAATTTTGTCTAGGCAACAATAATTCTTTAGTAGTTAGTTATAAGAAAAATTTTTATGCTATACCTAAATTTGAAGTTCAGGGATTGTATGACTAAGTATGTACAAGGCACTGCATGGGCTGACCAGAGTATAAAGATAAATTAAGTCTAGTAGAAAAGTATAGATTTTTTAAATGATAGGAAATGACATCTGAAAATGCTAGGAATACATCTATGGTTCATCTCCCATTGGGCCAGTTTGCTCAAATATGACTGAAGATATGAGAGCATTTGAACCTTAGAAAAACCACATAATTTTTCTTCTTCCACAAGTATTATTTTTTGCAGATAATAGAATGAATGTGGGAGGTTTTTTTCTTTTTCTTTAGTAATATCCATGGAATATTTTACTAAAAATATGGACTTTAAAGTCAAATAATGGAGACTCAAAAGTTGATTCTACCTACCACTTAACCACTTGGCCACTGGGGTCAAGTAACAGTCTCTCAGCCTCCTCTGAGATAGATATTTATAAAATATCCATTCATAATATTTATTACTCCATTTCCACACTGCTATGAAGAACTACCTGAGACTGGGTCATTTACAAAGAAAATAGGTTTAATTGACTCACAATTTCACATGGCTGGGGAGGAACCTTACAATCCTGGCCAAAGGCAAAGGAGAAGCAGGGCCCGTCTTACATGGTGGCAGGAGAGACAGAGAAAGCAAAATGGGAAGTGCCACACTTTTAAACCATCAGATCTCGTGAGAACTCACTCATTATTACGAAAACAGCAAGGGGGATATCTGCCACCATGATCCAATCACCTCCCACTAGGCTCCTTCTGACACATGGGTATTACAATTAGACATGAGATTTGGGTGGAGACACACAGCCAAACCATGTCACAGTAAATACAATATATTATTGCTTTTATGGATTATCTTATTATAATTGTGGATTTCTTTTACAGTTATGACATACTGTGGAACATTTCTCATAATATCTGGTTCTGAGATACTTGGATATTTGAGGATAACAGAACTCCTTCACAGATGCCTCATTAACAAGTGATTTTGAATACATGACTATTTCAAAATGTACCTTCTAATTTATATATTTTCTAATTGCAAATAGGTATATTATATTATGTGCTTGATTCACTGATGATTCTGCAAAGACCTGGAACACCTATGGATAAATTCAGTTTCTGGAAACAGATGGTTCCATTTGTTTGCTACTGTTTTAAAGGGTTGTCGTCACCATTTTTAAGTGTCTCTGGCTTTCCGGTGCTAATGCTATTCACCAGTTACAGTTGTTTTTAGACATTTTCAAGTTCTAATATTACATTTGATTTCTTTTTCAATGATGAGAGTTAATTCTGTTCTGTTAATTATACTTCAAGGCTCAGGCTTTTGTGATACACAAAATTCCTGATGTTAATAATGGATTGCCTCACATCTCCTAGCCATTACAATTTTTAGACAACTCATTTAAATAGGGTATGGTTTAAAAGCTTTTATTAATATTAAAATGCTAACACTTTTTGCAATAGCTTCCTGAGTCTTCCCAGAATCAGGATTCACTAAAAGCAACTCTGCTGGGCCAGCACAGCAGTATGCTCAGTTAATTATAAGCTTCAAGAAGGAGCCTCTGGTAGAGATGAATGGTTTATATAAAGGGCCTTAGATGTGGGGAAGCATGTGGGACTGAAGACAGTTTGTGGGTCTGAAGGAAAGGGTATGAGCATGGAGAAGCATGGAAGAGATAGGCTGTAGAGTGAGGTGGGAGCCAAGCCATGGATAATCTTGGGTTTCATGCTAAGATACTTTAAGTCTCCTGTGAAAGAAATGACAGGCCACTAAAGAATTCCACCACTGGAGGTAATATCATCAGATTCACAGTTTGAGGGATTTCTCTGGTTGTGTTTCTGAACTATAGATATTTATTGGAATCTAAATGCTACTTTTTCTTATATTTCATATATTTTCTTTTCTATTGTTTCATTTTTTCCCAGACCACATAAATATGTGTGTTTTCCTCATCGATTCTTTTTTTACAGATTATAATGATTTGTTATTTAATGGAAGCCTCTACTTTGAAATGTAGAAGGTCACATATTTTAGTCTTGAGATGATGAAGTTTGATTCAGTCACAAAGAACCAAATGTACTTTTTTACAGACAAAACTGGCTCTACATGATGTTGCTTTGACATTTGATTAACTGCCTTTTTTTTCCCTTTTGGCTGTTACTGATATTTGAAACATTTTACAGATTCGCTCTTTGTAATAACATCCTGTCCATCAGCTAATTTCATTGCTGAGATTTCTGCATGCAACTGCTACTGAAATCAATGTCAGCTCTGGGAGCCAATCCAAGAGCAGACTTGGCTCAAGTCTACAGTGGTCTACAGAGGTGACTTCATTTACTCTTTCAGTTTGATAGACATAAACTATTCTTAGATGTATTTACTGAAAATATCGATATGACTAAAATGTAATAAAAATAAAATTATGTTGTTTTTATGTCCATCACATAAAGGATGCTAAATAGATTAAATACTTTTTTACCCTGTTTACTCAAAATATAAATCTTTATCCGTATTTTTCATTGAAATCTATATAGTAAGATTGTTAAGAAAAAGAGCCAGAATGCCCTATTTGAGATTTCTTCCACTTGCTAAGGTCCCACTTCCTGTCAAAGTTCATATCAACCAAACCATTATTTTTTGAAGTTCATTGAATAATTCAACATTTTTTCATTTTATACTTTTTATCAATAATCACATAGAGAAACACATATTTACTTGCAAGACTGTGTCTTTATTAAGACTTTTTTTCCTTCATTTTATTTTTTTTCTTCGTCTTTGTGTCCCCAGCCTTGAATACACTTCAATAAGCCCTCAGTTAATGCTTGTTGAATTCACAGAGGGAGTTTGGGCCGCCAATAAAGAGAAAAGTTCATAGTGGTCCTTGCAGAAATAAGTATGTCCATATTTAAAAGAAAAAAAATTGCCATGTGTAGATATCATTTATTAATGAATAATGTATATAGTGGATACACAAGTAGGTAAGTTGATAGATTATAAATAGATACATGATATTTAGATAGATAGTAATGTATAAGGGACCCTTAAAAATGTGAACAAACTTTCTGTGTTTTTTAGTAGAGCAAATAACACTACAACTAAGATATCCATGTTTTCCATCTTTATCATTATTAGGAAATAAATTTTAGAAATAAAGATTCTTAATTGCAAGCAGTTTATAGCATTAAAATGTGAATCCCTAATTTGATTTTTTGCTGAGATATGTTAGAATGACTACAAAAACATGTCTTTGCAGCCTGCCACTTTAATAAAAACCAAACCACACCACTTGACCAACCAGAAAAAAAAAACCAAACTCAGACATTGAAAGACAAAAAAGAGTAAGTTTAAATCTCTCTAATCTTAAAAATGGCCAGTTTCCCAAAACTATGTCACATCCTTTTTACCCATCTTGTTCCTTTATTTCTTGGACAAATGTCTTATAAGAATTACACTTATGTTAGCTCTTTCCATTTCCTTCAATGACAATCTTTTTCCAAAGCATGGAGGGATAAGCAAAATCTCAGTGCATGAATCTGCTTTTTGTCCTGAGCACATTTGCTTAGATAGCACACTTGGTTTCAGGGTTTGTGTTAAGTTAGTCGGGGTGGGCAGAAGCCTGTCTATGTGAGAGGCATGTCTTTATATTAAGCCAAAATCTCTTCCATATACAGCTGACAACACAAAGGGCCACCTCCCTTAGATTAAAGATGGAGCAAAATTAAAGCCGACAGCATCCCCCAACATTGGAGAAATGCAGGGAAATCTGCTTTGGGACTTAGCAGAATAACAAAAAGAAAAAAAAAGAAGAAGAAGAAAAGAGAATCACTACCTGTTCATATAAATGTTGGGGCACAGTTAGGCCTTTACAGGGATTTAAACACCTGTATTCAAGGGCTATTTGGACAAGAAACCTTGAAGTTGTAAAATTGGTTTGAATCAGTATGGGCTTTATTACTGTGACTGCAATAATCTAAGCCAGTTTCTTAGACTAGATTTTTTGACAGTGAAAGCGAAGTCAAAAGTACGTTTTGTACTATGATCTGATTCGTACTCACATACATACACACACAGACATACACACATAACTGAACAAAAGTTTCAAGAGATGAGTTTCTCTTGGCACATGTTATATTCTCTAACATTTTCTGTTTTATTATATTTTATAACAAAATACTGTCTGTGACCTATGAAACTGATTTCATAACCTAATAATGGGTCGTGTTGTACAGTTTAAAAAAAACAGTAATCTAACAGGAACCATATAGAAATGATACTCAGTCTGTGTCATCCTGTTTAGTCTTTCTTCCCATATAATAGCCATTTCTGCAAAAGCAGTCCCTTTTCATTGCCTTAAGTAAAACTGCATGGCCACTTGTGTTTTTCTTCTATGTGGTAAAAACCAGTTTAACTATACAAAATGGACATTATTTGAACTCCTTCGTCAGGTTCCTAAAATATAACTGTGTACAAGTTTACTTATATCTATTTGTGCCATTTTCTCAGAGAGAAACAATAAATAAGCACCTAATGCTTAAAAATAAGACATCTACTTATGAACAATCAAATACAGTGCATTATTGGGGAGAAATAGCTATAGAGGAAATTATTGATGTAGGTGGCAAATTTCAAGTACAGAGCGTGTATTATACAATAGTAGTGTATCTAACTTGGATTTCCTAATTTTGATAATAGTATAGTGCTTATATAATTTTTTCTTGCAAAATACAAATTAAAGTATTTCAGGATAAAGTTGCATAATGTCTGCAATTTCCTTTCAAATGACAAAAGATTCACGGAAAAATGCGTATGAGTGTTATAAGAAAATCTTGGGACTGTAACTTCTCCCTCAAACCGGAAAGAAGCTGAGATTTGAGATATAAAAGGGTGACTTGGACAGTCCTGCTTGATGAGTAGATAAGTTTATTAGGACTTACAAATGGGGCACTCCTGGACAGCAGCAGGACAGCTCTAGAGATCCATGCCACCTCCCATCTCTAAACTGCTTTTAAGCTAATTTTCCAGCTCTTTGCCTACTGTGTTTGAGCAATGAGACTGTTTACCCTGGTAGGTTCTCAGAGATTCTTCAGGATGTTTGAGTTCCCAGGAACACCTGTACACAGCTGGCCACCATGACCTTGGCTCACTGTCCAGCCTACAAGGGTCAGGCAGCACATATTCACCCTTAAGTAACCTAGTTGGGGACCCATCACACTACAATCCATCCCATCCCCTAACTCTTACACTCTTTCCACCAATTTTGCATTATAGTCCTTGAGTAGGGTACCAGGGAAATAACTATACAAGCCTATAATGTTTAGCCATGGCTTATGAATACAGTCCTCATCTACAGTATACATAACAGCATACAAAGCAGAAGCTAACTACAATTATGATGCCTATTAGCAAAACATAACTCCATTCAGTGGGTAAGATATGTAACCATTTCAGAATGGGGCAAAGAAACTTAATTGAACTGCATCATGGATCTGAGTTTACAATAATTTGAAGCATCTCTGACGTTATTCTCTTTAAAGGCTCAACAGGTAGCGCCCAGAAAGTCACATGTTTTTGGTCTCAATTGAGTTGGCGATTGGGTGGATGCAATCCCCTGTGAGCCCAGATTGCACTATTGATGCTGTTGAACCAGTCACTCCAGTTCTGTTGGGAGAAATGCAGAATATTCCAAGGCATACCATTGTTGTTTTACAGGGGGAGGCTTATATCCAACAACCAGACTTGTTGCTGACTGCTAGTATAATTGCAGATCAGTCTAGAAAGACATTACCAGCTGCCATGGGTACCAGGAAGAGCAGCTGTGTGCATAAACACAGGTGTTTAGTAAGGACCATCATGGGTATATCTATTCCTTGTAACATTATTTCCATTGTATTTTCCCTCATTGGCCCTATTAGGGAAGCTGTCATGGGCTTTAGGCCTGGCTTATAGTACCATGCATGGATTCCTTTTCTAGGAGTGGGCATGATAGCCAAATTGGTAAGTTTTTGGCTTTGCCCATGGTATCCATATTATGATCACTCCAACAGATATTGGTGCCCCTACATGTTGATTTTGTAAAGCTCTCAGACCTCCAGCAAGCAGCACAGCTGAAACCACCACCCCTCTGGCAGTCTTCATGGTGCCCTCTAGCGCCATAAAACTGATCTAGTCTGGGGACATTTTCCAGCTCAACTTCAGGTCCACATTACCATCATCACTTCGCAGATCCACTTTAGTTCTCAGGAGCAGAGTCCGGCCATCTGGTTCAAGAGCACAGTTTGGTGTCTTAGACGTAACCCTGCAAATTTGCAGAGCCTGTTTTACAGGTCTTGCCAACCATTCATAGGGAATAATGCCATGTGTTGTAGTGGGCAACTCATTTAAAATGTGTATGGTTTCTGGGAGATTCTTAGTCCAAGACTTTAAAGAGCTGTCCTGGAACAGTGCACATAATTGGGTTTTTAACAGGCCATTGTTTTTTTCTGTGAAGTCTGCCCCTGTTGGTCATATGGTAAGTGGAATCTCCAGTGTATGTTTTGTTCTAATGTCCAGTATTAGATACCTCTGCTAGACCCGTCAGTGTACCAGACCCTATAGGTATTGATGGGGTCCTCTCATATATGGTAGTTGGCCTCATTTGTGGTTCCATTGCCATGTCAACCCCTTCACTTATTCTAAGTGGATGGGTTTGAGCACCTCCTGCAGTACCTGACTTGTAGGACTAGTAGACACCCCTTTGTTGTAGATAGATGTGTCATTTCTGCTGGGTGTGTGAATGTGCCACCCTGGAAGTGGGCTTGGCTAAGAGGCCTTCCACTCACCCTTTTTGGGGGTAGGCAGTTTTTCCTGTGATTGTCTGCTTTTTGGTGATAGCCTCCGCTTGTTGCAATGCTCTATAAATGGCCAATATCTACTGCACTAAGAATGAATAGTGGGATTCTGCCCTGTTCTATAATTGAGACCAAAAACCTATAGGTACCTTTCCTGTTGGTTGCTTTTGCCACAAACCCAAATTCATCCCTGTGCCATCTCTAGTGACTTCTAATATGAAAGGGTGCTGTGACAGTGGGCACTTAGTGCTTAAGCTTGTTTCATCTAATTTTTTTGCTCTGTCAAATACCTCTTGCTCCATGTATGTCCAGTTCCATTTTGATATTTTTTTTATTAGGGTATATAATGGGCAGAGGGCTTATGCCAACTGAGGAATAAATAGTAGCTCCAGTAAACCTCGGAAAACCTGGAGTTTACTGTCTGTGGAACAGGATGCTGTGCTATCTTATCAGTGTAGCTCCAAATATGTTTTGCATCAAGAGTTACTGGATTAGGTAACTCTTGGGAATCTGACAGTTAGGCCAGGTCCCTGTATCTTTTTGGGATACACTTCCCATTCACAGTCCTTAAGGCCATCCAAGATGGTTTGTAAGGCAGTCTCAAATCTGTAAGAGACTCTGAGATTAGCATATTATCTTTAATATAATGAAACAGGGAGACTAAGGCAGGTGGGTTGTGCAGGTACCTTTGTGGTAGCACATGGAAAGTCCATTGTTGACCCTCCTAAGTGATAACAAACTGATCTTATGAATCTTCTGCTAAAGGAGTACTGGAAAAGGCATTAGCCAAGTCAATTACAGCATGTGCATTTCTCAGCTTAAGGACTACTTGTTCTAGTAGGTGAACAATATTGAGTACAGCTGCACATATAGGGGGCCCCACTTTATTTAGCTCATGGTAGTCTACTATCATTTTCTAGGTGCCATCTGGCTTCTTCACAGGCCATACAGGGCTATTACAGAGGCTCTTGGCCAGGCTATCTGTACCTTATGTAATTCCTGGATTGTCTAGGTGATTTCAGAGTGTCTCCCTGGCAGATGGTATTATTTCAGCTTCACTGCCCCCCTGGGCTGAAAAGAGTATAGAGGCACCCATTTGGCCCATCCCTTTTTTGTTCCTGGATTACACTCAGTCCTCGCACTTACACAGATCACTGAAGTCCACCAGTGCTTACCCCGTATCACAGATTTTACTTCCCATTAACAGGCTCAGAAGTATGACCAGTGCCCCATATTATAGCCCTATTTAAATCACAAATTACCCAGACATTCAATGAGTATCTAAAATAATTTTAAGAATTTAAACTACACAAAAGATTCATCTACATGCATTTATCTGATTTACATTTACTCAATTTACTCATTTTTAGCAGTTTATCTCAATTACTCATGAGAACCAAGACTTTGTCTGGAAAGCTAATCATTATCCCAAGTTATTTCTTTGTTAACCTTTTTCACAGCCTGTGAATATCATGTGTTCACTGAAGCAAGAAACTCAAAGTTAAACACATGGGCATTTTTGCTAATAACTCACAAAATGCTGCCATTTTCATTAAACCAACAATATCAAATTAATCTTTATCAAAAAATCATGTAAACAAAAATTATTCTTTTTGTGGCTAGGCTTACAGTCTTATAAGCCTTATGTCAAACTCTGATAACTTAAAATCTCCAGCAGAGGCAAATATAAAACTTATCTAATGGTAAACCTAGACAAAAATGTACACTGACATTTCTGAAGAAATTTCTATTTTTATTTTACCAATAATTTTAAAGTCAACTTATTTATTAAAGATTACTAAATTCACATAAACTTGAAAAGCATTTGGACTTAATTTGAGTACTCGTTTACTTACAGCCATTTAGTAGCATGCTAGACAGACACAACATGTAACATAATACATGTCCATACACATAAGACTATCTAAACATGAATACACATACACATAAAGATCCAATAGCTGTTGCTCCAATAGGTAAACCCATGAGAGCTGTAGATCAAAATTTTGGATAAAGCAGTTTCTATAGGTGTTTGTTTTTCAAAGAAATCATTTTTACCCTTTTTTTCCATTTCAAATGAGTTTTCAATGTTTATTTACCTTTTAGCTAGAACTGACTGAACTATATGAAAAAAAACTCCAAGTAACGTTTGATTAGTAAGTTTTATCTCAACATCAGTAGCTTAATAACAACAGATTCAAAGCAAGCAAAAAAGAAAATAGAGAAACAGCTTTATAAGACTATATTTAACTCTATAGTTGTAGGTTAACCATTTGAGTTCTGAATTTTTCTTGCTATTGGCCCATCAGTTTTAAAATATGCACAAGAAAGGTCTATAATATGTAACCAGCTAGAGTCCTAAAACACTGCCATGCTTTTGAATTTCTGTAGGAGTTTCTCTCCTTTCTCCCTTTCCTGTTCTAATGATTTCTCATCAGCCAGCCTTATTGCAACAGCAGTGTATTTGCTATCTTTATAATACTTGAATATCTTACCTTCTTGTAATATGTGCTCAGTCCCTATACTCATGCAGTGGCCTACAAAAGTTGAGCAGTTAGGCAACTCCACTTCACATATACGTTGCCAATCATCTCGGGATTCCTCCCACAGATGTCCCTTTCTGACTCATCATTTAGTCTCTTGGATTCTGTTTATGATGCCAATTGTTATGAGAAAAATTGGGACTGTAATATCACCTCTATCCCAAACTGGGAAGGAGGTGAGAGACCAAAGAATCACTCGAATGAGTCTGGCTTGATTAGTAGATGAGTTTATTTGGACTTACATACAGGGCACTCCTGGATGGCCGCAGGACAGCTGTAGAGAGTTATGCCACTTCTCATCTCTAAACTGTTTTTAAGCTAATTTTCTGGCTCTTTGCCTACTGTGTTTGAAAGATGAGTCTGTTTACCTTGTTAGGTTCTCAGATACTCTCTGGGATGTTTGGGTTCTTAGGGACACCTGCTCTTTGGCTGAGCACCATGGCCTGGTTCATTGCACAGCCTTCAAGTTTCCAGAAGTGGACATACACCCTTAAAGTATGCTGGTGGGAAACCTGTCACACTACAATGAGGATGTGTGCATGTAGAGAAAGAGAAACATAAAATAATAAAAATAAGTCAAAAACTTAACACTTGTTGAATCTGATTAGAGTACATTGGAGTTCTTTATACCATTCATGCAAATTTAATATATTTATGGAATTGCATAAAAATTTAAATGATAAATAATAAATACACTTCTTGATAACCTATAGTTCACAGAAGAAATTACAATAAAAGTTAAAAACAAGTAATAATAAAAATGGTGCTTATGGGATGTAGCTTAAATAAAACCAGAGAAGGAGATTTTTCAAGTTTAAATGCATAGCTTTAAACAGCCATCTCAAGAAGTTAGACAAAGAACAATAATTATCCTCCCAAAGATACACAAATGGAGGAATGAAATAAATGAAATAATAAAGAACAAAAATTCATGAAATAGAACTAAAATAAAGAGGCCCAACAAAGCCAAAAATTGATTCTTTGAAAAGTAAAATAAAACAAAAACTATTCTCAAGATTCATTTAGTAAAACAGAGAAGGCAACAATAATCAAGTCAGAAATAATGAAACATGTAATTACAGATATCATGGACTTAGGTAGAGATTCAGATCACATTATGAACAACTTTATGGCAAAATCATACATATTTATATGGATTAAATAAATTCTTAGAAAGAGAAAACTTACCAAACCTGAATGGAAAAAATATACATAACATAAAACAACATGTACTCATTGGAAAATTGAATGAATGTATTAAAATATTAAGACAAAGCGAACTCCAGGCCAAATGGTTTCTATGAAAAGTTTTACAAAACATTAAATAATAAAGCATTTCTAAGTTTGCAAACTTTTCTGGAGGAATTAGGGAAAAAAATAATTCTAAATTTATTTTAGGAGACTGACAAAAATTGTATTTCAAAAATCTAACAACCATATAGCAATAGTAAATTATAGGTCAAACACTTTTATAAATATAGGTGTATACATCCTAAATAAAATATTAAAGGAGTGAATTCAACTATATATAAAGGTACCTTATGGAAATATCATTTACCATTGAATAATTAATGACATGAATAATGAACAAGTTGGTTCATCTAAGAAATGCAAGAAAACTTTCTCAATAAGATGAAGGGTATCTACAACTTACCTACAGCATCGGTAACTAGAAATCTTTCCTTTTGAGATCAGGAAATAGAAAAATGGTCTACTATCATCACTTCTGTTTAATACTGTGCTGAAGTTGAAAAAAAAAATAAGGCCATAGTTCATAATGACATGATTAGATAGCTAATTCAAGATAAACAGTACAACTAATATAAAAGCTTAGCAAGGTTGATGACATCAAAATAAATATCCAATAATCCTTTGTGTTTCTAAATATAATAAAAATTAATATCCAGTAATATATACCCATTAATAAATCTAACAAACACATGAAAGGAATTCTATAAGAAAAAAAATTCAAATAAATTGATGGAAAATTACATTATAACCTTGGATTACAAACCTCAGTTTTATTAACCAATCAGATATCCTCAACTTGAAGTATAGATTAAATGCAATCTAAATGGAAATTTTGGAGGAGGGGGCCAAGATGGCCTATTAGAAGCAGCTACTGTGTGTGTCACTCATGGAGAGGAACAAAAGGGGTGAGTAAATAGAGCACCTTCAACTGAAATATCCAGGTGTTTGCACTGGGACTAATCAGGGAAACAACTTGGCCCACAAGGAATGAGGAAAGGCAGGGCAGGGTGACGGCCCACCCAAGAGCAACACAGAGCCAAGGGAACCCCATCCACCCCCAGCCAAGGGAAGTGTTAACTGTATGTGTGACTCCATGCTTCTCCCACAGATCTTTGCAACCCCACAATCAGGAGATACCATCATGAGCCCACCCCACCAGGGCTTTGGTTCTGACACACAGAGCTGTGTAGTATATCAGCAGAGCAGCTGCTCATGCATGCACAGAGACCCAGGAGCTTTACATACCCTGGCCCCAGGATCCCTGACAAAGGTGATTACAACTCAGGCAAGGCAGGAGGTTTGTATAGACCCCTAGGAAGGAAGCTGAATCCAGGGGTTCCAAACAGTGTTGGTCTGTGGGCTCCACTTCCACAGCACCTCACAAGATAAAACCCACTGGCTTGGAATTCCAGCCAGCTACCACCAACAGGATAGAGACTGTATGAGACAGGATGGAGTCCCCAGAGGGAGGGGTGAGCCACCATCTTTGCTGTTTGGATGACTCGGCTGTTCCAGCCTGAGAGTTTGGAGAGTCCAAACAGTCCTGATGAAGAATAGACCCCCTCTCCCCCCACCACCCCAGTATAGCACAGTTGCTATTCCAAAATGTGACCAGACTGTTTCTTTAAGTGGGACTCTGATCCATTCCTCCTCACTGGGTGGGACCTCCCAGTGAGGGCCTCCACCCACCCACACCCACCCATATGCTACAAGCAGAGCTGTAATCTCTCCCTGAGATGGATTTTCGGGGGGTAGAGAGGGGTTGGCCACCACCTTGGTTGTTTGGACAACTTAGCTGTTCCAGCCTGCAGGCTTTGCAGAGTCCAAGCCAATTTGGGCAGAGGAGGCTCCTCAGGATGGCATGGCACTGCTGTTTTGTTCAGTATTGGTTACACTGCTTCTTTATTTTTATTTTTAAATTTTCATTCATTTATTTATTTTTTGAGATAGAGTCTTGCTCTGTCACCCAGGCTGGAGGGCAGTGGCATGATCTCGGCTCACTACAACCTCTGCCTCCTGGGTTGAAGCTATTCTCCTGCCTCAGCCTCCTGAGTAGCTGGGATTACAGGTGCCCGCCACTGCGCCCAGATAATTTTTGTGTTTTTAATAGAGATGGAGGTTCACTATGTTGGTCAGGCTGGTCTCAAACTCCTGACCTCAGGTGATCCACCCACCTTGGCCTTCCTAGAATGCTTCTTTAAATGGGACCCATAATCATTCCTCCTCACCCAGCAGGTCCTCCCAGCTGGGTCCTCCAGCCACTCCTGCTTGTGTTTTACCACTGACAGAGTTCTAATTTATCTCTGGGATGGAGTGCATGGGGGCCAGGGAAGGCCACCATCTTTCTGTTTGAATGTCTCAGCCAGTCCAGCCTGTGGGCCTTGGAGAGCCCAAACCAATCAAAGGTTGAAAGGATAACCAACACAACACAGCTTCTCTACCAAAATGCAGCCAGACTGTTTCTTTAAGCAGGTCCCTGATCCCATTCCTCCTGACTGGGTGAGACCTCCTAACTGGGGTCTCTAGCCACCTCCAACAGGTGTGTTTGGGCCAGCAGCAGTTCAGTATCCACCTGGAATGGAGCTCCCAGAGAAAGGGGTAGGCTGCCATCTTTGCTGTTTTGCAGACTTCACTGGTGATACCTCCAGTTGCTGGAAAACCTGAGGACACTAGCTTCTGAAGCAGACCCCCAGCATACAACACCACAGCAGCGCTATGAAGAGTAGCCAGTGTTAAAAGAAAAACAAACAGCAGCAGCAACAACAACAAAACCCACAAAAAAGTCCATCCAAAGTTCAGCAGCCTCAAAGATTGAAGGCAGATAAGCCCACAAAGATGAGAAATAAACAGCACAAAAACACTGAAAAATCAAAAAGCCAGAGTGTCCGCTTTCTCCTAATGGCCACAATACCTTTCCAGCAAGGGTCGAGAACTGGGCTGAGACTGAGATGGCTGAAATGACAGAAGTAGGCTTCAGAATGTGGATTAAAACAAACTTCACTGAGCTAATGGAGCATGTTGAAACCCAATGCAAGGAAGCTAAAAATCGTAATAAAACAATGCAGGAGCTAACAGCCAAATTAGCCAGTACAGAGAGAAATATAACTGACCTGATACAGCTGAAAAACACACTACAAGAACTACACAATGCAATCACAAGTATTAACAGCAGAATAGACCAAGCAGAGGAAAGAACCTCAGAGCTTGAAGACCGTCTTTCTAAAATAAGACAAGCAGACAAGAATAGAGAAAAAAGAATAAAAAGGAATTTTAAAAACCTCCAAGAAATATGGGATTATGTAAACAGACTAAAAGTACAATTGATTGTGGTACCTAAAAGAGATGAAGAGAATGGAACCAATTTGGAAAACATATTTCAGGCTATCATTCAGGAGAACTTCCCTAACCTAACTAGACAGGCCAACATTCAAATTCAGGAAATGTGTAGAATGCTGGTAAGATACTCCATTAGAAGATCTACCCCAAGACACATAATTAGCAGATTCTCCAAGGTTGAAATGGAAAAGAATGTTAAGGGCAGCCAGAGATAAAGGCCAAGTCACCTACAAAGGGAAGCCTATCAGACTAACAGTGGGACTTTTAGCAGAAACCCTACAAACCAGAAGAGATTGGGGGCCAATATTCAACATTCTTAAAGAAAAGAATTTCCAACCCAATATTTCTTATCCAGCCAAATTAAGCTTCAAAGGTGAAGGAAAAATAAGCTCCTTTTCAGACAAGCAAATGCTGAGGGAATTTGTTACCACCAGACATGCCTTACAAGAGCTCCTGAAGGAAGCATTAAATGTGGAAAGGAAAAACCGTTATCAGCCACTACAAAACCACACTAAAGTAAACAGACCAGTGACACTATGAAACAACCACATAAACAAGTCTGCAAAATAACCAGCTACCATTATGATGACAGGATCAAATTCACACATAACAATACTAACCTTAAATACAAATAGGCTAAATGCCCCAATTAAATGACACAGAATGGCAAGCTGTATAAAGAACCAAGACCCATCAGTATGCTGTCTTCAAGAGACCCATCTCACATGCAAAAACACACATAGGCTCAAAATAATAGGATGGAGGGAAATTTACCAAGCAAATAGAAAAGAGAAAAAAGCAGGGGTTGCAATCCTAGTTTCTGACGAAACAGACTTTAAACCAACAAAGATAAAAAAAGACAAAGAAGTGTATTATATAATGGGCTCAATTCAACAAGAAGAGCTAACAATCCTAAATGTATGTGCATCTAATACAGGAGCACCAAGATTCATAAAGCAAGTTTTTAGTGACCTTCAAAGAGAGTTATACTCCCACACAATAACAGTGGGAGACTTTACCACCCCACTGACAATATTGGACAGATCATTGAGACAGAAAATTAACAAAGACATTCAGGACCTGAACACAGCTCTGGATCAAGTTGACCTGATAAATATTACAGAATTCTCCACCACAAAACCACAGACTATACATTCTTCTCATTGCCACATGGCACTTACTCTAAAATTGATCACATAATTGGAGGTAAAACACTCCTCAGCAAATGCAAAGTAACTGAAATAACAACAAACAGACTCTTAGACCACAGCACAATCAAATTAGAACTAAAATGTAAGAAATTCACCCCAAACTATTCAACCACATGGAAATTGAACAACCTGCTCCTGAATGACTTTTGGCTAAATAATAAAATTAACAGAGAAATCAAGAAGTTTTTTGAAACTAATGAGAACAAAGACGCAATGTACCAGAATCTCTGGGACAGAGATAAAGCAGTGTTAAGAGGGAAATTTATAGTATTAAATGCCCCTATCAAAAATCTAGGGAAATCCCAAGTGAGAACCTAATGTAACAACCAAACTAACTAGAGAAGCAAGAATAAACAAACCCCAAAGCTAACAGAAGACAAGAAATAACTAAGATCAGAGCTGAACTAAAAGAGATAGAGACACTAAAACCACTTCAAAAGATTGATGAATCCAGGAGCTGGCTTTTGAAAAGATTAATAAAATAGAGGGACCACTAGCTAGACTCATAAAGAAGAAAAAAGAGAAGATTCAAATAAACACAATCAGAAATGATAAGGAGGATATTCCCACTGACCCCACAGAAATAGTCAGTTGTCAGAGAATATTATGAACACCTCTATGCACATAAACTAGAAATCTAGAAGAAATGGATAAATTCCTGGATGCATACACTCTCTCAAGACCCAGCCAGGAATAAATTGAATCCCTGAACAGACCAATAATGAATTCTGAAATTGAGGCAGTAATAAACAGCCTACCAACCCCCCCCAAAAAAAAAGCCCAGCAGCAGAGAGATTCACAGTTGAATTCTACCAAAGGTACAAAAAAGGGCTGGTACCATTCCTACTGAAACTATCCAAAAAATTGAAATGGAGGAACTCCTTCCTAACTCATTCTATGAGGCCAGGATTATACTGATACCAAAACCTGGCAGAGATAACAACAGAAATTTAACTTCAGGCCAATATCCTTGATGAACATTGATGCAAAAAAATCCTCAAAAAACTACTGGCAAACAAAATTCAGCAGCACATCAAAAAGCTAATCTACCACAATCAAGTAGGCTTCATCTCCAGAATGAAAGGTTGGTTCAACATATGCAAAACAATAAATGTGATTCATCACATAAAGAGGACCAAATTTAAAAAACCACATAATTATCTCAATAGATGCAGAAAAGGCCTTCAGTAAAATTGAACATCCCTTCATGTTAAAAAAAAAAACTCTTAATAAACTAGGTATTGAAAGAATATACCTCAAAATAATAAGAACCACATGTGACAAACCCACAGCCACTAGCATACTGAATGGGCAAAGCTGGAAGAATTCCCCTTGAAAACCAGCACAAGATAAGGATGTCCTCTCTCACCACTCTGATTTAACATGGTATTGGAAGTTCTGGGTTGGGTAATCAGGCAAGAGAAATAAATAAAGTGTATTCAAATAGGAAAAGAGGAAGTTAAATTATCTTTGCTTGCAGGTGACATGATCCTATATCTAGGAAATCCCATTGTATCATTCCAAAAGCTCCTTAAGCTGATAAGCAAGTTCAGCAAAGTCTCAGAATACAAAATCAGTGTGCAAAAATTGCTAGCATTTCTATACACCAACAACAGGCAAGCTGAGAGCCAAATCCCAAATGAACTCCCACTCACAGTTGCCACAAAGAGTATGAAATACCTAGAAATACAGTTAACAAAGGAAGTGAAGGATGTCTTGAAGGAGAATTACAAACCACTGCTCAAAGAGAACAGAGATGACACAAACAAATGGAAAAACATTCCATGTTCTTTGATAGGAAAATATTGTGCAAATGGCTATACTGCCCAAAGCAATTTATAGATTCAATGCTATTCCCATTAAACTACCCTTGACATTCTTCACAAAATTAGAAAAAAAACTATTAAAAAATTCATATGGAGGGCCAGCTGCAGTGGCTCATGCCTGTAATGCCAGCACTTTGGGAGGCCGAGGCAGACAGATCACCAGGTCAGGAGATCGAGACCATCCTGGCTAACACGGTGAAACCCCGTCTCTATTAAAAAATACAAAAAATTAGCTGGGCATGGTGGCGGGTGCCTGTAGTAGCAGCTACTCAGGAGGCTGAGGCAGGAGAATGGCGTGAACCTGGGAGGCGGAGCTTGCAGTGAGCCGAGATCGCACCACTGCACTCCAGCCTGGGTGACACAGTGAGACTCCATCTCAAAAAAAAAAAAAAAATTCATATGGAACCAACAAGAGCTAGCAAATCTAAGGCAATCCTAAGCAGAAAGAACAAAGCTATAGGCATCACACTACCCAACTTCAAACTATACTACAGGGCTACTGTAACTGAAACAGCATAATACTGATACAAAAACAGATACATAGACCCATGGAGCAGAATAGAGAACCCAGAAATAAAACCACATGCCTACAACCATCTGATCTTTAATAAGCCTGACAAAAGCAATGGGTAAAGGATTCCCTATTTAATAAACGGTGCTGAGAGAACTGGCCAGCCATATAAAAAAATTGAAGCTGAACTCCTTTCTTATACCATATACAAAAATCAACTCAAGATGGATTAAAGACTTAAATGTAAATCCCAAAACTATAAAAACCCCAGAAGTAAACCTAAGCAATACCATTCAGGACATAGGCACAGGAAAAGAGTTCATGACAAAGATGCCAAAAGCAATTGCAACAAAAGCAAAAATTGACAAATGACATCTAATTAAACTAAAGAACTTTTGCATAGCAAAGAAACTATCAACAGAGTGAACAGACAACCTACAGAATAGGAGAAAATTTTTGCAAACTATGCATCTGACAAACATCTAATATCCATCGTTTATAAGAAACTTACACAAACTTACTAGAAAAAAAAACCCCATTAAAAAATGGGCAAAGGACATCAACAGATACTTCTCAAAAAATACATACATGTAGCCAAAAAACATATGAAAAAAGGTCAACATCACTGATCACTAGAGATATGGAAATCAAAACCACAATGAGGTACCATCTCACACCAGTCAGAATGGCAATTAGTAAAAAGTCAAAAAAAAAAAAAAACAACACAGATGCTGATGAGGTTGTGGAGAAAAAGAAATGCTTTTACACTGCTGGTAGGAATGCAAATTGGTTGAATCACTGTGGAAGACAGTGTGACAATTCCTCAAAGACACAGAGACAGAAATACCATTCAACCCAGCAATTCCCTTTCTGGGTATATACCCAAAGGAATAAAAATTGTTTTATTATAAAGACACATGCACATGTATGTTCATTGCAGCACTATTCACAATAGCAAATACATGGAATGCCCATCAGTGACAGACTGGATAAAGAAAATATGATACATATACATCATTAAATACTATGCACTGATAAAAAGCAATGAGATCATGTCCTTTATGGGGAGTTGTATGGAGCTGGAGGCTGTTATCCTCAGTGAATTGAAGCAGGAACAGAAAACCAAATACTGCATGTTCTCACTTATAAGTGGGAGCTAAATGATGAGAGCACATGGACACATGAGGGGGAACAACACACACCGGGGCCTGTCATAGGGTGTGGGGTGGAAGGAGGAAAGAGGATCAGGAAGAATGGCTAGTGGATGCTGGGCTTAATACCTGGGTGATGGGATGACCAGTGTAGCAAACCACCATGGCACTGTTTACCTATGTAACAAACCTGCATATCCTGCACATGTACCCCAAACTTAAAATAAAAGTTAGAAATTTAAAAAAAAACACAAAGTTGAAATAACATTAAAAAAAACTTATTTAAAAAATAAAAATAAATGCAAATTTCAAGTTTTATGTGTATATATGTATGCGAAGAGGGTGAGGTTTTGTGTTAATGATAAAATAGGTAAGTTGCAAAAGACAGAGAGGAGTGTTTTTACTCTCAAAGAAAGATGGGAGGATTTGTTCTACACATAGCAAGATTTACCTAAAAGCTATTTTAATGAGGAGAGTGTGCTGTTTATGCAGGGCTACACAAATAGAATAAATAATTTAGAAACAGAAATACACATATCTGAACAATTGATATGTACTAGAGAAGGCACTACAGCATAGCAAATGAATTGTTTTTTCAATAAGTGTACTAGGATAATTTTCTATTCACTGAAAATATAAAATATCACTCTTCTGTATCATTAATTAAAATATATTCTTGGTTTATTCAAATCCTTACTATAAAAGTCACAGCAGTGAAGGTGTTAAAAGATAATATATCGGAATGTATTTATGGCTTCTCAGAAAGAAGCTTCTGAAAGGACAAGTATAAATCAGAAACCATAAAGGCAAAGATGAGTAAATTTGATTGCATTATAATTAAAACTTGTATTAGTAAATAAAGACATTATAAACATACTAAAAATAAAATATACAAAGTAGACTAAACTATTTGTGATACATGCTTAAAATTAGGATTTATAATACATAGATAATTATTACAAATTAATAGGAAAATCTCAGATAACCTAGTAAAGATTATAAAAAGTCAATTCATACAAAAGTCAATTAATAAAAAAAGTTTAAATGAGTAATTCATTTATGAAAGCAAACATTAGAATGCAAATAAAAATCTCAACAAAATAAAAACCATATATATTCATAAAATTGGCAAAATAAATCAGACGTCTGATCATTTTAGGTGTTGGCAAGGATATATAGAAATAGGAATAATTATATTCTACTAGAGGAAATTGTTGATATTGGCAGTGATATTTTTATCATGTTTACTACATGTTTATTGTGAACAGATGCATACACATCATTATAGTCTGAATGTTTGTGGTCCCCCCAGTTCATATGTGAAAATCCTAAAACCCAGGTGATGTTATGGGAAATAGACCTATATTTCCATCTTGTTTAAGCCAGAAGTATTTTGTACTTTGTTACAGGTGCAAAACCAGAATTCTAGTTAATATAGCTAGAAAAAACTAGCAGGAGAGAAATTAGAAAACACATTATTGGAGAACCTGGAAAATAATCATGACAATCTGGCCCAAATAAATAAATAGTCTCTGGAAACTCTATGAGAGCTTTAAGACTGAAGACTCTTTAAGTCTAAATATCCTCTAATTAGCAAAAATGTGAATTTTGAAACTAAAGAGTAGCTCTTTTCTATCACTAATTACTTTCAGTATGTTTATGTATAGTATAAGAATACACAATCTGCAATATACTGAAGGTTTCTAAACATCTAAATCCTTAGATGTTGTGATTGATATCTACACTTCTGGGAAAGATAGATAAGATCTATGGTCCTAGGTTCACAGCTGAAGAAAGCTGTCTGTTTCATTCTCAGGTGATACAGGGACACACACAGGTGCTAACTTGGAGGCCTCATTAGGACTTCTGAAGCATTTGCTCTCAGCCTATAAACAATTTTGTGCTTAGTATGTGTATGTGTTTGTTCAGCTTTTTTTTTTTTTCTTGAGACAATCACTCTGTCGCCCAGGCTGGAGTGCAGTGGTGCGATCTCGGCTCGCTGCAACGTCTGGCTCCTGGGTTCAAACAATTCTCATGCCTCAGCCTCTCGAGTAGCTGGGACCACAGGCATGCGTCACCACGCCCGGCTAATTTTTAGGTATTTTTAGTAGAGACAGTGTTTCACCATGTTGGACAGGCTGGTCTCGAACTCCTAACCTCAAGTGATCAGCGTTCAGTTTATTTCTAAAGGAACTTTATTATTATTGTTATTATATTATTATTTGTTTATTTTTGAGACAGGTCTTCTAGGCTAGAGCATAGTGGCGCGATTACAGCTCACTGCAGCCTCGACCTCTTGGGCTCAAATGATCTTCCGCCTCAGCCTTCCAAATAGATGGGACTACAGGCATGCACCATCATGCCTGGCTCATTATTATCTTTTTCTAAATTACTAACAGCAGAAATTGCAATTCACTAAGGCAGAATGGGCAATAAACTACTTAGATTTTCTTTTCCTTCTTCATTTTCAGTCTTAGTTGTTCTCTATTACCACCCACTGTGTATCAGGAGCTGCATCACAATCAGGCCAACAGCTTAGACAGTCCACATATATATAATAATACCACCATCTTTACAGGTAGTCAATAGACTATAATAAAAATTTACCTTTGCATTTAGACTTGATTTCAAGTTTTCAAATAGTAATACACTATTTTTGATTTGGACCAAGTAATTTAATCTGCTTAGAGCTCAATCCCTCATTAATAAAATGTAACATCTGCCATGCCTTTTTCACAGGAGAAGCAACAGAGCACATTCTGAAGGAAAATAACATGGGCCTGAATCTTGACTTTGCCATTATCTAGTCATACATTCTTGAGTATCAGCAAAATTTTCTAAACCTTATTTTTCTCATCTGACAAAAGAATAAATACACACACAGCAGGATTTTTATCAAGATTAAATGAGTTAATGGATGTGAGAGTGTATAGCAGAAGACCTCACACTAGTGAACCCTTAAAAAGCTTATTTAATTCATTTATTGTCACTTGGGATTTTAGGAAATATCAAATAAGGTAACAATGAGAAAGTATTTTAAAGTAATATACAACTCTTAGAAAATGTCATAGTCTCAAATAACTACTTTCCTTAGAAAGTGTACTTCTCCATATATCATTTAGAGAATGTGTCTTCTCAGTCTACAGTTATTGATAATATCAACAGTAGTATATGGGAAAAAATAGAGAGATAATTCAGAGGTCATATTAAAATTTAAATCTTGTTTTCTTTTCTATTAAATACTAGGAACAACAATTATGTCTGATTTATTTATGCCCTACTCTGTTATTAAAATATTTCAACAGATTAACAATATAGATTACAAGGCAAACAAACAGATTTCCAAATGTCTTCACTTTACTTCATATTAGCTTTCTGCACAATAGAAACTCAACTGACCTCATGGATTTTTCTACCGTTGGGACTTTTCTACCAAAGAAATTAACTTAATAAGTAAATTAATCTTTATAGTACCTAAAGTAATTATTATTTTCTTTCAAAGAAAATGGCAAAAAAATAGAAATGGGCTATGGCTTGGACAAATTATATAAATTACGTCTTCTCAAAAATGTAATTGGCTACTTTAACATAAAAAAGGGTTCAAATAAATTTGACTGGAAGTGTTTTCTTTCTAGTACACAGTGCAAGATTCATAGAATTCATATTTTATAAAAATAGTTCATGCAGGTGAAGAAAACTGTGCTCAAATTTGTGCTGAAACACCAATTGGAATCAGATGGCTTAAAAATCTATATAAGCTCAATGAGAAAATAAGATTAGTGAAAAAATCGCTTCTTTTTTTAATGAACATGCTCACTATGCTACCCACTTATAGTAAACTATGCAATGTAATGTTTTCTCAGAGGAAGATGTAAGAAGAGCAACATGTATATCACAAAAGACAAGGCTTATTCTTTATTTGTTTTTTTTAAGTTTATTTAAAATAAAATATATTTTAAACACATTTAAAGAATTTCTTTAAACAATAAAAAATGCCTCAATTAATTTATTTTTATAATTTCCAGTAAACTATTTGAATATCAGATTTCTTCAAATAAAAGCATTAATTTATTTCTGGATTACATAACATTGACATATGTTAAGATTAAAATTTTTAATGTGCACTGTTTGTAGTTGTTCCCTGGTGTTCTTTTAACAATAAATTAAATTTATTTATTTAGAATATTAACCATCACACTATAAGGAGAGTAAAATTTAAAATATAGACATTCTTTCTAAACACCCCAAATCTGATTAGAAACAGTACAGTTATGCCAGCAAGAATAAGGAAAGTCAATTACATTTTGTGGTATGAGGAACAAAATGAGTTGAGGGAGAGAGTTCTGTGTTTTATGGTGGAAACTAATTTAGTATAGGCATTAAAGAATGGAGCAAATTTGAATGATTCTTATGAGGTGAGACAATCATATATGTTGGGAAAATATTACAAAAACATGGTCATGATATGTATGTTTGGTGAAAGATAAACATATCAGTTTGTCATAATCAAAGCAGTCATATGAAAAATGATGGAAGACAATGCCAGATAGAAAAAAATATGGTCAGGTACTAGGACAGCCTTAAATGCTAAGCAAAAGTAAATAATTTGATACAATAAGAAATAAATTGTCACTAAAGCACTGGGATAGTACTAGACTAATAGTATCATTCTACTGAGTAAAACGGATTTTAATTATATAATATTTAAAATATATAGACATGTATTCAAAAACTTTGAAACTTTTTCTGTTGCCTTAAGTCAAGGTAAAAAGTATATCATTTAATTATAGCAATGATAACAAAATAATAATATTGAGTGCTTACAAAATTTTAGACTCTATACTAAAGGCTATTTGTGTATTAACTTGTTTATTCCTTGCAAATTCCTTTTTACAGAGGAGAATACAGCTCTATAGTTCAACTTCTGTATCTCTACCCTCCAATGCAGCTATAAGTTTTATAAGTAAGCCTCATACTTAATAGAAAAAAACCTCAATATCCATTTTCAATATTTTCTCTCCATAGTTTGAATTTGTTTGAAAACAATTATTTTCTTACTCATTGTTAAAAGGTCGCCTTTATTGTGAAGATACCTGCATCTTCTATTTATTTACTCAAAGAATATCTATTAGGTTTCATATGACAGAGAGCCACCTGTCATTGATAAAACATGTCAACAATTTTGAATAATTGCTTTCTTTCCTTCTTTCCTTGGTAAAAGAAAAATTCAAAATTCACCTTAAAGTTTAATAAAGCCTTTCACGGTTACCTTCTGGTAACCATGAAAACTCTGTGTGGTTCAAAATTTGTGACTCACTGTTTCATTGTGATATATTTTAAAGATTCTAATATATTTCAAGGTCTATTCATATAAATTTAGCTACATCAAAAATAACTGATATTATATGCTTTAACTGCCTTTGATGCCTGTTTCTTCTTTTGAATATGCATGCTTAGATTTAGCTTTTTAAATATTTACTTATTTTTATTGATACAGAATAGATGTCATATTTTCAAGGCACTTGAAATATTATGATACATTCATATAACGTGTAATAGTACAATCAGTGTCATTTGCATATACATCACCTCAAACACCTTTTCTTTCTACTGGGAAAATATGAATTCTTCTAACTATTTTGAAATAACAATAGATTATTTTCAACTATAGTCACCCTACTTTATTTTTTAAATGCTAGATCTTATTCCTTTTATCTACCTGATTTTTGTAACCATTAATAAACTTTTCTTTATACTTTCCCTTCCCCTACCTTTTCTGGCCTCTAATAACCACCAATCTACTCTCTATTTTCCTGAAATCCACGTTTTTAGCTCCCCTGTATAAGTGAGAACATGGAATATTTATCTTTCCATGACTGGTTTATTTCACTTAACATAATGACCTCCAGTTTTTTCCATGTTGTTGCAAATGACATGATTTCATCCTTTTTATGGCTAATAATATTCCATTGTGTATATATGCCATGTTTTCTTTATCCATCCATCCATTGATGGATACTTAAGTTGATTTTCATATTTTGAATATTGCAATTAGTGCTGCAATAAACATGAGAGTGCAAAAATCTTTTGATATATTCGTTTTCCTCCTTTTGGATATACATCCAGTAGTGGATTGTTAGATCATATGGTAGTTCTATTTTTAGTTTTTTGAGGAACCTCTATACTGTTTTCCACAGTGGTTAATTTATATTCTCAATAACAGTGTACAGGAATTGCCCTTTCACTATTTGCTTGCCAGCATCCATTATTTTTTGTCTTTTGGATAAAAGCCGTAACTGAGTTGAGATGGTATTACATTGTGGTATTGATTTGCATCTCCCTGATGATTAGTGATGTTGAGCATCTTTAAAAATGTATCAATTGGCCATTTATGCCTTATTTTGAGAAATATCTATTCAGATCTTTTTCTCATTTTTTAATCAGATTATTTCTTTTTTGCTATTGAGCTGTTTGAGTTCTTTATATATTCTGATTATTAATCTTTTGTAGGGTAGATAGTTTGCAAATAATTTTTCCCATTCTGTAGATTTTCTCTTAACTTTATTATTTCCTTTGCTGTGTAAAAGCTTTTTAGCTTGATGTAATCTTATTTGTTCAGTTTTGCTTTTGTTGCATGAGCTTTTGAGGTCTTACCCCAAAATATCTTTGCACAGACAAGTATCTTGAAGCATTTATCCCAATGTTTACTTCCACTTATATCATAGTATCTGGTCTTAGAATTAAGTCTTTAATCCATTTAGATTTGAATTTTGTATAGGATGAGAGGTAGGATATAGCTTTATTCCTCTGCATAGATTACCCAGTTTTCTTGGTACCATTAATGGAATAGAATGTCTTTTTCCCAGTGGATGTTCTTGGCACCTTTGCTGAAAATGAGTTAGCTAAAAGTGCATACATTTATTTCTGTTATTACCATGCTGTTTTGATTTATATGGCTTTGTAGTATATTTTGAAGTCAGGTAGCTTGACACCTCCAGCTTTGTTACTTTTGTTCAGGATTGCTTTGCCTATTTGGGCTTTTTGTCATTCCATACAAATTTTAGGATTTTTCCTATTTTTGTAAATCATGTCATTGTTTTTTGATAGGGATTACATTGAATCTATAGATTGCTTTGGGTAGTATGGTCATTTTAACAATCTTAATTCTTCCTATCCATGAGCATAAACAACTTTTCCATTATTTTGTGTCCTCTTCAATTTCTTTCATCAGTGTTTTATAGTTTTCCTTGTAGAGATATTTCACTTGTTTAGATATATTTACTCCTATGTATTTTACATATTTTTGTACCTATTATAAATGAGATTGTTTTCTTTATTTCTTTTTTAGACTGTTGTTCACTGTTGGTATATAGAAACAGTGATACTGATTTTTGAAAGTTGATTTTATGTTGCACAACTTTACTAAATTTATCAGTTCTAACAGTTTTTTGTACAGTCTTTAGGTTTTTCTAATATAAGATCATGTTATTTGTGAACAAATATAACTTGACGTTTTCCTTTTTAACGCCGATGCCTTTATTTCATTCTATTGTCTAATTGCTCTGTCTGGGACTTCTAGCATTATGTTGAATAAAAGTGATGAATATTGGTATTGTCTTGTTTCAGATGTTAGATGAAAGGCTTTCAGTTTTTCCTTATTCAGTATAATGTTAGCTGTGGGTTTCTCATACATGATTTATATTGTTTTGAGTTATGTTTCTTTTATACCCAGTTCGTTGAGAGTTTCTGTTAATGTGAAGAATCATGTTTATTGATTTATATTGAGCCAAACGTGCATCCCTGGAATGAATCCCACTTGATCAAGGTGTATGTTCTTATTAATGCGCTGTTTAGTTTAGCTTGTATTTTGTGGAGGATTTTTGGTATATATGTTCATCAGGGAGCTAGGTCTGTAGTTTTTTGTTATTGTTGTGCCCTTGTCTGGTTTTGGTATTGGGATAATGCTAAATGGGACAGAATGAGTTTGGAAATATTCCCTCTCCTTCAATTTTTTGAATAATTTTAGTAGAAGTAGTAAAAATGTTTGGTAGAATTCAGCAGTGAAGCCATCAGGTCTTGAGCTTGTTACGTGTTATTGGTTGGTTCAGATTTTCTATATCTTCACTGTTCAATCTTAGTAGGTTGTATGTGTTATAAAATTAATTTATTTATTTTAGGCTTTCCAATTTGTTGACATAATAGTCTCTAATGTGCCTTTTGTTTCTGTAGTATCATTTGTTTTATCCCTTTGTATTTCTCATTTCATTCATTTTTGGTCTTTTCTCTTTTTTCCTAGTTTGCTTTAACTTTTTTCAGTTGTGTTTATATTTTAAAACATGAACTTTTCATTTGTTGACCTTTTGTATATTTTTTAGTCTCCATATCAATTTATTTCTGCTGTGATTGTTTTATTTCCTTCTTTCTACTAATTTTGGGTTCAGTTTGTTTTTGCTTTTTTAGCAATTTAGATGAATCACTAGGTTGTTTGTTTAAAGTCTCTCTACTTTTTTGATATAGATGTTTATTGCTGCAAACTTCCCTCTTAGTTGTTTAATTTCCATGTATTAGTGTACTTTCCAAGGTTACTTATATTATTGATTTCTGGTTTTATTCTGTTGTGGTCAGAAAATATACTTTAGATGATTTCAACTTTTTAAAATTCGTTGAGACTTGTTTTGTGGCCTAACATATGGTCTATTCAGAAGAACATTCCATGTGCTAATGAAAGAAATTAGTATTCTGCAGGAGTTGGGTGAAACATTCTGTAAGTATTAGTTAAGTGTATTTGGTCTAGTATGTAATTTTTTTATTGATTCTTCTGTCTGCATCCAGATTTTCTGTCTCTATCCCATTACTAACAGTAATGCGTAGAAGTCCCCTACTATTATTGCATTGCAGTCTCTCTCTTGCTTTGTATATATTAATATTTGCTTTATATCATTTATATCAAGGTGTTCCCATGTAGAGTGCACATATATTCATAATTGTTACATAGTCTTGCAAAATTGATTCTGTTGTCATTATATAGTGACCTTCTTTGTCTCTTTTTACAGTCTTTTAATCTGATGTAAGTATAACTACTACTGCTTTTTTTGGTTTCCATTGGCATGGAATATCTTTTTCATCTTTTCACTTTCAGTCTGTGTGTGTTTTATAGTTGCAGTGGGTTTCCTGTAAGCACCATATAATTGGGTCTTTTTTTTCTTTCATCCATTCAGCCACTCCGTCTTTTAATTGGAGAATTTAGTCCATTTACACTCAATGTTATTATTGATACATACAAACTTACTACTGCTGTTTTGTTACTTGATTTCTGGTGTTTTGTAACTCTTCTCTTTTTTTCTTCCTTTCTATCTTTCTTTGTATTTAAATGAAGTTATTTTTAAAAAACTGAAAGAAACTAAAAAGCTTTACACTTTCTATAATCTTCTGCACATATGGACATTTTTTTAAACTCAGTTTATACCTTATATTTTTTTTGAGATAGAGTCTCACTCTGTCACCCCAGCTGGAGTGCAGTGAAACAATATCAGCTCACTGCAACCTCTGTCTCCTGGGTTCAAATGTGTCTCGTGCCTCAGCCTCCCAAGTAGCTGGGACTACAGGTGTGAACCACACCTGGCTAATTTTTTGTTTGTTCGTTTGTTTGTTTTTGAGGTGGAGTCTCGCTCTGTCACCCAGGCTGCAGTGCAGTGGCCGATCTCGGCTCAATGCAAGCTCTGCCTCCTGGGTTCAAGCCATTCTCCTGCCTCAGCCTCCCGAGTAGCTGGGACTACAGGTGCCCACCACCATGCCCGGCTAATTTTTTGTATTTTTAGTAGAGACAGGGTTTCACTGTGTTAGCCAGGGTGGTCTCGATCTCCTGACCTTGTGATCTGCCCACCTCGGCCTCCCAAAGTGCTGGGATTACAGGCATGAGTCACCGTGCCCAGCCACACCTGGCTAATTTTTGTAGAGACAGGGTTTCACCATGTTGGCCAGGCTGGTCTTGAACTCCTAGCCTCAAGGGATCTGCCCTCCTCAGCCTCCCAAAGTGTTGGGATTACAGGCATGAGCCACCACACCTGGCCTAGTTTATAGATTTTTATATTGCCCATCTCTTAACAAGTTTCTGTAAATATTATTTTAATAGATTTGTTTTTTTACTCTATAATAGAGATATACTTACTATACTTACTATTACCAGTGGGTTTTATACCTTCAAATGTTTTCTTTTTGCATATCAGTGTCTTTTTCTTTCAGAACAAATAATTTCTTTTAGTATTTATTTTAGTATTTTTTTTTTTAGTATTTGTTGTAGTATTTCTTTTAGTATTTGTTGTAAGATGGATACAGTGTTGATTAATTCTCTCAGCTTTTGTCTGGGAAAGACTTTATGGCCCCTTTACATTTGAAGGATAGCTTTGCTGGGAACAATATTCTTCTTTAGCAGTTTTTCTTTGCATACTTTGAATATGTCATCCTATTCCCTCCTGGCCTATATGGTTTCCATTAAGAAGTCTGCCAGATAAATTGGAGCTCCTTTTTATCTTATTTTATTATTTTTTTCTTGTTGCTTTTAGGATCCTGTTTTTCTCCTTGGACTTTGGTTGTTTATTATATGCCTTGTGGTAGGCTCATTTGGATTAAATATTTTCAGTGATCTCTGCCCTCCTGTGCTTGGATATTTATATCTTTTTATACATTTGGAAAATTTTCTTTTATTATTTCTTTGAATAAGCTTTCAACTCCCTGCTCTTTTTCAACTCCACTTGAACATCAATGATTCTTAGATTTTCATTCTTTTTCATTCTTTATTCCTTTTTTTCCCTCTGACTGTGTATTTCCAAAAAGCCTGTCTTCAAGATCATTGAATCTTAACTCTGTTCAATCTATTGAGCTGTTAAAAATTCGAATGTGTTATTCAGTTCCACAAATATATTTCTGTTTCAGGATTTCTGCTTGCTTTTTAAAAATTATTATTTCAATCACTTTGTCAAAAGTTTCTGAATTGCTTCCCTGTGTTATCTTGAAGTTCACTGAATTTTCTTACTGCTAATCCTAATTCTTGATCTGAGAGCTCACATATTGCCATTGAACACTGTCACACTAACTTCTTGCTTTGTCCATTTGGGGAGGTCATGATTTCCTCTTTGTTATTGTTCTTGTGAATGTGTGTCTGTGTTTTTGCTTTGAAAGATAGTAATTTATTTCAGTCTTCTATGTCTGACTTGTTTTAGTTTTTCTTGAATATGTTTGCTTACAGATTGCTTGCAGTTTACCCACTGAATTTTCTTTATGCTAGGTTACTGTTTTCTTTTCAGCAGATGGTGTCTTAAGCCCAGTTTTGCCTCAGCTGTAGCAAGCATTCAGAATGCTTCTTGTCCCAGTGGGGGAGGTCCCAAGGGGAATACCCAAGCTGTGTGTGAAGGTTGGCTAGCGCTTTGTGCCTAGGGGGCCCATGGAGCATGCCTCCTACCACATGGTGCTGCTGAACAGCCACTTTGGTTTGGTGTTTTCTTTGGCTGAGATGAACAGCAAGGTTTTTCAGTCTGAGGATGCTCATTCCTTTGTCACTGGCTGCCCTCAGGGTTTTTGTTTGTTTCTTTGTTTGTTTTCCTTTACTGGTACTTGCAATGTGTCCTGTGAGTTGAGGAAAAGACAATTCTCATGTGCAAAGTAATTCATGGTGGTGGGGAAGCTGGTTGTCTGCCTTGATATTACTTACTTCATTGTAGAAACTACGAATCCAGGAGAAACTTTCTATGAATATGACGCCTGGCAGATTGGAGAAGAGTCATTGTGGATACAGAAGTCCAATTTTCTTACCATCTGCTAGAAGTTTTTTCATTTCTCTATTGTTCTAGAGACGGTCCCTTCCTACGATTTGAGTTCTGGGTTATTGCTCGTTGTAATCTTGGTGCAAGATATTTGGTTTTGGTTTTCTACAGAGAGGAATGAAGCCAGATTGCTTCCACTCTGCCATTTTGGTGATGTCACTTTCCTCAATGTCTTTGTTACAATAAGGCCTGTGAATTCTGTGTTAGAGAAATATCTCTTACACCTTATTTCTGAATTCTTAAAAATATTCTATTCAAAGAAGGAATCATACCAGTGGTTAGTCTTCCATGGTTACTTGAGAAAATATATTCTGAATTACCTACTTTTTCAGTAATTTACACTAAAAATAGTTGTTTTTGTATTTTCTTTATTGAAATAAAGAAAATTTTGTTTTTTTGTTTGTAAATTTGTAATTTTGTGTATTTTGTTTGTAAACATGTCTTCAAATATTTAAAATTTTGTTTTGTCTTTCAAAAGTATGTTTTGAGCAATGAATCTGGTTCAATTATTAGTCGTATTATTTTCCACATAAATTTTAGATTTTTTTAAAATTACTCAAGGAAAAATAAGTATTCATTTAATACTATGCAGCTTCTTATTTTTAATATTTTATTGTTGGTAACCTTAAAATATGTTTCTAAAATTTATCATTAAGTGAAGTAAAATTTATTAAAGTTTTTACTAAATTTATTGTGTAATTTTAAATATTGTTAAAAAAAGATTTAAAGAATATTTTCAAATTTTGTATAGTTACTGTTTATAATTGTGCATCTGATTATAGTGTCATTCTATGTTTATCATATATCTTACTGTATTATATACTATAAGATCAAGATTATGGTTAATATCAGTGTTTGCAAATCCATGATTCATACAGACACTTAAAAACGTTGGCTAGATGACTGATTTCTTGTCACCATTGATAAGATCATTGTTATTTTTACCTCATAATATGGCTGATGAAAAATATTCACCAAGAATGGGCAAAGAAAGTCGTTTACTTTTGTTTATTTGTACTTGCACAATTACTAGTGTCTTCAACCTATGGTTTCCTTGTAGAGTTCTTTTAAAGCTACCTGTCCATTTCCTGAGAATATTTAGTTAAAATCACATCATATATTCCATAATGTCATTAACCAGGTGCATATAACCTGACAAAAATGACAGAGGGTGCTACTGTCAACCACTTGACCATATAGAATTCTTATGCTTCCTAAAAATCTTGCTGGCCATATGTGCAAAGGGACCATCTGACCTATAACCAAGCAGTATGTTCACTGTCAATTCATACACCAAAAACCAGTAAAGTACAACATCTTTATTATTATTAAAAGAAATGAAAGAGTTAATGCAATATACTCTCCCATTATATAATACTCTTTTTGTTTTTCTCTTGGGTACTACAGTCTCTGTTCAATGAGAAGTGTAAATTGAAATTGAAAGAGATTATTAGTGCAGAGATATGAGAAAGGAAGTTACTGGAAGAATCTCAATGAGATATGATAAATACATGGAGACCATAATGACAGGTCCTACAATCAGTTTGGATTCCTATGAACAATTTTCTTAATCAACTTTATACCTCACCCACAAAGCACCTGAAAGATGCAACATATAATTTGGTTAATCTAAGCTGAATGTACCCTTTTCTTTAATCTTGAGCTACTAGATAATTTGTTCTTTATTTAATTTAAATCATTTATATATTCATTCCTCTAACAAATATTTATTGGGAATAGTATATGTGGCAGGTATTTTTTTTCTTCTAGGCCCTGGCATACATACAGCATAAAGCAATTTAAACAGAAACCTCTGTTTTGGGGAGCTTATGTTCACCATCTACTGTCAACATTCCCATCTCCCAAATACTGTTCCCATTTCTAGGGATAAAGGATAAATAGCTGGGGCCCCAGGACCTCATAGTTTAGTTGAGGAGTTAAAAATGCCAAAAGTAAAAATAAATTTCAGAGCTCTACCAGATAACAAAAGAGTAAATCAGACCTTTAAATTGCCTATTATATGATGAAAGAAATGCTGTATTCATCTTAGTGATTGATTATAGTAAAGAAAAAAGAAGCAGTAAAAAATCAAGTGGCTGGTACGCTACAAAAGGGATCACACTTATGCCAAAAAATACAGCTACAACAAAGGAAGATAATGAGATGATGGCAAGCAAATTACGTGGGTTTTATTATACGTAGATTAGTTTATCTAGAATTTCAGCTCATGGCTGTTTACATTTTGTAGATATTTGTTAATGCTAATTTATACATGTTTTCATATTTTCACATGATTATTAAAGCAGTTTTCCAAAATCTCTGATAATAAACCAGGAAGTTCAAAGCTTAAGAGAAGCTGGTGTGGGCCAGGCTCAGTGGCTCAGGCCTGTAATCCCCGCACTTTGGGAGGCCAAGGCGGGCAGATCACCTGAGTTCGTGAGTTTGAGACCAGCTTGACCAACATGGTGAAACCCCATCTCTACTAAAAATACAAAATTAGCCATGGCGTGGTGCCACATGCCTATAATCCCAGCTACTTGGGAGGCTCTCAGGAGAATCGCTTGAACCCGGGGGGCAGAGGTTGCAGACAGCTGAGATCGCATCATTGCACTCCAGCCTGTGCAACCAGAGTGAAACTCTGTCTCAAAAAAATAAAAATAAAAAAACAAAGAAGCTGGTGTGATTAATTAGGCCTTAAACGCAATTCACCAAATTCCCTCAAAAGCTGTTATAATTCCAGCAATATATATTTTAAAAAGCGTAAGAGAAAGGAATACTGTGAGCTTAACTAAAGACAAAATTAATATTAAATTGAAGTGTTTTTTAAAATATCTCAAAATGACATTCACAATTCTAAAAATGGTAGAGAAGTTGAGATAACTAGTAAGGGCTGTGAATAGCAATGCATCCCTGGAATGATGTGCATTGTGGCTAATGGTAATGTTGCTCAGGTGCATGGATTTTGTACATGAAGGAAGCTTTGACCCAGCATGTAATTAGTGAGTGTACAGAAAAAAGTGATATATAATTTTATGTATAATGCTGTGCTATTGAAAGGATTAAAAACTTTTTTATGTGTCTGCACATACAGCATAGTGTTTCGGAAAGCTATTATTTCTTAAGACATATCAAACCTTTAATGATCATAGATTAACTAAATACAGTATTTGTATACCTATTTACTTTATCCCAGGTATTCAAAATTTATTTTAAAAAACTAGAGTATATAATTTTTGTTGAATTTTACACCTGCAATTGCAGGTTATTAATATAATTAAGTAGTCAAGTGTTTTTCGGGTCCCACTCATTCCTTAGGAGCTATTTAGAACCCTAGCCAATCCATCTTCTGTTTTGTGGACTCTGTGCACAATGAAGGAAGTCTATAAATAATAAATGACAAAAAATTACAGTATCATGAATTCAGCAGTAAGTGACAGAGCCTTACTGTATCATAGTGAAATAGCAGTATTTTCACACAAAATGCATCAGGTGAGGAATCTTTCTTTGTTTTAGTTTTATTTTTTATAGGAAAAATTCCTCCTTTATCAAAACACGTTTTTAAAGCCTCCTTCACAATTTATAAATGACTGTTTCAATATTATTGAGTGAACATAGCATCTTTGATGTATTAAGTGACACTTGGTGCCTACTGAAACAGGAGAGGAAAGTCACTAGGAAGAATTCGGGTCAGAGATGGGAATTACAGGTATCTTTCATGTAATTACTCATAAAATCACTTGCTAGCATAAGAGGGGGAATAATTATTCACGTTTCTTATGTTTTGATAATATAAATTGGTGTTTGGGAGCACATAAAAAGAACCATGACATGAAAGCACAATCTATATTTTTCATAACTGTTATTGAAGTGTGAACCAGGCTTTAACTCAGTAAAGGAACCAGACCTTACATTGCATATGTGTGATCATAGCAGTTGATATGTCTTTTATAACACACATTTTGCCTTTAATGACACTGAAATTTCTCAAAGCAGTCTGAGTAAAAGCTGAAGTTCTTTCTAAAGCATACAATAAAGGGTTTTTTGTTTGTTTGTTTTTTGTTTTTTGGGGATGGAGTCTCGCTCTGTTGCCCAGGCTGGAGTGCAGTGGCGTGATCTCAGCTCACTGCAAGCTCCGCCTCCCTGGTTCAAGTGATTCTCCTGCCTCAGCCTCCTGAGTAGCTGGGATTATAGGTGTGTACCACCACACCCAGCTAATTTTTGTATTTTTAGTAGAGATGGGGTTTCACCATGTTGGTCAGGCTTGTCTCAAACTCCTGACCTCGTGATCCACCCACCTTGGCCTCCCAAAGTGTTGAGATTACAGGCGTGAGCCACCATGCCCAGCTGAGGTCTTTTTAATGGGGTATGCACATGTTCTCACTCATAAGTGGGAGCCAAACAGTGAGCACACATGGGCATAAACATGGGAACAATAGACAATGTGGACTACTAGAAGGGAAAAAAACTACCTATTAAGCACAATGTTCACTTCCTGGGTGATGGATTCCATACCCCAAACAACATCACACAATATTCCCATGTAACCAACTTGTAATGTACCCCTTTATCTAAAATAAAAGTTTAAATTTAAAATTGATTAAGTAATTAAGTAATAATAAAATGGTTATGTGAACCAATGAGGTAAAAGACTTGTATACTGAAAACTGCAAAACATTGCTGAAAGAATTCAAAGAAGACACAAATAAATGGAAAATATTGTTTCATCAATTGAAAGATTTAATATTGTTATCAATATTACCCAGAGCAAATCTAAAGATTCAATTCAATTTCTATCAAAATCCTGATGTGTTTTGCACAAATAGGAAAATCTATTCTGAAATGAACACCACATGGTGAAAACAATTTTGAGAGAGAAGAACAAAGTTGGAGGTCTCACACTTCCTGATTTCAAAACTTACTACATAATATGGTAAAAAAAACAATGTGGTACTGGCATAAAGACAGACATATAGGCCAATCGAATAGAATAGAGAGCACAAAAATAAATCCTCACACATACAGTCAAGTAATTTTTGACAAGAGTGACCAGATCATTCAAGAAGACTTTTTTTTTTTTCAACAAACTGTATTGGAAAACCGGATATTCACATGTATGAGAATGTTGTTGGATCCTTACCCTAAACCTAATGCAAAAAGTAACTCAAATTGGATCAAGGACCTAACCATAAGAGATAAAACTATAAACTGTTAGAAAGAAACAGTAGAAAACCTTCATGACTTCAGATTTCACAAAGATTGCCTGGATATAACACCAAAAGCTAAAGTTACAAAAGAAAATATAGACAAATTGGGCTACCGCAAAATTAAAAAATTTGTGAATCAAAAGACATTATAAACAGAGTAAAAAGGGAATATACAGAATAGGGGAATATACTTGGTAGTCATATATTTGGTAAGGGGTTAATAACCAGGCTAAATAAAAAAAAAACTCTTACAATTCAACAATAACAATGAAGAAATAATTAAACAATGGGCAAAAATTTTGAATAGATATTTCTCCCAAGAAGATGCACAAATGGCCAATAACTACAAGAAAAGATGTTCAAAAGCACTAAATATTAAGGAAATGCAAATTAAAGCCAAAATGAGATAGGCACTTCATGCCCATAAGAATGGCTACTTTCAAACAAACAGCCCATGTAATAAGTGTTGACTAGGGTGTGGAGAAATTGGAATACTAGTCCACTGCTGGTGGAAATGTAATATGGTGCAGCTGCTATGAAAAACACTGAGGAGTTTCTTCAAAACATTATAAATAGATCATCATAGGATCCAGCAATTCCACTTCTGGTATACCTAAAATAATTGAGATCAGGAATTCAAATAATTATTTGTGCACCCATGCTTGCAACAGCATTATTCACAATTGCCAACATGTGCAAAAAAACCAAGTGTCCCTCGACAAATAAATAGGTAAACAAAATGTGAAATATACACACCATGGAATTTGATTCAGCCTTAAAAAAGAAGAATTTCTGACACATGCTACAATATGGATGAACCTTGAAGACATTATGCTAAGTGAAATGAGCTGGTCATTAGAACAAAACTATTGTATGATTTCAATTTTATGAGTTACCTAGAATAGTAAAATTTATAGAGAAAGACAGCAGAAGGGGCTGTGTGGTGGAGAAAAAGGGGAGTTATTGTTTAATGGGCATGACATTTTAGTTTTGATGAAAAGGTTCCAGAGGTGAGTGGTGACAATGGTTGCACACCAATATGAATGTTTTTAATACCACTGACTAGATACTTAAAATGGTTAATATGATAAATTCTGTTATGCTTATTTCACCACAATAAAAAAAGTTTTAAAAATGACATATGTGTAGAAGGGGCGGTTCTGAGACGGCCGAATAGGAACAGCTCCAGTCTATAGCTCCCAGCGTGAGCAATGCAGAAGAATGCTAAGACTGCTGATTTCTGCATTTCCAACTGACGTACTGGGTTCATCTAATTGGGACTGGTTGGACAGTGGGTGCAGCCTACAGAGTGTGAGCCAAAGCAGGGCAGGGCATCGCCTCACCCAGAAAGCACAAGGGGTTGGGGAATTCCCCTTCCTAGCCAAGGGAAGCCATGACAGACAGTACCTGGAAAATCAGGACACTCCTGCCCTAATACTGCTCTTTTCCAACAGTCTTAGCAAACAGCACACCAGTAGATTATATCCCGCACCTGGCTTGGCAGGTCCCACGCCCGTGGAGCCTTGCTCACTGCTAGCACAGCAGTCTGAGGTCAAACTGCAAGGTGGCAGCGAGGCTGGGGGAGGGGCACCCGCCATTGCTGAGGCTTGAGTAGGTAAACAAACTGGCCAGGAAGCTCAAACTGGGTGGAGCCCACCTCAGCTCAAGGAGGCCTGCCTGCCTCTGTAGACTCCACCTCTGGGGGCAGGGCATAGGTGAACAAAAGGCAGCAGAAACTTCTGCAGACTTAAACGTCCCTGTCTGACAGCTTTGAAGAGAGCAGTGGTTCTTCCAGCACGGAGTTGGAGATCTGAGAACAGACAGACTGCCTTCGCAAGTGGGTCCCTGACCCCCGAGTAGCCTAATTGGGAGACACCTCCCAGTATGGGCCAACTGACACCTCACACAGCTGGGTACCGCTCTGAGACGAAGCTTCCAGAGGAATGATCAGGCAGCAACATTTGCTGTTCTGCGATATTTGCTGTTCTGAAGCCTCCGCTGGTGGACCCAGGCAAACAGGGTCTGGAGTGGACCTCCAGCAAACTCCAACAGACCTGCAGTTGAGGGTACTCACTGTTGAAAGGAAAACTAACAAACAGAAAGGAATAGCATCAACATCAACAAAAAGAACATCCACACCAAAACCTCATCTGTAGGTCACCATCATCAAAGACCAAAGGTAGATAAAACCACAAAGATGTGGAAAAACCAGAGCAGAAAAGCTGAAAATTCTAAAAACCACAGTGCCTCTTCTCTTCCAAAGGATCACAGCTCCTTGCCAGCAATGGAACAAAGCTGGACAGAGAATGACTTTGACGAGTTGACAAAAGTAGGCTTCAGAAGGCTGGTAATAACAAACTTCTCTGAGCTAAAGGAGGATGTTCGAACCCATCACAAGGAAGCTAAAAATCTTGAAAAAAGATGAGAAGAATGGCTAACTGAATAAACAGCATAGAGAAGACCTTAAATGACCTGATGGAGCTGAAAACCATGGCACGAGTACTACGTGATGCATGCACAAGCTTCAGTAGCCAATTCGATCAAGTGGAAGAAAGGGTATCAGTGATTGAAGATCAAATGAATGAAATGAACTGAGAAGAGAAGTGTAGAGAAAAAAGAGTAAAAGGAAATGAACAAAGCCTCCAAGAAATATGGGATTTGTGGAAAGACCAAATCTACATTTGATTGGTGTACCTGAAAGTGATGGGGAGAATGGAACTAAGTTGGAAAACACTCTTGAGGATATTATCCAGGAGAACTTCCCCAATCTAGCAAGGCAGGCCAACATTCAAATTCAGGAAATACAGAGAACACCACAAAGATACTCCTCGAGAAGGGCAACCCCAAGACACATGTCAGATTCACCAAGGTTGAAATGAAGGAAAAAATGTTAAGGGCAGCTAGAGAGAAAGGTCGGGTTACCCATAAAGGGAAGCCCATCAGGCTAACAGCAGATCTCTCAGCAGAAACTCTAAAAGCCAAAAGAGAGTGAGGGCCAATATTCAACATTCTTAAAGAAAAGAATTTTCAACCCAGAATTTTATATCCTGCCAAACTAAGCTTCATAAGTGAAGGAAAAATAAAATCCTTTACAGACAAGCAAATGCTGAGAGATTTTGTCACCACCAGGCCTGCCTTACAAGAGCTCCTGAAGGAAGCACTAAAAATGGAAAGGAATAACCAGTACCAGCCACTGCAAAAACATGCCAAATTGTAAAGACCATCTGTGCTAGGAAGAAACTGCATCAACTAACAGGCAAAATAACCAGCTAACATCATAATGACAGGATCAAATTCACACATAAGAATATTAACCTTAAATGTAAATGGCCCAAATGCCCCAGTTAAAAGACACAGACTGGCAAATTGGATAAAGAGTCAAGACCCTTCAGTGTGCTGTATTCAGGAGACCCATCTCACGTGCAGAGACACACATAGGCTCAAAATAAAGGGATGGAAGAAGATCTACCAAGGAAATGGAAAACAAACAAACAAAAAAAGCAGGGGTTGCAATCGTAGTTTCTGATAAAATAGACTTTAAACCGACAAAGATCAAAAGAGACAAAGAAGGCCATTACATAATGGTAAAGGGATCAATTCAATGAGAAGAGCTAACTATCCTAAATATATATGCACCCAATACAGGAGCACCCAGATTCATAAAGCAAGTCCTTAGAGACCTACAGAGACTTAGACTCCCTCACAATAATAATGGGAGACTTTAACACCCCACTGCCAACATTAGACAGATCAACGAGACAGAAACTTAACAAGGATATCCAGGACTTGAACTCAGCTCTGCACCAAGCCGACCTAATAGACATCTACAGAACTCTCCACCCCAAATCAACAGAATATACATTCTTCTCAGCATCACATCGCACTTATTCCAAAATTGACCACACAGTTGGAAGTAAAGCACTCCTCAGCAAATGTAAAAGAACAGAAATTATGACAAACTGTCTCTCAGACCACAGTGTAATCAAATTAGAACTCAGGATTAAGAAACTCACTCAAAACTGCACGAATACATGGAAACTAAACAACCTGCTCCTGAATGACTATTGGGTAAATAATGAAATGAAGGCAGAAATAAAGATGTTCTTTGAAATCAATGAGAACAAAAACACAACATACCAGAATCTCTGGGACACATTTAAAGCAATCTGTAGAGGGAAATTTGTAGCACTAAATGCCCACAAGAGAAAGCAGGAAAGATCTAAAATTGACACCTTAACATCACAATTAAAAGAACAAGGAAGCAAGAGCAAACACAATCAAAATCTAGCAGAAGGCAAGAAATAACTAAGATCAGAGCAGAACTGAAGGAGATAGAGACACAAAAAACCCTTCAAAAAATCAATGAATCCAGGAGCTGGTTTTTTGAAAAGATAAACAAAATAGATAGACCGCTAGCAAGACTACTAAAGAAGAAAAGAGAGAAGAATCAAGTAGATGAAATAAAAAATGATAAAGTGGATATCACCACTGATACCACACAAATACAAACTACCATCAGACAATACTATAAACACCTCTACACAAATGAACTAGAAAATCTAGAAGAAATGGATAAATTCCTCCACACATACACCCTCCCAAGACTAAACCAGGAAGAAGCTGAATCCCTGAACAGACAAATAACAGGCTCTGAAATTGATGCAATAATAGCCTACCAACCAAAAAAAGTCCTGGACCAGATGGATTCACAGCCGAATTCTACCAGAGGTATGAAGAGGAGCTGGTACCATTCCTTCTGAAACTATTCCAATCAATAGAAAAAGAGGGACTCCTCCCTAACTCACTTTATGAGGCCAACATCATCCTCATACCAAAGCCTGGCAGAGACACAACAACGAAAGAGAATTTTAGACCAATATCCTTGATGAACATCAATGCAAAAGTCCTCGATAAAATACTGGCAAACCAAATCCAGCAGTACATCAAAAAGCTTATGACCACAATCAAGTTGGCTTCATCCCTGGGATACAAAGCTGGTTCAACATATGCAAATCAATAAATGTAATCCATCATATAAAGAGAACCAAAGACAAAAACCACATGATTATCTCAATAGATGCAGAAAAGGTCTTTGACAAAATTCAACAGCCCTTCATGCTAAAAACTCTCAATAAACTAGGTATTGATGGGACATATCTCAAAATAATAAGAGCTACTTATGACAAACCCACAGCCAATATCATACTGAATGGGTAAAAACTGGAAGCATTCCCTTTGGAAACTGGCACAAGACAGGGATGCCCTCTCTCACCACTCCTATTCAACATAGTGTTGGAAGTTCTGGCCAGGGCAGTCAGGCAGGAGGAAGAAATAAAGTGTATTCAATTAGAAAAAGAGGAAGTCAAATTGTCCCTGTTTGCAGATGACATGATTGTATATCTAGAAAACCCCATTGTCTCAGCCCAAAATCTCCTTAAGCTGATAAGCAACTTCAGCAAAGTCTCAGGATACAAAAATCAATGTGCAAAAATCACAAGCATTCTTATACACCAATAACAGACAAACGGAGAGCGAAATCATGAGTGAACTCCCATTCACAATTGCTTCAAAGAGAATAAAATACCTAGGATTCCATCTTACAAGGGATGTGAAGGACCTCTTCAAGGAGAACTACAAACCACTGCTCAAAGAAATAAAAGAGGACACAAACAAATGGAAGAACATTCCATGTTCATGGATAGGAAGAATCAATATCATGAAAATGGCCATATTGCACAAGGTAATTTATAGATTCAATGCCATCCCCATCAAGCTACCAATGACTTTCTTCACAGAATTGGAAAAAACTACTTTAAAGTTCATATGGAAGCAAAAAAGAGCCCACATTGCCAAGTCAATCCTAAGCCAAAAGAACAAAGCTGGAGGCATCACACTACCTGACTTCAAACTATACTACAAGGCTACAGTAACCAAAACAGCATGGTACTGGTACCAAAACAGAGATATAGACCAAAGGAATAGAATACAGCCCTCAGAAATGATACCACACATCTACAACCATCTGATCTTTGACAAACCCGACAAAAACAAGAAATGGGGAAAGGATTCCCTATTTAATAAATGGTGCTGGGAAAACTGGCTAGCCATATGTAGAAAGCTGAAACTGGATCCCTTCCTTACACCTTGTACAAAAATTAATTCACGATGGATTAAAGACTTAAATGCTAGACCTAAAACCATAAAAACCCTAGAAGAAAACCTAGGCAATACCATTCAGGACATAGGAATGGGCAAGGACCTCATGGCTAAAACACCAAAAGCAATGGCAACAAAAACCAAAATTGACAAATGGGATCTAATTAAACTAAAGAGCTTCTGCACAGCAAAAGAAACTACCATCAGAGTGAACAGGCAACCTACAGAATGGGAGAAAATTTTTGCAATCTACTCATCTGACAAAGGGCTAATATCCAGAATCTACAAACAACTCAAATTTACAAGGAAAAAAATCAAACAACCCCATAAAAAAGTGGGCGAAGGATATGAACAAACACTTCTCAAAAGAAGACATTTATGCAGCCAACAGACACATGAAAAAATGCTCATCATCACTGGCCATCACAGAAATGTAAATGAAAACCACAATGAGATACCATGTCATACCAGTTAGAATGGCGATCATTAAAAAGTCAGGAAACAACAGGTGCTGGAGAGGATGTGGAGAAACAGGAACACTTTTACACTGTTGGTGGGACTGTAAACCAGTTCAACCATTGTGGAAGACAGTGTGGCGATTCCTCAGGGATCTAGAACTAGAAATACAATTTGACCCAGCGATTCCATTGCTGGGTATATACCCAGAGGATTATAAGTCATGCTACTATAAAGACACATGCAGACTTATGTTTATTGTGGCACTATTCACAATAGCAAAGACTTGGAGCCAACCCAAATATCCATCAATGATAGACTGGATTAAGAAAATGTGGCACATATACACCATGGAATACTATGCAGCCATAAAAAAGGATGAGTTCATGTCCTTTATAGGGACATGGATGAAGCTGGAAACCATCATTCTGAGCAAACTATCACAAGGACAGAAAACCAAACACTGCATGTTCTCACTCATAGGTGGGAATTGAACAATGAGAACATTTGGATACACGGTGGGGAACATCACACATCAGGGCCTGTCGTGGGGTGGGGGGAGCGGGGAGGGATAGCATTAGAAGAAATACCTAAGGCAAATGACGAGTTAATGGGTGCAGCAAACCCACATGGCACATGTATACATATGTAACAAACCTGCACGTTGTGTACCCGTACCCTAGAACTTAAAGTATAATAAAATAAAATAAAATAAAAATAAACAAATGAGGTACGTGTACTCCTTGGGGTGCACAAGATATTTCTAAGGTGTACATTGTACTGGAAAGATGTAAGGGAATACAATTCTATCTCTTCAACTTACACATGTTCACTTTTCTAGGGCTGACCTGTGCATTTCTGTGAGCAGGTTAGCCTACGTTTTTACTTCCACTACCATGACCACTCTGTTCTCATATTAAAAACAAGACATTTTTCACCCACCCTGAGTATTTTTATGGTGCATACTTTCAAGGTATAAAAACCCCAAGGGCACCAAGCTGAACTAAAATCCAAAATATTGATGGAATCAAAGCTCCTTCACTCAAGATATAATATATGGACTTTCTCTTTCCAAGATATATTTTTTTTTAAAAAAGAAGGTTAAGCATGACTTTATAAAATGCACACTTATGCTCCTATTGGATTCAAATACAAATATATCATAGAGTGGGATTATGGTCATGATGACTATTTTATTTAGAGATCTCACCACTTTAATCTCCTGATTATCATCAAGAAAGGAGGAAAAGCTCCTTAAAAGCAATTACAAAATAACTCTCTTGCAGGAATGTTGAAAATGGTAGCATCATTTCTTCGAGCAAATATTCCTACAGCAAGAGTTAGTGCACTATTCATCCATTAATCTTAGAATGCTCAAGATTTTAAAGAGCATGTTGGGAAGTATTAATGTACTAAGTGGTGCATCTCTATATTCATCTTAATAACAACAATAAAATAATAATATTAACCAAAAATTGCTCAATATATTTATTTACCTATGATTCTCTCTTGGATTTCAACGTAATGGAAGTGAGTTCTCCACTTTCTTCCAGCAAATAAACACTATATATCTGTGGAAAAAGAATATATATCAGACATAAGTCAGCATTTCAGTTTTCTTCAACATGCATCCTGATTAATATGAGAAGCTTTTTCATCAACATTTAACAAAAGGTAGCTTGTGTGGTGGCTCATGCCTGTAATTCCAGCACTTTGGGAGGCTGAGTGGGAGAATCTCTTGAGCCCAGGATTTCAAGCCCAGACTCGGCAACATAGTAAGACCCCTATCTCTATAAAAAACAAAAGTGAAAAAATGATTGTTGTGGACCCTAACACCGTATTCTTTTTGCTTGGATTAAAATCTGTTGCTTTCTGACAATTGCTTGCAAACAATTTCCTGTCTCTTTGTTCATTCTGACCAAATACATATTAGATTTAAACTAACAGCAGGAATATGTTAAAAAATTCCAGTGTGAATAGTACATTTAAGAATAATTATTTAGGCCGGGCACGGTGGCTCACGCCTGTAATCCCAGCACTTTGGGAGGCTGAGGTGGGTGTATCACGAGGTCAGGAGACTGAGATCATCTTGGCTAACACAGGTGGAACCCCGTCTCTACTAAAAATACAAAAAATTAGCCGGGCGTGGTGGCGGGCGCCTGTAGTCCCAGCTACTTGGGAGGCTGAGGCAGGAGAATGGCGTGAACCCGGGAGGCGGAGCTTGCAGTGAGCCCAGATCGCGCCACTGCACTCCAGCCTGGGCGACAGAGCAAGACTCTGTCTCAAAAAAAAAAAAAAAAAAAAAAAAAAAAGAATAATTATTTAAATAGTTTTGGAAGGCCTCACATTGACAAATGGCCCATATTTTTATGACAGTTGGTAGTTGTATGTCAAAAATTTGGAGAAATATACTAGGAGAAAATATGGAAAGCTCTTGCCCGACAATCACCGGAACAATTTTCCCCGACCTCCTGCCACCTCCCAAACCCCATTTTCCATTACTCTCCTGCCTGCCTGCTCACTGATGCCACTCCCCTGGCTTCCTTAGTGTACTTGGAACACAGCATGAACTTTAGGGCATTTCCATTTGTTGTTTCACTGTGTGTGATGCTCTGTCCTGAATGTTGCCACAATTTTTCCCCTTATTTCTCTGTTCTTAAGAACTCTGGTCCACAGGGATTTCTTCTCTGAGTACCTTATCAAAAGTAGCTCTCTATCACCTCCACCTCTCACTGTATTCTATCCAGTTATCCTGCTTTATCTTTATATCACTTATTACTGACAAAAATAATTTCACACACACACACACACACACACACAGCCTTTTTTCCAGTAGAATACAAGATGTTTCTTTACTGTTTCATGTCCATCATCTGGTATTTTATTTACTGGCTGTGCAAAACATGTATGTTTAATGCATGAATAAGATAAAAGAAAGAAAGAGAGAGAGAGAAAGAGAAAACAAGGGAAAAAATTACTTTTGCTTTAGCTATAAATTGTATACTGAAAACAAACCTTATACCTTTGATTTTATGTTCCACATTTTCTAGAAGCTCTAAGCTTCACTTATGCTTTTATTCAGCTACACGAAGGTATGATCATGTTGTATAACTCATATCATATTACACAATTTCATATCTGAGATCTCCAACTCACTTGCCCTAGCTCATTCTTTCTCTTTTTCACTAGAAAGTCTGCTCTCTGCCCCCACTGAAATAATAAATCATGAACATCTGTATTCATTACTCCTCCTTGAACTATTTAAGGTCTCCAAGAATCCTATTGATTACACTGCCCTCAGTGATCACTCCCTCTCTCTCCCTCAATAGTCTGTAACTTTTTAACTATTCCTGCATTACATGCTGTTCTTAATAGTTTGTTTGCCAACTGTTTCATGTAAGTTGTTTTTAATTCCCCATCTATTTTGAAAGTGAGAGCTGCTCAGAGACGTAGCCTTCCATTCCTCTCACATGGGACACCTAAAAAAACCCTGAAGATATTACTTGTTTTATTTCTGCATTCAAAGTGAACTTTGTCCAACACACCTGTCCTCAGTGTCCAACATTTTGTTTCACTGCCTTCACTGGATGATATCTTTTATCTCCAATCTCTCAGTATCACTCAACAAAGTCCATCAAACTCTTTATCTCTCTCCATTGGTTTTCTTCTGGTGCATTGGTCTGATTTTTATTTGATTTATCCAGATGCTCTATCCAGTGCCTATACTATTTCTTCTTTATACTTCTACTCTCTAACTGAAGATAGTTCACATGGTTTAGAATTTTCACTTTCTGTTATTGCCTATAATACCTTATGTATATGGTGAAACAATGAATCCTTCCGTTCAACAAATTTATTTATGATTATCTTATTTACACCTCTCTTATATGTACTTTTCTCTTATTTTTAATATATATTTATTAATTAACTACCATGTGCAGACTCCCTACTCAGTATTCTTTTCACTAGTGTACCCTCGGAGTGAGGACTATGAAAGTATAATATTGAATAGAGATAAAAGAAAACAAGTGCTGGCAAAAATGTGAAGAAAAATGAATTTTTGTACAGTGCCAGAAGGAATGTAAATTAGTACAGTCACTATGGAAAACAATATAAAGATTCCTCAAAAAATGAAGATGGAACTACCGTATGATCTACCAATCCCATTACCGGTTACATATTCAAAGGAAATAACATCAGTATCTTGAGGAAATATCTGCACCCCCATATTCATTGCAGCATTATTCACAATAGGCAAGTAATGTAAATAAGCTAAGTGTCCTCCAGGAATAAATGAATACAGAAAATGTGGCATATTTAAACAATGGGATATTATTCCAGTGTAATAAGAGAATTCTGTTATTTGTGGCAACATGGATGAACATGGAGGAAATTACATTACATTAAGTGAAATAAGCTAGGCACAGAAAGACAAATGCCACATGAACTCATTTACATGTGAAATTTAAAAATTGAACTCACAGAAGTAAAGAGTAGAATGGTGGTTACCAGGGGCTCAAGGAGGGAGATTGGAATATGTTGGTCGAAAATTTCTAAGTTCCAATTAGGACAAGTAAGTTCGAGCTATCTTTTATGCAACATGGTGACTATAGTTTATAACAATGTATTACATTCTTAAAAATTGTTAAGAGTAGATTTTATGTGTTCTCACACAAAAAAATAAGGGTATAAGATTATCCATATGTTAATTAGCTCAATGTCACCTTCCACAATATATACATATTTCAAAGCATCATATGGTACAAGTTAAATATATAGTATTTTTATTTGTCAACTAAATAATAATAAAAGTAAAAGAAATACAAACAATAGAACAGAATAGAGTAGGATAAAATAAAAAAACATTAGTGTGCTTCAAAAACAATAAGCGTAAACACTGTCTTGTGAAACTTTGTGATGCCAACTGTATTTCTTGCTGTGAGCTGTGTCCCCAAAAGTTGGAAAATCACCAGTCTAACCTATTTTACTTTGATTTTGTTAGGCTGGGAAACAAGACCGATTTTTTATTTTGTGTATTTGCAGTATAAGTTATCTTGAGTAATTAAACATTAATAGAAGAACAGTATCATAGTTCCTCAACAAATATCTTTGTATAGAACTTGAGAGGCCTGGGAGCTGGCTACTAACATGAAAGGGGGAGGCTGATAACTCAAAACCTTTTTGACATGAAGGGGCACCTTCTCCTAGGCTCTAAAGTGACTCTAAGTCCTGCTGCTTCCTAATTTGGTCTCGGTCCTTCTTTTCTTCAAGTGTATATAAGCCTTCTTCTCTTCAAGTTCATAAAACCAAAGAAATTGTTGAGGGCAGGAGTGATAGGAAGTGCAGAGATCATGGTAACAAGCTAATCCCTCACCCCACTTCTGTGGAATTTGGCAGACATATTGCGTAGGGTGCAGACGATAAAAACACATTGACATACTCTTCAGTTGGGCGTCTTTTCATCTTTTGCTTTCTTATGGAATAGGTCAACTGCTCTTACTTTGCTTTTCCTTGAGTAGTTGAGTAGGCAAAGCAAAAAGAAAGAGTCAGCCGGGCGTCGTGGCTCACACCTGTAATCCCAACACTTTGGGAGGCCAAGGCAGGCGGATCACGAGGTCATGAGATCAAGACCATCCTGGCTAACACGGTGAAAACCTGTCTCTACTAAAAACACAAAAAATTAGCTGGGCGTGGTGGCAGGTGCCTGTAGTCCCAGCTACTTGGGAGGCTGAGGCAGGAGAATGGCGTGAACCCAGGAGGCAGAGCTTGCAGTGAGCCAAGATCGCGCCACTGCACTCCATCCAGCCTGGGCGACAGAGCAAGACTCTGCCTCAAAAAAAAAAAAAAAAAAAAAGGGAAAGAGTCAGCAACTACACATAATTGAAGTTTTTAATTGGACTAGACTGGTTTGGACTTTTAAATACCTTAAAGTGACCTGAAACCTAAGAGATTTTTCTCATGATAGTATTACGGAGCAGGGCGGGGTGGGGGCTAGATTGGGAATAACATATTGAAGACAGTGATTGGAAAGAAAGAAAACTACATTTTATTTTTTGCATACCACCCAGTTGGAAGTTTTCAATAAATCAGCTCATCTGAATAAATGAGCTATGGAAAATAAAATTCAATATAAAATACACTTCTCTCAATATGAAGTAGTAGAAAGTTCAGGGACTTCATACTCAAGGACATCAGACTTTGGCAATTTGAATCGTAACTCCTCCCATCATTAGCTATGGGGCCTTAGGCAAGTCACTCATCAGTTCAATTGCTTTTAATCTGAAATGGTATACTAAAATCTACTTCAGATTAAGATTAGATGAAGAACAGGCAGGTTCAAATGCCCATACATAGATGCTTCTCAAAACTTTGTAGTTTCTTTCCTTCTCTTTTTCCCCTTCCCTCAAGAATTGGCATCTGAAATAGATTATTTCTATAACACAGGAAAGTAAGTCATATAAAAGCATTTGATTCCAAAAATAAGCACTGTAAAAATATAGTATGTAACTTCTCATAAGGACCATTGGCATTCATGTGGAATCTGCAGAACAGACAGCATTTCCTTAGGCTCAGATTTTGGAAAGGAAGAAATCTAGACAATGGTCTGATTTGGGAGGACAACAACTTTCATTTAAGTAAATTAGTCATGTAGCTAGCAGTGGAGGATAAACAGGCAAGACATGAGATGGTAGAGAGGCCATGGAATTCTCAGAGTGAGAAAATGTTGGCACAAATTTGTTTCAATATGGCAGATGTCAATGATTGCTGATTGTTAGCCTCTAACTTATAACAAATAATAATTACATAATCTATGTTATCTCTTTTTAGTTAATTATATCTACTGAAATTTAGGGATGTTGGTAGTTTGTTTCAGAAGTTTTTGACTAACAATGTATGCCCCTGTATAAACGCATAACAATAGTAATTATCTGCTGTGGCATTTGAAAAATTAGTCTTCTCCATCTTTTATTTCATTTCACTAAGCCAGTCACCTTAGTTTCAGGTATATTTTCTTCAAAATGATGAGTAATGATGAGTAAAATCTCTGTAATTCATTATATTAAATAGTATAATAAAAATTATGCCTTTTTGTAGAAAATATTCTTAGCTAAGCTTGATCACCTACTACATAACTAATTGTTCAAATTCAAGAAGTATTAAAATTCTGCTTTATTTAAAATGAACTAATCAAGTGTTATTTAAATAGTGAAAAGAACTTGGAAGAGGGAAACTCACAAAACATTCTGATTTACCAGCAGGCAATTTAGCTTGGGCTCTGTCTAAATACATAGATTTGCTACTTATCCTTCATTTTAAGAAGTTTATTTGTCCTTTTCTTTAAAACCACGATTCTTAACACTATATACATATTATAATAACTTGAATTTAAATGTACTTTTTAACATGTACTAATACCATGATTTTTAAATGTACTAATACCGTGGACCCACATGCAGAGATTTCTGCTTTAATTGGCCTAGGCTAGAATTGAACATTCTCTGTTTCAAGAGCTCCCCACATGGTGTTAATGTAGAATAAGAATTGAAACCCAGTTTTCCAAAGCTTCCTTTAGCTTTTTCAGAATTGGTGAGTTGCTTTATCCTTTGGGTATATTACAGATCTATTCATAATTCCAATAGCATTTCCATGCAATATTGTAATGTGTCTATTTATGAATCAATCTCCTCAATCTGAATCTGGGAATGTCTCAAAGTGGAAACCAAATTAACTCTTTATTGGGTATCCAGCATCTATCAGAATGTGTCTGAAATATTATAGGACCTCATTAAATGAGGATCCAGGAGTGTGATGTGTGGATGTGCATGAGAGGTAATTTATAAAGATTGGTGCAAATATTAAGGCAATATTATTATAGACAATGCTTTAAGAGAAGATAGTTTTAGGTCAACTTGATTATATATCTTTCGATGCTTTTGCTTTTTAACTTACTCTAATTTGTCATACAGAAATAAAGATATTGACCTTCAGGTTTATTTGTTTTATGGAAGAAATAAAGAGATTATATCACTAAATCAAATATTTTTCTTACTTAAGGAAGACCTAACGTGCATTCAGCTGCCTGTTAGCTTTTCCTTCTCAATTAACTGCTATTATTGAAAAGTTATTATTAGGCAAGCAGATGATAGCTTTAAACTCATCTATGCTAAACATAAATGCAATCTAATTACAAATCAATAGCATCCTACAGCAAATATGGAAGTAGTTTGTGCATATTTTAGAAAATTTGGAAAATACATACACTCATGATCCTCAGTGGACAAGGCTCCCCCGGCCTCTCATGAAACCATAACCAAAGCATAGTGTTCTTACTCAGCTGGAGGAGGGCTCTCATTGGTCAGACAAATTGGAAATGAGGATCAGAGTGGTCCCTGGAAATGCCTGAAGAAGGGGTGACATCAGTAATCAAACTCCACCTTTTTATCATATGAGAAATGGCTTGCCATGCCTCAGCTACCTGCTTTGACAAGCTATTTCTTACGGTTCCATCAGACCTGCTCAAGTTTCTAAACATTAGGCCTTGCTTGCTCTAACATGCTATAAGAAAAAAGTATCAAAAGAAATAGATACTGCTATAAATATTTATTTTGTCATTTCATATTTTAGAAATATATATTGTGAAAGGGAAGAAAGAACATGTAATCAATCCAATATACTACACATTCCTTATAAGTCTACTGTGTGTAAGGCTCTATTGTTTACTGAGAGGTAAAAGATAAAATGAAATACAGCCCTCAGGCAATAATATCACTCAGAAAATTTCAGAGCAAGGGGCTGATCTGTAGGATTCAGCAGAAAACTTCAAAATAACCCCAGAAAATTATCCATTTCAGAAAAGCAGAGACACTTGATATGTACCCAAAACTATATTCAATAAAACCGTACACATTTTTTGAGATCTACAAATTGTGGGGTGATGGGATAGGTGGTGAGGCACACACAAACACCACTTTTCTTTGACATTGATGTCAGTAGGCAGGACTATCTCTAAAGCCAGAAAGAACTATGTTTTTAAATTTTGGAAAAGAACAACCTGTGTTTGAATCACCCAAGTGCTTGCTAACATAAAAATTCATGGTCCCTACACATTGAATTAGAATCTCTAGTAGCAGAGCTCTGGAATCTGCGTTTTTAACAGCTCCCATGGGAGATTCTTCTGTATATTAAACTTGAAAACCAGTATCCTAGTTTGGGGTGGCAGATATGACTTTGGAACAGAAACCAGGAGATCTGGATTATAATATCAGTTCATCCATTAGCCAAATTGCTTGGCAAATTGTATGTCATGTTTGTCTTTGTTCTTTCAATTTATTGCCTGCAAGTAACATTCAGTAATGCTTGTTCAGCTAAAATTAATCAAACGTTGGTTAAGTAACTTAATGTTTAAATCCCATTTTTTCTATAACCTAGCTATTCTGGATTCTATGATTTTAATGCATCTTCTAGTTCTAATACTCCATGGTTCCAGGGAGAAGAGGTAGATTCATCCTCAAATAAAGCAAGAGCTACCTCAGTTCTGATGTAGCCACAACTCCTAGCCAGTGGTGACTAATAAAACCCTGTATCCCCTGATATGTTTTCTCTGGAGTTGGGAAAACTCAGGGGACTTGTATTAGCCTCACAGGTAAGGTACCTAAAAAGCATCAAACAGACATTGCTGTGTTGCAGCTTACTTGCACATTCAAAATTACAGTAAAGGGTCAGGCACGGTGGCTCATGCCTATAATCCCAGTACTTTGGGAGATTGAGGCAGGAGGATTGCTTGAGCCCAGGAGTTTGAGACCTGTGCTACATAATGAGACCTCATCTCTACAAAAAATAAACAAAATTAGCTGAGCGTGGTAGCACACACCTGTGGTCCCAAGCCTACTTGTGGGGCTGAGGTGGAAGGATCTCTTGCGCCAAGGAAGTTGAAGCTGCAGTGAGTCATGATCATGCTGAGAGGTGACAGCCTGCTGGCAGCCCTGGCAGCCCTCTATCGCTATCGGTGCCTCCTCGACCTCGGTGCCCATTCTGGCCGTGCTTGAGGAGCCCTTCAGCCCGCCGCTGCACCGTGGGAGCCCTTCTCTGGATTGGCCGAGGCCGGAGCCGGCTCCCTCCGCTTGCGGGGAGGTGTGGAGGGAGAGGCACGGGCCGGGAAACGGGGCTGCGGGCGGCGCTTGCGGGCCAGCGCGAGTTCCGGGTGGGCGTGTGCTTGGCGGGCCCTGCACTCAGAGCGGCCGGCCGGCCCTGCTGCCCCGGGCAGAGGGGCTTAGCACCCGGGCCAGCAGCTGCGGAGGATGCGACGGGTCCCCCAGCAATTCCGGCCCACAGGCGCTGCGCTCGATTTCTCACGGGGCCTTAGCTGCCTCCCAGTGGGGCAGGGCTAGGGACCTGCAGACTGCCATGCCTGAGTCTCCACCCACCCCCAGCCGTGGGCTCCTGCGCAGCCTGAGCCTCCCAGTGGAGCGCCGCCCCCTGCTCCACTGCGCCGGGTCCCATCGACCGCCCAAGGGCTGAGGAGCGCTAAAACAAGGCGCGAGCAGCTCCCCCTGCAGCCCCAGTGAGGGATCCACTGGGTGAAGCCCATCTGGGCTCCTGAGTCTAGCAGGGACTTGGATGAAACTTTATGTCTAGCTAAGGGATTGTAAATACACCAATCAGCACTCTGTGTCTTGCTCAAGGTTGGTGAATGCACCAATCAGCACCCTGTGTCTAGCTCAAGGTTTGTAAATGCACCAATCAGTGCTCTGTGTCTAGCTAATCTAGTGGGGACTTGGAGAACTTTTTTGTCTAGCTCAAGGTTTGTAAACGCACCAATCAGCACCCTGTCAAAACAGACCAATCAGCTCTCTGTAAAACAGACCAATCGGCTCTCTGTAAAATGGACCAATCAGCAGGATGTGGGTGGGGCCAGATAAAAGAATAAAAGCAGGCTGCCCAAGCCACCACTGGCAACTTGTTCCAGTCCCCTTTAATAGTGTGGGAGTTTTGTTCTTCAGCTCTTTGCAATAAATTTTACTGCTGCTCCCTGTTTGGGTCCACACTTTCTTTATGAGCTATAACACTCAAGTGAAGTTCTGTAGCTTCACTACTGAAGCCAGCTAGATCACGAAGCCACCCGGAGGAACAAACTAACTCCGGATATGCTGCCTTTAAGAACTGTGACACTCACCGCAAGGGTCCCTGGCTTCATTTTTGAAGTCAGTGAAACCAAGAACCCACCAATTCTGGACACAATGCTACTACACTCCAGCTTGGGCGACAGAACGAGACCTTGTCTCAAATACACACTCACGTAACACACACACAGGATGAGGAAAAAAAATGCCCAAGGTTTTCCGTGTGAATTGTGTCAGCTTCTGCCTAAGTAGATCACCCAGAGACTTAAAGAATCTTTAGCAGGAAGAAGTTGGAGGTAGTGATTCACTACATGAAAAACACATCAGCTTTAAACCTTTCACAAGCCAAAGTCACAGAGTTAAATCATTGAAATAGGACACAGTAATATTTACGTGGTTCTTTTCACCTCTTCAATTTGGGAGGAACGTGAGGTAGGATATGATGGGAGAACAGAAGAAAGACTCACATCCCTCATCCCAAGCCTTAGTCCTTGGCCAGAGAAGGGGAGAAGACTTACTTCCAGATAAAGTTGGAAATGTTGACTATTACATGGAAATAGATCTTTCTGTTACTGAAGTTAGATTGTTTCAGAGATTGACAAGACTAGATTTACTCTGGATTTCAAGCTACTGCAAAGGGAAAATGTAACCTTACAGAGTAGATTTGAATACATCAGAAGGGAAAACAAAAATACTGAATTTTTAAATATGTATATATACGTTATTTTATAGTTCCGAGATCCTTGCAATTTATTCTAACAATTAACCTACAAAAATATGTTGAAAATTAGTAATATGAAAAGAATCCTTCCTGGCCTTTTGGGTGATGAGAAGATGTGCATTACATTGTTCCCAATCTTAGTGAGATTTTCCTGTTTATTTGCAAGATAATGTCAATAATTAGATTTCAATGCATAATAAAACAAATATTGATATAAAGCAAAGTTATTAATTTTAACTGGAAAGATCTGGCATGTTTTCACATAGCAAGGGCATTATCAAGGTCTCTTGATGAATTTTTTTTAAAAAAAAACAAAAGCAAACAACAGCTTGATGAGAATGCAGATTAGTGAAAAAATGGAGTGTTTAGAACGAGAGAATAGAATACTATGAAATTGGAGTATGGTGAATACAGGAATGACAAAAGCAATATCTTAAAAAGATAATCTTAAAAGTATAAAAGTTTTTGAATAAAAATGGTTTGTACTAAACCTGTTAAAAGTAAAATGTCATTTGGGGGCTAATGTAGGAGAAAATATAATTTTTTAAGGTTTTTGACATTTTTATTTTGCAAAAATGCAGAATATACATTTTATTTAAAAATCTATACTGTATACATTCTCAACTATAAATAATATTTGAGAAAAACATTAAATGTAAATATTTCCATTTCACTCTAAACAAATGACAATAAAATGCAGGTTTCTTTTGGAAAGAGTAGTATAAATGAAAAGGTAGAATATTAATTGTCTTTGGAGCCAAATTACTGGCCATCCGTATAAACAGAATTGTGAATCTTAAAGTTGTCTTTAACGAAAAACTTGGGTTTGTTGTCTTAAAACTTAACTTGGAGCCAGGTGCGGTGGCTTAAGCCTGTAATCCCATCACTTTGGGAGGCCAAGGCGGGTGGATCACGAAGTCAGGAGATCCAGACCATCCTAGCTAACACGGTGAAACCCCATCTCTACTAAAAATAAAAAAAAATTAGCTGGGCGTGGTGGCGGGGGCCCGCAGTCCGAGCTACTCGGGAGGCTGAGGCAGGAGAATGGCGTGAACCTGGGAGGCGGAGCTTGCAGTGAGCAAAGATCACGTCACTGTACTCCAGCCTGGGCGGCAGAGCAAGACTCTGTCTCAAAAACCAAAAAAAAAGAAAGAAAAAGAAAAACTCTATGAAACTAAAGAAATACAAACAAGCAAAAATAGAATATTTAAGATGATGGCAGTGTATCAGTATTAAGAGAGATTAAATAGCTTAGAAACTTTTAGACTGGAAATGAAAAGAGGAAATGAGGGCAGTTACGAATGCCCCCGCTAAAAACAAGAGAACAAGAGAAGCCTTCTTCACCAAATCCCATTATGAATAAGCCCCTGTGTGGCATTTTACATGTAAACACTAGTTAAAATGAATATTGAAATGGATAAAGAGAATTATAGTTATGCAAAATATTGCCATGCAAATGCTTATAGACACATGTCTTGAGGACCATGTGGTGCAGGTATAAAATTGAGTTTATTGGAAAGTGATTTACTGGCAAAGAAGTAGCAGAGCACACCCAATTCCCTGAGTTTTCCTTATTGGATATCTTTGGCAGGACAGAGGTGAGCTCTTGCACTACTGGGAATGCATGCATGCATTCCCAGTAGAGGGGTGCCGGCCCACAAAGATGGATACATTTATAGGTCGAGAAGACAAGAGCTTCTATCTGGTCTGGAAAGTCACATTTTGGAAAGGAATATCTCCAGATGCACCAGCCCCGTCTTCCGCTGAGCTAACTCAGACCTGGTCAGCCAGGTCTCACCTAAGCTATTCAAATGCCGAAGGAAATAATCCTCCAGATTTAGCAAATATTTTTTTAAAGATTTTCATTTACACTTGAATTTCAGATAAAAAATAATCAATTATTTGTATATAGCTGGGTATGTCTGGGACACACATACTAAAAAAAAAAAAAATAAGTTACGTGAAATACAAATTGAACTAAATTTGTATTTAATCTGGCAATCCTATGCCAGATTTGTCTCTATTCTTTTTTTTTATTATTATTACACTTTAAGTTTTAGGGTACATGTGCACAATGTGCAGGTTAGTTACGTATGTATACATGTGCCATGTCGGTGTGCTGCACCCATTAATTCGTCATTTAACATTAGGTATATCTCCTAATGCTATCCCTCCCCCCTCCCCCCACCCCACAACAGTCCCCGGTGTGTGATGTTCCCCTTCCTGTGTCCATGTGCTAATGATAGCAAATGACCTGCTCGGTGGTGGGTGGGAGTGGTCTCATGACACAGACAGCTCAAGTAGAAGTGATTATTATGTATATGTGTATCAAGGGAAATCTGGCACCATATTTTCTGTTCCATTATTCTTTATTTTCTCTTGTTGTGTCTTCTTGAAATTATTCCATGTGATCCCAGGATTCCTAAAGATTCTCAAAATAAAGTGAGAAAATATTCTTTAATACTGGGCAGCTTTGGGTTTTATTTTCCTTCTGTTATCGTGGACAAGTTGCTTCACCTTTCTTAAGCTAAATAGCTAAATTTTCTCACCTGTAAAGTAGGCTTGTATAATATCAGACACAGATAATTTTTATGAGTAAATATTATAATGTATATCAAATGCACAGACTAGTGAATGCTCACTAAATGATAGAAATCATTAATGTGACGTGTACTAGAAATATACTTTTCCAATTTATAAAAACTAAACAACACTTTAGAAAGACTGAAATATGCAAGTCTAAAAACAAATGGGAGAAAATGATATTTCACATACCACATACTAGGTGGAATAAGCTTAAAATGTAGTTCTCCACGATTGAATAGTTTCACAGAGAAGAGTTCATTATGGAATCAAAATGGAATAAAAAGAAAAGATTCCACATATGTGTTCATGCTTAAATATTATTGAACATATGGTGTTTTGGAGAATATTCCTTTTGTATTACCATGTAGAAGAGAAAATATCAAGCTTTATGTCCTTTCATTTTTTTATAAATATAATCAAATGTCGGTTTGCCCAACCATTAACACCATTTAAATGAAAAAGTCAAAGTAATTTCTCTTCTTGTCATGTGCCCCATCCCCATCTTCAGTAATTATTCTGAATAGATTTTAATTAAAAATTTACCTCGATCAAGTTTTTGAAATCTAGGGCTTTAAAGACCCTACACTGAATTATTATTTAAATGAAAAGCTTTTTATCTCATGAAGCAGACTAAAATGTGTAGCATTGAGATTTTAGACATGGCATGAAATTTGTTAAAATTTAAATAAATGTTTTTCTTTCTGTAACAGTAGTGACTTCCCATTGAATATATGAATGCACTTGGGGACTACTGCTGCAGGTCATAAATGACTCAGGTGCTGTGGCCATCTTCTGATTGATGGTATTACAGTCATTTGATGATCATCTTTTATCCTATATATCATAATCTTCCATTTCTAGGCTTTGAGTGCATAATTGAAATAATACGTTGGTGTTATATTATTAAAAATATGAATCTATAAGTTACCCACTCTTGCAGAGTTTAGGGAAAATTTATTAGTATATGTCTCACTAAATTGATGAAATTCATAAATACAGCTTAAGTAAATATCATTTTAAAGCTATTAATTTTTTTAAAGTACAACTTTACCAATGCCTTTTTATCATCTGATTTTGAAGAAATGTCTTTTTTTCAAGGATTAAATAACTGAGCTGTGAAATTAGTTTTGTTGACTGTATCTATCAGATGAAAGTAGAATGAGAGGGGGACAAGGGAAAGTAACTCTTCGTTGGGACTTCACTGAGCCGAGTTCCTGGGAAATGCTTAGTGAGAAATCATAAATTAAAATGAGTGGAAGGAAGTGCCTTTTATGTAACTCATAATTAACCCTTGGAACCCTGCCACAATATTTTATGAAGGCAAATAACTTAGCAAGATTCAACAAGAAATTAGATACCATATCTGAATAAGAGTGTCACTTGCAGTTAATCTGCCTCCAGTAAAAATTATAGAGGTTATCAATGATTATGCTTATATTTTAAATGATCACAAGCTAATGCCAAAAGAGTAATGTTCTTTGAGATATGGTGTCAGAGGCTGAGCTAAGTGTTTTGGAGTTTGGATGGGTCACAGATTCACAAAGTTTTTAGTTGTCACAAATTATATTCTCCTAAACTATACAGTAGTGTTACAAAAATACCAGATTAAGCAGATTAAGCATTTCATATATAAAATGGATCTAAGCCTTAGATTTTTCTTTCATCCTCTGCTTAATCCCACCCTTACTCGTATTTTTTATTACAATGCCAGTATTTTCACTGTGCCCCCCACTCTGGATGGTGGTGGTAATACATAGAGGGGATTGAAAGATTCTTTGAACAGTTTACAGTGGTGAGTTGAATATTCACAATATCATAATCTCAGACATTAAATAATGCAGTAGACAAGGTAGAGTATTTTGCACTTGGCTAAGTGGGTCTATTATAGTGAACATGTATGTGCTATTTCTTCTCAGCAGATTAAGCTGCTATGGAAGAATGAGCTATGCAACAATTTCACAAAGTAAAATACGTCATTTTTTAGGGTTAAATTCAATCCGAGCATACAAAAATGATAAATTAGATGTTCCTTTGAGAGGTGGGTCTGAAGAAAATCTGAGTATTTAATGTTATTCCAAGACAAAAAAATAAGTTTGGTGGTTTTCTTCTTGCCTTCCCTGGTCTGTTCTAGTGGCTCTTTATCTCTGTATTTTTATATTTGTTTTAGTATGTGCCTTGCCCTGTGATTTTATTTATACTAAGATAAGAAAGAGAAGGTAAGGGTGTAGGAATAACCAAAACACAGTATAGTTGTGCCCAAATGAGAAACTGTAAGTTTGTATCATTTGAATACTATGTCTCTAGTTTGGAATTAGTTCTACCTGTATCATCTCTGTTATTTATTTCCATTGGAAAAATATTATATATTTAGTCATGATTAAGCTTATCTTTCTTTATCCTCCTTAAAGGAACCAACTATGAAAAAAGCAACATTTTCTGCCAAAATAAATTTGGTATCGAGGTGTGAATAAATTATATCAAACGCATTTTTTAAAAAAAATTTATTTATAAGAGCAGTTCTTATTGAAATTAGACAACTTTTTTTTGTTTATATATTTCTGAAGACTTCTGCTCATAGAATATAATGTAAAAGACTGCTGAGACTAAATTAACAGAAAATGAAGCTTCCTTCCATTAAGCCATAAGTTAGGTGATGGTAATAATAACTGAATATTTTACAGTACAATTCTCAGTGTTTTTACTTCAGCTAGAATATCACAGATTGCCTCAACTGTTGAACTTCTCAAAGAAAGTTCAGTTGTAACATTCTATAGGAAAGGAGATCAATTTCACCCCAATACTTAATTTGCAGAGTTATTAATATGAATATTTTTTATACATAATTTTTTTGAAAGTTTAATCTTCTAACCTGTTCTGGTAATCAAAACTATAGTAAAATCTACCTTCCGGTTATATAGTTCATTATGAAACTTAGATTCTAGTTACTAAGAAAAACTGCATTAATATATTATGTATCTATTAATGCATATATAATATGAATGTATCAATGCAGAAACAATCAATAGTCGTATTTTTCTTCATTATAAATTTTCAATTTAATAACAACCTGCCATTTTTTCCCCTGGTAGGAGAGCTATTACTGGCAATTATGAGATACATAAAAAGCTTTAGCATTACAGAAAAGCAAACTGCTACGTTTAGAAATTTTCATGTATACTTAGAAAGCTTACTGTTAACTACATTTTGTTTCTTACTTAAAAATTATGACAGTAAGTAGAGTTCTTTAAATTAAAGAAGAGGCTAGGACAGAAAACCTCTTTAAATCAGTTGGGTAGAAGTTTATGAGTCTTGCTAATAAACCATTCCAATTAAAAGAACAAAGCAGGAAGGTAGGGAATGCAAGACAGCTTGACTATTATGGGCCAGGCATTTTTCTTGGTATTTTATATTCACAAGTATTATACATTTAAGGTTCACACAAACTCTGTTGAAAGTTAGTCTTATTTGCTTCATCTGTACATAACGTAATGAGGTGCATCTTAAGTTATAGGGAAGACTTTTCTGACATACAGAAAAGTTAATTTTTTCTTAGTAACGTGCCTGGTGGTCAGGTGCGCATCCTCTGGTGCCATACTTGCTGAACCTTCTGAATCCCAGTTTTGCCCTTCACCATCTATATGATATTTAGCAAAAATACTTAACATTTTTAGTTATTTGATTTTTTTTCAGTTTTGGAAAGAGAGTAATAATAGAACTTGTCTCATTCTGCATGATGATTGTGATAGGATTAAATGAGATAATATAAGTAAAGCACTGAGCACATTTCCTGGCATATCAAATCCTAAATTCTTATCAAAAGAAACTACTAATTTGGAAGTGAACAAATATATCATTTCTGTAATACCATGTCTAAAATAATATTGTAGTAGTTACCAGAAGTAGAATTCAGTCCAGAGGTTTCAATTTTATTTTTCTCTTTTTGATTATATATGTTAGAGTATGTAATATTTTAAAACGAATTGAAATATAAAAAAGATAATATGAAATCTGGTGCAACTGCTGTCAATATTTAATGAATGTTAACATGTCACATTTTGAATATTTTGTGATAATTTTATAATTCTTTGGATGCAATTGCTGAAGTCTTTTTATACCCTATTTCCACATAGACATTTACCCTCTGCTCCATTCCTTCCTTTGCATTCTGGCATAAACCACCACCCTAAAGCTTGTATGGATCTTTCTCTTTCATGATTTGAAATTCATCATGTATGCATACATTCAAAAATAATGTAATGATATTGTTTTATATGCTTTTAAACTTTGTATAAATGGTAGCAGGTCATTTGTATCATTCTTCAGATTGCTTTTGACTTCAGCATTGTATTTTTGAGAATTATTTACGATGATTAATGAAGACATAGTCTACATTTTAATTGTTCTAGAACATAGCCTATATGACTATATCCATTCATCTGCTGATAATATTTAGGTTGTTTCCATTTTTTTCTATTACAAAAAAGCACAGCAATGTTATTCATATCAAATTATGCAAAAGTGCAAGAGTTCCTCAAGCGCTCTGTTTAGAAGTAGAATTTCTGGCTGATGGGATATGTGTCACTCCAGTGATTAGTTTCCTATTGATGCAGTAACAAGTTACCATACATTTAGTGACTTGAAATGACAAATATTTATGATATTACAATAGATATATAGATCTAAGTACTAGATCACAACTGTCACACAGGTCTCACTTAGCTAACCAGCATGTTGGCAGTGCTGTATTTCTTTCTGGAGACTGTAGGGGATAATTTGTTTTCTTCCCTTTTCTTAGTCCTAGAGGCTGCTCACAATCCTTGGTTACGACCCTTCCTTCATCTTCAATGCCAGCAGTGGTGGGCCAAGTCCCTCTCATATCATATCACTCTGACCATTGTTATATCTATCTCCCTCTATGAATGACTGGGAAAGGTTATCCATTTCAACGACTCACAGTATTATATTGGGTCCAACAAGATAATTTAGTAAAATCTCCCTATTTTAAGGTCAGCTAATTAGGAATGTTAATTCTTATTCAACCTTAATCTTTTTTTGCCTTGTAACCCAACACAGTCAGAGGCTCTGAGGATTAGGACATTTACATCTTTGGGGGAGCAGGTCATTGCTCTGCCTGCCATGTCAACATTACCCAGTATTGCCTAGTAACTCTCTAAAATGTTTGTACCAGTTATGCCCCTACAAGTAGTGGATGAGCTTTCTTTTTTCTTTACATCTGGTCCACATTTCGTGTTGTTGGGTATTTACATTTTTGGCAATCTGTAATCTCTTACTGTTAATTTAATTTTTCTTTTCTCAACAGAATTTTGATTTTAATTTCTCAAGTAAATTGAACTTCTTATAATGTGTTCATTGATTATTTTGGTTTCCTTTTTGAATATTAGTTTCATATCTCTTGTTATTTTTCTAGCTGCATTGTTTTCTGTTTTTATATTAGTTTTAGAAGTTATTTATATATTCTCTATATTAATTCTTGGTAGGTTAAGTGGGTTCTCCAATATTGCAGTCCTATTTTAAAATGCATTTACCTTATTTTTGTATGAGAATTAAAATTTTAATGCAGAAGAATTTACTAATCTTTTACAGTTTGTACATTTTTTGTCTCATTTAAGATGTTATTCCTAATCTGAGGTTAAAAGATACTGCTCTATTTTTTTATACTTACAAAAGTTTTTCTCATATAAGTCTTTAATCCACTTGAAACTTTCAATGTGCTGTAAGGCAGAGATCCAATTTTATTTTATTTTCCATATGGATAACAATTGTTTTAATTTCATATACTGAATTTTCAGTGGTTTCCCCACTCATTTTCTCCTTCTCAAAGCCTGCCATTATAATTTGTACATTTCTAGATTTCTATTCAAAATACAATTCCCTGTTTTTAACCCCTCAACTGCAGTTCATACTACAATCTTACCCTTACAAACCTTAAATAGCTGATGATCTGCTGTATGTTAACCTGGATACCGAGTACATTGGTATATGAATTAGGTTTGCTACAATAATAAATGACTTCTTCTTCTTTTTGGTTTTAGAAACAAAAGTTTTGTCACATATGTTCATGGTGACTGCTCATCAGTTGCTTCTGTTTCTGTTCCATATGTCTTTTCATTTGAGTCCCAGCTAAAAAAAGAGAAGCTCCCATCTGAGAAGTGTGATTCACATGGTACAGGAAATAGAGGAAGAGAGTTGGCAACTCATTTAATGGCTCTCAAAGCCTCTGCTTGAATGTGAAGCACATTACTTCCACTCATTCCATTTGCCAAAGCAAGTCACATGGCTAAGCACTGTGTTGATTGGACAGGGAGATATATCTTCTTCCAATAAGAGATTCAGCAAGGCACATCACAAAGACCAAAAGATATATAGTTTTCTTTTAAGATGGGAGAGTGACTATTAGCAAAAAAAATTAGTCAATATGCCAGAATAAGTATTCATTTTACCATTCATATTTGTTAATTGTACATGTTTTAGATAATTGCATATTTCATATATTTGACATTAAAATAGTGAGTTAATAATCTGTACATATCGGGTGAAGGATTGATACTGAATGCAGTAACAAATATAAAATGTGAAACAAATCTTTAAGAGAGATACGTAGACTATATTCAGCATCTGCCATGAACCCAATGATGGCATGAAATTTGAAAGATAAAATAGAGGGCAGTTTTTAGAAATAAAGAATGTTGAGTCTACAGATTAAATAAAGGGGTTCACAGAGGTCCAACCAAGATGAATAAAGTAAAAGTAAAGGAGGTTTTACATATAAAGGAGGGATTGATTGAATCTGTTATTAATGTGGTAACAAAACTTGGGATTTAAAAACAGAGATGTGACATACTAGAATCATCCACTTTTGATTCATCATGAGTTCATTTTCATAGTTTGTACTCCAGTCTCCTCTTCATTCCTTTTTAAATTTTCACTCACTGTTCCAGGCACACTGAACTTTAAATATGTTTTTTTCTAAGCCACCATGCCTTTTTGTTCCTGCTCATGCCGTTCTCATTCCCTGAACTTTCCTTCATTGTTCATTGTGCCAACAGTTTATCACTCCATTCTCTGTGCTTCATTAACCTGTATGCATACTTTTGACATAGCACTTTTATTAGTCATGTTTTCGTATGTGTTTCTGTATTTCTACTTATCATCAAAGCCTAGTCCCTGTAGGAGGCTTGCATATAGGATAAACTCATAGAGTACATGATTTAATGAGTAAATTGTGTCCCTCACTTTTTTCGGACTTTCTTTCCACGGTTGCGCTGAAACTCATCCATTCCATCATTCAATCTAGTGGTTTTCAGTGGTGGTATCATACCATTCAGGTAGAGGTAATTGAGAAAAATAGAAATAATTTTGGGAAATTGCCACTGCAAAGGAAATTTGGGCAAGGAGTCATAAACTCTGTCTTAAATGGTGACAATTTGAGTGGTTATTATAGTCCAAGTCTTCTCTGTCAAGAAAGTAATCAAATTCCTTTATGAACTTAGAGGTGACAGCAGGAAAACTAAGAGAAGCCGATTTATTTTCTCACTGGTGTAAAAATAATTTATTATTAAAATGACTTTAAGCATAAGCAACACAACTGATCATTTGGCTAATGATAAAATTGAGAAAATAGCGCTTACAAATTGTGAAGAAACCTATATTCTTTAATTATGCAATTTAAATATGAATAATATTTCCCTATGGTGTTCCCTAGGGTGTAGACTCAGATCTTATTTTTACTATAATACAAACAGAAGATGACTTACAGAAGAGATTTCATGACCTGTAAGGAATCCAAATTTTGTGTTACAAATATTAGAGAAGTACACAATGGCAACCATGAAAGGGATGTGTGTAATCCCCAGTGGAAAGAAGTTCTGTACTAAGAGTGTCAATTTAATGAGGTATAGAATTAAAAAATACCATCCGAGTTATAGGATGAAACAAGGTAGAAGGCAGCAGTAACACATTTTTTTTGAGATACTTAATTATATAGCTAATTTATTTTAAGTAAGCTCTTTAGAATGCTCAATAAAATATTATTCGTGGCCAGGAGCAGTGGCGTATGACTGTAATCCCAGCACTTTGGGAGACCGAGGTGGGCAGATCACTTGAGGTCAGGAGTTTGAGACCAGCCTGGCCAACATGGCATAACCTAATTTCTACTAAAAATACAAAAAATTAGCTAGGTGTGGTGGCATGCACCTGTAATCCAGCTACTCAGGAGGCTGAGGCAGGAGAATCACTTGAACCTGAGAGGCGGAGGTTGTAGTGTGCTGAGATCGTGCCACTGTACTCCAGCTTGGATGACACAGCGAGACTCCATCACAGAAAAAAATATATATATATATTGGATTGAATTTGATGTTTGATTTTGAGGTCATTCAGGTTGCTGAATGAATGTCTGATTTTGGGAATAGATACCTTGGGCTATTATATCTTTGAACATTTATATATTAATCTTTGAGGAATTCAGAGAAAAACATGTATTTATTCTTGTATTGGAAGAGGAGGCTTGAAAATGAAATACAAATAATTAGTCCCAAGGAGGAAAAACTAGAGGTAGTAAAGAGAGTGACAATATAAATAAGCAAGAGTATGGACAAAAATATTGGATGCATTATACCATAAAAGCAATTAAAGCAATTAAAAAGTGATAAAACTCCTGTCTTCTGTATTGACTGAATTGTTTACAAACTCCCAGAATTCACAGACACTTTAAGTGGACATTTTTCACTTTTGTTTTCCCTTTCTTTTTCTTTCTTTCTTTCTTTCTTTCTTTCTTTCTTTCTTTCCTCTTTCTTTCTTTTTATTTCTTTCTGTTTCTTTCCTTCCTTCCTTTCCTTCCTTTCTTTCCTTCCTTCTTTCTTTCTTTCGTTCTTTCTTTCCTTCTTTCTTCTTTCTCTCTTTCTTCTCCTTCCTTTCTTTCTTTTCTTTCTTTCTCTCTTTCTTTCTCTTTCTCTCTTTCTTTCTTCCTCCCTCCCTTCCTTCCTTCCTTCCTTCTTTCCTTCCCTCCCTCCCTCCCTCCTTCCTTCCTTCTTTTTCTTACATAAATGTGCTAATAATTTGCTGTGGCTACCCAATATTTAAATCCATTCTAATTTAGGAAAAATTTTGCATGATTATTTGTAGGAGATGGAGTACATCTAACCCAAAAATCTGGGGCTGTATTTCTTTAATTTAAATAAATCAACCAATAAATTATTAAATGCATAAGGATTGCCATTAAACTTGAGAATATCAATTAGCAGGCAATTTGAGAGCCTTCTCTGCAAATATCTGTGTAGGTTTTAAAATTTTAACTACTGTCAGACAAGTTAGCCTGCCACAGTTTCATGGATGCTGGAAGAAGACACAAGACTTGTGGATCAGAGTCAAAGGATAGTATATCACTCATAGCAATAGGGCAGCTTATTGCTCACAGGAATAGAAGCAGCCAGAATACTAAATACTTTTGTATCCGTTTCCTGAGTTCCATTTCCACATGGCTATATAGAGGGCCAGATGACATATGCACACTCAGTGAGATGTATGACAAAATATGGGCCTTAGGAATCTGAATATTCTGTGGCCAGTTGGCACACTTGGCATATGCTCTAGAGGGAGGCACTACCTAACTCTATTTTTAAAGGTAATTCCCAATACAAGCATGCTTTAAAAGATTGTCCAGAGCAAAGAGCAGTCAATGACTTGCTTATAAGACCTATGAAAACTTGATAGACCCATGGGAAATTTATTGTATTTCCTCCAACACCAGTAGATCACAATCATTCAAGATTATCAGATTAAGCATGCATGCCTCAGAGTATTACACTTAGGATATAAGGTAAAAAAAATCTTACCTGGAATATTTTATTATTTATATATTTAATGCTACTGTTCTTAAGTAGAAAAAAGTTATCTTACATAAAAAATGTCAAATGTGAACCCCATTTATAGATCTGTTATTAGGATGAAAAGTTGTTTGTAAACTGCTATGAACATAAAGTGTTATATATCTGTTCTAAGATGATTACAGATACACTTTACGGTTGTTTTACAGATGTTAAAGCTAAAGACAGTAATAGTGAAAGGGCAAATCCAACTTTACTTTCAAAGATTAATAAGGGGTTAAGTTATGTCTCGTGACTCTGAGAGTTCTTTGTTTTGTATTGCTTTGTTTTAAATGAAAACGTTCACTGGTGTTAAATGCTAGGCTGATAACAAGCAAACATGATCATTGAAAATTATAAAGTTTGTTTTTTCTCTGTATTTACTGGACATCTTGTTTCACAATATATTCATTTGTTTTAAATACATATACAGAATTATTTCTTAAATTTGTATTTTTTACTTTGATAATGCTACTTCTATGGCATTAACTCAATACAATTTCTAGTTTTCTCCGTTTTCATGAATGATACTGACAACGGCATTATTACTAGATACACAAGTGGGTCTGAAAATACAAAATCTGACCTTTATCGCTAATGGGATTAGCATGGGCTGCCATCTTTCATGGTGTGACATAACTGCTGTTTTGATAACTGACTACAATCAATCCTCTGCACTTGCTTGATTCAGCAGAGCTGAATTGCTTTGAAGCCCTTCTCGCTGAGAAAACTGATTTTACTCTGGGAATTGGTGAATAATGTTTCTCTTACTCTATACAGCTTTTGAGGGAATCTAATAAAACTGTTACCAAAGCATAATGACAATGTATGTGTAAGCATAATTTAAATAAACATACTTTAAAACTCAGTTGTGAACCAAAATTGAATTTAGTGATTTGGATGTCAGAAACCTAGAATGAATGTCTTAGGCAGTGGGGCTAAAAGAAGAAAATCTAATGTCATTTGGCATGCTGTTAGGTTCCATGTTAGTCTTATTAAACTCATAATAAAACTCAATATCAATAAAAAGCAATGTTTTCTAAGACCTAAAATTAAAGCAAAGGTAGAAAGTTTAAACTTTAAAAATGCCACTTGATATGGTTTGGCTCTGTGTCCCCACTCAAATCTCATCTTGAATTGTAATCCCCACATTTAAAGGGAGGGACCTGTAATTCCCTGTGTCAAGAGAGGGAGGTGATTGGATCATGGGGACAGTTCTCCCATGCTGTTCTCGTGATAGTGAGTTCTCACGAGATCTGATGGTTTTATAAGTGTTTGGACGTTCATCCTTCATTCTTCTCTCTCCTACTGCCTTGTGAAGAAGGTGCTTGCTTCCTTTTCACTGTCTGCCATGGTTGTAAGTTTCCTGAGGCCTCCCCAGCCATCCAGAACCATGAGAATTCAATTAAACCTCTTTCCTTTATATATTATCTAGTTTGGGGTGTTTCTCTATAGCAGTGTGAAAACAGACTAATACACCACTTCATTTATGTTTACCTTCATGACTTGGAGGAAAAATTTTTTTTTAATTATACTTTAAGTTTTATGGTACATGTGCACAACGTGCAGGTTTGTTACATATGTATACATGTGCCATGTTGGTGTGCTGCACCCATTAACTCGTCATTTAACATTAGGTATATCTCCTAATGCTATTCCTTCCCCCTTCCCCCACCCCACAACAGGCCCAGGTGTGAGATGTTCCCCTTCCTATGTCCAAGTGTTCTCATTGTTCAATTCCCACCTATGAGTGAGAACATGTGGTGTTTGGTTTTTTGTCCTTGTGTTAATTTGCTGAGAATGATGGTTTCCAGCTTCATCCATGTACCTACAAAGGACATGAACTCATCATTTTTTATGGCTGCATAGTATTCCATGGTGTACATGTGCCACATTTTCTTAATCCAGTCTATCATTGTTGGACATTTGGGTTGGTTCCAAGTCTTTGCTATTGTGAATAGTGCCGCAATAAACATACGTGTGCATGTGTCTTTATAGCAGCATGATTTATAATCCTTTGGGTATATATCCAGTAATGGGATGGCTGGGTAAAATGGTATTTCTAGTTCTAGATCCCTGAGGAATTGCCACACTGACTTCCACAATGGTTGAACTAGTTTACAGTCCCACCAACAGTGTAAAAGTGTTCCTATTTCTCCACATCCTCTCCAGCACCTGTTGTTTCCTGACTTTTTAATGATCGCCATTCTAACTAGTGTGAGATGGTATCTCATTGTGGTTTTGATTTGCATTTCTCTGATGGCCAGTGATGATGAGCATTTTTCATGTGTCTTTTGGCTGCATAAAAGTCTTCTTTTGAGAAGTATCTGTTCATATCCTTCACCCACTTGTTGATGGGGTTGTTTGTTTTTTTCTTGTAAACTTGTTTGAGTTCTTTGTAGATTCTGGATATTAGCCCTTTGATCAGATGAGTAGATTGCAAAATTTTTCTCCCATTCTGTAGGTTGCCTGTTCACTCTGATGGTAGTTTCTTTTGCTGTGCAGAAGCTCTTTAGTTTAATTAGATCCCATTTGTCAATTTTGGTTTTTGTTGCCATTGCTTTTGGTGCTTTAGACATGAAGTCCTTGCCCATGCCTATGTCCTGAATGGTATTGCCTAGGTTTCCTTCTAGGGTTTTTACGGTTTTAGGTCTAATATTTAAGTCTTTAATCCATCTTGAATTAATTTTCTATGAGGTGTAAGGAAGGGATCCAGTTTCAGCTTTCTACATATGGCTAGCCAGTTTTCCCAGCACCATTTATTAAGTAGGGAATCCTTTCCCCATTTCTTGTTTTTGTCAGGTTTGTCAAAGATCAGATAGTTGTAGATATGCGGCGTTATTTCTGAGGGCTCTGTTCTGTTCCATTGATCTATATCTCTGTTTTGGTACCAGTACCATGCTGTTTTGGTTACCGTAGCCTTGTAGTATAGTTTGAAGTCAGGTATTGTGATGCCTCCAGCCTCCAGCTTTGTTCTTTTTTTTTTTTTTTTTTTTTTGAGACGGAGTCTCGCTGTGTCTCCCAGGTTGGAGTGCAGTGGCGTGATCTCAGCTCACTGCAAGCTCCGCCTCCCAGGTTCATGCCATTCTCCTGCCTCAGCCTCCCAAGTAGCTGGGACTACAGGCGCCCGCCAACACGCCCGGCTAATTTTTTGTATTTTTAGTAGAAACGGGGTTTCACCGTGTTAGCCAAGATGGTCTCGATCTCCTGACCTCGTGATCTGCCTGTCTCGGCCTCCCAAAGTGCTAGGATTACAGGCGTGAGCCACCGTGCCCAACCCCAGCTTTGTTCTTTTGGCTTAGGATTGACTTGGCAATGCAGGCTCTTTTTTGGTTCCATATGAACTTTAAAGTAGTTTTTTTCCAATTCTGTGAAGAAAGTCATTGGTAGCTTGATGGAGATGGCATTGAATCTATAAATTACCTTAGGCAGTATGGCCATTTTCATGATATTGATTCTTCCTACCCATGAGCATGGAATGTTCTTCCATTCGTTTGTATCTTCTGTTATTTCTTTGAACAGTGGTTTGTAGTTCTCCTTGAAGAGGTCCTTCACATCCCTTGTAAGTTGGATTCCCAGGTATTTTATTCTCTTTGAAGCAATTGTGAATGGGAGTTCACTGGAAAAATGTTTTTGAGTAACATGAGACTCTCTAGAAATGATTATGTCCATGCTTATCATTTTGTGGATTCAAAAACAAAAGAACAGAGGTATGAAGTCGCATTTCCAACAACAGTGGTGATACCAGCATAGAGTCTTGGGTCAGTAACTGGTCAGAAAGAAGAGACATGGGTCACAGCAGAAGCCTATCCACAAAGAGCTAAGAGAGGGAGGGAGAAAGCCCCCAAGAGCTAGCTCTTGTCAAGACAGAGGTATATGAATATTGAATGCACCACAAGGTGGGGCTTTAAATGACTTACCTGTAGAAACATAAAATCTATTGGTTTATTTATGATTGCTGGTGTCCCTATATACACTGTTCAATCAAATCCTATTGATGTCTTTGTGTGCCAGTAAAATTACGAATTTGTAGTATCCCATAACAGTTTATATCATGTTGATTTTGGCTTTGATATTTTATACTCTTTGTCAACGTATAACTAAGTAGGCTTTGGGAAAGCTGAATACAGAAATTCTTTTTAAACATTGAATAGGAGCATTTTTAGCTGTTATCTTTTTCCTTCCCCTCAGCAATTTTCCTTGTTTTAAAAGCAGATACATTTAAAAATCTCTCTCTCTCTCTCTTTTTTTTTTTTTTTTTTTACCTTAAGGTTACTCAAAGCATGGTAGCAATTGATCAACATTGTTATGTTGCTGGTATAATGATGTCAGTGTTTCCTCAGCTGAATAGCCAATTATTTAGCCACTGTCTTCATCACAAGACGAGGTGCCTCTCTTAGATCAGCTGAAATGTTCATTAGTTATTTCTTCATCTTTCTAGACCCTTGATATCTTGTTTGAGATTTCTTTACTTTCATTTGCAAAGCCCCATGTGTGTACACAGGGAAAAATACAAACAAGTGGATTCACATATGTGTTCTACTTCATTGATATGAATAAAATCTATTACTCTTGTTGGACCCGATTAATGAAAAGAGGTACTAGGGTTAAGTGATGGCTGCCATGATGATATACAAAAAGGCACTGTCCACACACAATTACATTTGATAATATGTTACTTCATGTCCTTTTATTTATTTGTTTATTTTCCCCTCCCATATGCTTTGAGAACATAAAACTTATCTACTAACTAGTTTGTATCTCCTTAAAATTCTGCCTCAATATTGTACTCCATATGCCATGAACAATTAATAAATTATGTTGACTTTACTTCAAAATATATTACTGCACCTGTTTCTCTCAAAATATTCTGAATAAGCTGGGTTTTATACTTTCTCAAGCCACTGAGGAACAAGTTTGCTTAAATCTTTGCATTTGACTTCGGCAGTTAATAAGCATCAGATTTAGGTACATTTAATATTATTATCTTCTATCTCCTCTATCTTGCTCCACTTTGTGAAATTATTAAATCTGTCATTCTTTTTCATGGAGAGATAAGTGGTCTTAATTAGAATTATGCACATTTTAGAAGTGGAAGAAACTTGTCAGTCACCAAAGAGGAACCCGGGACCTCCACTGACTCATGTTTAAGGTTCAGGCCACAGAACTGCTTTAGAAGCACAGCCAGAACTATGAACTAACTTTTGGCCAGCAGAATTTTTGTAAGGTGCCACACTGATATTAAAAAATGATTGGTTGTATTGGCTAGGAATTGTATTGCAGTCCATTGCTTAACTCTACACCAAATTTTCCTCTAAGAATAGCTTCAGTTATTTTCCCCCTTTAAACCTCAAATTGTGGCTAATCCCTGTTATTTATCAAGATCACCAGGATCCTGTGCATTTGACAGCTTTTGCTGTAATGTAACCTTAGGGGCTGCCAGTGAAGAAACAAATTAACATTTTCCTGCTCCTCAACCCCCCAGGGTAAAAGGAACAGCTTCAGTGCATTATTTGGAAAGAAAAGGCAAGGGTCATTTTATTTGTATTCAGTTTAACCTCCCAGGGCAGGTTGTTGACATTGGAACTGGCGAATAGAAAACTGTTAAGAACTATTAAGTTCTCATTAGTGATACCCCTGGATTAGGGCCATGTGGTATAGGATGTCATTTAATAGTAAATATTAAAGAATATTTATGAAAAGAAGAGAAAGGCATGTCTGCATTATTTAGAAGAAGTAAATAGAAGAGTAGAACTTAATTGCTATCAAAACCGGGTCAGAGCCTAATTATGATTTCAGTGGCATGTAACTTTACCTTCTCATTTATTGACTTCGTCATTGTTTGTGGCAATGCCATGGCTCGAAGAATAAAGTGCCTTCAGAAATGTGAGGAGCTCAGAATCATTATTAAATTCAGGCTGTCTATACAATTAATAATTAAATGAAATTTTATCTTTACTAGTTTTCAGAATGGTTTGTTATGAGATAAGATAATATTAATCCATCTGCCAGGGGACAATCTGAAAAAGAATAGAACTCATATCAATTAATTCATCCTACTTTGAAAGTCTATATACAGACTGAATTGTGGCACGCCAATTATTAATGATTTAAATTTTATGAATTCTTATATGCCATTAATAATTTAAGGTGCAGGAAAACAAGGACAACAGCACAAATTGGCACGTTGGTGGCACAGCAACAAAACTTGCACCTAACACAGGGCAACAGAAGAAAAGCTCTGGATCACATCTTGAGAAAACCAGCATTATTAATTTGTGAACTTTATGTATTTTTTTAACATTTTCTCATAACAAATTCCTGATTATACGTATAGCATATGAAGGCATTAAGTGGTCGTTTGGTTTAGGTGCAGGTCTCCTAAAATTTATTAGCTTTTCTTCCATAAGCATTCACCTGGAGGTCAGTTATTAGAATTTTAAAGCAAATTGGATTTATTATTTTTGAAAGTTGAATGTTTGTTTTTACATTTGTTTTAAAATTATTATTTTTCTCTTCATATCTAGAAAATCACGTTTACCCAAACTAGGAGGGAAAAAATAACTAACATACATATAACTTGGAAGAGCAAAAAAGAATTATAACTAGAAAGGCAGAATTTAAAAGTAGAAACAATACAAATCCCCAGAATTCAATTTTACTTCAAAACAGTTTTTGTGGAAAGACCAAAATTCAGCGAACCTAATTTTTAAAGGCTTATTTAAATGCAATGTTTGCTTTTAACATACTGTGTGACCATATGCACATCCCTGTGCCTATTTTAACTTTTTTTCTGTAAAGTTCAGTTAATAAATTATAGTTTATTGGCTTGTAGTGAGAATGTAAAAGTGAAGTACAGTGTTATATTTCAAAGCCGCCACTTTTGGTGTTAGATTAAAATTCCATTAAAATTGGGAGAGACATTTATTCTTTCTAGTTTTCTGTGTCTTCATCTGCAAAATGTTGTGAGAGTTTGAGATAAAATATGTGAAGTACCTGGCACACAGTAGGTATTTAGTCAATAGATCTATTTTTTAATCTTGTTATACAAGACTTTGAAGGAAGATTAATAACCTATGATAAGTACCCTCGACGGGCAGTTTTCTACTAATGTTGAGGAAAAGATAATGTTATGCAAATAACAATTATATATTTTTATGAAACCATATAATTTTTACATGTACCTTGAATCAAACTGTTAGGACAAATTAAACTCCAGGATGAAAAGGTATTTTGTCAAACCTTCTGCCATTCATCAGAGTCCCCATTTCAATTATGAATTTTATCCTACAGCATCTGTTGGATATTTTTCTTTTGCACTGAAAGTTTTAGAATTTACCAGCAAAAGCCTATTTCGTGCCACAGATAGAAGACATTTTAGCGACAGCCTTGGATACCAAGTACCTATAAAAGTTAGTTTGGTAACAATAAGTCCAAATAGATACTTTGAGCATCTTTGAATCCGGGGTACGAAGCTCCATAAACAAGTCTGCTTTTGGACCTGTGTCAAGAAGTGAATGGAACTTAGAGAGATTGAATATAGTGGATACTTTAGAGGCATGGAAATTAAAAACAGGAAGAGATATTCCCTGTGGAGATAAAACAGTGAGATAATGATGGAAAAGGTCTCTAGCAGCAGAGAGGCACAGTGAAAAGCAAACAGGTAGCTCATTAAAGGTTGAAGGTTAATTGAGGATGTCTATTCTTATGGTTTACAACTATGTATATAACATCTTGCTAGATGAGGTGTGGATACAATGCATGGCATTCTTCATTTATTTACCTATGTGAAAAGTCATAGAATCTCTTATGTGGAGGAGACATTAGTGGTTATTTACTTTGATCCATGTGCAATTTTACATCCCATAAAATCAATTTACAAAGTGTTCCTTGGCTGAAATGAGAATTTTAGTAGCAATAGTTATTTTGATTCATATTGCTTGTTTTCATATCTCTGTTTTTGTTTGATTAAGGATATGTGTGACTTAGACTTTGCATCGTTTGGTTCCATTTAAATTGGTAGTTTATAAGGGCAACAGGAGCCTTGTAGGAATCCTGGTAGCTGGCTGCTCAGCAACAGGAAAATGAATAAATGTATGATTGGCAACCTGAACTCTGCTTATAGCTACAATAAAAAGTAAATTAATAATAACAATAAAGATTATGTGACAATGTATTTCAGGTTAATTTATATCCACTAAATATTTAGCTGTTTTTAGGAAAAAGCAAAACAAAACAAAGCGCTATAGAAAACACAAGATAATTGTGGTTACCGAATCTTAAAAAGACATGTAATATTTGTCATAGAGGGACATTAGGAGTTTTTATCTAAAGATAGAAGTGACAGCAGACAAATTTCGTTATATTGTTTGCTGCAAAGAGAAAGGGATCAATTTTGTCTCCCAGGTGCCATATACTTTACCAAAGGAAACAACAGTACATTCCAAATGAGTTTTTTTTATTGTAATAATTGTTATTGTTTTAAAAAGCCTAAGAGAGGAAACCTTCAAACCTTTTTTTTTTGGAACTATATCTTCTCTAACTGCAATTTTAGTTACCTAATTTAGATGCAAATTTGTTTTTGAGACATAAATCACATTAAATTTATTGTAAAAATTGGAGAATTAAAATGTTAATAACTGCAAACAATAAAAAATTTTTACTATATTTGCAGTCTAACAAATTAACCTGCCATAGTTTCATGGATGGTTATAGAAAACACAAGACTATTGGGTCAGAGGTTAAGGACAGTTTATTACCTTAAGAGTCTTAGCATTTTGCACATTTTCCAAATCCCCAATTCCCGTAGGGCAACACAAAGAGAGCCAGGTGACAAATGCACACATAATAGTTGCATTTAGGAAAGAAAGCCTGACCTTAGGGGACTTGAAGCTTGCTACTCTGTCTTCTGCAGAGAGACTGTACTAATCAGTTTTCTCCAGAGAAAGAGAACCAATAGGATATATAGGTAAATAAGCAGAGATTTATTATCAGAATAGGCTCACATAATTAGGGAGGCCAAGAAGTCCTAATATAAGCTGTCTGCAAGCTGGAGAATACAAAAATCTGTGGTGTGTTTCAGTACAAGTCCAAAGGCTGGACAGCTTCAGGGCCACTAGTATAAGTCCTGGAGCCTGAAGGCCCAAGAACCAGAAACTCTGATGTTCATGGGTAGGAGAATATGGATGTTTCAACTAAAGAAGAAAGAGAATTAGCCCCTCATCTGCCTTTTTGTTATATTCAACCTATCAATGAATTATATAATGCCCTCCTACATTTGTGAGGATAGATCTTCCACACTCAGTTTAGCATTTCAAATGCTAATCTCTTCCAGAAACACCTTCACAGACACACCCAAAGATAATGTTTTATCAGCTATCCAGGCATCCCTTAACCCAGTTAAGCTGACATAAAATTAACCATCACAGAGACATTATCTTTATTACACAGAACAGTAAGCATGCCTTCTCTTTGTTCCAGAGAAAAGGAGTCATTATCTTTATCTTCCAAGGCTTGAAGCAAACCTGTCTTCTCCTCAAGAGAGAGATTGTATTTCTATATTCTAATGCTCTTTGCTGTATAAACACCCTGAAAAAGATAATGTAGAGCAAAGAGCAGTCAGTGTCTCATTTTGCTAGATTAGCAGAAATATACAAAACAAATAGAAAAGTGCATCTCAACAATAAAATGCACAATATAGTTCACCAGAACAAATAAGAGATAGAAGTAAACATTGAGATAGATGTAACATGGTTAATGTTCATTCATAATGCTTCAGTTGAACATCAAATTGAGTAGTAACATTTTTTGTTTTTTTAATAATACAAGATATCCAAGTAGTAAGGTTTAGGTAAGCACTACAGTTCTTTTAACTTTTTCCACAAAATCTGAAATGTGAACGAATGGTATGTAGTTGTTGCACTGTTATGCTAAGCATTATGGCACTACCAAAAAATTATGTTCCCTGAAGTGGTTTATCATGTCTCTGGGGAGACATAAAGTTCATATATGAAGCATACTAGAGAACAATCTGTGGAGATATATATTGAAATATAAGATTATGGGTATAAAATTAATATCCTATAGATTTAGTTTATAAGCCATTTTAACATGTATTGCCTTATTTTGTATCCTCACCTCATTTGTATTGCCATATTTTATCGATTTTACAATTTAAACTTTTTATTATCTCTGAAATAATCACGAATCTTATACTTGATGGCACCTTGCAAATAAAATAGCTGTATTTTCTGAGGGGTACAGGTAATATTAGTACATTTTTCACCATTTGAAATGTATAATTTCCATTTGGAAAGAAAGTGAAGCTCAAAAATGTGTAGTTATTTTCCGAGAACAGCACAGCCAATAGATGTTATGGCAAAACTTAAGCCCTTTTAGAATAAAAGATAGAATACACTGTAATTTAACAACAAGATCTTTCTGCCCCATGGTTCAACACTTCACACTATTCTATTATGGAAGACATTAAGAGTTTTAAAAGAAATAGTATTCTTTAAGATTAACTTAATATCAAAAGGATCATTTGCCTGAGTCCTCATAAGAATTTCATCAAAGAGGAGTCCCCGGGCAAGATGGCCGAATAGGAACAGCTCTGGTCTATAGTTCCCAGTGAGACCAATGCAGAAGGCAGGTGATTTCCGCATTTCCAACTCAGGTACCCCGTTCATCTCATTCAGACTGGTTGGACAGTGGGTGCAGCCCACGGAAGGCAAGCAGAAGCAGGGTGGGGTGTTGCCTCACCAGGGAAGTGCAAGAGGTTGGGGAACTCCCTTCCTTACCCAAGGGAAGTCATGAGGGACTGTGTCTTGAGGGACAAGTGCTATCTGGCCCAGTTACTGTGCTTTTTCTATGGTCTTTGCAAATCGCAGACCAAGAGATTCCCTTGGGTGCCTACACCACAAGGGCCTGGGTTTCAAGCACAAAACTGGGCAGCCATTTGGGCAGACATCAAGATAGCTGCAGGAGTTTTTTTCATACCCCAGTGGCGCCTGGAACTCCAGTAAAACAGAACCTTTCACTCCCTTGGAAAGGGGGTTGACGCCAGGGAGCCAAGTGGCCTTGCTCAGCAGATCTGACCCTCATGGAGCCCAGCAAGCTAAGATCCACTGGCTTGAAATTCTCGCTGCCAGCACAGCAGTCTGAAATCGACCTGGACACTCGAGCCTCCTGGGGAGAAGGACATCTGCCATTACTGAGGCTTGAGTAGGCGGTTTTCCCCTCACAGTGTAAACAAAGCCGCCTGGAAGTTAGGACTGGGTGGAGCCCACCGCAGCTCACCAGAGCCCCTGTAGCCAGACTGCCTTTCTAGATTCATCCTCTCTGGGCAAGGAGTCTCTGAGAGAAAGACAGCAGCCCTAGTCAGGGGCTTATAGTTAAAACTCCCATCTCCCTGGGACTGAGCACCCAGGGGAAGGCGTGGCTGTGGGCGCAGCTTCAGCAGACTTAAACGTTCCTTCCTGTCTACCCTGAAGAGAGCAGTGGAACTCCCAGCACAGTGCTCGAACTCTGCTAAGGGACAGACTGCCTCCTCAAGTGGGTCCCTGACCCCCATGCCTCCTGATGGAGAGACACCTCCCAGCAGGGGTCGACAGACACCTCATACAGGAGAGCTCTAGCTGGCATCTGGCAGGTGCCCCTCTGGGAGGAAGTTTCCAAAGGAAGGAGCAGGCAGCAATCTGGGCTATTCTGCAGCCTCTGCTGGTGAGACCCAGGCAAACAGGGTCTGGAGTCAACCGCCAGCAAACTCCAGCAGTCCTGCAGAAGAAGGGCCTGACTGTTAGAAGGAAAACTAATAATCAGAAAGTGATAGCATCAGTATCAACAGAAATGACGACCATACAAAAACTCCACCAACATCAAAGACCAACGTTAGATAAATCCACGGAGATGAGGATAAAACAGCACAAAAAGGCTGAAAATTCCAAAAACCAGAATGCCTATACTAAATATGGAAAGGAAAAACCGGTACCAGACACTGCAAAAACAAACTAAAATGTAAAGACCATCAACATCATGAAGAAACTGCGTCAACTAATGGGCAAAATAACCAGCCAGCATCATAATGACAGGATCAAATTCACACATAACAATATCAGCCTTAAATGTAAATGGGCTAAATACCTCAATTAAAAGGCACAGACAGGCAAATTGGATAAAGAGTCAAGACCAATCGGTGTGCTGTATTCAGGAGACCCATCTCATGTGAAAAGACACACATAGACTGAAAATAAATGGAGGAAGACTTACCAAGCAAACGGAAAGCAAAAAAAAAAAAAAAAGCAGGGGTTGCAATCATACTCTCAGATAAAACAGACTTTAAGCCAAAAAAGATCAAAAAAGACAAAGAAGGGCATTATATTGGTAAAGGGATCAATGCAACAAGAAGAACTACTGTAAATATATTTGCAACCAATACAGGAGCACCCAGATTCATAAAGCAAGTTCTTAGAGACCTACAAAGAGACTTAGACTTCCACACAATCATAGTGGGAAACTTTAACACCCCACTGTCAATATTAGACGGATCAATGAGACAGAAAATTAACAAGACTATTCAGGACTTGAACTCAGCTCTGGACCAAGCAGACCTAATAGACATCTACAGAACTCTCCACCCCAAATCAACACAATATGCATTCTTCTCAATACCACATAGCACTTATTCTAAAATTGACCGCATAATTGGAAGTAAAACACTCCTCAGCAAATGCAAAAGAATGGAAATCATAACAAACAGTCTCTCAGACCACAGTGTAATCAAATTAGAACTCAGGATTAAGAAACTCACTCAAAACCACACAACTGCATGGAAACTGAAAAACCCACTCCTGAATGACTATTGGGTAAATAATGAAAATAAGGCAGAGCTAAGTAAGTTCTTTGAAACCAATGAGAACAAAGACACAATGTACCAGAATCTGTGGGACACAGCTAAAGCCATGTTTAGCAGGAAATTTATAGCACTAAATGCCCACAGGAGAAAGCAGAAAGATCTAAAGTCGACACCCTAACAACACAATTAAAAGAACTAGAGAAGCAAGAGCAAACAAATTCAGAAGCTAGCAGAAGACAAGAAATAACTAAGATCAGAGCAAAACTGAAGGCTATAGAGACACCAAAAACTCTTCAAAAAATCAATGAATCCAGGACCTGGTTTTCTGAAAAGATTAACAAAATAGATGATAGACTGCTAGCCAGAATAATAAAGAAGAAAAGAGAGAAGAATTAAATGGACAGAATAAAAAATGATAAAGGAGAAATCACTACTTATCCCACAGAAATATGAACTACTATCAGAGAATACTATAAACACCTCTACTCAAATAAACTAGAAAATCTAGAAGAAATGGATAAATTCCTGGACACATACACCCTCCTGAGACTAAACCAGGGAGAAGTTGAATCCCTGAATAGACCAATAACAACTTCTGAAATTGAGGCAGTAATTAAAGGTCTACCAAAAAAAGCCCAGGACCAGATGGATTCACAGCTGAATTCTACCAGAGGTACAAACAGGAGCTGGTACCATTCCTTCTGAAACTATTCCAAACAATAGAAAAAGAGGGAATCCTTCCTAACTCATTTTATGAGGCCAGCATCATCCTGATACCAAAACCTGGCAAAGACACAACAACAACAAAAAATTTCAGGCTAATATCCCAGATGAACATCGATGTGAAAATCTTCAATAAAATACTGGGAAACTGAATCCAGCAGAGCATTAAAAAGCTTATCCACCTTGATCAAGTCAGCTTCATCCCTAGGAAGCAAGGCTGGTTCAACATATGCAAATCAATGAACATAATCCATCACATAAACAGAAGCAATGACAAAAACCACATGATTATCTCAATAGATGCAGAAAGGGTCTTTGAGAAAATTCAACACCCCTTCATGCTAAAAACTCTCAATAAACTAGTTATTGATGGAACATATCTCAAAATAATAAGAGCTATTTATGACAAACCCACAGCCAATATCGTACTAAATGGGCAAAAGCTGGAAGCATTCCCTTTAAAAACTGGCACAAGAAAGTCCTCTCTCACCATTCTTATTCAACATAATATTGGAAGTTCTGGCCAGGGCAATCAGGCAAGAGAAAGAAATAAAACGTATTCAAATAAGAAGAGAGGAAGTCAAACTATCTCTGTTTGCAGATGACATGATTGTATGTTTAGAAAACCCCATTGTCTGAACCTAAAAACTCCTTAACCTGGTAAGCAACTTCAACAAGGTCTCAGGATACAAAACCAATGTGCAAAAATCACAAGCATTCCTATATGCCAAATAATAGACAGAGAGCCAAATCAAGAGCAACTCCCAATTACGCTTGCTACAAAGAGAATAAAATACCTAGGAATACAACTTACGAGGGATGTGAAGGACCTCTTCAAGGAGAACTGCAAACCACTGCTCAAGGAAATAAGAGGGGACACAAACAAATGGAAAAACATGCCATGCTCAGAGATAGGGATAACCAATATCATGAAAATGGCCATACTGCCTGAAGTAATTTATAGATTCAATGCTATTCCCATCAGGCTACCATTGACTTTCTTCACATAATTAGAAAAATCTAAATTTCATATGGAACCAAAAAAGCCTGTATAGCCAAGACAATCCTAAGCAAAAAGAACAAAACTGGAGGCATCACGCTACCTAACTTCAGACTATACTATAAGGCTACAGTAATAAAAACAGCATGGTACTGGTACCAAAACAGATATATAGACTAATGGAACAGAGCAGAGGTCTCAGAAATAACACCACACATTTACAACCATACGATCTTTGACAAGCCTGACAAAAACAAGCAATGGGGAAATAATTCCCTGTTTAGTAAATGGTGCTGGGAAAACTGGCTAGCCACATGTAGAAAACTGAAAGTGGACCCCTTCCTTACACCTTACACAAAAATTAACTCAAGATGGATTAAAGATTTAAATGTGAGATCTAAAACCATAAATACCCTAGAAGAAAACCTAGGTAATACCATTCAGGACATAGGCATGGGGAAAGACTTCATGACTAAAACACCAAAAGCAATTGCAACAAAAACCAAAATTGACAAATGGTATCTCATTAAACTAAAGAAATTCTGCACAGCAAAAGTAACTATCATCAGAGTGAACAGGCAACCTCCAGAATGGGAGAAAATTTTTGCAATCTATCCATCTGACAAAGGGCTAATATCCAGAATCTGCAAGGAACTTAAACAAATTTACAAGAAAAAAAACCAAACAACCCCATCAAAAAGTGGGCAAAGGATATGAACAGACACTTCTCAAAAGAAGACATTTATGCGGCCAACAAACATATGAAAAAAAGCTCATCATCACTGGTCTTTAGAGAAATGCAAATCAAAACCACAATGAGATACCACCTCACGCCAGTTAGAATGGCAATGATTAAAAAGTCAGGAAACAACAGATGTTGGAGAGGATGCAGAGAAATAGGAACACTTTTACACTGTTAGTGGTAGTATAAGTTAGTTCAACCATTGTGGAAGACAGTGTGATGATTCCTCAAGGATCTAGAACCAGAAATACCATTTGACCCAGCAATCCCATTACTGGATATATACACAAAGGATTATAAATCATTCTACTATAAAGACCCATGCTCACATATGTTAATTGAAGCACTATGCACAATAGCAAAGACTTGGAACCAACCCAAATGCCCATCAATGTTAGACTGGATAAAGAAAATGTGGCACATATACACCATGGAATACTATGCAGCCATAAAAAGGAATGCATTCATATCCTTTGCAGGGACATGGATGAAGCTGGAAACCATCATTCTCAGCAAATTAACACAAGAACAGAAAACCAAACACTGCCTGTTCTCACTCATAAGTGGGATTTGAAGAATGAAAACATGGGCACAGGGATGGGAACATCACACACTGGTGCCTGTCGAGGGGTGGTGGGCAAGGGGAGGGATAACATTAGGAGAAATAACCTAATGTAGATGATGGGTTGATGGGTGCAGTAAACCACCATGGCACATGTATACCCATGTAACAAACCTGCATACTCTGCACATGTATCCCAGAACTTAAAGTATAATTAAAAAAGAAAGAAAGAAAGAAAGAATTTTGGCGGGGCGCGGTGGCTCATGCCTGTAATCCCAGCACTTTGGGAGGCCAAGCAGGCAGATCACAAGGTCAGGAGTTTGAGACCAACCTGATCAACATGTTGAAACCCCGTCTCTACTAAAAATACAAAAATTGGCTGGGTGTGGTGGCATGCCTGTAATCCCAGCTACTTGGGAGGCTGAGGTGGGAGAATTGCTTGAACCTGGGAGGTGGACGTTGCAGTGAGCTGAGATCACACCACTGCACTCCAGCCTGGGCGACAGGGAAAGACCCTGCCTTGGAAAAAATAAGACAAAATAAAATAAAACAATTTCATCAAAGAGTAAAAAGATTCAATATAATATAGCTAATGGAAACTTGGAACAACATATTACCTTTTTTGTTTTTGGCCTGTGGCCTTCTGAGACATATCTTTCTTTTCAGTGTACAGGTATCCTTTTTTATACTGTCAATAGTACCACGAATGGTTTATCATAGTATATTACATGTGTTTCCAGTTTGCAGTTATGTTTTAATTGTATTTTCTGTCTTTTCCTGTATATAAAAAAATCTATTTTTCAAGCTTTCAAATATATTTTCAAAAATGTGTACACAGTATTTTCCATATATATTACATTATTTCATATCTCTTGCTTGTTTTTATTTTCATTATTGATGTTGTTATTTTTTAGTCTTATTTGCCTGCTTGCTCATCCACTTTAATTAATCAGGGTTTTCTGTTTCTTTTGGAGTTCTTAGATGTTTTATAAGTCTGGATGAGCTAAGACAGACCACAGAGTAGTCCACTTTTGAGGACTTGTAAGATTACTTAGACTCATCCAAGGCATCTTTCAATAAATTTATAAATAAGCATTGCAAATTGCCCAAATATTTTCAAATGAAACAAATGAGTGTAAAAATACTTGACAGATACCCCAGCCTAGTGCCTTCCTTCTGCCTTTTGCAGATACTCTAAAAGTTTGTTCGTAGCCATCGTTGCAGATTCAAGAATAGTTTGAAGGAAGCTGCTCCTTGATAACTAGCATGCGAGAATTGGGGCACAATGGTAGCCCAGATTGCCTGGATCTAATGCACAAATTCTAAGTTTTTTCTGTTGTGCAGACATACGTTCTAGTTATGTAGTGTTTACAAACTCACTACTTTTATATTTTATTTGAGATTTCATCTTTCCAGAACTGGTTATGGTCTACTACAGTAGGATGCTGTGAGGTTAATTATAGTTCTCTACTTAAGAAAAAGTCTATGAGGATAAACAAACCGAAGATATGTGGCCTATTTTGAGGTTTCCTGGGGCCTGATGACTCACAGGAGTACAAGACACACATTTTGTCTTTCTGTTCTCTCAGGTAACTCAAACTTTATGTTATTTTCTTAACATATAGGAAATAATAGAAATTCTCCTGTCTTTGAGAACGTAGACATTTTAAATTTAAACTTTAATTTTTTTCTGCCTTTTTTCTTTCCTTATTACTTTGTTTTTCTGTCTTTCTACTTATCTATGTTTGGCAGAACCACAAAACCCACTTCATGTCATCTAATCACTACTCACAAAAGTAAACAGCATCATGACTTTTATTACAATAGCTCCGTTGCAAAATTATCTGGAAAGAGAGACAGCATGGCTTCTTCATATTCTCAAAGCAATCTGTATCCCCCAAAAGTTAACCAACATTTCTATATAAGTATAATCTTTAAGATACCACATAAAAATGTTGAAAGAAAGGCACGTTGGAAAGGGCCACATCCCAGGATCACTTAATTTTAACTTCATGTGTAGTACTTTGTCCTGCATACCATAAAAATACAGCAAAGGGGAAAAGAAGGATTAGAGAAATAAAATGTGTGGATTACCTAATTGTGTCAGGCATCATTTCTAATTTAGTGATCAACTATTGGTTTATGCAAGAAACCACCAAAACAATCTATTTTCAAATATTATGAAGGTTTTTCCTCAATGGTAAGATAAATGGAAGTTTTAACTATTCTTGATGCAATTCCTATTCCCAGGACAGTATTTTGAGACTTTGTGAAAGAGGGAGCAACAAGAGAGTCACCTGGATTGCTCTGGACATGACCCACTTTTTATTTGTTTTCCTCTCTTTAATGAGAGTAATAATCTAACCTTGACTGTCTGGGTAAGAACTTTGTCAAGAACAGTAATAAAATGGCAAAGTGTTAATCACTGTATCTTTTTATAATTGAAATTTATTAACACTGTTGAAATCTCTTTATTCATTCTACTTACACAATGTGCTGAGAATTTGCTTTAGAAAATGGATTCATGGCTTTATAATAATCTCATAATTTTCCCCAGCGTTCTTCAACCTGGGTTCATAGACTTTCAGGACAATTCTAAAGGGGTGGACATTGGGATCCATATTCACTTCCTTGCTTATATTTGTAGTTTAACTAACTAAGGATGTATCTCTAAACACTTGGGTTCAGCCTTCTGCCTGCTTTTCTTTTGTGTTTTACGTAACTATGATCATTTGGTGTATATTATTTGGCATCTGGCTTAACATTATATTTGTGAGATTATTCCACAGATTTTAAGTTTCTGCATTTAGGAGAGTGCTTAGTAGTATTTCAGGATTCTAACTAGCATCTCCCTGAATTATTTTCATTTGAATAATATTTATATCAATCAGTTTATTCTGAGATCCTGGGAAAGAATCTTAGCATTTTGGGAGGCCTGGGTTGGAGGATCACTTGAGCTCAAGAGCTGAGACCAGCCTGTGTAACATTGCAAGACTCCGTCTCTACAAAAAAGTAATTAGCCAGGCATTCTGCTGCACGCCTGTGGTCCAGCTACTCATGAAGCTGAGGTGAAAGGATTGCTTGAGCCCAGGAGGTCCAGGCTGCAGCAGTGAGCCATGACCAAAGCGAGACCCTGTCTCAAAAAAAAAAAAAAAAAAAAAAAAGGAAACAACAAAAAAGGAAGTCAAAAAGGGGTACAGAGAGGGGAGGGAAGAAAGCAAGAAAAATGAAGTAAATGAAAAAGAAAAGGAAATAGGGCAAAGAAAATAAAATAGTTAAAAAGAAAGAATACTGTGAAAAAGTTTTTTTTTCATACTTGGTACAACTATGGCTCTTCCCCACAGTTTCTACACTTTGTGACCTCAGCTGATTCAGAGATCCCTTTCTGAGCATTGCTTCTCTCATGCCAAAAGGAAGAGAACAGAGCAGATACACCCAATGAGTTAAAGCTTTTCCTCAGAAAAGGCACAGGTTACTTTCATTCACATTGCATTGGCCAAAGCAATTTGCATAGTAAGCCTTCTATAATTCAGCATTGAGAAGTGATGAAAATTTTGTACAATAATACGATATATCAAATCCTCTTTTGTGAGGTGCCAGTTAAAATTACTTATCCATTTTTCTCTTTGATTAGCCCTGCCTCCGAACTTGTTAGTGCTTTAATTTGGTTTTGTTAACCCTCCTCAATTTCCTTTCTTTTCTATTTCATTAATTTCCCTTTTTATCTTTATTATTTGACCATTATATTTTATTTAATGTGTAATAATTTATTTAAAATTTAATCTTTTTATTCTAATTTCTTAAAACAAATTATTAGCTCATATCAACATTCTGATTTTTAATATATACATTTAGTGGTATATATTTTCTTCTGAGCATAATTTACATGTATCCCACCAATTTTAATATGTACTTTAATATGTACTTCTTTAATAAAAAATTTTCATTAATACCTCTTGAAAAATTCTATCATAATTTTTAATTTAATTAATGAGTTACTTGCTAGTTTCCAAACACACTGGGATTTCCTACCTTTTTTTTTTTTTTTTTTTTTGGCAGAGTCTCATTTTGTCGCCCAGGTGGGAGTGTAGTGGCGATATCTGTGCTCACTGCAACCTCCACCTCCCTGGTTCAAGTGATTCTAGTGCCTCAGCCTCCTGAGTATCTGGGATTACAGGCACCTGCCATCATGTGAGGCTAATTTTTGTATTTTTAGTAAAGACGGGTTTTCGCCACGTTGGCCAGGCTGGTTTAGATCTCCTGACCTCAAGTGATCCGCCCTCCTTGGCCTCCCAAAGTGCTGGGATTACCGGTGTGAGCCACTGTACCCAGCCTGGAATTTCCTAATTATATTTTCTTACTAATTTTTAGATTAATTGTGGTCATAGAGATACTTTGTATGATTTCCATTTCTTAAATTCTATTGCCAAACACAGGTAAGTTGGTATAAATGCTGTTCATGTAAAAGAGGTGCATTATAGTTAGACAGGCAATGTCTTTTATGTGTTTATTAGGTTAATTTGGTGAAATTTTTGGTCCCATCTGATATATCTAGTAGTGTAAAAAAATCTCAAACTGGCTTCTCTGAGATTATTGTGGCTATTTTTTTCCCAACTCTGGATCAGTGAGGCCATGTTGGTAGCTTGAAATCAGCCATTGTGGGAGAATTTACATTATAAAAATCAGCAAATACTACAAGTCAGGGCTTTTTAGTCTCCAGAGCCAGTTACTTAACATTTACCAGCACACCATTGGTTATATCCTTGTATGTGTCCACAGTACTGATCACTGAGAATAACTGTATTCCTACCAAGATCATGATATTTATATTTTCCTGGTAGATATGTCAATTTCCATATTGTATATTTTGACGTTATGCCATTCTAAGCTTAGAATTGTTACAGCTTATAGCTAAATTGAACCATTCATAACAACTGAACTGTCCCTCTTTATTTTTAGAAATATGTTTTGCCTTACAGTCTATTTTGACATTAGTATAGCAATATCAGGGGTTTTATGGTTAGATTTTACCATGGAATATATCTTTTCATCTTTTGCTTTTCACTCCCTGCATCTTTATACTTAGATGCATCTCTTGTAAACAAAATATAATAGAAGCTCTATTTTTTATGCATTCTGACAATTCTATCTTATAGACAGAATTGGAACATTTAGTTTATTTAAATTTAGTATTGCCCGTTTCAATCTTCCACTTTATAAAATGATCTCTTTTTGCTTCATCTGTGCTATTTTGCCTCTTTTGAGAGTCATTATATTTTATAGTTTTATTTTTACTTCCTTCCAACCTATAAATGTTCTTTAAAATTCACTTTCTTAAAAGTGAATATATTGTACATAGATATATTCAGACAACGCAAATTTAGAGAATATTGTGTATACGTAAATTAATGTAGACAGACACAGAGACAGAGAAAGAAAGAGAGGGAGCAGGGGGCATTATAATATTTAAGATTTTAATTGTCTAGCTAATTTAAAAAATGAAACAATAAATGCACATAATAATTTTCAGAAAAGGCAAAAAAGGTGAAGATAAAAAGACAGCATAAATGTAGCAAAGAGAAATTGCTTAATAAAACAGAAGATTTAAGGTGAGACATTTAAGTAATGATATTGTTTGCAGATAAACTAAATATCCCATTTGTAAGACGAGATTGTTAGACTGGTTAAAAGAGAAAACCTCAATCATATTCTGTTTACAATAGGTTTTATACTTTATTGTTTTAAAGTCTGTAGCTAAGAACTCTACTATCTGTACTACCTTTAGTTATTTCTATTTTCTGTTGTTTCGCTGAGTGTTGTTAATTATTTTCATCTACATGGATTTCTGATATTTGAATGGTCCATTGGACATGGAACTTGTAATATTTTTTGTACAGTTATTTTGATTGCTGTCATATTACTCCTGTAAAGAGGATTTTCCTCTGCTTCTGCCAGTCAGCCATAGGCAGCAACCATGCAGATCACTTTAGTTTCAAGTACTGAGCTGATTTGAGGCTGAGCTAAAAGCCTGGTGGCAGCCTATCAATTCTTGTTTAGGTTTATGCCTAAATTGCAGCCCTATTGTAGTTCAGTCTAAAACAAGAAAGTTCATCAAGAACCTTTTAAAGACTCCTTTGATCCTAGCCCTTCATCCCTCAGTATGTTAAACTATTAAGTTATCCCTCAGTCTCTCAGCATTGCAGTTTCTCTGATATCCCTCTGTTCAGTTTGCAGAGGTAATGGAGATCCAACTTCATGGTTTACCTTTCCTGGGATTTTGTCTTTTTCCTTGTCAATTCCTACAAATTCTTGGTCATAATTTTTAAACATTATACATTTGAAAATTTTTAAAAAACAGCATTTTTCCAGCACAGTAGTTCATCCAATTTAAATAATCTATCACCACTGAGAAGTAGAGCCCTTAATATTATAGAAATTTACTTTAATTACATAATGACATAAATAATCTTTAAATGCCTCTTTTCCATTCAAAGAAGCTGCTTCAGTCTTTATGAAACCAATTTTGAGTAGTTGGAGTAGGAAAAAGAATTATCATCATTTCACACATGAAATAATTAAGACATGGGATCTGAGGCATAAAAACATTTTTTTTGCTGTTCATTTCACTGACGTGAAAAACTGGGAATGTAATTTAAGTATTTAACTTTTTTCTAAATTGTATTCCTGCTCAGGACACATTGATGTTGTAGACTTTGAAATGATACTGATTGATTAGTTTTTAGATTTCTGGTATTTATTACTTATAGCCAAGTGAAATGTACAAGTAAAGTTGAAAACATGGCAACTTATCACAAAATTGTTTCTGTTCTTACTAACTTACTAACAGGTATTTAGATTTTGCATCTCAATATGTCTATCTTGGCAATATTTTCATTTTGTTTTTACATTTTTAATAAACATTTATATAAATGGAGTATCAGAACAAACATCTAATACCTTTTCATAATATAATAAAGATAGTAAATAATCTTAGTCATTATTTTTCTATAAATATTATTTGGCAAGTTTTATAAATTATTTTTAAATGAAAAAAAAACTATGGACAAGAGCACAGGATTAAGTTTTCAAGAAGATCCAACTATGTATTTAAGGAACACCTCCTGTTTTTGAACAGTTACAATCCAGTGGAGAACATAGTTATGTAATACAAATTGAAGATATTGAACTGGAGGGAAAGTGATAAGGGCAAAAGGGAGAGTCGTGCTGAATGTGAGGCAGGTATGAATCTATGTTGACTCAAAAATTAGGAACTACAATTTAAGTGGCTACTTCTCTTCACTCCTTTTCAGTAGCATGACAAATACTGCAGGATCCTGGCTGTAACTAAAGTGCGAAAAATGGCTATATTAAGATATCTCTTTTTTAATCTAAACACCAAATGGTGGACCTCACGAATAATATAAATTCCCAAGGCATGTGTCTTATTTAGGTGAAACATACTTGGCACATGGTACATATTCAACAAATTTTCATTAAAATGAATGTGGTTGTGTTGCAGTAGATATTTTTATTAAATGAAGCATTAAATGCCTTATATCTTTTCTAGCATTGTTCAATTGAAATGGAAATTCTTCAACATATTTTGTCCTTTTTTTACACACTCATGATATTTCACAATATCGTATTTTATAAGAGCAGTTGAATTTCTGCTTACATAAAATATAATGCTTCCCATGTGAAGATAGAAATATGACATCATCCACATGTCCATTTATCTGTGGTACCATATTTCACTTGGAAGTATGTGAAAGGGAATAATATTTTAAGATGGTTGAGGTTAAGAATTATTTTGGAAGAGTAAGAAAAAAGCATTTCACAATGTTATAACCTACTTCTGGGATCCCATATGATACATGCTACCCACTGTAGATCTTTCTTTACTCTTTATAGCATGCACTCTCGGACTTGTACGGTAGGTGCTGCTCATATTTATAGATAGTGTTAATGTGGATAAAATCGAGAAAGAAATGTGTTTCTTGAAAATTACCTGGTGACTAAATTTAATCTGAGGAAACTCACAACTGTGTGTATCCAGCAAATTTACCTCCTCCATTAGGTTTGGTAAAATGAGATTGAAACCTATAATAATGAAATCAAAACATTATTACATATACTTCTAACTATCAGGAGAAAACTGCATATTAAAAAAATGAATTATGCTTTAGTACTCTTTGAGGGTCATCCATCTTCTAGGACATTACAAGTTACTGGTAATGTAATTGGTGACATCAGTTCACATGAATTTATCCTGTCATATTAAATTTGAGAAAATTCTCTAATAAAACAGTCTAGAAAAGATATCTCCTAGAGGAGAAAAGAGACATTATCTTGTCATTTGTTTCCCTTACTCTCTGATCTATCCTTCCTTTTCTTTTCTCTTTTTTTTAGTTTTAAGGAGTGGAGAATTTAATAGGCGAGGAAGAGGGCAGAAGGAAGAAGCTCTCCTCGTACAGAGACAAAGCGGGGTTGGGGGGGTGGGGGGGAGCTCCAAAGCTGAGAGAGGGAACCTCCCTATTCTTCCTTTTCTTAAAGGGTGTCTGACAAGGTTGTCAAAGTGATACTACAAAAATTACAAGGGGTAGTCCCACTGGGAGGGAGGGAGGAGAATATAACCTACTATTTATGGACTATGAATGAAACAAGGGCTATTGCTACTTTTTGATCTAATTTCATAAAGGTGGGTAATTGCCAGTTCCCTTTGTTGTGCTATTATGGAAATGTCAGTATGGTTTTAAGATTCTACATAGGCTATAGGCTTTAAACTTCAAATGGATCCAGCAAGAATAGAAAAGATTTAAAGACAAGCCAGAAAATAGTCATTTAGTGTGGTAATCAAGCAGAATTATTCTAAAACTGAGCAGTATAAAAAACATTTATGTCATTCCCAGTTTAGTGACTAACCAATAATTCACAAAAGGAACCTACTAAAATTGGATATTTTCCAAATTTTATGGAGTTTTTTCTGAACAATCTGATAGATGGTGGCTTTTATTGTTCATGCTACATTTTGGATTCCCAAGGCAGTGTGTTAGAGATTTTATGGAAGGGAAGCAGCAACTAGGGGCATCTGAATTGCTCTGGGAATTACCTAAATATTTTTTACCTGTCCTCACCTCTTTAATGAGAGTAATGATATCTAACCCTGACTACCTAGGTAAGAACTTTGCCTAGAAGAGTAATAAAATTATAAAATGTTAATCACTTTGTGTCTTTTTGCAATTAAGATTAAGTATTACTATTGAAATAGTTTACTGTTTCTATTTATGCAACACGTTGTTGAGAATTTAGGATATGGACTTATTGCCTTATAAAAATCTTATAATTTACACTTATTCTTCCAGTATAGAATTCCTTAATCATTGTTCATGGATTTTGAGGTGATCTATAAATGTATGGGTCTCAGGAACCATAAACACAATTTTCTAGAGTTCATGGCTTTTTGAATCCTCAAAGAGATCTTTGACCCCCGAAAGCTGACTAATACTTCTTTGGGAGTGTAGTCCACATATTACTATGTAGCATTTTTTTTTAAAGAAAGAATGTCAAGAGCCATATCTAGGACCACTTATTTTTAACTTATCCATAAAAGACCTTGTACTATTATTAGAACATTTAAATGAATGTTTTTAAAGTACAGCAAACAGGAAGGAAAGCTTCTAGGTAAATAAAATGCATTGATTTTCTGCTACATGTCAGACATTCTGTCATGTCCACCATGAAGATCTGATTTTTGTAGAATGAGTTATATATATAAGTATAACTAAACACAGTGACTATCAGGTAAAAAATAGTTTTGAATACCAACACTAAACACAGTATTTTAATGAAAATCAACAGATTTGGCAGAAGCTAACTTCTGCCAAACTTTGCTGCATATTATAATCTTCCTAAAAGATTTTAAAGCACTGCAGAGCATGGATCCCACTCCAAATCAATTGAATAAAAAACTCTTTGGGGGGTGGTTCTGAGCATTGATGTGTTTAAAAATCTCCTCAGGTGATTCTATTGTGCAGAGAGTATTGAGAACTACTCCTCAGCTATTTAAACGAACAATACCTAATTATATCATTCAAGCAGTAACTGCATTTGAGTACAATTTTATTTAATTTATTCTGACAAACTCAGAATTCATTCATTCATTATTCATAAAATATGGCTGTATAGAATGCCTGCTGACAGGTGAGTACTTTGTAAGATGTTGACAATTAGTGATAAATGTTTGGCTTATCCTTGAATACATTACAGACAAAACAGTAAAATGATTATTCTATTTGGGCATGAATTGTCATTCATAGAAAGTTGCTCAAGTAGTTATAAGAGAAAAGCAATTTCTTTGTAATTCTTTGTGGTTTTAATATATTCAGTTTTTTCAAATGGTCTTAAGACTTTTTTCATAATTTTATTTTTTATTTCATCCAACTGTCAAACATTTAGCACACTTTTATAAGTTGCTTCCTACAGAGGCAACTGAACTCAAATGGAATAAAACACTTTACCTTGTTCACTGTTTCCTCTCTAAATGCATGACTCTAAAATATTATTTGAGCACACAGTAATGTTCAGCAATCCTATTATATTTTCCTGATAAATTAGCTTTTAACATTATCTCACAGATTAGAGCTAATAAATGAGTTCAGACATGTTGCAAGGTCCAACATCATATAGAAAAATTAATTTTATTTCTATACACTGGCAATGAACCATATAAATGCAATTAACAAAATAGTTCCATTTGAAGTTGCATAAAAAATAAAGCACTGAAGCCTAAATTTAACAAGGAAGTACAAAACTTAAATCTTAAAAACTACAAAGAGTTTATGAAATTAAAGAAGTTTCAAATAAATGAAAAACATTTCTCATTCATGGGTCAGAAGACTTAGTACTGATATATATATTCAATGCTACTCTAATCAACTTCCCAGTGGATTCTTTGCAGAAATTGGCAAACAGATCCTAAAATTAGTATAGAAATTTAAAGTAATCCAGAATAGCCAAATGATCTTGAAAGAAAGAACAAAGTTGGAGGACTCACACTTCCCAATTTAAAACATACTGTAAAGTTACAGTACCCAAGACAATGTGGATCTTGCATAGACTTCTACATATAGATCAATGAAATAAAATTGAGAGCCCAGAAAGAAATTCTCATATTTAAGGTCAATTGATTTTGACAATAGTGCCAAGACAATTCCACAGGGAAAGAACAGTTTTTTCAATAAATGGTGTCAGGGCAACTGGAAAGGCAAATGTAAAAGAATAAAATTAAACTCTTTCTCACACTATATATGAAAATTCACTCAAAATAAACAATACACCAAATATCAGAGCTAAAATTATATAACTCTTACAATAAAATATAGGAATAAATCTCTGTGACCTTGGGTTATGCAAAGCCTTTTTAGATATGACACCAAAATCACCAATGACAAAAGAAAAATAAATTTGCACTTTTCCAAAGTAAAAACTTGTGTGCTTTAAAGAACTCTATTAAAAAGTAAAAGGATAGCCAACAGAATAGAAAAAAAAATTACATAGCATATATCTGATAAAGGACTTATATGCAGAATACATAAAGGACTCAAAAACAAAAAGACAAACAACCTATTTTTTTTAATGGAGAAAGGACTTTCATTGACATTTCTCCAAAAATATACAGTCGGTCAATGAGCACATAAAAAGATGTTCAACATTATTTGTTATTAGGGAAATGAGAATCAAGAAGACAATGAGATTTTTAAAAATCACACCAGAGAATAACAAGTGTTAATGAGGACAGTAGATAAATTGCAACCATCATGCATTGCTAGTGGGAATGTGCAGCCATTGTGCAAAACAATCTGGCAGTTCCTAAACAGGTTAAACACAGAGTTCCCATGTGATTCAGTCTTCCTCTCCAAGGTATATTTCCAAAGGTACTAAAAACATACACCCATGTAAAAACTTGTACATGAATGTTCATAGCGGCATTATTCACAATGGCCACAAGTGAAAACAAACCAAATGCCCATCAATTGAGAATGAACAAATAAAATGTATACTCAGGCAATGGAATGTAATTTAGCAATTTAAAAAGTGAAATACTAATACATACTACAACATGGATGAAACTTGAAAACCTATGCTAAGTCAAAGAAGCCAGTGTTAGGCCACATACTGTATAATTCCATTATATGAAGCATCCCAAATAGATAAATTAATAGAGACAAAAAGTAGATTAGTGTTTGCCCAAAGCTGGAGGTGAAAGAAGGTGAGACGGGCATGATTTTCTTTGTGAGGTGATGAAAATGTTCCATAATAATTGTGTTGATGGTTGCACATATCTGTTAATATACTAAAAACTATTGGACATGTAAGAGGGTGGAAGTGAATGGTGTGTGAATTATATTTTAATAATGCTATTAAAAATTCTCTTATAGGACTATTTGCTTATCATCTTTCCTCACAACACCACCTTTCCAGTCATCATCTTCAGCCTGGCCTCTTCTTTCATTGAGGAAAAAAAAAAGCACTCAAAGCAGAGGGGGAAATGGAGCTCTTATCTTCTATCCTCAGTCCCATCTACTATTGCCTCCTCAGTGTCCTTTGTTGCTTTCTTCTTCCTGACTTCTACACAATGGAGTGTCCCAGGTTCAACCCACAGAGCTCTAGCTATGCCAAACTCCTAGGTAATCACAACTTGTTTCATGGATTTTAATAGATCTGTATACTAATGAATTTCATGTACATTTCTAGCTTAGTGCTCCTCTTAAACTCCAGACCTATATGTACAAGTGCCAACTCAGGAGCTAAAAGTTCATGTTTAATGCTTGACTCCTTATTTCACATGCTTCAAAAGTCTTTTTCTTCCTACGTGATCTTCCCTATCTTGGCAAATGGCAACTTTATTATTCTATTTGTTTAGTCTAAAAGCCCTTAAATCCTTTCTGACTTCTTTCTTTTACTAGATCTAACTGAGCACTTATCATTTCCTCTATTGTTATTTCCTCATGGAAACCATCACTCTCACTTTCATTACTGCAATAGCTGCAGTTCACAGCCTCATTCTGGTGCTCTAGGTGTCAAGTGGGGGAAGGAAGCTTGGGAATTTAGCATTTAGGATGTATCTTTCACTTTATTTGCCCTGTTTCAGTACACCACTTTCATTCTTAGTGTATCATATTCCCCATTTCATAATCCCTCTCATTCGCTCTTACTGGAAGATGAATCTTAGTTTTCTGTTGTGGAGTAGCAGTCTTCTAGCTGGGTAGGGTGGGGGAGGAAATTTGTGGATCTACTTGCTTTTTATATATCCTTCCAACCAATATTTACGTAGTCAATCCAACCTGTTCCACTTCTTTCAGAAATACCTAGTACTACTTCACACATGCAATGTTCAGAGTTTTCCCAATGAACAGCTGACTTTTCAGTTTTCACAGATCTGCTTATTTAACTTTATTCTGTATCTAAAATTTGCATCTGTTATTTTCTCTCTTTGTCCTTTGTTTTTTTTCCCTTTAAAAAAGATATCCCTTTCTTGTCACTGGAGTGGGGTCTCTCAAGAACCAGCAATAAACAGTTTTTCAATCTTAAGTTTACTTACAGTCACAATTATCATTTTAACCTGTTCCAATTTAGCTTTCATCTTTACCACACTACTTAAATTGCTCTTCTCATAGCTAAAAATATTTCAGTATTGCCAATCCAGTGGCCGATATACTAGCAAAATTGTTTATCCATCTAGTATTAAAACAGTTTTAACACTTAATTTTTAGGCTACCACTTACTCCACTTAATTCTGGTTTCTATTCTGGTTTTACTTTACTAGACATTCCATTCACATCAGTCTCCTTTGCTGGCTCTTACTTTTCTTCCAGGCCTTGACAGACTAGTGAGACCAAGGGTTCCAGTCTTAGACTTCTCATTTTTTTAAACTCTATTTTCTTTTAATAAGTTTATTTACTCCATAGATTTTAAAATGTGCTAAATGAAATTAGCTGAGCATGGTGACACATGCCTGTAGTCCTAGATACTGAAGAGCTGAGTCAGGAGGATCACTTGAGTACAGCAGTTTAAGGTTGCAGTGAGCTATGATTGCACCATTACACTCCAGCCTGGGAGACCGAGTGAGACCCTGTCTCTAAAAAACAATTTTTTAAAAGTTAATAAATAAATAAACCTTAGTTAAATTGTTAACTCCCGGATTTATAAACAGTTCTGAACTTTCCCTTGGAATTCAGACCTGATCATATACTTACTTCTGACAGCTCAGCTTGGTTGTCTGAAAGGCATTCTCATTTCAATATATTTGAAACATAAGCCTTCCTTCAATTCCCCAAACATTCCACAGGTTCTCTCTTCCTAGCACAGTTAATGGCATCATATTCTTTAATCCTCTGCTTAAACTCTCCTGTTGCTTGTCACTATACTCTTAATAAAATCTAAACTATTACCATGGCCTGTATGGTCCTTGGTCATCCAGCCACTGCATGCCTTTTTCATTTCATGCCATTCTTTTCTCCTTCACCTCACCTTCATTATTTCCTTGGAGACACTGAGTTCAGCATTCAAAGGGTCCCAAGGCCAGTTTTTTCCTTAAACATAGAACTCAAATAATCTGCTCATTGCCAACTTGATATTTTAACTAATTTTGAGCACAATAATCACATACTTGATATCTGTCTTTATTTCCAGTCAATCCTTTTTTAAACCCATATCTATTTTCATTCTGCTATGTCTCATTTCCATCCAATTTCATATCTATTCTCTAACCCAATTTAATTTTCTTCATTATCATGTTTATTTGTTTTCTTTTAAAAAATCTATCTTTTTTTCTACAAGATATGACTGAATAAAAGAAATAAATTAATGAATATATCATAGCATGAAGGAGGAGAAACACTGATTAAGAGGATGGGTTTTGACATTGAGTTATTGGGACAAACTGGCATTCACATTCACCTAGTTACTTAACCTATGTATCATCTTTTATCATTTAAAACAGAGCCTATCAAAAAGGAAACATTGGTAAATGTTAGTTAATAAAGAGTGATCAAGGAGTTAGTAGGAAATCTGAAAATGTGGTGTGATAGAAATCAGGAGTAGAGTTTTTCAAAAAAAAAAGGACATATTTTAAAAGAGTGATGCTAAAATATCAAGTCAGATAAAAAATTAAAAGTGTCCCCTGGAAAATGTTAAGTGAAGAACTGACTTTATTTTATTGGGGCTTTTATTTTTGAAAAAAAAAATTTAGAAAAATGGTTATATGTTGGGTGGGAAGCAGTAGTACTCTGGCCAATTTATTTGATACTGGAAGTGCAGTCATCATTTGGCATAGAGAAATAGCATAGAGAAACATTGGTAAATGTTAGTTAATAAAGAGTGATCAAGGAGTTAGTAGGAAATCTGAAAATGTGGTGTGATAGAAATCAGGAGTAGAGTTTTTCAAAAAAAAAAGGACATATTTTAAAAGAGTGATGCTAAAATATCAAGTCAGATAAAAAATTAAAAGTGTCCCCTGGAAAATGTTAAGTGAAGAACTGACTTTATTTTATTGGGGCTTTTATTTTTGAAAAAAAAAATTTAGAAAAATGGTTATATGTTGGGTGGGAAGCAGTAGTACTCTGGCCAATTTATTTGATACTGGAAGTGCAGTCATCATTTGGCATAGAGAAATCCCAGTTTCTTCAACGGGATAAACTTTGGTCTTTGGGTTCAAAGGAAAACATTAAGGAACCACGCAATGTCTTCTTACTCAACTTCCAGGTAAGCTCCAGGTCCAAGACTGATTTTTCCATAATGCAAATATTTTGTTTTTAAATCCATTTATATCTGCTTTCTATTTTTTGTATTAGATTGTATATTTTATATTTAGTTTTCGATATTATGTATTTTGATCATTCTTCTATACATGTATAGGCACCTGGTAGGAGGGCTGTATAGATGATTATATTCAGAAACCACATTAATGCAGAAGTCTATATAAGGACTCTTTTTTTCATGTGTCTTGTGTTCTCCATTCCTAAGTTCTTTCTATTTAAGTCAGATTATAACAAAATTATGTATGTACTTTATTGTCTTTTCTTCTTTCAGAGATGACATTTTATTTTCCATATTTGTAGAGGATTAATGATCTTCATTAAATAAAATTTTCAGTGGTTTCTGCAAAGTATTTAATAAATTCATTGGCAAATATGAGGTAATCTATTGTATAGCAAAGTTTAAGAAATAGATGAGCACCACCTAAGGAAGGTATTGCGGCAGGAGAAAGAGGATATTAAATAGGCCTTCGGGAGTGATCCTTTTCAACTTTGATTTTAAGAAGTTATTTATCCAGTTACTGTGTATTGCCATGCAGAAGAATTCTGATCTATGTAGACATGGTGTAAATTGAAGAAAGACATCATGGCGCTATTTATCTTAGTCATGTTGTGTGACCTATCTCACTTCCTTTCAGGGATAGAAGCGCACATCAGAAACTGCTAAAATATATTTAGCAACATATGTTTCTTAGATAATGCATATAATCCCCATTCAGCATTCTGGGTTTAATAATTTCTTATTAATACTAATTAGTAGAAAGTAATTTTTTATTAATTTCTAATTAACACTATTTTAATATCCCTTTCAGATACTTTTATATATCTATTAATGGAGTAGGTGAGGAAAATTGTTAATATAATTGGTACCTAGCAGGGACAAAACATGAAAACAGCCCACCTAACAGAATGAAGTCTTTAAACACTTTTTAAATTATTAAAGCTTTATCCAATATTTGTTTAATGACTAATTTATATAAATATCTTCTTGAAAATTAATGCACATAATTTATCTCTATTGTCAGAAAAGCTGTGCTTCCTTTTATAAGATGTTTTTAAAAATTTGACATGTGCCATTTTTGTTTTCATTACCAGGAAACTTGGATAAGCCCAGAGCTTAATTGTATTTACCAAATGCCAGATGCCTAGTAACAACAATTTCTCTGTTATTTAATTTTTTTATTACTTGCAATTTCAATTTTCTTATTCATATTTACTTAATTTATATGCAACTTGGTACTCTAAAAATTGTCTAGACATATATTTTAAATATACAAAAACATTTTTCATAGAAAAATCATAAACTTTGATTTTAAGCAGAGAAAAGCAGAATTAATAATTTAAAAAACATTTTGTATGTATTCTCAGTAAATGAGAAAATAAGACTTCAAAGTTGTCATATTAAATACTGTGTGATCTTTTCTGAAATTGACTCAAATTTTTTTATAGCAATCACAAAGATGAGGAAATAAGCTGCAAGTCTATTTAATCAGAGTATTAAAGGAAGAAATAAAGCAATAACCAGTTACAAAAATTATTACAAAAATGATACAGCTCAAAGAGTAAAACGTAGAAAACTGATTTAGAGGTTTAGGAGACAGATTATTGTAAACAATCTAGGTTATTAATGGGATCCTGACTAAATGCAGCTCCATGATACAAGTACCTGCTAAAAGACCATAAAATGTAAATCCTCAGAGGTAATACAATCAACCCTCCTTACCTACAGATTCCACATCAATAAATTCTACAAACCACAGATAGAAAATACTCCCCAAACAAGAAACAATACAATATAAGAAAATAACATTAAAAACAGTATAAATTTAAAAATACAGTATAAAAACTATTTATATAGCATTTACATTGCAGTAGCTATTATGAGTAATCTAGAAATGATTTAAAGTATACTGGAGGATGTGCATAGGTTACTTGCAAATACTATGCCATTTATTATAAGGAAGTTGAGTATTCATAGATTTTAATACCTGAAGGGGTCCTGGAACCTATCCCCCATGGATATCAACGGACAACTGTATTTCAAATATATTTACTCTCACTATCTCCTATTAAGGATCAGCACAAATATGAATAAATAAAAAAGGTTCAGAAAATAAATACATTCTAAATCATCAAGATATTGGAAAATAGCCCATTATTTTATTGTGGGGGCATCTCATACTGAAGAGGCTTCTCAAAGGAGATGGATAATTCCTTAACTTCAACAGAAACTACTGGTTCTTTGAAAATGTTTTTTTTTTTTTAAGAAAATATGTTCACACTTTTACATGAAAAGATGTCAGATAGACAGTTATCTGAGACTTGTACTTATTATTTAAATCTTCAACCTCCTACCCCTCTTCCTAAGTACAATATCAAGTCCTGTTAGTAAAAGCTAAAGTAAATGACCAGTTATCTTGAGTAGTGATGGTGACTGACATTACAATAATTAAAAGCTAGATTTCCAAAGTGTTATTAAGTATTAAGCTTAATTACAATAATAGTTTAATAAAAGGCACGAGTTCTCTTTGATGTAAAATTAGAACAATGATTTATTTTTGATAAAAGGGAAAGAAGGAATGATATTCTAATCTAGACCTCATGTCATTTAATTTATACCAATTTTAATATTATGGAAACATTCCTAGTGATCTTTTTGTAAAAGAAATATTAATGCCCTTGAAAAGACAGAAACTTGAATGATCATAGAGTGTGTACATGATAACGCTATTTAAAAGACAGGTAAGGAAATGACTAATTAACTTAGTCTGTTCTAAATGGAATTGCAGAGAGTGGCAAGTCTTGCAGACTGTCATGGAGGTAGGGTCTAGCTCAGGGTCGGCCTAGACATCAGTCTCTGGGACCCATTAGTGTCAGAGAAGCATTGGGACTCTCCATAAATATGAGTCAGTCCTGCCTCTGTTCCTCGTTCAAATGGAATGCCAGCTCTCCTAATTGTTCACCTGCCACTGCTGGTACATCTTTTGTGTGTGAGGAAAGTGTGTATATGTGAATCTTCTTTATAACAGTCTTTTTAAATCCAGACTGGAAGCCTACTGAGAAAAGTTTGCTAGCAAATCACATCAATCTTTCACAGGATACAGCCTACCTGCAACATTGCTGTAATACCGAACAAGCACAGATATCCTTCAGAAAATGAGCAACAGAAAGCATATTCCTACAAAAACATGCTGCTGTTAAAACACAGGTGGCAGCCAGCTCTCTGGAGAGTCAAGGCACTGCCTTCCTTTCAAAAAAGATTTCAAGTAACAAACAGAAAACACTGTGAATTCTGTTCTCCAAGTGAATGAAGGCATTGTACTTATAACTGGAATATCTAAGGAGTAGTCCTAGGAAGAGTTTGCACAGATTTATTTTATTTTATTTCCTTTTAATATAACTTTTATAGCACTTATTTTGTGTCAAGCACCTTTTTTGCGGTCCTGGTAATTATGGTGGTTATGAGATGTGCTGGATGTTCTACTGCTGCCAAGAATGTAATTGAATAAGGGTTCCAGGTGTGCTGTGAAATCCATCACTACATTTGTACCGAGGCTGGACCTCACACAGGCTGGTCTAGGACCATGACTTAGTTGACAAGATGCTAATGTAGATCTGGGAGACACGTGACTCCTCGAATGATTCCCTTTTGCCAAGGACATCCCAACAGCTTTGCAAACTTTTCTTAGACTGTGTTTTGAATGGGAGTATAAGATGCATCTACTCATCTTTCACTCAACCTTCCCTAAATTCAATCTTATCTTATTGTTCAAGGCATAAAATATATATATGATCTTTTATTTCATGATTTCAGCATGTCATTATTATGAATGTTTAAGAATACAATAAAGAAAAATGACAAAAAGAAGAAATTAATCTCTATTGTTTTTATTTTCACTTATGAATGTAAGGGGAAAATTCTAATTAATAAGCCTGAAAAATAATTGAACACCACTCTGAAGAAAAATTAGAAATGCATATCAATAGATTTTTACAAATATGGTGTCAAACATAATTGTTAATATTCAGAATCTATTCTTTGAAACAGACATTAAATTGAAAATATGAGATTAATTTCCTAACACAACTAAAGAAAATCAATCATATTTCAAAGATCTTTTAGAAATGACTGCTAAAATTGCCAGGCTTTATAAATATAAAATTTGTAAAATTAACATAAAAACTGAAAGAAAAACTTTTTTTAAGTTTCTGATGTACTTGTATTAAACATTAGTTCAGTTTTCTAATTTTAGAACAACCCTCTGGTTAATCTTCAGGGTAAAAAAAAATCAATTAAACTATTGCTGGGACAAGTAGTTCAATTGATCAGCTATTTTACAGTTTGTATTAGAGCTGGTAATGTCAAATGTGCAAATAACACTTTTTATTATTTTATGCTAATTTTTAAAAGTCTCTAAAATTCTAGAATATTTCAATTGAAATATTGGGCTTATAATAAAAAAACAAGCTTGGGGCATATATTATTCTACTTATTATAAACAAGATTTTAAGTCAAGGTTTTGTACGTAAGTCAGTTAATTCCAACTTACAGTTGCATTCCAAGCCACAGATAGTTTTTGCAAATACATTCTGTACAACTGCACCTTACATACTAGATTATAGATGATTTGAACAAAAAAGCCAAGTCTTACTCACTTTTGTGTTTTAATAGAAAGGAAATCACGGCCTGGCACAGTGGCTCATGCCAGTAATCCCAGCACTTTGCGAGACCGAGGCAGGTGGATCACCTGAGGTCAGGAGTTTGAGACCAGCCTGGCCAACATGGTGAAACCCTGTCTCTACTAAAAATACAAAAATCAGCCGCACATGGTGGCACGCGCCTGTAATCCCAGCTACTTGGAAGGCTGAGGCAGGAGAATCGCTTGAACCTGGTAGGTGGAGGTTGTGATGAGCCGAGATTGTGCCACTGCACTCCAGCCTGGGCAACAAGAGCAAAACTCTGCCAAAAAAAAAAAAAAAAAAAAATCAGATGTAAAACTGTGTTTTTCAGATGAAAATCTGTGTACAGCATATTGTATTTTATTGAAACATAGATGTCATTGATAATAACACTTATCACTAAGACAGCAAAACCAATGCCAATTCCAAGGGATAATCCATCTTTTTTTCAGGGATGGTACATTTGCAGATTTTTTGCATCTTAGAATTGATGACATATGATTGATCCCAGTATCTTCCATGAAGCTTTTAAAAATTAAATGTACGGTCTTGAGCTTTTATCCTCATTCTTAAGTTCTTGAATTCAGCCAAACCATAATTAATACCTTTCAGAGGGACTTGAGCAACATTATTCATAGATTTTAATCCCTAGAGTAACAACCCGCAGATAAACTCTAGGTGTCCTGAGGGTCTCCTCCCCCATTCCCACCTCCTATCCTCTAGGGACCATCAGGAGTTACTCTGTCAAACTTTAATCCCATCATTCCATATTTTTCTTAAATATTTCCATATTTAATATGTACACCTCTTCAGTTATCTCTTTTCCCCATATTGTCCTTTCTCTTGGGCCAGTTTTCCATTATCCATCTCTTTCCTGGTTATTTAACTTGTATGTGACAAAAACTATATTCTGTTTTTAGTAGGTATATATTTTACTGTTCACATACTCAAGTGCAAAAGTGCAGAAATGTACCTTTATTTTCCTACAACTCAATTTAACTTTTAATGTAAGCTTCCTTCCACTCTGTAATAGAACACTTAATCTTGCCAATTTAAAGTAAATTCAGTGAATTTTGTTATTCCTGTTTAATGTGGGTTTATAATTCAATTATGTTAAGATTTAAGTATACTTCTGGGGTTTTCTCTTTGCCCCTAAATAATGAAGCTAATTAAATTATAAGTTATTCTAAGCACACCTGTTGGTAGAGTGTCATTGTGGAGATAGAAATCTCTAGATTCTTCAGAATATAGAAACTTCCGAAGTCTTATGCATAAGCAAAAGAATGAGAGCTAAATGGTATTAAAATATATTATTCCCTTTCCACTTTACCTTCTAGTGCCAATGACCCACTAATACATGAATTCTGTCTCCACAAGATTTCCAGTGAGGAAGGTCAAGACTGTATTAGGTCAACACTCTCCTGGCAGGCACAATAGCTTTCTCTCAGTTAGCTTCTGTATGTTGTCATTTGGAAACGGCAAGAACTTGCAGAGATCATTCCACTCTACACACTCAGACATCCTGTAGATGAGTCCTAGGATCACAACCTTCAAATGCCACACATCTTCACAGTGATATTTCTATTCTTCAACATCAAGCTTTTTATTTTTGCCTCAGCTGAACTCAGGTATAGAAGTGCAGGTTATCCCTACTGCTAAACTTTAAACTTAAAGAGGGATTCCAGGTGGGAAGGTGGAGGCAGTAAATTTAAAACTTCACCCCAGTCCCCTAATACACACAAATTAGTTCTGACACAGAAGCTTTTCTTTCCAAAACTCTCTCTCTCTCTTTACTGAGTCTAAGAGTTTTTGAGTTCAGAGGTTGCAGAGAAGAACTTCTTTGGCCAACTAGTACACGTGGACTTTCGATCTCACACCTGAAACCTAGTTTTTTGAGCCTAGAAACAACAGAGAACGTGACTTTTTTCTCTTCTATTCTAATCTGACCATTTTTCTCTCTAGTGAACGGTGGCCCTGGGTTCTGTACTCTGAATTTCGGTGGTCATGAGTAGCAGAAAAAAGATTCTATAATTAATGTTTCAGGTTATTATTCTGCCACACCCAGTTGACATCTTCACGTGCTTCTGTGAGTCTCTAATTTCGTAAACTAACCAGAAACACAGTCATTTCCAGAGGGCATTCCTGCCCTAAGCCAAACTTATAAATAACTTTAATAACTGCCTGTATTTGTGCATATCTCATGTGGCTCAGGATCACAAGATGCAAAAAGTATCCTCTTCTCTCTGTCATGCTGGAAACAGTTATTATTTCTCTACCTTTCTGTGGAAGTTGCTGCTACTTAAGATTCAGAACATTCATATAATACAATTTTAAAGTGAACTCTGGTTAATGAGACACAATTAATATCGCTTTTTAAACTGGGTAACAAAGGTGGACATTTTAAAATTACCTAAAACCAGTTGCATGACTTTAAATACCCACTCAATTTAAGGGTATAGAAAAGTTGAGACTGAAGATGATTAATAAAAAAAGATTTTGATTTGAAGCAGTGTTTTAATATAATATTTAGAGTTGACAATAGGTATTTTTTTAAAAATTAATTAAAAAATTAATTTAAAATTCATCAGAAAAGTTATGAGGCAGGTGTGGCTTTTCATCTGGGGGACCGTGGAATTAGCTTTGTGAGCAAATGTTAAGGAGCAGTGGGGGAATAAAACACAAAGTATTATGTTTTCAAACCCAAGTGATGTTTTGAAATAAAATATTTATATTTTGCTACACTCTTCTTTGTCACAAACTCAAATTTCCTCATTCTTTGACTCATTCACTGACGATCTGGCATAACCCTCAGAGACTTCCTTACCTCCTCAAGTCCTGCTGTCTTTACAGGCTACCTACCCTCCATGCACGTAATCCAGCCAGTACTGTAGTACTTCCCTACTTCATCTACAGTGACCCTCTCATCCCCACCATTTAAATCCCTCCCTCGTGGTCACACCTTAGACCCTAGTGGTCACCTAGAACTGCTCCACTTCTAAAATTACCAATAGACTGTCTGATCACAACCTTCTGTCCTTCTCTTTTAATTTAAAAAAAATTCATGCTTTTTATAATATATATATATTTTAATCTACAGAATCCTCTAATTTTTTCATAGTAGCTCTCTCTGGACATATAACTTTTTTTAACTTCCTCCCTAAGTTTTAATGTTTTATCCATTTCAAACACCCTCCTTTGAGTATCTTTCCCTCCTTTGCCTTGTTTTCTTTTCATCAATTTTGTCTAGCAGAATCTCAATCTTGGTTGGAGCTCAACTATCTATTTCTCTGTGCCTGCACCTGTGCATATGAGCAGTGATTTAGAATGTCACAAACTAAGGCCTATTTGTTGTTAAAGCATTCATATGCCCTTTCCACAGTTGGCTTCTATCTCTTTACACTAAAGTATTTATTGTAATCATCTTCCACTGTCCACAAATTTTTAAACTCTCCTAACTCCTATTAATTCTCTACAGATGATTTCATCTCCTTATTTCATAGAGAAATTAGGTAATTATCCCCTTAACTTCCTTCATTTAGCTCTACAATTTCACTTCCACCCATCTTGGGCTCCTTCTTCCTTGTAAGACATCTTTCATCCTGTCAATGGTTATTACCTCTACCTTTTCTCTGGAAAACATGCTCTCCTGAAATATCTTGGACTTGAGCTACTGATTCTTCCCTATTTTCTTTCTTTAACTTTACCTCACTATTGATGTTACTGCATTCACATTTTTTTTCTAATGGGAGGAGGAGAAAAAATGTTTCCTCCAACTATACATTTCCCTTCTACTTTGCCCTGTATATTTTCACTTTCTCAAAGCCCAATTTTTGGAAGGGATTTGTTTGTCCTTATTCACTTTCTATTACCTCAAAATTCTACTGCATTCTATTGAAACTTCTCTTGTCTAAGCCACAATGACTTGTTTGCTGCTAGATCAATTGACATTTTAAAATATAGAAATTATATTTACTTACCTTATTTTAATTTAGTGTTTAGTATTTAGTATTATTTCTGCCTTGTAGTATTATACATGTTTTCTGAACATGAAACTGATATTCTGAAAAAAAATTGCTCTTGAATGAAAAACTTCTGTCTCAGGATCCTATACTATGTTAAAGTAAAATAAAATAATCAATTACATTCTCATATTAATTTTTTCATGAATATTTACACTTTATTTTCTACTTGGGATCATGCACTTTCATGGCCTACATTGATAACAGAGGCCATTGTATCTTCAGTTATTAATAATTAAAAGTCATCTTGGGAACAGGGGAAGCTAATGAGAAAAGTTTGCCTTGTGAATACTCAAGTAGATGTAAGTACACTAAACATGTTAAAGACAGACCACTCCTCCTAAGTCATACAAAGTTACTCAAGCCGAAGTATAAAGGGAAACACTGAGAGAGTAAAATCTTACTTGTTGTTAGGAACTAGCTTCATTGGCTTAAAAACCCAAATATTAAGTGACAGATCTCTGATGTATCTCTGATTTGATTTGGAAACATTTTCAAAGTTTTTCTCCTTTTAGTGACTCTTTTTTTCCATTGAAAAACTTATCTTTTGTGATGAGAAAATTATGCAGAAGAATAGTTGTAATTTGTAAAGAATTTTAGTTTATTGCTATAGCCCAGGAATGTATAAAATGCACTGAAAGTAGGAGAAAATAGTTTCTCAAGGGCACGCTTTTCAGAAGAGATAGCACTTGAACTAAGGCTTGATGTATTGTATACAGTTTTCAGGTAGGTGATGGAGGAAAGGCATTTGGGCAGAGGGGCCAGTACCTGCAAAATGCAGAGACATGGATATCATGAGATGTTTGGAGAACTACCAAGACCAGTTGTTCCAGCGAAGTACTAGCTGAGATTTTTTAAAGTATAATTAACAGGGATACAATTCAAAATTATTTGGAGGAATAAAAAGAGCAGAGTGGATTTATTGTTCACACAATGGAAAATCACTAGAGTGGCTGGTTTCAAGCACAGATAGAACTGAGAATTTAAAAGATGCGTGAGTTTTCTGTTTTGGTTCTTCTCTCTCTCTGTTTCTCCTTTTCTTTCTCCTCTTTTCTTCTTCTTCCTCATTTTCTTCTTTTCTCTTTTTCTTCTGTGTTAGCCTGATTCTTATGTAGACTCTTACAACAGAAAAACCAAAACAGCCACCAGCAGCACTACACTAAAATCATCCTCATATTAATGTATCATGAAGTGTGTATGCATCTTATGAGTAAACTTTTTTGCATGGAATGCAAAGTTCTTGATAAGATGTCTCCCATTGTCCTGTATTACCTCATTTTCTGTTTTCTGTTCATGTTTCAGTTACATGCATGTTAGGTTAAGAAACTCTGCTTTAGATGGATGGAGAGCCTTTATCGGGAGTGTAATAAATTAATATGTGAGAAAAATGAGACAACTCTAGGGATGATTGTCGCTGTAAGATAATTATATGGATGATACAATGAGGTGGTAAATTGCTATGAGGTTTATGAGCATTCAGACAGGTTTTGACAAAGGCAGAGAAGGTGCTCTATAGTCTACACTATGTTTGTATGACAATTTATTTCACCAATTACATATTAATGAAGATGTTTTTATTGCTATCAAACTCTGCAGTAAGTATGCTTATACAGAGGAGCTTGAGATTATTCTCTTTGGTTTTAGATTATAAGGAGAAGTGCAAAATAAAAGAATAATGCACATTTTTAAACGTATGCCTATTGACAAATAGCCCTCCAGGAAAATTTTCCTGGTTTTCACTTGCATGAACAATCTACAGGTTTCAATTTTCCAGCATCATGGGCTCCCTTAAATCATGTGTCTTTTTAATTGTCAATGTGATGATAAAATTATACTGGAAGAGAATTTCATTGTGTATGTTTTCACAAAGCAGGATCTATGTATAGTTGTCTCCTTTGTCCATTCATGGTTTGGTTAATGAAGGGTGGCAGAGATGGTTGCCTCAGCATGTTTACTATCTTGTGACTTAATTTCTAGTCTTAAAGTGCATCAGTGCATCTACCTGAAGCAGTATGACTGGTATGAAAGAGAATTGACAAATTCTCCATTTTTCCCAAACACAATGGTTTAGCAGTGCAGATAAGGAAGGAAGGAGCCAATTGAAGATGGCGTATATTACTGGCAACATGTCTCAGATGGAATGGCCAGAAAAACAAATGAGAGAACCATTTGGATGTAATTAGAGAGCAGGAGGCAGAGAAAAGAAGAAAAAGTCTGTAAAATAAGGAACAGATGATGCCTCTGTAGTCCAAACGCCCCAAAATTTTCAGCTTGCTTTTCCTGCTTGTTCTGCTGTAACAATCTATGTGGACACTCACTGAAATATACTTAGCCCTGAGATTATTAACAATTTTGAAATTGAAACCAGCTGCATACCAAAATATTGTAAACTAAATGTTTGAATTGATTCTTGGCTTTATTCATCCCCTATTAAGACATATATACCATTAAATTGCAGTTTTATTTTCAGTGCCTTATCTAAACTCTGCTCCAAAGAATATTTCCACTTGCAGTTTTAAAGTAGCTCTTTGTATGCCACATCCTAGGTGCTTAATTTGAATTTTAAATAAATTAGCTTATGACTCACTTTCCACATGTCTTTCATGAGTTTCCCTCCCATCTCCATTCAAAACAATTGAATCCCAAAATGATGGCTACCACTTTACTATTTGTTTATTCAAGAAACATTAAGTGCTAGCCCCTGAGGATGCAAAAATTGTCCCTGGAAATTTCTATGCCTATGATACCCTTAAACATGATGTAAAATAGTGTGGGGTGCCCAAAGGGAAGAAGGGAGCTAACGTTTGAATGACTGCCTACTGTGTACAAAGCATTGTGTTGACCACTTCACACGCATTCTCTCCAACCCTGAGAATTGCCCCAGGGTTATTCTTCATGCACATTTTCGGTAAACATAGCACACATATTAATGAAGTTTCTCCAAGGTTTTAAAGGAAGATCCAGGATGTGAACACCTGTTTTCTTTACCTTGTTGGATATTTCTAGTCCTTTCTTATTTCATTGAGCTAGGTAATATTTTTCCTGTTTTATTCAGTCATAGAAAATAGGAAGATAAGTAGGGAGATCCTCAATCAGCATGTCTTTCATTCCTAAAAAATTGCTAGGACTATCATTCTGTTTTTGTTTACTTCAGGTTTTTCTGCCTAGAATTATTTTTTACAGTTTTGTTCTATATTTTCCTCCTATATTTTGTATTTTTTGTCTTTACTAGACAAATCTCAGATGGACAGTTACAACAGGGTTTACAACTCTTAGAAATGAATGTCTCCTGAATAGTTACATCTCTTGCCCCAGTAGCCATACATGAAAGTTCTGCCACCCTATTCCTTCACTTTTGCCTCACCAAGCATGTCGTACTCTCCACCAGAACACTAAGGATAAGCAAAGGGCATGGGGCAGAGCATGCCTGTTCAGGTCCTTCGCAAAGCAAGACTTTCAGACCCAACTCCAAGCCTCTGTTACAGGACCTTCGAAGGTCAAAATAGATAATCCTTTTCTTCTAAAGTAGTGATATGGTTCAGCTGTGTCCCCACCCAAATCTCATCTTGACTTGTAGCTCTCATAATTCCCATGTGTTGTGGGAGGGACCATGGGGAAGATAATTTAATCATGGGGGAGGTTTACCCCATACTGTTCTTGTGGTAGTGAATCAGTCTCACGGGATCTGATGGTTTTATAGGGGGCAATCCCTTTCACTTGGCTTTCATTCTCTCTTTCCACTGCCATGTAAGAAGTGCCTTTTGCCTTCTGCCATGATTGTGAGGCCTCCCCAGCCACGTGGAACTGTGAGTCCATTAAATATCTTTTTCTTTATAAATTACCCAGTCTGAGGTATGTCTTTATCAGCAGTGTGATAATGGACTAATATAAGTACATAACTACTGTAATTTATGTTTAGAATTTCCTTCCACTTATACATTTAGTAATACATTCTACAGATTTTTTGTTGCTTGTTTTTAACTTTCTTTTTTTGGTAGATACATATATTTATGGGGTACATGTGATGTTTTGATACAGACTGGCAATGTGCAATAATTATATCATGGAAAATAGGATATCCATCTCCTTACACATTTATTCTTTGTATTTCAAACAATCCAATTACATTCCTTTAGTTATTTTTAAATGTACAATTAAATTGCTACTGACCATAGTCACCCTGTTGTGTTATCAAATATTCATAGTTTTTATTTATTCTTTCTATTTTTTTATGCCCATTAACCATCCCTACCTTCCCCCACACCACTACCTTTCCCAGCCACTGGTAACCATTTTTCTACTCTTTATCTCCATGAGTTCAATTGTTTTTATTGTTTTTAATTGTTTTTATTTTTTATTTTACTTTAATTTCTGGGCTACAAGTGCAAAACGTGTGGTCTGTAACATAGGCATACGTGTGCCATGGTGGATTGCTGCACCTATCAACCCATCATCTAGGTTTTGAGCCCCAAATACATTAGCTATTTGTCCTAATGCTCTCCCTTCCCTTGTCCCCCCATCCCCCTGACTGGCCCAGGTGTGTGTTGTTCCCCTCCCTGCATTCCTGTGTTCTCATAGTTCAACTCTCACTTATGAGTGAGAACATGCAGTGTTTGGTTTTTTGTTCCTGTGTTAATTTGCTGAGGATGATGGTTTCCAGCTTCATTCATGCCCCTGCAAAGGACATGATCTCATTCCTTTTTATGGTTGCATAGTATTCCATGGTGTATAGGTACCACATTTTCTTTATTCAGTCTATTATTGATGGGTGTTTGTATTGATTTCATGTGTTTGCTATTGTAAATGGTGCTACAATAAACATATATGTGTATGTGTCTTTAGAGTAGAATGATTTACATTCCTTTGGGTATGTATCCAGTAATGGGATTGCTGGGTCAAATGGTATTTCTAGTTCTAGATTCTTGAGGAATTAACACACTGTCCTCCACAATGTTTGAACTAATTTACATTCCCACCAATAGTGTAAAAGCGTTCCTATTTCTCCACAGCCTTGCCAGCATCTATTGTTTCTTGACTTTAAAAAAATCATCATTCTGACTGGCATGAGATGATATCTCATTGTGGTTTTGATTTGCATTTCTCTAATGATCAGCGATGTTGAGCTTCTTTTCATATTTTTGTTGGCTTCATAAATGTCTTCTTTTGAGAAGTGTCTGTTCATATCCTTTACCCACTTTTTGATGGGTTTGTTTGTTTTTTTCTTGTAATTTTGTTGAAGTTCCTTGTAGATTCTTGATATTAGACCTTTGTCATATGGGTAGTATGCAAAAATTTTCTCCCATTCTGTAGGTTGCCTACATACCACAGATGTTTTGTGGGTTCTCTCTTATGTACTAGCCATGATTCTAGGTTCTTGGATTACAACTGTAAAATAAGAGAAAGAAAAAAAGAAATAAGAAGAGAAAGAGGAAGAGGAAGGAGGAGGAGGAAGAAGAAGAAGACAAAGAAGATAGAGAAGAAGACAAAGAAGATAACAATATTGCTGTGCTCATCAGGTTGACAACTGAGTACTGTCGTAGACTAAAATTTCCAAAAGGTGGAAATAGACGTGTTAGCTACCATTCTAGTTACTTGATTTATCTACTTTTGATAATGATGATGACAACATTTATGTGATGATGATGGGGATGAAAAAAAGATCTGATTTCATGCTCACTTATGAGTTTTATCTTTAGATTTTTTTTAAATGATGTCCTAGTTTATAGAAGATTGTGAGTCGATGCAGATGAAGGAAGAAATCCAAAATAGACTGGATGCTAAAATACCAAGTAAAGATGGCAAATTACAGAAATAATGGGATCTCATACTGGTGATTCTCAAACTTTGCTGCACTTTCAAATCACCTGGGGAGTTTTGTTAGAATCCTGACTCTCATTTTTTACCCCATACCAAATAAATAAGACAGTCTGAGGTGAAACATAGGTGTCAAGTGATTTTTGCTTTGTTTTATTTTGTTTATAACTCCCTTGATTATTTCAACATGCAAACAAACTTGAAAGCCAATGCACCAAACATTTTGTTCTCAAAATTTAATGTATGTTCTAATCACCCAGGGATCTTATAAAATGCAGATTCTGGTTTAATAGATCCAGAGTGGGCCCCAGATTCTCTGCTGCTGCTGTTTTGTAGACCAAACATTAAATAGCAGGGCTCTAAACATTCTTCCCCATGTCAGGACTGTAAGAACTCTGTAGATAGCCACCAGCCCTTTTCTGAGCAGTGGGTAACTGAAACCCCATTCAGTATGAATGAAAGCATGTCAATGTGCTAGGACTAGGAAAAGCTCAGAAATATTTAGAGAAGAGGCTCTCCAACACAGGCTTCTGACATGTTTGAAAACAGCCCACAGTATGGTCTGAATGTTAGTGTCCTCTGCAAAATTATATCTTGAAATCCTATCCCTCAAGGTGATAATATTAGGATGTGGGGCCTCTGGGGAGATGATTGGTCATAAGGGCTGAACTCTCATAAATGCAATTGGTACATCAACAGAAAAGGTCCAAGGGAGCTTGTTTGCCTCTTCCATCACGTGAAGACACAGCAAGAAGGTGTCATCTATGATAAAGCAGGCCCTTCCCAGACACTGAATCTGCTGATGCCTTGATCTTAGAATTTCCAGCCTCCACAACTCTAAGAAATACATTGCTGATGTCTATTAGATATGCAGTGTATGGTATTTTGGTATAGCAGTGCAAATGGACTAAATGGGATTCCCATCCCAATCTGAGCATGAGAAAGACTCCTGGGACATACACCTGGAGATGCTTATCTTCTTCGAGGCCTTCAGGGAGTATCATCATCACATACTCGGCTCATGTTTAATCAACAACCAAACTTCTGGGAAGAGAAGAAAAAGGTTTACCATCTCTTTGTAGAACCCCAGTCTTGTAGCTTCATATCCTAAATGTATTTTGTAAGTGAATAACCTGAGTACAGGTTATTGTTCTACCTAGCGGGTGATTACACAAATGATGAATTCTTGGTTATCAAAATACTCATATGGCTTTGGGATTTTGAACTGGTAAATATTCATGATGTGTGAAAAATCAAGACACATATTGTATAATCTCAGTCCCATAAAATTGGATGTTATTTTATATACAGACAGGACCTAGAAGAACACATAAAACTGTAAACTCTATGTGATTGTGGATTACTTTGTTCTTTGCTTCTTATGTTTTTCAGTTTCCTATAATGCACACATTAACATTTTTTTAAAAAAGGGTTATTTTAAAAATTAAAAAAAATGATGAGAAAGACGTGATTTTTTTTTGTGAAAACATAGGCAACATTTAGAAATGAGATATCTAGTCCCAGGAGTGAGCATTCCAATTTCTTCCTAAAACTGTATTCTTAGTAATTGCTTAAGATATCTTTTTCCCCACTCCAAATATTTAGTAGCTCTATGAAAAATTTATTCTTGAAATATGCTTTGCCCATTTGGATTTTAAATTTATTTGAAACAGTGTCCCCACCTTTTTAAGATAAATGTTAGGACAAATACTCTAAAGCCATCAAAAATGACTGACATGAAATAAAAAAGAAACGTACCAGTTTAAGAATGATACTTGTTTTTTGCAAAATGAAGAAAGACATGACTATTTTAGCCTTTCAATCAGAAGAGTTCTGATATGAATCCAAAACATTTGAACTGCACTTGCAAAGTGGTATCATTTTACTAGTACAAAATGCAATGTATAATATCATCCTATGTATTATGTATCGGATATGCCAATAGTAAATATCCAATAAAAAGTTGATGCATAGTAAATCAATTATTCTAATGAACTTCATCTTCTACTGTAAATTTATTGTATAGAGTGAAGCAGCTTTTGAATTGGAAGTAGAATTGATAGAAAAGTAGAATAAGAATCTATTAAAAACATAAAAACACACAACCTCCTGAAAGTGCTTGTTTTCAGAGAAGTTGAGATTATAAACCACTTCAAATAATCCATGGATTCTCATTCATTAGAAAAGATACTTTGTCTGCAATAACATAAAAACCATACATTTTAACAAGTATCTTGTTTTCATGAGGGCAAAATGTTACATATGCAATCAAAACACATCTACCCACAGTATCTCAATTACAAATATCATTCAGTTAATCCCATCCCAAATTGGGTTTGAGATGAATTCAACAGTTCAGAGCTATTCATCCTAGCTCTAATCAACTGAGAAAATATTTTATGGAAATAAAAACACCTCTGGTTTTTTCTTTCCTTTTTTTTCCCGTGACTGTTAGTAAAAGTGCAATGAACATAGAGTGGAACTGGCAGTGTTACAGTGCCTGGAACACAGTAGGATCACAATCTGTGATCTTAATTTCCATTTATATTTACATTAATTATTATAAGATTTTTAAACTTAGAAAATGATACGTATTTAACACCTTTGAATCATAAAAATTAAAACATGTATTGTAAAAGTTACCTGAATAAAACAATATTTTGTTAAACTGAGTCAGTTGAACTTGGCCTTAAATGGATGTGTTATGTGTTTTTCAAGATAGTGTAGTTGTTTTCTATTACTGCTGTAATAAATTGTCACAAATTTAGCAGTTTAAAATAACACTCATTTATTAACCCCCAATCTTGTAGTCAGAAGTTTGGTTACCGACTGGCTCAGCTGGTCCTTTGCTTAGTGCTTTGCAGTGCTGAAGTCAAGGTGTCAGTAGAGTGGTGTTTCTTTCTGGGAGATCTGTGGATGGATCCCCTTCCAAGCTCATTCAGATTGTCAGTGAATTCAGTTCCATGTGGTTACTGGACTGAGGTTTCCATTTCCTACCTGACTGTCATCTGGGAGCCTCTCTTATCTCCTTAAGGCTGGATAATCTCCCTATTTTAAGGTCCATATGTCAATTATATTTGCAAGGTAAATGCAACTTCCCTTTTGCCTTGTAACAGTCACAGGTTCTATGAATTAAGGCATAGGTATCTCTGGGGAAGTATTATGCCCACTGCAGTTAGATAGATAAATGGTGATTGTGAGAATATTGAGCTTACTTTATGAAAGAGCAGCAGCATAGTGACTGAATATGATCCAGGAAGCTGAAAGGGGAAGAAAACACTGGTTTCTTAGAATTCCTCCTGGCTCCATGAGACAGAGGTTTTGTATATTGTCAGAGATTTTACCTATCTTTTCCAATACACATACTTTTAATGCTAAGGTATTTTATCTTCAATCGAGTAAAACAGCATTTCCCATCAAATGATTTGATTGCAAATATTGTTGTCACATGGCATCTAAACCAGGGTGTCCTGAGTCAAACATGAAGTACAAAAAAAGGAACTAATTGGATTCCCTTAAGTTGTATTAGATGTTTTATTTGAAGGAATTATAGGCCAACATAAATTCAGTTATTCTTATACTCAGTTACTCAGAAATCTGTGCATTCATGGACTGAATACATTTACAAATAAGACTGGGGAAATGGTACATTCCGTAGTGCTTTTTACAGAATACTAATATTTTGTCGGACTAGTTCAAGAAATTGGACATATACAGGATAGTTGGCTTTGCTAAATTTAAATGCTTAGATGATTCAGTGGAAGTCTTTTAGGGATAAACTTAAATACATGTTACTGAAATTCTTCTGTTTGCAGTGTATTTTAACTGCTATTTACAAGAAATTCTGTAAATCAAATGGCACTTTTTACTGTTAAAAAATGATTGAAAGCATCATAAATAGGAAGCTGTCTCAACATAGACCAATAGTATTTTTTAGCACCTGGTTCATGGTTAGCATTGCTCACATTCATTTGACTTTGAATATGTTTAGATTTTATAATTGAATTAGAAAAATGTGAAGGAAACTAGTTTCTCAATTTAATAAGGCAGTGGGTAAGTGGGAGAGGAGCTAGGTGGATGATGCCTTTTTGGGGGGGAAAGAAAACTAAAATAATTTTATTTATTTTTAGAATTCAAAAAAATATTTAGTTTATTGTCTTCCTTTGCTCTTTTTATTCTACCTTTAAGGTGTTTTGTTTTGTTCTATGAATTGTTTAGAATTACCTTCTGTAGAGTAATTTTTCTTCATAGTGAATGTATCTGCAGTGATTTTATACATTAATATTAAAATGTCCTTTCATCATACATTTCACCAGACATTATAACATTGAAAAATACTGTAATATAGTATTATTTGAAATATTTATGCAACAAATCGCGAAGTCCATTTTACATTCCATTAAATCAAAACTTCACGTTGCCAAGAAATTACCTTAAAAAAATTTACACAAAACTATAAAATTGAGGTGATATAATTATATTTGCAAAACAAAAACTAGTGCTATTCTTTTGAAATATAGTGGCAGGGTTACTTGTAAATATGTAAAGTCAATTAATATCATAATTATTTTTAAATTATTGTGGAAGGTAAGCATATGATCTTTTTAATGAGAATAATTGGTTCACATCTCAGTACAAACATTTCTTTGATCATTTAAGTGAAAGTTAAACTTTGGAGCTATAAGGAATTTTAATATTTCAAATGCATAAAAGAAATACATAAAAGCAAAAGTAAAAAATTAGATTTGCCTATTCCAGCCATAGAACACACCCAACCCTAATTTTGTAATTCATATATACTGATATTCTCCTCTATTAGCTTCGAATATATAGGGTATATCTCCAAGTAGTGCTTTTATCTGTCATAATGTTTCTTGTCTCTCTCTGGTAGAGGTGCTTATGGAAGAGCTACAGGTCGGGGGTAGATTGGAGGAGGAACATATTCATTCCTATATGTGTGTGGTTCACGTTAGTTCTCCCAAGCTGGAGAATAATTTTGATGGAGAAAAATTTTATCCCTGTGTACAGCACAATGATTTGCTTGTAATACGCACAGACTAATAGTAAATATATTTAGTAAACGAATCATTGATGATAATAGTGTTTATCTTCATTGAAGCTTCAGAGTATTGGACCCTAAAACTGTAAGGAGTAAGAAAATGATCCCAAGTTCCCTTGGAATTGTAACATTTTATGATTTACTGAGATCCTAACATTCAGTTATCCTGAGTTTACCTTCAATTACCTTATTAAATGTAAGCCTGGTCCTTCTCTTTTTTTTTCTTTTTGCATTTAAAAATATTTTGACTGACATCTTTTTCCCTCTCTATATAGTGATTCCAAATTATCTAATGACAAACTTGTTTTTCTCCACTTTTAAAAAAAATTCCTTTAACAAATATCTCCCCATTCTCATTTTCATATCAATCATGTCCTTTGTATTCACACTTGAGCCTGCCTTTTCTATAATCTGTGTGAATTTTATATAAATATTTATTCACATATTAGAACCAAATTTATTCCTTCCATCTTTCTGCTAGTCTCATAAAGCTTTTCTTGATTATTCTCACATATTCTCTAACTTTTTAAAATTTTTACTATTTTATAAAAATTATTATATTTGTCAAATATATAAATTTATTCTTCATATATTTTTCTCTTTAAGAAGGTACAAATAACTTCATTTGGAAAATTGTATCTTTTTTCTCTAAGTACATGCAGGATAAATATGATTCTTACTAATTCATTTTAATAATTAATTTTGATTGACCTCATTTTTAGATGAGATTTTATTTCAGAAAATTTATTTTAACACCTGGTATATTGCCTTTGTAAATATTACTTTGGTTATCTTTCTAATAAAGGTGAAATTAAAGGATATGTCTTCATGGAAATGTTTGAAGGAAAAGTAACTCTGCTAGCTATTTTTCGCAGGATTTTGAATATTTCTTACATTTATGATTGCTGTATTCTCCTTTAATGCACCCTGCTAATTTTTTTTCTTGATTCTCTAGGTCTTAGTTTCTTCAACTGTAAAATGAAGAGGTTGGACTAAGTTACCTCTATGGTTTCATAATTTAAATAATAATTTTTTTTTAAGGCAGGGTCTTGCTCTGTCACCCATGCTTAAGTGCAGTGAAATAATAATCTTGACCATCACGAGATTTCCAGATGAGAAAGGATAAACTTGTCATAGGAATAAAAAAAAGTCAAAGTGTCCACAAAATGCATAATTTGAATAAATAGAGCATATTGAGTATATATAGGCCTTTAATCTAAAACACTATCAACTTTAAGGAATTGTTTTATGTAACAAAAATATTGGCTTGGTGAAAGAATGAGCAAATAAATTGATAAGACAACCTCCCATGGGACACCACTTAATTACAATAGCAATAATTAAGCTAATATTTGTGGAACACAATCTGCGCAAAATATTTTGCATGAATTATCTCATTTAATTTTCATTACACCATGAAAGACAGTAAGTTCATAATTTACACATAGATGAGTCTTAGGAGGGGAAATTAGATTTTTCTAGATGCTGGGACTGTATATAATATTGTTTTTACATCTGCTAAATGTTTATTTAGCCTGAGTTTGAAAATTCTACCATTTGGTATTGGTTCTTATTAAATTCTTCTTTTTAAACAACATGATACTTGAAGCATAAGACATGCTAAATGACTTCACTGGGTTTTAAAATGATGTTAAATGTTTAAAATAGTGATGTTAAACCTCAAGATCTGCATACTTCTTGGCTCTAACTAGCCATTTCACCTGGTCATATTTCCTGGATCCTGTTAAGAGTTGCCTACAACCATCATATCATTCTTTCTTGGTATTCACATAACACTTGAAGTTATATTTACACCTTAAATTATCCACTTGACATTTTATTATCTTGTTTTCAACAGGAAGGACTCCTCTACATGTGTCTATTTTTAGTACAACCACAAGTAAAATACCACAAATGGCTTAGATGAAATGTTCTTGATGACGTCAACCTCATATTGGAATATCTGTCACATGGGCATAGAGTAATGTTTGTTAAATTGAAGAGGATTGACAGTCATAAAGATGGAATAAACTGGGTAAATTAGTGCCTTTATAATTCCATCTGTGTTGTAAAACCCAACATTGGAGAAGCGGGTTATGGCTCCGATACTTTCATTGCTGACTTAATGTTTAGTAAATGAGTTCTGTATCTTTTTCAAATTTTTACAATAAGCTCAAAAGCAAATTATGAAAACTATTTACTTTCTGGTCATCCCATGCAGATTAACTCCTATGGCATCACAAGTTTAATCAGCTATACATTATTTATATCCTATATTACCTCCTATAATAGATCTCTTTTATATTCTCTGGTTCAAGTCCCCATTTTTCACTTAAATTGTCACTAAACCTTATAACTAGCATCCAGAATTTTCTTCAACACAAGCTGTACAGGTGGCCAAAAGTGATCTTTTAAAAACATAAACTCTCTGGTCTAAATTCTTAAAAGTCCCATTACCTTTCAGATAAAATTGTAACCTCCAAGTATGGCATATAAGTTTCTTCATTATTTGCTGTACACTTATGTCTCCCAGCTCATTGTTAATAATCTTTTTTATTCTCTTCATCCCTTTAGCAAAGGAAAACTGCAATATTTGTGGCTCTTCAACCATGACATGCTCACTCCCACATGTGTGCTTTGCCTACTGTTCCCCACTCAAATGCCCTTCCCTCCTGGCTGCCATTTTCTCTCATTTTCTCAACTTTTCCTTTTTTCAAGCTCATAACTTCTTATGAGAAGGGTTCAAAATAGACATCACCTCCTTTAGGGAGTCTTCTCTGACTTTCCAAAATTGGGTTAGGTCCTGCTCACATAGCATCCAAAGAATAGGCATTTATCACATATGTTTTGAAACTGGTTTTCTTATTGGCTTTCCACAGGATGATGTAAGTTCATTAAAAGAGTTGTAATATGGGTACTAAAATATGTATGGGATAAATGACTGTATGACTGATTTTTTAGAAATCACCACGGTATTCTTACTTCTTGACATTAGTGGGTTAAGTTTTAAAGTTCACTCAATTTTGTTTTATATCCTTAAAGGAAGACGTTCCTAGTTTAGGAGTCTATTTTACAAATGCTACTATATAAGGACAATATATACAAAAAGTGACATTTAAAAATGATTATAGGTTATGTATTTATGTATATATTATCTGAAAAATATACATGGTTTGTTATTAGAAATAGAAATAACTAAAAAAAAATACTGTGCTGCGACTTTTTAGCTCAGGAATCCAAATTGTTTTAATTGATTTTTTCTCTGAGTCTTCTTGTGGGCCCATCAGTTCTCTTCAATAAATATTTATTGACTACTTGCACATAAAGGCACAGTGCTAGGCAGAGAATGCCTAGATCTGCAATATGGCATTTCGTGGCAATTTTGACTTTTTTCAGTGAGCAAATTTACCATAGAGCGATGAAAATGCTCAGGTATTTATGTCCCTGGCCTCCATGAATTGAGGCTGCCCAACGATTTGAAGAACACCAGCTGGTTGGTGCTGCAGTTTCATTACATTCTCCATTGTCTGCCAGGGATCAGGACCTCACAGAGTCCTCACCTCAGGAGGAGAGATCGGAACCTGAACATCCAGAGGACAGAGGTTTGCTTAATTTCCCCCTTTATAGTTGTCAATTTAGGCATTTTCTGGGAGCACAAATTAGAATCCTTGTGAGAGATCTTACTGCAATCAAATCAGCTTCATACACCACTCCTAAAAATTGTTTCCAGTGATGTTATTTCACAGTAAAATCATGCCTGGTGTTTTCCTAAAATACATGTAGAACATCTAAAACACTCAAAATTTACATTTTTTAATGCATCAATACTACAAAACTGTTTAAAAAGAATTTATTTTTCTCTTCTTTTCCAACTACCATTGATGAAAGCCTAACTGCCAGGAGGGCTTTTTTTTTTTTTTTTTTTTTTTTAATAGGGTCAGGAAATCTACCCTAAGTAGTCAAATAACGTAAATTGTTTTTTTCCCTGTAGCTGAAATTGCTATGTTGGTTTTAAACTTCCCAATTCAAATTAATGAACAATTTTCTCTGTAGTGTAAGAGTGAATTTGGCAGTGCAAAGATCACAGCAATCTCTTCTTCATTAAATTGGGCAAAGAGAACTCATTGGTTCACAAACTGTTAAATGGATATTAGGGGTTTTAATGAATGGAACATTTATTTTTGTGCCAGCTCAACTAACAACATTGACATGATTAGCATACATTTTGGCAACTATTCTAGCACAAGGTGTCAGTAAAAAGGGGCTTTTATCTTTTAGTTTAATTTAGTTTAGCTTTCCTCGCTATTAATGTTTTTAATGTGAATGAGATGTTTTTGTAAAGGAAATCCTGCCACAAGAAGTTATTCAGAAATACATCTTTTTATTAATGTTACAGGCATTTCTCATGCTGGAGATCAAGTCCATTCCCCAAAACACATGAACCTTCTTCAGATTTGGAAATGAATCGAAAATTGTGCTATTTATACTGATGGTAAAATTATTGCACTTATGGAGGCTTCTTAAAAATAAATAGTGTTACTTTTATCTCATGAAGTTCCTTTCTTTAAAAAAGAGAAATAAGAAATAAAATATGACTAGTAAGAGATGTTTCCTCCATTGCTACATATCAGTTATAAATGAAAAGTTTTGGGGGTTAAATGATCTTAGTCTCTTAGCTCAGATGCCTCTCGTACAAAAGGAATTTCCAATAAAAATATATTTACTTTTTGTAACAAACATTGCTGCCTCATATACTTATTATTTTATTTATTGAAATTCTCAAATTGAAGAAAAATAAGATAAATGAGTTAATTAATACAAATCTAAAAGAACTTGGTTGTTTGCATTCAATGTCTTTTTTGTAGAGTATTTTTGTTTTAAAAATTATTGCAAGCTATTGCAACACAGCTAACAGAGGATTTGTTATAAATCTGTAGTAAAATGAAAATTTATAATGATATTAAATCTATAATAAATTAATATGCATGTGCACATACATGGGTGCAAATTTTCATATGAACTTACATCAAACATTTAGGCATACTCTCTTTCTACTATATATATGTCTATAACTACACACACATTTAATAATTTACCCAATGTTTAATTGAGTAATGAATTCATTTAATATAAACTTTAGTATAGCAGAATACTACAGGTTACCCACATTTAACCCTAAAAACAAACAAATGACAGGCACTTCAGTGAAATAACAAGCCCATGTTCAAATATAAAATGCTAAAAGTGAGAAAGAAATTATGAAAATATATACCTTTAATTTGCAGACATATAAACACTTTTGGTACAGTACAGATGCATGATGCCAAAAAGTAAAATGATCCAGTTTAAGCTAACACATTCCTTGTTTATACAGATTATTTTGCTATAGCTCTCATATAAAATAATATTTCCAGCTCACACAATGAATTGAAAGTGATAAATCACTGATGAAATAGCTTTCTTCATTGCAAGAGATTCAGTAAAAGCTAAATTATCAAAGAAATCTGCTGCAGGGCTTACAAATAAACTGTTGGATTTAATCCAAAACCAAAGAAAGGAAGCCAGAAATGGTAGTCAACAAACCTAAACAACAACAAAAAGATAAGTACAGTATAACTTTCATATAAAAGGCCCAACTAAAACAACCAGTAGTGTACACAAGCCTCTAGAAGAATTCACTTTTAATATGATTTCTATTTTCTTATGTGATGGATGATTTCAAGCCTATAAAAGTCTAATATATAACCCAAGTATAAAGTACGACCAACAAGTTGTGAAAGCACTAAAATGTCATGAATGCCTATGAAGCAACTAAAGATTGAAGCATTTCTTTGCTTCTGGCTGTTTTTCTTGGGCACAATATCTAGTTACATTTCCTGTAATGAAGAATATATATATGTATGTATAAATCTATTTCCCTTGTAATAATAACAAGTGCAGTGGTAAAGCAAACAGAAAGCAATTCGAGTACACAGAAAGTGGAATACTCTTCAGCAGGCTGAATCTGTAACACAAGGCAATGATTTTATCCTTGCTAAAAAGGAATTGCACTTCTTTTTAATGCCTTCTCTTTCACACTATATATGCACTTATGAGGTAATAAACATTCTGTTTACAAGTGCATTTCTTTTTTTATCATATGTTTAAATAGGGTGAAATTTAATTTACTTTAATTTCATATTTGTTTAATGTTAAAAACAATATATTTAAAATATACTCTTTCATTAATTTCATGTACAACTGCCAAGTACAATACCCCAGTTTCCTGCAAAGGAGCAGCTGATGCCCTCTTGTGGTGACAGGAATTTTTAGATAAAAATTTGTTCCATTTTTCTTACCTTACTCCCAGGTTTTATCAATCATCTGCTTGGTGTATGAAAGCTGCAAACCATGTCCAAGCTTTTTTTTTTTTTTTAAATACAAGTCCTATAGCTGTTAGTACTAATTTTCACTTAAAAATGCTGTACACATTTTATAACCTCTGAATTTAAATTTAAAAACCTGTAAACAGCTATTTACAATATAGAACAAGTTATAAATTAGTTGTCCTTCATTGGAACTGCCATCAACACACTCTTTTTTAGGTGATGAAGATCCAAAGTCAGTTAAAACATTTCTCTGTGTTATTCCACCATGAAATATCAAATATTAGAAATATCCATTGGCTTTCTCTCTCGCATATGCAAGTCAATTTTTCCTTTCAGTGGAATCTGTACTTCCAAATTTTCATCTTCCCTGGGATGCTTTTCCCCTTTCCTTAAACAGATGTATATGCCCATCCCTGTGACCAGTGTGATGGAACCCAAGCTTATTACAGACAGAGCTACTAAGGTGGGCATACAAGACACAGATTCTACCTTCCTATGAGTCGGTTCTATTGAGATTTGTGGTTCTTTCTCCTCTATATTAATCTCTGGTTCTTTTCTTAAAAGACTCTCAATGTAACTCTCATTACTGACAGTGTCATTGACAAATAGGTTCACCATGACTGTGGAGTGGAGAGGCTCGGGATAACCATGATCACTCACTTTCACCAGTAAGCGATGGAGCCCATAATCTGTCTGCAGCAATGCCTCTTCCAAAGTAATGTTGCCAGTTTTAGGGTCAATCCTGAAGGACTCAGGCCTAGGACCTCTTCTCCCTATGATGCTGTAAGCTATGACAGCATTCATGCCTGTGTCTTTGTCGACAGCATAGACTTCTGTAACCGGGGAGCCTGGCAGAGTAGAAGGCAGTACTAACAGATAAGACATATTAGACTGAGGAAACAAAACAAGAGGAGGGTTGTCATTGATATCTAGAAGGAGAATTGTGATTTTTGCTGTAGAGGAGAGGGCAGGCTCACCCCCATCAACAGCTTCAACCCACAAAGTATAGGAGCTTTGCTGCTCTCTGTCCAAAGAGACTTTAGCCCTCAGCATACCCTTTCCTGTATCTATGACAAAAATATCACTCTGGTTCACCACAGAGAGGGCGACCCATCCATTTCGTCCAGCGTCAGCATCTGTTACACTAATTACTCCAATCTCACCATAGCCTGGAAAGTTTTCAGGCACAAAAAAGCTGAAGTCCTTGTTGATAAACCGAGGACTGTTGTCATTTTTATCCAACACTGTGAGGGCCACAGTGGCTACTGATTCTCTGGGTGGCTTCCCACAGTCAACAGCTCTGACAGTGTATCTGTACTTTTCTTTCTCTTCTCGGTCCAGCTGAGTAGAAACTGTCAGAATTCCTGTGACACTGTCTAAGGAAAAATATGATGGAGCATCAGGTCCCAGAAAATATGAAACTTGGCCTCTCTCCTCGCTGTCGGCATCTGTAGCATACAGCTTAGTCAAAAAGGCATTGGGTGAGTTGTTCTCTTCGATGGTTAGTTCTATTAAGGGTTGAAGGAAAATTGGAGCATTATCATTGTCATCTAAAAGTTGCACTTTAATGACCCTTTTGACATGAAATCCCTCAGAGTTCCAAGCCACCACAGCTACTTCATAGAACTGCTGTAGCTCATAGTCCATAGGTTTTGTGGTCTCTAGTAAATATTCATTATTGTATGGTTTGTAAGGTGATAACCTAAACGGCCCTTCACCATCCAGGTAGCAGTTAACCTTGTATTTACCTTCTGGATCTCTTATGGTGAAAAACGCAATGGGAGTGTTAACGGGTTCCAGTTCTTTCAGATAAACCACACCATCTATCTCGTTTGCTATGTAACGAGGGACAATTTCAGGGGGTCTGAAAATAACTTTAATAATGGACACAAGAGCAGTGATTACAGCAGGGATGCAGCCTGGTCCATTAGCAAGGATGGTGAGCTTGTGGGACTCCAGAACACTTCCTCCAATCTTACTGAAAAGTTTAATGACTCCAGTGTTTTCATCCAGGTGAAATAAATCCTTAGATGCTTGTGGAACTTTCTGACTGTAAGAATAAGTAATTTGAGCATTGGTCCCCAAGTCTTTATCCACAGCCTGGACAGCTGCAATTGGGGTGCCCACTGTAGCATTCCCATACACAGTGACATTGATTTGTGAGTCTGTGAAGAGAGGGCAATTGTCATTAATGTCACTGATGCCAATGGTGAGAGTGGCACTGCCCAAAAGTGGTGGAGACCCACCATCCTCAGCTATGATGATGCTCACATACTGGTCCTGGGTTTCCCTGTCCAAAGCACCCATGACAATTAGGTAGGGGGTGCGCTCCCCATTCTCATTCTCCTCCACGTCCAGGGTGAACATACCATGGTAGTCCAGTAAGCGATAGGTCTGTACCCCATTAATGCCTACATCTGGGTCCACAGCAGGATGCTCTATGGCCAGTCGGGTGTTTACAGGTGCATTTTCCGGGACCCACACCGAGATCTGGGAAACAGGGAACTGCGGGGCGTTGTCATTGATGTCTCTGATGGCGATCTTCACCTTCACAAACCTGAAGTATTCCTGAGGCAGGACAAGCACATCCAGCAGCAAAAGACAAGAGTCAGAAGGAGAGGAGGAGATGGAAACGCTGCCGCTCCACGCAGTCCCTCCACCCCCTTCAACACACAGGGCCTCCCTGTCGATCTCCTGAGCTGAAGTGTGCAGCTCCCCAGAGCGGTTGTCTAGGGTCACGTACTGGCCACTCAGTCCCCGGGAGGCCAGGCTGAAGGAGAGAGGGGGGTTCCACTCAGCACCGGTGCGCTCTGGCAGCTGCGACTGCGGGTCCGGCCTCCCTGCAGACCTGGGCAGCAGCCGCAGGTCCTCGGCCAGGCTGCCGATGAGCACCCCCGCGGGTAGTCCCTCGTTTAGGCTGTACAGAAGCTCGGTGGCCCGGCTGTAACTCCCGAGGCAGCTGAAGGGTCCCACGAAGAGGAAAAACAGAAACAGATGCTGGAGTTGGGGGAGGGAAGAAAGCTCATTACACACACGGGGAAATAGGGGTCCGAGAGAGAAACTAGCGCCCCTGTGATCCTTGCTGTCCCCATCCCCGTTCCCAGAAGCAAAACCTCTAATTAGAACGGGGGCGGAGAAGAACCCTGCTGCGAAGGAGAGATCTGTGGGGCAATATCGTCTCCAAAACTTAATTTTGCTGTTCACTTTCTATCCCCTCCGCCCCCGCCTTCCCCCCTCGTTTCCCCATCACCACCCTCATCCAGCTAACATTCAGAATCCCAAACCGTAAAACATCCCTGGAAACACACACCGGAGTGGAGAGGATTCCGACTCAGAGACTGCGCAAAGCGACACGGAAACCCAGGGTAGGTGATGGGGAGGGAGGGGGCTGGTAGTAGAGAGCACTGAAAGGTGGGCAATTTATTTCTCCTTGAAGTGATTCTGCCATTAGAGTGCTGGAACACGCAGTGTGTTACATCCCTTACTAAGAGAACCATAAAAACAACCACAATCGCAATAATAATAATAATATAGAAAAAATACCAACACTTCCTCCTCCACCTCCAACACTTTAGGTCTTAGGTCGGAAAGAGTGATTTTTATTTTAGCACACATCTGAAATCAAACCGAAAGGATCTGGATTTCCACCCCTTACCAAGCAGTCACTAATCCCCCTCCCTTAGGGGGAAGCAAAGTAAACGCGGAAAATGGCTATGCAAAAACAATTTGTCAATTGCAGTAGGCATTCATAGCCAGACGCCAGCAGCAGGAAACGATCCCGAACCCCTGTAGCTAAAGCGGATTGAGCGCACCCCCGATGCCCTCGACCTTATCTGGATACATTTCTTGCTTCAGAAACTTCCTCTCATGACCCACGGACTTCCCTATTCCTTGTTAAAAGGAAGACACATTATCCCAAACTCCCTTTCCCTCCCGGCGCCATCCTTCCCGTGAAGTTTAGATAAAGGTAGAAGGTTTGAAAAACCATCCGAGTGGGAATTGCTTCACAATACTGCAACTTGTCGGGGTCGCGGGGTTCCTTGACCCTAACCCTTACCGGCAGGTTCCTGTAGCTGGTGCTGCTCCTGGGACGATGTAGACGCCCCATATCCAGGCGCGGGTGCCAGGTCGCCGGGCACCAGCTCACTCCCAGGGCCTGTGAGCTGCGCGCATTCCCTCGGCCGCGCATTCCCTGGGAGGCTGCAGTCAGAGCGCTCTTGAAGGGAGGGCGGCAGAAGACACTCCCTCTCGGTTCATGCAAATCGCTGGGGGAACTTCAGCCAATAGTCACTGGCTCTTCAATTAAGGACGGGAACTCAAAGAGTGGCAGAAAGGCAAGAGGGCAGAAGGGCACATTCATGGTTTCCTGCCCCGGACGCAGGTAACTCCATACTCTGCCAGAGGAGCTGGAATGGGGGACTTGCTCCTGAAGACTGCGAAGAGGCAGCTCGGGGTTGGGCACAGTAGCGCTTACCTACCAGCCTCCTTCCTTGCCGCACCAGTCAGATGCCAAGTCCACAGGTTGCTAGCAAGAGAGGGAGAATTAAAATAAATAAATAAGCTTGCATTTGTATATGGATGTAACAGAGAGAGGAAGTCGGCGCCACAGAGCAATCACAGGCGCGGTCCCAAAACGCCTGCTTTGCCAACAGTTCCTCCTGGAGCCTCGGATCCAGCAGTGTTGGCACAGAGAAAGAAAATGCACTTTTCTCAGCGGAGGGAAGGAATCTCAACTTCTGTGTAACGTAGGGTGAACCGGAAAAGTAAATATATGAATTCAGTGAAGGTTTCGACATACCCCAATTTTGAATCTTTGCTGTGGGCAGTGGTAGAGCTTCTGCTAGTTTCCTAGTTGGAGGCTCAAATGTCTCTGGGTGTTTGCCTTGTGGTCTTATTTTAGAGGCAGTAGTGGCTTCTGGATGCGGGGAAGAGCCAAGGGGAAAGTAGAAACAATTGTGCTGTAACACAAGTAGTTCTGCCTGCAAGTAATCTTAAACATATTTATCTAAGCGGTAAATTGGTGTGGGGAGGGGGAGGTATTCACTGAAGCCTAGGTAAAACATTGGTTATTTTTCAAATTAGTCCTTCCTTCCTTGTTTCCTTCCTTCCTTCTCTCCCCCCCTCCCCTCTTTCCCCTTCCCCCTTCCCTTCTTTCCTCTTCCCTGCTTCCTTCTTTCCTTCCCCCTTCTTTCCCTCCCCCTTTCCTCCTTCCTTCCTTTCCTTCCTTCCCCTTCCCCTCTTCCCCTTCCCCCCTTCCTTTCTTCCTTCCTTCCTCCCTCCCTCCCTTACTCCCTAGCTCCCTCGCTCCCTCACTCTCTCCCTCTTTCCCTGCCTCTCTCCCTTTCTCTCTCTCTTTCTTTCTCCTGGATTGCCTACTGGAAAACTGGTCCTTCATAAAGGAATTGTGGAAGAGTGTGGTGCCAAATGATTGCCTATCTTCTATGGCTTTGACACTGAATAGCTATGTAACCTGGAGTCACCTAACTCCTGGCCTTCTGTTTCCTCATTTATAAAATCAAGGCTAGTGGGATACTCCAGTGCATTAAGCCTCTGAAACACTTTTTGATCTGCAGGTTGCCATGTAAGTAATGGAAAAGCCCATGATTCGGCCTTTCCTTGAGAAGACATTTCTCTTCATCGCTAGGCTTCCAGATATCCTCTGCAGGGTCCTGAACATAAAACCTCACATGCTGAATGACCAGTGACTGAGCCTAGAGTGAAAAAAGGTCTTTGATACCTGATTTCCATATGCTTTCTGTAGGAACTACTTCAATTTTCCCCTTCCACCAAATGCTAACTAGAATATAAATTGCTTGGCTGAGCTAACTGTTTTGCTTCCTATCCTTCCTATTTTCTCCTCATTTCTAATAATCCTAAACACAGAGTCCTAAATATGGACAACACACTACATCAAAACACCTGGAGGGTAACAGCTTGTTATTGTGCAAATGGGGCTGTACATGGAGTTCACAAGTCTCTCTATAATACAAATTTGGCATACAATTTGAACCTGGCTGGTAAAATCAGTTCCTTCAAACCCTTTACAGTGAAAATGGAGCACTGATGAAGTGGTAAACCTCAGCCCCCAATCACCATCACCCCACCCCTCACCCCCCTACCCCTCTCCCACTCCACCTCCTCCCCACCCCACACACACACTCAAAGGAACATGCACATCTGAGTTGAAGGTTGGTAAACAAGCTGCAGCCAGGGAAGCATGATCTCCCTCCTTGTGCTTTTTAGCTGCTGGTTCTGCCCTACAGCTGAACTTTTGCCATATTAGTAAATATTTACTTTGAGGTCTGTAGTTGAAACATACTTGACTCCCCAAATCAGTACCAAGCTGCTTCTGAAACGTGTTTAACTTACATCTTTATACAATACCCACAGCTTCCCGAAGTTGGAGGCCCACGGCCAGAGTTAGGCAATCTGTCAGCAGTCAGAGAACCTGCAGTCTGCAACAATTCTCCCCCAGAGACAGAGCAGCAGAGTGGGCTGTTTATCCGCTCACAGCTCATGCCCTCTGCAACAAGTTAAGATCATCCACCTTTTTGGTGGAAACGTAGGGAGCTATTTTCTTCATTTTTCCTTTGTTATAAGGACATTGTACAGGAGCTGTTGTTTATGATGATAGTCCAGGTGAAGTGACATTTTCTCTTTGTAATTATATCTCAAGTTTTTACTTTTCCCTGGCCCCTTACTCTCCCTTTCCCTACTTTGCAGTGGTTGCTTGTAGTACAGATGCACTTCCTTTTTAAAGTGTTTCCCCCAGCCTACACCAGCAGAATCTTCGTCTTCTGACCCTATCACCCAGCTGGTCTCTGTGGAAAGGGTTATTACCACACCTCCCTTTATTAAGTTGAAAAGAAATTAAATATACCCATTTGGCCATAATTATTCTCTAGAGTGTTTCTAAAAACCATAAACATGAATTATAGCAAAAGTTCTTCATGTAAGTTGAAACACTAGTATTGAACACATCTTGAAAATAATGTTTGGAACGACACTAACAACCACATTTGCTTTAAGTGACTACGGTGATTGCAAAGTCCCTGCATGGAAGTTTGTCATCAAGATTGGGAGATCTTGGCATAATATTGAACAATACCTTCCACGTCGCATTTCAAACCATTCACTGAACTACTTGTTATTATCTTTCCTCTCTGAAAATCCAAAGGTTTTACACAATGTTTATACCCTAATTGGGCTTAAATAAAATAAAAAGGACTAAATAGACATCTTTCTTCCCATGTATCCCTTCTCTGGGCCTTGTGAAAGCATTCCCAAACTCTTATTCCTTATGATGCCAGCCTGCGACCTACCTTCTGGTGTCACATATTTCTAACGATGACTCAGAAAGCTTCTATGCTATTAGTCCCTTGAAAATAATACTTATGAACTTCTTAGACGTCTCAATTGCTCTGGGCCTGCTTCCCACATGTTTTGTAAAAATCGATCTAGAAGAATAGTTAGATTATATGCCTCCCAAGCCTATTTTTCCTATAGACAAGGAAAACAGCAGGATACAATAGACGGTGCACTGAGCTGAGCCAGAGGAGTGGATTACATTCTCTGGGTTGTTGCTAAGTTCTGTGTGACTTTAGACAAGTCATCAAACTTCTCTGTTTCAATTTCATAAAAAAAGACCCCTACACACTTCATGCACGTATATGCATGAAATTGCTTACCTCATATCTGGCATTAACAGACACTGCATGCTGATACACGGGTTAACTTGATTATTACTTATTGCATTCTATCACTAAAACATACTATTTTTCATTTACTGCAAGCCTTCTTTTTGTAATTTTATTATCTCCACTACAAAGATGTGAGCAAGATTATAAGTATATATCAAGATACCATCTTTGCCTGGGCGCGGTGGCTCACGCCTGAAATCCTAGCACTTTGGGAGGCTGAGGTGGGCGGATGGTCTGAGCTCAGGAGTTCAAGACCAGCCTGGGCAACATGGTGAAACCCCATCTCTACTAAAAATACAAAAAACAAACAAACAAACTAGCCGGGGCGTGGCAGCGTGCGCCTGTAGTCCCAGCTACTCTGGAGGCTGAGGCACGAGAATGGTGTGAACCCGGGAGGCAGAGCTTGCAGTGAGCCGAGATCGCACCACTGCACTCCAGCCTGGGCTACTGAGCGAGCGAGACTCCATCTCAAAAAAAAAAAAGATGAGGAAAAAAGATACCATCTGTAAACTTTTTACGTTTTAAATCTTTAAAAAAAATTTTTGAAGCACTATGCTTTACAGGTAGTTTTATTTGTATTTCTCAATTAAATCTATTTCCACTATTTAGATTAGTTTAATAATATTGTGGTATACACAAAGTTTCATGTAATCACTATATACACAGATATTTAAAACTATCTTGAACCATAACCGTGTACATGTTCTGGTTAATTCATAATTGCAAATAAATATAAGTTTAGAATATTACCTTATTTTAAGGCCATTTCTCTTTGTCTTAATAGAATTTTTAAAATTAGAAGTCCCTTTTGATGAATTAAAATATATGTACATGTGTACACAAAATATATTATTAATATATAGGTACATATGTAAAAGTGTAAAATATACCACATATAAATATAACATATAATAAATATATATACAATGAAATATTATATCTGTATTCTTTTTTGATTCAATCATCAAGGTTAAAAGGATGATTACATTTGAAAAACCAATAAAATACCTGAGAAATGATAGATTGGTTACCTAGTGTCAATTATGTTTCAAACATGCTACTAGGTGGTTGACATATGTAATTTAGTTAATCCTCACAGCAGTTTTATAATATAGTTATTATTATACCAGCTTTATAGCCATACATAACATGCTAGTCCAGAGCCTGATCTGTGACCTTCAAAATATGTGATCTTTCTACTCTGGTATGCCTTTCTCATCAGAATGGGAAAATAAAGGGCCCACACACATTTAAATGTATTTCTATTCAACAAACATTTATCACTCATTTAAAATAAAAAAAATTGGAGGCATAGATGTGTTATATGATGCCTTTTCGAAGGAAAGGATTCTTTAGTCCATTACTACTTCGTAAATAGATACATACACATGGATATAACTTGTCTAAGCTGTGTGGCTAACTTAAATCTCCCAATGTATACATGTAAAATATATAATGTGTGTATAGCTGTGTGTATACTTGAAAGTACTGAAAAGCTTTGGATAATTTTAGGGATCACCTAGTTAGCCCTCATTTTACATGCTAGGTGACAGTAAGAAAGATGACTTATAGCTGACTCAAATTATGAAAATACTCCCATTTCTTATAATAGTACTAGATTTTAACCTCACAATTGCTCTGATATTAGAGGATAACCTGTAAAAACAGTATATTTTTTAAACCATCTACGGTTAAGATCAAAAGCCTTGATTTTAAGAGTTACTCTAAACTTTATTTTATTTTATTCATTGTTCAAATTTACAAATATTTACAAATATTTTTAAGTAACTACTGAAGTACTAATTATTTTTTAAGTATATCACACAAACTGAAAAAATCCTACTTCATTTCCCTACACGATTCAGAAATTAATAGTGAGACTAACAGGGAATCAGCAGTGAGGCCTTTTGCTAAAAAAGCTGGACAGTTAATTCAGTAAATAAACATACATTTACACACTTGCAAGAAGAAGGTCCAAATGAGCTAATTTACTATAAAACTTGTATTCTAAAACATTTACTGCTGTACTGTGCAACTTATACATGGGACCTTTGTAAGCATTATTCCGTCCTGATGACTCTTTTTTATGTTTTAGAAAACTTTGTGTAAATAGATTGTACATTTCTCCTCTTTCCCTATATATTCCAATAGGAAAGAATAAGATAGGATGGAAGGGTCCTTTCATTTCAGAACTCAATTAGCATCACTTTAACAGGGATAAAAATAACTGTGTGAAGTCATTAGAAAACCCCAGGCCTAATTTTAGCTAACATTTTCAACTTTTCCTCCTTATCCTGAAAATAAATTTTAAAAGTCATTTTCAACTCATTTTAATTTCACATTCTTCCTTCTCACCTCTGGTAGAGGTGATAATGAGCAGCGAAATCATCAAAAGAAAGGTGGTGGGATTGAGGAGGGAAAGAAATGAAGGGCATAGAAAATTCCACGAAGTGGATCAGGAGTTGCCGAATAAAGAACAGTTAACTAAATGTGGTTTATTGATGATGCATATGCCTTACTTCCTGGAGTCCATCCCTGGGAGATTTGAAAGAAGGAAAAAATACAGGCTGTGCAAAGAATAAAGCAATCGTAAACCCTCTGAATTAGCATAGAAATTAGGTCAGGGCCAAAACAAATCTATTGAAGGAGAGAAAGAATTTTAAATTATGTTTTAGGAGACCGATCGTCTATTTCTTCAGATACCTATTTTTGATTCTCACAAATTTAAGTGTTACATATGGGAAAGTTTAATGAAAATTTATGCTCAAGTAATGTTTTTATACCGATCAACAGATCTTTTGACTGGCTTGATAAAATCTCTTTTTATCTGACTCTGTGAGCCTAAAGTGCGATTGTTAAAAACTGCATGACTGTTCTAATCTCAGCATGTGTGGCATATATAAAGGCATTGAGTGAGTATCATAGGGTCAGTAAAAGACTTTGTCAATGATGTACGTAGTCAATATTTTCATGGCGAAAATATGAAACGCTATGATCACTAGCTACTTCTTTCTTGATATCTCTTTAGAAGGAGGTAGAGTTTGCTGATCTCAATTTCATTTACTGCTAACAGCCAGCAATATTCAGCACCTAACTTTCACCAAGTGCGTGGTGGACATTACATTGAATATTCACAAAGTCTCTGCAAGTTAATGATGACCCCATTTTACAGATGAGGAATAGAAGGCTTTTAGAGGTTAAGTAGGTTCTTGTGGTCACACAGCTTTGGAAGTGGCTAAGTTAGGAGGAACAAGGAAAATTTGAGTTAGTTTATTATAATGTTGGTGAGCCTTTTAAAAACAAATATGGGCGATATTCTAATATTAACTGAAGCAAGCACATATGTTGAATAAGGAATATGTACACATTATAAATAATGCATATAATCTGATAGTAAGATAACCATTTCAAAAATACCAAACATCTGGAAAAAATTAAACAATTATAAACTTCCATAAAAATGTACATAAGCTATACTTCTGAAACAATGAGTGCTCTGTTTTTTCTAAATTATTTGAATTATCAAGAAAAGAATGTGGGTTTTGTAACAGAATTTTTATAAACAATTTAGAATTATATGGCAATAAAACATTTACTTGGCGAAAAGAATGTGCTTCTTGATAATGAAATTGTAAATATCCTAAAGGCCCACCATTTCTTAATTGTAGATAATATTAAAATTTGGTCCAGTTGATATCAACTTTATTTAGAATATAATAACAGTTTTTTTGTGGATTCCTTCTCTTTATGAATAAATATATTCTGCATTAACTAGATTTAAATGAAATATGAATAATAATTGGTTTTTAATGAAAAATTTTATTAAAGCTTATTTTAAATATTCATATGTTCTTTTAGAATTCAAAATGTCAGACAAATGTAGATAAGAATTTAGATTTTGTGCAATTTAACAGTCATGTAGACAAAGGTCAAAAAAAGCTAGAAGGGAAAAAGAGATTTGGAGATTTCCATGGGAAACAATATTTTTTATGGTATTTTTCTTTAAATAAAAAGAATTAAAACTTTTTAAAATGTGCCATAAGCATGGCATATATTCTCTTGAACGTCTAACCTCAAATGATTCTCCTGCCTCGGCCTCCCAAAGTGGCAGGATTTCAGGCATGAGCCACCACGTCTGGCCAGGATGGCATATATTCTATATAGGAGCAACTATTCTTATTCTAAATGTGGATGTACATGGTGTGCTTTCTTAAAAAAAAAAAAACACAATTACTGCCACTTTGTATTTCAATACTTCTCCAAAAAAATCCAAATCTATTAGAGTCCTGCCAGAGCTTGTTAAACTATTCAAGAATGATTATAAAAGGTGTTTTACACATAATGTACACCAGTCATAAAGCTGAGAGACCTCAGGTATCCTTACTAGCTGTGACTGTGACTATTTAAGCATTTCTGTAGGATTTCTGGATCCAGGGTGATTCAAGATGCCATCTCCACACAGCCATACAATATTTAAGAAAACCTCAATTAGGCTAGCCATGGATCTATCAACTCTGCATCATTGTCACAGGCTCTCTGAGGTGTTACATGCAGCCTACAATAGACCTCCTTAATATCATAATCAAAATAGCAGTGAGCTTTTCAGCAAAAAAGACAGGTTTTCACTTATCACTTAAAACCATTTATCACAAAATACTAGAAATCTTGATTCAATGTTATATTCTCCCTCCAGTAGATTTTGGCAAATGAATGCCATATTTCTCAGAAGTTATCAGACACTAAAGAAGGGTCATAACAACAGAGAAAGTGTCACGCTCTTCTTGTTATTGCTTTTCTTACAAGTCCTTTTCACATTCATAGTCCACTTTCCCTGACTTCAGTGGCACTACACTTATTTGTTTTGTACCTTACATCTCTGTCCTATTTTTGTCTTTGCTCCTTTTATCACCTTTTAACTATAGGTTTCTCCAAAGGTCGTTTCTGTTTCTTTCTATAATCACTCACTGGGGAGTCCTTTTATTGTAATTCTAGTCATCCACTTCTATATTTAGGCCTTCCAATTGCACTCCCAATGCCTTCAAATTTTATGCATCCTCAAATTTTCCTGTAATTAGGAAACATCATCTAGAGTTGAAAAGTCATTTTTCCCTAGGTGAAATCTCATCCCTAAGGATTTTTATTCCCTCTTCCACAAATGGCCTGTTCCTAGTCAGACAATCTACATATGACAATGCTTCTAGCATAAAACAGAAACATCCATACTTACAAACTTTTTAGCTACTTAAAGGTAGTTTGCAAGTATATTTATTTGTACATCCAAATTATTATGAAACCAACTACTATTGCCAGCTCTTGGTGGAAGGCAGAACTGAGGTACATGGCTTTGTTCTCACCATATTAGTACATAGAGGACTGACTATTCTTGGAACATAGCAGATGTAGAAGTTTGAAAAAAGCACACAGTGGAATAGAGCACTGTTGCCTAAGAAAAGTCAACTGCCTGACTCACAAGAGGCCTCAGAGAGTGGCATTAGAGTCATGAGACATAATAACAGCTACCAGTTTTTGAGTATTCACTGGACTAATGTATTTATGTGTATGTGTATGTATACATATGTAAATATGTGTTTGGGGCGTGTGTGTGTTGTATATAAATTCTCACAGATAGATATCATTATTTGCAATTGAAAACTGGGGAAATTATAGCTTAAAGCATTATGTACCTTATCCAAGATCACACAGACATCATTTAAATCATATCAAGCATTACCTTAATTCAAGCACAATTACCCTGAGGGTATTAGGCTATGCAGTCTATAGGCTGAAAAATTGAATTTGGGGAAGGAGAGAGGATGGAGAGAATATTTTAAAATCTCAGGCATTAAGTCATATTGACCTAGCCCGATGATAAGCCCCAAATTTCCCATGAGAGTTTGTTTACAGCCTGGTTTCCCATGGCATTGATTGGGCTCTTTTTTACTCTTAAAGTACTGTGGTTTAAACAATAAAATATGCGGTCAACTTAAATTATTCATATTAACAAGATTGGTTCAGAAAATCAATGTGCATGAAAATATAATGAAAATGTGTTACAAAGACTTCCATATTCATGCGGCATTGTCACTGCGCTTTTTTCTGAAGATAGATTGCAGTGAGAAGCCAAAGAAGAACCAAGTGAATCAAACTGTAGAATGAATGAAATGTTTCTTCACAGCAGGCTGAAGCCTCGAAGTATTCAGCCAATGGAGATGGGATACCTACAGCCATTTGGCTTTGATTCCCTCCATGCCTCTTGGTGCTTCCATGCATACTTCCCCTGGGATGCTCTTCTTTTGGTTTCAAAAGCTGGTAAGTCTCTGCCGATCAACACATGATTTCTTTACAAACACAGAACCTAACTCAGGGTGTGGGAAGCCTGAGGTCTACCATTCTCTTTTTCAAAGAGCTCTTTTGTGCTTCTGTTCTGATTGTGTATCAAATCAGAGGAAAATATATCTTCCCTTATTTCCAAGGTATGAGAAGGCATTTCACTGTAGCCTATGGGTATGAACCAAGGAGACAGCATGGTACTTATGAGCCCAGGCTTTGTGATCACACGGACCTGGCTTCAAGTCCCCATTCTGCAAGTTACTTACTAGTGGTGTTACCTTGAGCATTACTTAGAATTTTTAAGAATCAATTTATAGCCCAATTACCCTGATTTGATTGTTACACATTGTATGCCTGTGTAAAAACATCACATGTACTCCATAAATATATGCAACTATTATGTACTTGTAATAATTATATACAATTTAAAAAATAAAATTAAAATTTTAGAGCATTTACCATTTGCTAGACAGTATCATAACATTATATGTGTTAAGTTATCTAATTTTTATAGCAATAATTGAGCTAGGTACTGTTATTGTCATTATTTTAATATGAGTCATAAAGCAGCTATGTAACTTGATGAGCTTTCACAGCCAATAGTAGAGGAGCTGAGATGGGAAAGAAGGCAAGTTGCCTCCAGAACTCTCAGTCAACCATTTCTCTGCACTTTGTCCTGTTAAACAGGATTGGGAGTACTTACCTGCCTCAATGAATAGTGGTAGATATTTAAATAAGTAAGTGTATTTAAAATGTTTATCACAATTCTTGTTACAGAGTAAGTTTCAATAAATACTAGCTGTAATAATCTTAATTATATTCTCCCCTTTCCGTCTCCTTCCAATCATTCATTTTCATTCAAAGTAAACCATGGTTCTTTTGATTTCCTGTACACTATATAATTATTGCTATTTCTGTACCTTTGCCAGTGAATTTTTCTTCGATTAAAAATTCTTGTATTGTGTGGACAGCTTTTCCAAAACATGATTTTTCTTCACAGTCCGATGTACGTGACTTTATTCATTCCACTTTTTGGTGCCTTTATCCACATTCAGTTTGATTTCTCTGGATTTTTACTGAACTTAGAGATTTTAAAAATCATCTAATTTATGTTTTATTATGTTATAATCATTTTGCATGTCTTTACGTATTCTGTATCATTTTTGGACAGAATAGAATTTCCTCATATCAGTTTGTAATGTGGATATGAACATTTTACTTGTTCAATATTTTATATAAATATATTTTCAGTGAGGCTTATTTTATCGACATCTTTGGAAATATTTATGATAATTTAGCATGAATTACTAAATATTGAATATATGTTTTAACTGGAATGTAAAATTTTAAGACTTTCTGGTATATGTAAAACAAATACCTCCAGAAATTTTAGTTATTTATAATAGCACTGTAACTATATGAGGGTACTCATTTCTTCAATGATATCATTATTGGATTAAAGGTATTTTATTTATTTCCAATATGATAGTTCCAAATAGCATTTATTAGATGAGAATATTAATAATTTTTAAAAATGGGAAATTTCTTCCATGTGTTTTTGGAGGGGGATATTAATAGTTTTTCTTATTTTTTCAGGAACAATACTATAAATACACCATAAAATATGGGTGCCATTATTTTTATTCAAATATTTGATAAGTTTCTTGCGTATTTACTGTATCTTGACTTGGATTTCCCCAATTAAATAACAAGCTCTTAATGGATAATGGTAAACACAGACCAAGCAGGTAGTCAACGTTCAATTAATAATTTTTAAATGGCTGAAAGCAGTAATCTCTTAAATTTTAGTTAATTAAATACTATTAAAATATCCTTAACTCTAGCAGTATAAATGATAAATTTCCAGATATAGGAGACTCTGCCTGCTTAAGTAATATCTGCCAACACTATTTATTTCTTTTTAATGCTTGTAATAATGAATATAAACATAAACGTTATTTGACTATGATATGTTATATTGTTCTCTAGTGTGAGCATAATCAATTTAATTAATATTCTTTTACCAAAGGTAAAATGTAATGTGATTAACTTTGCTTATTGAAAAAATGTGAAAATGTTTTTCTCCAAATTAAATACATTAGAAACATCGTATTCTCATTTGTATTTCTGCTGAATGGACCTCCTACCATCTGGAGACTCTCAGTCCATGAGATCTGCTAATCCACTTTTTCTTCTTTCTTTGGTCAAATTGTTCCCTAAAGTTTAGCAAAATGAAAATAATGTAAAAATTCTTTGCTCCTCCAGAGAAAATGTTTTCTTTTTGTCTGCTTTGAAAAACTGCTCTTTTCATATTTTTCTCTAGCTTACAACGTGAGAGTTAGCAATAAATGAACAACTGAATGGAAATGAAGACCTCAGAGTTGTTTTCCCCATGGAGTCAATGCCTTTGGGTAACCAGTGACTCTCTATTCTTCCTGTGGCTTATGGTATGATGGTATATTTTCATTATCTGCAAAGTACAGAAAATAATACCTTTCTCTGATGTCATGCAGATTAAGTAAAAAGTGTTTCCGTATAGAGCTTAAAATTTCAGAAGCAAAAAAGAAAGTTCTTATTTCACTCCCAGGGTTGGAGATGAATTCACATGGTCTTCAATGCCAAAGCTTGATAAGATAAAGCTGTAATCAGCATCATAGAAGAATCCTGCAGTAATCTTTTGTAGTCCAATGTCCACCAGTCTTCACTATTGTCTCTCTCTACCTTTTCTCATTTCTTCCTGTTACCTAGTTTGTATTTCCTTATATATAATAGGAAAAAAAATTCAAATGGTCAAAGATATTATCAATAAATCAGCCACTGGGATATTGCTGTCAATATGCAATATTTTATATGACAAAAATATTATATATCTTATTAGAGCCATTTTACATTAAGGCAAAATTTGAGACTTTTTTTAACTTGAGATGGTAGGCATTGCAGAAAGTGTGAACTCAGTGTATATTGTTTGGACTTTATGACGCGAAATGTTCTAGAATTTAAGATCAATTAAATAAAGGATATACAAACTATTTTTATTTATAGGAATTACAAAGCTGTATTAATCCCTAAGTTCAATAAAATTTTGCTGACAACCATCCAAATAACTAGGTACTGTTATTCTGGTTATAGATGCAAAAATCAAGGCACAGAACTTATATTATTTTTATTACCTTAAAGGAATACCCAAGACTGGGTAATTTATAAAGAAAAGAGGTTTATTTGGCCCATGTTTCTGCAGGCTGTACAAGAAGCATGGCACCAGTATCCGCTTCTAGTGAGGGTTTCAGGCTGCTTCCACCTATGGTGGAAGGTGAAGGGGAGCCAGTGTGTGCCGCGATCACATGGCGAGAGAAGCAGCAAGAGAAAGCGAAGAGGTGCCAAGGTCTTTGAAACAATCAGCTCTAGTGAGCAAGAGCAAGAACTTACTCATTACCCTGATAAGTCATTCATGAGGAATCTTCCCTTGGGACCTAAACATCTCCCGTTAGGCTCCACCTCCAACATGGGGATCAATTGCAACAGGCAATTTGGGCGACAAACACCCAAACTATAGTACACTGTGAGTATGTTAGGCAAAGTTATAAATTAGTTCCAAACTCTCAGCAGCTTAACACAATCAAGGTTTATTTCTTACTCATATTACATGTCTATTGTTATTCTCCATATATTTTCACTCAAGGATCAGGCAGCTCTCTTTCACCATGTAATCTCTGTATGTACTGGCACCCCTTCACCTTCCACCGGGAGTGGAAGTAACCTGAAACCCTCAAGAATTGGATGCTGGTGCCATGCTTTTTATACAGCCTGCAGAACAATAAGCCATATAAACCTCTTTTCTTCATAAGTTAAGGAAGACCGTTGCTTGTGACTCCTCGTGTCCAATTCTTAGCTTTCAGTGTCACTGTGGAAGGAAGGAGTAAACATGGAGCACTCATAGCAGCTATGAAATGGCTTACCCAAACTGGGCACACATTGCTTCCACTCATAGCTCACTGGCCAGAACTTATCACATCCCTCCCATTCCTACTGCCTGTAAGAGATTAAAACATGTAGACCTCTCTTATACCCAGCAAGAAAAACCGAATCAGATCTGAACAATTAGAATAATTTTAGAAGAAAGTTTAAGTAGCTCATCCAAAACCCAACAGCTGGTAAATGGTGGAACTGAGATTTAAATCCAGATAAACTGGCTGCAGAGCCAGCATTGCAAACCACCTTTTTATCATTAATATTCATTTAGAAAACATCTGATGTCATTTTATGGCCTCCATTTCTTGTTTCAAATTGTAAGCTTATGATCTGATTTTAGAATCATTTATTCCAAATATCTATTGCTCTAAAATCCAATAAACACATGGCTTCTTAAGAAACAGTTTTACCCTTATCTAATACACATCTATAAGTGAGTGCAGCTATTGAACATGTTCTCAGTAAATATATATTTGTGTGCAAATATAGACACACATATTATAAATTGCATACATATGTATTATATGATATGTATTACAAATATATCATATTATATATGTATTTACACAAACATATAGACATGGTATTTACAAGAAACAGCACTGACAGTACTGTTTTTAAAAGAATCATTTTAATTGCTCATTCTCTTTAGATTTTTAAATGTCATACTACATCTGTTACCTTATAAGGCTACTAGCCAAAAAAAGGACAAAGCATTTTGGATATTTTACCCATATTCTGAGATGATAAAAATTCTATTTCCTCAGACTGCCAAGCAAACTTAATATTTTAGTAGCTCTAAACATTAAAGAACTCTTTGTATAGTGTCTTAAATAAATAGCAGATGGATTTCAGGTTGTCTACATTAAAACGTACATCTGCTCTGAAAAAGATATAAATGTAGAATTTTGAGCTTTCTGTTTATACCTTCAGCCTAGTGAGGAAAAACAAACAAACAAACAAAACTTAAAGCACACATTAGATTTCAGAATAGCTTCTTGTTATTGTCTGCTCAATAGCAAATAATATGAAGATCATAAAGTCTTGAAGAAGATGTTGAATTTCTTCTGGGAGTTGTTAGAAGTGCTCTCTGGTGTGTTAAACTCATTTCAAAGGGTGCTTTCTGGAAAGAAAAACATTTTATTGCCAAAGAAATTTTAGGTATATGTGGGTTCACAAACTTCTATGGACCTGCTAGAAATAGTAGATGCAGCAATGAAGTAAATAAATCAAGATATTGAAGGTCTTGTGTTTTGTGCTTAGATACTGGTGTCTGTCTTTTGATTTGGATTAAATTTTAGCTCATTTCAACAATTATTACACTATCAGCAAAATGTTGAAATATGTAATAACATATTACCTTTAATCTGTTATTGAATTACCATTCTGATAAATTTTCAATTTAAGATATTTTGAGGTTTTTATAATTAAATATGAACATATGTTACACATGCTTTAAATTTTACTGAATAAGCAACAACAGAATTGAAGCAATGCAAAAATAAGTTAACAAAGGCATTTATTAATTCGCTATTATGACAAATTTAGTTGTGACTTTAGAAAGCTTAATTTGCTTCTCACTGTGTTATTCCACAGGTTACAATATCATTTAGTCATCTCAAAAAAGAAATACTTTTTTCTTGTGGAATCTATGAGACTATGACACTTGGACAATTACATACAATAGCTTTTTATTGCAAAAATACATTTTAATTACAATGTTGTACTCTTTTTGTAAAAAAGCATTTTTTAAGAGATTTAGAGCTCTGCAATCTTGATATTATTCCAGTATCTGCTACTACTGTATTTCTTCAGAGAAATAATTAGTAAAATATTGTTGTAAAACAATGTACTACAGTAGAGAGCCTTTCTACTTATAAGTCAACAATTAATATATCACAATAGCTAAAAATAGATCTAAAATATTAATTTCATATTGAAATATACCTCTTCCTGATCACAGATTTCTAATCTTTTTTTGAGTCTGTAATAAGCTACTCTCCTGTTCTGTAGAATAATATTGGATTCTGAACTAATAGGAACAAGATAACAACAGAGAAGAAAACCAAGTTGTGAGGAGTGTGTTTCCTCTTGGTATGTTTGCATGATAGTTGGTAAGGAGCTGGAAAATTTTTGGATGATTATGGTTCCTATTTTGTCTATTTTTTTGAAAATTGGGAGAATATTTTTTAATGGGGGAAAGGTGACAAGTAATATATTACTTGTAGAATTTCATATGTCTTATTTGAGAAATAATTGTAAAAGGGCTTAGAGAAACTCTGGAGAGAGGTTATAGTTAAAGATGTGATAATTCTATACATACAGAAGTGGCAGGTGAAACCGTGGACTTAGTAAAATCATCTAAGGAAAATGGCCAGAGGGATGAAAGAAAAAGTCAAAGGCAAAATATGGATTATAATAACAAAGAAGAATCAGCCACAAAGGGCTAAGAGGCTGAGAAAGAGTAATCAGAGAGTTAGAATTTTAAAACCAAACTAGACAAGAAGACAAATGAAGTAAACATGTCAGTAGGGAGTAAAGTATAAATTAATAGTTCTTATATGTTAAAAACTGTACCGAACTCTTTTCATACTTTATCTCGTGTCAAGTTCCCAATAATCTTTTGAAGTAATGTTATGTTCCTAATTTACAAATGAGGTGAATAAAGCAGAGAACAGCTATATTTGCTTCCTGCTGCACGTCTCATAAGTACTAGAGATGAAGTTCAAACTCCGGTATGTCCGACTGCAGCTCACACTCTTAAATTCCCCTCTCTACCAGAACAGGACAAGAGCTGATGATTTTGAATTGATTTTTATTTGACTACTTTTGACTTTGGACATTATCATTGAAAAAAAGATTAGATTTAGCAGCTAGTAAAAATACATTTGGTATATTAGAACAAGGAATCCATTGAGTCTTGGGGAATTTATGAAAAAAATATTTTATAAAATGTAATGTGAAGGAAAGAAGGTTACAAAGAAATTTATAAGAAATAATGATACACAGCAATGATCTGTATAATTATACAAACTGTGAACAATAATGAATATACTACTTAATATTTCAACGTCAGTTTTTCCTTTGATAAACTGAACATGATGCTTGAATTATTTTAGGTGAATAAATTAAGTAATATACACAAAATATCCTGTGACTATGAGTAGTACATAATAAAAGCTCCAATAAAAATAATATTTACTATCTCTCAATATGTGATTTTGCTGAGTTCTACTTTTGAAGAGTTGAGACTAATAGAAACCAGACTGCAATATGCTGATGAATAGATGAGATATGTGCTAGTGGAAACAATGAAAGTAGATTTTTTTTTTTTATTGTTTGACAATGAAAAGAATTGCATTAGGGATCCAGTTGAATGGGATGATGACAGTTAAAGAACAAAAATGTTTACAGACTAGAGAGAGAAAAAACTAAAGATGAATAAGTTGATAGAACAATACCTTCGAGGAGGCCTGATAAAATTGAAATCCGTTAAAATCATTGAATTTGCAGGATTCCCATGATAATTTGTTTCTTTCCCCCTTCTTTTCAACCCTTTTTAATAACAGGTACTGGAGATCTTGACATAAAAGATCAGGTTAACTTTCAGAATATCTGAAACCAGGTCCACTCTCTCTGCTGTGGACTAACGATGCGACTATGGGCAAGTCATTTGGTGTCCCAGGGTTTAGTTTATTCATTTGTATAATAGGGCAGTTGGATTAGAGAATTCCTGAAATCCTTTGCTGTTGTTCAGACTAGTTTTGACTGATTAAAACAGGTTGTTTTTGAATTTGATACTTGTCATCTCTTTCTTTGTTCTTAACAAACACTAGTCTCCAAATATCTGGAGGAAAAAAACACAGAAAACAACACAAGAAAACCTTTACACATCCTAAGGGTGGGTGAAATTGGATAGGGAGGAAAACTTTCAGTCTTTTGCCTAGGTGATCTCAGATGTTTATGGCCTAATTATGTATATATATAATTATTTATAATGTATACACAGAAATAGATATAAATATACTATAAATATAAATGTCAAAGCTTTTTCCTCCCTCCCTCTTTTTCTCCCCTTTTCTCTCTTTCTCCTTCCTTGGCTGACTCCCTCTCTCTCTTTTCTCATTCTCTTTTCTTCTTTTTCTCTCACTTCCTTCCTTTCTTCCATCCTTCCTTCATTTTTTTCTTCATTCTTTCCTTTTCTTCCAAACCAGCAAGGCAAGCTATTTCCTTTACAGTGGTCTTGCTATTTCTCTTACTCACTGCCTAAGTGAGAAGTTCATTTAGATTAAAATAACAAAAATTTTCATATAGGAAATAATGAAAATATGCAATGTAAACAATATTAAACAAAGTTTGTTTAATAAATGCAAAGCATTAAACACTACGGAATCATCTACTTTTATGTTTTGATAATTTACAGACCTAAGATTTCCTTCTGCAGAAGATAGGAAAGTGAGTATAAATTATCTTACTATTTCACCTTTTAAAATCAAATATTTATCCTTTAAAACCCAACATTAAACTCAGAATTATTTTATTTTAAAATCTACTAAACATCTTACCAATCTATGTGTATAATAATTTCCAGGAAAACTGGGTAAAATTTAAACTTATTTAGGTTTGAGTTTCAGGAGACTATCATTCAGTTCAGTTTTTGATGATCAGCCACTGATTAATGCATCAAACATTTCATGTGTCCACTATGTCTGCTACTAGCAAGGTTGCAAGATTTAAACTAAAAAAATACAAAAATGATGTCAAAATATGACCTAAATCTAGCCAGGAAGTAGACAAAACCTAACGGAGACCACTAACTTCTATAATCTTTACTAAGGCAGTCATTAAGCAATTAAATGAAGTCAGTGTCTTCCATAATGTCTTCTTCATACAGAAGACATTATCTAAAATTTCACCTACATCTCTAAATTCTGAGTAAATAAAATTTATTTTCTTCCAAACTGAAATAAGTAAATAGATAAATTACTTTTATTCTGTATGTTCAAATGAGGTAGCTGAAGTGTTTTATGGATGAAACACTTTAGGCAATTTCGCATATAGATATTAAATATCAATTTAATAATTTTTACTTTAAAATTTGTCCATCTTTTTTAAAGAACAGAATAGGTATTCTACACTAAATATATTGAAATATGTATTTCTTCCCAAATCATTCAGAAAATTTGAAGATCAACATCTTAGATGATTTTACAGATCATTCCAGATCTAATTCTATGATTACTGCCTGCTGTTTAAGGACATGTAATTATACCTCCATACTCACAGTCTGTACACACCTTTACACATATACACAGTAATGTACATATACATACACAAACGAAAAAAAACCAAATGCATCCACATGCACATATACCCACATTTCTGGTTTACATTGTGAAAGGAAAATAAACGTCGGGACCTCAAACTCTCTAAGGCAAAGGTAGAAGTCAATATGGGAACTACATCATGCAAACCTTCCTCCCTCACAATTCGTGCACTAGGAAATTCCTTGTGGGCCCCAAGATATCTACCTTGATACAGTCTGTTGAATTTCACCCTGACAATGTAAATTGATAGCTTTTCTTCACAGGTATGGGACAAAGGAGAGAACTTACATCATCCCTCTGCTCACCTGAGACAATTTCATATCTGATTGCTTCTTCTGCCTTATGTTTATTTTATCTTTTGTAAAAATGCAGATTCACTGAGCTAGATGAATGCATAAGTGACTATTCCTCTATGCCACTCTCACATGTTACAACTGATCAAAGACTCAAAATAATGCAACCAATGGCTTGCCTCTTATCTACCCACACCTTTGTAAAATTTCTTCCTCTTTCCCCAATATCTGAAATTTCCCCTTTAAATAATGAAGCCTACAAAATCATCTTTGGAGAAAGGTACAGACATGTCTCCTGAGTATGCATCCTCATCCTGGGCAAAATAAAATTCTAAATTGATTGAGATTTGTCTCAGATACTTTTTGGTTTACAAGGTAATCATTTGTGGAGGAATAAGAAACAATACAAATTTTCCACAAAATTACTTTAGTGCATTTGCAGCAGACATTGTAAACCAAATGTTTTCAGACATATGCTGATTTGGGAAAGAGATTTAAAGATACATTGTTTTTTAAATAAAAAAGTGGAAATCACAATGCATTTTAGATCTCCTATCCCATTAGTTCTTTTTTCAATTATTCCTTAGGAGAAATGTCTTAACATAATAGTGATTTCTGTATTGTGCTGAGGAAAAGTAAGGTCTGTGGTATGGTGCTAATATGATACAGCTGAAATGTTTAATACCATAAATCTTTCATATCATTTCTTATCATATTAACACAGGGACAGCATTCCTCTCTTGGCCAGCTTAGTTTTCCCATTGCCTGCAACTACTGGGCATTCATGAATACTTAAAAGTTGTGAAAATAAGCTCTTGTTGACTCTGCGTTATGGTTCAAGAGCTGAGGTTGAGGTTTCCTTTTTTTTTTTCCTTACAGTAGTTAGATCTCTCAAGGAAGATTCTATCACTTGCAATGGAGCACAGTACCTGAGAGAAAATGGTTAGGCCTTGCCAGGTACTTCTCAGAACACTGGAGCAGGGATCTATGATATTGTTTTGTTTCCTCCAGTTGACTACAGAGGGCCCACGAGCTGCAGGCAGAAACTTCACCATGTTAACGGCAAAAGAAGAAGTATGTATATTCGGAGAGTTTTCTGTTTCTTCATTGCCAAGCTTCCTGCTGATTTTCTTGCAATTGAGGATGTAGCAATTTAACAGTTTACTATTGATCCCTCTGAAGCTGACAGATTTGCATAAATACTGTGCATAGGCACTAGTTCATTTCATGTGTTTGTCTATGTGATTTTGTGTTATTTCTTGATTCCTTTTTGCTGAAGAAAAAAATAGCAGTAAATGAGTCTGGATTCCATTATGACTTCTAATTTGTAATTTTTTTCTTTTTGTGAAACAGACAGAAAACATATCCATTCAATACATAAAGGATGGTGCTGATAGTCCTCTAAAAGCGGAGATATAATATCTTACAAAGATACATTTTAGTTTTGAATGGTTTGTTTAATTTAATTTAAATATGGCTTAGGTAAAATTATTATATATCATGTGGATTCAGCATAGCAATGGTTATTCAATCAACTTTCATTTGTTCAATGATCACAAGCTTTTCACATTGTCCTAAACACACTAAGCACAATAAAATCAAGCTATTTGAACTTTATTAATTTACATCCTTTCATCTTGGATAAATGTAAAGACTCATATATGCTACTTTTACTATGAAAACATTTAAAATGTTAATATATTTTTTCCCTGTAACTTATAGAGATTTAATCTTTTTTTTGTTTGTTTTTGAGATGGAGTCTTGCTCTGTCCCCCAGGCTGGAGTGCAGTGGCGCGATCTCGGCTCACTCCAAGCTCTGTCTCCTGGGTTCATGCTATTCTCCTGCCTCAGCCTCCCGAGTAGCTGGGACTACAGGCACCTGCCACCACACCTGGCTAATTTTTTGTATTTTTAGTAAAGATGGGGTTTCACTGTGTTAGCCAGGATGGTCTCGATCTCCTGACCTCGTGAGCAGCCCATCTCAGCTTCCCAAAGTGCTGAGATTACAGGCATAAGCCACCACACCCAGCCACTTAGATATTTAATCTTTAGCCAATTTGAATTTAATATTTAAGAAGTAAGAACTACTTCAACTTCTAGTTATAGTCATTATATATCATGGGTCAATGGTAATTTAGTACGTATAATCTTAAAATACAAGATTATCATGAATTAATATGCTGCATCCCTAACAAAACCTTCAATCAAGCTGACTTAAACATTTATGATACTTATCCCAAATAAAAGAAAACCTAGAGATCAGGTGGATTCTAGACATGACATGATTCGGGCCTCTGGTTCAACTTCTCCTTGATTTTCTTATCTGTACGCTCCTCCTTACGTCAGCATTTTTAACTCCATCCTGATAGTCCTTCTGGTTAAGTCAAAGCAAAAAACCTAAACTAGACAAAGTTAAGCAGGCAAGAAAGAGTTTATTTAAAGCTATTGCAGTCGGAAAGAGAGAACAGATCTGAGTTCAAACTTAACTGTGGTAAAACACAAGGCAGGAGGATTTTCAAGGACTAGGTTAAGGTATATCACAGGTCATCGGTGTTTGCTAACTGACTTTGTCCAAACTACAAGTTTCTTGTATCTTCATGACAGAAGATAGTTTTGCAACTCAGAGCAAGGGAACAACAGGCGTTAGCCTCCTCCTCTCCCATGGATATTGCGAGAGAGGGACACTGTCTCCCTTGATGACTATATTTCCAAGAGATGGTTCATAGTCCTTTAGAAAGACAGTCCTGGTAGCAAAACTGGCAAAAGTCTTTTTAAAAGGTTTACATCTCAGAAGGGCTGAGAAAGGATTTATAATGAGAAGTTTTCTAAAATAAGTGTTCTAAGAAAAGGGAGGTCAGGGCCTAGAGTCAGGCAGGAGCATGTCTGAAGTTAGGTCCAGCTGAGGGGAACACTAAGGCTATCTTAATCAGTTTTACCATGATTTCCAGTAGCAATTAGGCAGCTTGCTTTATTCTTTAAGTCTCATGGGAGGGAGGAAAAAAACCTATCTTTCATCTATAGATTATAAATTCTTCCTTATAGTCTATTTAGCAGACTCAGTCCACATGCTCACTTGTCAATGTCAATAAAGATTAACAGGACAATGTCATGTGATGACTGGCTTATGCCTGGGTTCCTGAGTCAATCGTTGGAAATAGGAATTTCATTATTGGTTTGTATTTACTCTGGATTTGACAATGGAAAGAGTATTTGAATTACATTTGGGGTCCCTTTTGAAAAACAGAAGAGAGAAATGGATTCTGGGTAGGCAAGAATCATTGTCACTACATCTTACTTAAAGATGTTTTTCATTTATCTATCAATTTTATTAGATCATGTGCTTTATTTTAAAGCACTAGGATAGCATTTTAAAAAATATCTATTGCTAGTCACAAAAATCCACGTACCGCATGATTCCAATTCCACTTACAGGCAGTATTTAGAGTAACCCAATTCACAGAAACAGAAAGTAGGGACTGTGGGAGGGAGAAATGGGTAGCTGTTTAGTGATTAGTAAGTTTCAGTTTCGCAAATGGAAAAGTTCTGAAATTCGTTGCACACCGCAATGTAAATATACTTAAGAATAATGAACTGTATACTTAGAAATTGTTACGGTGATAAATTTGTTATGCATTTTTCCTCAGTAAAAAAATTAAAATCTATATAAAAATACCGAGGTAATTTGCAATGAATTAGTTTAACAGTTTCTATTATTGTCATCATTCTATTTGTGAGGTTGTCTTTTAAATTCGTGTGTTTACATTTTGCTCATAAGGAGATTTTAATTTTAATTTTTTTATCATAATAATATAAATTATTGTAAACCCTGCTACATTGAATATGTTTTACACTTCTCTGGAAATATTTATTATGTTAATTTTTTAAAAATATTGGAGTTAATTAGTTTATCTTCATTCCAAAATGCATAAAATAGTTGCAGGAATTTAAGGCACTACAGTGACACACTTTAAACACACAAATTAGAAAGCAGAAAACTTATTCCCTTTACAATTCTAAAACACCTTTCTACACCTCTTACCCCACAATCATACACATATATCTTTCTGATATAAAGAGAGATACAATTTTACTATACAATATTTTATGTACATATAATACCACAAGACAAAGTTTCAGAGGTTAATGTCCATGAGAAACCTATTTTAGAACAAAGTATGCAACTTTTCTAATCATAATACATCTTCTAAAATAAATGTGAAATGTTTCTCCATTAAGATAAAATTTATGAGCTCTGGTTTATGAGTCATTAACACATTAATTTACTTCTTGAATTAAGAAGGACATATACCAGCTGGTTAAGAATTAATAAAATTAGGTAATTATCATAATTTTTAACTTTTATTTTCTTTTTCTAGGATACAAACTTTAAAGTTACTTCAAGACTACTCAGAATACTCAGACATAGCCTATATAACCTCATTCAAATATGAAAAGCATAATTTTACCAGTAACAAATTAGTGCTTGGCAATATAATTGTATTGTTTATTTCACATACTTAATATTTGTCTAAATATTAAATTAAAATTTTAAAAAGTGAAAGTTTAGCTAGATATAATTAATCCCACTTAACTACTAACAACACTCGAATAGTTATATACTTTTGAATATCTGAAACTCAAGGAATAGACAAGGTGGGGGCCACAGAGAGAACTCAAAGCTGCTAGAATGTAATATTTTAACTTCATTTAGTATATTGATCAAGTTTTCTAGGTCTTAATCCTTTTTATTATTTCTTTTTTCAGGGAAAACAATTACTGATTTTAAGAAAGATGTTATACATCTTTCTTAAATGGTAATATCTATGGATATTACCATTTTTTACAAGGGTGGGGACAAGATGGCCAACTAGAAGCAATGGCAATGAGAATCAAAGACAAAAACCACATGATTATCTCAATAGATGCAGAAAACGACTTCGATAAAATTCAGCATCCCTTCATGTTAAAAACTCTCACTAAACTAGGTATTGATGGAACATATCTCAAAATAGTAAGAGCTATTTATGACAGAGCCATAGCCAATATCATACTGAATGGGCAAAAGCTGGAAGCATTCCCTTTAAGAACCGGTACAAGACAAGGATGCCCTCTCTCACCACTCCTATTCAATATAATATTGGAAGTTCTGGCCAGGGCAATCAGGTAAGAGAAAGAAATAAAGGGCATTCAAATAGGAAGATAGGAAGTCAAATTGTCTCTATTTGCAGACGACATGATTCTATATTTAGAAAACCCCATCATCTCAGCCCCAAAACTCCTTAAGCTAATAAGCAACTTCAACAAAGTGTCAGGATACAAAATCAATGTGTAAAAATCACAAGCATTCCTTTAAAGCAATAATAGATAAGCAGAGAGCCAAATAATGAATGAACTCCCATTCAGAATTCCTACAAAGAGAATAAAGTACTAGGAATAAAGCTAATAAGGGATATGAAATACCTCTTCAAGGAGAACTACAAACCACTGCTTAAGGAAATAAGAGAGGACACAGACAAATTGAAAAACATTCCATCCTCATGGATAGGGAGAATCAATATCGTGCAAATGGCCATACTGCCCAAAGTAATTTATAGATTCAATGCCTTTTCATCCAACTACCATTGACATTCTTCACAAAATTAGAAAAAACTACTTTGAATTTCATATGGAAGCAAAAAAGAACTCATATAGCCAAGACAATCCTAAGCAAAAACAACAAAGCTGGAGGCATCACATTACCTGACTTCAAATTATACTGCAAGGTTGTGGTAACCAGAACAGCATGGAACTTGTACCAAAACAGACCTATAGACCAATGGAACAGAACAGAGACCTCAGAAATAACAGCACATATCTACAACCATGGGAAAACTTGTTAGCCATATGCAGAAGACTGAAACTGGACCCCTACCTTACACGTTATACAAAAATTGACTCAAGATGGATTAAAGACTAAAATGTAAAACCCAAAACCATAAAAATCCTAGAAGAAAACCTAGGCAATACCATTCAGGACATATGCAAGGGCAAAAACTTCATGATGAAAATGCCAAAAAAATTGCAACAAAAGCCAGAATTGACAAATGGGATCTAATTAAACTAAAGAGTTTCTGCACAGCAAAAGAAACTATCATCAGAGTGAACAGACAATCTACAGAACGGGGGAAAATCTTTGCAATCTACCCGTCTGACAAAGGTCTAATATCTAGAATTTACAAGGAACTTAAACAAATTTACAATAAAAAACCAAACAACCCCATCAAAAAGTGGGCAAAGGATATGAACAGACACTTTTTAAAAGATAACATTTACTTGGCCAACAAACATATGAAAAAAAGTTCAACATCCCTGATCATTAGAGAAATGCAAATCAAAACCACAATGAGATACTATCTCATGCCAGTCAGAATGATGATCATTAAAAATTCAAGAAACAATAGATGCTGGTGAGGTTGCAGAGAAATAGGAACGCTTTTACACTGTTGGTAGGAGCGTAAATTAGTTCAACAATTGTGGAAGACAATATGGGATTTAGAACCAGAAATACCATTTGACCCAGGAATCCCATTACTGGGTATATACCCAAAGGAATATAAATCATTCTACTATAAAGACACATGCACTCTGATGCTTATTGCAGTACTATTTACAATAGCAAAGACATGGAACCAACCCAAATTCCCATCAATAATGGACTGGATAAAGAAAATGTGGTACATATACACCATGGAATACTATGCAGCCATAAAAATGAATGAGATCATGTCCTTTGCAGGGACAGAAATGAAGTTGGGAACCATTATCCTCAGCAAACTAGCACAGGAACAGAAAAATATACACTGCATATTCTCAATCATTAGTGAGAGTTGAACAAAGAGAACACATGGACACAGGGAGGGGAACAACACAAATGAGACCATGTCCTTTGCAGGGACATGAATGAAGCTGAAAACCATCATCCTCAGCAAACCAACACAGGAACAGAAAACCAAACACAGCATGTTGTCACTCATTAGTGGGAGCTGAAGAAGGAGAACACATGGACACAGGGAGGGGAACATCACACACCAGAGCCTGTTGGAGGGTGCGGGGTTGAGGAGAGGGAACTTAGATGATGTGTCAATAGGTGAATCAAACTACCATGACACACGTGTGCCTATGTAACAAACATGCACTTTCTGCACATGTATCCTGAAACATAAAGTAAAATCTTAAAAAAATTGCAAAACTAATGTTTGCTATGTAAAAAAAGTTTAGGTATGATTTTATTATATAGTCTCAGATAGAATTATTAGCAATCAAGTTGTGAATTAGTTTCCTTTCATGATTTGTAGAACTTAATTGAATTAGACTAATAGTAATTGTCCTTTAGGGATTATTTGTCTTTTCTATGTATAAAATGATAAGTAAAGAATTTTATAAATATTTCTTGCCATTGGCATATTCTTGTTTTACTTTAATAAAGCAACAGCAATATAGTTTCATCCAACAAGAACTACCAAGAGAAGTATTATATTTTAGAAAGGTTACATAAAATCAGTTTTTTTATGTCTTTTTATATAAAAATTCTGTATGCTATATAACCATTATTAAAAAAAAAAACTTAAAAGCAACAGAAATGCTAAAAAATTTTTAGATTTAATCTGTCCAAGTTTTAGGAAAGACGAAAACCCAAATATTCAAAACCAACACTACAAATGCCTTTGCCCTGTGGGAATTTGCCTATCTAAAGCAAACAGCTGTGAAACTGAGCTATGTTTTTGGCAGCTTCGAGCTAAAAAGAAGTAAGAGCCAAAACCCAGGATTTGCATAAGGTAAAGAGTTTGATAACTTTCCCCACTTTAAGCTGGAACCCTGATCAGCTACAACTTCATGGTAAAGGTAAACTGGAATTATCAGGACCTCATCAATAAGATAAGTCCTGGTTTCTGGCACCTGAGCGGTCCAGCTACCTTAATGTGTTATAATTGGACTAAAATGTTTCCTGGAATTGTAGTGCCCATAAGATCTCAAATAAAGCTAACAAAATTCCTCTCTGGGAAAATTTTCTGCTAGCCTAGACCTCAAATTATCCCATAAGTAAATTTTCACTCAATGTCCAAGTATCCAAGCTATAGCCCCCAATAACTAGGAATACAAGAAAATAAAACACAATGAATGAAAACCAATAAAACAATAGGTAAAAGAAACAGCAGTGTAGAAATGTGAGATGCTGAAATTATCAGACATGGATTATGAAATTAGCAGACAATATTTTCAAAGAGATAGGGAAAATCATGAAAATGTTTTTGGGCAGCAAGAAACTGTAAAAAGTGAAATTCCAATTTGGAAACCAATCAAACTGATATCCTAGAAGTGGAAAATACAATAACTAAAATGGCCAACTGCAGATCAGATACAACTAAATAAAATTCATTCAGAAGCATTATTGAATAATGCAAGCAGAAAACTGAGGAAAATATAGGAGAGAAAATGGAGAAAGATATTATGAAAAGTCATATCTATTACAGAAGACAGTATAATTAGGGCTTCAATTAAAAAATAACCTGGAATACTTTGTCCAGTGAAGTATATATTTTAAATCAGAGCAAAAAATCCCTTTTTAAACAAACAGAAACGTAGAGTTTACCACCCAGAGAACTACGCTAAAGGGAGCTATACAGGATGTATGTCAGGCTAAAGCAAAATGATCCCTATTAGAAGGCTTGAGGGGTAAGAAGTAATGAAGAGCAAAAACAACAGGATAAGTATACACGAAGAAACACAACAAATTAACATTAACTACATGAAACTACTCAACAAACAAAGAAACACTCATTTTTTTATTATAAACGAGACATTTAAGTGCAGAAATAGTGACTAAATTGACAGAAAATAAACTTTCAGTAGTTAAGTAATTATTTTGATGAGTAGGAGACCAAAGATTTTTATTAAAGTTAGATTTTGTGAAGTAGTGGATGCATGATGAAATCCAGAAGAGCGAATCCAAAAGATCTCATTTTTAAATCAAGTGCATGCACCTTATTCAAGACGATTTGACAATGCAGGGAGACGTCTGGGCAGAGAGGTCGCTACACAAGTATTTTCTTCTCTTATGGCCCAGCCTCTGGCTCAGAGTGGAAGAGTTCTCTAATTGTGGTGTATTAATTGTTACCTCACACAGCGGGGAGTATTCATTCTATTAAAAATATCCATTCATTTTCTTAACTTATGTTTTCTTAGAGGACAATTCTTTATAAATCTATAGATTCCAAAAGTTTATTATTATAAGTAATCCTTTAGCCTGGGATTCCTGTTTAACATTACATCAATAAAAACTTTCTCCTTGGAAATATCATTCTTACTTAGAGCTTCAGTTACCATGTTAATCACGAAGTTAGACTAGTCACCTGCTTTGTTTTCTTTCCCCCAAGAGCATCCTTTTAGTAATCTGGAAGAGAATGGATTAAAGGTTAGCTGTTTAACTCCTTCCTTTTCATTATGGTAATCAAGGAAAAAATAAAAGCAAGATAAATAAATTTGATATTGGTAGAAAGGACAAAATGACATAATAAAAAATATTCACTCAATCCTACAGAAGGCAAGAACAGGGAAAGGCACAGAGGGGACAAAATATACAAAATAATATAGTAGAGTTAAATAGTTGTATTAAATATGCTGTAATTATATTTAATGTTAACATATAGCACACTCCAATTAAAATATAATAGTTATTTGGTTCAAAAATAAAATCCAATCATGTGCTGTTTGAGAAATCTTTAATATACTAATGGAAAAACCTTTAATTTAGTATTTACAATCAGAGAAACGTAAATATTAACAAAAGGCAGTTTTAATTACATTGATGACATTCAAAATACTCTTTATTACAAAAAGTATTACTAAAAACAAAAAGATTTCATCATGATGAAAAGATTTAATTCACCAGGAAAGTGTAGTATTTAATATCAATAATGTTCTTAAATTACATTAAGAAACAAAAATAATTAAATCCACAACCATAGTAGTTGATTTTAACTCATCTCTATTAATAATTAGTGAAAAGAGTTAACAAAAATGTATAGAAGATCTGAGAAACATTTTAACAATTTTGACTTAATGGCCTATGTGGAACATTTCACCCAACACCTGTACAATATCCATTATCTGGAAGATAGAACACAATTACAAATATCAACCACGTATTAGTCTGTAAATGAAGTCTCGATAAACTTTAAACAATTCAAATCATACAGAGTGCATTCTTTGACCATAGCACATTAGTGCAGAAATGAATAACAAAAGATAACATCTTTGTGTGTGGGAGCCAAGATATTGTAAACCAAAAAATGACTGAGGCAGGCCTCAAGGGATTAGAGATTTATTTTGGCAAGTGATTACATTCTTGTGAGGCTCTGATTAGCACTCAATGAATCTACATTTTACCTGTGAAAAGAAGGGAGTAGGAGAAAGTCGATTATGCATTCGTCTCACACCGATTTACACACAATAAATCTACATTTTACATAGGATAAATTGAACATGTGAAATTACAGCTGTTTGGGAAAAAAAGGAAGGCAGTTTTGCGTAATCCAGCTCCCAAGCTTAACTTTCCTTTTGGCATAGTGAGTTTGGGGTCCCGAGATTCTATTTTTCTTTCACAATATGTAAATCTAAATGATCCATCTAAAATCTAGCCACTAAATTCTAAACGATCCTTCTGGGTAGAGGGTTGGAGGTAAGTTGGGTTGAAAAAAAAGAAAAAAGAAAATAAAGAAGATTCAGTTTCATATAAAGAAAAATGAGAGCCAAGAAAGCATAGACTGATTTTCAACTCATAAATTTATTTTCAGCAAGACTCTGAAGGGAATGTAAAGGTAGAGGAAAGCATTTTTAACCATGAAAAAGTTCTTAAAATTTACCTTCCATGCACTCTTTCTTACTAAGGTACTGAAGAATGTACTTCACAAAAATATGATAAGAAACCAGTTAAGGTACAAAGCTGAGGTTCAAGAAAAGATATAGTTAGCTGAATAGAGTAGCAACAAAGAGTCCTAGAAATGAGAATGAATTGGAGCTAGAAGACTCCAGGAAAAATCCAAGAAAACAAACAAAGTAAGTGAATAAATAAATGAATAAATGTGTGAATGAAGAATAAATTACAATTTAGAAAATAACCATACTATACCAGATCAATGGTTATCAACCATGACCTCCTACCATATTACTACAGCCTGGGGAGCTCAATGCTGGTGCATAACTAAAGAGCATTTGATTTAATGAATCTGAGTGGCTTTGGTGGTGGACATGGTAGGTTTGAAGAGAGGGTGTGCTTCAGGGGCAGAGGGCTGAGTTCACCATACTCCTCATTTTAGGGCCATCATTGTCATTCTTCCTTGCAAGATCTGGCTCATAATTTTTAAATTTCCTTTGACCTTTATGCCACACTTCCTATCCTACCACAGGAAACCAATTAATATATTTTTTATGTATTGTTTGTGTCTGCAATGATTATGCAAAAATAGATATTATTTTGTATACGTGTATTTTATTAATGGTAATGCCAACAGATGATATATCTTATTCTGATTCTTATTTCTTTTCCATGGAGAACTATGTTATAAGGTCACTCTATGTCCCTCTGTGTACACAATTTACATGAAGCAGCAATGACTTATTATTTCTCATGTTTCTGGGGCACTTCGGTTGATTTTCTGCAATCACTTATATCTTTGCTTTTGGACATAAAAAGCAAAGGGTGTCTGGGCCTCTCTCCTTGTGATCTTCATCCGGGTTCTTCACATCAAGTCATCACATGGTTCCCAGAGAACAAAAGCAAAATCTGTAATGACTCTGAAGGAGTTAGCTAGGAAGTAAACAATATAGTTTCTTTTCATGTTCTATTGGTCAAAACAAGTCGAAATCCAGCCCAGATTAATGAGGCAGGGAAACTGAGCTTTTTTAATGGGAGAAATAGTAAAGTAAGTCACATTGCAAAGGGGATGGACAAAGAGAGGCATGCTGCCATTGGGACCATCATTGTAACCATCAGCCACAAAAGTAAAACAAACAAAAACCAAAACAGTGAATGGTGGAAAAATAAGAAAGTATTAAAATAGAGAATAATCATAGACCACTACATGGCTCTAAATTATATTTACATCATCATAATAATGTAAATACTATTTATCAATATGCATTAAGAGAGTGTGGTAACTCTAGGAAGGTTACATACTCGACAGATAAATTACCAACAGATAATTTAATAAAATCATCTTTTTTTTCCCTCAATACAATAAGGAAAAGTAGCATATATATATTATATCCTAAAAAGTAAGATAAATATTCAAAGAATATCTTGAAGAGTTGAAAGTTGTTGCCTGTGGGCAATGGTTTGTTGGCTTGAAAAGACATGAGTCAGGAACTCCTGCTTTTCATTATGTGTCTTTTGCCATTTTTTAAGTGACCACAAGAGTTATTATATTTGTAAGAGAAATCTGAACCAAATGAAACCCAACTAAATAAACAAACAAAAAATAACTGATTGTTTTCTCCTTAAAATATCTCTGAATTGGTCTCACTAGAACAAATTCTTCCAACATCTAACTAAAATATTTAAGGAGATACAGAATAAGACTAAACCTCTCAACATTCCACAAACTAGGATTTGAAATGAGTCTATTATCAAACTCCAGGAAGAAATTCTAATTACAAGGATGAGAAGTCTGCTCTTTTAAAAAAGCACAGTTTAAATAACTTCTCTTTGTGAATATCTGCTCCCTGGTTCAGAATTTGAGAGCACTCAGAAATTCAGTCTGAAAGCTGGGCAGTTATATCTTCTGAGATGATGGCTACATTTGATAGCAGAACAGCCAGAGACTAACAATCTTCCTGAATCTATTCCTAGACTGCAAGCACAACAATTTGACAGGAAATCTTTGTGGTTGTGGGTGAAGCGTGGCCTGGGGATAGTGCGGATTATCAGGGGTGCTTTGCATGTTGCCAGAGTCCCAATAGACAAAGTGCTTTAGGACGCTTCAAGCCAGCAAAAAGCCCTAGTAACAGTCTATATTGTTTTGCATTTGTTTATTTAGTATTTTGCATTTAGTTTGTATAAACCTGTGTATTATAATTTTGTCCTTAATGAATCGTTTCTCTTTTGAATTTCAGAGAACTAAGCATGCAGAAAAGAAATATCCTACTTCAATTCAGGAAAGCAATAGTAAAAGAGAGCCTTCATAATGCAGGGGTTTGAGATGGAAGCTACACATATGAGCATGTTTTCAAGCCCTAAAATAAAGAGGTAATTTGTGAAGAAACTATTTTTGCATAGAGTGAAGTCAACAAAAGATATATTCAATTGTACATACTAGTTTTATCACATTTCTAACAAATATACATAGGAAAAAATAATGTAAGAATATGCTGTATCATGTTAACTTATGATTGTATCTTGGCTGTGGAGTTCTGGATTTCCTTCCCATCCCCTCTATTTATATTTTCCATAGTGACCAAACTAACTTTTAGGACAAGAAAGATCTATATTAATTTTTAAAAAAAGATTAAATAGAATAGTGAATATTCTGAAAAAATAGGGAAAAATGCTCTAAGAAAAAAATTTTGTGCACAACTAGCTTATTAGAAAGATTCCATTTGGTAGCAAAAATAACAAAAGAAAGCTCAGTGTCTGCACAAAGTAGGCAACTAGCAAATTATTCTTTTTTCACCTCCCTCCTCTTTTCATCCTCATGGCATTCTTGAGTACTATGATTATAACTCTATTTTTCTTGTTTTTATTTCTGGCTTACATAGTTGGGTGTCTCCTTCTTTCTTTTTTTTTTTTTTCTGTGTACAGCTGTTTTTATTTCCATGAACCAAAATTTTGGAAATAGAATTTGCTGGGTCAAAGAATACACACACACAGTTTTTACTGAATAATAAACAGATATAAATAATATTCATCACACTTAGGATAGACAAAATAACAAAACAAATATCTATCCACTTACTTCATCTAGTTTAAGAAAAAAAATTTACCTGTGCGTTGAGGCCTCCTGGGTGTCCCTTATATAATCCCTTTTCCCGTTTAGAAAGGAAACTTCTAAGTTGTTAAATTTGTAAATTTTTTTGTAGGCCCTTTACTTACTAATAGTATTCTGACTAAACAAAACCTTGAATGCGGGGTGGCTTAACCTCTTTGGAGAGTGTGAAATTATTTGTTTAATATAACTTAAATATCATAGGTACCAAATATAGTGTAACTCATAATAATAAGGAATACTTTAAAAGTAAGCAATAATAAGTTATTGCCATTTTAAGCCACTAAGTTTGGAGATGCATTACTATACCGATATAGATATTAGGTAAGTGGGATACTACTAATAATTATATATAAAATATGTATGATACTATATATTATAGGATGAGCTGATCACTCTACAAAATTTTTTAAAAAATTAAATTTTGGGGAAAGTTGTTGCCTGCAATGACATGCAATATAGTAAATGTACCTAAAGATTTTTGTCCCACTTGTTCTTTAAAAGGATGGACAGGGCCCAGAGTGGTGGCTCACGCCTGTAATTCCAGCACTTTGGGAGGCCGAGGCAAGTGGATCACCTGGGGTCAGGAGGTCGAGACCAGCCTGACCAACATAGAGAAACTCCGTCTCTACTAAAAATACAAAAATTACCCTGGCATGGTGGCACATGCCTGTACTCCCAGCTACTTGGGAGGCTGAGACAGGAGAATCACTTGAAGCCAGGAGGCGGAGGTTGCGGTGAGCTGAGATTGCGCCACGGCACCCCAGCCTGGGCAACAAGAGCGAAGCTCTGTCTCAAAAAAAAAAAAAAAAAAGAAAAGAAAAGAAAAAAAAGGATGGATAGTCAGGTGGATATTGAAATAATGAGCTTTACGCTGGCTGCATATAAGGTTCTGCAGCACAAGAAAGAAGAGCTTAGGAGAGAATTAGCCAGTTTGTCAGGAGGATTGTTGGATTGGAAATAAATCTTTTTTTCTCATCTTTAGTCAAGCGAGTCAAATTTCAAAACCAGAGTGCTGACAATAGCATAACTTCAAGGTAAAGATGAAGTCAAGGATATGGCTCTAACAACCCTTTTGTTAAGTTCTTTAGAAGTGATAAAGTAATTTCTAGTGGAGACTGTTGGTAAGGCAATAGGTCTCCTTGGAAAAAATTAAGTCTGAACTAAAAGGTATTGATGCTGTTTTAAATAGTAAAAACAAACAAACAAATGATTTCTGGGTCCCTAAATTTCTACACACAGAAAGCAGGTCAGGAGGGCTTCCCTCTTGCTAAAGGCGTTCATTTTACAGTGCCCTGTTCAGACATGACCAAGGAGGATGAGAAAAATGTGGAGCAGCCCTGGACCCATTGAGCTCTAGCTTGAAGCAAAGCTCTCCCTGCCTATTCATAGATTCTTGAGAATAAATATTTGTTGTTCTCAGCCACTTAAAATTGAGTGGTTTGTTTAGTCAGTAATAGCTGACTGACACAAAGGCCGTTGCATATGCTCAGAAATTGATGTAAGGCTCCATCATTACTTTGAAGGAGATTTAAAGTTAATGAAAGTTTCAGATGCTGGCTTCCAGGCATTGCGTATTTTCCTCTTCTAATTGCAAAATGAATACTTAATAATATCATTGACTTAATATACAGCCTACAGCTGGCAGAATTTTGGTATGTGTAGTAAATATGCCCCCAAGTTTTAGTGTCATTGAAACATTTAGAGAGCATGGTCCATTCTTTGTATGGCCTATGCTAAAAAGTAAAGGGGGAATTTGGAAATACAAAAGCGCGTGTGATGTAAATAAAAATATTTGCTATGGCTTATCACATAACAAGAGCTCTCAGAATCTTGATATGATATTAAGCTTTATTTCTACAGTGGAAGGAATGTCTTAAAAATGTATGAAGCTCTACATATTATGAAAAATGTCAATGTTAGAAATAAACTTAAAATACAAAATATAGAAAAACTAGCTTATTAATTGAAAAGCTATTTATAAAAATAAATAGATAATTGAACAAAATAACTTTACTGTATTTTGAAAAATCAGTGATACATGAGAGTCTGTACTGGTAGAACAATGCTAATTATTAATAATATATGAATTATTAACTACTGAAGGTAAGTTGGTATCAATTAGAAGTAGATTGTTATAAATTTAGTATGTTAAATGTGACCTCCATGGTAATCATGAAGAAAATATCTAAGAAGTATACACAAAAGAAAATGAGAATGAATACAAAATGGTTCATTGTAAAAAATCAACTAAACAATATCAAAGGCTGTAGTAGAAGATACAAAGGACAAAAGGGCTTAAGACAACAAAAAACAAATAGAAAAATGGCAAGAGTAAGTCGTTCCTTGTTAGTCATTACTGTAAATGCAAATGGATTAAATTCTCACATTGAAAGAAAGGGATTGGCATAATGCATACAAAAACCAAGATCCAACTGTAGGTGGTTTACAATAGACCAAGTTAAGGTTGAAACACAGAAATAAATTGAAAGTGAAAGGATGAAAAAAATATTCTATGCATATAGTAACCAAAAGAGAGCATAGGTGGCTATATTATTCTTAGAAAAAATAGACTTGAAGTAAAAAACAATTATGAGATAAAAGATTAATTAATTATATTAATGAATAATACACAATATTTGTGGTTTATATTATTTTAGTATATTTATAATAAACTTTGTTTTATGTATCAAAAATTGTATCTCTTCAGTTTTCACAGAAAAGTTATTGAACTAAGAATAAGAGACAAAACTTAGTTTATATCCCAAAAATGAATGAAATTCAATTTTTCTCTTCAGCAAGAAAACAAATTCCCACTTTTTTACTATTATAATAAACACTGGACAGTCAAACTGTTGAGTGTTCATTTAGGGCAAAGTATTGTGGGAATATATGAATGTTTTCATATCTTTTTAAATGTCATTTAAAAGAAGCTGAGAAAAAAGCAAGTAAATATTGAAATACCAAATATTATAAATATATTCTACAAATATAAATTCTGTTTGTAAAGCTCACTAAAAGATTAAATGGAGTGAATAGAATTCATGGAAACTTCTTGAGGTTCTCAGAAAATAGCTTTGATTTATCAAAAGTAAACATATTGCTGATTTATGCTATTCATGTTTTTTTCCTAAATGCCTAACAATCACTTTTATTTCTAGGAAGTTAAGTTTTAACTTCAGTCTCCAAAATCAGAATTATGTATTCATTGTGCAGTTGTGTTCCAATTAAAAAAAACTACTTTCTTACCAACTTTCTTATCAATTCACTTCTGTTTCACAATCTGAGAAGCCATCACTTCTCCAGAGTTCATCCTTGTCTCAGAATAGTGAGAAATTTATTGTGAGAAACGAAGGCATGATGTTCCACAGCAGATTTCTACAAACTTACTCACCTTGCATAACTGAAACTTTATACCCATTGAGTATCTACTCTCAATTTCCCACACCCTCAGCCCCTGGCAACCACCATTCTACTCTCTGCTTCTCTGAGTTTTACTATTTTAGATACCTCATATACGAAGAATCATACAGTATTTGTTCTTTTTGATTGGTTTATTTCACTTAGTATAATGTCCTCCAGGTTCATCTATGTAATCACATGTGGCAGAATTTCTTTATTTTTAAAATAATATTCTATTATTAATGTACCATATTTAATTATTGATTCATTTGGCCAACAATGGACATTTATATTATTTCCATATATTGGCTATTGTGAAGGATGCTGCACTCAATGTGAGACTGATATCCTGATTTCATCCCTTCTGGATATATAACCAGAAGTGGATTTGCTGGATTATATGGTATTGCTCTATTTTAGTTTTTTTGAGTACTCTTTTTCTTAGCAGCGTCAACATTTTACATTCCCACAGTGTACGAGAGTTTCAATTTCTCCACATCTTTGCCAACCCTGATCTTTTATAATAGCCATCCTAGCAAGTTTGAGGTGATATTCCATTGTAGTTTTAACTTGCATTTTCCAGATAAGTGATATTGAACATCTTTTTATATATCTGTTGGCCATTTGTATATTTTCTTTGGAGAAATGTATATTCAAGTACTTTGTACATTTTTAAATGGGTTATTTGTTGTTGTTGTTGTTTTGCTATTGAGTTTTTTCTGTTCCTTGTGTATTTTGGATATTAACCTCTTATCAGACATGTAATTTGTAAATATCTTCTCCGGTTCCCTAGGTTGCCTTTTCATTTTCTTGACTGTTTCCTTTTACTGTGCAAAAGGTTTTTAGTTTGATACGGTATCACTTGCCTATTTTTGCTTTTGTTGCTGTGTTGAAATAGCCTATGTTGTTTTGTATATGCCTGTGTCATATCTAAGAAGCAATTATCAGGACCAATGTCATGAAGTTTTTTCCGTATGGTTTCTTCTAGGTGTTTTACAGTTTTCAGTATTACGTTTAAGTGTTTAATCCATTTTAAGTTGATTTTTGTGTATGGTATAAAAGGCTGGATTTTGTTCCTTTGAATGAAGACAGCATTTTTCCAATACTATTTGATGAAGAGACTATTCTTTCCCCCTTGTGTATTCTTGGCATCCTTGTCTAAGATTAGTTGAGCATATATGCATGATTTTATTTCTGGACTATTTTGTTTTATTGGTCTATGTGCCTGTCTTTATGTTAGCACCTTACTGTATTAATTACTATAGCTTTGTAATACATTTAGAAAAGAGGAAGTGTGATGTGGCTAACGTTATTTTCTTTCTCAAGACTGTTTTCACCATTCAGCATCCTTTGAGCTCTATATGAATTTTAGGATTTCCTAAAAAGTGCCATTGGGATTTTGATACAGATTGCATTGAATCTGCAGATAGCTTTGGGTAGTATGGACATTTTAACAATATTAAGTCTTCCAATACAGGGACTCAGGATATTTTTCCACTTACTTGTATCTTTGTTAATTTATTTTATCAATGTCTTGTAGTTTTCAGTACATAAGTATTCCCTCCTAAGTTTATTTCTAAGTATTTTATTCCTTTTGATGCTATTATATCTGGTTGTTTTTATTAAGTTCTTTTTGGGTTATTTGTTGTTAGTGTATAAAAACACAACTGATTATTGTATGTTGATTTTTTTATCCTGAAATTAACTCAATTTTTTTATTAGTTACAACAGTGTGTGTGTGTTTGTGTGTGTGACTTTAAGGGTTTTCTACAAGAGATCATATTATCTTCAAACAGAAGTAATTTTACTTCTTTCATTTTGATTTGGATGTCTTTCATTTCTTTTGCTTGCCTAATTGCTTTGGATAGGACTTCCAGTAACATGTTGAATAAAAATGGCAACAGTGGGCATCCTTGCCTTGTTCTAGATCTTACAGGAGATGCTTTTAGTTTTTCATCATTGAATATGATGTTGATGGTGGCCTTTTTAGATATAGCTTTTACTATGTTGAGGTATTTTTCTTTTATTTATATTTTATTGAGAATTGTTTATTATAAAAATGTGAAATTTTACAAATATTGTTTCTACATTATTGAGATGATCATGTGATTTTTATGCTTCATTTTGTTAATGCGGAGCATCACATTAATGATTTGAGTATGTTGAACCATATTTTTATTCCAGGGAAAAATCTCACTTAGTAATGGCATATGGCCCTTTCAATGCGCTGTTGAATTTGGTTTGCTAATATTTTTTTGAGGATCTTTACACCTCTGTACATCTGAGATATTGACCTGTAGTTTTATTTTAGTGTGTGTTTTTGTTTGGCTTTGGTATTCAGGTAATGCTGGCCTTATACGTTTGAAAATGTCTCCTCTTCTTCAGTTTTTGGAGAGTTTAGTAAGGATTGTTATTGATTCTTTAAATATTTGGTAGAATTCACCAATGAAGCCATCTGATCCTGTGTTTTTCTTTCTTGGGAAGTTTTTGATTACTGTTTCAATCTCCTTACTCATAATTATTGTGTTCAGATTTTCTATTCTTTCATGTACAGTCTTGTCAGGTTGTATATTTCTAAAAATGTATCAATTTCTCCTAGCTTATCTAATTTGTTGTCATATAATTATTCATATTAGTTTCTTATGATCCTTTTTTCTATGGTATCAGTTAAGTGAAATATTAATAATTATTATTGATAAAAATAATCATCTTTCATTTCAGATTTTGGGTACTTGAATTCTATTTTTCCTTAAGTGAGCTAAAGGTTTGTCAATATTGTTTATCTTTTCAAAAAACCAACCCTCAGTTTCGCTGATTTTTTTCTGTTGTTTTTCTATTCTCTATTTTAAGTCTGCTCTAATATTTATTTCCTTCCTTCTACTTACTTTGTGCTTAGCTTGTTTTTCTTTCTCTAGTTCTATTTAGTGTAAAGTTATATTTTTTATTCTTCTTTTTGAAAGTATTTATCACTATAAACTGACTTCTAACTACCACTTTTGCTGCCTGTCATAGGTTTTGATATGTTTTTGTTTTCATTTGTCTCAAGAAATTTTCTAATTTCCCTTTTGATTTCTTCTGTTGTTTAAATGTGTGTGTTTTTAATTTTTATTTTATCACATATTTGTAGATTTTTCAATTTTCCTTCTGCTATTTATTTCTAGTTTTACGCCATTGGGATCAGAAAAGACTATTCGGCATATGTCTATATATTTATCTGTTAGGTCCATTTGGTCTATACTATTTTTCAAGTCCACTGTTCTCTTTTTGATTTTCTGTCTGGATATTCTATCCATTATTGAAAGTGTGGTATTAAAGTCTCCCATTAATTTAATTCTGTTTATTTCCTCCTACAGTTCTGTCAGTGTTTGCTTTATGTATTTTGCTAGTCTGATGTTGAATGCATGTATGTTAATGATTGTTATATGAATCAGTCCTTTTAAGAGTATATAATGTCCCTTGTCTCTTGTGATAGCGTTTGACTTAAACTCTATTTGGTGTGATTTAGGTATAGCCTCGCCTGCTCTCTTTTGGTTACCATTTGGATGGAATATCTTTTTCTATCCTTGCATTTTCTTCAGCCTATGTGTGTCCTTAACTCACTTAAATCTAATGTGAGTCTCTTATAGAAAGTATATAGTTGGATCCTATTTTTTTAATTAATTCAGTCACTTTATAGCTGTAGATTGAGGGGTTTCATTCTTTGTATTTAAAGTAATTATTGATAGAGAATAACTCATTATTGCCATTTTGTCAGTTTCTTTTTTTGTCAGTCTTGTAGTTCTTTTGACTTCTTTTCCTTTTGTTGTCTTCATTCGTGTTTTATTGATTCTTTGTATTGATATACTTTTATTCCTTGCTTTTTGTCTTCTTCTTTTCTAAATAAACCATTTTATGTATTACTATTATCATATAGAGACAAGATCTCACTCTGTAACCTACAGTGCAGTGGCATAATCATAGACTACTGCAGCCTCAAATTCCTGGCCTCAAGTGATCCTCCCACCTCGACCTCCCAAATTGCTGGGATTCCAGGTGTGATGGCTCACGCCTTTTTTTTTTTCTTTTGTATATCTTCTGTGGCTATTTTTCTTTGTGGTTACCATGGAGTTTACATAAAATGTTTTATAATTATAACAGTTTGTTTTAAGCTGATAACTTCAATCCTATACAAAACTCTACACTTCCCCCTCTATCTTGTATATTATTGACTCACACTTTATTTCTTTTATACTGTGAATATATTAACATATTTTTATTGTTATAATTGCTTTTTATACTTTTGCCTTTTAACTTTGTACTGGAATCAAAATAGATAGACACACTTTTATTACAGCATTAGAGTATCCTGTATTCTTGTATATATTTATGATTTCCAGTAAGTTTTATATTTTTATATACTTTCATAGTGCTGTTTAGTATATTTTTGGTTAAAGTTGAAGAACTTCCTTTAGCAATTCTGGTATGGCAGTGCTAGTTGTAATAAACTCCTTCATCTTTTGTTTGTCCAGAAAGTTTTCATCTCCTTCTTTTTTGAAGGACAGTTTTTGCTAGGCATAGTATTATTTGTTGGCAGTTTTTTCGGGGAGAAGGAAGGTCCAGGATTTTTAGTTTCACCATCTTGCTGACCTCACTCAGGTAATACATGTATAGAAAGCAATTACAAACCAAAATGTATAGCATTGAAAACAAATGAAACCAATTGGAATAGAGAAGTTTCTTGATAGTGTGAGGAATAGTAGAAAGAATTGAAGAGATTTGGTCAGCTGAGAGGTGGAAGATGATAACTACCCTCAAATATAGTCATGTAGAAGAGGTTATAAATACACTGTATGTCATTTTACAGAGGAAATAGTATCAAATGTAGAAGGTAGGACAATAATTGATGATTGGCCTTTTCCACCTCTCTAGTTTCCTCTGCAGCATTTTCCCTCTTGTGCAATTTTCTTCAGTCACTTTGTCTCTCTTTTGTTTTTTTGAATGGAATTATTTGCCTCCCTTCTCAAAATTTATGGATTCCATCTTGCTCACTCTGACTTCTGAAGTAAAACAGTCTTTTCTTTTATTCCCTCTTCTTGGCATAACCTATTCCTATTCCTCCATGCTCTATTTAACTACACTTCTCTCAGCTTATTCTCATATTTTGTTTAGACATGTTTTTGTTAGCTTTGGAGAGAATCACATTTCCCAGCTAAATATTAATAGCAATCTCTGCATTTACCTCAACTTATAATAATGTATTTGTGTTATTACTTGGGTTTTTATATGTATTTTTTATTAGACTGCAATTGTTGTAATTTCAATGTCTCTTCTATATCAGACATTAAATAAAAACCTATAGCAGCAGTGCATGGATATAGGGAAATGGTTTAACAGAAGTAAAATGTAATAAAGTATCCTGCTGTCCAGATGCAAGATGGGCTGCTTTTAAATTACTGAGCTTGCAATCACTTGACATTTTTAACCAAAGGATGAATGGCCATCTGTTTGTAATAGGGATGTTCCAGAAGGGTTTATACAAATATTGAATAGCGATGTTGAAGGCCCCAAAGGTTCTTTTTGACATTTTTATTTTGTGACTTACCAATGAACTTTATAAAACAACTTTCTTGTAAGTTAGAACTGCCAGTATTCTACAAACAAACTCAGTAATTCTACAATACCATAGGATGAGACCCATTGATTACTACCCATTAAATTCATGACCAATGTTTGGATAGAACATTGAGGTTTAGCAACCATTTTTTTATTTTTATTTTTTTCTAGACAAACTTATTTAAAGGCCTGCATTACATCAATGAGGTATCAAATGGTCAGAATGAAGAGGACTCCTTTACATTGTGAATAGTGAGTTTATCAACTCTTCATTTTCTTAGAACACGAGAAGAGTAAGTATATTACTTGGCATTCTGAATGATTGGAATTAAAATAATGTAACACATGGGTCACCAAGCCCCAGCCATGGGTCAGTACCATCCCAGGGCCTATTAGGAACCAGGCTGCACAGCAGGAGATGAGCAGTGGGTGAGCATTACTGCCTAAGGTCCACCTCCTGTCAGATCAGCTGTAGCATTAGATTCTCATAGGAGCTCGAACTGTATTGTGAACCGCACATGGGAGAGATCTCGGTTGCCTGCTCTTTATGAGAATCTAATTAAAGCCTGATGATCTGAAGTGGAACACTTTCATCCCAAAACCATCCCTCCATACCCTCATCGAAAAATTGTTTTCCACGAAACCAGTCACTGGTGCCAAAAAGGTTGGGGACCACTGATATAAAAGACTTATCATTTTCCTAGTGAAATTGAAACTACTACATTCAGAAAATTCTGCAATTTTTGGCCTGGGCACAGTGGCTCATGCCTGTAAGTCCAGCACTTTGGGAGGCCAAGGCAGTTGGAATGATTGAACCCTAGAGTTCGAGATCAGCCTGGGCAACATGTTGAAACCCTGTCTCTATAAAAAATACAAGAATTATCTGGTTGTGGTGACACATGCCTGTGGTCCCAGGCACTTGGGGGACTGAGGTGGGATCATTTGAGCCTGGGAGGCCAAGGCTGCAGTGAGCCATGATTGCTTCACTGCCCATCAGCCTGGGCAACAGAGTGAGACTCAAAAGACAGAAAGAAAGAAAGGAAGGAAGGAAGGAAGAAAGAAAGGAAGGAAGGAAGGGATTTTGCAATTTTGATTCACTTTGACTTCTGATATCAAATATTACATTTTATATGATGCCAGATTTGAGCATATGTAGTATTTTCTTCCCATGAAGTAGACTCTTTAAAAATCTACATTTATTTATTTCAAATATCTTACAACTTATACAAAAAAAACTCTGTAAAGTTAGAGTGTTGTCATGCATCAGATGCAATCATAAAAATACCATTCAATTTCTAATGCCAAGGATGTGTTTACACTAACATCTGTAAACTAAAGTTATTTTGAAATTCAAGTTATGTTTAATTATGATAGGCATTTGCCAGTATACCTACACGTGATATATATAATTTTTTTACAACTTAACATTTTTCATAGAGCTTTCTAAGGGGAGGCACTGTTTAACCACTTTTTAAATTATTAACTTATTAAGTCTTGATTTTTAAAAAAATGCCCTATAATAGAAGTAATTTTAATTTTCCATTTTACAGAAGAGGACATTAAGATAAAGAGATGTTTAGTCAATTGACTAAGGCCACAGGTTGTAAGTAGGTTTGAACCCAGGCAATCTGAGTGCAGATCCATGTATTTAACTATTATATGATAGTACATAAAATATCAACAGTACAGTGGGATCAAAAATGAAAAATAAAAGTCTCTTACTCACTTCCATCCTCATCTCTTTTACCACTTCTTAGAGGTATGCATAATTAGCTTTTAATGTCCATAACTGCTTTTGTTAGCTATTACCCTAACTTTAAGTAAGGAGCATATAGTTTATTGACAGATTTAAACAAACTCATGGGGAAATTTGAAAACATTACTTCCAATTCTCTTTTAGCTTCCATACCCATACTTCCTTTAGTTGTGTTTTGGTTATTTTAGTTCTTACCTTTGATCTTTTAAAAATACACTTAAATATTTAATTTTGATTCACCCACTTAGAATAATTTTCATCTAGATAACCCTCTTTCCTTCTTCATTTTCTGTGAGACAAGATATTTTTAATTATCAAATTTTATATTATTTGTATTTTCATGGAGAAGTGTGCTTGTTTAAAAGTCAAAAATCAGTAAAGGCCTTTGTCAAATTATGCTTATGTATTATTATCTAACTTAGAACCAAATATTGTGAAGGACATGTGATCTGATGCCACTAAAATTTGGGATCATTTTACCTTTTTTCCTTGTAATTGCTCAGAATCATGCAATGATTTTTTGTTTTGCTTATTATGAAGACTGTGCTTTTCTCCTGCAGCTTTGAGTTTTACCATGTATTCTGTATTTTTATGTACTTTATTAAAAATGTGTATAATAGTCTTCTAATTCATTATCCATACAAACCCTGTAAGCATCAGATTCAATTTTTTTATGTAAGCATTGAAACAAAGTTTACAACATAGCTGATTCATTTAGCAATATCTGTATATATATGCATAAATATATACAAATTAGCAGATCTCGATACTTAAAGGTTTTTATAGGTAAGCATAAGAATTTTTGTGTATATGATAATTAACACTTATATAGTGTTATTTTATGTGTAGTAAATTTGTGAAGTATACTAGTTTGAAATTTGTCAATATTGTTCAGGAAATATCTTTGGTTCTTTAGTTAATAAAGCCATTTTTGTGTCAACAATGATTTTTTAGCTTCCAAGAAATCTAAAATAATTATACTGAGTAGCCCATTACAAAACAAATATAACAGTATATAATTTTAATATCTCTACGTAATCCATATATATTTTCCCGCATATATATTTTACTGTCAATAAAATCAGTAATTCTGAGACTTTTAAATAAACATAGTTCATTTAGCCTAGAATTTTAAGATATTATGGTTGCTAACTGTGGTTACCATTTAAATTTTCAGGGTCTATTTTTAACATATTTTTATCATGGGATGCGATTACCTTATCTCCTTATGTTGATGTTGAATGAGGTGCTAACTATTGTGACTAGTTGCTGAAAAATTTTTGTTAATAGGTGGGAACAGAGACATTACTTGCTTGCAAAATTGTTCCTTTCCTACCCCACTTAAGGAAAGGAACCAGAAGAAAAGGAGAAAGGGTGGGACATGTAATTACTAGGGTGAAAATAGCCTAAGGAAAGACAATAGAAAAAGATATCTGCTCTGCTAGCTTAAAGTTATTAACAACATGCACATTTTATTCATATGGAAGATTATGTTTTCTCTGTAGCTTTTTCTACAGTATAATGATGTTACTCAATATCTAGCTTTTAATATTGCTTTTATTGCATTTGACAAGTTAAGATTTATAATTTAAAAGTGACTGACACTGCAGTACAAAATATAGGATTGTATGATAGAATGAAGCATTCTAGCAAAGGTTTTAAACTAATAAAGTGGTAAATTTTGCCTCAGAGTTCACATGAAGCCATTTTTATATAATATTTTACTGTGAGAATAATGTAACTATGCATTTAAATGTCATTAATGTATTAATTATTGTATTTAATGTGTTAATTGTAATTAATGTATTTAAGTGTAATTAGTGAATTTTCACAAAAGGAAAAGTGTCAGTATTCATTGAATAATCAGAATGCCTTCACACCCATGATTTTTTTGGGGGTGAGGAATAACCTAAATGAACACTTACATTGTATACAGAATAACTCATACAATGTCTAATATTTTACTGATCAATATGCCAACTCATATGATGTCTAATTTTTTTTTTTTTTTTTTTTTTTTTTTTTTTTGAGACGGAGTCTCGCTCTGTCGCCCAGGCTGGAGTGCAGTGGCGGGATCTCGGCTCACTGCAAGCTCCGCCTCCCGGGTTCACGCCATTCTCCTGCCTCAGCCTCCCAAGTAGCTGGGACTACAGGCGCCCGCCATTACGCCCGGCTAAGTTTTTGTATTTTTAGTAGAGACGGGGTTTCACCGTTTTAGCCGGGATGGTCTCGATCTCCTGACCTCGTGATCCGCCCGCCTCGGCCTCCCAAAGTGCTGGGATTACAGGCGTGAGCCACCGCGCCCGGCCTGATGTCTAATATTTTATTGGTTGTATATTACTCACTGCAAAACTGCCATTGCTTACACATGTTAAATTCTTTAATATAATTTATGCAGTCATGTAAAGTTTATGCAAAAATAATAACCTCTTTTATCAAGGCTTGAATAAATATTTCTAAAAATGGATATGTTAACATACTAAATATCATCAGTTTTACAATTCAAATCTCCTGTATATCTATAACTTCATCCTAATCTGATGGTGCTTAGCATGGAGGATGTTTCTGAGTTTTGTTAAAGTTTTAAATCAATATATGGGGTAGAAATAGAAAATATTAAGATTTTCACCTTTGTAAATCAGTTATTTTTTATTAAAAAATACATTTAGATTTTCTGTTCTATGCTCTTTAAGGTGATGGCCACAGTTTTTCCATAGCTTAGAGTGTAGGACAAAAGTTCTTTCTAAAATTAGGCAGAATGAGCTCAGATTAGGCAAGGCTCAGAGTGCTACAGTATTAATATTTCCAATATGAACCAGGAAACCTCTTTTATAATTAACATAGCAATGATTAAATCTTAAATAAATTCTTCATGTTTTCATGGAAAGATGCAAATGGCTTTAATACCTTTTTTGGAAAAAGGCAAGGATATGCAAATAATTATATGAGAACAAATGCGAACAGCTAAGTTTCATGTATCTTTACTTTGATAGCAAATACAGAAAATGCATATATTCCCAGTTTAGATGAAGATAATTATTTTCAATACCGGAAGTAAAAGTAATATTTTCCATTGATTTTTAACCTTTTTCCTAAAAACATTCTCTTGTTTGACAATTGTCAAACATTTATTGCTAGAGAGATAGCATGAAGGTGAAGCACCCTGCATTCATCATATAGTAACTCTGGTTTAGATAACATTAAAGCTCCCCGTAAAAACGGAACTCTAAATCTCTTATGTATCACATTTTCTTTGCTCTAACTTGAATTTTATCATAAAGAAACTATAGTGTTTAAGAACAAGAGAAGATGAAAAGGTGTTACCCATAAAAGAAATAAACACAATTAAATATTATCTTTTTAAAAAGCAGACAAAAGTATTTAGGTAGTTTATTTAAAATACAAATAGGTTTATTTATTCAAGTAAGATGGAAATCTTGATTTTGCTGATTTGGGGAAAACATTTGTTGGGTTGGGGACAATTTCACAGGAACAGTCTTAAGCAAAGAGGAAAGAAAATAATACTTTGATACATATTTTTAATGTTAACGTGAGTCTCACCAAGGGGGTGGGTAATCAAACAAATTAAAGCTAAAGTGTTTTATTTTGCTCTTGGTCTTTCCCTACCGGCATCTTTTGTCAGAGGAAAGTTAATACGTTATTTATGTCTGATGATACACTTGTCCCATTTAAAAGGCTTCAGTGGTTCCTCAATGCTTACAGAATAAGTAACTACAAAACTACATAGCAAGACATTTCTAAATGTGGCTCCAGTTTTCTTTTCAGTATCATGCTCTTTGTATCACCAGTAAAACCATACTCAGTGCATTAGATCACTCACGTACTCTGAGCTAAGCACCATTTGCCTGACTAAGCAGCATTTATTTGCCTGTCAGCTTTCAAGGCCCAGAACAAATACACCTGACTCCTACCCAGGTGAATTAATCAGTCTCTGCTCTGTGATACCAAACCACATTATTGAAATCACTAGTATAACAAATCTATACTCATTTAGAGGTATTTTTGTATTTGTTAGCACTACTAGTCTGTAAGTTCCTAGAGAGTTTATATGCTGTTTTATTCATCTTCACAACTATGTTTCTCGGGCACAGTAGAAACTCTACAAATTCTTTTTTGAGTAAATAGTGATGTTACAAATTATTTCCTTATTGTTCTCTATTCAAACAGACCAGTTTGTGTGTGGAGGTTTCTTTTTAACAGTGTGCTTAAATTTTTATGACCAGACATTAGTGAAAATAAAGGACATTAATAAAAATCTACTAATGTGTGACATTAATAGAAAAAAAATTAGGTTGTATATCCAACTCAACATTCTTTTTAAAGGAATGCCTGTCAAATTTTGAAATTTAAGATTAATTAAGGTATCAGATAAATAAGATCTGATATACTCATTTTTCTTTTGTCTTTTGTTTCAATACATTTATTTGCTTCAATACATTTATTTGCTTCAATATATTTATTTGCTATATGTTAGAGATGTTTGTATAATCACTCTAGTTATGCTGCTACTACATGAATAAGTTAGAACAAGCTACTATATTGATTGAAAAAATATCAAATAACATATTAAAACAAAAAATTGTAACACTTTTTTATTCCTCTATAAGTATTTGCTTTAATTAGAAATGCAAGAGAGTTCATTCTTTTATAAAATCACTGGAGGTATTCTGTAATGTAAAATAACATGAAAATTTATTTCCAATTAAATAGACATTTCCAAAATTTAAACATGTTTTATAAATATGAGGCTGAAGGTTTTATAAACTCACATAGATTCATGTGAGTAAATCAAGAAAGATACTAGACACATACACATGTGAACACATACACACATATTACATATTTATTTTTAAATTGTTAGCATAGAGGCAACCCCAAACACCAATAATGTACAAACTTTAATAGGTTTAAAGACGAGCACTTAGAAATGTATAGTTATAGAAATCATTCATACAGTTTATATTTTATCTTCTAGAAAATTTATTTTCTTCTTTCTTTTTTATAATTTATAATAGATATCCACATTCCCATAAATTTTTTAAATATATATAATTATTTTTTGTAAGACAGAGTCTCACTCTGTCGCCAGGCTGGAGTGCAGTGGCATGATCTTGGCTCACTGTAACCTCTGCCTCCTGGGTCCAAGTGATTCTCCTGCCTCAGCCTCCTAAGTAGCTGGGACTACAGGCGCACACCACCACACCCAGCTAATTTTTGTATATTTAGTAGAGACAGGGTTTCACCATGTTGGCCAGGATGGTCTCGATCTCTTGACCTCGTGATCAGCCTGCCTTGGCCTCCCAAAGAAATTGTCCAAATACCCATGACAAATATGTCAGACTTTTTATGAAATATAATTTTTTGCTAGTAATATTTTAAATAAAACTTTTAAATTTAAGGGGGAATTACTTATAACCACAGGTACTATATTGCTTATGTCCATATTTTTAAAGCAATGATTTTGTGGCAATGCCTATGTGTCATGTCATTTTGCATGTAGTTTGCAGTCTGTAACTAGGGTTATAAAAATATATTTTATTTAACCTTAAAACAATGTAGTTCTTAAAGACTTATCAGCAAGAACAGAGCTCAGTACAGATACTTATTCAAAAGAAAAGCTTTTTTCCCTTATTTTACTCTTTTCTGTCTTTTAAAATATTGGTATTCTTTGGGAGTCCCTACCATTGTTTATAATTTTCTTTTTTCACATTCTTTTCTATGTAAAACTACCAGTCTCTGCATGCTGTCACATTTTATTGTAATCTATTTTTTTTTAAACACAAATCAAACCACGTCACCCCACTGTTCAGAATCTTTCAGTGTTTCCTCAAGGCCTACAGGATACCAACTCTATTTCTTTGCATGGGATGAAATGCTCTTTTCAATCTGGACCCGCCTGTCTTTCTAGCCTTATCGCCAAAAGTTCGTTCGGCATGTACTTTGTACTTCAGTCACACTGGGCTACTTGTGGGTCTCCATTAAGCCATGCAATTTCAAGTTTCTATGCTTGCCTCTTGTAATCTTAGAAAACTCTGTACTCTTCAAGATTCAATTCAAAATTCTACTTGTTTTTTTTTTTCTATGCTCTTCTAAGTCCCTGTGTGTATACGTCAGTTGGCATCTACCTACCTTTATTTTATTAATAGTGGTATATCTGATTTATACTTAACTGAGAATTCCTCTGCATCTTTGCAACTCCTGCTCCTTAGAACAATGCTGCACTCAGTCAGTGTAGAAAGATAGAATGGCTGAGGTAAATAAACAAAGCATTATCATGATTACTACTGGCAAGTTTGAGCATGATCATTTTGGAATATATGATGTTTCTTCACACTGCTTTTAAATCTCCTAGTTGTGATAAGATGCTCTTTATACTGGCCCTAGAGCTTTGCATTTATGTTTGCAAGTTTACACATTTTTAATTATTAAATATTCCTCATGATTTTCTAACAATTGTGTATTTGGGCTCAAATTCACTGTCAGGAGCAACAGAATGATATGATATGTGTATATATATATATAAACACAATCATATACACTTACAAATATATATGCATATGTATATTATACAGGTATATATTCATATATATATATGTCTTTCCAATAAACCTATGAGGGCTAGCTATATTCAGATGAATAAGCTGCAAAAAATAATGTTCAGAGTATAATAATACAGAGTCTGTAAATGTAGAAATTGACCAGCTGATTTAACCATAATGGAGGCAGTGTCAAGTAGATTTTTAAGATAGAAACAGATATAGATGAACTAATACAACACATAGAGAATTGTTCACTTTTTCATACTTTTCACATATTAAAATTAACTGTATTATTGAAATGATACTGTCTCTTTAGTTATTTTAATCCAAATATTCCTCTTCAATGTCTAGGTATTTCTCTTCGATTCATGTTTTGAAAGTCAATATAAGTAATATCTGTCTTGATTGATAGTAGTTAAGTTACTTGGAAATAATTAATTATGTAAAACACCCCCGATTTTGTTTAAATTACTGATTTTCAAATGGAGATGGTTTCACCTTCAAGGGGTCATTGACAATATCTGGCTGTTTTGGTTGTCACAGCTGGGAAGCCAGTGCTACTGACATCTAGTGGGTAGAGGCCAAGGGTGCTGTTAAATATCCAACAGTGCAGCTCCCGCAACAAATTATTTGACCCAAAATGCTCATAGTGTCGAGGTAAAGAACTCTTGCTTTAAGCAAATTGTTCTACTTATGTTCAGTCCCTATGTGTAGAGAGCATTTAAGATCATTCAAAGAAATTTCCCAAATTCCCATGTGACCATTAGGAAGACTCAAACTTTGTCATCATTTTGTACATCAAAATCATTGAAAGGAACTTTCAAAGCATCCATGTAAGTAATAATATTTTCCATTTCTTTCTAACCTTATTGACTTTTGGTATCTAATGATATTTTAATAATTATTTACATTTAATGATTCTTTACATTACATTAAGCCCTTTCATGGGGAAGGTGATAGATGCAACAAATTAGGTATGCCTGGGTTCAGCAGGACAGATTTCCATAGAGGACCCAGAGCCTGTGAACTGTGAACTTTTTCACTCTTTCCTGAAACTCATATTGTAAAAAGAGAAGAATAGAACTTGAACAGATAATCTAGCTTTCATGTTCTCTCTAGGCAACATTCTGACTAAATTATGTCACGCAGACAAAAATAATATAAAGATATACTTGGAAAAAACATTTTCAACCTTCTTCAGCATCCAGTTCAACTTGATTGAAATAATTGAGTGCCTAAGTGCAAAGTAAGCCAGGATGGCTGACATCCTTAATTTGTTCTCAAAATAGGATATGGAATGAAAGGTATTAAACTAAACGGTTTGTTACCATGAGACCAGACGATTCTGAGTAAACTCAGAAAAAGTTGCTCTACTGAAGTCCATTAAAAGTTGTTCTGACAAAATATGGTATTAAAAATATCTTTTGTGTCTCACTCTCAGTACATTTATCATTAACTTCTTAACTAATTTATTAAATGGGCACTAGCCACAATTTTAAATCCCTTTGAGATAGATTCTGATTTATATATGTGTGCATACATGTATGTGTATCATAGACTATACATATAGATGCAGTACATATATATTGGATATATATGTTTTATATGTGTGTGTACATATACATCCACTTAAAACGACCACGAATACCTAGAAACTTTAATTTATGTAAAGAATAAGGATACAATAGGTGATGCTGAGCCCTTGTGTTATAGTCATTCATTCCTTCAAGTGAAGCTATGATCTGAATAAGCATAGAGGTAAGCCTCACGGTGTATATTGAGATAAATTTTCATTTGTTTATGTATACTTTTTAACTAAAAAATATAGAGATTATTTTATGACACTACTATAGAGATTTAACTAAAAAGTATACAGATTACCTTACGACACTACTGTAATAATTTAATCTTCATTAAATAGGAGATTGTTGTCTTTCAGTGGAAACAAATATTTTTAATCTCTAGTAGCTGTCTTCCAGGACAACGTCATCTGTTGCGATATATTGTCAATAAAATTATTTTAATACAAGGCTGAATACGGTAGGTCTTATAATTGAGTTAGAAGTAAAATACAGTAAGAAAATGAAGTGATTATATCTTATTGGGTTTCAAAGCAGACATCATTAAAGAGATAGCTTTTAAGCTAGGTTTAGAAAGATTAGACAGATTTCCAAAAATGAAGTTATCAGGATGCAGTTTAAGGCAACTTACTCTTTCTTCCAGTCAATTAATTTTGTCTTTTGAAAATATATTTTGTTTTCAACAACTTTTAATAACAATATAAGATCTCAGTTTATCATAAAGATTCTGATTTTATTACATGGGGGTAAATTTAGATCAAATATCATATCTCCTATACTTTAGTTTTTAGAATATATACCATTTATCTAAATAAGTTGTTTATAGTAAAGTAATGATAATTATAATAATTTCTAAAATAGATATTTTCAATTTTCATTTTCCTTATTATAAGCATATATTTTACACTTTAGTGTTGTTAGTAAATTAATTTATTTTTATTGGCCTCTGCATGATCTCTGAACACAATAAACATAGTCTTCCCAGGCTCTTTGTATGTATGTATAGGTGGCAGCGCAAATCTAAGTGTAAGAGTAGTAAATAAAGGTCAGGTCATGCAGGTTGTATAATTAAGTTTAAGAACCTAAATTTAACGCTGAGAGAAGGTGGGTCATGTCTAGAGCAGGGAGACAAAATGGGATGATGCTGTTAGGTAAGAGAGGGGGAGTGATATAAAGTAAGACAGAGATACTTGGATGGAATTTGCATAGGAAGTATAGCAAACCAAAGTTGTGATTGTAAGAGTATGGAGAAATAAAAAACCGAAAGTGAAGGATGACGCCTGGTTTTAAGTTTCGGAAACTGGAGATTGAAGCTGGGCCCATTCCAAAGATAATGGAAAACAGCAGGGAAGAGGCAGGAGAATGCTGAATTCTATTTTTGACATGTTGAAGGTGAGATATGTCTCTGGACAGTTAGTAAACACATAATTATTCAAGTTCACGAAAAATATCTAGGCTTGGAATATAGAGGTACACATAATGAGCACACAGGTGACATTTGATGTGGCAGGAATAGATGTGAATTCAGGGGGAAAATGTCTGGTAGGAGAAGAGAAGAGCCTGGTGGAGAATCCTAAATACTACAAATCATCAGAATATGTTCTTGCCAATCTGTTTTTGTTATTTCTTCCCAGGCATATATTCTCTACCAGGATACTCAAGGTCAACATTATATTGCTTTTCTGGCACTAATTGATTCACCTCCTGTCTTCCATTCACAAGTACATACTTCCCATGTCCCCCAAAGTCACAGCAGATAATATGGGGCTTCTTTTACTAGTCTTTACTAAATTGTGTGCTACTTTATGTGACCCTTCCCAGATAACAAAAATGCTTTCCTGCAGTTATTATTCACCAAAGAAGTCCTAGGTTTGGAGATTTTATTGCCTGGAAAATGGTCACAGAAAGAATAATTCTGCTTTTGGCTCCTGTTAACAACTCTCAAATTATATTATGATGGAATCTGGCTCTTGAGCTAGGCAACATAACGTGTTCTGCTAAGTGTCAAGAAATATTCTTACTTTACCATTTGCAAAATTGTGACGGAGAAAGTGAATACTGTTATAATAGACAGATGCTTGCTACTCTGTTCTCATTCATTGTTCCTTTTATTCCACTCAGAGCATCCTCTGCTTCTAGATTTCCTCTCATCGATCTCATGGGATGCACCATCTCAGTAACGTTGTCTGATTCCACTTCACATTCCCAGATGGACACTCCTATTCTTTGTCTTCTTCCTTTCTAACTGTACTCTCTTGATATGCAATATTAAGTGCACTCCTGGTTTTAAATAGTCACTGTATGGTAATGACTTCCAAATATATAGCCCAAGCCTGCGCCACCACCCTTCAACACACTCTACTCCTCCAAGTTCCTGACTCCCATATCCAACTGCTTTCTTTATATCACTACTTAAATGTCTAGTAGACATCTCAAACAGAGAATATTCAATACATTTTGTTCTGCCCTGCACTTATCTTCCCAGTATCAATAATGGCCCCACTATTTACCTTGTAGGTCAAGCCATTATACTGACAGCATCCTTGGCTTACCTCTTTTCCTCTCAGCCCACATGGAACTGGTCTCCCTTTACTGTTGCCTCAAGTTTCAAACTATACTCTAAATCTAACTAATTATTATCATTTCCCCTGCTGCAATGCTACCCCAATTCTCCTTCATCTCTTGCAAAAAATTGTTAACAGCCTTTAAATGGGTATAACCTCATCTCTCCACTCTTTGCCTCCTAGCAACACAATTCAGTTCATTTCTTCTTCAGGGTCTTTGAATTCACTGTTCTATCTTCATGCATTATTTTTTCTCACATCTTTGCATGGCTCATGCCTTTATTTAATTCAGGCTTCTGCTCAAATGACACAACCTCAGAACAGGCTTGAATGATTACCCTTTGTAAATTATCCTCACACTAATCATGTTTTTCTGCTTTAGTTTTTATCACAGCATTGACAGTTTAGTATGCATTTATATTTTTATTTGTTTATCATCTGCCTCCCTCACTAGTATTTAAGAGAACAGGGAGTTGTCCTTCTCTATTTCTGTATCCTAAGAACATATGCTACTGGTTAACTATAAATGCTCAGAATTATTAGTTGAACGAATATATGAATGAGTGAATAAATAGAATGTTCAAAAAATTTAGAAATGCAAGAGTTTCATATTTTACATGACTCTAAACCTGTAAATTCTATTGGGAGAAAGGTAGACAAAATATTTATAAATAAAGAAAGACAAAATCTAGCAGCATTCTCTGATTAATTATAATAATGAGCTCTCACATTTGCCTGTGAAAAGTCTGTTTCTCCTAACTGAGCATTCATGTTTTATCTCTTGCCCTTATGTTTTTTTCTTAAGAGTCTTTAAAGAATGCAGTCAGACTGCTATCTTCCAAACGGTTTTGTTTCCTCATGCTGAAAGTAGGACTTTTATATTTAGAAGCACAAACTCTCTCCTAATTATATACAACCTACTGTTCTAAATTTTGCATGCCACTTTGCAGTTTAGTGCTATGCAATTTACTTAGTACCAATTTTGGTGTCAAAATCTGACATTTAGATTGCTTTTGAAAGTAATGGCAAAGTGGAGTTAGTACTGAATGAGGCTTAGCATTTGCTTTCTTGGCTTCTTTTTAATTGTTCTTTTATTTATGTGTAATGACCTACCTATAACGTTATGGTGATAGATCAAATACTCATCATGACTTATACATTCAGAGAAAATATTTTTAATTCTTAGTAAGGTAATTTTGCTGTTTTTTTCCTCTGAACATCAAAGGACTGGAATGCAATATTCACAGCACGCTAAACACCTATCATGAATTCAAATTTATTAAAGATATTTTAATATATGGAGAGAAACTGGTAGAAATGTGGGTATGCTATGTTTATATCTTCTAGTGATCTGACATTAGCTAGATTATTATCGTTTTGAATTTTAATTAACAAGTACATTTTCCTTAACTATAAAATAGCGTTACTTGTGTTTTGTGGTCTTGTGTTAGGTGTCTCTCTCTGTCTCTCTCTGTGTGTCTCTCTGTTTCTGTCTCTGCATGTCTCTGTCACTCCCTTTCACATCTAGATATATAGATGTGTATATCATGTATATGTATATATACAAATATATAATTGCATGTGCATAATTATGTATAAATATTTAATAAATAACATTAAAATTTCATAGCAGGTTAAATTTAAAATGAACAGAAGTTTAAATTCTCTCTGTTTTGGTTAGTGCTTCTTCTATTTAATAGTTCACAAAACTGAGTCTGCAGGTGCTATTGTTTGAATGCATCCCCCAAAGCTCATTCGTTGGAAACTTAATTCCAATGCAAAAGTGCCGAAAGGTGTAATGTTTAAGAGACGTTTAAGGATGATTTGACATCCTTATTATGGGAATGGGTTAGTTATTGTGAGAGTGGGTTTGTTATAAAAGTAAGTTCAGCCCCCTCCTGCTCTCTCACTCTCGCATGCTCTTGCTCCAAAAATGTAAGATTTTTTTGTTTTCTTTGTAAATTAACTAGTCTGTGGTGTTCTGTTATAACAACACAGAACAGACTAAAACGATGGTTATATTTTAAACATCCGACTTAACCTCTATGGTAAAGCATTGTAATATGTTTTAATAAGACAAAAAAGATAGTGTTGTTCAAAATTTCCCTTACGGAGTTGCCAAATTTTGGTTATACTGCAAGCCAGTATGAAAAAGTGCAAACACATCAAAGGATTTTATTGTGAATATTTTTGAAATTACTTTATTTATAGTTTTGCCTTTGAGCTATTTTTTCCCTTTATTATAAAATGAGAACAGCTGGTAGTATTTCCAAATGTTAGCCTAAGTTTAAAGATTCTCACGTTCCTTTTGGTTTGTTGACATTATCTTTAACTAGATATCACAAATACATAATGAGAACCACCCTGGCACTTGAAAATTAAAGATAAGAAAGACCAAAACACTTGTACATTTCAGAATACAGGCAAATAAAATTTCTCTTGCAAAAAGTATTTGTATTTTATTTGAAATTAAACTTATTTTCTATTAATCTTCATTGCTTTTAACCTAAACCTTGTTTTTTCTGTTCATAGACTAAAAGTCAGCCTTACAAGTAACCATTGTCAATTTTACATTTTATTTAAAAGGATAATCCATTTTTCTATTTCAATAAAATATGTCAGGTTTTTTTTTAACAGAAAAATATGCGATTACCTGATTATTTCTTAATGATTTAATTATTTGGCATATATTCTCATCATCTTCAAATATCTCTAAATTTTGTGCCATTTTATTTTGGAGAGAAGTGTTTCTTAGGATAAATTATTTCCTTTTTATAAAAGCTTATTGATATAATTAGTCTAATGATAATTGGTAATTATCCTGTAAATGTTCAGTTAGAAGAGCAAAACATAGCCATTGAAATTTCTCAAATTTTATGTTATATGAGTGTTTTAAAACATGGGTAAATCCTATAAAAGCTAAAATGTATTATTTTTTATACACATGCCACAATTACCACATTTTTTAAAAAAAAGTCTCACCTGTCATAGAGAACCCTAATTCTTTGGTTTGCTATTTGCATTGCAAAATTATTATAAAATGATCTCTATTCTCTAAATCTTATTCTACGATATTTTTTCTATAATATATCAAGAAACCATTAAGTAAGTATAAATGTAAATAAATTCCTAATGGCAAAATATGTTCTTTGCTTGATTTAGTTTATTATTTTGTCTAATGAAAAATCATATAATTTTCATAGTATTTCTTAATTTTTTGGCCATTTCTACTGCTCTCTTCCAGTACAATGTTCCTCTATGTCTCACTTATCTTTGGCCAACTTTTATTTTATATAAACTGCTGATCATTATTGTCAGTCTAAACTGGAAAGTTGAAAAAGGAAGAATAAATGTCTCATCAGTCAATACATTTTGTTTTTGTTATTTTCTATGAAAACCGGCTTAATTAATATTTTTTACTGTGTTTCTATTTAAAATGGAGACTATATAAACTATAATTTTCTTATTCCATTGTTAAGAGCTTTTTCCTTTTATTGTTTTTGGTTTTGTTTTATTTTATAAGTGCAAGAAATTCACTTGAAAGAACAAACAATCAAGAGATTATCCTATAAAACGATAAAGTCACATGGTTTATATGGCTTCAGAAAAAACTTGGTCCAGTGGATAAAATAATTTCATCAGAGCTGTTTGTCTTTCTGATCCCCAGAATCAGAAGATTTATCTGCGTCTTCATCTGTGATGGCTTCATTCTGAGGCACACTGTCTATGAAGTGGGAAAAATGGCGTATGTGGTCCTTATTGTAACCCTATGTACACAGCAGACCTCTGTACATAGTTCTTACCACTTAAAGTTTAGAAAAAAAAATCAAAAAACTGTTTTTCACAATACCAGCACAAAAAATGTTTAGAAATGAATAACTCAGAAGCCTATTATGTTGGAGAAAATTGTATTGTTAAAGAAGCCATAGATCTGGAATAAAAAGCCTTTATGGTTCAAGCCTAAACTCAAATAATGAGCTCCCTAACTTGCATGAGAAACTGCAAAGACCATGTAGCCAGAAGAACATCATGTTCCACAAAACCCACTTCAGATATTACACTGAGGATATGGATAAAGAAAACCCTCCAAGATTTTGGAAGTAAAGGCCACATAAATGACCAAAGCCTACACAAGGATGTTTTTCCTAGAAAGCAGAATCAGTGCTCTCTCACATTTATGGCAGTGGGTTTTTATTTCATCCTCCCAGCAGGGTTCCAACATTGCTATGAGTGTGTGCGTCTCCAATCTTCCCTCTACCAAGTGGAAATGTCTGTACTGTTATCTTGTCCCTAGTGCACCATTAAACAGGTGATATGTAACTTATTATTTAGATCATAGATCATGAGAAAATGAGAAGTCACTATAAATCTGATGGAAAAGACTGCCTTTCGCCCAGAGAGTAAAAATATTAAGCTGGATTCGGTGGCTGGATGAAATTTTAGATTTTTTTTTCCCTTGGAGAAAGATAAATATGATCTATGTGTGAGAAGAGAGAAAAGGGATATTGGTAACTACACAAACAGACTTATCATGGCTAGGACAAGGGAGGTGAGAGCAGGCATTGCTTTTTCTGGTGTTCTCCTTCCCTGCCAACTGGCTCAATGTGAACAGGACTCAGAGTGCCCTGAAAACCTGGAAGATGACAGTGCCATTAAAAGAAAAGAGCCAGGATGCCTGAATGGCTGCACAGGGAAAAGCCCTACTGACACACATCACACTATGAGATATGCAGGACACAAACTTGTATGGTGTTAGGCCACTGAGATTTGGTACAGTTTGTTTGCCTGCTGTTTGTTTGTTTTACTGATTATCTAGAAACTCAAGGAAAACGGAAAGAGGAGATGCAACTAGGCGAGTAAGTTCAAGAAACAGCAATAAAAGAATAGGTTTGTAACAATAAACCACACTTATTTCTTTGAAAAAACTTATGAAATAGAGCCCATCTGGCATGATTGATTACTAAAGAAAGGAAAAGAATAAAGCATCAATACATAATATGAGAAATAAATGGGTAATAGGGTACACATTTGAAAAATTTAAAATGTGATATAAATTTTTTAGTTCAATCTATTGAAAACTTAGACAAAATGCAAGATTTTCTAGAAACTTTAAATGGCAAAATATTTAAAAAGAAAGACCTATCATAATAAAGACATTGAATCACTAATAACAAATCTACCTACAAAAATGCAACAGGTTCACATTGTTTTAAAGCTGATGCTTAACAATTTTAAATGATTCCTGGTAATACTGAAATATGCAGACTTCTCGAAAAATATTTTATGAGGCCACTGATGCTTTGAAACTAGAATTGAATAATTTATAAAGAAATTACAATTATAGAAGCTTGAATTATAAATTAACTATTAAGATATAAATGAACCAATACTTATAAATTATCATATGTTTAATAATGTTTTAATGGTAACGTCTATAAATTAGATTTATCCCATTAACAGATTAAATAATTAAAACCTGAATATCTCAACATATGCATAAAAATTAATAAAATTCAGCATATATTCCTGACAAAACACTTCTCATAAAACAATGAATAGATGAAAACTTTCTCACTTTGATAAAGGTATAAAAATAAACATTTTGAAATATTTGTAACTAGATATCTAAGTTTATGATTGAGTGCTATGGAAATATTTCTTAAACAAGTGACAAAATAATAAGAGAAAAGAAAAGATTGAGATAACAAAAGATTAAAGTAACTTTATTGTGCTGGTTATATGTATATAGTAAAAATATAAATATTTAGGTAAAACAAATCAATTTCAGCACTAAGAAGAGGAGGACAGTCTGGGAAGGAATGAAAGTCTTCAACTGTACCTTTAACATCTTATTATTTAAAATTATGTCAATAATATGTGGCAAAAAATAGCATTTGTTAAATCAAGTTGATGAGTTTATAATTGTCCATCTATCATCATTTTTATTTTCCATGTTTTAAAACTTCACGATTAAAATTTTACAATTAAAATTTTAAAAAAAGAAACTCATGCACATAGACTTTAAAAAAATTCAGTTACTCCTGTATTGGAATAATAAAAAAATATAGTCATGAACTACAAAAATAAGTTAATGGGATTGTCATATGGCATACTTACATTCTTTAAGTTTGTATTAGTGAGTAATTGACTTTAATCCCACAAAGAGTGATAAAGATAGACTTATCCAGCTAACACATCTTTGATGTTTGGGTAGGAGGGCTATCTGTTTTTGCCATATTACCTGATTGTTCTTCCAAAAACCTCTGTTCTCACATCTGAATCCTATGGAAAGGGAATCTGTGGGGGGCTTGAAAAATTAAATTGCACATTTTAGTAAGAACCGTGGAGAGATTATGGTTTAAGTGTCACTATTTTGGCACTTATGTAGGAAAGTCTACATACACCTTTGAAAATATATGTACATTTAGACCAAAATAAAGATATCTTCGGTTATTTAAAAATACACTAATACAAGGGAGTTTCTGTTGAAGCACTTGTAAGGAGATAAGACACCTCAGATAAACTTTGGACCTCGATCCCCTACTCCCAGTAAAAAGCAAACCCCAATCCAATAACCTGTCCAAAGGCAGTGAAGAATAACCCAAAGCAGGCATAAACTGAAGGTCTGACTTTTGAAAAAGGGAACTTCAATGGGTGAGATCCACATATGCGTGGCTCTAATACTCAAGAGTATTTTACCACCTTTAGGACGCTGAGTGCTAGAAGGCAAGTAGTCAATTACGGTTTTCTTAAACCGAAGTGTCAGATGATGATGGTTACAGATGCTAAGCTAGAAACTAAGGTAGCAAAATCCCAGAAAGGAGGAAGCTATAAATAACAAAACTAAAACACCTACATGAAACTACACTACCCATTACTAACATACCCCAAAATAAAAGGAAAAACAAAAACTTATTTCTTATAGGTGAAAGGCAAAATCTACAGTAAAAATATACATAATAGATAAAAATTTATGCAACAAACAATATTATATTAAATATACAAAATATACTGCTGTATGAGAAGAAACAAGTATTCACAATGGTTAAAGACATTAGACACTTTTGAGAGAGTTTTATTTAACAAGTAGACAAAAATAAGTATAATATGTTACTTATTACATAAGGTTAATTTAGTGGATCTGTTTTAGATCCTACACATTATATAGAGAGTATAAACATTTCCTAATTATCCCATCAATCTATCCATTTCCATGTAGTAGGTCAAAAATCTGATAGAAAATCTGGTAGAAAGTAGAAGTGTGTAGGACACATTATTTTGTAATAATAGTGAAATTAGAAAGTTACATCAAGAGAGAAACACAACAAACAATCTCAAATTTAGAAACAAAAATGAATGTGTTTAGAATAAAGCAACTACAAAAAAAGTAACAAACTTGCTTTTCAAATTGGACTTCCCGGAAAACAGACTGAAACCAAAAACCAACACCATATAAACCATGTGACTTTATTCCCTCTGGAAGGGAAAAAAGGGAGGAGAAAAGAAAGGCTGGGTGGAAGGAGAATTTGAGCCGTGATGCAGTCTGGGAGTTAGGGTTCAGTAATACGTGTTTTAATAACTATTTCTGATGCACACTGAAATTTGAGAAAGGTTGCCCTAAGAAGCTATCGAAGAATCTATACCACTGAGAATTTTGGATTGTTTCTACATTTTGGCTACGAAGAATGATTATGCTACAAGCATTCTTATATTTGAAGTACACACATGTATGCATTTCTATTGGGTACCTACCTGCGGGTAGAATGCTGAGTCATAGGTTATGAATATAATCAAGTTTACTAGATGAAACCAGAGAAGTTCCTAAAAGAGTCATGCTAATATATAGATCCATCAGTAGTGTATGAGCGTTTTAGTAGTTGCATATTTTTGTCAATACTTTGCAGGATCAGTTTTGTTTTAATTTAAGCCATTTTGAAGAATGTGTTGTAGTATTCCATTGTGGTTTTAATTTAGTTTCCCTGGTGACCAATGATTCTGAGATCATTTTCATATTTATTGGCCATTTCAATAGTTTCTTTGTGAAACATCAATTCAAGTTTCTTGCCCAACTGTCTATTGGATTGTTTAAATATTTCTTACTAATTAGTATGAGTTATTTCTATGCTCAGAATTGTAGTCTTGTTATTGAAATGTATAATACAATTATGTGTTAAAACTGTATGCCTTGCTGTTTCTCTTTCTTAATAGTAGCTTTTTGATTAAAAAATATGTAATGTACTATTACAGTGACAGTACAGGTATGGAGCCAGCTGACTTTAATTTTCTTTTTGTTTATATATTATTTTTTCTACAATGAACATATAAAACTTGTAAAATAGAAAATACATACAAGTAAAATTTGCAGCATATGAAAAGTGCATACTTTGATTTTATTTTTAATTTTAATTTTAATTTTAGGTTCAGGGGTACATGTGCAGGTTTGTTATATAGGTAAATTCATGTTATGGGAGTTTGATGTACAGATTGTTTCATCACCCAGGTACTACGCATAGTACCTGATAGGCACTTGTTCTGTTCCTCTCCTTCCTCCCTCCCTTTACCCTCAAGTAGGCCCTTGTGTCTGTTGTTCCCCTCCTTGTGTCCGTGTGTTCTCGTTATTTTGCTCCCACTTATACGTGAGAACATGCAGTATTTGGTTTTCTGTTCCTGCGTTGGTTTGCTAAGGATAATAGTCTCCAGCTCCATCTACGTTGCTTCAAAGGACATGATCTTGTTCTTTTTTATGGCTTCATAGTATTCCATACTGTATTTACCACATTTTATTTATCCAGTCTACCATTTATGGGCATTTAAGCTAATTCCATGTCCTTGCTATTGTGAATAGTGCTGAAACGAACATACATGTGTGTGTCTTTATGGTAGAAAGATATTTATATTCCTTTAAGTATATACCTAATAATGGGATTGCTGAGTTGAATGGTAATTCTGTTATAAGTTCTTTGAGGAATTGCCATACTGCTTTCCACACTGGCTGAACTAATTTACACTCCCACCAGCAGTGTATAAGTGTTCCCTTTTCTCTGCATCCTTGCCAGCATCTGCTATTTATTTATTTAGTAATAGCCGTTTGGACTGGTGTGAGATGATATCTCATTGGGGTTTCGATTTGCATTTCTCTAATGATTAGTGTCATTGAGCATTTTTTCGTATGCTTGTTGGCTGCATGTATGTCTTCTTTTGAGAAGTGTCTGTTCATGTCCTTTGCACACTTTTTAAAGGGGTTGTTTTTGTTCTTGTAAATTTGTTTAAGTTCTTTATAGATTCTAGATATTAATTAGACCTTTGCCAGAAGAACAGTTTGTAAATATTTTCTCTCATTCTGTAGATTGTCTGTTTACTCTGTTGATAGTTTCTTTTACTGTGAACAAAATCCCATTTGTCAACATTTGCTTTTGTTGCAATTGCTTTTGGCATCTTTGTCATGAAATCTTTGCACATTCCTATGTCCAGAATGATATTTCATAGGTTATCTTCCAGAATTTTTATAGCTTTAGGCTTTTCATTTAAATCTTTAATTCATCTTGAGTTGACTTTTGATTATGGTGTAAGGAAGGGGTCCAGTTTTAATCTTCCATATATGACTAACATGTTATCCCAACACCACTTATTGAATAGGAAGTCCTTTTCCCATTGCTTGTTTTTTGTCCCCTTTGTCAAAAATCAAACGGTTGTAGGTGCACAGCATTATTCCTGGGCTCTTTATTCTGTTCCATTGGTCTTCTTGTTTGTTTTAGTAGAAATATCATGCTGTTTTGGTTACTGTAGCCCTGTAGTATAGTTTGAAGTTGGTAACGTAATGCCTCCAGCTTTGCTCTTTTTGCTTAGAAATGCCTTGGCTATATAGGTTCTTTTTTGGTTCCTTATAAATTTTAAAATGGTTTTTTTCTAGTTATGTGAAGAATGAATGCTCTTGGTAGATTAATAAGAATTGCATTGAATCTGTAAATTGTTTGGGGCAGTTTTGCCATTTTAATGGTATTGATTCTTCCTATTCATGAGCATGGAATGTTTTTCCATTTGTTTGTGTCATCTTTGATTTCTTTGAGCAGTGTTTTGTCATTTTCAATGCAGAGATATTTCACCTCCCTGGTTAGCTGTATTCCTAGATATTTTATTGTTTTCGTAGCAATTGTGAATGAGACTGCATTCTTGCTTTGGGTCTCAGCTCAGATGTTGTTAGTGTATTCTGAAACTGCTGAAGTTTATCAGCTGAAGGAGCATTTGGACAGAGGTAATGGGGTTTTCTAGATATAGAATCATGTCACCTGTAAACAGGGATAGTTTGACTTCCTCTCTTTCTATTTAGATGCCTTTTATTTCTTTCCCTTTCTGTGCCCGGGATGTCCAATAGTATGTTGAATAGGAGTGGTGAGAGAGGGCATCCTTGTTTTTTTGCTGGTTTTCAAGGCAAATGCTTCCAGCTTTTGCCCATTCAGTACCATGTTGGCTGTGTGTTTGTCATAGATAGCTCTAATTATTTTGAAGTATGTTCCTTCAGTGCTTAGTTTTTTGAGTGCTATTAACATGAAGGGATGTTGAATTTTATTGAAAGACTCTTCTGCATCTACTGAGATAATTATTTAGTTTTTGTCTTTAGTTTTGTTTATGTGATGAATCACATTTATTGATTTGTGTATGATGAATCAACCTTCCATCCTAGGGATAGAGCCTACTTGATTGTGATGGATTAGCTTTTTGACGTGCTACTGGATTTAGTTTTCTAGTATTTTGTTCAGAATTTTTTGCATCTATGTTCGTCAAGGATATTGGCCAGAAGTAGTTGTTGTGTTTTTGTTGTCTCTGGCAGGTTTTGCTATCAGGATGTCACTGGCCTCATAGAATAGATTGGGAGGAGTCCCTCCTCCTCAACTTTTTGAAATAGTTTAAGTAGAAATTGTACCAGCTCTTTTTTGTACATCTGGTAAAATTCAGCTAAGAATCTGTCTTGTCCTGCTCATTTTTTGTTGGTAGGCTATTTATTACTGATTCAATTTTGGAGCTCATTTTTGTTCTGTTCAGGGATTAAATTTCTTCCTGGCTCAGTCTTGCTGGAATGTATAGGTCCAGGAATTATTCATTTCTTCTGGCTTTTCTGTGTATAGAGGTGTTCATTGTTGTCTCTGAGGGTTATTTGTATTTTCGTGGGGTCAGTGGTAATATTCCCTTTGCCACTTCTAATTGTGTTTATTTGAATCTTCTCTCTTTTTTCGACTTAAAAGACCTTCTTGATTTCTGCCTTAATTTCATTATTTACCCAAAAGTTATTCAAGAGCAGGTTGTTTAATTTTCATGTGATTGTATGATTTTGAGCAACTACCTCAGTATTAAATTTTATTTTTATTCCACTGTAGTCAAGTGTGGTTGGTATGATTTCAGTTTTTTATTTGCCCAACGTTGTTTTATATTTGATGGTGTGGTTGATTTTACAGTATGTATCATGTAACAATGAGAATAATGTATATTCTCTTGTTTTTGAATGGCAAGTTCTGTAGAAGTCTATTACATCCATATGCTCCATTGCTGAGTTCAGGTCTTGAATATCTTTGTTAATTTTCTGTCTTGATGATCTGTCTAATACTATCAGTGGGGGTGCTGAAGTCTCCCCCTATTATTGTGTGGGAATCTAAGTCTCTGTTTAGGTCTCTAAGAACTTGATTTAGGAATATGGGTGCTCCTGTGTTGGGTGCATATATATTCAAGATAGTTAGATCTTCTTGATGAATTGAACCCTCTATCATTAGGTAATTACCTTTGTCTCTTTTTATCTGTTGGTTTAGTCTGTTTTGTCTAAAATTAGGATTGCAACCCTGCTTTCTTTTTTCTATGCTCTCCATTTGCTTGTAGATGTTTGTCCATCCCTTTGTTTTGAGCCTATGGGTGTCACTGCGTGTGACATGTTTGTCTTGAAGACAGCATACCATTGGATGTTGCTTCTTTATTCAGCTTGCCACTCCATACCTTTTAATTGGAGGCATTTAGCCCATTTACACTCAAAGTTAATATTGACAAGTGCAAATTTGTTCTGCCATCATGATATGAAGTGGTTATTACGCAGATTTTGTTGTGTGGTTACTTTATAGTGTCACTGGTCTGTGTCCTTGAGTGTATTTTTGTAGTGGCTGGTAATGGTCTATCCTTTCCATATTTAATGCTCCTTTCAGGAACTCTTGTAAGGCAGGTCTTGTAGTAACAAATTCCCTCAGCTGAAAAATGAATATTAAAAAAATGTGATACTTACTCTATACCGAATGTCCAAAATTCAGTACACTGACAACATCAAATGCTGGCAAGGATTTAGAACAAAAGGAACTTTCATTCATTGATGGTGGGAATTCAACATGGTATAGCTATTTTGGAAGACAATTTAGCAGATTTTTACAAAGATAAAGATATTCTTACTATGTGATCCAGAAATCACTCTAGCTGATATTTACTCAAAGGAATTGAAAACGTGTTTACACAAAATCCTGCACATAATTGGTTATAACAACTTTATTCATAATTGCTAAAACGTGGAAGCAACCAAGATGCTCTGAAGTGGGTGAATAAATAAATAAACTGTGGTACATCTAGATAATAGAATATTATTTAGCACTAAAATTCTGGCTATTAAACCATAAAAAAATAGAGGAAATTTAAACGCATATTATTAAGTGAAAGAAGCCAATTTGAAAATATTACATTCTATAGGTTTCCAAATATATAACAATTTGGGGAAGTGGAAACTATGGAGACAGTAAAAAGATGAATTGTTTTCAGAGGTTGAGGAGAGGGAGGAATGAATAGGTGAAGCCCTGAGGATTTTTAGGGCAGTGAAAGTAATCAAACTACTCTATATGATACCATAATGGTGGATCTGTGTAATTATAAATTTGCCCATTAACATAGAATGTACAACATCAATAAACTATAGAGAAATGTAAACTATAGATTCTGGGTAAGAAACTGGATTCTGGGTAAGAACAATATATCAATGTAGGTTCAGCCACTTTAAAAAATGTACCACTCTGGTGTGAGATATTGCTAAGTGAAGAGTCATGCATATGTAAGGGAAAATCTCTCTTCATTCAATTTTTATGTTAACCTAAAAGTGATTTAAATAATAACATCTATTAAAAATAAATATTTTCATTGTGTGAAACAGTTGACCTATGTTGGGCATAAGTGATCAGCTCTGGCCTCATTTAAGAATGTGTCTAAGTAGCTAATACAGAAAATACGGTTGTTCTGAAGGACATTGACACAAATATAAACTCCTGTATTTGTCGTTAAGGAAAGCTGACCTATTTAAGAATCTATTTAAATTGCAGTAATGTTCCAAACATCTTATCTAATGGTGCCATGTGATAGAAACTGTCATTATGAAGCTTATTTTCTAATAGATAAAGCTTAATGAGGACCCTGAAAACAGTTACAGCTTTATGCCAGTCAACAGGTAAGACCACCCTTCTGTTGTTTTTGTGATGTTCTTAATTTCTTATGCAGACCAAAGAACTAACCATTTTCATTATTATTTTGATGTTTTAATATACTTACGTTTTTAGTACAACTGCTTTCTAAATATGAGAAAAGGGGGCATGCCAACCAGGAAGCAGATAATATATAAGATTTAAAGAAAATATCTTGAATCATGAATTTTATTTTCAGTGACAATACAATATCAATTGTCATAATATTAGCTGATGGTTTCTTTTATTTGCAAGTGAAAAATGCCATAAACAGTTCTCATTTTCTCAGTTGAAAGTATTTTTATGGTTTTGGAAGATGTTCTATTATAACATAAAGATATTTTTCTAAAGTAGACGTTTGGAAGAATAAAATTTAAATTTTTACCAATATGAAGCAGATGTTGTAGTGAATGAATAGACATATTTCTTCATCACTACCCTTGAATGATTATGTTATATCAATCAACAGTATATTGAGCCTACAGGATAAACTTCATGTGTTGTAGAAAAGAGAGATGGAAGGATTTATTACTTCTATGCATGACACAATTCAAAATAAATATAAAAGTAAATTATGTATTATTTCTGTTGTGTTTGCCTTTATATTTTCAGAATTATTTACTGGGTATCTACTGTATTTCAGGCACTCTGCTACCCATCGGGACATATTATCCAGATATCTCCTAAGCTATTGAATGCAATTATTCAATTATATGAATTGTAATTTTATAATTTTGTACGTACACCCAACCTCTTTGATTTGACATGTGAATAGTAGTCTAGAATATATTATTTCATTTTTGTCCTAGATTATTAACTTAGATTTTCTAAGGTATCATGTTTCACTGATTATACTTAATCTCTTCTGTAAGTTTAGTCTCCGTGTATGACTCCTCTTATACACTGTTTCAGATCCTCTAGGTCTCAGCCATCTCCAGGCTTTTTGCCCTTTTGTTCCAAGCCAAGTGCATATCATGTTAATCAATTCTGTGTGAATTCTCATCAACCTCTATGGGTACAACCATTCTTGAGAAGGTACATGTCTTACATCATGCCCAGGACTTCCTACTGATGCTAAAGCTTTGGTTATCAGAGGTACCATTTGTGCACTACCTAGAAGTCCAATATATGGGGTGAACTTTTAACCAATGATACCAGTAGGACACTTGCTTTCTTTGCTTGGGAGATATACGTCTTAGGTGATATCTGGAACTGCACTGGCATTTGTTTGCAATAGATATCTGGAACTGCACTGGAGTTTACTTGCATAGTTCTCAGAAGGACTCCCTGAGATGCACTAGGTTGGACCCTTGAGTGTGAGCAACCAATCGTGCTTCATATTAAGCAGTAGTCAGCTCAACAATGGATACTTTATTGATTTTTCTTCCTCCTCTGGTTCACTTCCCTTTTCTCTCCTCTTGCTTCCCTGGTACTTTACTCCCTAGTAGAGTAATGGTATATTACTTTTGCCTCAGGGTCTGCTTTCTAGGAAACCCAGGTATAGATTTTCTTTCTTTCTGCAGATTCTGGCAAACAGATTTAAATATCTGGAATCTAATAAATTCCTCCTCTGTTCTTTGCCTAATGTAACCATCACCACAGACCGAATTACCATGAAGCCATTAAGTTCAGTCCTTTCACATACACAGGCCCCTTACAAAGCCTCCTGCTTAATTTTATATTTGAATGTCTATGTTTTGTTAAAATACATCCATATCCAGCTGATCAATTGTATAACCTTAAGCCATGACAGAAACTGGCTCTCCACCCAGCTATCATACTGTCACGTGACTTTTCACACATTCCAGCTTCTGGAAAATTATCTGTCTGTATCCTATGTAGGTTGTTAATGTCCTCAGTGTCACAGGCTTTGGGGTCCTACTAGTCTCATTTTCTTCACAATGGGGAGACTTCATGGAGATGTAGGTCTGACAACACTTACAAACTGCTGCAGCAACACTTGGTTCCAGGGGCAGGTGCTCAGAGCAATGTAGGGCCAGAGTTTCAGACTCAGAGTTTCACAAACCTATTGTGGCACCTAGGACTTAGGGTGCAGATGCACTCTCTGTTTCAGGATTGGATGTAGGTTGCCCAGAGAGTCAGAATCTGTGACTCTGAGGCAACTCCAAGAAGCTTGAACCCAGGGGCCTGAGTTGTACCTGTGATTCTACTCCTGGGTGGCAGGGTACAGCATTGGCCCAAATCCAGGGAAGAGGAGGTGCTCTGCAGGTTTGGGCACAGGGTAGAAGACATGGCTGTAATTCAGGAAACAGAGCTGATAGGGCTCAGTGGCAACTTGGGTCCCATGAAATGAGAGTCCATGTAGTCATGACTCTAGACCCTGCATTGGTTGGACTCAGCAGTGTCCTAGACTCTGTAATGCCAGATGTTACAGCAGGTAGTACCCCAGACTGTCAGAAGACAGCTGTTCTTTGAGCCTTTGGGGGCAGAGAACAGCACAGCCATTATTCTACTTCCAAGGAAAGCCTGTCTCAACAGCTCAGAATTTAGGGGGCTAGTCCAGATCCAGGAAAGCAGGATAATAGAGTTGTTTGGCTGTGGAGTGGAGTGCCTCAGCTCAGCTACTGTGGAGTTTCCCTCGACAGAGGATACCACATCAGCTCAGCCCTGGGATGTGCAGCTGCTCAGCTAGACTAGGGTACCAATTCCCCAGGCAATGTGCTGCTTCAGCTCAGATCTGGGGGGCATGGCTATTCTGGGTAGTCTAGGTGCCTTTTCCTTGGGATGCAAGACACTGCTTCAGCTTAGGTATTGGGTGTGTTACCACTCTGTGCGGCCAAGATGTGTTTCCTGAGATGCAGGACAGGGCTTCAACTTAGGCATCAGGAGGCATGACTGCTATGAACAGACAAGGTACTGTTTTCCCAGGAGGCAGAGAACTGCTGCAGCTTTAGCCCGAGGAGGCAAGGGGAAGGGGTAGGAGAAACAGCTCCACCCATGTTTGGCCCCATGGGAATGGTGTAACAGCTTAGCCTGAGGATGTCGAGCCTCTGGGCTGGGGTACTTCAGCAGGGCTTAGAGTCGGGGCTGAAGGGGAGCCGTGGCTAATCAACCCCAGAGCAAGACACACTCCAGCGGTAGTTCTAGTTCCAAAATGGCATAGTGCGGTAGCAGCTCTGGCCACAGGGGTGGCAGGACACAGTGTTGGCTCCTTCCCTGGGGAGCACAGCTATGTGGACTCCAGGCAGCAACCTCAGCTGGGCTTAGTGTCTGTGAGGACTGCAGGGGACCCCAGTGGAGAGACCTGTATTTGTCCAAGGTTTCAGTGGGGGCTGCTGGGACTCTTTTGCTCATCTCCTCACTATCGGTAGAAGGACCTTCTGGTTCCCAGCTAATCCTGGTTTGGGGGTGAGGTGGTGGAGGCCCAGTGTTTCCTTGCGTTCTTTATGTGGCCGTCCTGAGTTTCTGTGCTCACCAGGTTGTCTGTTACTCCTCTTATGCACTCCAGCACTTTATGTCGTTACTTTTTTTTTTTTTTAATGTAGGTTTTAAAATTGTCTTGGCTGTCTTTGTAAGGGTGATGAGGGCTCTGCACTTCTAGTCGGCCAATACTGGAAGTAATGTCTCAAATATTAACCTTGTTTCTTCTTTCCCTCTCACAAACAGTTGACTATAACATTTATTCTTATCTCCAAGGAAGAGAACAGTAAGTCTATTCAGTTACTGAATAAGACTCAAGATTAGAGTTGGAGTTTATTCTTCTCATTTCTATGGAGCTACTACATTCATATGCTGAAACTTGTGAATAAAATGATAAATGCAACAACCACCAAATAACCTACAGACCTGATAGATAAATGAAGAAAAAAGCTACAAATACAAATAAGATATATCATTCAATAAGCCGAGAAATACTGGGAGAAACTATGGTTATATTTTCCTCTGATAGTCATCAGTGCAGAGCTAGTGTTTATAGTCCATTCCTCTGCCATACATATTCCTACATCTTTAAGATTTGGTCATATCTAATATATCATTAGTATATTTCTTTTCCAAGTAGGGTGACATCAAACTTTTAATTCTTGTCATCAGAGTCTTTTGGACTCATTTTAATTTTGTATATTTTTATTGGAGCAATCCTAATGAGTTATAAGAATTGATATATTGTGGCTTTTATAATTTATTAAAAGTCTTCCAAAAAAAAGAAGAAATTCAAAATAGTTTTCAATTTTATCATCCTAGAACTTATCTCAGTATCACTTACCAGTTATTTATCCATGCTAAAAGTGACTGAAATAATAAGAAAGTATACAAAGAATGGAAACAGCAGAAGGATCATACAGAAGCAAAATAAAGCATTACAATCTTTAAAACTTTTTTATTTTATTAAACTATTAAAATTCAGATTTTTAATTTTTCTGCTCATAACATCAATGAGAAAAAGCATGATGAAAGGAGAAATTTCATAATCATTAGATGAGTGCAAAGAGACCCATAGAAGTGCCCAGATTCTAATAATGATGGTGATATTAATTATATTTTACTAGTCTTCATATAATGCTATCTTAAAATAATTTTCTCAAATGGGTAAAAGGCTGAGGGTTTTTTCTTTCTTCTAAGTCATTTTTCCTGAGAAATAAGAATGGGGAATAATGGGAGAAAAGTTTTGAGTATGATGTGGAATATTTTAAATATCCATTGCAATGATTCGAGAGGAGGATAAGCCAAAAACACACAGGAGTTTTCAGTTGTGATCAGTGATTATAAAATCATTGCTATACTTCTTACCCTTTCATATGCCTTTTACCCCCACAAAAATACTATTACACTGAATGGTTTTACGATTTTTTTTTTTTTTTTTAATGCTGAAGCTCTAGGGTGGAGAAAAACCCAGTCAAGTCTCCCTTTCCCACTCCTCCTTTCTATCTTGTCACTAGAGGGGAAAGAGGCATTTGTCTTGTTTCTAGGAAGAAAAACTTGTTTAATTCCAATATGAAAGTGTGCTTCTAGATTTAAAAGATTTCTCAACCCATGAAAAACAGCTAATTGTGAAATAGCATTGTTTGTGCTCTTGCGATACAGAAAACTATGTTTGTTAAACATGGAGGATATAGCTTTCCCTTTCTCTGCTGAGAAGAATATGAGGAATTAGGATGCATCTATTTCTTAAATTATTAATTTCTTTCCATGTCTTATAATTTTTGATATCTAGAAATGAAATGTGGTGATCTTATCTATAGACTGTACTTCATGTCCTAATATAACTATTAATAGAGTTCACTCTCATTATCAAAAGATATATAGTTTAATCAAAAAATTATATAGTCGTCCTAATGTTAAAATGCTAGAATTTTCTAAAATGCTCATAGAAGTGCTAGTCCATCACCAGACAGACTATCCTTATGATCACTTTAAGTAAAGTAAATGTAAATCAGGCAAACTATTATGCTTATACAATCAGGATTACTGATACCTTCCTTGAGAAGTAGTATAATTACTTTCTTTTGTTCAGATATTTCTACACTTGGTTGTAATAAAGAGCTAAAGATATTTATTGTCTAAGTTGAGAGCAGCTGAATGGATTAAATTAGATAATTACCAGCTGTTACTCACTTCAGAAATTGGCTGGAACTCAGAAAAGAGCCACTTACAAGGCCTGAGAGAGTTGCGATGACATGGTTTGATACCCAGGTGTCACAGAGTTGCAAGAAAAGCGAGGTTTATCAAGTTAAGGAATTGGAATCTTAGAATAATATCCAACTTTTATGAAGTTTTGCAAACCCCATCCCTAATCTTAATACTCAGAATCATGAGATTTGGAGAACAATCATGATTTTGTGGGTTTAATTGTTGTTTGTAAATTGGATAGCCGGCCTTCCCAATCTTTGTATAGACTTAAATATATATCTATTCAAACACTCCATTAAAGACTTACATGATGGTTCCAAACTTCTGCTGCTGATAATATTTTCGTATTTCTGCCACTTATATTTCTGTATTTCTACCACTGTTGATTATATTACTAGAAGTATTGGTTATTTCTTAGTACTACTGATTACAGAGATATGGGCAATTTGAATTTTTCCCATATAATTAGTTTATTCCTTTGATTTTTTTTCACTGTGATTTTTTTTTGCTGTCTTCACTTGTATAATGTGACATTTGTTGACTTTTTTTGAGATGTAAGTGAATATATTGCTATTGATAAGGAAATGCTCAAGTGGTTCCATTTATAATGTAAATAAGTTGTCTGTAATAAAGGATTTTTGGTTGATCACCATGACTTATTAAAACAGTACACCACATATACCTATACTGAAAAACTGTGATTTATAAATATGATATATTTTGAAAGAAAGTTTTAAACTCTACCATTCCAGTATGCTTTAAATGGTGACTTTGTTCTCATTACGCGATAAAACAAATGTTCCAAGTGTAGAAGGCAGTACTATGTCACTCATATGTTCCCTCTGTTTAGTCTAGACCTGAAATTAATAAAGGCTTTAAATGTGGGAGATTTCAAAGAGTTCTTTTTAACTTTACAAATTGTGTTCTGTTTTCCAGAACCACAATTATTTGATTAAAATGACTTCAATTTAAGTATGTATCAGGGCCAAATAATAAAATGTGAGATTTTGTCATTTACAAATGAAGACTTGACACAATGGTTTTTTTGTTCACTGGGACATCCATAAGCTGTTAAATAATAGGATCAGTTCTTCTCCTTTTAAAGGGCATGAAAGTTCAACTTTATGTGATGATCAGCTTCACATTTTTCTGTAGTGTCTTGATTTTCCTAAGTAAGTCACATTATTTCTCATATAACATCTCTTCATATAAAGGCATAATAGTCTATACATTAGTACCAATTAATAGAGAAAAGAATTTAGAGTAAACTAGTAAAGCATAGACTATGTCCAGGATAGTTGAGTTAGTACAACTCTCCTAAGGTTCTCTTACAATAAAAGCATTTTTATTTATATTGAGCCCCGCATGTTATTTCTTCAGGATAGCATATCATCTGGGCTTTGGTACCAATGTAGCTACATATATTAAATCATTAAAAAAATGCTATGATGAGCGATTGCAATGCCAACATGCAAAATATAAACTAGATCTCTCCTTCCACATTTGTTTTACAGAGCAAACTGTCTCTCCTAAAACAAAAGCCATAAACCAGGGCACATTAAGGTTTGTCTCTAATTGTTGCTCCCCCTTTAGCTCTTCAAGGGGAGATAAACACAATTTGTAATGTTATAAAGAAGCGATTTATGGATTATATGTTAGGAATCTAATATGATATAATCCAAAGCTTCTCATGATTCAATAAAAACTTATCTGTTCTAAGCAATCATTTCACAATATGTCCTCCTCCATTCAGACTTGTGCTTTGCATGCCAAGCATGTTGACTCAGGTGTTTGTTGATCATATACACTTCTTTACATTTTATTTTTATTCACAGTCCAGCCAGCATTGTACTTCTGCCACAAGGCATCCGTTCCTGACCATGCAGGTCTCATTACCCTGGCTGTATTCTCCACTTTTTGCCAGTATGTTCATGAAACTCTTCTCAATTACCCTGCCTTCAAGAACCTCAGGAAGTAGCCACATAATCTTAGAATTAATCTTAAAAAATTCACACATAATTTTAATCATAGGACAAAGAGATTATATTTTTAACATGATAATCCCCTTCCACTATTCTTAATTTTTACTTTTCTCCATAATGCTTAACATCAACCACCACATAATATATGTATTTGTTTACTCTCCTTCCCCTTCTACTAGAATGTGAACTCCATAAATGAGAAGACTTTTATTTATTGCTGCTTCCCTTGAGCCTATCACGGTGCCTGAAACAACTCCATAAACATTCGCTGATTTATTGAGTGAAGGACAATAGGCTGTACTACAGTATTAGATGAAAGAAATGTAGTTTAAAAATCAACAAAAAATAGATCACAAAGCATTTTATCTTCTGTTTTTTGTCATTCATGATGTTTGTATCAATGTCGATAGAAATTTAAATTATTTTATTCACATATGTAAATTCAGAACCTACATTCCCTGTTTATACATAGGTTCTGCATTATATGACTACAATCATATTTGAGCAGTTCTTCAAAAAATGATTTGCTGTTCTCATCCTGTACCCCTTTGACTATTTAGTGAGATTATGTAAGAGAGAATAAATTGTTTAAATATTAATAATATTGGTACTCAAATTTCATCATTTACTAAACATAAGCTCCTTTTGAGAGGCAGGTCTATTATTCTTATTTTGTTTAATACTTGAGCTTCTGATCCTATGTGAATTTATGTACCAGTCCCTAGGGAATTCTGACATAATTATATTAATGTAATTGTTTTTAACTTTACTTTATTTAGAAACTCATGTGAAATATCCTCAATTAACTTCATTTTATTGGCAGACTCCTAACACTCCTTTTAATAATTTATTTTTATTGTTTTTAGTATAAGAACATTTAAAAAAGGAAGTTCACAAACCTTAAGAAATATTATTTCAAGTGAACTTTAGAATAGACATACACCCTTCCTTTAAAAATGGAATATGCTGGCTGGGCACGGTGGCTCACACCTGTAATTCCAGCACTTTGGGAGGCTGAGGTGGGCAGATCAGCTGAGGTTGGGAGTTCGAGACCAGCCTGACCAACATGGAGAAACCCCATCTCTACTAAAAATACAAAATTAGCCGGGCATGGTGGCACATGCCTGTAATCCTAGCTACTCAGGAGGCTGAGGCAGGAGAATCGCTTGAACTCAGGAGGCGGAAGTTGCAGTGAACCGAGGTCATGCCATTGCACTTCAGCCTGGGCAACAAGAGTGAAACTGCATCTCAAAAAAAGAAAAAAATATATGAAATCTGCTAACCTTTACATCAAGCAACTTCCAAATAACTTCATGCAGTAATTAAAATTCTAGTTTCTTTCCTAAGATTTTCTGTATTAATGTAGTTTATGAAAAAAGAAATACAGTTTAATCTTAGTCACATTACCATTAAGAGGTTCTTTAAAATGTTTCTTATTGTGATCCTTTCTATTAGATTTTAATCTGCAGATTATAAAATTAAAGAATGAGTAACTGGTTGTCTTAATTCATTTAAGAGAAAATTATGGTCATACAAGAGGCACATGCACAAACACACACACTTAGGGAAGTGGAATGCACTTAGAAGCAAAACTGTAAAGTAGTAATCTTAGTAATATTTATATTACAGAATTATTTAAAATAAATTAAAACCAACAAGGTAAAAAAGATGTTTTTGATGGTCACACTCTCCAACAAAATGGGAAAGTATAGTCTTGATCCTGTAAATTAATTTTGTGATTTAAGTATGTATTAATTGTGAGATAGGCAGTGAGTACTTCATTTTCATTTTTGATTCAATAAGAAAAACTCAAGTAAGCACATTTACTCACTTTACCAAGCACACCTAACCGGTATCTGTGAAACAGTAGTCATCAATATTTGACTCATAGGGAACCTCACTGGGTCAAATTTCAGGAGCCAGCACCACATGATTAGGAAAAACAGATTACAATGGTGAAATTTTATATCCATATTACAGTGCTTATTTCCATTTTCTTAGCATTAACATACAAAAAATCTCAAATGTCTGAAGCCAGAATGGAATAGTTAAAATATCTGTGATATTTGAGAGAAACTATACAGTTTATATGTCATTTTATACATATATACTTTTTTGGGAGAATGTGAGAAAGATTAAGAAAACGAGAGAAAGAAGAGATAATGAGTAAGACAGGATAGGATAATAGAGAAAGAGAATATTGAGATTCAAGAAACAGTTTTCATCATTTATGAGACTAGAAGATATGAGAAAAATCTGGGGGTATTGAATAGAGGTTATAACGTTCTTAGAAAAAGAAGACAAATTGGACCTAACAGATAACATTAAACATTTTGTTACCCCGCATTAGAATATAAGCTGCTTTAGAGAAGAAGTCTTTTGTTCATTAATGTGTCCTGATTTTTATACTACAAAGTCTGGCACTTAGTAGCTTTTCAATAAATATTTTCTTTCTTTTGTTTTTTTTTTTTTGAAACAGAGTCTCAGTATGTTTCGCAGGCTGGAGTGCAGCGGCATGATCTCGGCTCACTGCAACCTCCGCCTTCCAGGTTCACGCTATTCTCCTGCCTCAGCCTCTCAAGTAGCTGGGACTACAGGCGCCCGCCACCACGCCTGGGCTAATTTTTCATTGTTTTAGTAGAGACGGATTTTTACCGTGTTAGCCAGTATGGTCTCGATCTCCAGACCCCGGGATCTGCCCACCTCGGCCTCCAAAAGTGTTGGGATTACAGGCGTGAGCCACTGCGCCCTGCCAATAAATATTTCTTGAAAAAATTTAATGAAGAAGTTCAAATAATAAATGAGGTTTTTAATACATCCATTGAAATTAATTGCTAATTTAATTATGTAGATTGAATGGTTTCATAGAAAAGAGAAATTATCTTGGGTTACTTTGGTATTTGAAATGAATTGGTAGATTTTAGGTTAGTAGATTTTCAGATAGCTAAAAATATAGAGTTAGGCATAGCTCATTTTAACACTATGTTAGCGTGCTAGGATTGCCATAACAAACGAACACAGACTAGGGTAGCTTAAGTACCATCAATTGTTTTTGTCACAGTTCTTGAAGTTAGAAGTCCAAGGTCCAACTGTTGGCAGGTGTGTTTTCTTCTGAGGCCGCTTTCCTTGGTTGGCAGATGGCTATCTTCTCTTTTGCCCTCACATGGTCTTTTATTTGCGTTTGTGCATCACTGGAGTCTTTGCATGTCCAGATTTCCTCTTCTTATAAGGACATTTTTCAGATTGATTAGGGCACTTCCACATGACCTGATTTAACCTTCATTACTTCTTTAAAGGCTCTATCTCCAAATTCAGTTAAATTTTGGGGTAATAGGAGTTGGGATTTCAAAATATGAATTTTGGAGGGACACAATTCAGCCCATAAGAAAGATATTTATTAACGGTTGTGGTGTGCCACTCACTGTCCTTGGTCCTACAGATATAGAGATAAAAGATGCACTCTCTGGCTCCACATAGCATACATCTCAAGAAAAATAAGAAGAAAAGAAAAACAGTCAAGACACACAAACAGTCATTTGCAATACAGGGAAGATGATATGCTAGAGATTCAGCTATTCATAGAGCATGGGTGTCTAGTAAACCCTGAAGAGATACAGAGAAATGCCTGGAGGAGTGCTAACTTGGCTGAGCCTGAATGACAAGTAAGAGCTAATCATAGGAAGAGAGAGAAATCCTTTCTAGTCACCAGTTATGGCATTCACCAATATCTTGTTGTTTGAGACAGTTTAGTGTTCCTGGGGGGTAGTGGCACAGCCTTGCATGCTGAACTAGAGATTCGATTTAATGACATTGGCAACTGGAGTCATGGAAAGAGTCCATGCTGGAGTTACGTGAAGAGATTTTATTGAGAAAGGTCATGGAAAGAAGCAAGAATTGGGTGAGACCTCTCAAAGTATGGGAATGGGTTGCATAAGGTTGATCTAAGAGACAGTGAAATTATAGTTCTTTAATTCATATAAGACATAGTGAGTGTTTAAACTAACACAGTGTTACTGGTATGAAGTGAAGAGAATATACATCAAGAAGTGAATTAATAATATAATACTAATGGCTGAGATTTAATGAGGACTTTCAGTATTTTGAGTATTTTGCATTTATTAATGCCTTTAATTTGCACAAACCTATATGATATATATTATTATTGCCATCTTTATTTTACAGATAAGGAAAATGAGGCCCAGGGAGATTAAATTATTCACTCAAGGTCACAGCTAGTACACAGCTTATCAATAGCCAAGACAAAACTTAAACTTGGGAAATTTGCCTCAGGTATCCATATTTTAAACCATAATAGTGCCACTGGGCAGATAAGTTACATTAATAAGATAGACTCAACATTATTTGCAGACTGAAAAGGTAAATATTTAAGAAGAAAGAAATTTAAGATAACTTCTAAGTTTCTGACTTGGGTGGAGGTTAGAGAGAAGATGGATTTCACTTAGAATAGATTAACCGTAAAATACCCATGAAGCACCAACGTGAAGTTTCCAGGAGAGAATATGCTCTATTGCTAAGTATCTAGAAGATAAATCTGAGCTAGAGACCTGGAAACCACAATTCTGAAGGCAGTAGCTGAAGCTAGGGCTTTGTGTGTTCCTCCATCCATGATAGTTTATGGTCTGAGAATGACAGGTGGTGAATGAGGCGTTCTGGTGTACATAGCCATTCTGTTGGTAGGATGCATTGGGCATCCTTAAACCTATAGCAACCAGATAATGAAGCTATTGTGATTGGCTCAGTTCACTCAGGATCTACCTTTGTGTCAGTGGAGTGTATATGAATAGTGAAGGAGAGGGGTGAATAGCTCAATTTTGTTAGCAGCTATACAGAGTGGAATGAATGTTGCAAAAGCAACAAATGTCTTTGCTACTGCTAAAAGGGAGACAAAACACAGAAAAGCAGAAAACACGGAAGACAGGAGAAGTGAAAAGAAAATGATAGAGAAGGGTACTCTCAGGCAATTCCTGAAAAAAAAATTACATTTTAATTTACATTGAAAAGATGAGACACTTTTTCTTCTTCATCCCTCTTCCATCCTTTCCCCTCTCCTCTGTTCCCTACCATTCTCCTCCTCTCGTCTCCAATCTTCTTTCTTTTCTTTTTCTTTTCCTTTCCTTGAAACTTTATGGTGAGGTAAAGTACAAAGAATGATATGATTAGGCTTTGTGTCTTCACCCATATCTCATCTTAAATTGTAATCCCCAGGTGTTGAGGGGGATTCCTGTTGGAAAGTGATTGGATTATGGGGGCAGTTTCCCCCATGCTGCACTTGTGATAGTGAGTGAGTTCTCATGAGATCTGATGGTTTTTTAAGGGGCTCTCTCCCCTACTCATTTTTTGCTCACTCTCTCCTGCTGCCTTGTGAAGAAGGTACCTGCTTCCCCTTTGGCCATGATTGTTAAGTTTCTTGAGGCCTCCCTAGCCACGTGGAACTGTGAGCCAATTAAACCTTTGTTTATAAATTACCCAGTTTTGGGTAGTATCTTTATAGCAGTGTGAAAACGGACCAATACAAAGAGAAAGCATGGTTTGTGCAAAGAATAGGAGATAAGGAACCAAACACGCGTGAAGAATGTTCCTTTAAATATATTTCACTATGAAGGAAAATAAAATCAGATGATTGCTAGAAAAGATCTTGAAGTATTTAGGGAAATCAGTGAATATCTTAATAGTTCCCTAAACCCCAAAGTAGAACTTGTATTTTTAAAAATTCTGATTACAAAAATGTATTTTTGATATTTGATATTCCCTCAAATTACAACAAAAAGTACAATTAAAGAGTTGATATAAATGTTCTAGTTGTGTTTATGGATATGCTTATTAATAAGTATAACCATAATATTTCTTGGAAAATGGTTTTTTCTCTCATTAATACATGTTGGATACCATTTTATACCAGTGCATACAGATTTCTCTAGTTCCTTTTAATGAATGAATAATGTGCCTTCATTTAGCTATAGTGTTTGTTACATAATCAAATATTACTGATGGATATTATTTTTAAATGCTTTAATAATATACTTAATAGGGCAATCGTGCATTCATGAATACATCTTCCCTAAGGATTAATTTCTAGATATGGAATTATTACTCCCAAAAATAACTTTAACATTTTTAAAGATATTGTCAAATATTTCTCCTTGACTGTATTTAACGACGAGACTTAAACATTTTTCAGTGTCAAGAAGAAATAACGTCTCCTCTATAAAATATTCCTTACTATCATCAGAAAGTATTAATCTTTATTTTCTCATCCACAACATGCTATTTATGCCTTACAATAATAGCACATTCTTTACTCAGATTTATAACAAAATTAGGTTAAACACAGGAATGTTTCTAATTTTATGAGGCATTATGTCTGGTTAATCATTTTTGTCTCTTTCAGCATCTCTCATATTAGACAGTATAAATATCCATTGAATTCACTTCAACAGGGAGCAAAAGTTAATAAAAACAAAATAATGGCAGAAAAAAGGAAATACTTTGAGGAAGAATAAATAGCATAATTTTGTTCTAATTTGATCATCTAAAGATGTTTTAAAAACACTTGAATGTATAGTTCTGTAGCTAAGATATTTTGTACATTATATTTAAAATTTTCTTAATTTCTGAATAATCTTGTGGTCCATCAGAAAATTCATGTTATAAAAATACCAAAATGTCCTGAATTATGCAAGTAGAATCTTTGATCTTTTGATCATAATATGCTTAAAAGGAAAATAAATTAAGACCATAATTAGACACAAAGATGTCCTTTTACAGATAATGTATATGGATATTAAGCATTTGCACTATGAAGTATTTGTTAAAAATTGCTTCTCGTAAATATGTTCCACTTAAAGCTGGCATTCTCCTTTCATCCCTGTGACTGTGGGTTTGATTGCAACATGTCTTGATGAAGCCAATTCAAGGTTTAATAAAATCAACTCAGTTGAAAAGTGTAATCCAGAGAAATTACGTTTGTTTTCTATTCTTAGAGCAGGTTGACCAATGTCTACTTTCTTTCAGCCTGGGATGAGGTCAGTATGGACCTTTCAAAAAGGCTTCACAGTGAAGCTTTTTTGTTTTATGCTAATAAGTATACGTCTTATAATTTAAAAGGGGAACTTATCATTTCACAAAAATTTAATTGTCATAGTAAAGTGAAAGTCAGCTTTGTTCAATTTTCTAAAATAAATCTTGAGTCATTGAGTCAAAGCTTCAGTTGGGACACCGAACTGCTGTTGCTGCATGGTTCAATTACACCATTGTAGCAAATGTACATGAATAAAACTTACTATGCAGGTACCCAGAACATGTATAGACTATATAAGCATCTCTTCTATTTGACATATTTCTGTATATTGCTTAGAATTCAAGTAACATGAGTAGAAACTAAAGGGGAAAGTGACATACTATATTTTTATATGACTCATTTACATATACCTTTAAATTTCTGTTCAAACTATAAGGTTATGTGAGCCTACCAGTCTTTTGCATTAATTACACATTGCCATTTACTCTTCTACAGGCCCTTTTTATATAATACATCATTGTTGAAATTTGTTACCTAGGCTTCCCTAATACAGCTTTTATGATTTTTAGTTTAATAAATATAAAATTAACAATTTATAATGAATGGGACCACATGTCCATCTATGCACCAGTCTCTGTAGCTATGCAGTGAAAAACTAGCTTGAGGTTACAAGCTCACCTCTGTGATGTAAGTCAGAAAAAATCTGCATAGCAAAAGGTTGTTCTATTCAGGTATTATCGCTGAAAAAGGAGAAATAGATATTATGTCAAAAGAACAAATGCTTACATTATACTTTGAGAAACACTGTAATACTTATTTTCCAAGATTATTTATTTTGTTCCTATTGGAAAGTTCAATTAAAAATTAAATCTATTTAGTATATTTAAATGAATAGGGAATAAATATTTCATCAAATATGAAAATTCTGCTGTATATACACATATATTTATATAACATATGTATCTATCTACTTTTTGAACTTTCCTAGCAATTAATTCATATGTTTATGATTGAATCTGTCATGTATTACATCAATAACGTTATCAGTTATCCATAAAATTCATTGATGGTATTGTCTGATAAAGCACCTTTCATTCTTTTGAGTGGAAAAGAACAAAACAATATAATCTAGAATTTAATTAGCACTTGATATTCAACTGCAACTTACAATCTTTAGTTAGGTATTTTCTTCTTAACACCATTTGATCCAAAAGCACAATTTTGAAGACTAAACTTGTAGGCATTTTATTATTTTTCTGAAATAACATTAAATATATTACTGAGATCTCATATTACATTAACTAAATTAATTAATGTAAAACAATTTATAAAGAATTTTCTCATGTTTTTCTCACTTAGTACTTATAATTACCCTAAGGGAATGCAAATACATTTCTAAATGCAGTTTTTTAAAAGCTGTATCCAAGATGGTTACTAGTTGAAGAAACAAACTAAATAAAGCATAAGTCTCTGTCTGAATTAACAAAGAATTCTGGAATTCCAAGTATTTTTAAAACTAGTTTCAATTATAGAATACCCAACCATATAAGCACTGGAAGACTATATCACAAGCCTTACTTATAGACAGTAATTCAAAATCTACTTTGAGAACTTCATGATTTGTCTCAACTTTGAATTGATGACATTTCATTAAAAATATCTTATTCACCCTATGGCTAATATGTAAATAACACTATGCTTCTAAAATTGCATTACCATGTTCCCCCAAACTCCAGTACATTTTGAAAATGTATCAAGCGTGCTACCCTCTCCTCATACTCCAGATCACATGGCCTTATTTAAGACAGATCATTTTTAGAACACTATCAAATGGTCTTAAACATAGAAACCTATACTAGTTATTTTCAACTTGGGTCAGGGGGCCTTCTATAAGAAAAATACACATTTCTTCCTATGTGATGACATTCAGATAGAGTTTGAAGGAAAATCAATACATTTATTTTTTTTTTAGTTATTCATAAAGAAAACAGATACAGATGCCATCATCTCTCCATTTCTCGTTAGATTGATACCCTGTCTTCCACTTCTTGTTTCCAATGATTTCTGGACAAAGAAGCCTCTCCACTAGCATTGGGTTAGCACTAAAGGTACCAGAGTTAGAGAGAGGGTTAAGCCCTTCATCATGTGAGGAAGCATGGGATTAACCTCGGGTAGAGAGGTATTCTTAGAACTGGGTAGTGGGAGGAAGATGACAGGCACTGGGGAGGTGGAAGATTAGAGCAAGAAAGCTGCCACCAGGGCACACTCTAAAGGCCAGCACAGAATAGCATCCTTCCCACCATCCTCCTACCTCTCACAGAGACACATATTAAAATACAGTAATAACAGATGGAATTGAAATTTAAAATAGCAATATTTCTTTCTTTCTGAGTCCTTAGGAAAGATACTTGAGGAAAACATGTTGTGACTATCAAGACTCAATATTAACAATTTGCTTTATTTAAAAAAACTGATGCCTCAATATTAGGGTTCTACAGTTGTAAAAAGCTTCTATTTTGTATCCAAACTAGCAGTTGATATGGACTATTAAGCTGTTAAAGATATCATTCTATTATATCACCACCACAGAAAATAAACATTTCCTTGTCCAATATCCTTTATCATTTCCTGGCGTCTCTAAATTCTGGATGACTTTACATATTAGTGGACAGGGAATATAGGAATTCTGAAAAGTGTCTGTTAAAAAGACAGGACATGCTCCTCTTCCCAACACTCTGAGGCTTGGAATTAGATGTGATACTGAAGGTGTGGCAGCCATCTTGGACCACCACAAGGAAAAGGGCCATGCCTCAAATGACAAGGCAGAGAGTTGAAAGTAGCTTGTACATGTAATGGCTTTGGAATAGCCTTATATCAGTCATAGACTGTCCAACCTCCAGACATTTTAAATGAGAGGACTTAACAAGCCTCTCTCTTGTTTAAGCCAATTATTTGGGTTTTCTCTTATATGCAGCCAAATCAAATCTTAATTAATACACATCTAAAAATAGAGAACTACCTTTTTTTTTAAGCATGGCTGTGTAGAGGTCTGGTGTGAATTAAAGTTAATGAAGTATTAATAACATATTTATTATGTTTCCAATCATATGTGCCTCTAAAACTTGAGAGGTTTGTAAATAACGCAAGTTATTTTAATTTTGTTTCATTTTAAGTAACAATTATTTGAATTGCAAACTAATTTACACTATAAATCAGTTCTGTAAATAAAAGAGTAACTTAAATAGATGTAAACTTCAAGACATGGGGTAAGCCAACTGTCACAAATTTGAATTAGCAAAAATTGGATATCACTAAGATTTTCTGAAATAATTATTTCCATACCAGTTTTCTAAAATAATTCATTATGAAATATAGAGTATACAATTATTTTCCTATGTCACCACATGTGGTGTTCATAAGAATTACCACTCAAGTTCTTGGTGTGATTGCAAAACCTGCTGCTTCTTCTACGATGTTTTACAATAATAGGTGAGTGGAAAATATTTTTTCATGAGGATCCCTACTGTTGAGATTCTAACAGTTGGGTCAACAACCAAGTGGGAGAAACTGAATTTACATCAGTAACATACCACTGAAATTCTTTTGAAAAATTGTATATATGGCACTCATAGCAATTATAACTTTTAATTGCTAAAAGGACTTAAAACATTGAACAGGAAGTTACACCATTGTGGGGAGGAGTAAAGTAACTTCTATCCACTCATTTTTTAGAAATAGAAATTTTGTGAAAAATTTATGTAGTTCATTCTAGAAATCTAAATATTAAAATCATCTGAAATAATTGAGAAAATTATTTGTTTTTTAATACTTAACTACACAACTCTAGATTAATATATGCATAGTTATATACCAAAGTTTCTATAAAAAATGACAAAAGTAATTTTGAACCTTATATGAAATGTGTTATGCAAACATCAAGTGCAGACGGCAATTCTGAAAGTCAATAAGGTAAAATCAATGTTATAACACCATGTTTAATATTTTTGTTATAATAACTTATGTAGAAATAACATACACTTGAAGAAGGGGGCCTGTTTCCTTAGTTTACTAGCTTGCACAAAGGAAGAAAATAGAAAAAGTTAGCAAAGCCAAAAAATAATATCTATTTATATAATATATATGTTAAATGTCCCCAGATACATGAGATTTTATTTTGAAAAGGACTTCTCACATGAAATAGGTTTTAAAATTTTACAATATTATTATTAAATTTGTTTACAAATATTATTTTCTAATAAATATAAATGAATTAGTAATAAATCTTCAACTTTATTAATTCATGCCAATAGGACAAATAGGACCACATACAATTGTAACAACAGAAGCAAAACACTTTGAGTAAACAAATGATTAATATAATACTTCTTTCAAGTCTTCCCTCTACAGTTCAAAAATAATATATGTATATTTAATCCTAATTAGCATGGAACTCAGAGATTCGTTTCTCTAATTATCTTAAATTTTTATACTTCAGAAGAAGAAATTGACGATCTCATGATTATATTGGTTTGTTTCATTATACAAGAAAGTTTCTCAATTTTTTTCACTAAATAAAAAGTGTGACATATAAGACAAGCATAACATGATTTTTAAAAACTGTCATATAATACCATGGAATTGATAATTAATGGCTATATATTTTTAATGTGTTTCAGGTTTTAGTTTTTATGAATAAAGCTCAAATGAACAGTCTTAGCAATTATTAGGATCCACCTATTGTAGATGCAAACCCGTATTTTAAAACAAAATATGTAACATAAAAGATGTTATGTTTTTAAATGCCCCTTTTTCTTTTAAAACATCTATGTATAACACTGCAGGAGAGAGATGCTCCTTAAAAGTAAATAGGAAAATGACATAAATAGATAAAAACACTTGAAACTGCAGGATAAGATTGCATTGTAGGGTCAGCTTTAAATTTTAACCACTTGTCTTAACAGGTAGAATAGAAAATTACATAATTCGAATAGGCATAAACCTACAACAACATGCACAGGCTAGAGTTGGGAGCCTACAGGACCGAAAGAAGCAGGCTCTAGATTTGTTCAGGATAAAGGAGGTCAAAAAATTCACATTCATGGGAGGTGCCTGAAATAGACAACTACATAAAACTAGGGACTGGGATGAGACTGTATCACCTGTGAAAGGAGATTCAACACAGCAGTTACTGAAAACTCTAAGGCGATACCGTAGATGTAACGTGTCTGTAAGTTAAGAGTGGTGAAAAGAATAGAGAAAGCTGAGGTCTAAGCCTCCGTGACTAGATGTGCTCTATATTGAAATTTAGTCTGGGGCAAGAGCCCTGAACCACCACTTTAAGAAGAATTTCTGGATTGGTATTTCAAGAATCTAGATTGAGTTTCTACAGGACCACTAGGAAAGAAAGAGGAAAAATAGGCAGCAGAAAAAATAAAAATATTAATAACTGGTATCAAGGTGAGCCTACAAACTTCTAAGCTTTGGAGCATAGGCCTGGTGCGGTGGCTCATGCCTGTAATCTCAGTACTTTGGGATGCCAAGGTGGGCAGATTGCTTGAGCCCAGGGATTGAAAAGCAGCCCAGGCAACATAGCAAAAACTCACCTCTACAAAAAATAGAAAAATTAGCCAGGCATGGTGCACGTCTGTAGTCCCAGCTACTCAGGAGGCTGAGGTGGGAGAATCACCTGACCCTGGGGAGACTGAAGCTGCAGTGAGCTGTGCTCAAGCCACTGCACTCCAGCCTGGGCAACAGAGTGAAACTCTGTCTCAGAAAAAAAAAAAGGCATACAGAAAATTATTACTAAGAATTTTTGAAAAATAATCTGGAGCTAAATGCATTCCCATTAAAACTATAACAACTATATAATGATAATATATTGTGTGTATAAAACTTTTAGTATATAAAGAAGAATATGATATATAAAAAATTATGAAAAAGTCCATATGTATCAAGAATATATAGACATTAAAAACTAACCCATTAGAAAGTGTGTTTGTATGCTTTCATAGCTATACATATATATATAGCCAGTAGTGGGATTGCTGGATCATAGGGTAGTTCTATTTTTAGTTTTTTTGAGGAACCTCCATATTGTTTATATCGTTATATGTATATACATATATATGTGCCTAATGACTTAGGTGGTATATACTCTAGACTGAAGAGAATAAATAAAAGAATTAGATGCTTAGAAGTTAGTATTAAAAAATTGATTAAAAAGTGGCATAGAGATAAACATATAAAGAATGCAAAAATAGAAAAAGTGATAATAAAACATATAATCATTGTGAGCTTTCTAGTATTAAGGAAATATAATATTTATAGCGAAAGCACTCCAAGTGTCATGCAGTGTTAAGAAACGGTCTACTCTTAGAAACATCTAAATTAAATAACAGGACAATGCTAGAGAAAACAAAATAAAATAAAACAAATTAAACATTCATTCTCGGCATGATGAGGACCTTAACTAACATAAAACTTCTGCAGTCTTAGTCATACAAAAAAATTATCTAGCTAGCTAACTATCTGTCTGTTATCTACCTATCATCTATATCTGACAAAACATAACAATTTTTTTTTTATTATACTTTAAGTTTTAGGGTACATGTGCACATTGTGCAGGTTAGTTACATATGTATACATGTGCCATGCTGGTGCACTGCACCCACTAACTCGTCATCTAGCATTAGGTATACCTCCCAATGCTATCCCTCCCCCCTCCCCCCACCCCACCACAGTCCCCAGAGTGTGATATTCCCCTTCCTATGTCCATAACAATTTTTAAAATGAGTCTTGGCTAAATAAAAAAAAAAAGAGTGAAAGAGATAATACCCCTACTTCTCAAAAGCAAACTGCAAGAACTAATACTATGAAATTTGGAGGAATTTTCAGACTCATAAATGGCTAAGAATTAAGGATTCAGTACTTAAAAAAAAAAACTCATTTAGGATCAGATGACGCTTAAGATGACAAGAAGAAGGAAGTAGGAATGGGGACTCCTCCTGCATGAAACCAGGATGTCACAACTGCACATTCAGTAAAAATGTGAGTCTAGTGAAACAACTCACAGCTTCCACAGATGCAGGGAAATGTCAGGAAAGGCACTTGTCTTCCAAGACACTGGGTTAAAAAAAGTCTCACCTGAGACATTGAAATTGGGTGCACAGGTTTAGAAACAGAATATATATTGTCCATGCAATGTAAAAACCTTCAATTGATTCTGATATACTGGATAGAATAAAACACAAAATAATGCCTGAGGGACAATCTTACAATGACATTAAGCAAGATTCCCACAAAATGCCTCCTCCCTTAAACAGAAAGATAGGCTCTTAAAGAATGAAAAAAAAAAGAGACCTGCAGGAATATTCTTCACAAACATAATTGGCCAAATACAAAAGTAATAAGCACTAAAATATAAAAACTAATTTAGTTTATATTTATGGTGATCTGAAAACAAAGATAATGTTTAAATAATCTAAAATTTGTCAAAAAGATTTAAAATGAATAAATACATAAACACTGATGGAACTGGACCATGTGGCAGAATGGAAATACAGCAAACAGTTTTTCAAAAGGAGTTGGTAAGGTCTGACATCAGCAAGATGGCCAACTACAAGTCCCTAGCTCTTTTCTCCCTCACAAAGACAGTTAAAACAGCAAGCAAACGACTACACCCTCTTCAGTAAATGGTGCTAGGACAACTGGATAATCATATGCAGAATAATGAAACTGGACCCCTATCTCTCACTCTATACAAAAATCAACTCAAATGGATGAAATATTTAAATGTAAAACCTGAAGCTATAAAGCTACTAGAAAACACTAGAGAAAATATTTCAGGTCATTGTTCTGGGCAAAGATTTTATGGAGAAAAACTCAAAAGAAGAGATAACAAAAGCAAAAATAGACAAATGGAATTATATCAAATTACAAAGCTTCTGCACAGTAAAGGAAACAATCAACAGAGTGAAGAGACAACTGAGACAACTAGAAGAATGGGAGAAGATGTTTTCAAACTACTCATTCAACAAGCGATTAATATCCAGATTAAAAAAGGAACTCAAATAGCTCAACAGCAAAAAAGAATAATTTGATTTAAAAATAAGAAAATGAGCTGAATAGACATCTCTCAAAAGAAAACATACAAATGGCTAATGGGTATATGAAAAAATGCTCAACGTCACTAATCAGGGAAATGCAAATGAAAACCACAATGAAAAATCATCTTATTACAGTTGGAATGGCTATTATCAAAAAGATAGAAAATATAAAATTCTGACAAGGATGTGGAGAAAGGAAAAACTCTTATACACTGTTAGTGGGAATGTAAATTAGTATAGCTATTATGGAAAACAATATGGATGTTCCTCAAAAAACTAAAAATAGAACTCCCATATGATCCAGCAATTCCACTACTGGGTACATATCCAAAGGAAAAGAAGTCAATGTGTCAAGAAGATACCTGTAATCCCATGTTCATTGCATCAGTGTTTACAATAGCCAAGAAATAGAAGCAACCTAAATGTCCACGTATGGACAAACGGATAAAGAAAATGTAGTACATGTACACAATGTGATGCTATTCCTTCATGAAATAGAATGAAATCCTGCAATTTACAGCAACATAAATGAGCTTGAAAAAGCATTATATTAAGTGAAATAAGCCAGACACAAGAGGATAAACACAACAGGTTCTCACTCATATGTGAAAGCTAAGAAAGTTGATCTCACAGAAGCAGAGAATAGAACAGTGGTTATTAGAAGCTGGGAAGTGTAGGAAAGAGGAGGAATAGTGAGAAATTGGTTAATTGATACAAAATTACAGCTAAAGAGGAAGAATAAATTCTAGTGATCTATAGCACTGGACAGTGACTATAATTAACACCAATTTATTGTATATTTTCTAATAGCTAAAAGAGTGGATTTTAAATGTTTCCAACGCAAAGAAACGATAAATATTTGAGGTGATGGGTATGCTTACTACCTGATTTGATCATTATAAATTGTATACATATAATTGTTATGTATCTATTAGAATGAAAGCACAAAATAACTAATAGAAATTCTATTGAAAAAATAAATTCAGGGAATATAAAATTCAACGAATGGTTTGAGTTTAAATATCAGGTGAGACATAGTTAAAAAGAGTATTAATGAAGTGGAAGTTAGCACTAAGAAAGTTCCAGAATGCAGCATGCAGAGAGAAAGAAACAAAGCATGTAAAAGAAGAGCAAAACATTGTGAAAGAAAGAATGAGAACAGCAGAGGTCCATTTAATTCAAATTATCAGAGAAGGGGATAGAAAAATTAAAAAAATTTTGAGAAGATAACAACTAGGACTTCTAAAATTAAAGGAAGACACACATCCTTAGATTGAATTGCTGAGCTGGGAAAAACAAATAAACAACAAGTACACAACTAGGCACACTGTACTGAAACTACAAAAAGTCAATCTGACAGGGAGAAAATCTTAAAAGCAACCAGAGACAGGAGAGAGCTCAACCAAAAAAGGACAGATGTTATTTGATAGCAAGATTCTAATCAGCAACAAAAGCTTAAAAGACAATAGAGTGGAAACTTTTAGAAAGAATTAAGTGTCAAGTAACATTTTTGTTTCTGGTTAACTATTACTCTGGAATAAGGGTTAAGTAAAAATATTTTCACAACAAAAACTGAGAGAGGGTAGCCAATGTCTCTTAATATAGGTGAGCTAATTCTTCACTATTGCTACACCTCCAAGTCAGTCCTCTTGTAGACTTGACACAGAAAGTATATTTTTGGTCTCTGTTTCTACATCCCGGTCTTCTCCTCCACTTTGCTGACACCGTGTTAAAACATAAATTTGACCACGCGATGCCACTACTTAAATTCATTAAACGAGTCTCAGATGACTTCTGAGTAAATACAAACTCACAGCCTCAAAGACTTTCATAATTTGACAGCATACCTTTCTAATCTCATCTCCCATTCTGCCAGGATGTCCTCTGTACTGCTTGCCAGCCTGTTGAAGTACAATTTAGACAATGCTTTCTTTTGTCTTATTGGTTTTATATTTCTCATAAGGCTCAGAAACGTCTTTCTTTAGGTAAAAAATTATTTATTACTGCAGATGCAATGTAAACATCAGTTCCTGTGAGAGGCTTTCCTTCTTTCACAATCTTCTTACTCCCACACGATTTATTTCCTGAAGTGCTCCAGGAACCTCTGTATTCCTTGGTTGACATGGGTCAAACCTGTAACATAACAGTTGGCAGACAGCTGTATGTCACAGTGCATGACTGAGGGAGTAGAGGGGAAATTGGAATGGTCTCAGTGACACATTGGTCTCAGTTTGAACCAAAGCTCTGTTCATAACTGGGATTCTGACAAGAGGCATGCCTGCTAGTGGTTTGTTTGCTTGCAGACCTAAGGAGGCTTCTGAAAGAAAGCTTGTCTTAAGTGAAAAAAGTAAAGACTATAGGATTTAGCAAATAAAATTGCTTAAACAGATAAACAGAAAGGCAAAAGCAAGAGGAGTATGATACCAGTAATTCATTTAGTTTTTAGCCTGGTGTTCTCGCCGGCCTATCTTTTACTACGGACTCATCTTAACAGTGTCGTTGGAAGAAATAAGCGGCTGAAAGAAGGGTATTTGCTGAGATTTCCAAGAGAAACAATGAGGAAAGTGAAGTATTGCCTTACCACTTACTGATTTGAACACAAACATGACAGGGGAAGAGGGAGAGAGGCAGTATTTCTGCTTAAGCCTAAAGTGAAGAGTGGATTTGTAATGATGAAAATTTCAGCATAATATTATTTTGCTTAGAATAGTAAGATCACTACCAATGTGGCAACCATGATGGATCTAGCAATGGATCTAAACCATTGTTATCCAGGGGTTCTGTGGAAAAGTACACAGACAAAGAGCAGGAGACATGGTGTAACTTTAGGAGCGTCAGAAGATAGCATCTTTGCTTGTCACTAGTTGGCACTTGCATTAAGGTCATGGTGGCTTCAGAGGACTCAGACACAAAGTAATTGCTGCAGCCACTGTCACTGGAAAGTCCACAGCAAAAGCAAAAGAAGATGGCTCCTGTCACACTGGATCTGAGATGATTTATTTATTCTCTCTAAAAACCACCAGAACTAAGTGTGGCTGATTTGATATCTGTCAATACCAAGGCGGGACTGGGGTAAAAGCTGAAAATATGTAGTTAAATTGCATCTTCAATTACTTCTTTTGGCTTTCTATTCTCAGTAAATTGTGTGGTCCAATCAAGGGGTTCATTAAACATTTTGGGTATAATTAAATCAGATTTAATGTATTTTTCTTAATTAGTAAAGCAACAGAGATTATTATTAAATTACTGCTGTATATTTCACTCATATTTTTTCTATTAAATATATTATAGATATGTTTCTACAAAATAAATTTTAACAAATTATTTAGCATATTATGTCGTTTATTTTACCAGTTACATGTTTTTAGACATTATATTTGTTTAATTTTATTATTATTAAATATGGTGGGTAAACAGCCTAAAAATTAAATATCATCACATTGTTGTGATGATTTAATAATAAATTCATGGAGGAATGATAAATAATGATTTGTGAATAATTAATTAAAAGCTAAGAAGAAAATGGGAAGAGAAATTGGGATTTATTATAAAATCTCAGTATGCTGGGCGCCTGCAATCCCAGCACTTTAGGAGGCTAAGGTAGGGGGATCACTTGAGGTCAGGAGTTCGAGACCAGCCTGTCCAACATGGTGAAACCCTATCTCTACTAAAAATACAAAAAAATTAGCCAGCTGTGGTGGCATGTGCCCGTATTCCCAGGTACTCTAGAGGCTAAGTTGAGAGTATCCCTTGAACTCAGGAGGCGGAGATTGCAGTGAGCTGAGATCACGCCACTGCACTTCAGTCTAAGTGACAGAGCAGAGACTCCGTCTCAAAAACAAACAAACAAAAAACCTGATGATGATAATAAGTTATTTCAAGCCAAATAAAGAAAGGATATGCCTCTGAGAAGTGACAATCAGGAATGGAAAGGGCTGGAACCGAGAAGCATTCATTCCTTTATAGGACTTTCCACCATTTGACTTTTTAACTTTATGTTTTAATTTGATAAAAACTAAAATTAAATAAAAAGTGGAACAATGTGTAAGAAACCATATATTCTAGAATTTTCCACTTTCTTATAGCACATACAAAGTATTTTACAAATTAAAATGAGGTATGGTCTTGCCATGCCAGAGAGGGGTGGAACTAATGTCGCTATATTAGTGGTTTTTTGTCTGTTGAATTCTAGAATAAGATTGCAAATTATATTTAAGTTTTATAGCTTGGTTGTTTTAAATTTACTGACGATAAGTTAAAAACCTTACTTTGTGAATGTGGTTATGAGAAATATAATTATTTCATTACATTCTAAACTATAAAATTTTACATAGGCAAATCAAAATCTTTTCAATTGTATTTGTATGTTTGTATTTCTCCCTCCTCCCTGTCTCACTCTTACACATACCATCCATGTAGCTACTGGTTTGTTTACTTATATATTTTTGTGATAAAGTACTACGCAAGAGAATATTATGCACTGAGATTCAACTAGATGACAAAATAGAACAATGCTGCTATTAATTCTACTGATTTAAGATCATTCAAAAATTTCTGAATGTCCTTTTTTTAAAAAAAAAAAAACAAAATATTATGCATGGGTATATTAGAATCTATGACAAAAGATCTTAAAATATTAAAAACTGTTGCCTTGAATCCACCTTGCCTACAATGCTCAAGGATGTAAGATTTTATATTTCCTATTGCTCCTTGTCCCCAAGCCCCTACTTCCATATTTCGAAGAAATTAATAGGTTTCCTGTGGTGCTATAACACCTGATTATTATTCAATATAGGTGCCTAAAGAAATATGTTTAAAGGCTGGGCGCAGTGGCTCACTCCTGTAATCCCAGCACTTTGGGAGCCCGAGGTGGGCGAATCACAAGGTCAGGAGTTTGAAACCAGCCTGACCAACATGGTGAAACCCCGTCTCTCCTAAAAATACAAAAATTAGCCAGTTGTGGTGGCAGGAGCCTGTAATCCCAGCTACTAGGGAGGTAGGGAGGCTGAGGCAGGAGAATTGCTTGAACCTGGGAGGCAGAGGTTGCAGTGAGCCGAGATCATGCCACTGCACTCCAGCCTGGGTGACAGAGCAGACTCTGATTCGGGAAAAAAAAAAAAAAGAAGTATGTTTTAAAATACGTAATTTTTTTTTTGAAATTTGCATGTTAAGCATTTTATATTTATATTACTAGACCAATCTCTGTTTCAAGTAAGAAAACAACCACGGCTGGACGTGGTAACTCAGGCCTGTAATCCCAGCACTTTGTGAGGCCAAGGCAGGCGGATCACGAAGTCAGGAGTTCGAGACCAGCCTGGCCAACATGGTAAAACTCCGTCTCTACTAAAAATATAAAATATAAAAATTAGCTGGGCATACTGGTGCACACCTGTAGTCCTAGCTCCTCAGGAGGCTGAGGCAGGAGATTCACTTGAACCCAGGAGGCGGGGTTGCAGTGAACTGAGATCTGGCCACTGCACATCAGCCTGATGACAGTGTGAGACTTAGTCCCCAAAAAAAAAAAAAAAAAGAAAAGAAAAGAAAACAACCAAAACCTTCAAAAGTGAAAAATGCTTCAGGAAAACTCTTGATTACATTCCTGTCATTCAGATGAATTTCTATTTAAAAGATGCAACATTAGAAGTCTATGATTTATTCAAATATATAAAAATTTTAGTCAAGTTCTATTCTATACCTATGGCTAGACATTACCCTGAATAATTACCCCAAAGGAATTTTTAAAAATAGCCTGTCAATAGTGAGTGATAGAAAAACATCATTTCCAGGAGAGGTATATTAATCACATTATAAAGTATTTTTCACTGTCATCAAGATATCCTCAGGGAAGTTTTTAAAATATATTTTTGATACATTGTTATTCTTGAATAAAAACAAAATAAAATCTGTATGGGGTGAACTATCTACTACACTTATTTTACTAGTAAGCATTCTGAATGAGAAAAAAGACCTTCATAATTATTTATAATTTATTGTTAACTAATATAAAACAAGAGCTCACTTTGTTCCCTGTCCATTGACCTCATTCCATGTTCATCTTATCTTACCATTCTGTAGTATTTAATCCTTTTGACCACACAGGGTGCTGAAAATTATTGCCTTTGCTTATTTCCAGAGACTATTCTCATCTAATTTCATTTGTCTCTGAAAATGATTTATATAGGTATTCTTAAAATTTTAAATTTTACATATAAAATTTCTCCGTATAAAAATATTGCCTCACAAGGTATTTCTTGAACAATTCCAATACCATTCGATATTATCTATGTTAATATAAAAAATTAAGAGCCCACCAGCAACACAAAATTAGAGAAAACAGATTTAAATCAACTTGAATGAATTTTTCCACTGCAGGGCTTCTCCAAAATATCATAAAGGAATATTTTTAAGTGAAGTAATAATCTGAGAGAAGTTAAATACATTTCAAATTATGAGTGAATATGCTAATTTTATAAAGTCATCTTATAAACTTACAAACTCTAGTAGGAAATGTTAAAAGTAAACAAATTTTTAAAATCAAATAGAATATTTAAAAATATTCTATTGCTTTAGTAGTCAATATAATTATTAAACTGATGGTATTAGATATCAACATTTGTCTATCAGATTAATAAAAGAAACAATTCTAATAGAGGTCAGGATTGCTTCCATACACTCATGCTTTCATTCAGGGCCATAGAGTCTAGCTAAATTGGTACTTCTTGTGGTTCAGTAATTTTCAAGTTATATCGTCTTAAACCATGCATTCTAATTAGGCAAATTACTCCTTTCTGAATTTATTATTATGAAGTTATCACAGTTAGATAACAAAATTTAATTCTGAGGCTATTTACCAATTTTTATTAGTATTCTTAATTATAATGCATATTAAACAAATCTAGTGTTCAAAAATAAGTCTGGTTAAATAAAATATGACATAATATTACATAATATATTGTATGGAATACAATAAATTAACGGTTATTATTTTGTAGAAGAAACATTTATAATCCATTGCAAGGTTAAAAAAGCAATTTTAAAAGCAAAAGACACAGCACTGTCTAAATTTAACAATATCTATATGTACATGAGTGTGGAGAGAGTAAAACGCCTACATACATGGAACCATTAACAGTGATCTTCTCTGGGTGGAGAATTAGCAGGTGATTTGCACTTTCTTCTTTGTGCATATTTGTGTATCTCAAACTCTCTATAATGGACATTAATTATTTGGTAATTCAGTAAAATGTATCCATAAATATTAAACATTGTCATTGCCATGGTTTTCTTCTCAAATACTTTAAAAGGAAGTTTAAAAGGATTCGATTACCTTATATGTATCTGGAACTCTACTAAGCACTGATGGTAAAATAAAGAATGACATAATTTCCTGTATGTATAATAAATATGTCTTAGTAGGTGCTAAGTGAAAACTAATTGTAGGTGCTACTAGAACACAAATAAGTAGGCCTAAGTCTAGCCAAAGAGTGCAGAAAAATATCTCTGGGTGAAACATATCTGAGATAAAATTAAAGGTTCAATCATAGTTCACAGTAATACAATAGAGATAAATCATTCCAGGCTAAGTGAAAAACAAGGACAGACAAGGAGCCATGGATGGAGGTCGTGTGTAGAAATATGGGACGTTTCTTATTAAAAATTGAAAACAGAGAGACAGTGACTAATGGGGAATAAGAATGGAGAAATTCCTAAAATCAGAGTAATAGTGACTCATTTAACCTATACAAGAAATTTGAATTATAGTTGTCGGTTATGGTAAACAACATTATAGAGGCAGGAATTCTCATTTTAATGCTTTCTCAGCACCTGTTCCCTCTATTTATCCAATCTTATTTTATGAAGAAGAGCTAAAATTTTAATCTACAGTTCATACTTCTCCCCCAAGCTTTAGAACCATATTTTTCAACTATCTATCTAGCTAAAATATTGAAACAAGTATGCTTCAAACATGTAAATTTATAAATTTGCAAAAGAATTGCCAATAGTTTTTTACCTGCCATCCTCCCGTGACTGAACTCCATCACAGTTAATGACATCTCCATTCACCACATTCTTCAACTTAGGAATCCTTACATTTCGTTGTGACTCAAGCTATTCACCTGTTCTGTCTCCTCTGGTTCCTCATCACTATTATTTATGCCTTCATTAATTCTTACCTAGGTACTACAAATGACATGTTAACTGGTCTCCATAACTCCAGTCTGTTCAATTCTATTTTATTTTCCAAATCAATACCCCATTACCTCTACAGTTCCAAGACTATTACTGTCTTCAAATTGACTTTCAATAGGCCACATTACTAGTATTATTAATATTTTTATTATGCTTTTGCTTCTTTTTTTCTATCTTCATCTTAGTGTACTGCCTTTACATTTCTTGATTAGTTTTTACTTTTCTTATTAGATATAGCTGTGTCTTCTAGTACCATATCAAAAATGTAACATATATCAGTAACAATTTTTCTGGACCTTCTATTGCAATCATGTTCATAATCGTATCTACATTCATGTTCTTTCTGAAATTAGACTTTCTTTGATTTTCGCATGTCTTGCTATAGGGTAATGTTTCATAAAACACTTATTTCTCTTTAAGATTAATAGCAGCAGGCCAGGCATGGTGGCCCACGCCTGTAATCCTGGCACTTTGGGAGGCCAAGATGGGCAGATCAGTTGAGGTTAGGTGCTCAAGACCAGCCTGGCCAACGTGGCCAAACCCTGTCTCTACTTAAAATACAAATACAAAAATTAGCCAGGTGTGGTGGTACGCCTGTAATGCCAGCTACTCGGGAGGCTGAAGCAGGTGAATTGCCTGGGAGTCAGAGATTGCAGTGAGCCTAGTTAGCACCACTGCAGTCCTGCCTGGGTGATAGACTCTAGCCAGGTGAGACTCCGTCTCAGAAAAAAAAAAAAAATTCATAATAGCAGAGAGTATGTATTCCTTGTTCACTTTTGTTTCTTACATTCATAATACTGTGTCTGGTACATAGTGGATGCTAAATAACTATTTCTTGCATAGCAAAACTATATTAGTGTTTTTTAATCACTCTTGATTAAAGAGCAAAATCTCCAAACCTAGTTGGTTTTATCGAGAGGCAGAACATGAGGGTTGATTTTGGTACCAGTTTCTGTGAAGGCAATTTCATATTCACTACTACAATATAAAAGAATTTAGGTCTAAAATTTCTTACCAATTATTCAGGTTTCACAAAATTTGCTTATTGCTAAGCTCCATCGACGTTTTATATTTTTACAGAAAACCTAGTTTTCTAACAATCTGATGAGATAGAAGATATGAAAAAATTTCTGTGTATTCTGTCTCTCCTAAAAATGTGGGCCTCCTCTTCTTGTCCATTTGCTTTGTGATTCTTAGGCTCACAACATCGGAAGAGAAGTACCGCTGAGAGTAAAGATGGGAGCAGAATAACGGCAAGGCTATTTGTCTCAAAATAGACAAACATTGTAAATGAAAGTAATGAATAGGCAATGTTTTGTTTGCTCATAAAAACAGTTTATAGACTAAAGAAGAGAAAAAAATACAGCTGGGGAAAGGATCAGTAATCATTCCAACTAGCTTCAGAAAAGTAAGTTTGATTTGTCTATTTGCATAGCACACTTTAGCTATGAGTTTTTATGTTAGTTTTACTAACCTAGAATTTAGTGTAAATTATTCTTAGTTTCTAAGAGAATATTAATTCTATCATTTATTTATTCATTTATTCACTGATCACATATTTAGCAGCATACAGAAGCCAACATATGCAAGCCACTGAAAAGAATATATCAGAGTGGTGAAACAAACAGACACGTTTCCTGTCTTCCAAGGAAATCGTGGTAACACAAACAATAAATGGATAAGCCAACGGTGAGAAGCACAAGTCCTCATCCAGGCCAAGAGGTCACAGGTGAGTAAAGTCAACAATTTTAGAGGTATGCAAAAAGATGGTGGATCTATTATTGATTGAAAAGCACCTGCTTTTTCACAGGTACAGCTGCTACTCTCTATCTCTCTGTATATGCCTATATATACAGAGATAGAGTAGCATATATATACACACACACACATATCTGTGAAAGAGAGTAGTATATGTACCTATATATACACATACATCAGTATATCTATCAATTTATTCTGTGAGAAGTTACAGACCAGTGATGTGAGATTTTCTGTGTTTTAAGAAAAGCCAGAAGTAGAACTACTATGTGAAATTTTCTATTTTTCAAATATCACCAGTAAATTTGAGTTTTTATAATGAATGCTGTGCTAGGTAACATTGCTTGTGGCCTAAGAAACCTCATCCTATGGCCATATTTGTCACAAAGGTCTGCAACAAACTTGAAAAAAATTACAGAAGCATAGAACACCAATGCAAATCAAGATACACATCTTTTGATAGAGAAACAGAATGCAGTACCAAGTGTACCTAATTAAAATGGGGTGGTTTTTGAATGCCTCTTGAGAAGTTGACTATTATTCTGAGACCAGAAATGCAAAAAAACAAACAATAAAGCATCCAAACACATAAAGGAATAAGAAAGCAGTCTCAGAGAGGAAGCACTGGGAAAGAGCTTATGAACTGGTGAATGAAGGGGAGAGTTTCATGAGGAAAGGGTCAAGCATAGAATGGGGACCAGATTTTAAATAAGATTGTCAGCCCTATTTGAAGCTGTGTATTATACTGAGTAGAGTAGGAAGTCATTGGAAGGCTAATGTTTATTACATACATTTAAAGGGATGGTGGGATAGGCTATATGAAAAATTTATACCCAAATATATTTAAAATGGAAGCTCCCAAACACTTAAATTGAGCGTTTATTCTTGAGCAATGCATGAAATTGTATAGATTTAGGGTTATGACACCTCCTTTTGTGCTACACAAAATGTAGCTTCAGTCTCTTTTGCTATCCTTCCAATATATATGATATTCACTCTCTCCAAGTTATGTATTGTCTTTTGTTTTCTTGTTTCTTCTACTTTGTCTAAGACAATCAGAAACTCTGATAAGGATGGATTACTCTTGCACTGGGATTGAAAGAAATAATGTGGGTAATTGGAGAATTTCATGTACTGTCATAATATTGTCCTAGTACCTGATGAAAAAAATGCATGCTTAGTAAAAAATATTAATGATTTTTATGCTTAGTAAGTAATAATTTTTTATGCTTGGTAAAAAATATTAATGTATCTTACAAAAAATGCTGTCTGCTTATAAGTGGAGGTGTCTATGTTTCTGAAGCTGTGACTGAGTTAAACTGAAATTGCCCAAAACATGCTTAGATAAGTTCTTTTGCAAGTATTAATAATATACATCAGAGTAAAAGTCAGGATCAAAGGAAAATTTATAGGCAAAAAATGTCACTCATACTTTAAAAAATTACAGAAAGAGATGTGTATAAGCCTATTATACTAAAGATTACTTATATTCTGCCTTTGACTCTTAATCTATTCCATTTCCATTACTTCACCTATTTAGATGAAATGTTACAGATAATAAAGAAAATGCCTTTTTATATTAAATGCCAATATCTTTATTAACATATTTCTGTTCTACTTCTCAATGTAATCATTATACAGACATTTATTTAATTTGATTTTAGATACTTTGTATTTTCCATTAGCCTGTACCTATTACATTTCTAATGTTAGATCATGCTTTCTAATTCAGTATTCATTTAAAGTTTTATGTGTATTTTATTTTAGTCAGTTTTGTAGTCCCCTTGATCATATTCAAAGCATTAAATGTGTCACCACAAACACAAGATGGCTTTATTTGTGAGATCTTTCAATGGTGTCCATTCAGAAATATTTACACATCACAGTGAAAGAAATGTTTTGATTGAAGTGACAAATTACATTTTTCTGCAACACTTTGTAAGTGAAAGCACAGCTGTAATGTCATTATATTACTATCAAGAGAGTTTAATATTTTAAAAATTCTCAAAAATTCTTGAAGATAAAATAACCTTTACGATACAATTTGAATATCACTAACCCTTTTGAAACATACTTGATGTCTCCCAATTACATATTTTTTAAAACATAAGAGAAATATTAAAGGTACCTATAGTACCATATAATAAATATTTCAATTGGTATGATGGTACCTGTAAAGAAAATTCTTAGATGGGCCTAATACCAATCACCCTCTTATCCTCTAGCTTTCTATACTCTCTAAAATTAAGACAGCTCCAGAAATTGCAAAGATACTAACTTTCCATTTGACCTACTCTGGGCTGAAAGATAGTGTGTATTGTGAATTATCTTTTGAAACCACATAGGAAGCAGCTCAGGAACTTCTCACAAAGTGGCTTACTCAACTTCAGCCAGAGCAGGGTTTTGGCCTACATCTACTGAAAGAGAGGTTTCCCACAGCACATAAAAAAATAAAAAACACTGCTCTAAAATATATTTTGGCAATACAGGAAATTTAAGTGCCAAATAGTCATATACGATAGGAAATTACAAATTCTATTTAATCTCCGCTTCTTTTTTTAAAGTTTAATTTATATTTAGTATCTCTTAAAGTCAACTTCTTTCAGGGGGTTACAAATTTTATATTATAATTATTAAAATGTAAAACATGATTTTTATATACATATTAAATAAAAACTTGTCAAAAGATTTATTAAACCCATTTTGTGTGTGTGTATATAAGGGAAACATTAAGGAGTTAATATCAGGGGAAACAGCCCCCAATATTTCAATGTAAGTTCTTTTCTATTTTCCCTAAGTGTTGGCCAGTCTGAGAAATAAAGGGAAAGAGTACAAAAGACAGAAATTTTAAAGCTGGGTGTCTGGGGAAGATATCACATGTCAGGTTCCGTGATGCCCCCTGAGCTGTAAAATCAGCAAGTTTTTATTAACAATTTTCAAAGGGGAGGGAGTGTATGAATAGGGTGTGGGTCACAGAGATCACATGCTTCAAGGGCAACAAAATATCACAAGGCAAATGGGCAGGGCAAGGTGACAAGGCCAGGGTGAAACTAGAATTACTAACATGGTTCTCAGTCCCACTGTGCACGCATTGTCATTGATAAACATCAGGAAACAGGGTTTGGGAGCAGACAACTGGTCTGACTAAAATTTACTAGGCAGGAATTTCCTAATCCTAATAAGCCTGGGGGCGCTGCAGGAGACTAGGGCGTGTTTCATCCCTATCTACAACTGCATAAGGCAGACACTCCCAGAGTGGCCATTTTAGAGGCCCCCCCACGGGAATGCATTCTTTTCCCAGGGCTGTTAATTATTAATATTCCTTACTGGGGAAAGAATTCAGCAATATTTCTCTTACCCATTTTCGGCAATAAGAGAAATATGGCTCTGTCCTGCCTGGCTCCCAGGCAGTCAGACTTAATGGTTATCTCCCTTGTTCCCTGAACATTGCTGTTATCCTGTTCTTTTTTCAAGGTGCCCAGATTTCATATTTTCCAAACACACATGCTTTAAGAACAATTTGTGCAATTAACGCAATCATCACGGGGTCCTGAGGCGACATACATCCTCAGCTTACGAAGATGACAGGATTAAGAGATTAAAGTAAAGACAGGCATAGGAAATTATAAAAGTATTGATTGGGGAAGTGATAAATGTCCATGAAATCTTCACAATTTATGTTCAGAGATTGCAGTAAAGAGAGGTGTAAGAAATTATAAAAGTATTAATTTGGAGAACTAACAAAAGTCCATGAAATCTTCACAATTTATGTTCTTCTGTCACAGCTTCAGCAGGTCCCTCCATTCAGGGTCCCTGACTTCCCACAACAAGTTAAAAACAATTTGAATGAGAATATGACATTCCAAAGTTTGTTTTCTCTACTAGACAAAATTCATTTGCATTGCTACAGATGAAACATTTGCATTGCTAGCAGTTTTCTGTAAATTAATTTCTTATTCTACAGAATGGTAAAGTGGCTTAATGAATCAAAATCAATCAAATGTACACACTTCCATAGTATTTAAAAATGCCCAAACGATCCAATGACCAATCCCCAGAAGTTACTTAATAGATGTAGTAATAGATATAGTAATCTTCATTGCCCATTTACAATTCTTTGACATTAATTTTTCTTAACAGGAAGTATAAGTGAATCTCCCTTCCTGTCATGTAAAGTAAATACCTAAACATATATCAAATTAATATCTATTTTTCTATTTTGATATAACCTGTTGAAGACCATAAACATGTAATTTACAGGGTTGATTGTATTTATATTCATGTATCCTTTTTTCTAATATTACGAAGTTGAAAAATATTATCTTCTGATTTCTTTTAGGAGTTTGGCTTATTGTTTTAACATATTATGCCATTTAGTTTGTTTAAAAATGAATTAGAAATAACAAACTTTTTTTATAACCTTTGTTTTTCTATAATTTCTTATTCCTACTCTTCCTGCTATATTGAACATTCCAAGAGAAAAGGAAGGAAAGAATAGGTAGAGAAGATTCAGAGAATTGAGAGAGACATGTCAGAGAACAGATAAATGGTTAAACATTATTCTTCTTGAGTATTCAATATACAAATTTGGTGTTTTCTAACTTTAATGAAACCAAAGAAATAATATGTGCAAAAGATTAAATATAATAAAATAAGAACAATATTGTAAATGTTTTCAGAATGAGGAATTTCATGAATTAAGATACTTAAAAAATAGGGAAAACAAACTCAGAGGCTGAAACAAGAAAACCTTGAGGTGGAGACTATAGTATTATTTATTCTAGGCCATCCTCTGCTGTATTTATTTCATTCAGTGGAAGAGTCATTAATCATGGTAATATTGCACAACAGTGAAACTGAGACCTTTAACTCTTCAGGTGGAAGATGAAAATCAAAGGAAAAAACAAATAAAAATTTTAGACATAGTTTTCTAAGATATAACCTGAACTTTGGAGTAAAATATTTGTTCAAGTGAAATAAATTATCTCATTTTGCTGTATAATATGAGATCCTAATGCCCTAAAATGTATGTAACATTTACGCAGCAGTTGAGAGTAGTTTACTTGCTATGGAATCTGGTGCTTGTTTTAAGAATGTGAATTACTTGTATAGGACAACACAGAGAATTAGTGCACTTAGACTATAAGGAGATTTCTTAAACAGGATTATTCACACTCCCGTCATTCATAATTAATGTATGCGAGATTGTTTCCATATATTAAAGTGTACAGATAAAAGAAATACTTTTTGATTGGTTGACATTACAAAACTTAATTCCTAAAAAAATTGGTGAAGCCCATTATATTTAATCTAAGCGTATCTCAATAGATTATCATGACACTTCTAAAAGAGATTCATGCCATCTTCATAAAGAATAAGTTAAACTCAAATGATGAAGCATGACTGTATCTATCCTAGGAAAACTTTATGAGGTTAAAAATACAACATGGTCCTCAAAGTATAGTGCCATTAAAAGAAAAAACATCAAATAATTTTACTTTGTTATATAAATGAGAAAATCTGGTGTTGCCAAGTAATTCAGTGTATGGACACTTAATAACTTCCAAAAAAGGAACACTTTCCTGAAAGTTATTTTTTAACAATTAAGTTTAAAAAAATGCATCTTATTTTTTCATATAACCATTATTATACATAGCAGCGTAGTATTCAGGTTAAATAAAGCTTTTATATATATATAATATATATAACCAAAGTACATATATAGATATATACACACACATATATATACACATATATACACAAACATATACACACACACATATATATGTACTTTGGTTATATATATCATATATATCAAACTGTTTTTAGTCCTGTACTTTGGTTATATTTTATATATACATATATTTAACCATATATACTATAAATGGTTATATATAAATAATCATATATACATTATATATAGTATTAACCATATATATGATTACATAGATATATAACCAAAGTACTGGACTGAAAATAGTTTCAACTATAAGTAGCCAACATATGCAACATTTTGATTCATATGAAGCAAATATGTACCACCAGTTAAATATTAAAAATATCAGTCATCCATCTCTCATTCTTGGTAAGGTAGCTTCACGATATCATTGAAGGACAGAGATTAATTTTTAAACAACCATGATTATTGTAAAATTTTTGTATCTTTCCTGTTACAGAGTCTACTCATTTCTCAAGTTAGTTAATAAGAGTCTCCCCTGCATGAACTCTTTTAAATATAGTTGTGATTTCTGGAGTAGACCCAAAGAAATAAATAGAAATATACATTTTTATGTTTCTATTACTAGGCACTGGAAAATCAAAATACCTTGAAATTAATTAGTTTAAACTTCATGAATATCATGAGTCAGAAATTGCCATTTACTTCCCAATTCCAGATAAACAAACAAAAAGTTGACATACAAAACTTTCTCTATAATTAATTTTCAGGTATATTGTGAAAGAATATGAAGGATTTGAAATGTGGATGCCCAGAATTCTTGCCTCAGTCATCCTACCTAGCCTTTGCCCTTTCAATATTTCCATGCAGTGAAAATCATCAGGAAATCTCCTAAATGATACTGGATGGAGTCAATATAAAGCTTTGTTGCACAAGTGGTGGAGGTAGCTCTCAGCAAGGTGGATGGAGAGCCAGAAGGTGGAGGGGTTGGGGAGATAGTCTTCCGTTGAACCCCTCTCAATGTTCAGATGCCTCTTTCCTCCTTCTCTGCTGAGCCGTCCTGCTGCTCTCTGCCACTCTGTTCCTCTGTAACTCTCAATGTTCAACCACTTGTTGGTGTGACCACTAAGTTCTTGGGTTTATATGGACACAGGACAGGGGGTCTGGCAGGCAAGAGTGGTCTTGGAGAATTCAACATTCGGGCATGAAAACAAGAGTGATTGTTCTCAGGTCTGTGGGCACAGGCCCAAGGAGGGAGGCCTTGACAGGAATCCTGCCTTTTTCTACCGAGCACTTCCTTGCCCCTTCTCATATCATTTCCCCCCTCTGAAGATGCACATCTAACTGTCATTAGAATATGAATGATGACCAGTCTCAGCTGCTTGCTGCTGACAGGGGGAATTGTTTTTGGAGAAAATGGCAGTCAGATTCCTCCCAGAGGTCTACCTAAGGGTTCCTGGCAAAGGGGAGCCATCATGCGAGGCTTCAGTTGCCTGCCTGTTTGGAGTTTGATGGCCTTTAGGTGTGAGAGAAAAAAACAAGTTTTATAACATTAAGTATGCATGAGTTAAATGTGTATATTATATATGGAAAGAATTTAGTGCCAACGATTACAGAAATAAGAAGTAAAGTGTACTAATTATTCCCAAAACACTATTGTGCCCCATGGTATAGAACAGAACAAAGTTAAGAACAGCAAGCATAGACAAGACTATAGAGAGGATATCCATCGAAGCTTATTAACATTTATCTTTTGTGATTTTTAGCTTGAGATCCCTGATCTCTTCACATTGGTACTTTGGGTGCTCTTCTGGGTTGACGGAGGTGACTCCATCAGCTTCCCAGGCCTTTACTTGGGTATGATGAATCCAAGACTCTATTCCAGTGACCTACTGTAAAAGACCAAGGTGGCCACTTTAAGGAGGTTCTGTAAAGTATTCTCTGGTCCCAGGGCCTGTTTCTGCAGCTTCCTTGTGATATCAGGGCCTGCCTGAGTAATACATTTATCCTTTAGGATTAGTTGTTCCTCAACTGATTCAGGAGATAGAGAGGTGTACTTTACCAAGGCCTCTCTCAAGGCCTCTCTCACTGCCTTTTCCAAGAAGGCAGTGGAATTTTCATCAAATCCTTGGTCGATTGTGGATAACTTAGTACAATTGAGAGGCTTGGTCTTGGTCCTATGTAAGCCCTCCATTATGCACACCTGAAAGTGTCTCCTCTTTCAGTCTCCCATCTCATCATTGGGATCCCATTTAGGGCCATTCACTGGTACTGCTTCTCTTCCAGTTGGATAATATTTGCCCTCTTCCCTGACACTATATGTGATATAAAGGTCATTCCCAAATCTCTCTGCCGCTTGTAGAGTGGCCTGCTTCTCAGTGTCTGTCAGGGTCTGATTCAAAGGTAACATAATGTCTCTCCAGGAGAGTTCAGATATTTGGGTGAAATTCTGGAAAGCCTCTATACATCTGTCAGGGATATCTGCAAACTCGCCACGATCCCCCTTAATTTGCTTTAAGTCCTGTAGAGAGAAGGGGACCTGGACCTCACTGGGCCCAAATTCACTGGGCATCTGTTGAAGGGGCAAGAGTGAGACTGGGGCTTGTCTATGGCAAGGATTTCTAGGAGGGGGCAAGTGAGAGGCTGAAGCTAGATAAGGGAGGTCGGGGTGGACCCTGAGGAGCAGGGTTGGATGGAGCTGGGTCCTCTGCTGGGGGTGCCTCTGGGACTCACATCTTTAGTTCCCTGGGCTTGCCTCTTGCAGCCTTCCCTGAGATAATAAACAGGAGCGCTGGATCAATCCTACCCTGTTGGCAAAGATCTGGATTACCTTGAAAGGTATAGAAAGCCTGTACATATGGAGCCGCAGTCCATCTGTCCTCACATTACAGAAAATTTCCAACTGCCAGGTTTTATTGAAATGAATGGTTCCTTCCTGAGGCCAACCAATCCTTCATAATTTAGCCAAACTTTTGTGCAGAGAGCTATAAGGCATTTTTCCTTCAGATTCTGAGGGTCAAAGCAGTTCCCGTGGTTCAGGATATGCTCCAGAGGTGTATAAGCTGGGGATGGTGAAGAGAGTTGGTTGCTTATTCTGAAGGACAGGAAATTTCCCTTCCCTCTTTCAGTGAAAACTTGGAGTGTTATGGAGAGAGAAAGCAAGCACTCTCCCTTTCTCTTCCATCTTTTTATCCCCCAGGCCTGGCAACCTTGGCAGGCACCACTCATGAGTGCCGATGTCGCATTTACCCACGAAACAGGGAAGGCTTAGAGAACGGGAGTTATCCGCACTCACTTATGCCTCCATCTTCCCCTGCCTTTCAGTTCTCTGGGTCTCATTTATGCGGGGGAGCATGGCCTCCATCAATGGGGTTGGGGCTTTAGTAGGCAGGAATTTGTTCTGCCCATTTATACTGTGCCTGTTGCCTGGCTGTGGATCTCTCAGATCTGGTTTTCCTTTTTAGAGCCTCAGCCTAAAGCTTGGAATTGAGTTTGGGAATAAAAAGTATTTTAAGGGGCTGTTTGTATCTGTTTAGATTGTCTCAAATGGGCCCTGCCAAATTTGCAGTTATCAGCCAGCAGGGGGTCGCTCCTCCACGAACTTCCCTATCAAGCCAGAGTGCTGGGGAGGGAAATCCTCTCACTTAGAAAAGGAAAAAGAGAGAAAACAGTTTAATGGTTCTGGGGGAATGACCCCTTGCTCACTGTAAATGGGTCCCTTTAATCCTTTTATTCTTCCCCCCACCCCTCACCCCGCCCCGTTTGTGCTGGGCTGGACTCCTTGGCCAGAGGAGGTAGAGTTTCACTGTCGTGGTGGGTTTGAAGCGCCGGCCATCTGACCCATCTGTGGGTCCTGGCAGTAGCGAGGGTTTTCTCCTGCCCCTCATGGCTGTTGGGTGCTGCCTTTGCATGCTGTGGACATGCTCAGGTGCCCAAGCTGAGAGGCGAGGGGTTTGGAGATGGGGGGCCGTGGGCTGCGAGAGCCTGCAGTTGTTGGGGTGGAGGTGGGGATGGCACCTCTGAGAAAAAACAGAAACCACATTGTTCTGATTTACACATTTGATGGCTGAGCCAAAGCCATCATTCTATTTAATATTATAGCCACAGCCTGCAGCAAAACTCTTAACAATATAAAGGTAGAGATAAGAGCCATTTCAAACCCCGAGAGAAGAAAAGACATCAAGTGAAGTCTGGGGGTCTCGACCAGTGCTCGTTAGGGAGGTCGGGGATGGGGTTCAGTCTTGGGGCCTTCCAGCAAGAGATGCCTTTGGTTTCCCCAGGTTTTCACTCTGGTCCCATGCGGCGGTTAGACCTCATGAAGGGAAACCAAGCCCTTTACCCACAGAAAAGAGAAAGAGGTGGCAGGGTCTTGGAAAAGAAGCAGATCCTACAGTTCCACATCTGTACTCACCTTCTTATGAATACCCCCGACAAGGCCCCAGCTGAAATAGGAGAGTTCCCTGATTCCCCTCACAGGATATGCAACGGGGTGTGGCTTGCCTGTCTGGGTCACCCCACTTCTCAAACCCCTTGAGGGAGGGGGAGGATGCAGATGGGCAGGTGCAGAGGGTGGGGCAAGTGCTTTGGGCCTTCAGCCCCATGGTAGTGTCTAGGGATGGGTGCCTGCAACCCCAGTGCTACCAAGCTCTTTCAGCTTTGCCATCTGCAGATGGCTTGAGTGTTAGTCAACTCAATGGACCGTCTGCCTTATTTCAAGGGCAGAGGGCCAGTGTGACAGCTTTCTGTGTCCCCAGCTCTTGCCCAGTGTACCGGAAGAATCAGATCACACACGGGCTCAACGGCTGAGCGCATGGTTTTATTGAGTGGTGGAGATGGCTCTCAGTGAGAAGGACAGGGAGCCGGAAGGTGGAGGGGCGGGGAGATAATCTTCCCCTGAACTCCTCTTGACGTCCAGACGCCTCTTTCCTCCTTCTCTGGTGTACCACTCGGCCGCTCTCCGTGGCTCTCTGCCACTCTGTTCCTCTGCTCCTCTCGATGTTCAGCCACTTGTGTATGTGTGACTACTTGGGTTTATATGGGCACAGGATAGGGGTGTGGTGGGCCAGAGTGGTCTTGGAAAATGCAACATTTGGGTATGAAACAGGGGTGCCTGTTCTCACTTACGTCTGCAGACATAGGTTTGAGGGTGGAGCCCTCACTGGCAGAGACCCTGCCCTTCTCTACCCAGCACTTCCCTGTCCCCCTCCCATATCACTTTTAATAGAATTCTATAGAGAATATGTTGAAAAAGCTAATCAATTAACATGTAACTTCACTTTCGACCCTAAACCTCTTAATACAGTGCAGTGTCCCGTTTTGGATGTTCCTATTTTAAAAATAAGTTCTGGCAAGTTTTCATTATAGTAACTTTTTCATTATTGAAGAAAAGCAGCAGTAGCAAAAAAATCATGTTGACAGCATAATGACACCTGGTAATAAATACATAACCAGACCACACTTCTACGCTCCTTATTTTACCTTATTTAGAAGACAACTCAGCCTCTTCGTCTCTTTGTCTTTCCGGTCAATGTAGCATTATTCAAACGGGGAAACTGGTAGCTATTCTTAAAAGAAAGACTCTGTTTTAACTAACAATGAGAGACTGTCATTTGTCACTTCAAGTTTACTCAGGATTAAGGAAAAGAGATCTGTAATATGGAATCATTGCTGATGGAAGATAGCATCCTTTTGCCTTCTTAACTTTGTTTGGGATATTCAATTTATGTTATTTCTGATTAAACAGATGCATCATAATTTATGTCCATGGACAATCCATGGATATTTTCAGCAATGAAAATACAAGGTTAATTTTTAAAATGATTTTATTGTTTTTGTTGCAATCTCTGAATCCACTTTCCAAGTTAATTTTTGGAAAAGATGACTCTGGTATTTATTGTGAAATTCATTTCAGGTTTATTGGTAATAAAAATTGCCTCACAGTTTTATGACCTCATTTTTGCATAAATAGACATTTATTTCCCGGATACTGTCTGAGAAGATTTGAGAGTGTATCTGGAGATTTGAGAGTGTATCATTTAGGATAGGCTGAGTTATGCTGCAGTAACAAACAAACCCTAAATCTCAGTGGTTTATTAGAATATAACTTTATTTCTCACTATATGACCTATGGAAGATGTCAGGTGGGCTCAGTTCATTGCCATCATTTGGTACCCAGACCAATAAAATCTTCATCTTCATCTTGAAACATATTTCTATGATCATAGCAGACAGAAGGGAAGGTTGCTAATTGCACATTGGCTGTTAATGTTTCCATGAAGAAATTTTACGTCATTTCTGCTTGAGCTCAAGGGAACATATAAGTACATTCTCATCACATTTCCACATCAGAGATCAGGAAATATAAGTTTTATAGCAGATTAATGTCTACTAACAATAGTGATCAGATACGTCACATCTTGGAAGAGAATGGTGAGGAACAATAGTGAGAACACTGTTCTCTTAATAGAGCTAATTTTTGAGTTTTCCAGAATTTATGAGTCCCCTTATAAAATGGAATATACATATAAGCTATATTATGAAATTCCACATCTGAATGTTTTCCACTTGAAATCTTCCTTCTTTCTCTATCTCCTATGCCACATTTTCCCAGTGGGAGTGATTCCTGACTTTTGACAAAGAGAACAGATGAATTAATTTATGTTGATTGTAAAACAACTGTACAGGTGTTACAATCTCTGTTAAGAGGCAGTATTTGCAGTAATTGCAAATTTGGTCCCTTGGATTAGACTTTCTAAATTCTCCTGACATGCCACTTACTTGCAGTATGACTTTTGACAAGGTATGAAACCTTTTGTTGGCTTGGTATTGTTTTCTGCAAAATAAGCAATAAGACTCACCACAAGTTAATACAGATAAACTTCTTGGAACAATTCATAACATGCCCTCAATTAATGATAGCCTTGGTGGTCGATTAAACTTTATGATTTAGAAACAACTCAGACTCCTGCTTTTATCTGATATATACTTTTATTGGACTAAACATTAAAATCGCTGTATTTTAATTTTTAATATATTTATTTCAGTATTTATCATACTTTTATTTCTGTATTTATCATTTATCATCTACATTTCCCCCAAATAACTCATATGATACAAAAGATGCAGATTTTACAACTACTTTGTAAGCTTCAGTGTAAATAATTTCATATATTGAAAAGATGGACCACTTTTGCCGGTTGTTGAATATGATATGTCATCATTGAATTGAGTAAATATAAATAAGAAAAATATATAGAAAATAGCATGTTTTATTCCGTAAGTTAAGACTCTTACCAGGTATACTTTTCATACAAAGGAAAAAATACCTTATTTTATTTCCTGAATAACTGCAAAGAATCAAAATTTTGCATGTATACTTTAGTTAAAACATTACTACAAATATTAAATAAATTATGGGTACATTAAAGGAGACAACTGGCATTTTGTGACTTTTGACAATTACAATATTTTAGAAAACTCAAGATTATTCAATCAACGGTTCAACTTAATATATATATTAATTTTTTTAAAAGATTTTTAGTATTTCCCAATAATTAAAATTATGTTGAGTATTTAAAAATAAATGGAAGTACTCATCCATCTTTTCAGGATAAATAGCACTTCAGTAAATAATTGGGATGTAAATTGTCTACAGAAATAGAAACCATTGATGTTATTTATATATAATGAATATGCATTTCATTGCATCATATCCAGCACAAAAAAAGGCTTTTGTACTTTCATTTATGATCATTTGTTTTGTGAGCTACTTATCGCTAATCTAAGTTATCAGAGTTAAAAATATCAAACTCTAATAGTTACTCAATTTGAAAATCAAAATAATAAGGCTATTTATTAAAATATGTATTTGAATGCATTAAATTGGGACATTACTAAGAATGGATTATAATTAGCTTTTTTAATTGCAAATAATTATGTTCACAAATGAGACAAAAAACAGTTGAATGACTAAATTTTAAGTGAAAGAGATGCTGTTGCTTGAGATGTAATTTTAACACTCATGAAACCGGGTAATTTTCAAAGTAAATAACGGTACATTATATATTTTATAAAAATTCTCACTGGAACTCTCACAAATTTGTTATCATATATTAGTATCTAGCAATATGTTTAATGAAAATCATGTCTATTGACATTGATCTTCAATTATGTACTCTAATTCGATTCCTTCATCACTTAATTTTATTATTATGTGTATGTAGAATGATTATAATTGTTAAAAAGGATGCTGAATTTCATTACATAAAATAAAATAATATCAATAATGCTTCCATAGGTGTGCTTTTTAAATTATTATTATTATTCTTTTTGAGTCAGAGTCTCATTCTGTCACCCAGGCTAGAGTGCAGTGGCAGGATCTTGGTTCACTGCAACCTTTGCCTCCTGGGTTCAAGTAATTCTCCTGCCTCAGCCACCGAATAGCTGGGACCACCGAGTAGTAGGTGTGCACCATGATGCCCAGCTAATTTTTGTAGTTTTAGTAGAGACAGGGTTTCATCATGTTGGCCAGGCTGGTTTCAAACTTATGGCCTCAAGTGATTGGCCCTCCTAGGCCTCCCAAAGTGCTGGGATTACAGGCGTGAACCACTGTGCCTGGCCAGATGTGTTATTTTTACGTTATTTGTAATTGTTATTTTTATTCCGGGCTATTATAATTTGATATTTAATTATTTAAAAGTAAAGGAAGCCAAAAACAAACAAACAAAAAGCAAGAAGCAAATCAACCATACTACAATTTCTGAAAATTTTTATTGCACTTTTGTTAGGAATACTTCAAATCTTTTCTGAATATTTTGAAATATACAATAAGTTACTGTTATCTGTAGTCACCTTATTGTGCTAAATACCCTGATTTGATCAATACATATTGTGTGCATGTGTTGAAATATCACATGTACCCCATAAATGTATACTATTATGTATCAATAAAAATACAATTTTTTATTATACACAGAAAGAACAATTATCTGTCACAGAAATAATGCAAATGTATGCATCTTAACAGCTACTTGTTATATTTTAATGAAAATCTGGTTTAGAGAACAAAGTTCAGTTTTATACCACACTGAATAATTTAAAATTATAATAGTTTATTAAATATATGTGTGTACAAGTGCATATTGGTAGTAATATTGTGAAAACAGATTAACTTTTTTTTGTTGCTTTTTTTGCGGAAAATGGTAGAATGTTTCTGTAGTTCAGTCTTAAATGTTCACTTTTCAAATGCTCCCTTTTATAGACACATTGTTCTATTCTATTTTTGGTGATTTTATAAATTTTTTCCTGCAGGTCTGAAAAATAAACTCTGAGATTTACATTCTGTGAAAGATAGCTAAGATTTAAAATAACGTTTTGGAATTTAAATGTGAACTTGCATTTATTAAAAAAATATGAAACTAAAAAGTGCAATTTCTTCCTATTTCCCCAAAGAACTGTGGCAGAACAAAGTACTTATACTTCTAATAGTAGTTATAAAAATATTAATGTGGCCGGGCGTGGTGGCTCATTCTTGTAATCCCAGAACTTTGGGAGGCCGAGGCAGGCAGATCACGAGGTCAGGAATTCGAGGCCAGCCTGAATAATGTTGTGAAACCATGTCTCTACTAAAAATACAAAAATTAGCCGGGCATGGTGGCAGGGGCCTGCAATCTCAGCTACTCAGGAGGCTGAGGCAGGAGAATCACTTAAACCCTTGAGGCAGAGGTTGCAGTGAGCCAAGATCATGCCATTGCACTCCAACCTGGGCAACAGAGCGAGACTCCTTCTCAAAAAAAAAAAAAAATTAACGTATGAATATGCCAATTTCATGTTGGCATTCTGTTTGTTATTTTTTCTCCATGCTTTTAAAAAGGAAAGAGGAAGTTCACAACTTACAATTTTAGACATGGGGATTTTTGCAGAAGTGCTCTGAAACAGTGATTTGTCATTGCTAAATCCAATACACTTAATAATGTGGAAACATTCTCAGAAACGTGTCAGGCGATTTTGTTGTGTAAACACCATGGAATGCACCTCCACAAACCTAGACGCTATTGCTTACCACACACCATGGCTATATGGTGTAACCTATTGCTCATAGGCTATAAACCTGTACAACATGCTACTGCATTGAATACAGTCAGTAATTGTAATACAATGACAAGTATTTGTGTATCTAAGCATATATAAAAGTAAAAAAGGCACAGTAAAAATACAGCATTATAATCTTATGGGACCACTGTCCTACATGTGCCCATACGGGATATGATTGACACACATTAAAGTGATCATTTATTGGTGCAAAACTAGCTGAGTTTGTTTATCTAAACTAATCACTATCTTTGTCTTTGACCACTCAAAGGCATTTATGCTGGCTTCCATGAACTTAAAAAAGAAAAATTACTTTGCAACATAAAGTAAAATTTAAGTTGGAGTGTAATTCTTTATCCTTTATCAGCACTGTCCAATAAAACTTTCTGTGATGATGACAATGTATATCTCTGTTGAGTACATGAAATATATCAAGTTCAGTTGAAGAATTGATTTTTAAATCTTATTTGCTTTTAATTAATCTAGATTTTATAGCTAAATGGACATATGTGACTAATGCTTACCATATTAGATAATGTAACTTTGGAGTTGTTACTCTGACTTTCATTAATTTTATCTACAATTTAAAAGAATGTTGTTTAGTATATGATCTTCTTATTAAATTATCATGGTCAACAATTTGCTTTATAATAACATAATTTTTACACAATTTAATTGACCTTACAGCAATGGTATAAGCAAGCGAGAATTTCTTCTTTTTATTTATATTTATTATTATTATTATTTTAAATTTTTTCTGACCCTGGTCCTTTCATCATGAGAATTTCTAACTGAGATATTTCAATTTATCATTTTCTTGGTGTCTCCAGACTTTTGTGACATTGAGCCATAGAGACAGTTAGCTGCTCTGTTTCAGGCATTAAATTAGACACTTCTTGTCCAGGCCATTGACTATGACCTGGTCTAAGCCCAGAGAAAAATAACCTTGTTATCTTCTGTATAGAGAATTCTCTGGTTCCAATTGAATATCTGAAATAACTTGGGAATTGTGGGGAAAATGAAGTCTCAAAATTCAGTCGTTAGAGTATGAAAAATTCATCCCACAGGCTGTGGGAAGACAGGTGCAAACATTTTTTGCTCACATGTAAACAATTTGATATAGAGACAATCTTGCAAATATGAGTATTGGCACTATATTTATTTCAATTACTGCAGAAGGAAATATGTTATATGGCACTGTGTGACGACTTAACGATGGCTCAAAAAGTTCTTTAGTATAGTTTTGAGTTAAAATATTGGTGCAGGTATAGTGAAAACATAAGGTGCAATTAAATATTTGCAATTTTGCATGTCCTGAGAAATAAAGAAATCAGACAGATATAGTGTACAAAGGGGCAATGACTGTATTAGAAATGAAAGGAAGAATTAAACCTATATTGAAGTGAATGGGGAAAACTGGAGCATAAATAAAATACTGAGAAATTACAGTTAACTCAGTTGTACTTCCTACCAAGGTGGGGATATTACTCCCAGAGCAGCACATCAAGAAAAGCTTGAACTTCAGACTTGACCTTTTCATCTTCAAGTGGCTGCAAGACAATTAAGAAGGGGCATAAAATAAAATGCAATTATTACTTAGTGTGGATAATTTAATTTTTTTCTTGTTAAATGTTTTTGTTTTAAGTGTAAAATTGGCTTATCTAAAAATAGAAGGAAATTAGAAAAGGAAAGTAGAATCGTGTGTTTAAAGTGGTCATGTTTGCGGAAACGAAGCTCAGGCAAAAATGCTTCAATTTTAGAAAGTGAAAAGTTATATTTTTGGTATAATCTGGGCAAGGTTATTTTTAAATAAAAGTTAACATTTTAATTAATTGAAAAATTTAAAACATGGATAAATAGCTAATTAAATATATATTTACCTTAAAAGCATGGCTTTGAATTTGAAAATTGGCAGTTATAATGAAAAGCTGAGTATAAAAGTAAAGAGTAAGTGGCAATTATTTAAATGAAAGTAAACGAAGAGCTCAGACAGATTCCAGGCATGGAGGATTAACGGTTTGAAATATCGTGAAATAAGTAGGAAGACTTGTAATATACTGAAAAAGTAATTTTGATACCTTATCACTGGTTGGCCCAACTATAATTCTCTTTATTATCAGATATGTAAAATAATTGAAAGGTAGTTATTTTTTGAAGTCAAGTACTCAAAACTCCTTCTATGTGTGAATATTAGGCAAAGAGTGAGTGAGAAATTCAAAATATAAATTTTGTTTCAAATTCAAGATTCTAAACATTTCCAGGATTTTGAAAATTTAAAGCTGTGTAGAGATGAGTTTGAGAGAAATGAGCAGGGTGTTGAAACTGTGTAGCAATTAGATCTTCAAAGGGAAAATAGGGTTTGCATTAAGGGCTACACACCTTGTCTCAGGATTCTAAAATTGGTGTTCATAATACACTTCCGGAAATGTACAAATAATGTGGAAGTTTGATGCAACAATGTTGCATGTATATTTTCCCTGGGCAAAACTCCAAAAAGTCTCAGAAGAGTTTTTGATTTAAAAATGAAGAACCACAATTTTAGGCCACAGCTTGGGTCAACCCCTCAATTTGCCAGAGTGGTAAAGATGTGTAGGTCAAATTTAAATAACACTGTTATAATAATTACTTTGGTAATAAGTTTAGATTGTTCATGCAGTTTTCCAGTGGATTATAAAAAAAGATTATTTTCCAGGATATATGACAGTCTTAAATTAACCAGGTGGGAGATGTGGGATCAGTGAACTAGAAAAATAATTGAAAAAGATGCCTATACATTTTTTGCATATTTTCATGTGACCTGTCATTTTTCGTAGGTCTCTTTTTTCTTTATTTTTGAAAATAATGTCTTATTGGTGTTTGGCTTCTTTATTGGACACTGATAGCTATCAGAGGAAAAGAAAAAACTGGTTAATTAAATCAATATTTTACATAACTTTTCTATAGTGTATAAATAAGTAATGGCGTTTGTATTTCTGACTACATACTGGGTGTTTCTCAGATACAAAATGGTGATGAGGTCAGGGATTGGCAGGATTTAATTTTCCTGTTGTGACCCTGCTAACTGGAGGAGGATAAGGTTAAAAGAAGATGCAGTGTTGAAGCCAGGCAAACCCAGCAGACGGCAACGAAGGTGACCTTCACTGGGGAACAACATACACGGGGGCCTATCATAGGTTTGTGGGGCTGGAGGAGAGAGAGAATCAGAAAAATAATGAATGGGTACTAGGATTAATAACTGGGTATTGAAAATATCTGTACAACAAACCCCTATGACACAAGTTTGCCTATGTAACAAACACGTGTACCCCTAAACTTACAATAAAAGTTAAAAAAAAAGAAAGTGACCTCTAATTGCTCTCATTGCTTATTTGCATAAAGACACTCTCACTAGTGCCATGACCATTTCCAAATGCCGTGGCAACACACCATAGCAATGGCCGAGAAATTACCTTTTATGGTTCCAGAAACTCCCTACCTTTTTCCAGAAAGTTCTGAATAACTGACCACTTAATTAGCACATAATTAAAAGTGGGTATAAATTCAGCTAGCTAGCAGCCCACAGGCACCAACTCTGAGCACACCTGTTATGGGTTAGCCCTGCTCTGCATGAAGCAGCTGTGGTTCAATAAAAGTTGCTTTCTCTCACAACTAGCTCACCCTTGAATTATTTCTAGGGAGGAGCCAAGAATATTCCCAGGCTAATCTCCAATCTGGGGGTTACCTGCTCTGCATCAGTGAGATAATACTTACATTAAAAGTAACTTATTATATTTTATAATAATAATATCTAATCTTGTCTGCTTTATTGTAATTAATGACATCATCATTCTCCTAGTATTATAAGTCCTATATCTATCTTATTGATATCTTTTCTTTTTCTTACTTGTTTTTTTCTTGGCCAAAATATCCTCAGAACTCTCTCTCCCATTCATGTTTGTATGAATACAAATATAATTAATAATTTTTATATTAATAACCCATTCATTAATAACCATGTCTCTACATACCATCTTTGCCTTCCCATTCTCCCTGTTTCAATCAATCCTATGTCCCAGTACAAACTTATTTTGTAAACAAGAAATTGATCAAGTGGTATAGCTCTTTGATATCAGTTGATAACTTTCCATTGCTACTGAAAATTAATCCCAATTGTTTGAATTTAGAATATTATATAATTTGGCTCTAACCTAGACATTTTAATTTCACAATTCCGCTATACATCAGAATTCTAGTCATTATTGTGTCATGTTCTGAAATATCAACTCCTCTACTTACCTATTTTTTGCTTTGTCTTTTGAAGTCTGTGCTAAATAGGTTGAATACTATTAACTGCTATGTTATTATAACATACAGTTACAAAATTAAATATTTTCCAATTCTAGAGAGATTGCACAGCCTGGTTTAAGAGAATTGAGTGACGTTGCCCTCAACAAACATGAAAGAACAGATTCCTTTCCCCAGTGCCACCAAAGGTGTTGCAATTTAATAATAACAAATCCTGAAAAACCAAAGTAAAACAAAAATTCTGCTTTGGCTAAAGAAAATTTATTAGCAGGGATGGAATTGGCTTGCAGAAGCAGTATAAAGCTCTTTCTTTCCAGAATACTTGATAGATCTGTGCTTTTGAAAACCAGCTTTCATGGCATGCCTTTACTTGTCTTCAAATTGCTGTGATGTTTATATGGTGCTTGTCAACGGTATGTTTTGCCCTTAAGAATGAGAAAATGTACAGATTTGGGAAAGCAGTATGTAACTGCTGCAGTATGTTACTTAGTTTTAGGAATGTCAGTGCACAGTGTAAGACAATATACTGTACATTTAAATAAGGAAGTATACTGATGAACTGCTATAAAAATTGTATTTTAATGATAGCTTGAAAACTGATTCTTATAAATGTGTGGGTGTTAATTGTATGTTTATTTTCTTCCCACAGATATATGTACAATATACTTAATACACATTAACTGCTTTTGAGTGAAATATTTTCTCCTTTTCATGAACACTTTGGATTGGTGAATAGTCTATCTTTTCTTTCCACTATATATTACATACACTAAAATACATAAGCATACATTTTCATAGCAATTATTGCAATTTTAAGTAGTTTATTTATATTGAAGGCTGACATACTGACTTCATTATTTCCTAAGAAACTTTTTGTTTCATTTTGTTAGGTTTTGTTTTTTGTGCCTTGTAAAGCAGAGTGAACTATATGTTTTCTATTAAAGTTTGAACTCGTACTGATGACTATCTTCTAATGTCTGGAACAGCAAAGGTTACAAGTACTGAATTTTCATTCTAGCTGCATCACTTACCGCTATTTCACTTTGAACCAATGACTGAGAACCTGTGCCAAATATTATACCAAATATTTTCCTGTTTCTATATTAAACAATACTAGGACAATTCTGCTCCCAGGTTAAACAATACACAAGGCATAAAAATGCTTAGTTGCTTGCTCCAATAAATGCTTCTAAAGCAGCTTCTCAAAAAATCTAAAAGCGTAACCTTCTAAAGCAGCTTGCTCAATAAAAAATCTAAAAGCGTTAAGGCTTGACCTTGCATAGAAAAATATTAAGAACTATCGGAGGTTCAGTCATCTGAAGTTACAAAGAATTGATATAGTAGGAAAGTATATACATAGGGTCAATATAGTATGAAAGTAGCTTAAATATAAGTAAATAAAAAGATAATGGAAGTAGCACATTTAACCTACTTATAAATATTAATAATTTTAAGCAAGTTTGCCAAGATACTTTAAAGAGTCCTGTTTGAGAGTCCTTGTTTTGTGAGATGAGGAAAAAGAGTAGATGTCAGTGTTTGTATTTTTCCAAAAATTTTATATCTGTGATTTCTTTTTACCATAAACAGGGGGTAATCAAGTATATCTTGGTGAAGAATGTTATTACATGTTCAGAAGTTAGATATAATTATTTTCTGGATAATGAGACTGTACATAAATAATATTTTTATTTCAAATATTTCTTCTCTTTAAGATAAATATTCAACCAATATTAATTATCTCTCTTTCTGTGAACTAGTTTTAGGCTCACAGATAAGTAGCAAGTAGCAAATAAGTAGTAGAAAGCTCAAATTTAGGCAAAGCTGTAGAAGAATTGGGCTTTGCCCTCACGCAGAGTAACATGGCAGTCAAAGGTCTTTCTAAAACCACCAAGCTCTTGTTGGTGATGGAACTGCTTTTCTCATCAATTGACTTGTTCAAGTATTGTATTGAGCTCTAACTCTACTTCATTACTTAACTCTTCAATCTGGTTTGGAAGTGTGGCATTTTCTTGGGTATTTCAGTGCAATTCTTAAAGAAACTTCTTGCAAAAACTCAATATTTTACACATCACTTACAAATTCCTTTCTAAATGAAAAATAAACATTTTGACCCTTAAATGAATGAACACTTTCCAAGACCAAAAACTAAGCCTGTCTATAACCCCTTGGCTTAAGATTGAACTAGATTTCTTCTTCACTCCACATTTAATCTGGAGTCATTTTTGTGAGAATAAGCTAAATGATAAACTGGTTATCCTCTCCATAGTAATTTTTATTATTTTCCTGTGTAAATTACTGCCAAATCATTATGACTCATTGAGGAGCCCCAAGGTATGCATGGTACAGTATTTCACCAATTACTTCTGGATTTATCCCTGTAACAAAGATCAAAACTGGGAAAATAACTCAAATTATTCTGCCTGACCCAACAGGTGCTCATTTTGGAATTCAGAATTTGATTCTGTTACACAAAGAGAAAAGCACAGTTTGTATAATAATTTTTTAAGTGAAAAAATAATGCAATGGAAGAAAACTACTAGTCATTGTTATCAAGCTTCCAGAAGGGTGGTTCTACATTAAAAATGAAAACAATTCAAATGTGTCATTCAGAGCAATATAAATCACAGTAGGGAGATTTTTATTTTATTTAGAAACTTACACTGAAGGTTTCATCTAAATTCTGAAAGAATTTTAATGTATTGTTTTTAGAATTGAACAATCTTGGGCATTCCATGATAGAAGTTTTCCTGAAAGCTAAAATCTTCTAATATATAATGTTTGCTACTATAAATCATGTGTTATCTTTCTCATTTTGATATTATAAAAGTGTTATCATGTATTATCTTCCTATTTTGATATTATAATAGCTACTATAATATAAAAAATATAAAAATGTATATATTTTCAAGAAATGTCAAGATATTTTTCTATGTTTTGTCCAAATGAAAAAAAAAGATTTATTTAATGCTTACTTATTCCATCCTATATAATTTTCAGGTTTTGGAAGAAAATTTGGGAGAAAAAGCAAGAGAGATTTTGAAGGATCTTGAAGGCATAATTTAAGCTATGCTATCAATCAATTTCACATGATCCTAGTATTGTCACTCTGAAGCTTCTATAGATTCACATTTTCATAAAATAAGAGTCAAGCCAGTCTGAATATAGCCTATTTTGTCTCTCTTTGTAAATACACGCTTTTTAGCATTTGGTGATATTCTTTAAAACATCACTAAGTGGCATGAAAACAAAATTTAAATTTGTGAAGTTAATTTCACCTTGCAGAAATCTCCTGGGCTCAGAATCTTATCAAGTAAGAAGTATCAGATAAGAAGTATATACCTAGGCCGGGCGCGGTGGCTCACGCCTGTAATCCCAGCACTTTGGGAGGCCGAGGTGGGCAGATCACCTGAGGTTGTGAGTTTGAGACCTGCCTGACCAACATGGAGAAACTTTGTCTCTACTAAAAATACAAAAAATTTTGCCTGGCGCGGTGGCTTGTGCCTGTAATCCCAGCTACTCCAGGAGGCTGAGGCAGGAGAATTGCTTGAACCCGAGAGGAGGAGGTTTGCAGTGAGCCAAGATCACTCCATTGCACTCCAACCTGGGAAACAATGGCAGAACTCCGTTTCAGGAAAAAAAAAAAAAAAAAAAAAAAGGTGTAAACCTAGAAAGACAAAGATAAAGTATGTTGCTACATTTGACATATCATATTTTTTAAAATGTTTTGAGGCATTTACAGATAGAGATTTTTTATTTTGTTTTTTAAGCTCTTCAGAAGAGACATAGAAATGACTAAGATTACTGTGTAGAAATATGAAAATAAAAATAGACGAATGTCAAATTGGAAACCAAAGTATAATTCATTGCATACATAAAAATCTGTTTTAACCTTGTATATTCTACTTCACAGATGTCCTTTTGAAATTTTAATGCTGATGGAGTTCACATTTCTGCCCACTGCAGCCCACATTTTAGTAAATGAGAGGGATGAAGGAATCTATAGAACACCAAGAATGGAAGATTATTTTGGGTAACAATGAGTGAGAGTGCAAGGCTTTAGAGCCAGTGAGCATCTAGATATTAAAAGATAGATGGGGATTGTTTAAGATTTGTAGGTATCTCTGTTATACAATCTCCTTAAACGTTCATGAAATAATTAGGATTCAATATTTGATATATCAGCTAGGCATGGTGGCTCACATCTGTAATCCCAGCACTTTGGGAGGCCGAGGAGGGCGGATCGCTTGAGGTCAGGAGTTCGAGACCAGCCTGGCCAACAGTGTGAAACCCCATCTCTATTAAAAATACAAAATTTAGCTTGGTGTGGTGGCGCACACCTGTAGTCCCAGCTACTCTGTAGGCTGAGGCAGGAGAATCTCTTGAACCTTGGAGGCAGAGGTTGCAGTGAGCTGAGATCGTCACCACTGTACTCCCATATGGGCGACAGAGTGAGATTCCATCTCAAAAAAAATGGATATCTCTTTTTTACTTGGGATTCTTTAAAAGCAACTCTGATCTGGGATTGAACTACATGGACATCATTTCACTCTTTTGTGGAAAATATACCCCATAAAGAGTGTCCACATTATTGTCTTGTTAATGCAGTAGGGTGTCCAGAAATAACAGGCCATTCTAGAGCTAAAAGTTGGTCAAGGTGTACTTGAATGTTGAGGTAAATGGGTAAAGTTTTAAGTGTGTTATTTGTCTATATCCTGAGATTTTTCTGTATTACTTTGAGTAACAGCTACTATAATAAATATTCCTACAATTTTAGAATCTTCAAACAGTTAGTGTTTGTTATTTCTGTAATAGTCCAATATAAATGTTCCTGGCCAGCTTGTAGTCCTATTATACAAATTAAAGCATGAGATCTTCATTTTGTTTGTTTTATCATCCTCTACAATCTTGGATTCTTCTGCTTCTACCCAGCTAACAGGGCAGGGGGCAGTAGCGAAGGACATATGCTTTTTTTAAAAAAAAGTCCAACCTAGAAATGACACATCATTTCCATTCATGTTTAAATAATAATTCATCATGTAATCCTACTTAGATATAAGGAATACTAGAATGTATATAGTTCTAATTGTAGGCATTTTTCATCAACAAATGCCCACCATGGCAAGGGTCAGCAATTTGTTGAAGGCAGTTATCTATATCTGAAACGGTGCCATTTGTTACTTTTTATGAGACTTTTAAATGTAAATTTATTGTAATGACCTAAGTTCAGTTGTTTTAATAAACCTTCATGAAACTAATATCAGATTTGAAGAAAACATTTGATTTCATTCTTAGCCGTGGACCTAAATAATTTTGAACCTGTTGCACCAAATCAATGTGTCTGTGGGGGTTCCATTGTACAAGCTCTCAAAGCTCCTGGCAATTTGGCCAGAAGCCCTTCTTCAACCCCATTTTCTGAATTTGTCTACATAGAAACTATATTTCATTTATTTAATTTTGCCTGTTCTTCAAACCATAATTTAATAAAGTGGAAATATTTTTATTAGAGAGACTTCTAGTCACATACTTCATTGAAGTTTAAAATGCCCCATGTTTCAAATGTTCCCCAAGACCACCCTCAGGTTGAGTGATTCACCAGATGGACTTGCAGCTGAGGCTTATTATAGAGAAGGAATTTATGACAGGATTAGCAAGGGAAAAAGACACAGGGCAGGCAGTGTCTGTGGAAATCCATTCACAGGTTTCATTATGCTTTCTTCTTCCCTCAGTGGGGCAAATTGAGCATGATCCTTTCTTTGACAATCAAAAATGCAATAAAATGTGTGCAATGGTTCTTCCTAGGGGACCCAGTAGAGACTCAGCACCTGAGATTTTCTTAGGCTGGTCACACAAGCACTCTCTGTCAGGATGTTCAAAATTACAAATTCTAAGAAGGAAAACAGTTATATACCATGAATCTCATTATTGGTACAAACAGTCTACACATAGTGATTTACCCTTGATCAGTTAGGGAGCAGATGAAAGGCTAAGATCCCAGAAGTCAGCCAAAGGCTGATCTCACAAGCAGGCTCCTCTGAACATAACAGTTTCAGATCTGCTGTATTAACTCTTTTCTGCACAACATCCAAAACGTTAATATTTTTTATCTTATTAAAAGTTCATAATGACCCTCTAAAATTAAGATAATCTGCATAAAGTTTAGGGAATTTGAAGTAAAAGAAACCTGTATGTTTTGAATTCCAAATACATAGCAGACTCTACTAGGTACTTTAAATATATGAACTCAAAGAAGTTAAGAAATGTGTTTATGGCCACATGCCTAATAAAGGATTAAGAAGCTGAAACTAAAAGCTGACATTGAACAATTCTGGACTACACCTTTGTGCCTTTTTAAAAAAATTACTTAGAAATGTCTCTATTCTGTGCTGACAATGTAACAGACACTGGTAACATGTGGTTATTGAGCACTTGAAGTGTGGCTAGTCCCAGTTGAGATGTTCTATAAATGTGTAATACTTGCTTGATTTAGAAGATTTGGCATGGAAATAATGAATGTAATAGGCCCCACTAAGAATTCTTAATTTTAGATATAATTTGAAATAACATTTTGGCTATTGTGGTGGTTAATATTGAGTGTCAACTTGATTGGACTGAAGGATGCAAAGTATTGTTCCTGGGTGTGTCTGTGAGGGTGTTGCCAAGGAGATTAACATTTGAGTCAGTGGACTGGGAGAGGCAGACCCACCCTCAGTCTGGGTGGGCACCATCTAATCAGCTGCCAGCATGGCTAGGATAAAAGCCAGCAGAGGAATATGGAAGGACTAGACTGGCTTAGTCTTCTGGCCTACATCTTTCTCCCATACTGGATGCTTCCTGCCTCAAACATCGAATTCCAGATTCTTCAACTTTGGGACTCTTGGACCTTCAACCACAGACTGAAGGCTGCACTGCTGACTTCCCTAATTTTGGGGTTTTGCAACTTGGACTGGCTTCCTTGCTCCTCAGTTTGCAGATGGCCTACTGTGGGACTTCACCTTGTGATTGTGTGAGTCAACACTCTTTAATAAATCCCCCTTTATATATACATGTATCCTGTTAGTTCTGTCCCTCTAGAGAACCGTGACTAATACAGCTATACTGGTTCAAATAAACTATGTTATTAAAATTAATTTTATCTGTTTCTTTTTACTTTTTTTCAATATGGCTACTATAAAGTTTAAAATTCTATAAGTGGCTCACATTACATTTCTTTTGGATGGCACTGGTCTATACAGGACCTTGAGGATTTCAACTCCAGGCCAAAATCCTACATGTGATCTTTAAGGCTCAACCATAAGAAGTCTACACATAATGTAGACAATGCCTGTCAGACCTCATGGGAGAAAGTTATCCTCCGCACCCTAAATTTGGTGCACAGCCAGTGCATTTCAGTCTTTGGAAGATGCTGGAGCCAAGGGCTCAGGCTCCCATGGCTGGTCATGCTCCTACATATATCATGCATATATCAGCATTAATAGTGTAGGCACCTCATTTGGAGGTTTCTAATTGGAGATAAAGGAGAGGGCTTTACTAAGGTACTTTTAAGGCCTCTCTGCAAGGATCTTTTTATTTAGGGGTGTTGACTAAGATGGCATGGTACTTTTCCCCTCCTAGCCCTTGCTTTTTTTTCCTCTTAGTCCTCTAGGTCCATAAATCATCCAGAGCCTTTTGTCCAGGCTCCTCAGCATTGAGATGACTTCCCTCATCTGTACTGCATGTCACCTGACCCTCACCTAATGCTGGGTCTGTTGGGGAAGAAAGGAGCAGGGGGAAGCTGGCACTCCATTTGTGTGTGGCTGTGTGTCGTATTTATGCCATTGCAGTTAGTGAATAAAGGCTTGATTGCTACTTTCATATTGGCACATTGTCCTAATTGACCATCCAGACTCCTAGCAGCACTGAGAGGCCTCAATAAAATTGGTCTCCTTCTGTCTTAGTCTGTTTGGGTTGCTAGAGCAAACTATTATAGACTGGGTGGCTTATAAGCATAAGAAGTTTATTTTTCACAGTTCTGGAAGCTGGGAATTCCAAGATCAAGGTGGCAGTAGATCAAGTATCTGCTGAGGGCCTGCTTTCTGGTTCACACATGGTTGTCTTCTTGCTATGTCTTTACCTGGTGCAGCTTGTGTGACAGCTCTCTGGGGTCTCCTTTATAAAGATACTAATCCCACTCATGAAGGCTCTGTTCTCATGACCTAATCAGCTCCCCAAGTCCCTACATTCTAGTACTATCGTCTTAGGGGTTGGATTTCAACATATGCATTTTGGGGAGACACAAACATTCAGACCATAGTACCTTCCTTGTGGCAACTATAATTTGTTTTCTTTTATATATAAAACATTGGAACTGGGAAGATTGAGTTGAAACACTCTTCCTCTGGGCTTCTATATCACAATTCTGCACATCAGTATTTAGGTCAATTCATACTATTAATGTGTTTTGATTTCCTACCCTGTCACCAATATTAAAGCCACTTAAAGATAGCAGCTACATCTGATTTGATTTTTCCAACCTAACACAAAGAATGTTCATTTTACATAGAAAGGTTCTCAAATAATTGTCAATTAAATGAAGAAATAAACTTGCCTGAAGTAATACAGATGGTAAGTGGTGGATAGATATTTCACATGCTGGTTTTCTGATATGTTCAAGGCCTTTTCTGCTAAGATGGCCATCTAAATTTTGGATTTATGGTGTGTGAAGCAGCAGGAAAAAACAGATAAGAACGTGTAATTCTAAGTGATAAAATTTTTGAATATCTGTATTATTTTTCTACTTTTGCTGTAACAAATTACCATAAACCTAGTGGAATAAAAATGTGCAAATTTGTGATCATACAGTCCTGTAGGTCAGAAATTCAACAGAAGTCTCACTGGGCTAAAATCAAGGTGTTGGCATGTCTGTGTTTCTTCCTAAAGACCCCATGTGAGAATCTGTTTACTTATTTTTTTCCCCCAGCTTTTAGAGATTACCTGTATTCTTTGGATGATGGCGCCCTTCTTCCATTTTGCAATGATGTTTCACTTCTCTGACTGTTGTTTTTCATCTTATGTCCTTCCCTCTGATACAATTGAGAAGGTTACCCACTTCTAAGGACCAATCTGATAATGTTAGTCCACTTTCTTAACCTATGTTAACCTCCCCTCCTTATCCTTAATCACCTCAGAAAAAAAAAATGTCTTTTGCCATTTACTGTAGCATACTAACAGTTCAAGGAATTAGGATGTGCATATCTTTGGGGGGCATTATGCTGCCTACCACAATACTTAAATCAGTAGTTCTCATAATAAATTTGTTAATGTCCAAATTACTATTTCTCAAAATGTAGTACCCAGACCAGTAGTGTTTACACCACCTTGGAACTTATCGAATCAGGAAATCTGTAAGTGGGGTCCCCAAAACTACTATTTTACAAGTTGTCCAGGTGTTTCTCATGAATAATAAAGTTTGAGAACTTTCTGAAACTATTCTTATACTTAGCAAGCTTCTAGGAGGTAGCTCCATCTGGGTATATGACAATCCAATTACTCTTCAGTAGGAAACACTACAGCTAGGCAGCAATCCTAGGAATCAGAGAAGGTCAATGCACAAGTGCTTATTAAGGCTGAATGCCTAAGTAACCCTGTTATCATTAAATTTTCTGAGACAGTTGAAGTCAATTTTAAAAAGTCACCATCTTCAATAGCAGCTTAGAGAGTTATTGTGGATAGGCCTTCAAAGAAAAGAGAGATATAAATAATATATTTCATAAATTGCATTTTGAATCTAGCTTAAAATAAAATGATTTTCTGAAGTCACTGGGCTCAGGAATTATAATAGTTTGAAGAAGTCATTTTTCCTTTTAATTGAGCTCCATTTTCCACCCTATAATTAAGTACTTAAATGTTTATTAACATCCACACTAATACTAACCATAAATAAATGATGTATAGGGATAGAAAGAAGTATATGGCACAGTAACTGCCATTGAACAATTGAAAATATTGAGTGGGAAATGTCACTAATACACAATAAAACCATTAACTAGTAATATTGTACAATATAAAATTATGCATGCCTTAGACAAAATGTTCACTTGGTAATATAATTAAAGTGGTTGTTATAACCTGAGAAGGTCTCAGAAGTATTTCCAGAATTCAATAATACTTGCATTTTGTGTTAGATATATGCTCAATTCAAAAAGGTAAATAGTTCAAGATAATCTAGTTGATGTCTTAGATTCAGAACTCAATCAACTGACATCTTTAGTTTTTCATTCCACTGTCATGATTTTTTAGATAAGTTTTGCAGGCCTACTTTTCCGTAGAAAATCAACCCCTGACAGAGAGGAGTTGGCCTGGCGTTATCAGCTTGGCCTGGGGGTTATTAGCATCTGGTTTGCTTCTAACGGTTATGCCATCATATTCTCCCGTTGAACATAAACCATTTCATAAAACAGTAATATCAAACAAGGTAACTCTCTGACTGCACTGGATCAAGACAAAAACAGAAGTGCTTTATAATCATATTTGAACACAGAGAGAAGAGCAATATCTATGTACAAACAACAAAATCTACCAACCATCTTCCTATACTCTATGGCTATAAGTGGCATAATTTATAGAGTCTAAATTATTTTCATTTAGAAAAAGAGAAATAGTTTTACTTTGAATAAATTGAAAATTTCCTTAACTACATATTCCTTATCATATCATATCTTTGTGAGGCAAAAATCTAAAATGCTCCACTGAATTGTCACTGGTTATTTGGAGCCAAAACAGAACTAGTCGTAAAATGACAGTGTCTTCAAACACTCTATATCATAGTCATTATTTTGTGAATAAGGCCTCTGTGAAACAGCTCTTTAATCAATAGGTGGCATGGTCAGGTCACAGTCTAAAGACCATTTCTCAACTCAGTTGAAGCATGGCAATGTGAACCTATTGCTACACTCAACACAAGTTTTAATACGCAGCATACTTTGTTACATTGTCAACGTATAGTATAGACCCGTAGATTTACGTTAAAACGTGCACACTCATTTCTTTAACAATTACTTATTAAAATACTGCAAATACAAAATATCTAAATAATGTTTTCCCGTGTGTGTATATATATGTAAATATTTATGTGCATACACACATACTTAACATCACTTTACAATTCTATTTATTCTGCCTTTTAATACTGTAGAGAAATTTCCCAACTTAGTTATGAAGATAACTTAATCAGGTAATGTACAATAAGCACAGATGGCTTTTGAGACCATTTCGAATTTGGATCATTTATTTTGCTCAGTGATTTAAGTGATTTTCCTTAGTTAATTGAATATAACTGGGGTAACACATTTTTACATCCTTATTAAAGTATTTTGATGGATTTTCTTGACACAAGATTGTTTTTCTTACAAGATTTAAATAAATACAACTATCTATTTATCAATCTATCCCCATGCATGCATACATATACATATATAAGCATGTTCATATACTTGTATATATTTATACACCTGTGCATAACATTCAATTTACAGTTCCTGTTGTGTAATGTTTCCATGAGCATAAATCATTTCCTTATTTGTTCAGTCTTAAAATGTTTTTCAGTGTTGTATACAAAATTCACAGATAATTGAATATAATAGCTCTTTCTTATTAGTAGTACTTGTCTATTGCTTTGTTTATATATAACTCCTCTCTATTGCTTTGTCTATGTATAATTCCTCACTATTGAACAGTGGATCTCACTTTTGAGAGAACATTTCTCTCAATTTTATACCAATAATGTATTCCAGGAATTGGCTATCAATTTTATTACCTTGTTCACTTCATCCTGTTTATCCTCTGCTCTCTAGTGATAAAAGGGCAAATATGTGAGTCTAATATATTCTTTTTTTTTTTTTTTTTTTTTTTTTGAGACGGAGTCTCACTCTGCTCACCCAGGCTGGAGGTGCAGTGGCACGATCTTGGCTCACTGCAACCTCCACCTTCTGGATTCAAGTGAGTCTCCTGACTCAGCCTCCCCAGTAGCTGGGACTACAGGTGCATGGCACCACACCGGGCTAATTTTTTTGTATTGATAGCAGAGATGGGGTTTCACCTTGTTTCAATCTCCTGACCCCGTGATCCACCTGCCTCGGCCTCCCAAAGTGCTGGGATTACAGGCGTGAGCCATCTCACTCGACCAAGTCTAATATATTCTAATGGTCACAGTAATGACCAAAGTTGAGAAAAGTAATCTGTGAAAATTAAACTGACATACTGAGAGAAATGAAAATAAACAATGGAGACAAAATTCTGGATTATAGAGTAACATAGAGCTCCCAATACACCAAAGGTGAAGTTGTACTGCTGCCATTTCTACAGTTCAGTTACAGGAGGCAACTGTCTCCTTTATACTTAAGATATATTGAGCCAGTTTTCTATCACAAGTAATTTTTGGGAGGAATTGATTTAAATTTCAAAGTCATCTATTATTTTTGAGGGGATTTAAATTAAAGCATATTAAGGAGACTATACAATGTGGAAAGTACTCTTCTAGTCATAACAGCACATAATTTTAATGCAAGCTCCTCAACACATCTGTATGATTGTGTGTGTTTGCATGTACAGGTGTACACACATTTATTTTTCATGGTTCATAACAGGCAGGTACACATAAAATAGGTAAGAAGGCATAATAAATATAGGGCTAAAAGACTTTACAAACAGGCTGTAGGTATTCAAAGAGGTGGCACAAATGAACAAAAACACAGTAAGCCTGCATATCATACTGCACAACAGGGACAAAGCAGTGACCAGAACATTCTGACTCTCAGAAGTCTTTGAGGTTTGCTAGCAAATAACGTGTCCCAATAAGTCATTTAGACAGTGGAATGCTTAATGTTTGATTTGTATCACCTGAAAATCTCCAGGTCTGGTGAACAGAAGTCTGACTTGAATCACCACAATAGTTAAAACAGCTCCACAATTACAGACTTGAGCTAGTTCACAGCTCAAGAGTACCTTGGATTTATGATATACTCAGGCCCCTTAAGGAAGGCTCCTGCTATACAGCCAAAAGCTTTCCTCTGTATATCTCCCAAGCCTTCTACAAAGGGTTATATGATCATTTATTTACCAGGGTGACTAAGCATTTGAGAAAGGGAAATGATCAGCATTTTGGGGTATTACTGGATTTATTAATTTGAACCAATAATTCCTGGAGACCCCAAACACAGCTGAGGCCCACAGTCGTACTAGGGGCTTTTACAGGTTATGATATAAATGAAATTTTGGCTTGAGCCATTCTCACAGTGTACCCAATGGACTGTGAATTCTCTCTGTGAGTAGATCCTCAGTACAGAATGCTGACAGAAATAGACTTATTCAGTAACATGCAGAATGGCCACACGGACTCGCTGACCTGTAAAGTGGGAAACATGGTGTTGGAGTGAGCCAAATAGAATCACCAAAACCGCCTCTCAAGTACAATAATGTTTAATAAAATAGATAGCACATAGTGCATTACTGGAGGGATTGCAGGGATTAGTGCCACCATTAGAAACTTGAAAGATGCAGGGGTGATGAATACTACTACATAGCCTTTCAACTTATAATTTGGTTTATGCAGAAAACAGATGGATTTTAGATATTAGCAGTGCATTATTGTAAACTTAATTGGGTCTTTATTCTAATTACAATAGCTTTTTCAGCTGTGATTTCATTGCCAGAACAAATAAACACATCCACTGGGACCTGGTATGCGACTATTAATCTGGAGAATATATATATATTTTTCTCAGTACTTACTACTTAAAGATTATCTGTTGGGAGGCTGAGGCGGGTTGATCACCTGAGGTCAGGAGTTCGAGACCAGCCTGACCAATATGGTGAAACCCCATCTCTACTAAAAATACAAAAATTATCTGGGCGTGGTGGCGTGTGCCTGTAGTTCCAGCTACTCAGGAGGCTGAGACAGGAGAATTGCTTGAACCTGGGAGGCAGAGGTTGCAGTGAGCAGAGATAGCGACAGCCTGGGTGACAGAATGAGAATGCGTCTCAAAAATAAATAAATAAATAACTTACATTAAAAATAAAAATGAAAATAAAGATCATCAGAACCCATTTTCTTTAAGCTGCCAGGGCCAACAATACCACTTCTCTGACCCCTCAGGACAATTTTAAATTTCCAACCTTGTTTCTCTATTCTAAAGGACATCATGCTGCTCCGTTAGTTTGATGATAACATGTTCTCTTGATATGGTGAGCAGAAAGTAGCATATATACTAAAATCCTTTGTAAGACTCATGTACTCCAGAGAATGGGAAATAAATCCCACAGAAGTTTAGGGGATTGTTACCTAGGCAAAATATTTTAGGGTCCCATTGTCCAGGACGTGAAGATATATCTTTCAGTGTGGAAAGATAGGTTTTTGCATCTGGCACCCCCTACCACTAGAAAACAAGACACAATGCTTATGGACAGTTTTGCATATTGGTAGCTCCATTTACCCCATTTTAGTGACCCATTTATCAAGTTACTTTCAATGTTGCTAGTTTTGAACAGGACACCAAACAATAAAAATCTCTGCAAAAGACACTATGTTCCACCAAAACTTTCTGCCACTTAGCCACATAGCCCAAATATTCCATTTTTCATGAATTGTCTTTGGCAGAACAAGTATGCTGCTTAAAGCCTTGGGTTTGTTCTTAGAAATTTATAGTAAAGTGGTGCCTAAACCAGCTTCTGGTTTTCTATATGGGCCTAGGAAAGACAGCACACTTGACCATACAGCATGCGATTACCATGCAACCTGAGCTTCCCATAATGAGTCAGGTGTTCTATGACCTTCCAAACTTTAAAGGTGGATGTGCTCAGCAATACTCCCTCGTCAAATGGAAGTGATACAGACAAGGTTGGGCTTGGGGAGGTCCTAAAGTCATGAGTAGGTTACATAATCTAGCTGGCCGATCTCAGTGCAGTTCAGTTGACTATTGAGGGCTAAATCTCCATGGCTCTTTCATGTTTCTACATGGTCTCTAAACAAAGACAATAACTGGTTTTGTTCCACTCAATCTTTTAAAGAATGTTTGTGTAGCAAACAGCCTTGAAGATATGTTGTCTCCCTATGGAGAAAATTAAAGGCCTAACTGCAATCCAAAATAGTAGAGATAATGTATTTCTCCAGAGCAAAGAGCAGGCAGACTTACTGGCCATTATAAAGGATTTAGGTTTTCCAAACATAGGATTTCTCAACTATAATACAACCTGTAACATGTATAGGCATAATGTAGCCCCCTTTGAATTACTCTGTGATAATTGGGGCTCAAGTAACAAGATACAGAAACTGATACTCTGGCTTCTGTTATTTTTGTGAGTAATAACTCTTCATCTTGGTCTAGTCATTTCATGTATCTCTCTAGCATCCATTAAATAGTGGAATAATAACTTGGTAGTTTGCAAGCAGAGTAATACTTTAGATTTTTTGTGTGTGCGTGAGGCAGTTTTGTTCTTGTTGTCCAGGGTGGAGTGCAATGGCATGATCTTGGCTCATCACAACCTCTGCTTCCCGGGTTCAAGTGATTCTCCTGCTTCAGCCTCCTGCGTGACTGGGATTACAGGTGCCTGCCACCACAAAAGACTAATTTTTGTATTTTTAGTAGAGACAGGGTTTCTCCATGTTGCTCAGGCTGATCTTGAACTCCCGACCTCAGGTGATCCACCTGCCTTGGCCTTCCAAAGTGCTGGTATTACAAGCATGAGCCACTGCGCCCAGCCATATTTTAGATTCTTTATAGTTACTGAAAGTTTCGGCAATGAGGATAAAGTGCTGATAGGTACATGGTTTTCTGGAGGAGAAAGAATGTGGTCCTTGTGAGATGATATGGGGATTGTAAAAATTCTCATTCAGAACTGTTAGCAAATGCTCTCATCCAAATGGTGAGTGGGAGGGGGTGCTAAAAGTCCTTCACTCCCCTACCTATTAATGAATGTTTAGAGAATAAACAGTGAGAGTTAAAACAAGCTGCCCCAGGGGTGCTCTGATGATTGCCCACTCTCCTTGAGACAGGAGAAGGGAGGTGTGTTATGATGACAACAGGGCAGCAAGTCCTGTGGGCCTGGACTAAAGCCAACATGCCTGTAGTTAGCAAGTCAGAAAGTTCCCAAGGTTGAAATGTATGGTGTTAGCAACAGGGTGTAGAACTCTAGGTGGATGAAAAACATTACAGGTGTGTCTGATTGAGCAGTGCATGTAGCTGTTCAAAACTAAAATTAAATGCAATACCTTGCTTATTGACAGAGAGCAGTTCTCTCCTTCCATACTCCCATCCTTTCCTCCCACTCCACCCTGATATCTGCTACTTTAAGGAGAAAAATCATTAGAGATAAGGCTTAGGTTGACAGTTATTGAAATTTTTCAGTTACACGAGCTATAATGATACCATGCCATGCAGAAGTATGTTTTTACTGTTGTTTTTATTTGGAAGTTATTTGTCGATAACAGTGTATACATGGATGTCAAGTTAGGTTTGTTATGTGTCAATATAGCTCATCTGAAATTATGTTTCCCAAAATTCTCTTTCTCATGTGCTGCTTGCCTGGGATTGTCATGAGAGAAATCTGTGCAATATTTGGAAGGTGAAAAATGAAACAGCCACTGTGTTTATACTGGGAAGTCTGTACAGAGCTAGACACTCTTGCAGCTCATGCAGGTTGTTATCTATCAACTGGCTCATGTTGTTGGTATGTGGTAGCAGGTCTTCCAGCTTCTTCTGGGTCACTCTCTCCTGCTCCTTTGACTATTGGGACAGTTGAAAAGGAACGACCTTCTCCTATAGGTCACTCATATATAGACATTAGAAGCTTAGATATGGCAAGAGACTAACTTGGTTTCAATTAATGTGTGGGTTCTAGCTTGTCTTCATGGACTCCAGTTTTTCCTGAGTCTTCTCTACCATCTGATCATCCTCCTCCCTAACTGCCTGCACTCCTGATGCAGGTGCTTCCCAGTGCTGTACCAGACTCTGACTCAACAGAAGTAATAAACTCCCTAACTACCACAATTATGTAATCAAAGCCACATAATAATTATTTTATTTGACATCACTTCTAGTGGTTCTGTTTCTTTGATAACATCACGTCTGGTACAAATAAAAAGAAAAATATACAATACTCAGGAGATACATTTTGTTACTTGATGAATATATCAAGAAGCCTCTTAGTAAGCTAGAAATGGAAAATGACTTTCTTAATTTGCTAAAGAGTATTTCTAAATTATCTCCACTATACATCATATTTAACAATGAAAAGTTGAAAATGTTCATTGTGAGATCAAGAATAAAACAAACATGCTTACTATTACCAACTTTATTAGTCATATTATTGGAAATCCTAGCTAGTATGATAAAAAAAGAAAATATAAATTATAAGATTTGGAAAAGAAGAAAACACTGATTATTTTGAGATGACTTAATGTGTACGTAGAAAATCTGAGATAATCTAGAGAGAAATTCTTTTAGTTTAAAAGATAAATTTGTCAGGGAACTATATACAGAAACAATTAAAAATATAATTATATTTTTATATGTTGAAAATGAAAATTAAAAAGTAAAATTTAAAGACTGTTAGCATTTATAGTAGTTTGAGAAAACTTCAGTTACCTAGGAATAAGACTGATGAAAAATGTGCAAAATTTCTACTTTAAGTGAATACGAGGATTTTGTGATATTTATGTATGGCAATGCATTAGTTTGCTTGTGCTGTCATGACAAAATCCCACAGACTGAGTGGCTTAAGCAATGAAACATTTATTGTCTCACAGTTGCAGAGGCTAGAAGTTTAAGTTCAAGATACATGACTGGTTTTTGGTGAGGCTTCTCTTTCTGGCATGTAGATAGCCACCATCTCATTGTGCATCACATAGTCTGTCCTCTGCTTTTGCAGAGAAAGAGAGAGAGAGAGAGAGAGATCTATCTGGTGTCTCTTCCTCTTCTTATAAGGCCACAAATGCTATCTAACTAGGGACCCACCCCAATGACCTCATTTAACCTTAACTACCTCACTAAAGACCCCACCTTTAAATACAGTGACATTGAGGGTTAGGGCTTTAACATATAAATTTGAGGAAGGGTGGGGAAGAGTTCAGTTTATAACAGTGAGTGTTCATTCCTACACTATTCATAGTAGCCAAAAATGTGAGATAACATAAACAACCAATAGTAAAATGAATAATTATATTGTGATATTTTCTTAATATAGACTATGGGATACTATATAGCAATAAGAAAGTAAGAAATTTTGCTACATATAATGCATGCATGAATGAATGCTACCAGCCTCCTGTTGAGTTAAAGAAGCCAGACACTAAATAGTAAATTTACATGTATGATTCCATTTATATAATGTTCATAAATAGACAAACGTAATCTAATATGATGACAGAAGTCAGCATATCAATAAACTTTGTAGGGGACACATTAACTAAAAAGAAATGAGAATACTGGGTATTACTAATGTTCCACTTCTTCATCTGTACTGTGGTTACACAGATGTGCTCACTAGGTAAGCGTTCATTTAGTTACACTCATGAGTTATTTATTTTTTGATATCCATGTTTGAAATGTATTTCAATAAAAAAGTCACTTTAAAATGAAAAGGCTGGGTGCGGTGGCCCAGCACTTTGGGAAGCTGAGGTGGGTGGATCACCTGAGGTCAGGAGTTCAAGACCAGCCAGGACAACATGACAAAACCCCATCTCTACTAAAAATACAAAAAATTAGCTGGGCGTGGTGGCAGGCACCTGTAATTCCAGTTACAAGGGAAGCTGAAACAGGAGAATTGCTTGAGGGGGAGGTTGCAGTGAGCCAAGATTGCCCTATTACACTCCAGCCTGGGTGACACAGCGAGATTCTGTCTCAATAAATAAATAAATATAAAATGAACAGTAAAAATTAGGAAAATATCACTCACATGAAAGCAACTAGTTCTGTTGTCATTGAAATTCTGGTTTCAATTGAGTCAAGTTAATAATAAAATAAAATCACTGCATGAAATTTAATACTAAGGGGGCATCAAATTGAAAATAAAATAGAACCAAACATCAACAAGAAAAATTTTAGTGTGCCATCCACTACTTTCCCTTTCAGGGGACACTTCTCAAAACATTACCTTGCTATATGCACTTTCTTACAACATTTTTACAAAAAATATGTTCACTGTCTCCAAACTATACTGCTGCATTCTGTTCCCCAAGAGATGCTTAACATTTTTACATCATGTCTTTTTATTATTGTTATTATTGAAAGTAGTCTTTCTCTCCATCTGTGTTTTCAGAAAGTTATCTAATCTTCAAAACTCAGATACATAGCTTCATTCTCTCTAAAGCCTTCTGTCATCATCTCAGCCAGAAGACAACATTCACAGATCTCTGTGACGCTTACTGGAATGAGCTTGGTAGTACAAGTGTTTTTAATTTGTCTAGCATATATCATTTTACTACATATAAAACTAAAATGTTATATGTTTTTGAAGTCATTGTTGTTATCCCTTTACTATCATGACTACATAGTAATAATTGTAATAAAAAATAGCTTTTCTATTTAAGTTGTTAACATGAATTAGTTACATTTTGAACATACAATAACTTTATAATTGAAACAGAAAATCCCTTAGGGAATGTCACAGAAGGTAGATACATTTTAGTTGAATGTTTCCGTGTGTTGACAATTTTAAAATATGTAACAGCTACTTAAGAATGGTCTAGAGGACCTTAGATCTCTAAGAATAAAGGTTGTCAAAAGGATACCAAATTAGAAATGAGAAAATACTGAGTGTAACTTGGCCACATAGATGTACATTTATTTCTGGAGCTTGCTCTGTTTTTGCTTAATGTTGAGATCAGGTAGTTCTGAATTTTCTGCCTTGTACTTATGTCAAAAATAATTAAGTCAAATTTGCTTCTTGAGTCTTTTAAAGCATGTGCTAAATTTATTTTATTAGCTCACACACACTGTAAGATAGATTCAATGAGGTTTATGTGATATTACGTTAGTACATAAAATTGTCTAGTTTTACAGACTGGTTACTCTAATATCTAAAAGAAATCAGCTTTTTCAAATGGCATGCCTAAGTCAAATGAATAAAGAGAATGGTTTTGTGATCTTTCCTTACCAAGTGAGAAGAAATAGGATATTTACTTACTTCTAAGTACATGAACACCAAATATGCTTTTTAAAAAAGTGTTTTATAAATGGTCCAGAGAAAGAATCTAATGCACATAATAAATACTTTCAACTAATGAGGAAATTTCAAAACTGTTCAGTAATTTGTGCTCTGGGCTTCTCACATGATGAAAGCTGAGTATTCTGGAAAGTAGAACACTGGGACTCTAACATTCCACCCTAACACTCTAAATAAGGCTCCTAAATCATAAATTGACATAATATTTCTTATGAAAGAAATATCAACTTTTTAAAAAGTCATTTGGAGTTTAAAAAGCATGTTCCTTTCTCTAATTTGTAATTTATCATCAACTTTACAAAATTTGAAGTTATTTTATTTAATGTAATAAACAACTTCCTGCACACTCAGTTTTCATCTTTATTGCCCATAGCAATAGTAATGTAATAAGGAGATGTACAATTTCCAGACAGATAAATATGGATTTTTTACCAGGCACAGTGACTAACACCTGTAATCCCAGAGCTTTGGGAAGTCAAATCAAGAGGATCACTGAGGCCAGAAGGACTTCAAGAACAGCCTGGGCAAAATAGTGAGACCCTGTCCCTTCAGAAACATTTAAAAATTAGCCTGGTGTGGTGGCTTGTGCCTGTAGTCCCAGCTACTCAGAAGGTTGAGACAGGAGGATTGCTTGAGCCCAGTAGTTTGAGGCTGCAGTGAGCTATGATCACACCACTGTATTTCAGCCTGGGTGACAGGGTGAGACCCCGTTTCTAAAAAATAAAAATTTATATAAATAAACAAATTTAGATTATTTAAAACTGGCAGGGACAGTTTTTTGTCAATAGAATCATTTTACTATGCACATTCTATGTGTCTTGTCTAATAATGCTGGCTACATCTGTGCTCAGAGAGTTGTATGTACAGACACGTGTGAAATAAAACAATTCAATAATTTAATTTAATCTGTGTAGACTTTTTTATATACTTCAAGTTTTATATAGACTTTTAGACATCAAATTTTATTTAAAGTTAGAGAAAACTTAGAGAAACAGCAGAGGAAGTGCATGTATACTTGTCAAAGAAAACGTCATTTAAGGCTGGGCACAAGGGCCCACACCTGTAATCCCAGCACTTTGGAAGGCCAAGGAGGGAGAATCAGGAGGTCAGGAGATTGAGACCATCCTGGCTAACACAGTGAAACCCCGTCTCTACTAAAAATACAAAAAAAAAAAAAAAAAAAAAAAATTAGCCAGGCGTGGTGCCTGGCACCTGTAGTCCCAGCTACTCGGGAGGCAGAGACAGAGAATGGCGTGAACCCGAGAGGCGGAGCTTGTAGTGAGCTGAGATCGCACCACTGCACTCCAGCCTGGGTGACAGAGCGAGACTGTCTCAAAACAAAAACAAAACAAAACAAAAAAAATTCCAACTAGGGAAGAACCTAATTAACATTTAACAAGCTCTACACAAAAGTCATAAAATAAAATACAGTTGAATAGAAGAGATAAGGAAAGGCAGGGTGTTATCTATTAATTTCACTTATGAACATAGTGTTACCTGCAGGTCTTTTTTCTTAGAGTTCCCAAGATGGTGGCAGGCTGCTCCCAAGGGCGCTGCTCCCAAGATGGCGGGAAGCCTTTTGTTCTCTGACCTGGGGTTCTTGGCCTCACAGATTCCAAGGAATGGAACCTTGGGCCATGCGGTGAGTGTTATAGCTCTATTAGAAACCGTGGGTCACAGAAGAGAACTGTGGAACCCAGCAACTAGTGTTCAGCTTGATTAGGATGAACCCGGGCACTTAGCCGTGCAGGAACAACGGCGAGCCTCTAGCCCCATTAGGAACGGCAATGGGCGCCTCCTGGATCAGAAGCGTAGGAGACACGCTGCTGGATCTGGTGGGGTGGAAGTCAGCAGCGGGTCTGCAAGGGCAGTGATCAGCAGTGGTGGACGGCGACTGAAAGCTCAGCTCGAGCCAGAACAAGCCAGAACAAAAACGGACTAGAAGAGTGTGAAGTTGCAAGATTTAACAGAGTGAAAACAGAGCTCCCACACAATGGGAGGGGACCCAAAGCGGGTTACAGCTACTGGATCGAATAATGCCTGGGTTTTTATCCCGATCATTGTCCCTCCCGCTGTGCTCTCAGGCGATAGATGATCTGATTATTTCTTTACCCCCTGCTTTTAGCCTAACTGGTATTTTAGTGAGCTTTCTTTACTACCTGATAGGCTGGGTGTGAGCTGAGTTACAAGCCCCGTGTTTAAAGGTGGGTGCAGTCACCTTCCCCAGCTAGGCTTAGGAATTCTTAGTCGGCTTAGGAATTCTTATTCAGCCTAGGAAATCCAGCTAGTCCTATCTCTCAATAGCGTAACCTTTGATGAAGAGGTGGACAATATTTTTAAAAACTTTGTGGTATACAACTTTAATGGGGTTTGTTGACGAAAAGAGTCAAACTCTATAAAATATTTTAAGAGATTTATTCTGAGCAAAATATGAGTGACCATGGCCCGTGACACAGCCCTCAGGAGGTCCTGAGAACATGTGCCCAGGGTCGTCAGGGTACAGCTTTGTTTTATCTGTTTTAGGGAGGCATGAGATATCAATCAAATATATTTAAGCAGTACATCGGTTTGGTTCAGAAAGGAGGGACAACTCAAAGACTTCCACGCTATAGGTAAATTTAAACATTTTCTGGTTGACAATTGGTGAGTTTGTCTAAAGACCTGGGATTGATAGAGAGTAACGTTCAGGTTAAAGATAAAGGATTGTGGAGACCAAGTTTTATTGTGCAGAAGAAGCTCTCAGATAGCAGACTTCAGAGAGAGCAGATTGTAAATTGTTTCTTATTGGACTTAAAAAGGTGCCTGGCTCTTAGTTGATTATCTCCTGGATCTGGAAAGAAAGGAAAGAAAAGAAAAGGGGAAAGGGATTCTCTATAGAATGTGGATTTTTTTTTCCCCCAAGAGACTTTGCAGGGCAATTTCAAGGTATGGCAAGGAAGTATATTTTGGGGTTAAATATTTTTTTCTTGTCTCATAATGTTATGCCAGAGTCGGATTGAAAACTAAGTCACAATATATAGGGTCAAATAAAATCCATCTGATGAGAATTTATGGTTTGTAGGGCATGGCTCCTTAGACCCCTTAGGTAGGAATTTGGGTAAGATAAAATATCAGAGCTTAGTCCTCAGGTTATTCACACACAGGGACTATCAGGAGGTTGGAAGAGAAATTTATGAGTGTGGGAGTAGGAAGAAGAGCACCCCTCTTTTTTTTTTTTTTTTTTTTTCCTGACGCAGCCTCTTAATTGGGAGAGAGGAGTTCTGGAGGCAAGCATATTTGGCAGCTCCAGAGTACAGGTGAAGAAAAATAAGGGTTGGCCGGGGGGTGGGGAGGGGAGGAAGAAGAAGAAAAAGGCCTATAAGTTGACAAATTTATCTTTAACCTTACTTCTCATTTAAGTGATTAACTCACCAAGAAGCAGGAAGAAATTGACATTCACATAGTAGATATGGCACTGGGTGCCTAAATACATTTACACACCAAAATATTCTCAGGTTATAGCTGTGTTGTTCCAGTTCCCTCTATGAGACCCTCAGGGAATTGAATAAAACTAAATACCATCAACGCACTACCCTTCAAACGAATTAAAAAGGAACTATTCAGTTAGAGCCTGGAGACAATCAAGGGAGGAAATAAATTCTACCCACAAAGACAAAAGGGTATAGCAGGTCCATAATTACCTGTAGAGTAAGATAGCTTTAATGAGATTTGGGGTAATGATACATTAACACAAACAGTTGTCTAGTTCTGTAGTTTGGTAATTAAGTCAACTTTTAAAATTAGCATAATTTGCTGGGCGTGGTGGCTCACACCTGTAATCCCAGTACTTTGGAAAGCCAAGGTGGGCATATCACCTGAGGTCAGGAGTTCGATACCAGCCAGGCCAAGGTGGTGAAACCTGACTCTTCTAAAAATACAAAAATTAGCTAGGAGTGGTGGTGGGCACTTGTTATCCCAGCTAATCAGGAGGCTGAGGCAGGAGAATCGCTTGAACCCAGGAGGCAGAGGTTGCAGTGAGCCGAGATCATGCCACTGCACTCCAGCCTCGGCAACAGGAGCGAGACTCCATCTCAAAATATATAGAGAGCATAACTATGTTAAATAAATAAAGGGAATGTCTGGTGATCTCGTGGCAGAAAAAAATCACTTAGGGACACTGAAAATATAGATATTATCCTCACATTAGAGATATGGTTACAATGCCAGTGATAAAAATGCATACATTTTCTTAAACTCTTTTTTCTTTCCAAATTGAAAAAAAATCTAAATATTAAAATAATTTTAAAATATTCTAGGTACACTGGACACACAGCCAGGTGGCACAGATTGAGTTTTCTCTTTTCTGCTTATAAATTCATTGTTATTTTACAAATGAACAGAAAAATCTTATTGAAGGTGCTAGTATATATACGGTAATTAAACTGATTCACTGTTATGGTGATCCCATAGCTTCGATTTCATAAATGGACTACAGTAATTTAGATCAGAGATTGTCCAGATGAAAGCACGTATTATCCCATACTCTAGGCAGCATAATCATTACTTTCTTTGCTACTATTCTGCTCTCTTCTATCTCTTTTTTTTCTACATTTATTTGGCTCTGATCACACTCTCCACACTATCCAGGTCTCTCTCTCTCTCTCTCTCTTTTTATTCTTCTATGTTCTTTGGTAAATGGAAATTTTCCTAGTTTTCTCCACAATCTCCCAAGGAAATAAGAGACATTAGAAATGTAGTATCAGGAGTTTGAACATCAGATATTGCTAGATGAGTCTTTAAGAGAAACAAAAAGCCAAACAGATTTACTAAAACTGCTGTCTATAGACTTGATGGAAACCTAGTAGAAGGCAATTAATTATTTCATAACAAATAAACAACACCCTTCCTAATTCCCTAGTTAGCCATGGTTTAGAACTTCATCTTAAATGTAATCTATTTAAAAGAATCTGTCTCACTTTCACTAATACAAATTCGTGCAGATAATTGAAAAAATAACCAATACACCAATTATAAAAATATAATATTGTTTATTTTTATTCCATGTGGTGTATCAGTAAGGATAACTACGCAGCGGTCCTCTAGTTTCTGTGGCAGTAAGCAATCTATACACAGTCACCTTGGTAAAAAAAAAAAAAACTGGTTGTTTTTACAATATATTATGCAATTTCCAGCGCAGGTTGATAATACAGAGATAGAAGAAATGAACAATGATATTTAAGACACTGCCTAATACTTAAAAAGATTAAATACCAGATGTTAAAAAGGTATCAAATTGAAAATAAAAGAAACTGATATGACCTCTATTGTTTAAGTGGTTCTATTGAATAAAAGCATAAAATGAGCATCACAGGCAATTGTTCCCAAGATCAGGTGTAAAATAAAAGGTAAAGTGAAATTTTAAAATCTTTTAACTTAAGTAAAAATCTTCCACTTTTCTAAATATCTAAAATGTTTAGTTTTTAAAAGTACACCATTGACAAATTCCTCAGAAGTTATTTTCTCCAGAATAAATTTTAATTGTCTAGGTCAGAAGTTAAAAGATAAGATTTAAACAAGTTTATGAGTGGAACAATTGAAAGTTGAAAACAAAATATAAATATAATAAAAACAGATTAAGGAAATTTAAAAAGAGAAAAGATGTGATAAAAGTACTCAGAAAATGTTTTTCTCTTTTTTTATGAGGAAGAGGATTTTCCATTCTTGAGCATTACAATATTTAGATCTAAAAATAATTTTTTCTCATTAAATGTTACTTGATAGTTTTTTATACTTTTTTTTTCTACTTATCTTGGTTAATACATGTAAATCGATGATTAACATATAAGTCCTAATTAGTTTACTATCTAATGAACAATAATGTATAGTTCAATGTTTAATGACATCTTACTTTGAAAGAATATATTACAAGTTTTTAGGAAATTTTCTTTATGCCATATATTTAAGTAAACCACTAAAAACATCAGTGACTTGGCAATCCTGAAAAATATGTAATGATGTGATACAGCAATCATTCTTAGGAAAAACTAAATGAAAATTTGCAGTTAGTGGATAATTTCATTATTAAATGAAAATATTTAAATAATCAACATTGCAATAAACAATTATTACATGCCAAATATTTTAAATACATGCTGTGTGAGGGATGTTTTCCTAATTACATCATTACCGAAATTTCTCAGGTTGCAGTATCTTACACATTAGTAGTAGTACTATATTTCATTTTATTTAAATTTTTAGCTGCCTTGCAGTTTAAGAAGCACAACTATCTTTGGACTAATGGGATTTAAACAATGAAATGAAATCCCTGACTCTAATGCTTCTTTGCTTGAAATATTCTCTTTCAGATGATGGCTGAGTGCACCAACTCACTAGGTGCTATTTTTACTTCTATGATTCCATGGTAACAAATTATCTTCATCTTACCCAGGGTTTCTCACATAAAATCCTCTAAAGTAAGGTTGATCTGTAGGTAATAACACAGAACCAAGTAAAATGATTTATTTTTGAGAATGAATTAAAATTAAACAACATGCAGTTTGCCCAGAACCCAAGTAGAGAAAAGAAATAACTCTAAGAGAAAAGTTCTAATACTAAATTTGGTTGGCTTGTACCTGGAGAAACCTAAAGCAGAAATTTCAATGCTTCATTTTATATAAACAACTACTTGTTGCCTATACAGTAAGTAAACATACTTATGTTTTTTCAACATATTTGGATGATATAGGTAAATTATTTTACATAAAGACTATACATTAAAAAGTAGGAAAAAAGTCTAAATTTTGTACATGTCCCAAATTTAGCATATTTAGAATTACAGTACAATAAAATGTTTTATATGTAGACTTAACATGAAAATTCTTCAAGTTGAATTCAAAATGAATTCAAATGTTTTATAACAATGGGACCCAAATTTTTTCTGTGAACTCAGTTTTATAGCAAGATAAAGCAAAAAGACTATTTTTATTTACACTATATTTAATTTTGCTTTAATGCTTATTTTATAATTTCAGAGAGTTGAGGTAGAATTTATAACTTCTTTTTATGTCAGAAATTTAAGATAAAGTTATAGTCTGTAATAGTATATTTTAATGTTTGTTATTTCTTTATATGTGTATACATAATTTACTAAATTATTTCTCTTTCTTTGGATGTATAGGCTATTTCAGTATTTTTCACTTACCAGTAAGATTCTGATGGCTATCTTCTTGAGTATAACTTGAAATTATTATTGTAAGTTATTGTTCCTATTACAGTGAGATTCTAAGATGTGGGTTATCAGGGTTAACTAACTTGAACACTTAAAATATCTTTCCAGATAATGTTGTATTTATTTTCAGAGTTTAGAGTACAGGCTGTTTCACAAGTTTAGCCAAGCAAACAAGTTCATAGCAAAGTTTTTGTTCAATATGCTGAAGTCCAACTGCTTAATCTAGCTGGGTGCTGTACATTGTGATAAAACACAAAACAACCGAGATGAAGCAGGCTGTCACATTCCACCAGACCTTCCCTTCAGTGTTAAAATACACTCATGTCTCATTCTGGTCACAGTTTAGATGGTGAATGTTCTTTAGGTGGCAGAAGGTTACTTTTCTGGATAAAATAATTCTTAAAAATTATATCTAACTATAATAAAGCTGAAATTTTTATGACTTTTCTAATTGTACTCGAGACTAATCAGAAATATATTGGAGAAATTAGTTTGGCATTTTTCCCAGGAGGAATGATAACCATCCGAAAATGACATAAACAGCGATACATTGAGACAACAGCACACATGACATGGATTAGAATTTGATCATTTACAAGCAATTCCTAGTAATAGCTTTACAGAAAAAAAAAGATAGTTGACATATTCAAAGAACTACATATTATAATAGCTTTTCAGAGGAAAAAAAGCTTGCTTTTTAAAAATATGTTTTAATTTTGAAATACTTTTATATTTACAGAAGAGTTGCATAGAGAGTACAAAGAGATTCCATATACCTTTCACCTAGCATCACTTAGTGTTAATACCTTATATAATCATGTACTTTTATTAGAACTAGGAAATTAACACTAAGTAAATTACACTATATATTAGAGTTCACCAATTTTCCCAATGTTCTTTTTCTTTTCTGGTATCAAACTCATGATACTGTGCTGCATTTAGTTGTCATGTTTCAGTCTCTTCCAATCTGTGACCATTTTTCCATTTTTTTCTCATTTTTCACGACTTACACTTTTGAAGAAAACTGGTCAGATATTTTTTCAGAAGTCCATCAATTTGTGTTTTTCGAATGTTTTCTCGTAATTATACTGAGGTTACGCATTTGGGGCTAGAAACCCGCAGAAGTGATGTGATTTTCACATAGCGTCTTAACTGGAGGTACATTTATTTTATAAAAATAATACAGAATAACAAGGAAGACTATACAAGATGGTGAAGTTAACACTGTGGGACAAAACTGTCTTTCTTAAATATGATTATTACATTTGAAACCAAAGAATAACTGAAATTAGACAATAAAATAACAAAGGAAAGAATCTGAGTTATTTGTGCTGATGTATAATGCTGATCACTTGGTTAAGGGACTCTTTTTTTAAAAAATATAATTCTGTTCCAATAGAAAGATTTTATAGTTTATAATAGAGACAGATAATTCAATGATATAAACAACATTTTGACTAAAATCATCATGAAAATTTCAGATAATGGTAGTTCTTTACTGTTAATGTACAGTTATACTGTAAATACTGAAAAAAATTAGAGTAGTATCTATTAAAGGCTGACACATTTGTATAACTACCTATGATACATTTTTCATAGGTAGTTACATATATATGCATAAAGAATTTGAAAATTCTTTTTGGTTTATTGCATAAAATATCTTCTAAGGGAAAATAGTAGAAATTTGTTGACTGACTTGAAATTAATTAAATTTGCAGATTAACCATTATACTTCACAGTCTGTAAAACCTATGGATTTCCAGAGTGTGATGTACATGCTGAGCTGGTGGTAACAGTCAACTCTACACACACATTTCTACTTGTTGAGTTGAATGTTTACTAAGAGTCTATCTTGTTGGTTCGCAAATGACTTCATATAATTGAATATGCTATGGCATTTTATAAATTAATTAAATATTATGTACATCTAAGATTTGCAGTGAAGGTGATAAGAATACAAGGAAGCCACTGAAAATAATTTCAAATTCAATATGGATACAGTAACTGTAAATGAGAAAATGCCTTATAAATACTTTAACAATTGTGTTATAAGAATAAAAAATACATTTAAATTGTAGATCTAACTTTTGTTTTTTGTTTTGATCTAGCTTTTGAAAAAAACAAACTGAGAAATCATTTGTGGGGTAAAAAAGATATGGACAGCAATAAGTACTTACCTCTATATTGAATGATAGGTAAGTGAAAATACATTAAAGTAGTATAAGTTTAAATTGTAAAGAAATTGTTAAAAATTCTTGCCTTGCTTAAACAAAAGTTAAATTTAGAGACATGCTTGAAATACTCCATTACTTATATATTCTCTTATTTATTTACCTGCTCACTCATTTAATAAATGTTTACTATTTATCTATTACATTACATTTTCAATATTAGAAAAATTGTATTAGCATAGCCAACATTTGTGTGAAACACATAATTTAATTTAGAAAATATTAAATAATATAAAAACGAGTCACATTAAGGTTTTATAAAAATAACACAGAGTAATCAGTGAGAATATAATGAATGATGAAATTAACATTATGGGGTTAAAATGGTCTTTGTTAAATATGATTATTACATTTGAAACCAAAGAATAACTGGGTTAGACAATACAATGATAAAGGAAAGTAGCTGAGAAAATAACAGAAGGAAAGGCTCTGATTAGGGAGAGAACTTGGATCCTTTGTGAAACTGGAAGCAGACCTTTGTGTGAGGAGTAGTGCTAAGATGAAGACTGGAGGAGCACTATCTACAGAGCAGCGCCTGCGGTGGCCAATGGGAGACCATTGAGATGGAGCCTGCCATAGGAGTGAAACGGTAAATGGAGTGAGCAGTGCATATGGAAATAAATGGAAGAACACTGTAGATGAAATAGCTTGTGGTGAAGAATGGAAGCGCACTATGTGTGAGGCTTTGGTGAAGATTGGAAGAGCATTGTGAATAGGTCATGCTCCTTCTTGTTAAAAATAATAAATTCACTTACACGGAGCTTAAGAATTTCTATGCATTAAAACATACTAAATGAATGAAGCAGTATGCCAAAACTTATTAATACATAATTAGAGCAAATATTTGTAAACTTTTCAAAAACTGAGAGTCAGTATTAGGCAAACCAGTAGTCGTTTCTAGAACGCTTTTAAAATATCTCAAATCACTATTAAAAGCACAAGTGACCCAATAGAAAAAAAGGCAAAAAAAAAAAAAAAAAATACAGACACTTTACCAAGGAGAAAATACACATGGCCAAGAAACACATTTTTAAAAATTCAGTTTTGTTAATAATCAGGAAAAAAAATGTTAATGGTGTACCTCAAGCACACATTAGAGGGACGAAAATTGCAATGACTTCATATACTAAACTGTTTTGGGGATAGAGCTACATCCTGAAATCCCTTGAACACTGCTAGTGAAAGTGTATTTGGAAAACAATTTTGCATTAGATAATAACAGCTGGTTATTCTCATTCAATGTAATACAGCTATTTCATTCTTAGACATATAACCTGAAAAGAGTCTCATAATTGTCCGTGAAGAGATAGTTACAATAATACTCATGGCAGCATTTCTTCTATTATAAAATGCTGTAAACGTTTATCACTTTAGATTGGAAAAAGGAATTGTGGTATAGTCATAAAGTAGAATAATTAAAGCAATGACAATTAATGAGTACTTCATACCGCAATACATACCACTGTGTTTTACACATATTCCACAATATATCAGTAGAAGTGACTACAAACATTGTTGAGGAAAGGAAGAAAATCACAAAAGAAAGCTTACAGATGAACAATTTCCTAAATGGCATTTTGAGGAACCCCAACTAGGGACTCTCTTCCTGGCAAAATAACCATAGTTGGTGAAAATTAAACACACAAACTAATAGTGATCTATAGTCTCTGGAAACAGTAATATGGGTATACAACAAATGGAGAAATATATATTCAAGAGTGTCTACTCACTCTCAGGAAGAACATAGCCACTCTCACTCTGCATGCCACCATCCCATCTCAGCATAAGAGAAGCTCCACTCTGGACTGCTGTGTCCGTGGTCCATGTCTATAGTATCTTCCCAGGAGAGGCAGGCTGTCTGCATTTTTTATTCCCCGCCAGCGCTGAGAATGTAAGTATGTTTTTTATCTACGTAGCCCACACTGGTAGGTTGGAAGTTTCATCTCAGGCCTGGAAGATGGAACATACTGAGATGTTGATCACCCTTGCCCCAGCTTGCTTGCATACCAGGGTTCCATACAAGAAGAGACAAGTTAGGAAACTAGAAGCCACCACCTATGCCTCTATCCAACAACAAGCTCTTTTTTTAAATTTTATTTTATTTATTTATTTATTTTTATTATTATACTTTAAGTTCTGGGGTACATGTGCACATTGTGCAGGTTAGTTACATATACATACATGTGCCATGTTGGTGTGCTGCACCCATTAACTCGTCATTTACATTAGGTATATCTGCTAATGCTATCCCTCCCCCCTCCTCCCAACTCACAACAGGCCCCAGTGTGTGATGTCCCCCTTCCTGTGCCCAAGTGTTCTCATTGTTCAATTCCCATCTATGAGTGAGAACATGCGATGTTTGGTTTTTTGTCCTTGTGATAGTTTGCTGAGAATGATGGTTTCCAGCTTCATCCATGTCCCTACAAAGGACATGAACTCATCATTTTTTATGGCTGCATAGTATTCCATGGTGCATATGTGCCACATTTTCTTAATCCAGTCTATCATTGTTGGACATTTGGGTTGGTTCCAGGTCTTTGCTATTGTGAATAGTGCTGCAATAAACATACGTGTGCATGTGTCCTTATAGCAGCATGATTTATAATCCTTTGGGTATATACCCAGTAATGGGATGGCTGGGTCAAATGGTATTTCTAGTTCTAGATCCCTGAGGAATCGCCACACTGTCTTCCACAATGGTTGAAGCAGTTTACAGTCCCACCAACAGTGTAAAAGTGTTCCTATTTCTCCACATCCTCTCCAGCACCTGTTGTTTCCTGACTTTTTAATGATTGCCATTCTAACTGGTGTGAGATGGTATCTCTTTGTGGTTTTGATTTGCATTTCTCTGATGGCCAGTGATGATGAGCATTTTTTCATGTGTCTGTTGGCTGCATAAATGTCTTCTTTTGAGAAGTGTCTGTTCATATCCTTTGCCCACTTTTTGATGGGGTTGTTTGTTTTTTTCTTGTAAATTTGTTTGAGTTCTTTGTAGATTCTGGATATTAGCCCTTTGATCAGATGAGTAGATTGCAAAAATTTTCTCCCATTCTGTAGGTTGCCTGTTCACTCCGATAGTGTTGGAAGTTCTGGCCAGGGCAATCAGGCAGGAGAAAGAAATAAAGGGTATTTAATTAGGAAAAGAGGAAGTCAAATTGTCCCTGTTTGCAGATGACATGATTGTATATCTAGAAAATCCCATCGTCTCAGTCCAAAATCTCCTTAAGCTGATAAGCAACTTCAGCAAAGTCTCAGGATGCAAAATCAATGTGCAAAAATCACAAGCATTCTTATACACCAGTAACAGACAAACAGTGAGCTACATCATGAGTGAAATCCCATTCACAATTGCTTCAAAGAGAATAAAATACCTAGGAATCCAACTTACAAGGGATGTGAAGGACCTCTTCAAGGAGAGCTACAAACCACTGCCAAGGAAACAAAAGAGGATACAAACAAATGGAAGAACATTCCATGCTCATGGATAGGAAGAATCAATACTGTGAAAATGGCCATACTGCCCAAGGCAATTTATAGATTCAATGCCATCCCCATCAAGTTACCAATGACTTTCTCCACAGAATTGTAAAAAACTACTTTAAAGTTCATATGGAACCAAAAAAGAGACCGCATTGCCAAGTCAATCCTAAGCCAAAAGAACAAAGCTGGAGGCATCATGCTACCTGACTTCAAACTATACTACAAGGCTGCAGTAATCAAAACAACATGGTACTGGTACCAAAACAGAGATATAGACCAATGGAACAGAACAGAGCCCTCAGAAATAATACCACACATGTACAACTATCTGATCTTTAACAAGCTCTTAAAGCAGGAGTGTCACTCAAAGAGAAGCAGTGGACTGTCCTCACCCCCAGCTCTGGAGCAGTGAAGCACAAATTTAGCACAGGATGATGGGTGAGCTGTAAGAACAGAGCTCTGGAGCTCTCTCCAGAGTAAATAAATTTACTTGTTAAGCCATTGACATGAGACTGGTAGTTTCAAGAGAGCAAAAAGCTAAACTTTCTACCAGTTTATATGTATTGCAAAACGGCAGTTACTTTTGAACCAACCAAATTGGTGCAATGGAATTATACAGCCAAGAAGAACCTTCATATGGTTACAGCAAACTTCAAAGATTTGTCACAGGAAGTACTCCTGAAAAGGAAACTTAATTTAATTTAATTGGATCATAACGTGTAGATGTATGCCCTAAGACTTTGTCAAAAACAATAGAGAAATCAGCCAGCAATTGGTGAAGCCTAAGTTTGATGTGTTGCCATGAGAGGTCAACAAATTAACAGGGAAGTCAGAGAAAGAGACAAAGACAGCCCTGCTAAAACCACTGTCATCCTTGAGTGACTCACATACTCAAGATTATACCGTGGAAGGAATGAGATGAGAGAGAGAAAGGAACAGAAAAAAGAATTGAAAAAATAATGACTGAAAACTTTCAATATTTGAAAAAAAATCTTAATCTACACATCTAAGATTCTCAACAAACCCTTAGAAAGAGAAAAGAAAATAAATTCACACCCTGACACATCATAGTAAAATGCTGAGGGACAAAGATTTTCAAGAAAATCTTGAAAGCAGTAACTTCTTTTACTCATTAGGTACAAGGGAACTCTAATAAGATTAACAACTGACTTCTCAACAGAAAACATGGAGGCCAGGAGGGGTGATGACTTATCCAAAGTACTGAAAACAAAGGAACAGACAAAAAAGAGTCCAAAGGGACTTTTTGACCAAGCAAAATTTCATTCAAAAATGAACATGAAATAAAAACATTTCCAGATGAACAAAAACTCATAGATTTTATAGCTAGCAAGTAATACTCATAAGAAATACTAGAAAAAGTTCCTTGGGATTAAGAATAATTTACCTGAGAGAGTAATTCAAATGCATGTTAGAAATTAAGAGCACCGGTAATGCTAATTACAAAAATTTAACACCTGGTAAAAATGCATCTTAATTTTCCTGTCTTAACTGATTTAAAAAGCAATTTTATATAACAATACATGTATAATTGCATTGTGGGGCCTATAGAATTAGAATATACTTAGCAATAACAGGACAAAGGATGTGAGTAGGAGAAAAATTACACTGAAGTAAAAATTAACACTAGATGGTAACTTGAATTCAGAAAAACAAGTGCAGGAAACCAGAAATGGTAAATTAGAAAGACAATATAAAAAATTCTGTTAATATGTACTCGCCTGCCTTATTTTTTCCTTCCACCTTCTTCAAAAGATATAATATTATCTAAAGCTATAGATATAACAGTATATTTTTGGATTTTCATATATATATATATAAATGTGTGTGTGTGTGTGTGTGTGTGTGTGTAAAACATGAATAACAATAGGACAAATGAGAAAAAGGAAATTACACTATATAGAACTAATGCTTCCATTTCTTGCTGGAGTTAAACCAGTATACACTAAAGTCAGTTCTGATAAGTTAACAATTATAAGCCCTAGAATAGTCTCTCTCTCTCTCTCTCTCTCACACACACACACACACACACACACACAGTATTATATATATTATACATATATATAGTATTATAAATATATATATATACAATGGAAAAGTCATTAAAGGAATCAAAATACCGTAGTAGAAAATACCTGCTTGATTCTCATGAAAGAAATGAAGGAAGGATATACAAGTAAACATAAGGAGAAATATAGGAAATAAAATTTAAAATAGAAGACTAAATCGAACTATATCATTACTAACATTAAATTAGAATAAGTTAATACAATAAAAAAGCAAAGATAGTTAGACCAGGTTTTTTAAAGATCCATTCTATACTGTCTTCAGGAGATGCACTTGAGACTTAAAGGTACAAATAGGTTAAAGATATAAAGATTTAAAAAGATATAAAGATTTAAAAAGATATATCATGCAAAAGCAGCTATGAGAAAGTCAGAGTGGCTATATTAATACCAAATGAATACAACTTCAAAACAAAAAGTATTACTATAGATAAAGAGAAATAGTGACTGCAGGTTCGATCTATCAGAAAGTTACAGTAATTGTAATATACATACTCCTAATAACCCAAACATGTATAAAGCAAAAAGTGACAAAATTGAAGATAGATATAGATAATGCAACAATGATTTTGTTTGAAACATCAATACCTCATGTTCACTAAAGGAAAGAACAAGTAGGCAGAAGATCAGTAAGGAAACAGAAGACTCGAACAACACTATAAACCAAGTGGACCTAACAGAAATCTCTGTAACACTCCATCCAAAAGGAATGAAATGTACATTCCTCTCATGTGCACATGGGTCGTTCTGCAGTGTAGATCATATTGATAGGCCTTTAAGAAAGTCTAAATAAATATACCATACAAAGATTGCAATTATAAAAATGATGTCCTCTGAGAACAATAGAGGAAAATGAAATAACAGAAGGAAATTTGAAAAATAAAGAAATATGTGGAAATTAAGCAACACACTCCCCCATAACCAGTGAGTCAGATATGAAATCACAAAGTAAATTAGAAATTACTTTGATATGAATTAACATACCAAAACCTGCAGGGATTCATATAGTTCAATGCATATAGGGAAATTTATACCTTAACATCTATATTAAAAAAGAAGAAAGATTTCAAATCAGGAATCCAACCATCCACCTTAAGATACCAAAAAAAAATGAGCAAACTAAATTTTAAAAAGCAGAGAAAGAATATAACAAAGACTAAAGTGGAAAGCTATAAAGTGCAGAACAGAGAAACAACAGAGAGAATCATGAAACTAAAAAGTGGTTTATTAAAAGATTCAAAAAATTAACAAACATTAACTAGACTGACCAAGAAAGAGTAAGAAAGTTCAAATCATTAAAATCGTAACTAAAAGAGAGCATATTATTATTAATCTTATAGAAATAAAAATAAAGGAATAGTATAAACAACTTATGCTAATAAAATATATAAGCTAGTTTAAATAAAATAACTCCTGAAAATACACAAGTTAATAAAACTGACTAGAAGCACTAAAAGTTTTGAAGAGACCTCTATCAATAAAATAGACTGAATCTGTAATTTCTTTGATGTCCCTCAAATAAAGCTCAGGGCCACATGGTTTCCTGAGGGAAACTGATGAATTCTCCAAGAACTAGCGTTACCATCTGGACCTACGTTTTCATTTCTCTTAACTAGTTATCCAATCTCAGATAACAACAAAAAACTGTTATGAATAACATTATTTATAATAGCCAAAAACTGTAAACAACCCAAATGCCTGCCATCTGATGATGGATAAACAAATCGTGGAGTATCCATACAGTGGAATATTATTTGTTTGTAAAAAATGATGAAATGCTTATACATGCTACAACATGAATGAAATTTGGAAACATCATGGTAAGTGAAAAAAAAAAGCCACAAAACATCACATGTTGCCTGATATAATTTCTATAGAATTTCCTGAAGAGGCAGCTCTACAGGCAAGAAAAATTAATAATAATATGATACTGATTGCGAGGCGATAGGGGGAAGAGAATTGGGTGAAAATGGTGAGTCACTGTTAGTGAATATGGATGTTTTCTTGGGAGGATATGAAAATGTTCTAAAATTGATTGTGATCATGGCTGTACTACTCAATGAATATATTAAAAACAAAGGAATTTTACAATTTAAAGTATAAATTGTATTGTGATTGACTGAATTTTTCTATGTTCCCAAAGGTCAGATGTTGAAGTGGTCACTTCCAGTGTGGTTTTATTTGGAACTGGGACCTCTAAGAAAGCAATTAAGGTTAAATGAGGTTGCTCTGATCTGACAGTATTAGTGCATTTATAAGAAGAGAAATTAGGGAGCTATCCAGCCCCAATGAGAAAGAAGAGGTCACATAAGCACACAGCAAGAAGGCTGCTGTCTACACGTCTAGAGAAGAGGCCTCAGAAAGAAGCCAGCCTTGCCAGCAATTTGATCTTGGACATTTTAGCCTTGAGAACTGTGAAAATAAATTTCTGTTGTTTAAGTTACCCAATCTGTAGCATTTTGTTATGGCAGCTATAGCAGACAAGTGTGGTATACTAACTAAATAAAACTTATTTTTTAAAAAATGGACAAAGAATTTGAATTGACACTTTTCCAAAAATGTTATACAATATGCAGTATGTACATGAAAAGAGAGTCAGTATCATTAGCCATCAGGTAAATACCAATGAAAACCATGAGACACCACTCACATCCACTAGAAATTGCATATAATATTCCCACAAAAATTGTATATAAATTTGTACAGCAGCATTATTCATAGTAGCCAAAAAGTGAAAATAATTCAACTGTCCATCATTCAATGAATGGGTTAAAAAATTTAATGTGTCGATAAAATGGAATATAATTTGCCACAAAAAGTAATAAAATGCTAATATATACAACATGGATGAATCTTGCAAAAATTATGTTAAGTGGAAGAAGCTAGACCCAAAAGGACGCATATAGTATAATCCTATTTATATGAAGTTTCCTAAATGGGCAAACTCATAGAGACAGAAAGTAGATTCGTGGTTGTCGGTATCTAAGGAAAAGTGGGAATGAAAAATGATTGCTCATGGACATGGCATTTCTTTTTGACATAATAAAAATATTCTAAAATTAGAGGTGTTGATATCAAAAATGCATATACTAAAATCCACTGAATTACAAATTTTAAAAGGGTGAATTTTATAAATTATAAATTATATTTCAATAAAGATGTTATGAAAACTCAAAACAAATAATAAAAAAAGTATTTTCTATTGCTATGAAGTTTCAAAATAGTCAGTGGGGTACACATAGGTGGTAGTAAAAGTAAAAAGAGAGCAAAGATATATTTGCCAGAAAGTTAGGAGAACGAATATTTTCAAGAACAAGGAAAGGGTGTATGATCAGGGAAGGACACAAAAGAGGCTTCTGTAGCAACCGTATTAAAATATCTACCTTTCTATCACATCTGGATGGCTAATCAGTATTCACTATTGCAGCTCTAATGAGAAATAATTTAGACTATAAAAACAACAGTATCATATAGTTATTGAGACCCCCAAAGTGACTCATCTGTCTGCTGAGTTTTTTCTTGCTGGTTGTCTTGTTTATTATTTATGTTAATAAATCAGATCTTCTACAGTGCATTATATTGGCTATTCTCTGTTCCTACCCACTCCCCCATCTCATTTACTCTACCATGTGCCCTGACAGATTTTTTCCTTATGGAGAGTATATCCCCAGGCTTTCTGGCATAGTGGTTCCTGCTTATGTTTGGCCAATGGGAGTCATCCACAAGAGATCAGAGCATGGGAGGAGAGAAGACTTAGGATAATTACTCCTTTTGTTCCTTCTCTGCTGCTTCACAGTTTTTGCAGAAATTTTCTTTTGTCTACAGCTCTTGTCAGGTTGTCCTTCTTCCTAGGTTGCAGCTCTCAATAAAATTCTAACAGTTTCCTTTACCTGTCCATGGGACTGACATATGATATTGTCTTTCTGCTGTTATTAGTCAGTGGGTGCCTCAATATTGCTTGTTGGTTCCCTTAGTCTTGCTCACAGTTCTGTAAATAGTTTCTTTATTAAAAAATCTTAAAAAAAAACAGCTGAATGTGGGTTGGCTTTTGCTTGGTCCTTAATTGCTATGAGGTTAATCAAAACTTCCAAATGTCCATTCTGACCTTTATTAAATTTGACAGTTATTTCTACACAATCAATGCAGAGGATTGAGAAATAATCCATGTGTCATGTAGTAAAATTATGCATTATAAATAATTCACATTCCCCAAGTGAAGTATTGCTATTCTTTTTTCTTTATATTAACAACACAACTGTGTAAATCTGTGCATTCTTTTAGTTTTGAAAAAATTTTATGCTTAAATGATAGTCATTATTTAGCTCCTATAGGACTGTTGCTACAATAGCTAAATCATGACCAGAGTCTCTGAAATCTGATGATAGTTCTTGGCCCCAAATGAGTCTCTGGAAAATGATAAATACAGTTTAAATAAAATTACTATCAGTCACAGATTTAACAACATCTATTTTTCCATCTGTGTCATCTCTGATTTCTTTGAGCAGTGCTTTCGTGTTTTGTAGTTCTCCTTATAGAGATCTTTCACTTCCCTTGTTAGCTGTATTCCTACGTATTTTATTTTTGTGTGTGGCAATTGTTAATGAGATTGAATACCTGATTTGGCTCTTGGCTTGACTCTTATTAGTATGTAGGAATGTTAGTGACCTTTGCACACTGATTTTGTATCCTGAGACTGAAGTTGCTAATCAGTGTAAAGAGCTTTTGGGCAGAGACTATGTGGTTTTGTAAATATAGGATCATGTTGTCTGCAAACAGAGATAGTTTGACTTTCTCTCTTCCTATTCAGATGCCCTTTATTTCTTTCTCTTGTCTGATTGCAGGGGAGAGGACTTCCAATACTATGTTGAATAGAAGTGATGAGAAAGGGCATTCCTGTCTTGTGCAAGTTTTCAAGGGGAATGCTTCCACCTTTTGCCCATTCAGTATAGTGTTGGCTGTGGGTTTATCATAGTGACTCTTATCATTTTGAGGTATATTTCTTCAAAACTTAGTTTATTGAGAGTTTTTAACATGAAGAGATGTTGAATGTCATCAAAAGCTTTTTCTGCATCTATTGAGGTCGATAATCGTGTGTTTTTTGTCTTTAGTTCTGTTTATGTGATGAATCACATTTATTGATTTGCATATGTTGAACCAATCTTGAGTCTCAGGGATAAAGCCTACTTGATCATGGTGGATAAGCTTTTTGATGTGCTGCTGTATTCAGTTTGCCAGTATTTCGTTGAGGTTTTTTGCATCAATGTTCATAAAGGATATTGGCCTGAAGTTTTATGTTGTTGTGGTACCTCTGACAGGTTTTAGTTTCAGGATAATGCTGGCCTCATAGAATGAGTTACAGAAGAGTCCCTCCTCCTCCATTTTTTGGAATAGTTTCAGCAGGATTGATGCCAGCTCTTCTTTACATTCCATGCTCATGGAGAGGAAGAATCAATACCATTAAAATGGCCATACTCCCCAACGAAATGTGTATAGACCATCCTGGCTAACACAGTGAAACCCTGTCTCTACTAAAAATACAAAAAATTAGCCAGGCGCGGTGGTGGGCACCTGCAGTCCCAGCTACACGGGAGACTGAGGCAGGAGAATGGCGTGAATCCTGGGGGGCGGAGCCTGCAGTGAGCCCAGATCGTGCCTCTGCACTCCAGCCTGGGCGACAGCAAGACTCCGTCTCAAAAAAAAAAACAAAAAAAGCTACAATTGACATTCTTCACAGAACTAGAAAAAAATTCTAAAATTTATATGAAATCAGAAAAGAGACTGAATAGTCATGATGATACTAATCAGAAAGAACAAACCTGGAAGCATCATGTTACCAGACTTCAAACTATACTATTGGGTTACAGTAACCAAAGCAGCATGGTAGTGGTACAAAAACAGACACATAGACCAATGGAACAAAACAGAGAACTCAGAAATAAGACCACACACCTACAACTATCTGATCTTTGACAAACCTGACAAAAAAAAGCAATGGGAAAAAGATTGTCTATTCACTAAATAGTGTTGGGACAATTGGCTAGCCATATGCAGAAGACTAAAACTGGACCCTTTCCTCACACCATGTATAAAAATCAACTCAAGATGGATTAAATACCTAAATGTAAAACACAAAACTATAAAAACCCTGAAAGACAACTTAGGCAATACTATTCTGGGCTAGGAATGGGCAAAGCTTTCATGATAAAGACACCAAAAGCAATTGCAACAAAAACAAAAATTGACAAATGGGATCTAATTAAAGAAAGTCTGTACAGCAAAGGAAACTATCAACAGAATGAACAGACAATCTACAGAATGGGAGAAAATTTTTGCAAACTATGCATCTGACAAAAGTAACACCCAGCATCTATAAAAAACTTTTAAAAATTACAAGAAAAAAAACAAGCAACCCGATTAAAAAGTGGGCAGAGAACATGAACAGACATTTTTCAAAAGAAGACATATTTGTGGCCAAGCATCATATGAAAAAAAGCTGAACATCGTTAATTATTAGAAAAATGCCAATCAAAATGACAATGAGATACCATATCTCACCTGTCACAATGGCTACTACTAAAATGTAAAAAAAAAAGCAAATGCTGGTGAGGTTGCAGTGAAAAAGAAATGCTTATACACTGTTGGTGGGAGTGTAATCAGTTCACCCATTGTGGAAAACAATGAGATTATTCCTCAAAGACCTAAATATAGACGTGCCATTCGATCCAGCAATTCCATTGCTGAGTATATACTCAAAGGAATAGAAGTCATTCTATTATAAAGACACATGCACGTGTATGTTCTCTGCAGCACTATTCACAATAGCAAAGACACGGAATCAACCTAAATGCCCAGCAATGGTACACTGGATAAAGAAAATATGGTATACATATACCATGGAATATTACGCAGGCACAAACAGAACAAGATCTTCTCCTTTGCAGGAACATGGATTGGGCTGGAGGCCATTATTCTTAGCAAACTAAAGCAGGGACAGAAAACCAAATACCACATGTTCTCACTTATAAGTGGGAGCTAAATGATGAGAACACGTGGAACCATAGAGGGGAACAATATGCAATGGGGCCTATTGGAGGATGGAGGTTGGGAGGAGGGAGAACATCAGGAAAAATAACTAATGAGTACTGGCCTTAACACCTGGGTGACAAAAGAATCTGTACAACAAACCCCCATGACACAAATTTACCTATATAACAAACCTGCACATGTACTCCTGAACTTAAAATGACAGTTAAAAAAATCATTTATTCTTCGGTGTTGCTATCTTTTGGACACTAAAAACACATTTGCAATACAATATACTATAAGCAGTTAAACTGGCAAGGCAGGGAACTGTGCAGTAGTCCGATATAAGAACAATTAATACAAGTTTTGTCAGTAAAAAAGCAAATGTTGTCATAGAACATAAAATACAAATTATAAATATATGTAGTATGGGAAATCTCTTGTAGTCCCAGAAAAACTCTCCATGGAACCAAGGATCACAATAGAATAGATGGTATAGAAAGAGCACACTAACCATGTTTTTAAAAATGTATTATTATTTAAATACTGTATTATTATATTACATATGGTATACCATGCTTATACATAACTATTTTTGAATTATAATTATAACCAAGCGATTAGTATAAAAATGAAATAATATTAAACAGTATAAATTACATATTCAATGCATGTAATCTAATCTCAAAATATTTTGAAATAAGGGCCTATTGAATAGAATTCAGAACTAATTAGAAGGCAGATGGAAGCATTGTTTTTTTCCAGAGTTCAGTATGCATTATGTTGGCAGCCAAACCAATAAAAGGTAAAGATCATTATTGTGACAATTCTGGAATCTCATTATTTTTGATAAATAATCAAATTAACTCTTGCTTGGGATGCTAGGAAAGAGTTAACTAAGAAATAACTTATAAAAAGTGACACATAAAACTTTTAGATAATTGTGTTTTTAAATACACATTCTGATATATCAACACTCCACTTAAATATAGCTTTTGAGATCTATGGATTAAAGGGGAATTTGGATTAATCATATTAAAGAAATAAACTGGATTTTGGGGTTATTATTCATAAATCTGTATCAGAAATTATCTGCTGAAGCTTAGCTGAAAAGTCTTATAATTTTGTTCTGAGCAGGGTAGTGGATAATTGAGGCAAATGGCTGATCAGTGCAGTCTCAAACAACATGCTTTTGCTGTCTTGGAAGGTGTGTTGGATTAATATGGTACATTTGAATTTAGATAATTACCTCAATTACCTGTGTTCCAGAAGTGCATTTATATTTATTTGTGAGCCATTTGGTAGTTATCAATAAATTTGTAAAGATTCTAGGGCATATCTCGTTAATATCTGATAATTAAATATACATTTTCAAAATTTACTACATGATCTTATGAAAAATGATATCAGAATGTTAAAGTTTTAATTAAAAATGACACTTAATAACATAATATGATCTTTTGTTTCAGTCAGCTCCACATTGACTTTTCTTTTAATTTGTTCTTATACTATAGCCTTAAATGATACCCCCATGAGCATAGCCTAAAATACATTTATGAAATAATTTTAAGAATTTTTCTGACATTGTTCCATATTTAATGATGATATACTAGATCATCTAAAATTTAGAAGACATTTCTCAGCTTTATTTATAAAGTATGAATTCCATGACATATGGCTGTTATTTTAGAACCCACAGCAAAATTTTCTTGGTGAATTAGGTGATCAAAATGACTTTTAAGTTTTATGAAAAAGGAGCTTTGTATCACTTATTGATATGTCTTCAGTATTCTCAGCTATGTCTGTCAAAGAGTAGGTGCTTAAAAATGGTTTTTCAATGAAAGAATGAATATTCTTCACATTTGCTAGATCCTTCTATTAAAGCTATGTGCAAATTGTTTCTGATTTGTTGTAAATAAAGATGAACAACGCAAAATACTATAATAATATATGCAATTTTATTTTTGCCTATTTCATATCTCTCAGAGAACCAGGGACATAACTCAGATAGGCATAATGTCTACCATTAGAGTTTATTTTGCCTTCACAAATTTTTACAAATATACAAAATACAAAATAAATTAAAAAGTTAAATCTTTATGAATATTATGTTTAGGGAAGTCATCTGAGCAGAAATCTCTTAAAGTTTAACTATTACCTTTGATAATATCTTTGTTATTATCTTTGATATTCCACAGAGAATGCAAACCGTAGTCATAACCTTGGCATATAACATTTCATAAGAAAACTATCTTGATTAATACATAGCTAGCAACTAGCTGTTTCAATTAGAATATTGCAAATACAGCTTTAAAAAATAAATACAACTTCATTTTACAGACATTGTCAGAGTCTTTATATTGTGTGATTTACATTTCCAGAAAATGTAGTTCACTTAAAGAGGAATAAGATGTGTGAGTTAAAGTGAGTCTATGTTTATATCTTTGTGTGCTGGGGCATCAGAATTGGTTTAACACTGATTTGAGGACAACTGGATCAATACAGAATGAAAAGAATCTTGACAAAGGAAAGCAAAATGAGTGGTGTATTCTTTAGCTTTAAATCAAGTTATATCTTTACTCCTATATTCAATTTTAATGTGATTGCTCAACCATATATGATGATTTAGATTGAAGGACTGACGATATGAACATTTCTGTAGAGAAAGTATTTATGAAGAAGCTGAAGGGGAGGTGCAGCATGGATCATAAACCTTTTCAGTGTGTTATAGAGAATAAACTAGCTTTCATCATAGATATCTATCACTTGCTTGTTTGGTAGTGTCAAATACCTATTTTTTTTTCTCTATTAGCTCTTTTCTCCCCTACCATCTTCTGTCTTCATGTTAATATTTTGCCCATGGCCCCTTACTTAATATATAAATGATATTTCTTTGAAAAAATAAAAAGAGCATTTATTATTTTTTGAATTGGGCAACAATACAAACAACAATTTTAACTATTCCAGTTATGATTTGTCTATTATCAATAGGTCTCACTGGAATATTCAGAGTGGATAAAAGAGTACGTGCTTGATTAGGCATATTCTGAATTGCTAAACCAGAGAAGAGATGCAAAAATACATACTTCTGGTTCCTTTTTTCAATTACTGACTATGGCTCACTACATTCTGTAATAAAATTTTACTTGAAAAAACACAAAATGGAAATAAAAAAGATAAATTAGTGAAGTTTTCATAATAGTAGATGTATTCAATTTAAATGAATGTTTTATTGTGAGATTATTTCTTAAATTTTTAATATTAAGAGTTTTTTCTTACGTGACTACATAGTGATAATTTGCTGTTTTTATATCCATGATGGCAAATATTTTTAAAGCTAACCCTATATGTCCTATCGATATATAGGGGTATGTGCAAAATTTGACTTGCTTTTGAAATCCAAAATCTCAGGAGCAACGTCATTATTGATGAGCCTATTTTTTAGGCTAATTTAAAAATGATTGTATTCCTTTGTCCCACATATTGCATAATGATTATTCCTAATTTCTTTAGACTTAGAACATCTGTCACAAATTAATAAAAATTACACTCCAAAATTTTTCTGCACAGATTCACTTTTTAATCAGTGTATTTGACTTTTTGTTCCTAGGTTGCTCTATAGATATGTATCCCTTTGTGATATTAACTGATTGGACATAAGTGTAAGAGAAAGGACCTTGTCTTTAATAGTTGATTATTGCCTCATAAGATAACGTCCACTAATGCTTCTAAATCTTGGTCAGAGTCCAAGAATACTTTGATAAACTGCTTGTACTCTCTATCAGGTAATGTAAAACAAAGAAGTTAGGGTTTGAGAAATAATACCTCATGATTTTTCTATTATCTCCAGTATTCACTGTGGTTTCCTTAGCCTTGTTTATATAAAATAAAGCATTTGGGTTTCATTTACTCATTCACTTGATTCAGTGATTTATTGAAGACCTGACCTTTGTAAGCACAATCCAGGCATTGAGAATACAAGTTAACCAGGCAGAAAAGATCTCCATACTCCTGGTAAATATTAGCATCATCATAATCCTATGATATTCTTAATTCCAGATTTAGCCTTAAAACAAATATCCTTGAGGGCTTATCACTGGCCAGAAATTGTTTTAGTTCCCAAAGAATTAATAGTGAACCTAACAAACTGTTCTTCTGCTATTGGAGTTTAGATTCTAGTAGGGATGGGAAACAAGAGCAAATATACCAATAAATGCACGCCAGATGGGAGAAACTGAAATGAATAAATATTCAAGATAGAAAGTAAGGGTTGGGGTGAGACAAAACTTCTCTGATTAGTTAATACTTAAGTAGAAAGTAGAATACTATATCCAGTGAAAGAATCCAAAAATAACCACTTTTTTTCACTCCTCTTTGAAAATCAAAATTTTCATGTGATTAATTGTTTAAATGAATTTTATAAGAATACCCTTTATAAGGATGTGCTGGTGTTAAACTATTTTATGTATTTAATGAAATGTTATTTTTGGATTATTTCATTGTATATATTATTCTATTCAGTTTCTCTATTTTTAATAAAAAAGTATATAGTATAAAAGATCATAGAAACATTGAAAGAAAATATAACCCCATATTTGGACATTTTACTTAACTATCTTGGCAATGGATAGATCAAACTGGTCAAACAACAGTAAGAATGTTAAAGATTTGACCGACACAATGAATGATGGAAATATAAAAGATATCCACCCAAACAGTAGAGTTCCACTAATTTTTTTTTCAATCATATGTGAACCTTTACAAAAATTAACTTCATCCTATGCTCTAAAAGAAGGCTTACCAATTTTAAAGGTAAGTGTTATACAGTTAGCACTATCTGACAATGATTCTGTTACATTAGAAAGCTAGCCACAAAAAAGATAAGCAAGAAACTTCCATGAATTTAGAAATGTAAAAGCACTGTTCTAAGTAATTGACAGGTAAAAAAAAATCAAAATAGGCATTAGAAAATAGTAACAATTTTTTTAAAGTTATTATGTATCCAAACTTGTGTAATGTAAATGAAATGAAACTCAGGTGGGAATATATAGGCTTAAATTTTATATTAGAAAAAAAAGAAAGGCTAAGTTTAATGAGTTAAGCATCCAATTTTAAAAGTTAAATGACAAAAACTATAGAATAAACCTAAAGAAAACTGAAAGTAGACCTTAATAAAGAGGCACTGTCTCTGAAGCCAGATTGTCTACATGTGAATCTGTAATCCCCTTTCCTAGTGTTTTGACCTTGAGTAAGTAACTTAAGCTCTCCATTTTCCTCATTTATAATGTATAGGGGATAGTAATAGTACCTGCCTCACAAAGCTGTGGTGAGGATCAAATGAGCAAATATATAAAGGATACAGGGTGTCAGGATTTTACTCAGTAATTTGTGGTTAGCCCTCATTATTAAAAGAGCAGAAATTAATTAAGTTGAGATAAAACAGGTCTTAAACAAAGTCAAAACTGATTATCTAAAAAGAGTAATAACATGGACATGCCCCTTTCAATCCTGATTAGGAAAATACAGGAATGGCCCAAATCAACAATCTTTACAAAGAGCAGACAGGCTATGAGGAAGAAGCAACCACATATGACTCTTTCAATAACTTTACTGTGAGGGGCATCATACAAAACAGGGTAGTATCTGGAGACATGTTGGAGACAAGTGAGATTTAAAAAATTAGATTTTTAAAAATGATGGGCTAGGTTAAGGGAAGCTTGTATGCAGATGGCAAAGATTCAGCTGAACGGGAACATATTAAATCTCTTGAGAGGTCAGCAATTCATAGGATAGTAGACAAAGGCCATGAAAAATGAATTGTTTATAAGTGAGGCTAAGTTTAAATAAAAAATATACAATGAGACTTTTTTCAAATTTTATTTTTTTAAAGACTGCACTGATTTTGCTGGAGAAAGAGGTCTTAATTTGGGAGCAACTGAATATTGAGAGCCAAATCTCTGCTAGGCATCCTGTTAAGAGGAAAACCTCTTGTTAACAAGACAGGCATGACTGTTATTTGTTTAATGTATTTACAGTTTTGAGAGAAGAAAAAGAAAAACTTCAGTCAGGAATTAAAGCCAGATACACTAGTTTAAGTGAATCCATAATCTTTGGACCCCCCCACAGGACTTTCATATTTGCCCTCTTGCCTGAAACATTACTACCCCTAAGTATCATGCCAATATCTGCCTGGCTCACTCATGCACATCATGTCAGTCTCTTCTGTGGTGTCCCCTCCTCAGTGAAGCCATTTCTTCCCACACAATCTAAATAGCACCCTCTTCATCCTTATTGTGACGCTACCTCATATTTCTCCCGTAGTTCCTACCATTTCCTTACGTTAGATATTTTTCTATTTTTTTAATTTTTTTCTGCCTCTCATTGAAAAGCTAAATTATTTGAGGAATTTTTTTGTGTTTCCTGCTGTGTCTTCAAGACCTAAGATAGTACCTGACATTTATATTGTCCTTGAAAAATTGCTAATGGAAGGAATGAAAGAAGGAAGGAAGGAAGGAAGGAAGGAAGGAAGGAAGGAAGGAAGGAAGGAGGGAGGGGGAGGGAGGGTAACAGGGAGGAAGAAATGAATGAACGAATGAAGGAAGGCAAAGAATAAATGAATGCAGTTGATTTTGCCTTCAATCTAGGCATAGATTTTTGTTTACTTTCACTTGCCACCCACACTGAACCCCAATCCTGATAATGCTACCTCTAAATACATTTGGATTCTTTCATTGCCATTACCCTGCTTCAATATACATCCATCTATTTTCCAGAGCTTAGTAATAGCCTCCTAAATTCTATTTCTTCCCTATTTCTTTGCTTTTACTTAATCTCTTGAAATCTATTTACTTCCTAGAACTCAAGTCCTCTTTTTAAAACAGAAATCAAATATCATGACTTCTTATGACTTACCTTCTCTTAAAAGGAAAAATCCAGGTTGGGTGTAGTGTCTTATGCTTGTAATCCCAGCACTTTGAGAGTCCCAGGTGGGCAGATCACTTGAGACCAGGAGTTTGAGACCTGCCTGGCCAACATGGTGAAACTCCGTCTCTACTGAAAATACAAAAATTAGCCTGGCATGGTGGTGGTGCATGCCTGTAATCCCAGCTACTCGGGAGGCTGAGGCAAGAGAGACACTTGAACCCAGGAGGCAGAGGTTGCAGTGATCAAAGATTGTGCCACTGCACTCCAGCCTGGCTAACAGAGCAAGACTTTTTTCTCGAAAATAAATAAATAAATAAATAAATAAATAAATAAAATCCAACTTTACTTAGAATACTCTGATTTTTTACTGGATCCTTCAAGAGCCGGTTGTATGATTTGACCATTAATTCATAATCTCTTACATAATTTCCATACTCTTTACTCTTGTTCTCTCTTCACTCTAACCATACTGGTCTTCTGATATTCAAGCTCCTTTTCATGTCAGAACCCTTGACTTTGATATATTTTATTTCTAGCACTCCTTTCTTATATTTATTGTGGAAGACTTATAATTCATGGCCCAGTTTAAATAACATATATCCAGATATATCTTTTCCTTACTATCCCACTCTCTGTATCTGCAATTATTCCCTCTTCCAGCTCTCTGTTGACTTTCATTATAGCACTTGTATGGAAATATGGCTACCATGGTCTTTTCTATTTAAATGGGTTTTAGTTTCTCTTCCTCTATAAAATGCAAAATTCATCAGGTCAGGGTCATAGTGGTCACTCACTGTTACATACATAGCACCTGGAATCGTATTGGATATGTAATTGTCGGGAACTTTGAAGAGTCAGAGATTTTACTCTCCTTGAAAGCTAACAAGTTAGTCTGTCCCCCAGGCCATAGATGCTGGAAGGAGACATATTTCTGGCACAGAGACAAAGAACTTGATTACACACACTGTAACAGGCAGCATGTGCTTCTAGTGTGCCTTAATACCCCTATAACTCACCAGATATCCTTGAGACAGTGTGCAGCAGCCTAGGTGAACTGCGTACATACAGTGGGTCTGTGTTACAGCTGAGAAACTCCTATTTTTGGAAATCACAGCATTTAAAGGGCTTCAATCAAACCTACTCAACCTTTGTCTTGGAGGGAGACATTTTCATTATTTTTCTAGACAGCTAACAAATATATTCTGTTCTCCTGAGTGAGACACCATCCCTAACGGCAATCTTGTTTTCTATACAGACATCCTTTGAAGGACAGTCCAGAGCAAAATCTGGCAATGTCACTGTTCAAAAGACATGGAGAAATACGAGATCCATGCCAACAATAATGAGAATTCAATAAATGTTACTCATTTGATAAAAAATCAGCCTAACTATATGTCAGGGTAGGGGTGATAGTAAAAGTTTAGATGAGTACTGGGGAGTTCAGGCAAGCTGAAGGGATTTTGTGGGTGATCCTTTGTAAAGTAACTATACATGTGAGCTTGCCAATGTAATATTCTGAGGTGATAGGACAATAGGAATATACAAGTGAACAGTTCAGGCAGATATGCCTGGTAGAAATGCTTCTGATTGTGGTCCATTTCTCAGGTTTCTTTTTTCCCCCTGACACTACATTATTCTCTAACGCATTTCTTTGTACGTGATAATTTTCACCAAGCTGATGATTCTATTACAGCAGGGATAATATTCTAACAACATAAAAGTTTCAATATCTAATTTCTCATATTTCAATCTTTGTCAATTATTTTAATATTGCAGCATTTATTTTGCTCCCTATTCCTACTGCACATTGTCCAGAAAATGTTAATGAGATTTGGCTTTCCTTCTTCTTGGGTTTGCATATTCCTGTCTGGTTGAAAAGAAAGCTGCCTTTCTTTGAAAGCTTGGAAAAAATAGCTTTTGTATATTACACAGGCCTGTAAAAGAACAAGAATGTTATTGAATCTAAGTACTGCCTCATAATGTCTATACTACTTTTTATGTCATTCAACTAAAAGCTCTCCTTGTCCAGTGAAGTATGAAATTTTGTATTCAACCCATCACACTTGGTGACATATGCTCCTCTCTTAGGCAGCCAATGAAGATTCTTTGTATGTCTTCTGTGTCACAGAAACTCTGTTAGGCCCAGGGCTTCAACTGTAAATAAGATATTATTTCTAGCCTAGCCTATCTCACAGAGACAAATTTAAATAAATAATTGGAATAGACTTAAATGTTTTACATTAAAATTACTGGCATATTAGTGCCCATATGTGTAACGGTAACAATGAGTAGGTACAGGCTTGGTACAGGAAATGCCCTTTACACCTCAAAAAAGTGACATTTTATTTGCATATTGGGTGATGAAAAGGAATCCACCAGGCAGAATAAGAACAAGCAGAAGTAGGGCAGCAGGAGAAAAAAAAACCTTTCAGTCAGAGGAGATATTGAAATTTAAGTGTCATTTGAGAACATGAATTCTGATTTATGTCATTAATGAGCTCTCTGGCCTCACTGTCTCAGTTTCCTTGTTTGTGGAATGAGGCTATTGAGATAGGTGATTACTAAAATCCAATTGCAGCAGTTTCACTCTTATGAAGTTTAGATATTGTTATTTTGTGTTCTGAAATGGTCATGCCTTCATTTGTTTACTATTATGACAAGGTAACTGTTGATAGGACTCTGGTTTACTGAAGAAATTCCTTCTTAATGTTTAGGCCATGATCAATAGTTGTTAATCTTTGCTTATGAAAGCAGCGTGATTTCACCATATCAAAACATTTGATAAATTCTATTTTAATTTCCATTGTATATTTGAGGTAATATACTTGAAATAAGTCAATCATCAAAAAAGATTTAAGTTATGGGTGAGCTGAGACTGTCAGAGACAAACTGCTCCATCAACATTTATTCAGAACCTTTTCCTTACTATGAATGTTCAATAAGAAAAAACGTATTCATTCTGTACCTATTAGTGCAGAATTAATACAGAATATTTCAGATAATTATCTAAATTGCTGATACCTCAAGAGCATGAAAATTGCTCAGACTGGTTATAAATAAAAATTCATTTAGTCATCTTCTAACATTTTCATTTTTTTTTCAGCTAAGTCTTTTGCCATTTCATTAGCCATGCAATGTAGTATTCATTAAGGAAATTATAATGCAAAACACACAGAGAATTTATTGGCCTGAACACATTAGCAGGGGTAATATTAAAGGCAAGATGATGTGCTTTATAGTTCATCTTTTGTCCTATATATTTATTTTCCTTTTTATGTCATCTTGTTTCAGAAAATCTCTCATTCAGATAGAAACCTTTATATCTATAAAAAGATATGAAGTTTCTAACAGTTTACTTAAGATTTGACTTAAATAGCTTTCATCTTGTAAACTCCTCTTGACCTTTCATTATTTTTAAGCTTAGAACTCTTAGTTTCCTTACTCAAAAATATTATTAGTAGTACCAATGATTTGCCAGACAATTTTGATAGGAACATCACAACGCTAGGGCATTTGCTTCATAGGTGCACATTTGTTAGCATCTTATATTATATGCAGATAATTATAACTCATATTATTACCACAGATATATGTTAATGTCTAGTTGTCACAAAGCAGAAATGTTAGTTGAGCATAAAAATTAATGTCAGGATGAAGGGGATTATGCTGTCAGCCCTCTTTTACCTTCCACTTCCCAACTCAGCTGCAGGGATGATCAATGCTGCCATGGACTTAACACATCCAGGAACGTGGGCCTTACATTTTTTCTTATCAGGGTGGTGAAAACCAAAATTTAGGAGAACTTTCTGGGAAAGGAGCAACCTCATTTACTTTTAGTTTTTGTTCTGCCTCTTTTCTGCATACTCACTGATGAAGCCAAATGTAATAAATACTACACGAGCATTCAGGGCAAATACACTAGAAGCAAAGTATGATCTTTTTCCTTGCCTTGTTTATTGCACATAAATTTCCTCAGGAACTTTTCTGTGTGACAGCTGGATGATGGGTAAACAATAATCAGTATTTTGGGTCCAATGGCTCAAAAATTCATGTTGGTTGATATAGAATATTATCAAGAATATAAAATCCTTAATACATAAATCAATTATAATGATTGATTGATGAACTGATCATAAATCAGTTCACAATGGAACTCAAAGGTGTAAATTTAGGTAAAAACTTTAATATTTCTGCATTAAATGCATGAATAACTAAGTAATTTTAGCTTATCCTAAATGCGAATAAATTCAGAAAACATGTATTTTGCGTAGCAGATTTATTAAAATGAAGTAAGAAAGGGTAATTCCTTATTCCTTATATTTATATCAGACTTTATGATTTTCAATATATTCTGACATAAAGAATCTTATTTAATCCTCAAAAAAATTATGAGGCTGGTAAGAGAGTGATAGTATCTAAATTTTGCAGATGAAAAAACTGAAGCTGAAAGATTAACTAAAGACACATAGCAACTCAGTGAAAGGACTATTATTTCAAATCAATTAGCATTTATTGAGTGCTTACTACATACAAGGTTTTGTGTGGAGCACTGAGACTAAAGCAGGGAACCAAATAGACAAAAATCCTTGTCCTGATAGAGCTTAAATTATAGGAGTAAAATACAGGAAATTAGTAATATAATATCTGTCTTAGCTCAGGCTGCTATAACAAATTACCATAGACTGTCTGGGATAGACAACGAACATTTATTTCTCACAATTCTCAAGGTTATAAGTTCAAGATCAAGGTGCCAGCCAATTAGCTTACTGATGAGGACCCCATTTCCGAATTGCAGTTAGTCAGCTTCTTGCTGTCTCTTCAGATGGCCAAGAGAGGAAGCCCTAGCTCTTTCTAAGAATACTAATTCTGTTGATATCATGGGGGCTGCATCTTCATGACCTAACCTAATTACATCTCTCAAACCTAATTACATCCCTCAAACTGCACCTACTAATACCATCCCATCGAGGATTCGGATTTCAACATATGAAGTTTGGGGAAATAAAAACATGCAATATAATATAATATACTGTTCATACTGTTAATAATATACTACTTATATTAGTAAGCTCCCTATCCAATCCCCTTCATTCCTCATCTAAAACAAGAGTCAAGATTCAATCATTTTACTTCTTCACAGGAATAATAGCTGTCTATATTGGCCATATCTCAGTAAGTAATAGTTTCAGATCTACATCTCCTTTCCCAATATTCAAGATGAGAGATAAGAAAGTTTTTATCTTGCCCTCACCTAAGAGATCTTATTCTCAAACTTTTGATCTTCTATGTCTTATTTCATATTAATTTTCCGGAAATTATTCTTTTCAATTTGTACCAAACTTTAAAGATTGTGATAATAAATAAATGTTCAGTATGAATAGCCTTTCAAGTCCACCCCTCTGTATGATAAAAATTATCCAAATCATTATTACTTCAAGAGAGAAACTGAGAAGTCTAATGTCTTGAAATCCAATTTAAGCTGTATTGAAAAAACTGATTCCTTAAATAATATTTTATTATATATAAATTAATTTGTACATGTATAAGCCCAAATCATTTAGAATGTGGAGTGCTATGGTTTGAATATGACCCCCAAAGTTCATAGGTTGAAAACTTGATCCCTAATGTATAACTGTTAAGAGATGGGACCTTTAACAGGTGATTAGACCATGAAGGCTCTGCCCTCATTAACAGATAAACACCATTATTGTGGGAGTGGGTTTGTTGTTATAAGAGTGAGTTCCTTATAAAATAATGAGCTTGGATTATTTCTCTTTCTCTTTCACCCTCTCTTGCCCTTCTGCCTTTTGCCATGGGATGATGCAGCAAGAAGTCTTGCAAAATGCTGGCCTCTTGGTCTTGGTCTTTCCAGTCTCCAGAACTGTGAGAAAATAAATTTCTTCTTATTACAAATTACCCAGTCTGTCGTATTCTGTTATAGCAGCAAAAAACAGGCTGAGAGAGGAAGCAACAATGATGGTTAAGTTTGGTGAATATTTTTGTCTTTTTTATTTTATGTGTACGTCTGTGTGTGTGCGTGTGTTTCAAAATTTTTGTGTTTCGGTTTATGAACTTGGTAACTTCTCTTTTTAAAAAATGTGTTATATAATAACTATCTCATAATGATAATGTGATAATTTCATTTACTAGTAACTCTAAATTATAGCCCTCACTATCTTCACCTGTGATAGAAATAAAAATATAGCCTGAGATGTCAAATCTATCATGAAAACTTTCAAATATATGGTAAACTAACACAGAAACTTTCAAATATGTGGACTTTAAGTTTTAATTACACACAAAAGATACTGTGTGTAATTGGCATACTCCTATGCATTATTTTTCTATTAAATAAACCTGTATTAAAAATCCAAACCTTTGTTCCGATGTATTTTTTTCTTCTAGGAAAGAAAGAGGAGTTCAAATTAAGATCCCATTCACATGACAATCTAAAGAAAACATGTAACTATTACTTCCACGGTAGGCTTTCAAACTTCTGTGTTTGCAAAATGCTTTTCAAGAATATGAGCATTACTTTCTTTCCTAGCATACATTCTATCAAAGACAATTTCTTTAATTTGTAGTAACAGGGTAATGTTATCCTGAATTTGCTATTCATCAGAATATTGCATAATAGAAATGATACATGATAATCAGAGTTTCTAAATTACAGTTAGAATACCATTCTATCCTATTTTCTTTGAAAAGGCATATGCATGCTTTTTGTCTTCCTATTGATTTCATTCTCTCCAAGAAGACATAAAAGAAGTTGAGGTTATTATGTTTCACCCCTTTAGCTGTTATGCTGGCTTCTTTTGCAACCAGAGAAATTTGGGTGATTGTGCCTTACTACAATTAGATGAATAAATAAGCATCTTTACTATCCTAAGGCTCCTCATAAAAGGCTCCTCATTTTAAGCTCATAAAAGCTTAAAATAAAAATTGTAGTATACTCATTACTATAGTATTCAATGGAGAGCCTCTGTAGAAAATATTACCAACATCTAATTAAGTACAAATATAACCAAAAGAAACAATGCACCAGTACTTCTCTGAAAGTCAAGCAGTTGTTACAATGAACACTGTCCATTGGATGCAATCTCTGTATAAACTAAAGTTTTATAATTGGTCACATGTTGTTTAGTTATGTATAAACAAAATGGAGACATCTCTCTCTCTCACTTAAACGTTCAGTAGGTATGTTTCTTCTATCCTGTGGATTTCTCCCTTTGTGGAGTGTCTCCCTCTTATGCATGATTTGAAGAGTTGCTAGCCTAATAACCCTGCAGTCTAACCAGCATAGAAGAGAAAAGAGGTCGTAGAAGAACATTCACCCTCTGTTTATCACCCTGACCCAGAAGTTGCTTATGTCACATTCTTTCACATTCCATTGGCTGGAACATCTCCCTATGGTCATAGCTAGCTAGAACAAAGGTCTGAAAATGTCATAATTCCTCTGTTTTTCCTCCTCCTCTGCCTTCTCTTCCTATTTTATCTTTTACTCTTTTACTGGGGAGAGATGGCTGAAAAAAAATTATAGAGTGTTTACTACAATGAAATAGAATGGAAAATAAATATTGGGAGATAATGAAACAATCACTACTGTAGTCTTTTTAAAAACGTATTAACTATTCTGTTCTGAAAAGCTGTGTATATTGAATTTCCAGTAAATTTTCAATTAACTACAATAAATGGATACCAAAGGAAAATATAAATATAAATGGAGACACAGAAATTTTCCAGTGTATATGTTTAAGAGGAATCACTTGCGTCTTATTTTCTGAAAATTGCTGTCCAGTTATTTAGATGATTTGATATTTGAAGTGTTTACTTTATTGGATTCTTCTGTAAGAAGTCCATTCTTATCCCAAGATAATAATTATTCCATTCTTTTTTCTTCTTTGATATTTAAGTCATCAATATCTATAATTTATTTTAGAGAATAAATTATGTACCTGGTTTTATGTTTTCTTCATATAGTGAGTAGCTTCTCTAAAATCTTCTATAGATTTATGGTTTAATTTCTGTCATATACATTTAATTATCTTTTCTATCATTCATTAAATACTTTTTTCATTAAATACTTATTAAGCACTGTTATATGTGGTGAGCATACAATAAGGGTTAAAATATCTGTTTTAAGAGCACAAACACTTTAAGGAAGTCAACTTTTAAAAATATCAGATAATGAAAAGTGCAATAATAATAAAACAGTTCAAGTATTTTTGTACTTCATATTTTTATCAATTAGCTTGCCTTTTCTTTTGTATATAATTATTGCTATACCTTTGCAGGGCAAAATGCAGAATATACAGGGCATTTACTTTCTTTTTCTTTTTAAATTTTTCTTTGGTATTTGTAGATATTTATTCTTTTGCATAAGGTATTCATTTTCATAAAATATGAAAATAAATATTTAAAACTAAGGTCTGAGTTATACTAAATTTTAGTTTAGTGGGAAATATTTATAGATTTTTAAAAGTTAAGTTTTTCCATTTATAAACATGACATCTTATTCACTTAAAATTGAAAATTAATAGTTTAGAAATTTTATACAAATGGTCTTTAAGTTAATTAGTTGTTGTCTAACATCATTTCTATATTTTCTAGTCATTATTTTGATGTGCCAAGACTATGTTACTTTTTAGAGACAATCTTATATCTGGCAAATTTTATGAAGTCTCTTATTAGTTCTAATGATTTCTTAACTCAAATGGAATATTCTAACTAAATGAGTAGCTATCATGTGGTGTTGGTCAACCATTTAGGTAATGAGTTTTCTTTGAGACTTAGCAGTACAATTGAAGGAAGATATAATGATTGTGTTTTTTATTGTGTCTCAGATGTTCAATTATGGCTATTCAGAATTTTCTAATATTTCTTCTGTTAGTTCTGATAACTTATGGTTTCAAGTTGCTGTCTATTTTATTGAGTTTGTCAAATTTATAGGCAGAAATATTATCTTTCTATTATTCTTTTGATAGTTATTGGATCTTTACAAATGCCTTCGATTATTTTCTTAGTTTTGGTAATTTGTATTTTCTACCTTTTTATTTTGATTAGTCAGGCTAAAGGTTCAAAAATTTTATTATTCTTTTCAATGAAGCCAGTTTAGTTTTGTTGATTTTCTCTATTGACTGTACACTTTCTATTTAATTAATTTCTGCTCTTGGCTTTTTTTTTTTTTGGAGATGGAGTCTTGCTCTCATTGTCCAGGCTGGAATGCAATGGTGTGATCTCCGCTCACTGCAACCTCCACCTCCCGGGTTCAAGCAATTCTTCTGCCTCAGCTCCCGAGTATCTGGGATTACAGGCATCTGCTACCACGCCCAGCTAATTTTTTGTATTTTTAGTAGAGACGGGGTTTCACCATGTTGGCCAGGCTGGTCTTGAACTCCTGACCTCTGGTGATCTGCCCACCTCAGCCTCCCAAAGTGCTGGGATTACAGGCATGAGCTACCGTGCCCTGTCTCGTGTGTTTAATATTTTCTTTGTTTTATTCAGTTTGAGAATAATTTTCTCTTGCTTTTCTAAGTTTTTATGGTGGAGGCTTATATTACTGATTTTAGCCTTTTTTCTTATTTTCTAATATAAACATCTCAAAGTTATAAGTCTCCCTCTAGATATGCTTTAGCTACACCCCAGATATTTTTATAAACAGATGGTCCTCAGATTACAATTGTTCTACTTACAATTTTCCAACCTTACAATGGCAAGAAAACAATATGCATTCAGTAGATACTGTACTTCAAGTACCCACACAACCATTTTCTTTTCACTTTCACTATAGTATTCAATAAATTACATGAGATTTTGATAATTTATTACGAAATAGGCTTTGTGTTAAATGATTTTGTACAACCGTGTGCTAATGTATGTATTCTAAGCATGTGTGATGTAGGCTAGACTAAGCTATGATGCTCAGGAGGTTATGTGCATTAAATGCATTTCAACTTACGATGGGTTGATCAGGGTACAACCCTGTCATAAGTCAAGGATCATCTAAACTGAGTTTTAATAATCATGTGATACAAATATGTTCTTATTTCTAGATTTAAATCTTCTTCAACTACATATTATTTATACAAACATTTTTATATTTCTGAACATATCAATACAGAATTTATATATATTTCTATTGATTATTAATATAATTGCACTGTGATTGGATAATAAATTATGTATATTTGATATTGTTTACATTTATTGAGATTTGTTTCACGGCCTATCACATTGTCTTCATTGGTAATTACTCCATGTTCCTTTACAAATGTGTTTACATTTAGCATAATTACAAATATGGTTGTGAGATTTAGTTATAACATCTTGAGAGCTGTTTTTAATTTATCTCATCACTTGTTTGTTATTTTTTCTCTTATCTTGCCATATTTATACTATTTACTAGTATTCCACTTTGTCATCTATTTGTTTATTGTAAATTTTTTTGGTTTTTGTTTTCTTAATGCATTCTCTAGGTTAGTGCTATCTATTAGATTATTTACTAGTATTCCATTTTATCATCTATTTATTTATTATAAATATCTTTTTGGTTTTTGTTTTCTTAGTGAATTATCTAGGGTAGTGCTTTCTACTAGACCACTCAATGATGGTAGAAATGTTTCATATCACCTTTACCCAATTTAGTAGTCAGTAGCCACATGTGACCATTGAGCACATGTGCAACAGAGAAACTAAAATTATAATTTAATTTATTAATTTATTTAAATTAAATTCACTTAACTACATGTGGCTAGTGGCTACCGTATAAATTGTGCAGCTCTAGGATATGCAATCTCATCTTTTAGCTTATTACAGTCTTCCACAAAATAATATCATACCATTTGCATATCATTTAAGATTACTGCAATAGTATAACTCCATTTTTCTCATGTTCCATTTTTTTGTGCTGTTATTTTAATATATTTTATTCTGCATATCTTAAAATATATAATATATTGCTTTTTTTTTGCTTTCAATATTAATTATCTGGCCGGGCACGATGGCTTATGCCTGTAACCCCAGCACTTTGGGAGGCCGAGTCAGGCAGATGACTTGAGGTCAGAAGTTCAAGACCAGCCTGGCCAACATGGTGAAACCCCTTCTTTACAAAAAATACAAAAATCAGCCAGGAGAGGTGGCACATGCCTGTGATTCCAGCTACTCGGGAGGCTGACATATGAGAATTGGTTGAACCCGGGAGGAGGAGGAGGTTGCTGTGAGCAGAGATTGTGCCACTGCACTCCAGCCCGGGTGACAAAGAGAGACTCTGTTTCAAAATACATATATATATATATGTTCAATTATCTGTTATAGAAATTAATAAAAGTAACAAAAACAGTTTTATATTCACAGATAAATGGCATTTCTATTCTTGAAGAATGTTCTCTATTAATTTAAATTCTAATTAGAAGTTTTATTCTAATTTATTCTTTTATTTTCACACAATAATGTCAGCAGTGTGGGTTTCGTACAGGTTACAGCTACAAGTAATATAGGTAGATTAGATTTTAGTAGAGCTTTGAAAACCTGAAAAGGCTTAACACATGGTTATTTAAAGAAAGAAGGCCGGGCGCGGTGGCTCACGCCTGTAATCCCAGCACTTTGGGAGGCCGAGGCGGGAGGATCACGAGGTCAGGAGATCGAGACCATTCCGGCTAAAACGGTGAAACCCCGTCTCTACTAAAAATACAAAAAATTAGCCGGGCGTAGTGGCGGGCGCCTGTAGTCCCAGCTACTTGGGAGGCTGAGGCAGGAGAATGGCGTGAACCCGGGAGGTGGAGCTTGCAGTGAGCCGAGATCCCGCCACTGCACTCCAGCCTGGGCGACAGAGCGAGACTCCGTCTCAAAAAAAAAAAGAAAAAAAAAGAAAGAAGGTTCCAGACAGTGGGCATATTTAGAAAGGATATTTAGGAGAAGAATGTCCTAGGCAGAGGAAAAAGAGTCTAAGTCCTTTAGCCAGGAGCATGAGTGACTCTTTCACGGAATAGCAAGGATGACTGTTCTGCTAAAACCAAATGGATGAAGCAAAGTTAGGAGTGGAAGTCAGGGTGTTGGGATCATTCAGGACCCTGTAGGCTTTTAAAAAACACTGGCTTTTATTCTGAGTAAAATAGGGAGCTCTTTCAGACATTTAAGAGCAGAGTGACATAAAACGGTTTAAGTTATAAAAGTACACATTTCTTGGAATAAACGGCTCTGAGTAGAGGCCAGGAAAACATTAGGACAACAGATGTTTGTGGCATCGACAAAGGTGATGGCAGTAACATGGTGAGAAGTGGTTAGATTTTAGATATATGCTGCAGAATTTCCTGGTGGATTGTATGTGTCTTATGGAAATAGAGAGAAGTCACTGGAAGGATGGTATATCCATCAATTAGTTGGGTAAGTTAAGAGAATAAGGAGTTTTGAGGAAATCAGGTGTGCAATTGGGGACATATTAAATTTGAGAAATCTACTTATATCTTAGTAAAGGTATCAAGTAAATAAATATCTGGAGTTTGGGAGAGAGATGTGGTCTGATGGTGTGAATTTGAGGGTTCTCACCAGATAGAGGATATTTAGCTACCAAGATGAATTAGTTGCTATGGAAGTGAGTATAGATCAAAAAACAAAAAGAATCAAAGGCTATTACCTGTGGACACTCTAATATTAAAACATCTTGATGAAAAAGTGGGAAGCAGCAAAGAGGTTTGAGGAGAGACCAGGGAATTAGGAGGACAACCACAAATTGCAGCTGGGTCAAATGATGGCTGTCAGGTCAAGGACTGACAACGAACTGTTGGGTTTGGCAACAAAAGAGAGCATTGCTGAATTGGTGAAATTCATTAGAGCAACTACAGGGAAGTGGTAAGGGTGAAACCTGGACTTAAGAGAGAATAGGAGAAGAGATAGTGTAGTTCATAAAAATGACAACTATTTCTAGGAATTTTGCTCTAATGGGGAGGAGATTTGGCTCTGAAATTCAAATGGATTTGGTGAGAAAGATGCTGTTAAGGTTGTTTTTAAGTAGTGAAAAACATAAGTATTTTGAATATTTATGGTAATGTTTCTACTGGGAGAAAAAAATGAAAAAAAATTAGTAATTGTTGGAGGTAAGTCTTCAGGTAGTGAAGAAGGAATTTGATGAAGAATTTGATTTAATGTACAAGTGGCACAATTTGGGAGAAGTTTAAAAGCCCACCCTTTACCTTCTGTCTTTAATTTGAATTCTGCATGTTTTTGTTGGGGTGGCATCTCAAGACAAAGATTTTCAATTGATACAATCTCTCCCTGTTTGATTTCATCCCCACAGTGTATTCTTGGCCCTTGGGGAAGTTTCTGTTACTACTGATTCCCAAGAGATACTTTCAATATTTTATCACTTTTGTTTAAATCAGCTGTCAGTATGTATATGATGAGATGATTGGTCAAGAGATTGGGCTGATCCATTTGACTGGACCTAATAACTGTTGTTCACCACCCCCAGTCCAAGCAGGGCTCTGGCGGGACCTTGCATTATGTTCACGCTGTGATATGGGTGGATTGTTTTATTTTGTTTTGTTTTTATCTGACTTGAAATAGGATAATAATCATCTACTTAGGGCAATGTAGAAAAAAATAAAATGAGCACACTAAGAAATTTCTCCTCATGCCTATCATTAGCCTGCTAATCAGCCTTACTTTAGGATAACTGCAACTTAAGTCACTAGCAATTTATCAGTTTTTATGCTTATTATTTGGATTCTTCAACCTTCTTATAACTTTTGAGGCACCTCTGGTGCTGTTATGGAGAGATCAGCCATAGCCTGTGTTGTTTCATCATCTTGTTTCATTACAGATATTTTAATAATCAGAGAGTAATCTTTACATTCTTTACATTTTTAGCCACCACATTCAGATATTCATAATCAGTTATATTTTCCTTATTAAATATAAAAAAACAAGCAAAATCTTATTGCAATTTAATGTGAATTTATAATAACAAATAATTCTTGATATGTAATAACTTTACCCCATTTGTTTCATTCAGGGTGACACAAGTGCTGTTCAGATACAAATACATAGTCTTAAACCTTTGGGAAGTATGCAGCCACACAGACAACCATTTGGACATGTGTTATAGTGAACATCTTTAATGAAAATGCTAGTTTTTTGGAGTATTGCAAATTCCTTTTCTTGTAAAAATTCTTTGTTAAATTAATAGTGCTTCTGAGGGACACAACTTTCAAATTATTTTCTTGGAACTTGAGCTCGGCTGAATGATGAAGAATTGACTGCTGAGTGTAACTGTTCAAAGTAGACTTTTGGTGCTTTCATTTGGGGTTACTATGAAACCAAACCAAAAAAAAAAAAAGTTGTGAAGCAATGTGCCAAAATTAAAGGAAATGTGATGGGAGCAGCTCCACGATTCCTCCCTAGAGATGCACAGAGGCACTTACAGTGTAACCATCACAGCAATAAAATATTCTGCATTCCCTTTCTTACACTATGCCAGCCATTGTTGGAGGTGTTCCTCCACCATGGTAACTGTTGCCATGGAGTCTCCACCTGCCAAGCACCATTTCTCCGGTGTGACCCCTCTTAGAAGCTCACTTTTGAGGGAGGAGAAATTGCCTAGTCACCATTGTAAACTCTTTTAGGGAACTTTAAAGGGAATAGGACTAGGTTATCCTGGAACCTAAGACCTTGATTCGCAGGTTCCAGCTATTTTACATTGGTTTGTTATCAGGAGCTTTTTGTTTTGTTTTTTCAAATTCCTATGTCCGTGCTTCAGATAAGACCGAGTAAATCTCAGCTTCCTGGTGTCAGTTTAAGAATTGCTTTTATTTATTTACCTTGTAAATCTGTATATTGTTCTGGAGTACCTAAGTGAAATGAACAAACAAATGACCTTGGTTACATTAAAAACTTTCGAGAACTCTGCTTCTTAAACTATCCCTTGTGAGGTATCAGTTTTCTCCATTCATCACAAACTAAAACTTTCGTAAAATACAATGAAAGAATGACCAGAAAAATGAAACAAATAAAAAGGCATAGAAAATACAAACCACATTTTCTTTATAAGATTAAGTAGATATGAAATTACTCTGACAAGTGGTTCTAAAGTTTTAAAAAAATTTACTCTCGATTACTGCACTATCTCTATTTAGACTGTTAAACATCAGTTTAGGGATGAAAACTGGCCCCCTGCCTTCATTTTGAGTAGTCCTAGAGTTTAAGTTTGCTCATCCATCAAGTGCATAAAATACTACCTATACCTCCTTATTCAGAGGGTCAAGAGAGAATAAGTTAGAAATGAAAAACCATTAATTTTAAGATAAATGTAAGAATTTATCTTTACATTTTTTTAGTGGTTAGTGTAATACCGTGTAATGAGACCAACACTGTTTTGAAACATAAACTAAAACAAAATGTTCAGAGAGTGTACTGGTACATTTTGTTTGTCTGTGTAAATAATTTTCAGTGTTTTTTTCCTCAAACTGTCAGATGTCACACTGGAATTCTGCCATCAACATGTGACACTCAGCCAGCTAGCGGTGACAATCCAAGATGTTAACCACAAAGCTGACCTGACTAGCATAAAAATCTTGGCTTCACAGTATAACTTTCTAAGAAGAAAGAACAGAATTATCCCAAATTGTTTTGTTACATCATCTATAGTACACTGGATGGGAGGCAGGGAAATATAATTTTTAAGTGATTCTTTCCTAAAAGAAGAAAACAAATTTATTTTCACATAAGCGGGAAAGAGAGCTGTTATTAATGGAAGCTGTTATTAATGGAAGACTAATACAGAAAAATGCTGAAATCATTTTTCATTCTGGATGGAAATTTACTTGAGAAACCTTTGCAAATGAAACAAACCTTCAGAAAGCTGAAATATGCTGGGCATGGTGGCTCATGCCTGTAATCCCATCACTTTGGGAGGCTGAGACAGGGGCATCACTTGAGGTCAGGAGTTCGAGACAAGCCTGGCCAACATGGTGAAACCCTGCCTCTAGTAAAAACACAAAAATTAGCCAGGTGTGGTAGTGCGCACCTGTAACCCCAGCTACTTGGGAGGCTGAGGAATGAGAATCACTTGAACCTGGGAGACAGAGGTTGCAGTGAGCCGAGATCCTACCTCTGCACTCCAGCCTGGGCTACAGAGTGAGACTCCGTCTCAAAAAAAAAAAAAAAAAAATCAACAGCAACAAAAAAGAAAGCTGAAATATAGGTAGTGGCTTAATTAATTAATTAACTCTTTTTGAGACAAGATCTTGCTTTGTGACACAGGCTGGAGTGCAGTGGCGTGATCATAGCTTACTGCAGACTTGAACTCCTAGGCTCAAGTGATCCTGCCTCATCCTCCTGAGTAGCTAAGCCTATAGTTGTGTGCCACCAAGCTGGACTTAATTTTTGATATTCAAGTATTCTAAAATCAAAAATAAAATAAATATAATTTTAAATAAATTTAATTGTTTGTGCATTTGAAAAAATTACCTAGAAATTTAAAAGATTTCCTTTAGCTTAAAATTTATATAGTTTAAGGCACCTAAAGTTGCATTAAATCAGAATTATAAATTGCTATACGAATCTTTTGATATGACACTTAAGGGTTTTTTCCTAAATTCAATAAATTAAAATAAATTTTAGAAATTTCAGTGAAAATAATGAGGCATAAGTAAATAATTCAAAATTCCCTTTATTATTTTTAATTTTTAAATTTTAGATTAAAGAGGTACATGTTCTTATTTGTTATATGGGCATATTGCATACTGGTGAAGATCGGCCTTCTAGTATCCCATTACCCAGATAGCGAACATTGTACCCAATATGTAATTTTCAACCCTCTCCCCTCTCCCGCCCTTTTGGAGTCCCCAGTATCTATTTTCATTGTCATGTCCATATGTACACATTCTTTAGCTCCTACTTATAGTCCTCACTTATAAGTGAAAACATGTAGTATTTGGTTTACTATTTTTGAGTTTGTTCACTTAAGTTAATGGTCTCCAGCTCTATCCATCTTGCTGCAAAGGACATAATTTTATTTTTTTTATGGCTCTGTAGTATTCATAGTGTGTGTATACACACATATATGCATATATACACATTGTATATATATATGTTTGTGTACATATATATCACATGTGATATCACATGTGATATATATATATATAGATATGACATTTTCTTTTTCTAGTTAACTGTTGATGGACACTTAGGTTGGTTCCATGACTTTGCTATTGTGAATAGTACTGCGATGAACATACGAGTACAGGTATCCTTTGATATAATGATGTCTTTGAGTAAATGATTTTCCTTTGAGTAAAAGGAGTATAAATCATATCAAAAGGACACCTAGGATTTCTGGGTTGAATGGCAGATCTATTTTTAGTTCTTTGAGAAATCACTATACTATTTTCCATAAAAGTTGAACAAATTTACATTCCCACCAACAATGTATGAGCATTCCCTTTTCTCTGTATCCATGCCAACATCTATTGTTCTTTTACTTTTTAGTAAAAGCCATTCTGACTGGTGTAAGATGATATCTCATTGTGCCTTTAATTTGTATTTCTCTGATGATTCATGATATTGAGCATCTTTTTTTAGTATGTTTGTTGGCTCCTGCTTACATTTCTTCTTTTGAGGAATATCTATTTGGGTACTTTGTGCTGCTTTTAATGGGGTTGTTTGCTTTTTTCTTCTTGAGTTGTTTTCCTTCCTTATAGATTCTGGATATTAGTCCTTTGTCAGAGGCATAATTTACAAATATTTTCTCCCATTCTGTAGGTTGTTTATTCTGTTGATTGTTTATTTCGCTGTGCAGAAGCTTTTTAGTTTATCTCGCAATTACCTATTTTGTTTTTGTTGCATTTGCTTTTGGGGTTTAGGAATCATAAATTCCTTGCCTAGGCCAATGAACAGAAGAATGTTTCCTAGGTTTTCTTCTAGGAATTTTATAGTTTCAGGTCTTACATTTAAGTTTTTTAATGCATCTCGAGTTAATTTTTGTACATGGTGAAAAACAAGGGTCATTTCATTCTTTTGCATATGGCTACCTAATTTTCCTGGTGCCATTTATTGAATAGGGTGTCCTTGCCCCATCGTTTATTTTTTGTCAATTTAATTGCAGATCAGTTGGTCACAGGGAAATGGATACACAGACCAATGGAATTGAACAAAATTATTTTTAATCTGATGGAAAACCTGACATTTCTCATCAAGAATGAATGTGTCAAAATCAATATGGGCATGTTAATGAAGTAAAAGTGTTCAGAGAGAAAGTTTTACTGTTTTTATTAACATGGAATAAAGAACTGTCACAATGAAGCAAATAGTCTTACATATAATATACATAAGAAAATGGAGAGGAAAGATCTGATGATAACGAGAGTATTACTAGAGCATATATGGATGGAAAATACAAAGGAAGCTGTTGCCCAAAAGACCACCAGGATGGCTATATAGTAGAAAAGGGAGCTTTTTTGCAATATAGGTTTGCAAGCCTGGAAGAAAAAGTTTCCACTGTGCACCGTAGGTGTTCTCTTTTTGAAGAATGGAAAGAAAAGTTGGGTTTTATGTCACACAGGGCCTGCATCACATATTTTCAGAAGCTTTGGGGGAAAAGCTATACATATTTATGAGAGGAGCAGTGTGCATGAATAATGGATAAACATGCATGTACCATACATCTCATTTTCACTTTAGAGTTGGTTTAGCAATAAAATGATGTGGAATATGGCTCTTTACATCAAAAGGTGAACTATAAAATACAATGATGGTTTGCGTGCAGCCTCTGTAAACTGGCTGACACTGGCTTAAGGTCCAAATTACTTATCAGGGAAGAATATTTGTGGGGCCAGTTTTCTGTCAAATCAGAGTTTTAGTGGTCCACGTTGTAAATCACACTTAGGATAATTTGTCTGATCTCTCCTATTGTTAGGGAGTTTAGTGAGAATTTAGAAATTTGCCATGCCTGCGAGGCCTTGAACCCTTGACCCATAGGTAACTTTTTTTTAACCTTAGGGTCTATCTTAGTTGATAAAGGTCTCCCATTTCACAAGAAAATAACACTACACACATTTAATTTTTTTTTTTTTTTTTGCTAAGGACCAAATGTTTGTGTCTCCCCAAAATTTACACATTGATATGCTAGCCCTTTAATGTGATGGTATCAGAAGATGGGAGCTTTGGGAGATAATTAGGTCATAAAAATACAATCTTTCATGAAAGAGAACAGTGCCCTTGTAAAGGAGACCCAAGAGAGCTCCTCTATTCCTTGCCTTCTGCCATGTGGGAACACAGATAGAAGATGGTCGTCTATGAACCAGGAAGTTGGCCCTTACCAGAACTCGACCACAATGGCATCCTGATTTTAAATTTCCAGCCTTCAAAATTGTGAGAAATAAATTTCTGTTGTTAGAAGCCACACAGTCTAAGGTATTTTGTTGCAGCAACACAAATTGACTAAGATAATATTAAACTTCTGCTTATGGTCTACTTTTAGCAACCAAAACTCAAAAGCAATCTATTAAAAAAATGATTTTTAGTTTAACATTGTTTCTCTTCCTTCTGATAGACCATTAATAGTTTGATTGAATGTTAATTCCTTTAACTTATATTTCATAAGCTAAAATAAGTTTAGCACAAAATAATTTTTGCATGAATAAAGCAATGCTTATTGAAAGCTTGCTTTCCATAAGACTTGATATCAGCGCTTTCATTCTCAAATATGAGATACTGCCACACTGGATAATGAAGAGAAAGGAGCTTTGAAATTCATTATTTCACACTTTCAAAAATTGCATGTAACTTCTACATTAGCCCATGACTAATGCATCTGAGAAAGCCTTTGTGTACTGGAGAGTTTAATGTTAGTCTTTTTACTACCTGATATTTGTAGCTGAAAATTTTTTTTTCAAGTAGAATTTTTTGGAGATGTATATCAACTGATAGAAGTATGCAAAGTTGCTGACCTTCTAAAATTGTAAGACAGGCCTTAATAAAATATCTTAACGATATTGTTTAATTCAACACTAAATTAATTAATTTAAAATATTGAACTTTTAAATAAATAAATATATACGTATTATATATTATTAGATTACATATAATAAACTATATTTTATATACTATTTATTATTGTATATATAATAATTTCAAGCATGGCTCTTCAAATGACACCAATAGACTTTTGAAAGCATTAAAAATGTATCATAAACTTGAAATACATGTGTCAACATTATAGGTAATATAGTTTTAGGCATTTTAACATTTAGCACAATACAAAACAGAAACAAGGCTCAATGAAATAAGATTCTTTAGAATATCTTTCTAATCTGAGTTAAAGTCATCAAAGAAGATGCCCCTGGGCCTAATCTCTCAGTGTAACAACACTTGAAAGATTCTTTAATTCAGAATTTTATGAACTCAGAGGATGTTTAAAAGAAAATAACTAAATCATTGTTTTGCAATTTTTATGTTATTTTTAACACAGAATTTACTTAAAATAAACACATATAATCTTTAAAAGATGTAAAGTATATTTCTAAGACCTTTATATCTTCCATCTTTAGAGAAATATTGAAAATGTGGCTAACTGAAAAGTTTATTTTACTTTCTATTTTTCTTTTTTGTTTGTTTTGTTTAGTAGCTGCTTACTTTTCTTATGTTCTGCGCAACTGTCAAGCAAAATGATGTTTTTAGGTTTTTATTATCAAGTCCACTTTCTAGATTTCTGTTGACCCATGTGTCAAAGTTTAGTATATTTTTTATCATTTGTATGAACAGAGCATGTTTGATTTTGGCAATGAATCTGACAAAATGCCATACATTATTTATTTATTCATAAGGAATGACTTTTCCTTCATTCATATTACTATGTACCTGTCTCTAATCTCAGTTCTACAATTACATATATAGGGTGATTTATTTCATAACATTGAGTATATTTTCTTCTACTTCTTTCTGTAAGAAGAATAGTTTCCTGATTGGGGAAGATAATTTTTTTTAGCAGAAATACAAGATTCAGAAACATTCTATGTCACAACATTAATCATTCTTCAATAAAAAAATCAGAAATTTATTTTGGATGTGGTAGTTCATAATTGTTCATTTTCAGCCACTTCATACTCAAATTTCTGTTTGCTACATGTATTAGGCCATTTCTGAATTGCTATAAAGAAATAGCTGAGGCTGGGTAATTTATTTAAAACGGAGGTTTAATTGGCTCATGGTTCTGCAGGCTGTACAGGAAGCATTGCACTAGCATCTGCTTGACTTCTGATAAGGCCTCAGGGAGTTTTTGTTTTCAAGATGGAAGGCAAAGAGGAACAGGCATGTCACATAGCAAGAGAGTAAGAGACAGAAAGGGAGGTGCTAGGCTCCTTTGTAAACAACCAATCTCACATGAACTAATTGCTGTGGGGAGGGCACCAAGCCATTCATGAGGCTTGTGCCCCTATGACCCAAACACCTCCCACCAGGCCCCACCTCCAACACTGGAGATTACATTTCACCATAAAATTTGGAGAGGACAGACATCCAAACTATATTATTCCTCCCTATCTCCCTGAATCTCATGTTCTTCTCACCTTGCAAAATACAATCATGCCTTCCCAACAGTCCCTGAAAGTCTTAACTCATCCCAGCATTGCTCAAAAGTACCTGACAGAGCAGGAGCATCGCCGTCTTGGACAAGCCCCTCATTCTAAAGTTCACCTTAATAAAAAACTGCCTAAATCCAAAGGGCAGTAGCCTAATGGCTAATGTCAGCATGACCATTAACCAAAAATAACATCTCCAACCAGAAACATTCCAAACTCCTCCCCGACCAGCGACATGCTAGCCCTGAGATAAATCCCCCTCCGGCAGGGAAGATGCTAGCCCTGAGACAACCCCCATCCAAGCCCCTCTCTAGGCCGGAAAGATGTCTGCCCCAAGATAACCTCCCCTCCTCCCAGAAAGATTCCAACCCCACCATAAATTTCTCCACACACATAAACATTCCAAGCTTCTGATAAGCCCCCTTACCCTAAAACTGATATACTCTTAGTCTGTAAGAGAAAGTGCGCCTGACCGAAATCAGCCAGAAGCACCTCTCAGGTTTTATCTAAAGAAAACCTGTCTTTAATTGCCAGCTGCATTTCATGTTTATTTTCTCTTTAAGTCTTACAGTACAAAGTTCAAAGTCATCTGATAATCAAATCAAGTTCCTTCTGCCTATGAGCATGTAAAATAAAAAACAAGTTATTTACTTCCAAGATGCAATAGTGATACAAGCATTGGGTAAACATTTCCATTCCAAAAGGGGATATTGGACAGAAAGAAGGGGCAATAGGCCCCACACACATCTGAAACCCAGCAGGGCAGACATTAAATCTTAAAGTTCCAAACTAATCTCCTTTGACTCCAAGTCCCACATCTGGGGCACACTGGTGTGAGGGGTAGGCTCCCAAGGCCCCTGGGCAGCTCTGCCCCTAAGGCTTTGCATGGTGAAGTCCCTGCCCCAGCCTGTTCTTATGGGTTGGAGTTGAGTGCCTGTGGTTTTTCCAGGCTTAGGGTGCAAGCTGCCAGTGGCTCTACCCTTCTTGGGTCTGGTGGGTAGTGGCTGTCTTCCTCCAGTTCCACTAGCAGTGTCCTGGTGGGAACTCTCTGTGGGGGCTCCAAACCCTAATTTTCCCTAGGCACTGCCCTGGAAAAATTTCTCTGTGGGAGCTCCATCCTTATGGCAGGCTTCTCCTCAGACACCCAGGCTTTTCCATACTTCCTCTGAAATCTAGGGAGAAGCTGCCAAGGCTTCTTCACTTTCACACACCATCAGGCTTAACACCACGTGAAAACTGCCAAGGCTTACAGTGACTTGGCTCTATAAAGCAGCAGTCTGAGCTGTACCTGAGGACCTCTGAGCCATGGCTGGAGTTGGAGCTTCTGGAATGTGAGGATCAGTGCGCTGAGGCTAAGCAGGCAGTGGCGCCCTGGGCCTGGCCCTTGAAAACATTCTTTCTTCCTAGGCTTCTGGGCCTGTGATGGGAGGGGCTGCATCAATGATCTCTGGTGAAAAACCTGAAATGCCTTTAGGTTTTTCTCCATTGTCCTAAGTGTTAGCCCTTGGCTCCCTTTCAGTCATGCTAATTTCTCTAGCAAGTGGTTGCTCCCAGCCTGCCTCTATTTCTCTCCTGAAAATGCTTTATTTTTTCTGCCACATAACTCTGCTGCAAAATTTCTCAAACACTTAAGCTCTACTTCTCCTTTAAATATAAGTTCCAACTTTAAGTCATTTCTTTGCTGTCATATCTGATTATAGCCTATTAGAAGTAGCCAGATAACATCTTGAATGCTTTGCTGTTAGTCAGATACCCTAGGTCATCAATTTTAAGTTCAAACTTCTGCAGGTTCCCTAGGGAACAAATACAATGCAGCCAAGTTCTTTGCAAGGGCATAATGAGGGTGACCCTAGTTCCCAATAACTTCCTTATTTCCATCTGAGACCTCATCAGTCTAGCATTCACTGTCCATATTTCTGTCAGCATTTTGGCCACAACCATGTATTTATTCACTAAGAACTTTCCCTCATCCTTCCACTTTCTTCTGATCCCTCAAAATTCTTCAAACCTCTACCTGTTACCCAGTTCCAAAGCCACATCTACACCTTTAGGTATTTGTATAGCAACACTGAGCTTACCAGTAGCAATTTTCTGTATTAGGATACTTTATTGCTATGAAGAAATACTTCAGGCTGGGTAATTTATAAGGAAAGAAGGTTTAATTGGCTTGTGGTTCTACAGGCTATACAGGAAGAATGGTGTCTGCATCTGCTCAGCTTCTGATGAGTCCTCAGGGAGTTTTACTTATGGCAGAAGGAAGCAGTCCTGTCAAATGGCAAGACAGGAGCAAGAGAGGGAGAGGGATACTTATTAAACAAGCAGATCTGGCATGAATTCATTACTGTGGGAAAGACAAGCCATTCATGAGGGAATCTACCCCAATGACCCAAACACCTCACAGCAGGCCCTACCTCCAACGTTGGGGATTACATTTCAACATGAGATTTGGAGGGGACATACATCCAAGCTATGTCAGTACAATCTGATGAAAATCATGATGTAGAAACATTTATTTAAATGTATGTTTAACTATTGAAAAATGTATTACATATCAATTATATTGCTAAGTGTTTAACTTGTTACTAATATACTTCCAATTTTATTTAGATTGGCATATTAATTTCCCTGTTATCAAGATATTATGAAGTTCAGGGATTTATTATTAAGAGGTCATAAAGTAAGCGTATTTGTTTTCTGGTGCTGCTGTAATCAATTTTCACAAACTTTGTCACTTAAAACATGCATTTATTTTCTTACAGTTTCATAGGTAAGAAGTAGGGTTGCAGAGAGACTTGCTGGGCTGTCTACTTAGAGCCTCACAAAATTGTGTTTCCTTCTGAAAGCCCTACTGCCAAATCTGCTTCGTTTCTATTGTTGGCCAGATTCAGTTCCATGTGCAGTTGTGGAACTTAGGTTCCATTTCCTTGATGATTGCCAGCTGGAGCCTTTCTTAGACTCTTAAGACATTTTTGCCCCATCCATTTTAAAATCAGTAATAATGGGTTGACTCCTTCTCATTCCAAATTTCTTTGACTTTTCTTTCTGCTGCATCTCTCTGACTCCAGCCAAGAAAGTTATCTGCTTTTGAGAACCCATCTGATTAGTTTGGGCTAGCATGAATGATAGATAATCCAGGATAATCTCCCCATTTTTAAGCCTACAAATCTAATCATATTTTCCAAGATTCCAGGGATTAGCATGTAGGTTTTTTTCTTGGAGTCATTCTGCCTACCAGAATTAGTACATAACCTAGCTGGAATTGTATCTTGCTTTCTGATGAAAAAGCACTGGCCTCACTAGGAAGGGAATATTTTCTGAAATTTTAGGAGCCATCTAGTTTTGCTCATTATCATGAAGAAATTAATCCTTCACCTTAAATTTCTGGAACTGAGAAGAGCAGCAATGTTGTAAAATGGCTTTGGGGCTAACTACATTTATCTACCTTTCATTCTCCTTGGCTCACTTTTGTGTTTCAAGCAAATTACCCTGGCACTGAGAGAGTGCAAGAAGCCAATTGGACAAATCTGAGGGAGAGAAAAAGATGAAAATGGAAACAGAGACCAAATTTTATGATTTCTCACAACCTTTGATTTAGAACAAATTTTTTTTTTTAGCTTAAGAGCATTATTTTCCCACTATGGATACAGATAATTCACAATAGAGATAGTTACCAGTCTATGTTTTGATTTCATAGTCCTAATCATTATACATAAAGTTAGTAAAGTAGGGTTAGGTTTCAAGTTCCATTATCCCAGAATGGATGTAATAAAGCAGTAGCCCCAATGTGGAAATTCATTTCAGTCATTTTTAAGTGCTATCCCTTACGACCTGTAGCTAAGATGAGGGTTAGATTTAACTTCAAATCAGGGATACTTATTTTCTTTCCTTTGTTGGTCTCTTTTTTTTCTGAGACATGGTCATAGAAAGAATAGCTTAATTATTATTTTATCAAAAAGAATATTGGGCCCAATGTTCAACAGATTAATAATTAGAATATGTGATATGGTTTGGATTTGTGTCCCCACCCAAATCTCATGTTGAATTGTAACCCCCAGTGTTGGAGGAGGGGCCTGGTGGGAGGTGATTGGATCTTGGGGGTGAATTTTCCCCTTGCTGTCCTTGTGATAGTGAGTTCTTATGAGATCTGGCTGTTTAAGTGTGTGGCACCTCCTCCTCTCTCTCTCATCTTCCTGCTCCAGCCATGTAAGTCCTGCCTCCTTCCTCTTTTCCTTCTGCCATGATTGTAAGTTTTCTGATGCCTCCCAGCCATGCTTCCTGTCAGCCTGTGGAACCCTCAGCAAATTAAACCTCTTTTCTTTATAAATTACTCAGCCTCAGGTAGTTCATTATAGCAATGTGAGAACAGACTAACAAAATAAGCTTTAGTAGAATGTTTTCAATCAATAGAAAAATATATTTTGTTTATTACATGTGTAAAACAAAACATATACACTATCTAATCCCTTATTACTAATATATCTATTGTTTATGTTTTACACATAGGAAATACTATAACAATGTTTGACAGCGACAAATTTCAATTTATAGCAGAGTGACTTTTTTATGGTTAAACTTCCAAATTTAGAAGAACTTTAAAACTATTTAAGATATAAAATGCAGCTTTCAAGCTATAATATAATCTCAAAGCCAGTACTAAAACACACATTATCACATACAGAAATTAACTAGAGAAAAAATACACTTTTAAAAAGTTGTATTTCTAATTGGCAAAAAATTGTACATATTTATGGTATACAATTTGATGTTTCAATACATGTATACATTTTGTAACTACCAAATCAAGATAATTGGTGTATTCATCACCTTAAACATTTGAGACAAAATAATTTTTTTTAAAAAATCATATTGCAAAATTTCGGTTCCAAATCTAGCTATATCACTTTTGTAACATATGAATAATCTTAGTAATTCAATAAAAAGAAAGTATAAAAGAGATCTAAATTACTTTCAAATCCATGTATATACAGCAAAAAGTGGAAAATACATACTATTCAAACGGTAAGCATAAAAGAGCTAGAATATATTGATGACAGACAAAACAAATTTTAAAATATGAAATATTAATTTAAAAAGAAAATTCTTAATGGTAAATGAATACATATTGAAGGATGATATAACATTTATAAATGCATATGCAACTAATTACAGAGTACCAAAATTCTTGAAGTAAACCTCATAGAGTAGAAAAGAGAATTATGGATAATTATAATCTCATATTTCAATAGCTTTATTTCATAACTAAAAGAACAAGAAGATAATATATTTCTAAGGGCATAAGAGATTAGAGCAACATTTAAAACTAAACTGACCTAATTAACAACTATAAAATATTCTAACAACTTCAGGATGTATAGTTGTTCAAGTGAGCATGGTCCATTAACAAATATAAACCACATGCTGTCATAAAATAAGTTCTATTAAATTTGAAGGATTTAAATTTTATGATCTCTGACCACAATGGATTTGAATTACAAATTAATGACAGGAGGAAATTTAGGAAATCCACAGATATATGGAAATTAAAACATTTGTAAATAAACCACAGGTAAAAAAATAGAAGAAATTAGAAAAATATGTTGAATTAAGTAAGTAAAGACAACTTGGAAACTTACAGCATTTAATGTTTCTATTATGAATAACAGTAGCTTGAAGTCAGTACTCTAAGCTTCATCATAAAAATTTTAAGAAAGAAGAACAAATTAAACCCTAAGATAAGCAGATAGAAGAAAGGAAATAATAAAGATCAAGTTAGAAATTGATAAAAAAGAAACAGAAGCAATTAATAAGACAAACATATACCAGTGAAACTCAAAATGGTTCTTTAAGAAACATTAATAAATTAAACAAAAGTTTGACTAAATATCAGTTATTTTACTGATATCAGAATAAAAGTGAGGACCTCACTACAGAGCCAATGGCCATTAGTTGGTAAATAAATATGTTAAAAAAAGTTTTTATGATAATTAACGTTGCAACAACTGCTTCAAGAAGAGAGAGAAGACTTAAATAGTCCTATATCAATTAAATCAATTTAATTACTTAACTCAAAAGCACCCCACAAAGTAAAATCTAGTTCTAACTGTATCACTGGTGAATTTTTCAAATCTTTTATATATGAATTTTTTCCAATCTTCCCTAATTACTATTTTCAAATACTAATAGAGAAAGAAGCTTCTCAGCTTAAGAGAAAAATGTTACCCTGATATCAAAGCCAGTGAATGACATCAAACAAAAAGAAAATAGAGTCTAATATCTTTCATGAAGATGAAAAATCATTAACAAAATACTAGGCAATAAAATTCATTCATACATACAAAAGAAAAATAGAACACAATCAAGGGGCATAGGGTAACATTTGGGGAGGAGAAATGTTCTAAAAACTAATTTTGGTGTTGTTGCATCACTGTACACATTTGCAAAATACACAGGATTGTTTCCTTAGAATATGTGGTTTTGGTTTTATATAAAATTGCACTTCAAACTAATAAAAATCTTTATAACTACCTAATCAGTAATTATAATATTTTTATTTATATATTTTATGTATTTATTGAGACCAGATCTTGCTCTGTCGCTCAGGCTGGAGTGCAATGGGGTGATTATAGTTCACTACAGCCTTGAACTCCTAGGCTCAAGCAATGGTCCCACCTTAGCCTCCCAAATAGCTAAGACTACAGGTGCATGCCACCATGCCAAGGTAATTTTTAATTTTTTTTTTTCTGGTTGAGATGAGGGTCTCACTATACTGCTCAGGCTGATCTCAAACTCCTGGCCTCAAGTGATCTTTCCCTCTTGGCATCCCAAAGCACTGGAATTACAGGTGTGAGCCACAGTGCCCAGCCCTAATAATTTAAATAGTTTTGAATTTATCATTTTGTTGAGAATTATGGTTAATACCCAGGATGCTTAATGTCATAATTTGTCCAACCTTATAAAAGGTACAACATGGTATAACATGGTAATATATACATTTGTCATTTAAGGAAACTGATACTTCAATTAAAAGAAATGATTTTTTCAAACAAAGCAAAATAAAAGATATGCTGATAACAAGAAAAAATTTATAAGACACAGAAAAATTAAAAGAATGATGATGTAGATTATAATATTTTTAGCAAATATTTATACTCTTTTTCCTTAAGCTTTATGATGATATTATACTTCTTATATCCATGATGTTGATCTTGCCATATTAGCTGTCATGGTCAATGCAATGTGCACGAATATGACTTTTGCTCCATCCAAGCAGTGGCTTTAAATACTTTTGACAAATTTAAGTAAATTTCAGGCAAAGCAAGTTTTAAGCTATAATTATTAGAAACAAAAACAGATAATTTACAATGATTAGAGTACCATTACACAAAAAGTCACGAAATTCTAGATTTGTAAAATCTAATAACATGGTTTCACTAGATATGAACACATTCAGCAAAGTTCAAATGTAGGCCTACTCTACATTCATAATGGATGATATTAGCACCTACCTTTCAATTAATTATCAAAAGAGCAGGAAAATTTAAGTAAGGATATAAAAGTTGTCACAAATTTGATTAAGAATATTTATGTCATTGATATAGATTAATAAAACAGAGCATTCAGCAATGACCAAAATACATCTTTCTTTCATCTAGTCAAAGATCGTTTAACAAAATTGGTCTTTTCTGGATCACAAAGCAGGACCTGGCGTTTCTCAAACGATGTACATAATTCAGAGTAGATTTTCTGACTACAGTTGAAATCATAGTACATAAATAACAAGAACAATGATAAGTAAATACTCAGTTTCAGTTAAGATACACACTCTTAAATAATTCATTGGTCAAAGTAGAAATACAATGGAAATTAGAACATTTTAAAACTGAATAAACATAAAAGATGCACAGACTTGGGAAATATGATTAAAACTGTGTTAATGGAGTGGTTAGAGAGAAAATTATGGTCTTAAGTGGATATATTAGAGGTAGGATGCATGAATATTCATCTCAAGACATTAGAACACAAATAGTATGTTAAACCAAAGAAATAAGAATAAAGAACATGCTGAAGATAAAAGCATAAATAAATGAAAAAATTAAACTATGTTGAAATAAACCAGCAAAGCTAGAAGCAGTTCTTTGAAACAATAAAATGTTTGTACTTCTAAGACGAGTAAAGGAAAAATATAGACAAAATATGCACTACCAGTGTTACAAAAAGAGGGGCTCCTCATTACAAATTATTCAGATATTAAGAATATATTAAAATATACCATTAACAACTTTATGTCGACTAATTTGACAGTGACTGAAATGGACCACTTCCTAGAAACATACAAATTACCAAAAGTGACACAAGATGAAACTAAAATCTCATTACTATTAAATATATTAATTAGATTTATAATGAATATATTTACCGATATAAACTTCCAGAATCAAAGAGATTTATTTACTGAACAATCCAAAATATTCTAGGAAAAAAAATACAACAAAACTTTGAACAACTCTTCCAGATACTCAAAAAAAAGAACACTACAAACTTGTTTAATGATGCCAGTATAAAATTAACAAGGAAGCATTATAATAGAAGGAAGATTACAGCACAATATCTCTCATTATTATAAATGCAAAAAAACTAAACAAAAATTATTAACCAAATCCAGTAATATATGAAAGTACAATACATCATATAAAGTTGGATTCATCTTTGAAGTGTAAAGTTGGTTTATATATAATTCATTAATCCTATTACTTATTAATCCTATTACATTATTAATCCTATCACTTTGGGAGACTGAGGTGGGAGGATTGCTTGAGACTAAGAGTTTGAGACTAGCCTGGGCAAAATAGTGAGATCTCCATCTCTACCAAAAAAAATTAGCTACTCAATAGGCTGATATGGGACGATTACTTGAGCCCAGGAATTTAATGCTGCATGGGCTATGATGGTGCCATAATGCTCCATCCTGGGCAACACAGCAAGAGTCTGTCTGAAAAAGAAAAAGTACATGTGCACCAAAGAGAGACAGAGAGAGAGAGACAGAGAGAGATCATATAAATATGTAGTGCCCCAAAATTAAAGCTCCAAAAAGTATCCATGCAAGATTCATAGAATCTGTGACTATTACTGGATACAAGAAAACAAATGATTAAGTTCAGGATGGTGAGAGAAACAAACTGGATTATCTAGGTGGGCCCTAAATCGAATGACACATACCTTGTAAGAGATAAGCAGAGGGAGATTTAAGAAAGAAACACAGAGGAAAAATTCATGTGAAGATGAAGGCAGAAATTGGAGTATAAAGCCAGAAGTCAAGATATACTAGGAGCCACCCAAAGCTGTAAGAGGCAAGGAAGGATTCTCCTCTAGACCTTTTGAGGATATACGGCCCTGATGATACCTTGATTTCAGGAAACTTCTGGACCCTAGAATTATGAAATAATAAACTTCTATTGTTTTAAGCCACCAAGTTTGTGATAATTTGTTATGGAAGCTCTAGAAAGATAATATAATACAGAGTATCTTTGTAGACACAAAAACATTTGCTGATAAAATTTAGCACCCATTCTTTACAAAAATGGGTGCTGAGAAGACTAGAGAAAAAGTCAACCTCCTTTTCATGAGTACCTAAGAAAAACCCTTGACCAAGCAACGTATTTAACAAAATACTGAAAGTGTTTTCAAGATTAGTGTTAGTATAAATTGCCTATTATAACAATTCTCATCCAACATTTTTATCCTACATTAAATTAACTGTTCTAACCAGTGCAATAAGATAAAAAGTAAATGAGAATTGGAATGAAAGAAATAAATTATAAGCACTTGCTGTCAACATGATTGTGTATGTAGAAAGTCCAAAATAATCAACAGACATCTATTAAAATAGATAGATACATGATATAGCAAGGTCAATATAAAACAATCAATTGCAATTTTATTTAGCAGTAACTAACAGAATATTCAATTTAAAAATAAAACTGATAAAATCACTTTGCAAAGTTTTTTAACAGTGTTCAGTAAAGTTGAACAAATAATGAAAGATCTGGTAATTCCACTCTTAGCTATATGTGAAGAAGAAATGCATACATATATTTGCCAAAGATGCAGTAATTATCATAGAAGCACTATTTTCAGTAGCCAAGAACTAGAAGTAAACTAAATTTCCATTATTATTTTAAAATGATAGTTAATTTATAAAATAGGCTATCTGAAAGTAATCATAAATAATGATCTACTGTTACTTATAAAAATAAGTATAATGTATAGGAAAAGGAGTCCCACATCAAGCAGTGAATATTGTTTGATTTCATTCATAATATGTCCCAATGCAGGCACAAGTAATTTACAGTGATGAAAAACAGGATAATGACTGCCTTGGGGTTGAGCAGAGAACAGGTGGGGACATCAGAAAGCTTCTGAGTTGCTGATAATACTCTTGATTTGTGTGTTGTTTAAATGGACTTTCACTATGTGAAACTCCTGTATCATAAAGTAATTACAGCATACGATATTATGTGATCAATAAGAGCATAAATTAATTCTACAACCACTAAAAATATATCACAAGAATTTAGGAAGTACAATAGACTAAGGGGAAGCTTTATGTTTGTTCACATTGTGCTACCACCTTGGGGTGTGGGCTGAGAGACTGGGGTAATAAAAAACCATACAAGCACAGAGAGAATGTGTGTCTCTAGATAGAGCTGAGGTGGTTCATAGGACCACAAGATTAAAGGTCTTGGTGGCCTGTGACAGCACATTATAGAACTTCCACATAGCCTTGGTGGGGAAGAATAGTGGGAACAGCATGATTCTCTTATTCTGAAAAATCATAACCTTAAGAAAACATATTCGTTGTTACACAAGTGTATCAAATGCAATCAAGTCATTGTATTTCAGTCAGGTAATGATTTTGTTAATTAGCTAGTCTTCACCACTCCACATACTTTAAAACATCATGTTGTGCATAATAAATATATAAGATTTTATCTGTCAATTAAAAAATTGTCTAAACTTGTATTGTCAACAACCAGAAATTCCATAAACACCATGAGGAATTAGTGTCTGTCTTGTCGACTATTTTAAATCTAGAGTCTGGCTTGGAGCCTTGAATCAAGTAGAGAGCAGATCCCACTGATTTTCTGCTCCATATCTTATTGACCCACCTAAGTTTGTCTAGAACTAATGGCTACTCATAACAAGGGCATCTGGGTGTTTTTCGTCTCTGCCTAAGAACTTTCTCTAGTAGAGAGTACTTGCTGGGATAAACACAGGCATACTCAAGAGGCAGAAAAAGGTGACACCTCTGAGGCGACCCTCACTTATGGAATGGATAAGTTAGGCTCATTCTAAGACATATTTTACATGTTATCTCTGAGAGTCACTAATTAATAGAGCCTCAATTTTCCTCATTGGAAAATGGATCATTACCATACACCTTACAGTTTAGCTTACTTTTACTAATTCATTATTTATATGTCTCAAGATCTCAAATAAACTATCTTAAGTCTTGTCTCAGAAAATACTTTAAGAAGTGATCCAACTAAGGTAGTAGATATGATGGCATTCAAACAGAGAAACTCATTGCTATCATCCCACTTCTGATGCTATTATCATCATAGTCCTTCTGATACTAGAAGCAAGCATCAGAGTACCAGTTATAAACAGGGAAACAAAGGAGAGAGGGATGTGTACAATAACATAAAATGGGTATTTAGATAAGGCAAAATGAGACAGACTTCTTATATTGCCAATTGTGCTCAGGACTAAAGAAGAAATTTACAGTGAATAAAATGGAAAGATAAAGGAATGCATGACAAAGAAAGTTGCTTTAAAGTTTGTTTTTAAGGGATCCTCCCTGTTTTAGTTGTGACAATTTTTTTGTGACATCTGTTTAAAATGTTTGCCAATAGAATGCTTAGTAATAATCAACGACTTTCCTTTTCTCTAGATTTGCTCTTTGTGTCTTTTTCCTGGAGGAATGAGAGAGGAGGAGAAAAGAGAAAAAAATCTTTACATTTCAGCGGTTTTCTGAATCAGTACATTATAATACATTTGTAGCAGTAGATGTTAGCTAATTGCATATTGAGGTTATTAGTTTTAACTTGGATAATTTTAATTGTAATATTGCCATGGTAACGCTAGCAAAGGTGACATATTAACTTAATCATGATGGTTGGCATCCAAATATGAATATTTAATCTAGGCATAGCTATGATTATGCAGGCTCCTAATTGCTCACAAAAATTAGTTAGTTTGGTGGTTCCTTAAATCTGGCTGTGCAATCTGAAAATTACTTGGACTCCTTGAAAAAGTGATAGTGAAGGGGGATGGGGGATTAATTTTACTAAATCAAAAATTATGTTCCTTAAAAAGACAAAAAATGTTAATGATTGTGAGGAGTTGCTTAATCCTATGTTGAAAAAGTGACTGTTTTTAATAATCATTTATCTTTTTTTCTTACCATTTAACTGGGAGACTGAAAAAAGTAAACTGCTAAAGATAATTTTTTTGAAAATCATCAACATATTTTACTGAAATATGACAATTTTACTGGTTGCAAAATGTGCTAAACTTACAAGCTGTTGTTTGTCTCTCACAGAAGAACAACAAAATTTTCCACATTTTAGTTAATTATTCTTGCATTTGGAGAAAACTGATTAAATGCTTAAAACAATTGATTCAATACATTTAAAATTTATAAACAAAATCTATTAAAATGTATAATGATATTTAATTCAGTGTTTGATTATCATATTCTAGTAAGTTGAAATTTAAAACATGGTACATTTTTATTGCTATTTTTATTACAGATAGAAGTTGAATGATACTCTGAGCAGTTAACTGCACAATATAATCTGGGAGAAATTTCAAAACCTGCTCCAATATCTGATAATTGGAATATATAATAGGTAAAGAAAAATATATAGATGTTGAAATATTCATATTCTTCTGCCATCTCTCTACCTCAAAAAAAAATCTAACAGAAAAACTAGATTCCAATCTTTTGTTGTAATGATGTAACTGACTATGAATTTACTATCTAACTTATCAAATAATATATTATTTGTTTTATATATTCTTATTTTTCATTTTGTTTAAGGCATTAGACGAAATATATTTCAGTTTTCTCTGAAATTTTCAATGTTTAGGTAGAAGGTAAATTAGTCATAAAATTTATCAAAACCATATTAAAACTAGAGTTGTCAAATTATCAAGACAAGAACAGAACAGGTTTAAATTTGTTGCTCTTTTATTTATTCTAGTCTTCAACGTTGCTTTTTTTCAAATTCTTTTCTTATTTGTTTTAATAATATAGGCCAACTTTAAAAATATTTTAAAAATTTTATTCTGATATCTAAAGAAATCAAATACTAAATATTTGAGATTACACCCATATCAAATTGTTTTCACTGTCATTATCAGGCTTATTATACACAAATTTTCAATCCTGTGTTCTTATATGTTCTCAATTTTGAATTTTGCTCTCCAACCATTTTCTAGATTGGATTTATAAGTGTTTATTTCATAAAACTTTGTTTTGTTGAATTGTTTCAATTTTCAATACTTAACGTATTTGTGACTTTTTCAGAACTCACATAATGACAACTTACTGGGATACAAACTAGGTCTAAAGTTTACTTTCAAAACTCCTCAGAAGCTGTTAAATTATTACATGATTCTTAATATAGAAGAAAAGGCTAAAACAAACCTGAAATTAATGTACTTACTTTTAGATTTGCCTTTTTATGTTTGTTCTTAGGATTAGATTCAAATATATATATTTGAAATAAATCACAAAAATGTGTATCAATATAAATATCTTATTCTACTATGGAACTTGGTAAGAAATTTTATTCCTGGTATGTGGGATTTTTTTGGTTTTAGATTTGATATATTTTCTTCTATTATATCTGCACTTTTTTAAATGAACTACAGTGTGGAAGACTCAATGTTGTTAAATAGAAATAGTACAGACTTTTAACACCTAAACACAAATTATTAACCATATGAATTTGGACAACAATTTAACCTTCCTGAAGCTCAATGTGCTTGGAAGTTATGATATATAGGGATAATATACTTTAAGCAGTGCCTGACCCGGCATGTGTGTGTATGTTTGTGTATATATATGCATTATATATTATATACTTTGACACATGGCTGTATATATGCACTGTATGTGAATACATGACTGCTATATATAAGTGTACACGTAGATATACATAAAGTTATGTGTTACTTAAGGAGGATACATTCTGAGAGATTCATCTTTAGGTGATTTGGTCATTGTGTAAACATCATAGAGTATACTTATCACAAAGCTGTTTGATACAGCCTACTACATCTCTAAGCTAGATGGTATAGCCTCTTGCTCCTAGACTACAAACCTGTATAGCATGTCACTGCACTGAATACTGTAGGCATTTGTAACATGATGTAAGCATTTGTGTATCTGAGCATATCTATGCATACAAAGGTACAATAAAATTATAGTATAAAATCTTTTTTAAATGGCACACCTGTATAGGATGCTTACCATGAAGGGAGCTGGACTAGAAGTTGCTGTGAGTGAGTCAGTGAGTGAGTGGCGAGTGAATTTGAAGGCCCAGGACATTACTGTCCAGTACTGTAGACTTAATTAACATTATACACTTAGGCTACACTCATTTTACTTAAAAATTATTTCATCAATGATAAATTAACCTTAGCTTACTGTAACATTTTTACTTTATAACTTTTTTATTTTTTTAATTTTGACTCTATTCTAATAACATTGCCTAAAACACAAACATTGTATAGCTGTACAAAATTTTTTAAAATTTCCTTATTTTATAAACTTTTTGTATTTTCAATTTTTTTTTCACTTTTAAAACTTTTCCTTTTCAAACTAAAACATAAACACATGTATTAGTCTAGGCCTATGCAGGGTCAGGATCATCCGTATCACTGCCTTCCACCTCCACGTCTTTTCCCACTGAAGGGTCTTCAGGGGCAATAACACACATGGAGCTGTCATCTACTATGATAACAATGCCTTCTTCTGGAACTCCTCCTAAAGAACCTGGACCCGCCTCAAGCTTCTCTTGAGAGGTATCAACTCTTTTTAGAAATATGTCTACGGTAGTTTGTTCAGTTTAATTTTTTTTATCATATATTTGCCTGCAAGTAGATAATACACCAGGAACATTCCTCTCTATTAGTGAAAACCTTTCAGAATTAAGACTCATGCTTTCAAATCTTTCAAGGAGCTCGTTGAGGTCTGTGAAAGCTTCTACTAAACCCTTCACTGTGAATTTTCTTTAGGGCTCTTATTTTTCTTCTCTTGCAATTTCATTTTTTCTTGACTTTTCTTCAGCTATTTGTTTCTATCCCAGTTCCACCAACTCCTCCTTAGTTAATTCCTCAGGAACCACGTTCAGAAGCTCCTTGATGTCATCCTCAGGCACACTCAAGTTGAAATTGTTTGCCATCTCAACTACAGCCTTGTTGATTTTTTGCAATCTCCTTATCTTTGGCAAATCCTTTGTACTCGTGGACAAACATCTTGAATGTCTTCTTCCGGATGCCATTAGTAAACTCCTTGGCGACATCACCCCAAGCACAAGTAAGTTTCCTGATGCAGTCATAGATGTTGTAGTCCTTTCAGAATTGCTTCAGTGTCTTCTTCCTCAGTGGCAGCAACAGTCTGAGAAAAGATCCTCCTGAGGTTGTAGGCCTTAAAACAGCAGCTACAACTCCTTGTTCCATAGGTTGGATCAAAGAGGTGATGTTTGTGGGGAGAACCACCACTTTGATATTGGAATGAAGCTCACCAATAAAAGGAGGATGTATGGGAGCAACATCTACAATAAGCAAAATATTAAAAGGTAAATTTTACTCCAAACAGCACTTCTCAATTTGGTTGGCATAGCAATTCAGGAGGGCATCTTGAAAGAGAAACCCAGTCATCCATGAGTTCTTTTTTTTTAATTTTTTAAAATTATACTTTAAGTTCTAGGGTACATGTGCACAATGTGAAGGTTTGATACATAGGTACACATGTGTCATGTTGGTTTGCTCTACCCATCAACTCATCATTTACATTAGGTATTTCTCCTAAAGTTATATCTCTCCCAGCTCCCACCACTCCCTGACAAGCCCTGGTGTGTGATGTTCCCCGCCCTGTGTCCATGTGTTCTAGTTGTTCAATTCCCACCTATGAGTGAGAACACGTGGTGTTTGGTTTTCTGTCTTTGTGATAGTTTGCTGAGAATGATGGTTTCCAACTTCATCCATGTCCCTGCAAAGGGCATGAACTCATCTTTTTTAATGGCTGCATAGTATTCCATGGTGTATATGTGCCAAATTTTCTTAATCTAGTCCATCATTGATGGGCATTTAGGTTGGTTCCAAGTCTTTGCTATTGTGAATAGTGCCACAATAAACATACATGTGCATGTGTCTTTATAATAGCATGATTTATAATCCTTTGGGTATATACCCAGTAATGGAATTGCTGGGTCAAATGGTATTTCTTGTTCTAGATCCTTGAGGAACTGCCACACTGCCTTCCACAATGGTTGAACTAGTTTACACTCCCACCAACAGTGTAAAAGTGTTCCTATTTCTCCACATCCCCTCCAGCATCTGTTGTTTCCTGACATTTTAATGATCACCCTTCTAACCGGCATGAGATGGTATCTCATTGTGGTTTGGATTTGCATTTCTCTGATGGCCAGTGATGATGAGCATTTTTCATGTGTCTGTTGGTTGCATAAATGTCTTCTTTTGAGAAGTTTCTGTTCATATCCTTTGCCCACTTTTTAATGGGGTTGTTTGTTTTTTTCTTGGAAATTTGTTTGAGTTCTTTGTAGATTCTGGATATTAGCCATTTATCAGATGGGTAGATTGCAAAAATTTTCTCCCATTCTGTAGGTTGCCTGTTCACTCTGATGGTAATTTCTTTTGCTGTGCAGAAGCTCTTTAGTTTAATTAGATCCCATTTGTCTATTTTAGCTTTTGTTGCCATTGCTTTTGGTGTTTTAGTCATGAAGTCCTTGCCCATGCCTATGTCCTCAATGGTATTGCCTAGGTTTTCTTCTAGGAATTTTATAGTTTTAGGTCTAACATTTAAGTCTTTAATCCATCTTGAATTAAGTTTTGTATAGGATGTAAGGAAGGGTTCCAGTTTCAGCTTTCTACATATGGCTAGGCAGTTTTCCAACCACCATTTATTAAATGGGGAATCCTTTCCCCATTTCTTGTTTTTGTCAGGTTTGGCAAAGATCAGATGGTTGTAAATGTGTGGTGTTATTTTTGAGGCCTCTGTTCTGTTCCATTGGTGTGTATATATATATCTATATCTATCTATATCTATCTATCTATATATATGTATATCTATATCTATATCTGTTTTGGTACCAGTACCATGCTGGTTTGGTTATTGTGGCCTTGTAGTATAATTTGAAGTCAGGTAGCGTGATGCCTCCAGCTTTGTTCTTTTTGCTTAGGATTGACTTGGTAATGCGGGCTCTTTTTCAGTTCCATATGAACTTTAAAGTAGTTTTTTCCAATTCTGTGAAGAAAGTCATTGGTAGCTTGATGGGGATGGCATTGAATCTATAAATTATCTTGGGCAGTATGGCCATTTTCACGATGTTGATTCTTCCTATCCATGAGCATGGAATGTTCTTCCATTTGTGTTCTCTTTTATTTCGTTGGGCAGTGGTTTGTAGTTCTCCTTGAAGAGGTCCTCCAGGTCCCTTCTAAGTTGAATTCCTAGGTATTTTTTCTCTTTGTAACTATTGTGAATGAGAGTTCACTCATGATTTGGCCCTCTGTTTGACTATTATTGGTACATGGGAATGCTTGTGATTTCTGCACGTTGATTTTGTATCCTGAGACTTTGCTGAAGTTGTTTATCAGCTTAAGGTGATTTTGGGCTGAGATGATGGGGTTTTCTAAATATACAATCATGTCATCTGCAAACAGGGACAATTTGACTTCCTCTTTTCCTAATTGAATACACTTTATTTCTTTCTCTTGCTTGATTGCCCTGGCCAGAACTTCCAACACTATGTTGAATAGGACTGGTGAGAGAGGGCATCCCTCTCTTGTGCCAGTTTTGAAAGGGAATGCTTCCAGTTTCTGCCCATTCAATATGATACTGGCTGTCGGTTTGTCATAAATAGCTCTTATTATTTTGAGATACATTCTATCAATACGTAGTTTATTGAGAGTTTTTAGCATGAAGAGCTGTTGAATTTTTTTCAAAGGCCTTTTCTGCATCTATTGAGATAATCATGTGGTTTTTGTCGTTGGTTTTGTTTATGTGATGGATTACATTTATTGTCTTGCATATGTTGAACTGGCCTTGCATCCCACGGATGAAGCAGACTTGATCGTGGGGGATAAACTTTTTGATGTGCTGCTGGATTCCGTTTGCTGGTATTTTATTGAGGATTTTTGCATCGATGTTCATCAGGGATATTGGTCTAAAATTCTTTTTTTGTTGTGTCTGTGCCAGGCTTTGATATCAGGATGATGCTGGCCTCATAAAATGAGTTAGGGAGGATTCCCTCTTTTTCTATTGATTGGAATAGTTTTGGAAATAATGGTACCAGCTCCTCTTTGTACCTCTGGTAGAATTTGGCTGTGAATCTGGCTGGTCCTGGACTTTTTTTGGTTGGTGGGCTATTAATTATTGCCTCAATTTCAGAGCCTGTTATTGGTCTATTCAGAGATTCAACTTTTTCATGGTTTAGTCTTGGGAGGGTGTATGTGTCGAGGAATTTATCCATTTCTTCTAGATTTTCTACTTTATTTGCATAGAGGTATTTATAGTATTCTCTGATGGCAGTTTGTATTTCTGTGGGATTGGTAGCGGTATCCCCTTTATCATTTATTATTGTGTCTATTTGATTCTTCTCTCTCTTCTTTATTAGACTGCTAGCAGTCTATCAACTGTGTTGATCTTTTCAAAAACTCAGCTCCTGGATTCATTGATTTTTTTGAAGGTTTTTTTTTTTTATATCTCTACCTCTTTCAGTTCCACTCTGCTCTTAGTTATTTCTTGCCTTCTGCTAGCTTTTGAATTTGTTTGCTTTTGCTTCTCTAGTTCTTTTTTTTTTTATTTGGTGTGTGTGAATATTTTTATTTTATTTTATTTTTTAATTTTTATTTTTAATTTTTATTATATTTTAAGTTTTAGGGTACATGTGCACAATGTGCAGGTTAGTTACATGTGTATACATGTGCCATGTTGGTGTGCTGCACCCATTAACTCGTCATTTAACATTAGGTATATCTCCTAATGCTATCCCTCCCCACTCTCCCCACCCCACAACAGACCGTGGTGCGTGATGTTCCCCTTCTCTAGTTCTTTTAATTGTGATATTAGGTGTCGATTTTAGATCTTTCCTGTTTTCTCTTGTGGGCATTTAGTGCTATAAATTTCCCTCTACACACTGCTTTAAATGTGTCCCTGAAATTCTGGTATGTTTTGTCTTTGTTCTCATTGGTTTCAAAGAACATCTTTATTTCTGCCTTCATTTCGTTATGTACCCAGTAGTTATTCAGGAGCAGATTGTTGGGTTTCCGTGTAGTTGAGTGGTTTTGAGTGAGTTTCTTAATACTGAGTTCTAATTTGATTGCACTGTAGTCAGAGAGATAGTTTGTTGTGATTTCTGTTCTTTTACATTTTCTGAGGAGTGCTTTACTTCCAATATGTGGGCAATTTTAGAATAAGTGAGATGTGGTGCTGAGAAGAATGTATATTCTGTTGATTTGGGGTGGAGAGTTCTGTAGGTGTCTATTAGGTCTGCTTGGTGCAGAGCTGAGTTCAAGTCCTGGATATCTTTGTTAACCTTCTGTCTCGGTGATCTGTCTAATATTGACAAGGGGATGTTAAAGTCTCTCATTATTAGAGAGACTATTGTGTGGGAGTCTAATTCTCTTTCTAGGTCTCTAAGGACTTGCTTTATGAATCTGGGTGCTCCTGTATTGGGTTCATATATAATTATGATAGTTAGCTCTTCTTGTTGAATTGATCCCTTTACAATTGTGTAACGGTCTTCTTTGTTTCTTTTGATCTTTGTCGGTTAAAGTTTGTTTTATCAGAGACTAGGATTGCAACCCCTGCTTTTTTTTTTTTTTTTTTTTTTTTTTTTTTTTTTTGCTTTCCATTTGCTTGGTAGGTCTTTCTCCATCCCTTTATTTTAAGCCTGTGTGAGTCTCTGCATGTGAGATCAGCCTCCTGAATACAGTATACTGATGGGTCTTGACTCTTTATCCAATTTTCCAGTCTGAGTCTTTTAATTGGAGCATTTAGCCCATTTACATTTAAGCTTAATATTGTTATGTGTGAATTTGATCCTGTCATTATGATGTTAGCTGGTTATTTTGCCCATTAATTGATGCAGTTTGTTCATAGCATCAATGGTCTCTACAATTTGGCATGTTTTTGCAGTGGCTGGTACCAGTTGATTTTTTCCATGTTTAGTGCTTCCTTCAGGAGCTCTTGTAAGGCAGGCCTGGTGGTGACAAAATCTCTCAGCATTTGCTTGTCTGTAAAGGATTTTATTTCTCCTTCACTTATGAAGCTTAGTTTGTCTGGATATGAAATTCTGGGTTGAAAATTATTTTCTTTAAGAATGTTGAATATTGGTGCCCACTCTCTTCTGGCTTGTAGGGTTTCTGCCGAGAGATCTGCTGTTAGTCTGATGGGCTTCCCTTTGTGGGTAACCTGACCTTTCTCTCTGGCTGCCCTTAACATTTTTTCCTTCATTTCAACCTTGGTGAATCTGACAATTATGTGTCTTGGGGTTGCTGTTCTCGAAGAGTATCTTTGTGGTGTTCTCTGTATTTCCTGGATTTGAATGTTTGCCTGCCTTGCTAGGTTGGGGAAGTTCTCCTGGATAATATCCTGAAGAGTGTTTTCCAACTTGGTTCCATTCTCACCATCACTTTCAGGTACACCTATCTAACGTAGATTTGGTCTTTTCACATAGTCCCATATATTTTGGAGGCTTTGTTTGTTTCTTTTTACTCTTTTTTCTCTACCCTTGTCTTCTCACTTTATTTCATTAATTTGATCTTCAATCACTGATACCCTTTCTTCCACTTGATTGAATCAGCTATTGAAACTTGTGCATGTGTCACGAAGTTCTCATGCCATGGTTTTCAGCTCCATCAGGTCATTTAAAGTCTTCTCTACACTGTTTATTCTAGTTAGCCATTCATCTAACCTTTTTTCAAGGTTTTTACCTTCCTTGAGATGGGTTTGAATATGTTCCTTTAGCTCGGAGAAGTTTGTTATTACCGACCTTCTGAAGCCTACTTCTGTCAACTCATCAAAGTCGTTCTTCGTCCAGCTTTGTTCCATTGCTGGTAAGGAGCTGTGATCCTTTGGAGGAGAAGAGGTGCTCTGGTTTTTAGAATTTTCAGCTTTACTATTCTGGTTTCTCCCCATCTTTGTGGTTTTATCTACCTTTGGTCTTTGATGTTGGTGACCTACAGATGGGGTTTTGGGTAGATGTCCTTTTTGTTGATGTTGTTGCTATTCCTTTCTGTTTGTTAGTTTTCCTTCTAACAGTCAGATTCCTCAGCTGCAGGTCTGTTGGAGTTTGCTGGAGGTCCACTCCAGACCCTGTTTGCCTGGGTATCACCAGTGGAGGCTGCAGAACAGCAAATATTGCAGAACAGCAAATATTGCAGAACAGCAAATATTGCTGCCTGATTCTTCCTCTGGAAGCTTCATCCCAGAGGGTCACCCACCTATATGAGGTGTCTTTCAGCCCCTACTGGGAGGTGTCTCCCAGTCAGGCTACATGGGGGTCAGGGACCCACTTAAGGAGGCAGTCTGTCCGTTCTCAGAGCTCAAAGGCTGTGCTGGGAGAACCACTGCTCTCTTCAGAGCTGCCAGACAGGGATGCTTAAGTCTGCAGAAGCTGTCTGCTGCCTTTTGTTCAGCTGTGCCCTGCCCACAGAGGTGGAGTCTATAGAGGCAGTAGGCATTGCTTAGCTGGCAGTGGGCTGTGCCCAGTTTGAGCTTCCTGGCCACTTTGTTTACCTACTCAAGCCTCAGCAATGGCAGACGACCCTCCCCCAGCCAGGCTACCACCTTGCATTTCGATCTCAGTCTGCTGTGCTAGTAGTGAGCAAGGCTCCATGGGCTTGGGACCTGCTGAGCCAGGCAAAAGAGAGAATCTCCTGGTCTGCTGGTTGCTAAGACCTTGGGAAAAGTGCAGTAGTTGGGCAGGAGTGCCCCGTTTTCCCAGGTACAGTCTGTCACGGCTTCCCTTGGCTAGGAAAGGGAAATCCCCCGACCCCTTGCACTTCCCGGGTGAGGCAACGCCCTGCCCTGCTTCAGCTCACCATCTGTGGGCCGCACCCACTGTCCAACCAGTCCCAGTGAGATGAACCAGGTACCTCAGTTGGAAATGCAGAAATCACCCGTCTTCTGCATCAATCACGCTCGGAGCTGCAGACTGGAGCTGTTCCTATTCGGCCATCTTGGAACAGATCCCCAGTCATCCATGATTTCTTATTGCTGCTGTAGTACACTGACAGTGTGTTCTTACTGATATGCTTGAAGGCCCTGGATTTCCCACTGTGCCAGAGCACAAAGGGCTTCAATTTGTATCCTGCAACATTTCCCTCAAACAGACTGCTATCTTGTCTTTAAAGTCTTGAAACCTGGCATTGACTTGGACTCTTTATGGGTGAAAGTCCTTTCAGGCATTTGTTTCCAGAATAGGGAGCTCTCATCACGTACTGGAAGATCTGCTCTGGCAAGTAATTTTCCTTCACAATCAGCTTATCTAGTTTCAAAAAGTTCTTCAGCTACCTTCACATCAGCACTTGCAGACTCACCACACACTTTTATATTATGTAGTAAATAGTGGTTCTTGAATTCTTTGAACCACTCAGAGCTGGAAGTAAATTCAACATAGTAGTTGGGGTGAGTCTTTTCTTCAACATAGCAAAATTTTTCTTTTGGCCATGATCATCATGGTGCTGAAACGGACACATTTCTCTGTCAGGTCTTCAACCGAGGACTTTAGAAGTTTCTCCATATCTAATATAGGCCCTTCTGAAATTTTGTTAATCTCCTTGTTCTAGTTCTTCAAGATCATTGCTATGGTGGAATGGGACATGTCTGACTGGTGAGTAATCACTTCATCGCCCTTAATCATTTTAAATTTTGTGTCCAAGTCAGTCACTCAACTTGACCTCTTACTGGCAACATTAACAGTGGATTTTTTAGTTTAGGGGCCCTGATAAACAAAACTAGAAAAGATTAAATCAAGCACAAGAGAAAATGATGGAATCCAGAGATGAGATAAACATGAGATGCATAAGGCTGCTGCTGGGGTAACATGACACACTTTTTCACAATAAAGTTTTTAAAAGTAGAGCTGGTGTGGTGGCTCACGCCTGTAATCCCAGCACTTTGAGGCCTAGGTGGATGGATCACTTGAGGTCAGGAGTTCAAGACCAGCCTGACCAATATGGTAAAACCCCAGCTCTACTAAAAATACAAAAAAATTAGCCAGGCATGGTGGCATGTGCCTGTAGTCCCAGCTATTTGGGATGCTGAGACAGGAGAATTGTTTGAACCTGGGAGGCAGAGGTTGCAGTGAGCTGAGATCATGCCACTGCACTCCAGCCTGGGTGACAGAGTAAGACTCTGTCTCAGAAGAAAAAAAAAGTAGCACACTCTAAAATAATGATAAAGAGTATATGATAATGAATACATAATCCAGTAACATAGTCACTTATTATCATTATCAAGTATTATGTACTGTACATGATCATATGTGTTATATTTTGTTTTTGTTTTTGAGACAGGGTCTCACTCTGCTGCCCAGGCTGAGAGTGCAGTGGTATAATCATAGCTCACTGCAGCCTTGATCTCCTGGACTTAAGCAATCTTCCTACCTTTGCCTCTCTCCCAAGTAGCTGAGACTACAGGTATGCACCACCAGGCCCGGCTAATTTTTAAATAGTTTTTATAGAGATGAGGTTTTGCTATGTTTCCTAGGCTGGTCTCAAACCCCTAGCCTCAAGTAATCCTCTGGCCTTGAACTCCCAAAGTGCTGGGACACAAGCATGAGCCACTGCACAAACAGATGAGTAATATGTTGCACTATGAAGTTATCACAGCTGTGATGTTCCTAAGTGATAGGAAATTTTCAGCTCCATTATTATCTTATGCAGTGCATCATTGACCAAGATGTCATTATGTGGCACATAACGTGTGTGTGTGTGTGTGTGTGTGTGTGTGTGTTTATTTACAAGACATAGTGTAGGTCTTTTAATATATGGTAAAGACTGTTAAGTACTACACTGCATCATTACATTAGGGGGGTCACATAGCTTAAGATTTGTTTTGTTACATTATGATATATCACTCTGTTCAGCTTAATAGTGACAATCGAATTCAAATCTGGGCATCCTCTCTTTGCCTTTGTTATAGTAGTGAGAGGAGATTTTGGAGATTTATTTTAATCTTTGACCCTTGATACTGCAACCCAAACCTTTCTTTTACTGGCTATTTAAAGGGTATCTAGGCCAATGCATATTCCTAGTTTCCACAAACTATTAAGAGTGAGGCAATTTTTTTTGGATTTGAAAAAACGAACTGTGAAATATTTGATTTCTTGAAGCTTGGTGGTTCGAATGGAAGGCAGGAAGAGAGGCAAGCGTCTTGTAGCATGGTCCTGGAGATTCAGGCAAAATTCTTTCTCCATTCTTGGCCATATTCCTGTCCACATCTTCATTTCCTTCATTAAATTCCTCATCATTTTCCAAGAAAGCATTAAAACTACTTCAAAACTAGCCTTATGGAATTAAGTCTTAAACATTTAACAGTCTATTTTTTCAGAATGCTTGTGAGAATTTTTGATTTTTTTAAAAAAAAATTCTGGGTGTTTTCTTAAATGGGCCCTATACTTGGTTATTTCATTCTTATTGGTATTAATACATTTTCTGTCCGTTATTATTTTTCTCGTTTTCTTGTATTTCTTCTTTTAAGTTTTTCTTTTCTCATTATAGCATCTATTTTTTGCAGGAAATATAAATCAGGTATTTTTTCCCCTTTCCCTTCTACTGCAGAAAAACTCATACTTTATAAGAAGATCAGAATATGGCAGGAGAAAAGATCATGATTACAGTTTCTTTATTTTTATTAAATATTTTATCATGTACCCATAATTGAAGGCTATGTCTTTCTATAATATAGGGTTTGCCTGGAACATGGTCACTTTCTAAATATCATTTTTTTCTAAGGTTTGTAAATACATTAAGACATACATGATTTACATTTTGCAGAGTAAAGAAAGGACATTTTTTTTCAGTTTCCAAAGGAACCATTGAGTATGTTTAACTTGAAGTGGTTAACAAGCCATTCCTATATCACAACTGCTCAAAAGTCTTCATCCTGCTTTTATATTATTTTCAGATCCTGAAGAACATAGAAACATATTTTGAGTGTTTATTATTTTACACCAATATAATTTTATTATATATTTTTGTATAATACTGCATTCTCTACATACCACCCAAGTTATGCTTTCCAGCGAAACATGGAAAACAAAAATATAAAAATATTTTAAAAAGGACAAAGAAATCATCACAGATAAATCAAAGAGTATACAATTATTCTGGAGAAAAATGCATTTTATATTATTATCTTTTCCTGGCCATCTAATATGTTTAGGTAATCAAATGCTAAGCTTCAATGGATTGGACGGGGGCAGAGCTTTGTTAAGAATGGATATATAGGCCGGGCGCGGTGGCTCACGCCTGTAATCCCAGCACTTTGGGAGGCCGAGGGGGGCGGATCACGAGGTCAGGAGATCGAGACCATCCCGGCTAAAACGGTGAAACCCCGTCTCTACTAAAAATACAAAAAATTAGCCGGGCGTAGTGGCGGGCGCCTGTAGTCCCAGCTACTTGGGAGGCTGAGGCAGGAGAATGGCGTGAACCCGGGAGGCGGAGCTTGCAGTGAGCCAAGATCCCGCCACTGCACTCCAGCCTGGGCGACAGAGCGAGACTCCGTCTCAAAAAAAAAAAAAAAAAAAAAAAGAATGGATATATAGCCGGGCACGGTGGCTCACGCCTGTAATCCCAGCACTTTGGGAGGCTGAGGTGGGCAGATCACCTGAGGTCGGGAGTTTGAGACCAGCCTGACCAACATGGAGAAACCCCGTCTCTACTAAAAATACAAAATTAGCCGGGCGTGGTGGCACATGCCCGTAATCCCAGCTACTTGGGAGGCTGAGTTAGGAGAATCAAGTGAACCTGGGAGATGGAGGTTGCAGTGAGCCAAGATCATGCCATTGCACTCCAGTCTAGGCAACAAGAGTGAAACTCCATCTAAAAAAAAAAAAGAATGGATATAAAACTTAATAGTAGAGGAGAACTGGTGTGAAGGGTTTGAAGATGTTTACCAAATATCAGCATTCACTCATGTGTTCTGCCATGTGAAAATAAGAGAACAACAACAACAAAAAACATGTTTCCAGACTGCCTGTTAGCTAGTATTCTATGTGGCAATTCGTTTCTACAAATTGGGTGCGCTTATATAAGATTTATGTGGTGGAAATGAATCACAGCCCAATTTTCTGTGATTATTCTTTTTCTAGCAGTTAAGCTTGTGATGATATAAAGTTTTGCATCAAAAATATTTCAGTGTCTAGTCTCCAGTTTTGTGGCTGTCTTAGATTCCTGATTTTTGAATTGTTGATTGTTGCATTGGTGATTATGGGGTTTTAAATATTCATCTTTATAATTTTATACTGAATACACACAAGATATATTCTGAGTCAGAGTCAGATTTCTTATTAACCTTCATACTAAATAATAAGTGTACTGGTTTCCTCATTGTGCCATTGTTTACCCCTAGCATGATGCAATGGAGTCAGTGAAAACCTTTCCTACCCCAGTATCTAGACACTCCATAGGTGAAGGGTAAAGAAATATTATTTGTCCCTCCTTACAAAGGAAAAGGAGGCAGCTGTCCCCTTCTCTTCCTAAAAGGATCTCCTTGGAAATGGAATGGGGCTAAACTGTAACTCCACCTCTTCGGTCCCTCTACTTTTATGACTTAGTGTTCTGGACTCTCAACCCTTTTGAAATATAAATACATAGAGAGATAACACTCCAATCTTTCTGGCAACCTGGGGCTTAACCTAGGGACCTACTCTGAGCTGCAACCAGTTGATCCCCTCAGGGAACTAAAAGTTTTAGTATCTTTTATATCTGATCTATTAACCAGACAAATGACTATAGATCTAATTCTTATGGCCCATGAAGAATCTCAGGAAGCTAGGGCTTTTAAAAAGGGGACACTTGAAAATTTCTCCACAGTGGTTGATTTTGTTGTTTAATCACCATTTTACTTATTATATTATTTTACTTTAATTCCAGCCTTCTTATTTCCCTTTTTGATTGTGCCAGTGATATTAGCTCCTTGGAAGTTTATTTCTGCTATGTTCTGAATATTACTTCAGGAGTTCCAGTCTAAAGACTTTTTTTTTTCCTGTAGCTCATACAATGATTTTTATAATCCCATACTCTCCTATATGAAATTCTGATTAAAATATCTAGAGTGGTTTTGGGTTTTTCACTAAACTAGATTTTTTTTTTGTTTCTTAATAAAATAAATTAAAGTTATTGTAGAAACATGTCTCAACATGTTGCCCAGGCTGATCTCCAACTCCTGGTCTCAAGCTATCTTCCTGCCTTGGCCTCCCAAAGCGCTGGGATTACAGACGTGAGCCACCACACCTGGCCTAACTTGCATGTTTTTGAGTGGTGACATTTGGTCTCCTAAGAACTTCAGTCTTTCGTTTCCTGTTTCTCTCTCTCTTTCTAATTGACTGAGACTTTTCTTTGAGTTACATTTAAACCCAGAGAGGTGGAGAACCAGGACAGGACCCAAAGGAGAGAGAACATTGAACTCAATTGCCATCAACATACTTCAGGAGAGCTCTAGGTTAAAGGGACAGAGAACAGGAGACTTGAAGATTTTATTGCAGTCATCTACCTATCTTTTAAAAATGGGGAAGGGGGCAGAATGATATGGGAGAAGTATATGTCAATGAATGCTTTGATTTTTGCTTAAGCATTCAGGTTCACATATGCGTAGAACCAGAGCATTGCACAGACACCAGGAATATGGAACTTTCCTGCAAATGCTTTCCCCTCCACTACCAAATGCAAATTAACTGATTATTGATTTTTTCAATACTATTTATAATATTGGAGTTGGCTTATTTAAAAATTTATGATTTGTCATTTTTTCTCTCTTTTTCTCCTCTCTTATTCTTTTCTTCAAGCTAAGTGTGATTAGATGGCTTCTTTTATTGTTTTTCTGAGTATGAAAAATAGGATAGAATGCTTAGAAAATACAACATGTGTCAACAAAAGCTATTTTTAAAAATGACCAGGAATGTAACATCCAAATGAAAACTACCCTGAATCTTTGGTATTCACTGTCTTTTGACCTTTTTTTTTTCCTACCTTTTCTGTATGCCAAACATGCACAAGCATGCAAAATTATTCTTGTAAAATTAAATTTGTATACTGAATTTTTAACTGAATAACATTACATAAGCATTTTCTTATATCATTTTCTTCAAACATATGTTTTCTAACAGCTAAATAATATTGAACTTTGTGTAATGAATATTACCCGTCTAATAGTTTTCAAAGAGAAGAATACTTAGGCTAATTTTTTCTTCATAAAAACAGGATAGCGGATTTTATAGTACATAAAATTCTGATCTCATCTCTAAATGTTCCCTTAGGAAAATCTTTCAAGTTGAATTACCAAATTAAAATGTATAAAATTTAAAATGTTTAAGTTATAGTGCTAAATTTTCTTCAGAAATGTCATAATATTTTACATAAATGGCTAACAAAAATAGTACAGTATAAAAGCACACATTTCATCACATCCTCCACAATCACGGGCATTATAATTCTTTATTAATATAATGAATTTATATGTAAAAATGTTGTTACATAGTTTTATTATTTCATATTTTCTGGATTTTTAGTGCAGTTAAATTTTATGAATTTAAATTTTGCCTCTGACATTTGGCTATTTAAATCATATGCCCATTTTTATTGGTATTTTTTCTTATTCCTTTAAAATACTGGTGTTCTTTATATAGTCAGGTTATTTAAGCTGATATTTTTATATATGTGAAAATATTTCTCCTGATTTCTACTTTAATTTTCTTATATAATTATTATCAGTATATAGGCTATTTTAATTTTTATTACATGCTATCAGTTTTATTTATAACTTCTAAATTTACTTTAATGTAAACATTTAAAATTGAACAAGAGATAAATATTTGCTTATCTATTCAGCTAGCATATTTGAGGTTTTACTTACCTTTTAAATCCATCTAGCATTTATTTTATTGTATGTTGACAGGTAAATGACCTACTCTTGGCATTATGTTTTGAATATTTTATCCTTTGTTCAAGGTTTTAAAATTTGAGCTGTCTGAAATTTTTTTCTCATATATTTTCCTGTTTATCTATGATCCCACTGACATTTTGCCATTTTAAATTTTGTCCTTCAAAAAATGTTTTGAATGGTTATCTTTACAAGCTCTTATTCACCTTCTTTTTCCCCACTATTTTGTTTTTATCAAATGTCTATTCAACAGAAAGAAATTTAACTTCATATATAATTTGAGAATTTGCATTAAAATCAGAATTTGATATTGTGTTAATTACCAATTTTATGATAAAATACTTTGCATCCAATAAGATTATTTTGTTATTTCTCATACTGGAAATAATTGGATTGTTCTTCCACCTCCACCCCTCTTCCTTTTTTATCTATAAATATGTTGGACTCTGATCTATTGTCAAACCAACAATTTCATGTTTTCATTAACAGTTATTGTTGATGAAATGCTGATTTACAGGTTTATATCTTGACAGCTAGTTTTGTGTCCATTAATAAAGGCAACATGCTTCAGATACCTGTAACTATATTAAATCATAAAACAAGATTATGTGTAGACCTGAGAATTCTGAGTTGAAAAAAGCAGAAAGAATTCTGATTCTAACCACTTTGTGACAAATTTGAAAGCATTAAAGAAGAGCAATACTCCAGGATACCCAGGAGTACTGGAAAATCCAGTCTAAAAGCTGCTTTACCAGAAATCCTCTCTTAATCACGTCATTGTTCTGCTCCCTCAGGAATTATTGTGGCCATTGTTGGGCCTCAACTTCCTTCTCTTCAGTTTCCATAAAAAATCTTTAATTCAATCACTTATTCATTTTTTGTTAAATATTTATGAAGGCCTACTACTCTAAACATAGAAGATACATTATATGAGACAAAGTCCTAACTTCATATTGAGTGGTCAGAGAACTTTTCGGTGAGGAGAGCAAAACCAAAATGTCATGGAGAAAGAACATTCATAACTTAGGGGAAAGCAGTACAAAGCTCTAGGGCAGAAACACATTGAGAGCATTTACTTAACAGAAAGAAGACCAGTGTTAATAGAATATAATTAGAGATGGCAAAGATGACATGAGAAAAGGTGAAAGAGGAGAAATACATCACATCATATCATATTATGTAAGTGTTAGGGGAGGGATTGTAGGTTTTCTAAACCCAGAAGTGACAAGATCTAAATTATGGTCTCCTAAATGTCCTCAGCCTTACTAGATAAGGTCTCTTATTTTAGTAATATATATTTTTAATGTTCCTTTACTAGCTGCCATGCAATTCATAAATCTTATAATCTATGCACAAGTATAATATTCAAAATAAATTAATACAGTGCCTCTGCTGCTAAATAAGGAAGGAATGAAATTTAAAATAATATATACCCAAACGTGAAAATAATATCATGAAATCACTATCAGGTGCTTGCATTTACCTATATTAATCTGTCCAAATTTAAAAGAGCTAAGAAGATTAGGTACCACTACATTAAAGAATTAATGAAAAATAGAATAAGTAGAGTTGTGGGTGCTAGGATGAGCAATCACAGGCTAAAGTGATTTTTATATAAAAAGAGAAAGTGAGACATTTGTGGGGGGATATGAATAATCTTGAGATAGAAATAACATTATGAGGTAAAATATAATGTTTTGAAATGAAAAAATGATTTGTCTTGCAAATGAGTAGTATAATTCTGTTGAACAAAATTAAGGCTGTTGAAGCAGAAATAATTTGGCAAAGGTTTATTGGAAGCCAAATGTGAGGATCAACCTGAGAAGACACACCAACAAAGTTGAGCATGCTCCAAAGTCTGTTACAAGTTGGAATGCTTTTAGAGGAAAGTTTAGGAGAAAAGAAGGGGACTCATTTCAAAGGTTATTGTTTTTTTTCTGTTTTTTTTTTTTTTTTTTTAATTTGAGAATACAATACAGAGGCTACAATCATTGGTTTCAGATGACAACATACAGGCTAAAATGTTTTACCTGCAAGAAAATTAGTAAAACTTCATGATTCAGAAATATATCAGTGTCCTTTTCAATATCAGTGGTATATTAGTCAGTACATCAACAGTTTGAGGAACTCATAGTAAGATTCCAGGGACTCATTCACAATAAGACTCTTACTTGGGGACAGTCTATAAACCATGAATCATAAGACCTTCCCCACACAGTTATTTTGGAAGTCTGATAGATGTGACCTGTAGATGATCAGTTTCAAAACATATTTATACGTTGTCATTTATCAGGTATATGTTTTGCAAATACAGTTGGCCTCTGCATCTGCAGATGCTGAACCTGTCATTTTATGTACAGAACTTGAGCATCAACTGAGTTTGGTGTCCTTGGGGATCATGGAACCAATCTCCTACAGTTGTAGAAAAAAAACTGTATTTTCTCCCAGTTTGTGGCTTCTCATGCTTTCTTATTTTCTCAACAGCCTCATTCTAGAACTTTTATAGTTTTGTGTTTTACATTAGGGTCTATGATCCTATTTTGATTAACTTTCTGTGAAAGGAGTAAGGCCAGTTCCTAGATTTCTGTGTGTGTGTGTGTGTGTGTGTGCGCGCGTGTGTGTGTGCGCGCGCGCACACACACAGTGGACATTATGTTGTTCCATCAGTATTTGTTTAAAAGATTATACTCTCCCCATTTAATTGTCTTTGCTCCTTTTTCAGTAATCAGTTGACTCTATTTGTGTGGATATATTTCTGTCCTCCAGTTTTTTTCTGCGGATCTATTTGTCCATTATTTTATCAACTCCCACTGACTTGAATACTGCAGCTTTATAGTAAGACTTGAAGTTGTGTGGTGTCAATTCCCTTACATTTTTTTTCTCCTTTAATACTGTGTTGGCTATTCTGGATTTTTTGTTTTTTCATAAAACTTTAAAATCATTATGTCAATATCTTAAAAATAGTAATTTGCTGAAATTTTGACTGGCGTTTCACTGAATCTATAGATCAATTTGAAAAGAACTGACATCTAAACAAGATTGAGTCTTCTTATCCAAGAACATGGTCTATTTCTTTATTCATTTAGATTTTATTTTCTTACTTTCATTAGAATTTTGTGGTTTTCATATATATTTTAAGGTATTTTGTTAGGTTTATTCCTAAGTAATTGATTTTTTGTGCTAATGTAAATAGCACGGTACTTTAAATTTTAAACTCCAATAAGATTGTAATTGACTTTTGTATATTAATCTTGTATTTTGCAAACTTGTTATAATTGCTTATTAGATCCAGGAGATTCTTTTTGATCATGCCTTTGGAATATTCTATATAGACAATCATGTCTTCTATTAATAAAGACAGTTTTATTTCTCCTAATGTGTCTGTTTTTGGTCTTATTGCATTAGCTAGGATGTCCAGCATAATGTTAAATAAGAATGGTAAGGCAGGAGCTTTGCCTTGTTCCTGATCTTACTGGGAAAATATCTAGTTTCCCTTCATTAAATTTATTACTTTAGGTTTGTTTGCAGATGTTTTTTTCATGTTAAGAAAGTGCCTTTCTTCCTACATTGCTGAGATTTGTAATTATGAATAGTTGTTAAATTTGGTCAAATACTTGTTCTGTATCAATTGATATGATCATATCATGATTTTTTTCCTTTAGCTACTGACATGTATTATGTTGATTTCTGAATGTTGAACCAACCATGCATATGAATATAAATCCCATTTTGCTATGGCATATGATTATTTTTAAACATTGTTAGATTTGATTTCCTAATATTTTGTTCAGAATTTAGCATCTATGTTGATGAGAGATATTAATCTATAGTTTTCTTATATTTATCTGGTTTTGGTGTTAGTGTAATGCCAGTTGTATAAAATGAGTTAGAAAATGTTCTGTTTCTGTTTTCTGGAAGAGATTGTAAATAATTGGTATAATTTTTATAAGATTATTCTTTATTTGTATACATCTATGGGATGCAAGTGTAATTTTGTTAACATGGATAAATGGCATAGTGGTGAAGTCAAGGCTCTCGGGGTGTCATACCGAGTATCATACACTATACCCATTAAATAATTTCTCATCATCCACTCCCATCCTGCTCCCCTCGCTTCTGAGTCTCCACTATTATTCCACATGCTACATCCATGTGTACACATTATTTAGCTCCCACTTATGTGTGAGAATATTATTTGTCTTTTTGTGTCTGAGTTGTTTACTTAAGATAATGGCCTCTAGTTCCATCCATGTTGCTGCAAAAGACATGATTGCATTCTTTTTTATGGCTGCATAGTATTCCATTATATGTGTATACTACATTTTATTTATCCAGTCATCCATTGAGGGACACTGAAGTTGATTCCATATCTCTGCTATTGTGAATAGTTACATGATAAACCCACAAATGCAGGTAACTTTTTAATATAATGATGTCTTTTATTTGGGTATATACCTAGTAGTAGGATTGCTGGAACAAATGGTAGTTCTATTTTTAGTTCTTTGGGAAATCTCCATATTGTTTTCCATAGAGGTTGGACTAATTTATATTTCTACCAACAGTATATAAGCATTCTCTTTTCTCCACATCCTCACTGTTTGTTATTGTTTGACTTTTTAATAATATTAATTTGACTGGTATAGGATGATACCTCCTTGTTGTTTTAATTTGCATTTCTCTAATGTTAAGCATTATTTTTTAATATGCCTGTTGGCCATTTGTATGTCTTCTTTTGAAAAACATGTATAGATATGGCTCAGTTGTGGCAGGGAGAAAGGACTGGGAGAGGTTGGTTAAAAGATACAAAGTTACCATTAGACGAATATAATAAGTTTTGGTTCTCTATTATACAGTAGGGTAGCAAATAATCTAGTGTACATTTTAAGATACCTAGAAGAGTAGATTTTGAATGTTAACAGTATAAATAAATAAGTTTTCAAAGTAATAGAGGTAGTAATTATTCTGATTTGATCATTATACATGCATTGAAATATGAATAATCATGTGTTAATTATAAATGAATAATTAAAAATAAAATCAAAAGCTTTTAGTTTCATTAATTTTTCCTCCTGTTTTCTTGCTTCAAGTTTATTTTGGCTATTATATTTCAATTTATTCTCTTCTGTCTGCTTGAGGCTAATGTTGCTCCTCTTTTTCTAGTTTATTGAAATGTAAAGTTACATTATTGATTTTAGATTTTTCTTCTTTTCTAAACATGCATTTAAAGCTATAAATTTTTTTCAAAATTGCCTTTGATGAATTCCACAAATGTTAAGTTGTATTCCTGTTTGTATTTAGTTCAAACTATTTTTAATTTTTCTTGAGATTTCTTCTTTGACTCACATGTTATGTAGAAGTGTGTTGTTCAATATTAAAATATTTTTGAATTTTCCAAATATCCATACCCATCAGTTACTGATGTCTCATTTAATTACATTGTCATCTGAGAGCATACTTGAATTATTTATATTCTTTTAATTCTCTGTGGTGTGTTTTATGACCCAAGATGTGGCCTATTGTGGTGAATGTTTCATGTGACCTTAACAAGAAAATGTATTCTGCAGTTGCATGGAGTAAATGTCAATTAGAGCCAGGTGATTGATGGTGATTTTTAGTTCAACTATATCCTTACTGATTTCCTACCTGTTGGATCTGTCAATTACTAATAGAGATACCTTGAAGTCTCTAAATATAATGGCAGACTTTTTATTCCTCCCTGTGATTCTCTTAGGTTTTTGCTTCACTTATTTTGATGCTCTAGTTTTAGAGACCCTTTATAGATTGGCTCATCTTGGAAAACTGACCCTTTTATCACTGTGCAATACCCTTCTTTATCCCTGATAATTTCCTTGCTCTGCTGTCTCCTTTTCTGAAATACAGGTTGAGTATAACTTATCAAAATATTTAGGACTGGAAGTGTTTTTGATTTTAGGTGATTTTGGATTTTGGAATATTTGCATATACATAATGAGATATATTGGAATGACAACCAAGTCTAAACATGAAACTCATTTATACTTTGTATATACTTTATACACATAGCCTAAAGGTAAATTTTAGATAACATTTTAAATTGTTTTATCAAAGAAAAAATATTTTAATTGTGGCCCATCACATGAGGTCAGGTGTGGAACTTTTTACTTCTGACATCATGTTTGCCTTCAAAAATTTCAGATTTGGGAGTATTTCAGATTTTAGATTTTGGGATTAAGGATGCTCAAGCTGTATAGCTACTCCAGCTTTCTTTTACTGTGTGTAATAATGGTGTATATTTTTCCATCCCTTTGCTTTTCATCTATCTGTGTACTTATTTTTAAAATGTTATAGACACTATCTATTTGGGTCTTTGATCACTCTGTGGTCAGCCTCAATCTTTCAATTGGTGTATACAGACCATTCACATTTAAAGTGATTATCAACACAGTTGAATTATTATCTACTATATTTATAAATGTTTTCTATTCATTGCACTTATCCTTTATTAATCTCATTTTTCTACTTTCTCTGGTTTTAGTTGAGCATTTTATATGATATCATTTTTTCTCCTCTCTTGATATATTAGGTAGTTCATTTAAAAAATTTTTTGTGGTTGCCCTAGGGTTTGTAGTATTAATTTACACTAATATAAGTCTACTTTCAAAAAGCACTATTCCACTTCACATGCAGTCAAGGTGTCTTCTACCAGAGTATTATATGGCTGGCTTTTATTAATTTTACTTGTTCATAAATAAAAATCGTTCAATATTGCAAGCCAGCAGTTATTTATTAGATCAATTAAGGAAAAAATTAGAATATTTTACAACAGTTTTATTTATTACCTATTTAAAGTCCTTTCTTTCTTTACAAGTTTCTGGTCAACATGAATTTCCATCCATGTCTTTAAAAAAAATTCTTGGCCAGGTGTGGTGGCTCACGCCTGTAATCCCAGCACTTTGGGAGGCTGAGGTGGGTGGATCACCTGAGGTCAGAAGTTCAAGACCAGCCTGGCCAACATGGAGAAACCCTGTCTCTACTAAAAATACAAAAATTTGCAGGGCGTGGTGGCACACATCTGTAATCCCAGTTACTCAGGAGGCTGAGACAGGACAATTGCTTGAACCTGGAGGCAGAGGTTGCAATGAACCAAGATTACACCACTGCAACTCCAGTCTGGGTGTCACCCTATCTCAAAAAAAAAAAAAATTATTTTCCTATTTCTTACAAGGCACATCTACTGGTGACAAATTATCTATATTTTTATTTACCTGAAAAAAATTTATTTCTTCTTCATTTTTGAAAGATAATTTTGCTGGATACAGTAATATAGTAGATAGGTGCTTTTCACACCAACCCTTTAAATATTTTACTCCATTCTCTTCTTTGCCTGATTTCTGAAAATAATTATACTGCAATTCTCATCCTTAATCCTGTAAAGGTTTCTGGAAAAAGGTGAGAGGTTTTGTTGTTTATTTGTTTTCCCTTCTCTGTCTTCTTTAAAGATTGTCTCTTTGGCTTTTGTTTTCTGTGAATTGTGATATGTCTAGGTATAGATTTTTTTTGGTATGTATTCTGCTTGGTATTTTCTGACTTTTGACTTTCCTGGGTGTGTGGTTTGGTACCTGTAAGCAATTTTGGAAAATTTCTAGCTGTTATTTTTTTTCAAATATTTTGTCTAATTCCATCATGTGTATGTATGTTACAACTTTTGTAGTTGTGTCTTCTTGGATATTCTGTTCCAAATTTTTATTTTTTATTCTCTTTGCATTCAGTTGAGAAGTTTCTGACCTATCTTCAAGCTCACTGATTTTTGTTTCAACTGTGTCCAGTCTGTTTGTGTGCCCATCAAAACATTATTTATTTGGTACAATTTTTAATTTTTAAATTTCTCTTTGATTTTTTTCTTAAAGTTGCCATCTCTTTTCATGTACTACCCATTTTTTCTTGTATATTGTCCACTTTTTCCATTAGGGCTCTTCGCATATTATATTTTAAAATCCCAGTCTGATAATTCTAAAACCTATGCCTTATTTGATTCTGCTTCTAATGCTTGCCATATGTCTTCAGATTGTCTTGTTATCTTGCCTTTCAGGATACTTGATCATTTTTTGTTGCAAGCCATACATGATGTATTGGGTAATAGAGATTGAAGTAAATATGCATTTAGCCCAAGATTTTATGTTTATCTTGGTGAGTTAAGCACTCCATGTTTATTGTAATTGTAAATGTCCAAGACTTAAATTTCCTCTATTGTTTTTGCTTGTGTGTCCCCTGCTGTCTTTGGATTTGACTAGACACCCTCTCTTACATGGAATCTGTGTCTTGCAGTTCTCTCACTTGTGAGCCACCGTTTCATTCAGTAGACCAGCATTGGCTATAGCAGTGAGCTTCTGCTCCCAGTAAGGTGTATTTCTCTGTATCCACTTGCCTCAGCAGTTTTTAATATAGCAGGTTGCCCTGTGTTTTAATTTGTGTATGCATCCAAGAAGAGTTGTCGCTCAACTTGTTGAGCTTTTGTCTTGTAATGAGAGTGAGAGTAATGATCTTTGTATATTGGGGCTCTTTGTATCTTGGAGTTGAAATGAGAAGTCTCCACATACACATATATTTTTAAATGGATCACTCTGTCAATCACTATTACAAGTTTATAGACACTTAAAAGTATTTTTAAAATAAAACCATCCCAAAGTTGAATAATATCTTTCTCAACCGGCATCTTTATCTTAATTTTAGTTGATTTTGCTAAATATACATACTAAAAATTCTAACAAGGTTAATTTTTGTATTGACAGGTCTAATGATCATTTCTTCACTTTGAATACGTACTATTTATTTTATTGTAATATATGGGGAAAACATCTAGTTTTACAAAGATATCTGAAGGGTATAATCATTACTATTTTAATGGATATAATTTAATTGATTTATTAAAATATTTATAATATTTCAAAAAAGGGAATAAATTCACTATGGTCTGGATGGGTTCCCCAAAATTTATGTGTTAAAAAGTTAAATTCCAGTGCAACAGTGATAGGAGATGGGGCCTTTTGGGAGGTGTTTGGGTCACAAGGACTCTGTCTTAATTAATAGATTAATGCTGCCATAAAAAGGGAAAGGGGCTTTCAGGAGTGGGTCTTCTCTTCTGCCATGTGAGGACATGACATTCCTCCCCTCATGGAAGATGCAGGGTTCAAGGTGCCATCTTGGAAGCAGAAGAACAGCATTTAATCTGTCTGTTCCTTGATTTTGTTCTCAGCCTCCAGAACTGTGAGAAGTAAATTTCTGTCCTTTGTAACTTATCCATTCTGTGGTATTCTGTGATAGCCATACAAAACGGACTAGTATAAAGCCTATTAAAATGATTTTCTTCAGATAATCCTTTTCTACGTGGGATAATATATTTAAATTTATCTTGTTACTACACAGTTGAGGAATGACCTATTAACCAAGCTATTCTTTTTAATTCCATTGAAACACTCTATTGATTTATAAAGTTCTTCTCTGAGATTTTCGACACCTAAATATTGGTCTATAAACAACACAGGAAATTTCTAAAATGCCTGATGCTCTTTTCTTTTTTCTTTCTGAATACTGGCTATAAACATATGCTATGAATTGCCTACAATTGGTGTTCTCTGAGCTGTAATGGAAAATAAATACTTTTTAAGGAAATATTTTAAGATATAAATATTAACAAATATTTTTACTTACTGATAGTAATGTTGAATATGATACTACTCCTAATGCTTTTTCCTACCATAAGAACTTTACATAAGTAATTAGTTTTAACACTAATTGCTTTATTGTTTTTTATTCATTTGTTAAATATAGAACAATTATTGTGTGTTAGCTAGAACTAATGTAAGAAAGAAAATAGATACATTTACTCTCTTCATTGAACTTACTTTCCATCAGAGTAAATAAATTACATGACACTTCAGAAATTATGTCCTATGGAGAAAAATTAAAAAGATGAGGAAGATAGAAGATGCAAGGAGAGTCACAGCAGACAGAGCAACTGACCGAAGCCTTGAAAGGAGAAAAGGGAGGTATTATCTAAAGGAAGTATCTAAAGGAAGGATCCCTCAGGAAGAAAAAAAAGTCAAGCCCAAAAGCTTCAAGGTGACCTATTGAGTTCAAAGACAGCGATGTGAGTAACAATTTGAATGTCTACCAGATGAAGTCAGAGAGGATTTCTGAAGCTTCAGGTAAAATCTTGTGCTTGACCTTTACTATAAGTAAGATGAAGAGGATTATGAACAGAAGAGTGACATGGTCTGGGAATTAGTTTACAGATAATTACTGTGTTGAGAATAGAGTATAGCATCGAGGTGGCAAGGGTAGAAGTAGAAATACTAATTATGAGTCTACTAAAATTGTCAGGGTGACTTAGACCAATGTGGTACCAGTGGAGTAAGAAGTGGTCAGATTCTGAATACATATACATATACATATACATATACATATACATATACATATACATATACATATACGTATTTTAAGCCATGGGGCTATATGAGAAGACTAAATGAGTAATTATACAAAGAGAGAAGAGAAGAGAAAAAAGTTCTGGGTCCTGGGCAGCCAAAGAGCATGGACAACATTTTAAGAGAATTTATCTGTCAAAGAGAGGAGAAAAATGTGGCAGAAGCTATATGGAAAAGTGACTTCAAGACACATCTTTAAAAAGATGGATATAATAACAAGACATTTGCAAATGGATTTGTTCTTTACTCACTGGCAGTGGAAATTTTTCTTGATTGCTTTTAATCATACAGACGATTTGTAACATTTTCACTTCATGAATTTTTTTTTTGAAACAGTGGTATTGCCAGTGGAAATTTTATTTAAAAATTTTTTTGGCCCTTTATTCCTTTATACTTATAGCCTCTTTTTTTAAAAAACAACAACAACAAAACAAACACAAACAAACAAACAAAAACGGAGTCTCACTCTGTCACCAGGCTGGAGTGCAGTGGTGCGATCTCGGCTCACCACAAACTCCACCTCCCGGGTTCAAGTGATTCTCCTGCCTCAGATTCTCCAGTAGCTGGGTTCAAGCAATTCTCCTGGCTCAGCCTCCTAAGTAGCTGGGACAACAGGCGTGCGCCACCATGCCCAGCTAGTTTTTGTATTTTTAGTAGAGACAGGGTTTCACCATGTTGGCCAGGATGGTCTCGATCTCTTGACCTCATGATCCGCCCGCCTTGGCCTCCCAAAGTGCTGGGATTACAGGCATGAGCCACCAGACCCAGCCTCATAGCCTCTTACAGGAATGGTTTTATTATTTTCATGGTAGTGTGTGGTTTCTTAGTTTTTAATAATTTGTACTATGAAGCAAAAACAAAAACGGGACTTTATGTACTAAATAAAAGACATTATAAACTTCACATTGACGATATTACAAACTTTACATTTAATACAAACTTTAAATTTATTCTGTAAAATATCTTTTTCAGTTTACTAGCAGTGTTCCTTGGCAAATTCTTTAATACTGAAGATGTCTGCTTCAATAGAAAAACAAAACTGTGTTGCCACAGGGTAACTGCTAATGTATTAACAATATTAAACAACTCAGTTTCAATGTTCAATTGAGTATTGTTGATACTTTTCAACTTGTTTTACCTTGTGAAATAATTACTAAAGTAGAATATTAATATGTATTTAGAATTATAATAAATGTAACAGATATAAAAGTACATTTATACAGGCATGTTTTATTGGTGTATCATTAGCATGTGTATTGACATCATTAGGTTACTCCTGTCAGCAATAAATTTTTTTACAATCATGATTAATTCTTGTTTTATTTTGAATACAGCAAAATACAACTTTCCTTGATTTACACCAGTTACATTTATGTAAAATTAAATGATATCAAAACTATTTGCATATAATATTTGGTGTATTAAAACTACACAAAAAAACCACTTTTGGCTTTATGTAAAATACACTTGTGCTCTTATCTAGATAAATAAAAACACATTATTCAAAGTATGTTAATTTCTGGAAGGACAATATTTTCCTGTGTAGAACTGAGCTCTGTGATCTAACACTGCTGCCTCTCATTCACTAACTTTTACTAGCGAACCCCAATCATTGTGTAAACTGCCTTTGCAAATTTCCAAAATGCCCCTCTAGTGTGAAGCATTTGAAATCAAAACCACTGACTCATTCTTTGTGTCCTACAATTAGTTATCTGAATACCATCACGAAAAATTATTCAAAAAGCAACTCTCCTAATTTGTTAATCTACCTAAAATATGTTAACAGTGTCTCTTTATTCTTAAGATAAACATTTAACTCTTCAAATCCATGAACTGGTCTGAACCTCACAAATGCTGTAGCCTTTCACGCTTGTTCCCTCTGGCTGTATTTATTCAATTTCAAAATCTCTTATCTCTCAAGTAAAATTCTACCAGATGGTCTCTGCATATGCTAGTCCTTCTGCTGGAATGGTCTCTGCTTCTTCTTTTACATAGTCAACTCCTACTCATCTTTTAGTTTTTAGTTTAATTATTATTTTCCTGGAAAGGCTTTCCTGAACTCACTGCCTTGATAATTTCCCTAATTTATATTGTATCATGGTTCCACATTCCTCTTATTTATAGCCTTATTCACCAGTTATGTACTTATATTTATAAGAGGCATTTCTTGATTATTGTATTTCATAACAAGTTTGGAGTGACCACATCTGTTATTATTTATCCAAGACTTGACATGTTATCTAACACCTTGTAGTTTTTAAAAATAAATATACATTGATAAGCTATAAAATTCATGATGAAAGAAGGTACGTAACAATCCAAGAGACTGAGTCATAAAAAATGACAAAAAGTATCACCAGTTCAAAAAAATATATAAAAGTCATTCCTGATATAAAGAAGATGCTGTGTGGAGGAGTAGAAATCAAGACATTTTGACGTAAGAACAAATAATGCAATATAGCAAGAATGATGATGTAGGGATTTGGAGACTGAAAAGCTTACAGGTTTGTGATAAGAAACCATGAATAGCTTTAATGAAGGGATAACATCACATTATAAGTCAGAAATATCACTCCAGTTGTAAGAAATCAACTGAAACATAGCATGTCTAGATGTAGAAAAATAACTTATCCATCTACTAGAATATTCCAAGAGAATAAATTAAGGCTGAGACTAAAAAATTTTCACCTAGTTTTGGGGGATGGTGCAGAGATCTTAGGATGGTTATCTGCAAGTTGCATTTTTGACTTTCAGGGCTTCCTTTCCTTTTATGTCTTGTAAGAGAGGTAAATATTCATATTCACTAAAAAAATCACATTGTTAGTCCAAGTAATTCTACATAGGGAATTATAAACTCAATTTCGAGTTTCATATTTATGTGAAAAACTTATAATAAGACCCTAACTGACACAAAAGAAAAGCAATCAAATTATCTTTCAACTGAAGCATATAAACTGGAAATGAAGGGTACATAGCAAGATCTTGTTCCATGTAGCATATAAAAAAGTTATTTAGAGAAAATTAAATTGAAGTATATTCAGTATAATGTTAATTGATATAGAAAATGTCAACTCAAGTTGCTCATAATAGTTAGAGATGAGCAAATGATTCAAAGTAATTTGGGTTATGATGATATTGATCACTCAAATTTTTTCACTTCAATTCACTTTACACTGTGTCCTTGGGAATGCAGTAAAATAATAATAAAAAGAAGTAATTTAAAACATACTTAATCAAGTCTTTATTTTAGATGTTCTGGATTTCTTTTGACCTTATTAGGAGGAAATATACTTGCCGTAATCTTTTAAAAGTTAATAAAGGTACTACTGTCAATTCTGCAAAAAAGAGATGATTTTTATATGCTGATCTACCTTCAGCTTTTCTTTTTCTTAATGAAAATTATAACATGTAATGCAAAAAAACCATAAAAATAAAGATCTACTATATATATGTATTATACATTAAATCTATATAATAGGCATCAAGGGTAGCCTGAATACTAAGATGTTCATTAAGTTCAGCATTTCATACTGATCCTAACATAGTCTTCAAGGTACTGACAAAAAAACAAAAAATTCCATCAAGACAAAAATGCCTGAAAATGAATCTTTTAGTCGAGTTGTAGGAAAAGCAATAATGATTAAAATACTTTACACTTTAGTAAAGTCATAGTAGCTGACCCATAAAGGCAGCATGCAAAATGAGTGAGTTAAAAATATATCTGTTGTTGAACGTTTGCCATTGCAGCACAGCTAACTAATAGGCCCAGTGAGAGGTGGGGTAAAGGGAGGGAGTAGACAGTGTATTTCAGGCAGAAGAAAAGGAAAATATCAAAACTCAAGGCTATGAGACCTTTAATGTCTGAAGAACTAAAAGACAATTAAGATAGATACAAATCTAGTACAGAAGTTCGTGTTGATTAAGGAGCATTTGCCTGAAGTGGTAAGTAGTAGTAATTGCTTAACTATTTCATAAAGTTTTTGAAATAAGAAACACTGTATCAAAAGTTTTGAAGTAAATAAAATAGCCAGATTACATAATGCTAGGTAAATAATTTCCAAGAGGGGTACAAACTTAAATACAGACAGGCTATTACAGTAATCTGGATGGACCTAAAGGAGAAAATCAATACTCAAAATAGAGAAAAATTGACAGATTTAAGGGAGTAGAGCATTTAGAAACTACATGTCTTGGTATTTGAGGTGAAATAAGTGAAGGAGAAAGGAGTCAAGGGTGATGTAAATCCTCGACTCTCAGATTTCTGTTAGATAAATGTTGCCGTCTAAAAAACAATGGAGAGAAATGGAAAGATAATTTTGAGGGTGAATGGACAAAGGTTATGAGTTCAGTTTTAAATGGGTTAGTTTTGTGCCACATGTATGTCCATAGTGAGATAATTTTTATGTATGGTCTGAAACTCAGGAGAAAGATATGGGAGTAAATATGTAGTTAGAATCTATTAGCCCATGAATGATAACAGGCATGAATGCAACATGCTAGAGAGTATAAGCAGAGGAAAAGAAAATAATAAGTGTTAAGGACATGGTTCTTATAACATGAGCATTTGGGAAAAGACAGAGTAAAACCTTCTGTGAAAAAAACAAAAAGTGTCTGATCTGCTAGTGTAGAATGAAAAAAATACAGTATTATGGTAGTTAAGTAAATAACAAGGCAAATGGTATATTCAGTGCCTCAAAATGATATTGAAATATCAAATATAATAGGGGAAACAAAAGGGCCATTGCTTTTTATTATAAAATAAGGCTTATATAAGTGATGCAGAGAAAAATTATGGGTGGGTGTAGAAGTAGGAAATTAAGACTAGAGGACTGTGATTTGATAAAATATTTAAGTAAAATTGGCTCTAAAGAGAACCAAGCCTCTTGCCAGTTTACATACTAGGAAAGTCTTTTTCAAGAACCTGGGAGGCACCACTTTGCCCCAGTATCTCATTCTCTGTGAAAAAGTAGGAGCCTAGCTTTAGGAAACACCATTTAGCAAATCAGATGGCCCAATCACATTCACGAATCTCCTGCCTGATGTTCTTCAGTATTTTCCTCTATCTCATCCCAGCGCTTAGGGACCCTCATGCCTTTTGTTTCTGCAGAGTTAACTTCAATTCTCTCCTCTATTTTAACAGGCTTAAATAAAGTTTTCCTAGCCTATTTAACACTCTCTGCCCCTTTTTTTCTTTGACAATTTAATCAGGAAATTAGAAGATGCAGATAAAAAAACTATTAGAAAAATAAAATATAATATTAAAATAAAAAATAATAAAAAATAAAAAAATAGAAAAATTCCTAAGGAAACAAAGAAATCTAAGTGATGAAAACAATTGGAGTTACACAGATTTATTACAGCACTTATCTCTACAGTCTTATAATACATTAAACATTATAATATCTATCGCAGATATGAAGAAGTCAGATAGCTGGATTTATCTAGGATTGGTAAGTTGCATTTCAGAGGAGACAAAATAAAAATAATAAATAAATTAGAAGGCTTTGTCAAGATAATGGTTAAAGTAATAGGCCCTGGTAATTCTGTCGAAGGAATGAAAATAGGAAGGTTATGTTAGTGAGGGAGGTATTAAAGCAACCACATCTGTATTGGATCTCGGAATTACTAGGATCTTCTGCAATTGAAGTAATTAAGTAAGAATGCTGGAAAGATAGAAGGTTGGTTCCTCCCAAGTCTAAAAATCCTATGATTTTTTTAAAAAAATTCTTAAATCTGGTTGCTATTTTCAAATGCTTCATGACTTCTTAACTCTCTTTATGCTTTTGAGTGTGTGTTTTTTATGTTTTATTTTATTTTGTTGCGTGTGCTTTTGATTACTAAACAAGATGGTCTATGACTCAAGCAGTTTTACTCCTAGTAAATTGTTCCCTTTGACAATTTCATTGCTGCCCTAATCCTTTTCATTGCAATATCATGTACAAATTTAGCAATGTCTTTTGGTAGCTCAGCACACTGCTGTCTTTCAGTTATTACTTCTTCTTTTATTTATTTAGAGAAAAAAATACATATTTTTTGCTCTTGCTGGAGTTTGTCTAAATCTTTGCCTGACTTTTTCTTCTCTTGTAGTGTTGTGGTAATTTTTTCTTTCTTTCTTTCTTTCTTTCTTTTATTTTTTATTTTTTTGAGACAGAGTCTCGCTCTGTCACCCAGGCTGGAGTGCAGTGGCATGATCTTGGCTCACTTCAACCTCCGCCTCCCAGGTTCAAGCGATTCTCGTGCTTGGCCTCCCAAGTAGCTGGGACTGCAGGCACATGCCATTACGGCCAGTAATTTTTTTGTATTTCTAGTAGAAACAGCGTTTTGCCATGTTGCCCAGGTTGGTCTCAAACTTCTGAGCTCTGGCAATCTGCCCGCCATGGCCTCCCAAAGTGCTAGGATTACAGGCATAAGTCACTGCTCCCGGTGATGTTTTGGTAATTTTTAAAGAGGACACAAATAGGTAATTTTTATAAGCTTGATCAATGCTGTCAATGGTCTTGTTACTGTTTGTATTTTATTTATTTGTTTTCTGTGATTTTGTAGCCAGTAGTGATGAAGATAATTTACTTCTATGATTCAGTAAACATACCATATTTTCTTTATTTCATCCACCATTGATGTGCACCTAGGTTGATTCCATCTTTGCTATTATAAATAGTGCTGTGATGAACATATGAGTGCAAGTCTTTTTGGTAGAATGATTGGTTTTCTTTGGGCATATACCCAGTAATGAGATTGCTGGGTTGAATGGTAGTTCCATTTTAAGTTCTTTGAGAAATCTCCAAATTGTTTTCCACAGTGGCTGAACCAATTTGCATTCCCACCAACAGTGTAGGATAAATAAAAAATTAAGCATTCCCTTTTCTCCACAGCCTTACCAACATTTGTTGTATATTGACTTTTTAATAGTAGCCACTCTGACTGATGTTAGATGGTATCTCATTGTGGTTTTGATTAGAATTTCTCTGATAGTTAGTGATGATAAGCATTTTTTCACATGTCTGTTGGCCATGTGTATGTCTTCTTTTGAGAAATGTCTGTTCATGTCTTTTGCCCAAACACCATGGAATACTATGCAGCCACAAAAATGAATGAAATGCTGATCTTTGCAGCAACATAGATGCAGTTAGAGGCCATTTTCCTAAGCAAATTAACACAGGAACAGAAAACCAAATACAGTATGTTCTCACTTATAAATGGGAGCTAAACATTGGCTATTCATGGACATAAAGATGAGAGACTACTATAGTGGTGGGAGAAGAGAGGTGGGGGTAAATGTTGAAAAACTGTTGGGCAATATTCCCAGTACCCGGTGATGGGATTATTTATACCACAGACCTCGACATCGTACAATATACCCAGGAGCCAACTTGCACATGTACATCCTGAATCTGAAATACAAGTTAAAAAAGAGAAAAGAAATTAAGAAAATAACCCCTGACATGAAAAAAAAAAAGAAACAAACAAACAAAATCCCTAATCTAGTAAATATAATGAACTCAAATTTTCAACAAGCAATACAGTTGGTCCTCCACATTTGCAGGTTCCACATCCATGAATTCAACAAAGTGTGAATCAAAAATATTTGGAAAAAAATAAAAATATGACAATAAAAATAATACAATACAAATAATACAAATTTGAAAATACAACTATTTCCATAGTGTTCACCTTGTACTAGTTCTTATCAGAAATCTGGAGATGATTTAAAGTATGCAGGAGGATATGCATAGGTTATATGCAAATATTACACTGTTTTATATGAGACTTGAGCATCTGCAGATTTTATGTGTGGGCGTCATGGAAACAATCCCTCATGCGTACTGAAGAATGACTGTATTGTTGTATTTTTTCAGTGAAAATCTGCCATATATGCTTATACCAAAATAACTGTGGGATGTGGGAGTGAGCAAGCAGCAGTTTGGTTTTGATTGCCCAGAAGGCTGCTCTCAAAAGTCTTAGTCAATTTCACAGCAAAGACAGGACAATGACAATTATTTATTGGCAAAATTTGCAAGCCCAGATTTAGCTTTTCAAGTTGAAGGCACATTATAAATCTAAGGAATTAAACACTGTCTCATAATAACTCACACAAGCAAATCTCACCTCTGATCATACACCTAAACCAGGGAAAAGTATAGCATCTAGGCAAGGTAGAATATTTAAACCTCCAACCTCCTCAGAATAGTAAGTTTGGTAAAATCTCTCAGCAATTATAACTAGCCATTTAGTTTGCAAGGCTTAATACAAAATAAAAATCATGGATTTTTTTTATTAGTAATGTATGGTAAAATGTGACAATAAAGATAACAAAATTGTTAGCTTTTTTCTCATTTTCTACAAACTCTAAATTTGTTACATTTTTAATTTGCTAACTAATGTTATTCTAAGTAATGAAAAAATTAAAGTTTTACTTTATTGCCATGAAGTTTGCTGTTCATCTTTACATGGCATAATGTCAGTTTCAAAATGCAAATATGAGAACATTTCACTCAGTTATGGAATCAAGGAAATTCCACTATTTCTATTTTGTAGCTCATATATGCATATGTATTTTGTTATTACCAGAAGAGTGAAAATGCTGCAGGAAACTAACTCAACTGTCTTACTTTGTGCTGTGCCCACACACTACCAACACTCCACAGTCTGCTTACTGATGAAATAAAAGGGCCCAGAGAAAAGGACTGTCCTATCTTTGCCTTTCCTTCTCTATCGTATTCAGTGTAATTCACTGGCTAATACAGGAAAGTAACATGAATAAGAAAGTTTATGATATAGTTTCTTATTGTTTGTGTTTCTTAGAACATCTTTGCCTTCTTTCTGCATTCAAAGAAAGTTGTGGTTCAAATAGAAAGTGTGCCATCTCAGGGCTGTTGGGCTGTCAGCATTCACATTCTCCATGTTCAGGCATAGACATAACTCTGTTATTTTGAATAATACTCATTTTGACTCTCACTGAACTCCCAAGCATTGTGGTTCCACTGGAATTCTGTGCTCATGGGGCATTGAAAACATTGTAGGTAAATGAGTGGTAATTAATAATGGTAGAACATCATATTATGCTTCTCTCTCTACCAACATGAATTCTCCATCACCCCTTTGGGTTTCACTTACAAAATCCAAGTTCAAAGATAAACGTATTCAGAATTTCAAGACGGCGAAAGCAAATAATTAAACAAACCCCAGCCCCTCTGAATGTGTGGCCATGTGCATGCCTATAAAGCCCCCTTGCTAGAAGCAGATAATAAAAGGCTGCCTAATAAGTTAGAGACAAAATTCCCTACCAGAGGCCCCCAGTGATCAGAAGGGCATTCTCTGGTATCTTCTTTCTTTTGCTCTTGTAAAATCTTCTCAGGATCTTTGTCTTTACTTGGGAAGCTAACCCAGGTTATTTGACAACCTGAATCCTTGCCTCCATACTCTCACGTAGCTTGTATCCCTCCCATCCTACAGGTCCTAACTCCATTATGACCTCCTTAGTGAGGTATCTCAATAAAGGAACCGGCTTCTCCCCTATTATCTTTGTTTTTATTAAAATTGTACTATTGTTCAATCTTCACCACAACCCAACGTCAGAACACTTCAGTTACCCCAAAACTTTGCCTGGCAATCATGCATCTACCCTCCCACACACCCTTAGCCTTATACTGCCTTTGATCTTTCTTTCCATCACTGTAAATTTGCCTTTTTTGGACAATTTAAATAATTTGAATTAAACAATATATAGTTTTTTGCATCTGACTTCTTTCACTTAGCCTAATTTTGAGGTTTATCTATGTTGCAGAAGGTATCAGTTGTTGCTCTTTTTTTTTTGAATTGTTTTATCATTTTATTTTATTTTATTTTCTAAGTTCCAGGTGTATGTGCAGGATGTGTAGGTTTGTCACATACGTAAACGTGTGCCTTGGTGGTTTGCTGCCACCTATCAACCCATCACCTAGGTATTAAGCCCAGCATACATTAGCTCTTTTTCCTAATGCTCCTCCCCTGTTGCACTCCTCCAACAGGTCCCAGTGTGTGTTATTCCCCTCCCTGTTTCCATGTGTTCTCATTGTTCAACTTATAAGTAAGAACCTGCAGTGTTTGGTTTTCTGTTCCTGTGTTCGTTTGCTGAGGTTAATGGCTTCCAGCTTCATCTTTGTCCCTGCAAAGGACATGATCTCACTCCTGTTTATGGCTGCATAGTATCCCATCATGTATATATACCACATTTTCTTTATCCAGTCTATCACTGATGGGCATTTGGGTTGATTCCATGTCTTTGCTATTGTGAACTGTGCTGCAATGAACATATGTGTGCATGTATCTTCATTACAGAATGATTTATATTCCTTTGGGTTTAGACCTGGTAATGGAATTGCTGGGTCACATGGTATTTCTGGTTCTAAATCTTTGAGGAATCACCACACTGTCTTCCACAATGGTTGAACTAATTGACATTCCCACCAACAGTGTAGAACCGTTCCTATTTCTCCGCAATCTCGCCAGCATCTGTTGTCTCTTGACATTTTAACTTAAACTCCTTTATTTAAAACAAAACATTTTGCACAGAAACAGTTTCAACCATTGTTTCCCTTTTGCAACTACTTCAGCTTTTATACTTTATCTTAGCCAAAGGCCAAGAAGCAATACTTCATCTTTTTAATCCTGTATAGTAAGACAGCACTAACCATTCATAGGCATGCTTTTTACTTCTTTTCCCCTTAGACCCTCTTCCTCTTCCTGTTTCCCTTTCTGTCCTCTTCTCTCATCCTTCTTTCTTCCCCTCTATTCTCCTCCCAACTCCACTTTTTAAAATCTTATTTCCTCCTGTCTTTTCCTTTCTCCCTCCCTTTTTTAAAAGCATACCTGCCGTATCATACTTGATGATATGTTTTGAGGAAAGAAAATATAATGAATTCTGTCAACTAAAATGATGACAGAGGACCTTTATGAAATTGTCTCAATTTTGTAAGCATGCTATTTTTTATTTTTATTTTTTATTATACTTTAAGTTCTGGGGTACACGAGCAGAATATGCAGTTTTGTTACATGGGTATACACATGCCATGGTGGTTTGCTGCACCCATCAACCTGTCACCTACATTAGGTATTTCTCCTAATGCTATCCCTCCCTTAGCGCCCCACCCCCCTACAGGCCCCAGTGTGTGATATTCCCCTCCCTGTGTCCATGTGTTCTGGTGCTCTACACCTTCAGAGAAACTTCTCTAGTAACAAACTACAGAAATGAAAGTATAGTCTTGTCTCTTGACATTTTAATAATCGCCATTCTGACTGGCACGAAATGGTATCTCATTGTGGTTTTGATTTGCCTTGCTGTAATAATCAGTGGTGTTGAGCTTTTTTTTCATATGTTCATTGGTCATATGTATGTCTTTTCTTGAAAATTGTCTGTTCATGTTTTTTCCCCATTTTTTAATGGGGTTGTTTCTTTCTTGTAAATTTGCTTAAGTTCCTTGTAGATTCTGGATGTTACACCTTTGTCAGACAGATTGCAAAATTTTTCTCCCATTCTCTAGGTTGTCCATTCACTCTGATGACAGTTTATTGTGCTGTGCGGAAGCTTTTTAGTTTAATTAGATCCCATTTGTCAATGTTTTCTTTTGCTGCAATTGCTTTTGGAGATTTCACCATAAAATCTTTGCCCATGCTAATGTCCTGAATGGTATTGCCTAGATTTTCTTCTAGGGTTGCTATAGTTTGGGGCTTTACATTTAAGTCTTTAATACATCTTGAGTTAATTTTTTGTATAGGTAGAGGGAAGGGGTCCAGTTTCCATTTTCTGCATATGGATAGCCAGTTCTCTCAGCACCATTTGTTAAGTAGGGAATCCTTTCCCCATTGCTTGTTTTGCGAGGTTTGTAGAAGATCAGATGGCTGTAGATGTGTGGTTTTATTTCTGAGTTCTTTATTCTGTTTCTTTGGTCTATTTGCCTGTTTTTGTACCAGTACCATGCTGTTTTTGTTACTGTAGTCTTATAGTGTAGTTTAAAGTCAGGTAGTATGATGCCCAAAAGGAGCTTTGGACAATCCTAAGCAAAAGAACAAAGCTGGAGGCATCAGTTGTTACTTTGTATTGCTGAAAAGTATCTCCTTATATGGATATACCACAGTTGTTTATCCATTCATTCATTTTTTATTTGTCATCTGGATTTTTTCCAGTTTTTGGATATAAAAATGCTGTTACGAATACTGTGCACATACCTGCATGAGTATGGTTTTTTACTTTTGAGTAAATTCCTAGTAGTGTAACTGTTGTGTCAAATGGTAAATTTATGTTTAACATTTAAGAACTTGCCAAAATGTTTCCCAAAGCAACTATACCATTTTATATTCTCACCAATAATATGTGATGGTCCTGACTTCTCTACATCCTTGAAAACACATTATTGCCTGTCTCTAATTACAGCCATTTAGTGGCATATAGTGACATCTCATTGGAGGTTTAATTTGCATTTCTCTAAAAATGTTGAATGTTTTAACGTGTTTATTAGCTATTGATTTTTTTTGGTAAAATATCTATTTAAATTTTTCCTATTTTAAAACTGAGTTGTTTTCATAGTTTTAGTGTTATGAAATTCTTTATACATTCTGATTAAGTTCTTTATCAGACATATGAAAATACTTTTCCTCAATGTGGCCTGTCTTCATTTTCTTAATGGAGTCTTTTGAATAATATTTATTTTGATAATTTCAAATTTATCATTTTTGATGGAACATGCTTTTGATGTCATATGTTAGAGCTTGTAGCCTAATTTATGGTCACAAAATTTTCTCCTGTATTGTTTTGTATATGTTTTAGGTCTGTGTTTCATTGTTTATTATGGTATGGGTTAAAAGTATAAATTCAGTCTGTTTTAATGTAAACATTTACTTGAACACACAATTTATTGAAAAGACTATTTTCCACAGTTAAGTATTTTGAAACATTTGTTGAAAAATCAATAAAAGCAATGGTTTATTTCTGGATCTCAATTCTATTACACTGATGTATATGTCTATCTTTATGCCAGTACCACATACTGCATTTATTGCTATAGTTTCATAGTAAGTTTTGAAATCAAGATGTTTAAGTCCTCCAGCTTTGTTCTTCTTTTACAATATTGTTTTTTGCTATTCTAAGTGCATTGGATTTCTATATAAATATGAGCATCAACTTGGCAGATTTTAAAAGGAGACTGAGGAGACTGCTGGTTTTTTGTAGGAAGGGGAAAAAATTAAAATTAAATATGAAAATTGTCATCTTGATAATATTGTGTCTTCCAGTTTAGGAACATGGAATGTTTCTCCATTTATTTAAATATTTAATTTCAGCAATGTTTTGTGGTTCTGATTGTAGACTTACAATTTTTTGTTAAATTTATGCATTTTTCTTTCCTTTTTGGAGCTAGTGTGAGTGGAATTGCTTCCCCAATTTTTTTGCTGTTTTCTTGTTACTGGGTTATAGAAATACAATTTATTTTCATACTAATTTTGAATCTTTCAATCTTACCAAACTTGTTTTTTGGAACTAATAGTTATTTTTGGATTCCTTGATATAATATTTCTTCATATTATCAAGTTATCTGGGAATAAAGACAGTTTTAATTAATTAATTTATGCCTTATTGTACAAAGTAGAGTCTCCAGGACACTGTTGAATAGAAGTGGTAAAAGCAGACATTCTTTCCTTATTCTCGATCTCAGGGAGAATGTATCCTGTTTTTCATCAGTATATATAATGTTTGCTGTGAGGTTTTTGTAAATGTTATTTATCAGATAATAAATTTTTCTGCTTTTTCTAGTTTGTTAATTTTTTTACTTATATGAATATTTGATTTAGTCTATTTTTATGCATTAAGATTATTATGCATTTAGTTTCTGTGCCCTTTGTATTAATATGGCTATTACATTGATTGATTCTCAGATTGTAAAAGAACCAGTACTCCTTGGATACACTGTACTTGTACTTGACATAGAATTATTTTGTATATGGTCTTGAATTTGGTTTGCTAGTATAATATTAATGCTTATATGTTTATGTTCATAAAGGGTATTGATGTTCATCTATCTGTTCCTGTGATGTCTATGTCCAGGTATCAAGGTATGAGATGCAATTGTTCCCTTCTCCTGTATTCTCTGAAATAAATGGTGAAGGATTATTATTATTTGATTTTTGAATATTTGAGAGAATTCACACATCAAGTCATCTGAGCATTTCTTGTAAACCTGGACTCATCAAATTTTATGCCCCAACTCATTTAGCTCTTCCACTTAAATTTTATTAAACTCATAGGCCTTTTCTTGTCTAATTTCTACTTGCCTTTCAAGTCTCAGCTTAAAAGGCATGCCCTTGTAAGAAAATGATTTTAAACACTTTGCAGTATTACACAATAGTTTTTCCTTATTTTCTAATGATGCTGTAAATGTGTATGCATAAGAATCATTTAATTTTATGTTTATCTGGTAATTTAATGAAACCTGAAAAATTGTAGAGTATGTTTGTGTTTATATTGCATTTTAACAGTTTCGTCAAGAACTATTATTTAATTTCTCCACAAGTTACATTTAATTTTGATTTATTGGAGACTTTTTAATGACTTTGGATTCATATTTCCTTGATTAATTTAGAATTCACACCCCTGTATTTATAGGTGACATTTGTCCTACTGCTCACCAGCCAAGTTTACCAGAAACAAATCAGTGGTCTAACAAAGCAGGCATCTTACCAAGAGGATATTAGCAAGTGCTTCTTAGAGGATTTGGGGTTGTATTAGAAGATTTTGGGATGATCCAAGGAACCAGGTACTTTAGGATTGAGTGCAGGTAAGAAGCAGCGGTAATTGTACTATTAAGTATCGTCCAGAAAATAAAAATTTACATCTGTCATAGTTAAACAGGCAAGAAAGACTTTATCAGATACCGTTGCAATTTGGGTTAAGACTATTGCATTGGAAGAGAGTGTGAGAACTCCATTCCACTGAAACAAAAGATGGAAGGTTATTTTTAATGCTGAGGTGATCTATCTAAAAGTACTGGAGGACACTAGGCAGGAAATTGGTCAAGGTGATTAGGCCACCTGTGTTTGCTAATTAGTGAAATTAGGCTTTTACTCTCCAACAGGGACAGGGAGATAGGGGTGCTGTCTTTCTTAATTGCTCTCAGATCCTTAAGAAAGACACTTCAGGGTTATAGCACTGGTAAGAGACTAAGAGAAGATTTATGTCTCAATGGGGCAAAAAAAGAATATAAAGTAGCAAATTTTCTGAAGTAAATGCTCTGAGAAAAGTGAGATCAGGGACCTATAGTGAGAAAGAAGCCTGTCTAAACTTTAGTCAAGCTGAGCAAAACCTTAAGGGAATCTGGGTTAGTATATTAATCACTGTTTTCTAGAAGGATGAAAACAAAAGAGCAAGACTAAAACTGTGATTTGTTAAAAAGCAGTAGGCACTCATGGAAGCCTGGAAATGGAGCTATTTGGCATTTTTTGTTCCTTAGACAGTGTTTTCTGTTTGTGCTCAGAAGTGATTACAGATAAATTTTGATTGTTTATTTGTTTTCCATCAGCATTACAGAGTGACCTCATCTGATATTGGGTATTTGTGAAATTATTCATGTTCAGTGGAACATCTAACAGTTGCTATGCAAGCTATCATGTATGTTTATTTCTATCTGTACCTTGATATTTTTGTGTTTGCTTTTATTTTTGGAAGGAAGTGAGATGTATTTTTGTGGATTTGGAAAAGGATATATATTTATACACATATATACGTGTATATATATATACACGTATATATGTGTACACGTATATATGTGTATATATATACACATATATATACACATATATACGTGTATATGTGTATATATACATATATACATATATACATATATATACATATACATATATATACACACACATATATATACACACATATATATAATATATATATTCTTCCTAATCAGTCATCATATCCAATTGGCTCTATCTTCTATATATATGTATACATATATACATATAAAAATTATATATACCAAAATTTATATATATATAAATTTCTTCTGTGTTTTGTATACATTATGTTACCTGATGATATTCTGAATTCTCCCTATAGAAACCAAATAGAACTAAAATTTTATAAATCTCCCCTATAAAAACCATAATTTAGAGTATATTGTTTGATAATTTCTTCTACTTTTCTATTGTTGTTAGTATTTTCTCATTTCTTTTCTTAAATTGCTTTTAGAATTTAACATTATCATCACAATAAACATTTTATCCAGAACTAGAGTAATATAATTCACAAAGTATTTAAATATAGTTGTAATCCTTTTCTCATTTCAAATGTGTTGGTAACGTTTCTTATTTTTACTTACGTTTATCATACATTTATTTTTAATAAATAAACTGCTGCATACTAATTTTTTAATGTTTTGATCATTCTCTGAGGGAGTTAAGGAATATAACTCAGGTAAGTGACCACGTCTATTGACTTACCTATAAAATACTGAGATAACATAATCTTGATAAGAAAAAAAGAACACATACTGCATATAGTTTGCTTCACTTTGAATATATCATGCATTATAGATAATGGCTCTGACGAGCAACACATTTATACCTCTAAGTGTAGTAAACATTTCTATCCTAACAGGACTTCTAAAACTGATTATAATCCTATCTTTCTCACTCCCTTAGCAAAAATTATAATACAAGTCAGTATAAAATCAGACCTCAACTCTCATTTCCTTGGAAATGCCCCGCCCCACCTTATGGCTTTAAAAGCAATCTATATGATTCCTAAATTTTTATCTGCAGCCTGGTCAATTTCCATCAACTCCAGATCATACGTAGAACTTACTTGGATCTCTAAGAGACAACTCAAAGTTAATGTGCCCATTAATGTAATGGATTCCTGATTGTCACCCTTCCCCCAAAATCATTAACTCCTCTAGATTTTTCTAAGTTAACACCAATTCCATTTTCCAGTCACTAAGGCAATGATTTGAGTCATCCTTAACACCTTCTTTTAAATCACATTCTCTTCCTAATCAGCCATCATATCCAATTGGCTCTATCTTTAAATTATATTCAGAATTCAACCAAAAGAATTCTGCTACTACCCAGCCGGGCGTGGTGGCTCACGCCTGTAATCCCAGCACTTTGGGCAGCTGAGGCAGGCAGATCACGAGGTCAAGAGATCGAGACCATCCTGACCAACATGGTGAAACCCCGTCTCTACTAAAAATACAAAAAATTAGCTGGTCATGGTGGCAGGCACCTGTAATCCCAGCGGCAGGAGAATTGCTTGAACCTGGGAGGTGGAGGTTGCAGGGAGCGAAGATCACACCATTGCACTCCAGCCTGGGCAAAAAGAGCGAAACTCTGTCTCAAAAAAAAAAAAAAGAGAATTCTGTTACTACCCTGTTGAAGTCACTATCATTTCTTTCCTGGACTAGAGCTAAAGCCTTCCAACAGGTCAGCTGGATTCTATACTCAGAATACTGACAGTACAACAGCAAATGTTGACTGCATCTTGCTGCAGTTCTGTTTAAACACTCCAGTGACTGCCAATTTCCCTCAGTAAAGACAAAATGAGAAAGCTTATATGATCTAAATAACGTTGCCCCTCTGGAACCTCATCTCCTGCTTTGACTCCTCTCACTCACTCTGGTACAGCCTCATTGTTTTCCTTTCTGTGGTTATGTTCACAGCTCAGGATCTTTGTCCAGGCTGTCCTTTCTGCCTAGACTTCTCATCACCAAGATACCCTCGAGTCTTGCTCCTTCGCCTTATTTAAGCTTTTGCGAAATTGTTACCTTAACACTGACACATTCCCTGAGTACTTTATTTTAAAGTTTAACCTCCTGTTTTACTCAGGATTTTATTGAGAGACAGAAACAATAGACTATATATAGAGAAAGATGAAAAAGAATCTATTAGGAGAATGGGCTCACTTCATTATGGAGGCTGAAAAAGTCTCATGATAGGCTGTCTGCAAAGCAGGAAAACCGGGAAAGCTGGTAACACAGCTCAGCCCAGGTCCAAAGGCCTTATAACAAAGAAGTCAATATTAAACTTTCAGTCCAAAGCTGAAGGCCTGGGAGCCTAGGGGGCCACTGGTGTGAGTCCCAGAGCTCAAAGGCTGGAGTTCTCACATCCAAGGGTGTCAATCACAACTACGCCCACACTGAGGTCCGAAGGGAGTGGGTAGATGGGTGGCAAGTAGCTGAAAGAACACTTAGGGGGCATTAGGGAGGTGAAATGTAGTTTTATTCAGCAGCTCTCTCATTAGCAGTCTCTCACACTGTCCGCCTTTATCTTGGCTGTCTGCTCTGGCTGCACCCCTCCCAGCAGCCAGCTCTGTGGCTCCTGCTGCCCCCATGCCTGCAGCTGCACTCTCTGGCCTGCAAGGTCAGGGTCAGCAGCTTAACTCTTTCCCTCTAGGCACAAACCAATTCCTGGACCCCACCTGCCCGCCTTCAAGGCAACCAGGTCTCCCTCACAGGGATCAGTAGCGTTACTCTCTCTCCCCAGGCACAAGAAAGAGCCGTGCCCTGGCTCCACCCTGTCTGTCTGCGAGACAGACAACTCTGGCTTTCTCTCTTTCTCTGGGCACATGTGAGAGCCCTGTGCACAGTGTCAGCAGGGCAGTTATACCTTTTACAAACGACAGTGGCTCCTAGCCAAGCATGAGCTTACACAAACAAGTAGAGGTTACACAAACAAGGTTATATAACAAGTAGAGTCATGCATCTGCACTCCAAACTCACTGAGTCACTTTGGCCTGGATGTTTACCTTGGCATATGCCTGACCAAAGCACATCCACGTACCTTACAAAGGGCGAGAGAGGAAGGGCACTGCAGCTCTGGGAGAGAGGGAGCAAAAATTTACCCTCCGCCTACCTTTTTGTTTCATCCTGGCCCCCAGCTGTTTGGATTGTACCCACTATCATTGAAGGCAGATCTTCCCTACTCAGCCCACGGATTAACACATCAATCTCCTTCAGACGTACCCTCACAGACACACCTGGAGCATCCCAATCATTCTTACGAAACAGCAAACCACTTGGGTTTCCCTTGCAGCAGAAGAGGATGGGTTCAGTGCCTCTTAAACATTGAGAATAATTAATGCTGTACCTGGATATCCTATCTGGATATCCTTTAATCCAGCCGTGTTGACACCTAAATCAACCATCACACTTCTGTACAGATGAACTCTCCATTAACTCTTCTTGCTTTATTTCCATAATACATATCAAGTTCTAAGACTTAATAAAATGTAAGTAATGGTTTGCTTTTCTTCTTCCACTAGAATGTAAGTTCCATGAGGAGAAAAGTTTTAATCTTTTTTTTCTGCTGAATCACCATCCTAACAGAGTTGGGCACATAATAGCTGGTACATGTGAGTTAACTGAATTCAAAGGGGATTAAATATAATTCTTAAAATTATCTATAGAATATTCTTTTGATAGTATTCCCTGGTCTGAATAAAAAACTTCTCTAGCTAGCATTCTATCATTCTGGATAAAATAAATTGTGTGTCAGTAAAAATTCAACAATCTAAATGTTGTACAACAGTGGTTTATTTCTAACTCATGATCAAATTGTTGCAGGAATTTTCCTCAGTTCAGCTAAAGAAGGAGTTCTTGTCCATCCCACGGCCACGAAAATTTAGGCTCACAGATGGTTTAAAGGGTGAGGAAAGCACGGTTTTATTGGGTGAAAAGGGGAATAAAAAGGGAAAACAGGGACTCTTGCAAGGCCAGAGTCCCTCAGCTAGAGCGCTTCCTGCCCGCCATTCAAATCCCAGGTTCTACCTAGGAAACAGTGGGGCCAGGCTCCTCCTTGCTGCGAAGGGCATGAACTTCCTGAGGCACCACAACAGTGGGCAGGTGGGTTAGAGTTTCTCCAGGGACCCCCTCCCACCTGGTTGTCTCATTCCCTCCTCTAAATGTAACTGCCGTTAGATTAAGGATAAGGACAAAGACAGATCTTAACTGCTTCCTGCTGACAGAGGCACTGTTTTGGGGAAACAGCACTCAGAGCTCCCTCAGAAGCCTATCCAAGGGTTCACAGTAGAAGGGGCCATCATCAAAGGCTCTGGTTGCATGACTGTTTGGAATCTGATGGCCTGAAGGCAAGAACAGAAAAACCTGGTTATTAGAAAACATGTATCAAAATGAAACAAGGGGAGGGGTAAGGACAGCTCAAAAATTCGGAGGCCTTTTACCAGATTGCACAGAGAGAAAGAGGCCAAAAGCTCCACTGGTTAAAAAACAAAACAAAACAAAAAAAAACACTTTACCCTTTTGCCAGCATGTTGGGCTTCTGGGTTCCCTTCTCCGGAGCCCAGTCCTAAGCCAAGCAGTTTAAGGTGTGGGAAATTAACTCTTTCTAATTTGGAGGATGCATCTGAGGGAAGTGTCCTGTAGTACAGAGACACAATTACCTATCAGTGAAGAGAGAACTGAGGAGAAGAAAGGAAAAAGCAAGAGTTTTTAAAATGAGTCCCAAGGGTTTAAGATGCATTCGAAAGGGGTACAGACTGAAGATGAATGGCTACCCATCTAGAAAGAGATAAGCAGGCGTCCCTGGTTCCCTTCTCTTCCTAGCAGATACCAGAGTACGTGAGGGAAAGAGGGAAGAGTGTCCTCTTTCCCTCTTCCATCATTGCATCCCCAAGTCCTGGTGACCTTGGCAGGTGCCACCATGAGTGCCAAAATGGCCTGCACTCATGAAGCAGGGAGGGCCTAGATAAAGGGGATTACCCGCTCTCACCTATGCTTCTCTCCCCCTGACTGTCAGTAGCCTTGGAATTCCCTAGACCTCATTTATGCCATGGATATTAACGTGGCCTTTATCCATGAAACAGGAAGCTCGGGGTCGGCTTAATTGGCATCAATCAGTCACGCACACCTGCGCTGTGCCTTTTAACTTCCATTATCGTTTTCCTTTGGATTCCTCAGATCCAGTTTTCTTGCCTAGTGCTTTGACCCAAAGCTTGGAATTGAGTCCTGGACAAAAATGTGTCTCGGAGTTGGGGGTTGCATGGACTCCTTATCATAAGCCGAATGCTAAAACTGTGGAACTGAGTTAAAGTTCCGAAGTTAAAACTGTGGAACTGAGTCCTCCTTCAACAAGGGAAGGGAAAGGATGTCTTGTGACACACCCAGATAATTGGTAGCTATAGTTATGCTTGCCAAGATTTGGGTGCACGGTGCTTGGCTTTGGTTAGCTTTCTTGGTCTTACCTTCCCCAAAAATAAACCTTCACATGATGGGCATCCTATTTATTCCCATCACCTGGCAGGATTTGCAGGATAATTGCTCAGAACTAGGATATCGATCCAGATTTTTACATTACCCATCCCTCTTGTTCTTTCTAAGCTGCAGCTGGAGATTGCTAGTTGGTTCACAGGAACAAGCAGGATTAGTCCAAAATGTAGGCAAAAATTTAAAAACAACTAGTGAGTTTAGAATTTAATGACAAATATAAGTTTTGAAACATGATCTCTCTCTCTCCAGTCCTCATGTTTGTTGAAAAACAAATCATCATAGGACTGAGTGGTTTGCAGAATAGACTTTAGTTTTACACTTGGCCTGATTATTTGCATAAAGTGCAGCAAGAATAATTATTTTTACATAGGTTTTTTGGATTGGCTTTGATGGAACTTTCTTCCTCAAGGAATCTCAGATAAGACCTTTTACAGCTGAGCCCAGCCATGGGTTGATCCTCAGATACCTGTGAGTTGAGTGATTCTTTCCTCTTAAGGTTCCATAACAATCTTGGACCTCCTAGACGTGTTAGAAAGTGACATTCTTTACTGACCACAGGTCAGGAGCCCTGTACAGGGACTGTGTAGACAAGGGTATGAGGACAGTTTCCCCACTGGGCTTTTATTGGCTTTGCAAGTTGAGATTGACTCCTTAAAGGGAAGCATACCCTTCCAGTCAAAGCCTTGGTAAAATAACCAGTTTCTCCAATTGTGTCCTGTTGCAAAAGAAAAATAGATTCTTATTGCACTGAAGCAAATGACTATATTGTGATAAGTTAAAAATACTCAGAGTTTCCAAATTCTAGAGGAACCAGGCAGAGAGAAACAAACATGTTTTAAATTTTGTTCATAGTATACCTTATTCAATTATTAAAGGCTGTAAATAGTTCAAAATAAGTTTCCTTGACTCTGAAAAACCAAGCAAGGATCAGCAATATTCCAAGCAAAAGTCAAAAAGTTTGCTTCAGCTTTCTGAGTTCAGTCCATTTAGTTCATTCTTGTTTTGCTTGATATTCATGAGCATTTCAGCTCTTCATGAGTCCTGTACATCTTCCTTCATTCCAATGTACAGTCTCTAAAGTTATCAGAAGCATGTGTTTGAGAGCACCTGTTAAAATTCTATAGCTCATTATAAACCATATTTGAAAGGGATTAAAACAAAACAATTGTCTGTGAATAGCAAAATGTCCAGGGTAGTTACAGTTAGAAACACAATTGACAAGGAACTTTGGTTTTCTCTGTGGTTTACAATAACTTAACATAGCAACCTTAATTGTGATAGCATACACTGAGACATTAGAATTTTAGAAATCCCATACAATTTTGGAATATATATTAGCATTATTCATCAAGATATAACCTAAAGAAGATTGAACATTATTTTGACAATCCCATGCACCTAAACATGTCAAATAATCCTGTTTACCTCTCTTTTCTGGACACTTCATGGGCCCTCTGAAGTATTAAAAAAGCCAGGTGCCAGGAAAGACAAATTTGAAACTGAAGTTTGATTTTGAGAAGGCTGTTAAATGTTTGAGGTTTAAAACACTTGATATTATGAAATAGAATTCCAGATTACCATAAATTATTTATTTTGCCAAAATGAAGACTCAGAAATTTTAAAGAAGCAAAAACCTTTTATAACCCTTTACAACTTTTGCCAAAGAGCAGATTACCATCTCAGGAAAACCTTGTTATGCTTTTATTTCAATGCCCAATTTACAGAAAAACCACATACTATCCTTTTCTGAATTTAGTCAATATGTTCACACAGAGAACCTCTTCTACAAGATTAATTTCCACAATTCTTCCACCACTTATTTGAACCTTCAGCTATCTCATTTAACTCTAAACAATCCTTTAACCCTAAGCAAAAGTTTACATTTTAAGGCCTTCCTATAACCTTTTACTAAAAAACACATTTTACTGTTCTTACACACCTTGCATGTAAATTTACTTCCAGTAGTTTCAATTAACTCCTAGCAATTTTTAACTTTAAGGTAAAACTTTGTAAGTTGCTTTAATTGAGTGCTAAGTGCATCCAAGGTTGCCTTCTTAATTAAGGGTATGGTTAGTTCCATATGTCCCCAGGCCTTACCAGTTGTGAAGCCAGCAAGTCAAATGGTTCTCAAAACCCAAAACGCAGTTTATAACCTCAAAACACTTAGCAAACCTTGCCTCTGACCTGCTTTGGCAATCCCAGGCACCTAAACATGTCAAATAATCCTGTCCCTTTTAGGGCTGTTTTTATTTCTTAAAGATTAAAGTCATGTGAACTGAAAGGTACCACAGCTTTTACCTTCCCTTAAAAAAATATTTGATCCAGGCACTTGTCTTTCTTTAGGCCAAATTAATTAGAGCTCTTTTTGTAGACATCACACACAGTATACACACAGGCAGAAGAAAACCCAGCCGCTGGGTGGGGTGCTTCAAGAGACAGGGCTAGCATATGGAACCTCAGGGCTCATCACTTCAGGCAAGATTGCTAAACAAAGCCTTGCCAAGCAGTTACCAGCCAAGCCCTCAGGATGTAAAGCAAGATGGCGGCTTGATTTCACAACCAAAAGTTTGCAGAGAATACCGCGATAGTTGGGAGTGTTTGGGGGTCGGGGGCGCTAGCCTAGTAAAACATCTTCTAAAAGAAAAACAAATATTTTAAAAGTTAACTCGTTGATGAGGTAGAGAAGGGAAAGGAAAAGTGCCTGGGGAAGAACCTCTTATTCTTCTGAAAGTGGTTCATCCACCAGAGAGACAAGTTTAAGCTTAATTACTGTCCGATAGAGTTAAACCCTTTGGCCAGAAAAGGGGAGGCCTGGGGCAGCCCTGAGTGGCTGGGAACCAGCCAGCTGGCTGTATCGGACCATTGGGCCGTGCGTCCCGCGCGAGCAGAGAGCGGGAAACGACTGGGAGCTTCTGCTCACTGGTCCCGTCCCAGAAAAAGGAAGGAAAAAGCCATGAAAATGCCCGGGAGCTACACAGGTGGGGGCATGGTTTCCCCACCCTCAGACGTCTGAGAATCAAAAGGCTTAGTAACAACAGTGAGAGGTTTTCAGTCCCCATTTCACTCACTGCTTCTGGAGCCCCCACGTTGAGTACGAAAAATGTTGCAGGACTTTACCTTAGTTCAGCTAAAGACGGGGTTCTTGTCCGCCCCACGGCCACAAAAATTCAGGCTCGCAGACCGCTTAAAGGGTGAGTAAAGGAGGGTTTTATTGGGTGCAAAGGGGAAAAACAAAGGGGAAACAGGGGCTCTCATAAGGCCAAAGTCCCTCTGCCCGTCTGCTAAAGGGCTTCTGCCCGCCGTTCAAATCCGAGGTTCCGCCCTGGAAGAGGAGGGGCCAGGCTCCTCTTTGCTGCAAAGGGTGCGAACTTCCCGAGGTTAGAGATTCTCCCGGGACCCTCTCCCAGGTGGCTGTCTCAAAATGTCCATAATGGGGCAGTGTGGTTCTGTTCATATCACCTTCATCCAGGATGCAGATCAGCCATACTTCACGAACATTACCCTTCTGAGTGGAAGAAGGAAAAGAAAACATGGCCGGCCATCTGCTGACTCCTAAGTCGGCTTCGACATACCAGTATTGCTTACCTTTCAATGGTAAAGCAAGTCACTTTGTGGCAGGCCAGGTCTCACTAATGCAGGCCTCCATAACAATTGTTTTAGTACTGACTGAGTGGCTAAGTTAAATATTAAAAGCAGAGAGAGCCAGTGCCATTATACAAAGGCTGTAATGTAACAAAAGCCCACCAAGATTTTTGCCTATGCCTTTCCTGGGCCTTGAAGCATGACAAGATAAGGGAATTCTTAACAGGACCCATTTAGGATTAAACAAGTTGTATTGGGAGTCTGAAGAAACTCCCTAGGCCTTCACAAACAAGTTTACTGATACTCTGAAGGAACTCCTTATACTCCCATGAATTGGCAGGAAACAAGATAAGGGTAATCACCCAGCACCTGGACCCATTTAGATTAAGTAAATTTACTGAGACTCCAGACGAAGGTCTTCAGGACTGAGACCTTAGTTATACATGAGAAGTTAATCACTTATGCCTTTAAATTAATGCACACTTACATGTAGACGTATAGCTTAGAAGGTATATAAGCTCTGGAAAACTTTGTAATTTTGAGTTTGTCTGGTGATATTTTCCAGACCTTCTCCCTGTAACCAGCTGCAGAAATAAAAACTCTCTTCCTCCCCAGTTCATCTGCATCTCATTATTGGGCTGCTAGAATTAGCAGCCCAACCCTCAGTTTGGTCCAGGAACATGACCAATCTTGAGGTCAGTCAATAAGACAGGTAAGCATAATTTTCTCACAGAAAGAGGAAGAGATAGTGATAAATAATAATAGTATAGCCTACATTAGCATGTTTAAGTCAAAATAAAAAGAAATCATTGACTTTATTTATTTATTCTGTTTATATGCTTTCAAATTTGATTTGCTCCTTGTTATTTCCTCTTTTTTTTGATATATAAAATAATAAAATTTCTGCTTTCATCTTCTCTATTATTTTGGTATTTGGAGATTATCAATCTTTTAATATGCATCTTTTATCTTATCATTGCAAATAATAAACAGTATTCTATTTTGGGCACAAATTTTAATTCATTATTAAAATAGCTAATCCTTTACTATCAATGATAAAAAGTATATAGTAATTAAAAATATTGCTGCTATTCAAATAATCTAGCTATGACTCACTTATTCCCAAATAGAACACTAGTGAAAGGGTAATAAAAAGATTATGGCAGATTTTAGATACAAGCGGGAAACCATATGGGATATAAATATTAAATACATGTTTTAGAAACAAACAAAGAAGTTGAGTTTTATATCGAGATTCATAGCCTGGAATTTTTGTGCTCAAAGCTACTTCAGTCAGTATTGGGGAGTTCTTTTGGGATTCACAAACTGAGGGAATCTGGTTTCACAGCTGTCTGGACAATATTTCTTTTTAACTGTTTTATTGAATTAGATAAAGCTATGGCCTTACGCCATGCATTTTTTAATGTGGGAAACGAAGCCACAATGAAGAATATTTAAATTCACAGGTTTTGAATCTTTAAATTCTGAACTAAGTGGCTCAGCCACTTCGAGTAATCATGGAAAAATTACCTAAATTATTTAAACTTCAGTTTTTCTGTCTATAATTAGGGACTCATTACAATTTGAGTGAAAATTTTATAAATTAATAAATGAAAAATGTCTCACAGAGTCCCTGGAATGTAAGAAACTTTCCATAAATATTTCCTGTCTTATTATACAACCTAAACAATGTAAAACCTGCGATTGCTTTTCATGATGTGTTTTGCTAAAATTTCAGATTCTTAAATTCATACGATCTATTCATAATAGTTGGACAAGACAACTAATGTAAAAATGTACATGAGAGCTAAATGCTGAGAGTATGTGCCGAGAAGTGAGGCATCCTCTCAATTGGACACTGAGACTGGGAGAGTGTACAAAATTTGAGAATACAGACTGATTTGAAATTATTTTTGAAATTTATTTTATGTTTAATAATTACAAAAATTTGTTTTAAAAATGCATCTACTGGCCGGGTGCGGTGGCTGATGCCTGTAATCCCAGCACTTTGGAAGGCTGAGGCAGGTGGATCACAAGGTCAGGAGTTTGAGACCAGCCTGGCCAATGTGGTGAAACCCTGTCTCTACTAAAAATACAAAAAAAATTAGCCGGGCATGGTGACAGGAGCAAATCGGGAGGCTGAGGCAGGAGAATCGCTTGAAACCGGAAGGTGGAGGTTGCAGTGTGCCGAGATCATGCCACTGTACTCCAGCCTGGGCAAAAGAGCGAAACTCTGTCTCAAAAAAAAAAAAAAATGCATCTACTATGAAGGCACTAAAAAAAAATCGTAAATAAAATCATAAATAAATGAACTACTGCTCATGGGATGGAAATTAGAACTTCACTGACAAAATCAGGAAGATACTGCAAGCCAGTTCAGAGTCTTAGGGCCACTCAAAAAGCTGTTTCCTGACAACTGAGTACCTTAACAGTACATTTTTGACAATACTCGTACCATTAACTACACGAGGAATCGCATGGGGAAACGTGATTTTAGTCATCATCAAATTGTGTGACATTTTGTGTGGTAAGAAGTATGGATTTGGCAAATACCTGAAAACTAAATTCTAGGTTACAAAGTGACATTTTCAACATCAAATTGAGAGTTATTTGTAAGATTTGATATTTACAGCTATGGAAATACTGAATTCAACTACCAATTTTTTTTTTTAAAAAAGGAAAACAAGGCAAAATTTAAAGAACAGTGCTTTCATCGGTGAGGTGACTCTCTGGAATCATGTTGAAAGGAAAGAAACAAATCAGGAATACGCACTGTTACCTGCTACCATGAGGGAAAAGTGGCTTTAAAAAGGAAAGTAAAATGGAGAGATGTCAAAGAGAAACCAAGTTTAAAAGATTCAAATTTAGCTAACATTAGTATTAGGTGCTTAATTATTTCTCAGAAGAACTAAATTTTAATAGATTAGCAAATAAAAGTGAGACTGCAAGGTCGTGTAATCAGAAAATAGAGGATTCAGAATATAGAGGCAGCATATATAGATTATTATTGAAAAAAGTGATAATAGCAAGAAAACCTTCATTTTTTATTATTTAGCAGGCTGTTATTCAAACAAACATTATACTGAAAATAACTAAAACTAAATTGCAACAAAAGCCAAAATTGACAAATAAGATCTAATTAAACTAAAGAGCTTCTGTGCAACAAAAGAAACTATCATCAGAATGAACAGGCAACCTACAGAAGAGTCTTAAATGAAAGTTATCAAGTGCTAAGGGGAAATATTTTAAAAATTCCAAGAATTCTATATAGAAAACTGTAAAATATAATTGTAATAAATTTAAAAGATGAAAAATGGAGATATATATATACAATGTTCAATGATTAGAAAACACATATTGTCAAGACGCCAGTTTTCTTTACATTGATGGAGTCAATGAAATTCCAATCCTAATTAGCATCACAACATGCTGTAAAAGGAAGGTTAATCATTTTTTATTAATAAGGAAATTAAAATCTTAATGACCTAGACTGGTAATTAAATGAAATTAGAGAGATCTCATCTATTGTGTTGAAAATGTAACTTGTACTAAGCAGTTTGATAAATAACCTTTCATTAGCTACTAAATTTCAAGGGCCTACCTTTTGGCACACAAACTCTAGCATCTAGAGAAACTCTCCAAGGAACAGGTATTCCAGGAGAAATTTAGCAGCTGTGTTGGTAATTAAAAAAAATAATAATTCACATGTAAATCAACAATGGAATCCGCATTAACTTCATGAGCATGTGACCCGTGTGGACTTTCAGGGGCCCATACTTCGGCATCCTCTACTTGGTTTAAGGCTCTGCTGTTTCCATCTTAAATTTTTTAATACTATGGAACTAGGGGTTTCATACTGTCATTTTGAACAGGGCTTCACAAATTATATAGCCAGCCCTGGGAGAACTGAAAAATAATTGATGTGTTTATGCAGTGGATTATTACAGCAATGAAATTGAATGAAGCACAGCATTGTGCATCAACTCGGATGTAGCTCAGAAATTAATATATCCAGTATAATTCCATTCCTGTAAACTTGAAAAGCAGAAAAAAATATACTATTTTTTTCAAGAATTATATATATATGAAGATAATTTTATCAGATAAGTTAGTATACGGATTATATCTAAGGAGAAGAGAAGAACATGTAATCTACACAGGAGTCTTCTAAGATCTTGGGACAATTTTTTTAAACCAATGTTACTGTTAAGTAGGTTTTTATTGATTCTCTATATGTGGTTTGTACACTCTTGTTTATGTAGGACTTATTGCAAAAAAATAAAATGAGATAAATGCAAAATATGTGTTGATTAGAATTAAATGACATCCGTCCTTGAATGTGGGGAGCAGTGGCTCTCAACTTTCTCTATGTTTGAGCGAAAGGAAAGTTAAAGTGAAAGAGGAGTAAAAGTTCAAGATAGAAGAAGCAAGTTTTAAGAGGGTTCATTTAAGTTTTACACAGATTCCCAACAGATTCCCTAGAACTGGATTCTTCAATTAGTATACTGTATTTTAAGTGATGGATTGGGAAAGTATTTATAACAGTAGTTTGGAGAGAAGTGATGTCAAATAAACTTTTTTTTTTGTATATTTCAGGCTTTCAGAATTAGAAAATTTCAGGAAACTTTAGACAAAGGGCAAAAAAACCATTAAAAAAAGTCAATATGAAGCATGTTTGTCAATATTCCTTGGGCTTGTGTTTGCCAATTTTATTTTTCCTCTAGCAAAAGGCTAGAGAAATTTGTTCTGCTCCTAATGATATTGAAATTGCCAAAGTCAACCAACTAATGAAATATTTGAAGACATTCTAGTAAAGTGAGCATTCTAGCAAAGTGGGCTATTAGTAGCTATGCAACCCATAATTAGATTTTTTCTATACCTCAGTTTCTCCCAGGATATAACTGTTTGCCTGCAAACCATGTCCTGATAACCAGGCTAATGATAATGCATGCAAACTAGAGACTCCCACAGTGTCAATTACCTCAGGAGAAGAAGCTAAGTAGTTTAAAGCTGCATTCAATTTTTCATACAACAAGAGTACTGTTTATTGTGCTGGCTAAATAAGTATGAGATAAATGTGCATTTATCAGAAAAAACACTATGAAGATTAAAACTATTGCTCATCATTCTAGCTACAGGGCCTTTATGATTAACAGCCTCAATCATCCTAACTTATCGTAATTGGCTATATGGTAGCAAAAAGACTGCATTATCAGTTCTCAAGCTGCATATTATCCTAGAACACTACTGGGGATAACTGACCAAAAACATACAGACCTTGAAAAGACCTGGCTTAAAAAGTAGTCATTTTATAAATTGAGTTCACTAGTGTAACGTCTTTAATGAAAATATTTTAGGTCAAAATCCTCCAGGGAGAAGCAGGCAACAAATTAAAAACAACATATTGTAACTACTCCTTCTAGGATACCCCAATAGTAAATTGTGCTGCTCTGGTGTTGGATAAATCATTGTTTTCCTCTAAAAGCTGTCACACAATTTTCAGAATTATCCCTTGAAAGTTACATTTGCATTTATCTGACAGTGGCACTTATAATATGTGAACACCTTGAGCAAAACTTTCTGTCTGCTAACTTAGTAATTTACCTTTTAGAAACTTTGTTTCACATCAGTTATTCAAATGCATTTTGCCATTCATTATAGCATCATGTCCAGAGGCATATCCTTTTCTGGAATGTGTAAAGGATCTCAGCAATCTTACTTTAACTTGAACAATACTCCAGTACATTACAACATAGTATGATTTGGAGGATGTCAACATCATTTCTGCCTGTATATCTCTTCCCCTTCCAACTTGTAAAATTCTAAACTTACTTCTGTTTTCAGACCTTGAAAGTTCTCACCGTGAAACTGAAAACACAAATTAAGTGCATTATCTGGAAGGTCATCTTGTAAACAAAACTGTTACCCCAACAAGCTGCAAGTAGATTCCCTTTTTGTGCTTTGGATATTCCAATTGAATTTGAACAACGATGATTATATTCACTTACTTAATAATTAGTGTTTAAAAACTGAGTGGACTTTTTTTTATTATACTTTAAGTTCTGGGGTACATATGCAGAATGTGCAGGTTTGTTACATAGGTATACATGTGCCATGGTGGTCTGCTGCACCCATCAACCCGTCACCTACATTAGGTATTTCTCCTAATACTATCCCTCCTCTAGACTCCTATCCCCCAACAGGCCCCAGTGGGTGATGTTCCCCTCCCTGTGTCCATTTGTTCTAATTGTTCAACTCCCACTTATGAGTGAGAACATGCGGTGTTTGGTTTTCTGTTCTTGTGTTAGTTTGTTGAGAATGATGGTTTCCAGCTTCACCCATGTCCCTGCAAGGACATGAACTCATCCTTTTTTATGGATGCATAGTATTCCATGGTGTATATGTCCCAATTTTCTTTATCCAATCTATCATTGATGGACATTTGGGTTGGTTCCAAGTCTTTGCTATTGTGAATAGTGCCACAATAAACATACATGTGCATATTTCTTTATAGTAGAATGATTTATAATTCTTTGGGTATATACCCAGTAATGGGATTGCTGGGTCAAATGGTATTTCTAGTTCTAGATCCTTGAGGAATTGCCACACTGTCTTCCACAATGGTTGAACTAATTTACACTCCCATCAGCAGTGTAAAAGTGTTCCTATTTCTCCACATCCTCCCTAGCATCTGTTGTTTCCTGACTTTTTAATGATACCATTCTAACTGGCATGAGATGGTATCTCATTGTGGTTTTGATTTGCATTTCTCTAATGACCAGAGATGATAAGCGTTTTTTCATATGTTTATTGACTGCATAAATGTCTTCTTTTGAGAAGTGTCTGTTCATATCCTTTGCCCACTTTTTGATGGTTTTTTTTCTTGTAAATTTGTTTAAGTTATTTGTGGATTCTGGATATTAGCCCTTTGTCAGATGGATGGATTGCAAAAATTTTCTCCCATTTTGTAGGTTGCCTGTTCACTCTGATGGTAGTTTTTTTTTTTTCTGTGCAAAAGAGTTTAATTAGATTCTATTTGTCAATTTTGGCTTTTGTTGTCATTGCTTTTGGTGTTTTGGACATGAAGTCCTTGCCCATGCCTATGTCCTGAATGGTATTGCCTAGGTTTTCTTCTAGGATTTTAATGGTTTTAGGTCTTACGTTTAAGTCTTTAATCCATCTTGAGTTAATTTTTGTATAAGGTGTAAGGAAGGGGTCCAGTTTCAGTTTTCTGCTTTAGCAAGACATTTTCCAGAAAACCAGTGCCCTTCTGAGGCTGAGTTTCCTTAAATCTAAAGGGGTGAGGGAGAATGAGATGTTGTGATGAGAATGCATTTGTTTAAAGAATATGTCATAAAGCAGGAACCATTTAAAAAAGTAAAGACAAATGTCTTATTTCTGTAACTAAGCAATACAATAAACTCCTAAAGTTTATTAAGCACCATACAATTATTGTTAATTAACATTTACCCATCCCTATCTTATGAAGTTACCTCAATTAAGAGATGAGACAGCATGTTTACCAAATATAATGTTGTATTTTTAAAAATCTAATTTTTCAAAAGATTAATTAATGAGATACAAACATATCTTTATCATTATAATTGTAAAACCCTGTAACAATTTTCAATTTTTCTTAAAATTTTATTTTTCTATAACTTACAGTTTTATGTTTAATTATTGGTATATAATAAATATTTGCAGCAGTGGATGTACTCTGCTACAAATCTGGTGATTCAGTAAGTCATCCGAAAATGTAAGACAGGTTGGAAAATATTATGTAATCTCTTTAATACATATTCATTCTACTAAACTGAAATTTAGTAGAATTTCAGTTTTTGGCTACAAATTTGATCATAAGTGTCAGCCTATCCACTCAGAACACTCAGTTCCCAGGATCGATGTGATTGATTCAGGATTAAACGCATTACCCAAGTGAGGAGAAACAAGGGCCCATGTGAGACTTCCAGGCTATTGAGAAAGAATCAATCTTGCTTCAGGAATTGCTAGCCTCTAAGTAAAAAAGGCTGAGACTAAAAGATGATTTTTTTTGGAATTTTTCTTATTGCAGTCACATATATATATATACATATACATGGAACTGTATAGGAGCAGAGTTTTGTATGGTATTGAAATTTAGTTGGTATTAATTAGAATTAGATTATTATAAGTTTGGAATGTTAAATGTAATCTACCTGGTAATGAGAATTAGATTATTATAAGTTTGAAATGTTAAAGGTAATCTACCTGGTTGCTTGTTACTGGATACTTGTTACCAGGTAGATTACATTTAACATTCCAAACTTATAATAATCTAGTTCTAATTAATTCCAGCTAAATTTCAATAGCATACAAAACTCTGCTCCTATACAGTTCTGGTTTCCCCTCCCACCTTTATGTTGACATAAATCACATTTTATCTATTCTGTGCTCAGTAACAGACTGATAATTATGCATTTATCTTTTAAATCCTGTAGGAAATAAACTGTGCTTTATAGAGAAATATACAAACTGTGCCTTATAGAGAAATATACTTTTGATTGTCTTGACTTTTTTATTATTTAAGTGGTAAGAACTTGATATCAAGGTCTAAGTGCTAAACTGGAAAAACTGCTCAATTGGTTATTTTCATTTTATGAATAATGCATGCGTGGAGCATAGGTGGATGCTAAAAAGTTATTATTTCTAAGCTAAATTTAATTTTTGTTTTTTTATTTTAGAAACATTTTTGAAGATTACCTGTATATACATACAATATAAATACGTAATATATGATAATTATAATTGTCTATTATTTTTATTAAATATAAACAGGGAATGTGTCCCTATCTTCAGTTAATTTCAGTTTAGTAGAATGAATATGTATTAAAGAGATTACATAATATTTTCCAACCTGTCTTAGATTTTTGGATGACTTACTGAATCACTGGATATTAATTTAATGCCTATTTCACATGTCCTGAGGCCTGTATCTATTTAGATCCACTCTTCCATTGTTGTGCATCCCAGATTGGCTGCATTTACCCAAAGAGGTTCTGTTTTCACATGAGGCCTGACCCATTCACCAGAACAATGTCTCTCAGGTTACATATTAAGAAGCATAACACAGGCCGGGCATGGTGGTTCATGCCTGTAATCCCAGCACTTTGGGAGGCCAAGGCGGGTGGATCACGAGGTCAAAAGATTGAGACCATCCTGGCCAACATGGTGAAACCCTGTTTCTACTAAAAATACAAAAATTAGCTGGGTGTGGTGGCACAAACCTGTAGTCCCAGATACTCTGGAGGCTGAGGCGGAAGAATTGCTTGAACCCGGAGGGCAGAGTTTGCAGTGAGCTGAGATCGCAATACTGCACTCCATCCTGGTGACAGAGTGAGACTCTGTCTCAAAAAGAAAAAAGAAAGCATAACACGGAGGTTGCAGATAAGGCAAGACATAACGAAGAATTAAGTCATTGAAATATGGTTTTCTCCAGTAGGGGGTGGTCAATATGTGGAAATTTTCCATTTGCAAGAAAACTGGAAAGCAGAAGGAAATGGGTATTTCTCCCCATCCTTTTCTCACTTTACTAGGATCTAGATGACTTCTGCTTCTGCTGGACAGGCCCATCAGAGTTTCAGCTCCTGCTAGGTGTTACTGTCACCTAAGCTCCAATGCAAGATAACGTTGCTGAATTTTACTGGAACTATTTTGCTGAAGAGATATAGAAGCCCTGTTTGGGATCAATAGCATAGAGAATAAAATACAAAGAACTAGAAACAAAAAGTATAGATAAAACTTATGGGGAGTTTGGAAGTAGTGGAGAGATAAAAATTGGGTTGTAGCTGGCTTGAATAATAAGGCTGATATGGTTCGGCTGTGTCCCCACCCAAATCTCATCTTGAATTGTAACTCCCACAATTCCTAAATGTCATGGGAGGAACCCAGTGGGAGGTAACTGAATTATGGGAGTGGGTCTTTATTGTGATCTTCTCATAATGGTGAATGAGTCTCACAAGATCTGATGGTTTTAAAAACGGGAGTTTATCTGCACGAGCTCTCTTTTTACCTGCTGCCATCGAAAAATGTGACTTTCTGTTTCTTGCCTTCTGCCATGATTGTGAGGCCTCCCCAGCCACATGGAACTGTGAGTCCAATTAAACCTCCTTCTTTTGTAAATTACCCAGTCTTGGCTATGTCTTTATCAGCAGTGTAAAAATGGATGAATACAGTAAATTGTTACCAGTAGAGTGGGGCGCTTCTGAAAAGCTACCCAAAAATGTGGAAGTAACTTTAGAACGGGGTAACAGGCAGAGTTTGGAACAGTTTGGAGGGCTCAGAAGATCGGAAAATGTGGGAAAGTTTGGAAGCCCCTAGAGACTTGTTGAATGGCTTTGACCAAAATGCTGATAATGATATGGACAATTAAACTCTGGCTGAGGTGGTCTCAGAAGGAGATGAGGAACTTGTTGAGAACTGGAGCAAAGGTGACTCTTGTTATGTTTTAGCAAAGAGACTGGCAGCGTTTTGCCCCTGCCCTAGAGATGTGTGGAACGTTGAACTTGAGAGAGATGATTTAGGCTATCTGGCTGAAGAAATTTCTAAGCAGCAAAGCATCCAGGAGTTGACTTTAGTGCTATTAAAGGAATTCAGTTTTATAAGGGAAGCAGAGCATAAAAGGTCAGAAAACTTGCAGCCTGAAAAGGCAATAGAAAAGAAAATTCTATTTTTTGAGGAGAAATTCAAATTGGCAGCAGAAATTTGTGTAAGTAACAAGGAGCTGAATATTAATCCCCAAAACAATGGAGAAAATGTCTCCAGGGCATGTCAGAGTCCTTCATGGCAGCCCATCCCATCACAGGCCTGGAGGCCTGGGAGGAAATAGTGGTTTTGTGCACCAGGCCCAGTATCCCCATGCTGTGTGCAGCCTAGGGAATTGGTGCCCTGTGTCCCAGCTGCTCCAGCCGTGGCTGTAAGGGGCCAATGTAGATTTCAGAGGATGTTTGGAAATGCTTGAATGTCCAGGAAGAAGTTTGCTGCAGGGGCAGGGCTCTCATGGAGGACCTCTGCAAGGGCAGTGTGGTAGGGAAATGTGGGGTTGGAACCCCCACACAGAATTTCTACTGGGGCCCTGCCTAGTGAAGCTGTGAGAAGAGGGCCACCATCCTCCAGACCCCAGAATGGTAGATCCAGTGACAGGTTGCACCATGCAACTGGAAAAGCCACAGACACTCAATGCCAGTCTGTGAAAGCAGCCAGGAAGGAGGCTGTACCTTGCAAAGCTATGGGGCAGAGCTATCCAAGACCATGGGAACTCCTACTTGCATCAGCATGACCTGGCTGTGAGACATGGAATCAAAGGAGAAAATTTTGAAGCTTTAAGACTTGACTGCCCTGCTGGGTTTCAGACTTACATGGGACCTATAGCCCTTTGGTTTTGCCCAATTTCTCCCATTTGGAATGGCTACATTTACCCAATGCCTATACTCCCATTGTATCTAGGAAGTAACTAACTTACTTTTGATTTTATAGGCTCATAGGTGGAAGGGACTTGCTTTGTCTGAGATAGAGTTTGGACTGTGGACTTTTGAGTTAATGGTGAAATAATTTAAGACTTTAGCGTACTCTTTGGAAGGCATGATTGGTTTTGAAATGTGAGGACATGATATTTGGGGTGGAATAATATAGTTTGGCTGTGTCCCCACCCAAATCTCATCTTGATTTGTAACTTCCACAATTCCCAAATGTAATGGGAAGAATCCAGTGGGAGGTGCCAGAATTATGGTGGTGGGTCTTTCCTGTGCTGTTCTCGTGAGAGTGAACGAGTCTCATGAGATCTGATGGTTTTAAAAACATGAGTTTCTTTACACAAGCTCTCTTTTTTCCTGCTGCCATTGTAAAATGTGATTTGCTCCTCCTTCCCTTCTGCCATGATTGTGAGTCCTCCCCAGCCATGTGGAATGGTGAGTACAATTACACCTCTTTTTTTTTTTTTTTTTTTGTAAATTACCCAGTCTTGTGTATGTCTTTAGCAGTGTAAAGATGGACTAATACAAAGGCCAAGAGAAAAATATAATACAGAAAAAAATAATACATTGTATTTTCATAGAGATGATCCAGTGAAGAGAGAAAAACCAATAATTTTTATAAAATAAGCAGAATTTCTGGGGGAAATGTTCTCGATTATTCAAGGGTAAAAACAATTTACTGCAAAATGGAGGGATTAGTCTTGGCCAAGGCTATGAACAGTGTAAGCCCTGGAGTACTAGGAGGGGAAACAGAGCATGCACACTGATATGGGTAGGTGAGTGATCAAACTAAAAATTGTCTTTTGGTTTTCCTTTTTATTCTCTCAGTCAGAAAGCTATATGGATACTAAGATTGCAGATAAGGTTAGACATGATGAAGGTTTGAGGAAAAAGGATAAGGTATAAGGCAGTCATCAATGTAAGTAAATAAGTGAAAAGATTCAAGAAACACAATACATTTGCCTGGCAGATTTAAGGGTCATTGATGTTGTAGTCATGCCAGCAAGAAAAATTGTGTGTCATATGAAGAATTAGAAACTCTGGCCAGGCACAGCAGCTCATGCCTATAATCCCAGCATTTTGGGAGGCCAAGGCAGGAGAGTCACTTGAGGCCAGGAGTTCAAGACCAGTGTGGGCAACATGATGAGACTCTGTTTCTATAATAGTTTAATAAATTAGCCAGGGATGGTAGCACACACCAGTAGTCAAAGATACTCAGGAGCCTGACGTGGCAGGATCCCTTGAGCCTTGGAGTCTGAGGTTACAGTGAGCTATGATCGCACCACTGTACTCCAGTCTAGATGACAGAGCGAGACCCCATCTCTAAAAGAAAAAGAAAAAAACAACGAGCAAGATGGTGGAGTAGATAATACAAGACATATTGCCCCCAAAATAACAAATATGTAATTATCCATGAACGATAATAATCTTGGGAGAAATAAAGGGTCCATTTAAGAACTGGTTGCAACATTACGGAGCAAAAAAGCCCAGAATCACTGCACAGAAATGGTGGCTGGAAAGACTGGCAGACATGAGATGTGTGGAAATGTCTAGGAACAAAGAAAAAGTATGGAGGTTATCAATATCAGCCACATGGAGATAGCCACTGAAGTCCACAGTGGTCTGCTTAATAGAGGACATCATCAGCTTTTGCCACTGAGGTAACCAACAACCATCCTCATCACAAACCACCAGGAAACAGAGATGCAGTTGCTTCCCACCACCCTCCCATGAAGAAGACACTGTTTTGCCACCCTTCCCAACACTGCCCCCATACCCTGAAACCATGGTTGCTCCATGCATGGCCATACCTCAGAACCAGGCTTCATGGCTGCTCCACATTTGCCTGTGTTCTGGGACCCCACTCTGTGGTCATATCACATGCATTCACACCTCAGACACAGAAGTCACTGCTGCTCTAGTGTAGCTCCACCCTCAATCTTGGAGCCCGGGTTACAGGACTTTATTCCTGTGTACACTTGCACAATGCACGCTGGCTCCACAGGTGCTCCATGAGTGCTCACATCTCTGATATCAGAGCCACTGCCACAGCAAGCTAGTTTCTCAAGACCTCAGACTCATACTCACATAGCTTCTTGCATATCCACACTCCAGATCCCAGCTCCATGGCTGCTGGCATGCTGTGCCCACTTGCGGAACACCAAAGTCACTGCTGCTGCAAGTTAGAATACATCAGAGACCTCAGATCTTCTGTAGCTCTGGGTATGCCCATGTTTCAGAACACAACCTCTTGGTTGTTCCACAAGCACTATGCCTTGGACATCATTACCAAAGTAGCAACAGGAAGACCTGTGCCCCAGGCACTGGTGCCACCACCACCCAGACTCTGGAGCCTTGGTTCATCCCCATGTGCCTGTGCTTCAGACCTTGGCTCCATGGCCACTTCACTGGCACCATGAAGCAGACAATGATGATGCTGCTGCCACTGCAAACGTGCCCAGAAGTTGGTTTCAGTGCCAAAAGGGATCCCCTTGGTCATGACTTCTCCAGTGGCAGAAAAAGGTAGCAGGAGCACCCTAGCAACCTTTGCCATTTTAAACCTCAACTGCCTTTGCTGCCACCAGGGATACCTAAACACTTTGCTGCTGAGGATCCCTGCAATCTTAGCCAACAGTGACCTCAGCTGACAGAACTGCATAAGAACTATGCTTCCGTGTCCTCACTAGAACCTAAACTGCTGCACTGCTTACAGCCAGCACTCTCAAGCCCACTCATAGGGGAAGATCTTTGCCCACTGAAAAGAGTATGTAAAGTCTGGAAGAAGTGACTGCTCTATCATATGCGCAACATCAAGGCAAGGCAAAAAAATATGAAAAACTAAGGGAATATACCACCAAAAGAACACAATAATTTCCTAGTGAATGACCCCGCCCTCCCCACCACAAAATTGAAACCTTCAAATTGTCTCACAAAAAGTTTAAAATAATTATTTTCAGGAAGCTCAGTGAACTCTAAGAGGGCACAGGGAAACAATTTAATGACATCCAGGAAACAGTAAACGAATAAAATGAAAAATTTAACAGGTTAATTTTTTTTTAATAAAGAACCAAACAAATTTTAGAGCTGAAAATAATGAGTTAAATGAAAAATGTAATAAAGACTGTCATCAGTGAAACTAATCAACCAGAAGAAAGAATCTTTGAATTCAAAGACAATTTATTTGAAAATATATAATCAAAGGAGAAAGAAGAAATAAAATAAAAAGGGGTAAAGAAACCCTATGAGATATATGGGACAGCATCAAGAAAGCTAACTTTCACATCTCGAGAAGCAGAAGAAAGAGAGAAAGGGATTGAAAGCTTCTTTAAAAAATAGTAATTAAAAAAATTTCAAATCTGGGGAAAGATATAAATATAGAGATATAGAAAGCTAAAATTTTTCTAATCATAATCAAGCCAATGAAGACTACACCGAGGCATATTATAATTAAACTATCAAAAATTAAAGACAAAGAATTGTGAATGCAACAGAGAAAAATGATTGTTCCATATATATGAATAACCATAAGGTTACCAGAGGATTTCTCAGCAGAAATTTTTCAGTGCAAAGGCAGATAAGGACGATACATTCAAAGTACTAATAAAAAAAAAAAAAACATGCCAACCGATAATATCACAAACTGCATAGCTGTTGTTCAGAAATGAAAGAGAGATAAAGACTTTTCTAGACAATAAAAGCTCAGGGAGTTTACCCTACTAGACCTGCTTTATGAGAAATGCTAAAGGGAGATCTTCAAGCTGAAACAAAAGGAAGCTAATTAGTAACATGAAAATATAAAAGTATAAGCTCAGTGGTAATAGTAAGTACATAGTCAAATTTTAGAATACTTTAATATTGAAATAGTAGTGTATAAATCATGTATATCTCCAGTATAAAGGTTAAAATGTAGAACAGTATTAAAAATTACTGTAGCTGCAATAACTTCTTAGTGGATAAACAATATAAAAATTTATAAATTGTGACATAAAATGTATGTTGGGGAGTAAAAGTTTAGAGTTTTTATATATGATCAAACTTAACAGCCTAAAATAGCTTGTTACATATATAAATGATTTATGTAAGCCTCATGGTAACCCAAAAAGCAAAAATCTATCCAACATAGATAAAAGATAAAGACAAAGAAATCAAACATATTACAGAAAATCATTAAACCATAGAGGAAGACATAGAAAGAAAGGAACAAAAGATCAACAAAACAACCAGAAAACTATAAACAAAATAGCAGTAGTAAGGACTTACCTATAAATAATTTCCTTAATATAAAAGGGTTTAAATTCTTCAATCAAAAGACAGAGTGGCCAAATGGTAAGAACAAACAACAACAAAAAACAAGCCTCAATTTTATATGCCCTATGAAGGATTCATGATTCACTTCAGCTTTAGTGACACAGCTAGACTAAAACTGAAGGGTTGGAAAATAGATATAAATAAATAGATATAAAATAGATATAAAAATGAACCCCAAAAAGAATAGGGGTAGTTAGGGTAGTTATACTTATCAGACAAACTAAGCTTTAATTCAAAAATGGTAGAAAGAGGCATAAAGGGTAATGTTATAACAATAAAGGGTCAGTCAATTCATTAGCAGAATATAACAATTATAAAATATTTGCACCCAATATCAGAGTACCTAATTATATGAAGCAAATCTTAATAGATCACAAAGGAGAGATAGACAATAATGCAATAATAGTTGGGAATTTCAGTACCCCACTTTTAACAGTGGCTAAATTAGCCATCAAGGAAACTGTGGACTTGGACTACACTTTAAACCAAATTGGTCTAAAAGACATAAACCAACCATCTTATCCAACAAGAGCAGAATACAAATTTCTTCTTAAATACGTATAAAATATTCACCAAAATGAACCATATATTAGGCCACAAAATCAGTTTTAAGAAATTTAAGAAGATTGAAATCATATCAAGTATCTTTTCTGACCACAATAGTATTAAACTTGAACTCAATAACAGGATACATTTTGAAAAAATCACAAATATGTTGATATTAAACATATTCCTGAACAAAAAAAAATCACAGAATAAATCAAAAAACAGAAAATATTTTTAGACAAATGAAAATGGGAACACAACGTACTAAACCCATAGGATACAGCAAAAACAGCCCTAGGAGGGAAGATGATAGCACTAGGTCCTTACATCAAAACATGAAAAAAGATGTCAAATAAACTTAAAAGTTTTACCTCAAGAGATCAAAAAATAACAAACTAAACCCAAAGTTAGTAGAAGGAAGGGATCATAAATATCAAAGCAGAAAAAATTAAAATAGTGACTAGAAAAACAATAGCAACATAACTAAGAGTTTCTGTTTTCTTTAAAGATAAACAAAATTGGCAAATTTTAAGTAGACTTAATTTTAAAAATGAGAAGCCTCAAGTAAATAAAAGTAGAAATGAAAGAAGAGACACTACCACCAGTGTCACAAGATACAATTGTAAGAGACTACTCTGAAATATTATACTCTGAAAAACTGAGTAACTTAGAAGAAATTGATACATTCCTGGAAACATACAATCTACCAAGACTGAATCATAAATAAATAGAAAATATAAACAGAACAACAATAAGTAAGGAAATTGAATTATTAATGAAAAGTCTCTCATCAAATAAAAGCTGGGGACCATTTGGCTTTATGATTGAATTCCACCAAATGTTTAATGAATTACTACCAATAATTCTCAAGCTCCTCCAGAAAATTCAAGAACAGGGAATACTTCCATACGAATTTTATGAAGAAACTATGATTTTCCTACCAAAGTCAGACAAGGATACCACAAGAAAGAAAATTATCTTTAATCTATGTTCATCAGGCCAATATCCCTGATGAACATAGATTCAAAATTCTCGACAAAAACTATCAAGTAAAATAAATAGCACATTAAAGTATTATCTACCATGATCAGAGGTCTTTACTTGTTGGATGCAAGGATGGTTTAATATACACAAATCAATAAATATGATATACAATGTGAACAAAATGAAGGACAGAAGCCACATGACCAATTCAATTAATGCAAAAAAAAATTTGGCAGAATTGAACATTCTTTTATGATAAAAACTCTCAACAATTTAGGTACAGTTGTAACGTTCCTCAACACAATAAAGGCCATATATCAAACTCACAGTTAACATACTCAACAATAAAAAAGCTAAAAACCTTTTCGTAAGATCAGGAACGAAACAAGGATGCTCACTGTCACCACTTCTATTTGACATAGTACTGGAAAGCCCAGATAGTGCAGTTAGGCCAGAAAAATGAATTAAAAGGCATCTAAATAGAAAAGAAAGAAACTAAGTTTTCTCTGTTGGCAGATAAAATGATACTATATATAGAAAATGTTAAAGCATCCACCAAACAACTGTTAAATTGTGAGAACTAATAAATTCAGTAAAGCTGCGTGATACAAAAATCAACAAAAATAAGCAACATTTGTATAAACTAACAATCAATGATTTGAAAAATAAATCCAGAAAACAATTCCAACTACAGTAGCCTAGAAAAAACCTCAGGAATACATTTAATCAAGGAGATGAAAGATCTCTACACTGACAGCTATAAAACAGTGATGAAAGAAATCGAAGAAGACACAAATAAATGGAAAGTTATCCTGCGTTCATGGATTGGAAGAATTAATATTGTTAAATATCCATACCAGCCAAGGTTATCTGCAGATTTACTGCAATCCCTATCAAAATTGCAATAATATTTTCCACAGAAACACAAAAAGCAATCCTACATCCTCTGTGAAAACACAAATGTCTCCTAATGGCCAAAGCAATGCTGAGCACAAAGAAAAAAAGTTGGAGATCTTACACTACCTGAACTCAAAACCTACTACAAAACTATAGTAACTAAAGCATGGTACTGGCATGAAAATAAACATAGACATAAATGGAACAGAATATAGTGCCAAAAACCAATCCACACCTTTAGGATCAACTGATCTGTGACAATGGCACTAAGAACATGCAATGGGACAAAGACAGCGTCTTCAATAAATGTTAGTGAGAGAACTGTAAATTCCAGTGGAGAAGAATTAAATTAGACTCTTATGACATACCACTCAAGAAAATTAACTCAAAGTTGACTAAAGACACATCTAAGACATGAAATAATAAAACTTCACAAAGAAAACTTAGGACAAATATCCTTGACATCAGTTTTCACAACGATTTATTGAATATGACACCAAAAGCATAAGCAACAAAAGTAAAAATAAATAAGTGGCCTTACATCAATATGAAAAACTATCAGGCATGGTGTTGCATGTCTGTACTCCCAGCTATTGTGAACCTAAGAGTTCAAGGCTGCAGTGAGTTCTGATTGTGCCACTGCACTCCAGCCTAGGTGACAGAGCAAGACAACTGTCTCAAAAAAAAAAACAAAAAACAAAAAACAAAAAACTTGTACCTCAATAGAAGCAAAGTATGAAGGAAACCTACTAAATGGAATAAAATACATGCAAGCCACATACTATGGTTTGAATATTTGTGTCACATCCAAAATTTATGTTGAAACCCAATCTCCAATGTAGCAGTATTGGAACATGGGGACTTTGTGAGGTGGTGAGTCATAAAGGATCCACATTATGAATGAATTAATGCCTCATAAAAAGTCTTCACACAGTGTTTTTCCCTTCCTTCTGCTATGTGAGAACACAGCATTCTCCCTTCTAAAGGATGCCCCAACATGGTTTCATCTGGGAAGTAGAAAGCAGACTTGACCAGAAATTGAATCTGCTGACACTTTGATCTTGGACTTTTCAGCCTCCAGAGCTATGAAAAATACATTTTTATTGTTTACAAACTGGCTAGTCTGTGGTATTTTGTTATAGCAGAATGAACTAAGACACCATACATCTGATAAGATGCTAATACCCCAAATGTTAAGGCATTCAAACAACTCAACAACAAGAAAACAAATAACCCAATTTTAAAAATAGCCAAAGGACTTGATAGACATTTCTCCAAAAAGGAGTCATTCAAATGACACCAGGCATATGAAAAGGTACTCAGTATGATTAATACTCAGGGAAATGCAAATCAAAACCACAATGAGATATCACCTCATACCTTTTAAAATGGCTATTCTCAAAAAGTCAAAAGAAAACAAGTGTTGTTGACGATATGGAGAAAAGAGAACCCTTATACATTCTTTCGAGATTGTAAACTAGTACAGCCGTTAGGGACAACAGTACAGATGTTCCTCAAAAAATTAAAAATAGAGCTGCCATTTGATTCAGCAACCCACTTATGGGTACATATCCAAAGGAAATGAAATTAGTATGTTGAAGAGATATCTGCATTCCCATCTTTAATACACATACAGCCAAGAAATGGGATCTAAATATCCATCTACAAAAGAGTAGATGAAGAAAATGTGATATATATACATAATGGAATACTATTCAGCCTTTATGAAGAAGGAAATCTTGTCAGGTACCACAGCATGGACAGACCTTTTTATCCATATACCTTTTCATATACCTGTTGGTCATTTGTATGACTTCTTTTGGGAGAAATATCTATTCAGGTCCTTTGGCCATTTATAAAATTGGGTTATTTGTTTTTTTGCTATGAGTTGTTTGAAAGACACAAAAAGATAAATACTGCATGATATGACTTATATGTGGAATCAAAAAAAAGTTGATCTCATAGAAGTGGAGAGTAGAATAACAACGGTTACCAAAGACTGGAGAGGATGTGGGTGAGGGTGTTGGGGAGAGGTCAGTCAAAAGGTACAAATTAACAGTTAGATAGAAGGAATTAGTTTCTATGGCACAGTAGGGTGACTATAGTTAACAATAATATATTGTATATCTCAAAATAACTAGAAGAGAGTATTAAATGTTTTCAGCACAAAGAAATAAATGTTGGAGGTAATGGATATGCTAATGAAGCTTATTTGGTTATTATACAATGTATACATGTGTCAAAACACCACAATGTACCCATAAATAAGTATTTATGACAAATTATTATTTGTCAGTTGGAAGTAAAAGATAAATAAAAAAACCCCATGTTATGAGTATTTCTTCAAAAATTTGTTCTCAGTTTTAATATATCCTTTGAATTGGAAGGTGAGAACAGCTAGTTAATAGGCTTTATCCATTTTGAAATAATTAACAAATTTAAATGTTGAAAACTATTATTCTAGGATTTTGTGTAAACAGATTTGTTTCATGCCCTATTTTGTACTACGTTCTTTAATTGTCAATTGCTGTTTATTATAGTATTGATTCTTTTTACTTTCTTGTTCTTTATCATTATTTTATGATACCATTATTAGATTTGTGTAAGAATGTCGATCTGGCTAATTTCAAAAATAAAACAACTACATTTACTCTGAATTAACTAGTTAGCCAAGGAGAGTTTATGAAACCCTCCAGAGAACCAATCAGATTTATTACTATTAACTATTAGACACTAAGACTAATCCTTAATGACAGTCCAATGTAAACCATTTGTTGAGATATAATTACAGATATATTGTCTGAAATATCAATAATTTAATGACATTAAAGATCTTTGAAAATGTCAAATTGTTATATATATTTATATGCCACTTTTATTTATATACCAGCCATACATTCATGCACATACACATAGTGCCATAGGTTTGAATACTTTACAGTTAACAGTCCTGACTTAGCATGGGAAGCTTTGATTTGGAAAATTTGTTCTTGGCAGAGATTCAGAATTCTAGTCAGCAAAGCATTTTACTACTTGGAAATAAGGAGTTCTTGGTATTTTAAAAGAATTAATGAATAATGAAATGTAAAGCAATATACACATTATATATTATAATAATTGTGTAACATATAACATAATAATATATTATTTATACTATATAATAATATACATATTATACATACAGAGGTTTTATATATATGTACGTCTGCCCTCCATATTCGTGGGTCCTGCATCTGCAGATCCAACCAACCACAGATCAAAAATATTGGGTGAATAAAACTGATGATTGTGTCTGTACTGAACATGTACAGGCATTTTTTCTTGTATTCAGTATTATACATGATCTAGAGATGATTTAAAGTATACACCAGGATGTAAGTTATGTGCAAATATATGACATTAAGTAAGAGACTTGAGCATTTATGGATTTTGGTATCCACAGGGAGGTCCTGGAACCAATTCCTCATGATTACCAAGTGACAACATGTATACAGCGATGCAGGACTTCTGGTGGCCACATGTCAGTCAGAAGAAGACTATGAGACTCTTGCAACAGTGGAGGTAAATTTGTGTTTTCATATAGGGTAACTAGACTTTGACCAATAAGTATCCTGGGAACCCAAAAGAGGAGGACACTATCATAGCAATAATTGTAAATTGACTTATTGTAAACCCTGTAATTTAGATCAACAGCCCATGTGCTTCTGGTATGCTTTGGAAAAATCAGAAAGTTTAAACTCAGACAGTAAGTATTGATGGTAGATTACTTCTTTCTGGATTTGCTTTGTTCCTCTTAGACATTTTTCATTCTGGCTAATAACTAACAAAATAAATACCTAAAAATAATGCCAAAAGAATAGAAGACCATTTTATTATCCTTTTATCTTAGGTAATAAGTATCTACTAATATGCAATGTCTTTCTTGAGATAATGAGTATATACTAGAACAAAGTTTTTAAAATAATATTCAGCAAGGTACAAGATATTGTGCTTAAGTTACTAGTCCTGTAATTAAATTTGAGAATAATTGTTTTGGGTATATAGCATAATATTTGAATATTATATGTTATTAGTAAATTATATAATAGGCTAATTATCAATAAAAGTAAACAGCTTCTGAATTTTGTGAGTCATTAGAGTTAGTCTATATACATCTCATGAGTAACTTAATCATCTAAAAACTTTGCTTCACCACATAAAAACCTAATTTGTTTTATATTATTTTAATAGGAAATCACTATTACCAGTTTTATAATACAGTCTAGAGATAATTTTCTTGTTTATGATGATACATGAGTTTGATTGTCTACTTAACTACAATTTTACTTTATTTTACTTATATTCTCTTTCCCAGGAGTTTTCTGTTGTCAAACTATGAAAGATGTATGCTCTGGGACTTAAGCAGTAAAGACTTTATATAAATGAATATATGATAGATGTGAAGACTTTTTTATCTTTTTAAAATAGCTAGTAATAGGAAGATTACTTAAATAATGCGCTTCTGTGGTTTAAATTCTTAAATTAATTATCTGCTGATTTGAAAGAAAGATGAACAAGAAAGAATATTGAGACTGTAGTTTGTTTACCATTTTACATTTTATAACAACTCATGCATTCATGTCTATAATCTGTGGTATTTTTCGCAATTAACAAAGTATGATTTTTAAAAAATTAATTTATTGCATTAATCATTCTCTCTTCCTTTACTAATTGCAATAACAGTTAGCACCTACATACTGATCACCGTCAGTTACTGGTTGATATAATTTGGTCTGTGTCCCTAGCCATATATCATGTCAAATTGTAATCCCCAATGTTGGAGGTGGGGCCTGGTTGGAGGTGATTGGATCATAGGGGCAGATTTCCCCTTTGGTGCTGTTCTCATGGTAGTGAGTGAGTTATCCCAAAATCTGGTTGTTTAAAAGTGTTTTGCACCTCCCCCTCCTCTCTCTTCCTCCTGCTCCAGCCATATAAGACATGTCTGCTTCCCCTTTGCCTTCCACCATGATTGTACGTTTCATGAGTCCTCCCCAGCCTTGCCTCCTGTATAGCCTGAGGAATCATGAGCCAGATAAACTTCTTTTCTTTATAAATTACCCAGTCACAAGTAGCTTTTTATAGCAGTGTGAGAATGGAGTATTACACTGGTGTTAGCACCTTACCTGCATTAACACCTTTAATCTTCATAACAACTCTTTGAGGTATGTACACATAGTATCACTATTTTTCAGATTATAAAATTAAGGCATAAAGAAGTTAGGTAACTTACTCTACAAGACACAGCTAGTAAGTGACAGGAGTGTCATTCTAGTCTACGTGTTCTATTGTGAAGTGTTAACCACTACTTAGTATAACTTCTCAGCCTAGCAATCCACTTTGTTGCGATCACATAAGACCTACATGGCAAGGAAATAGAGGAATAACCAGGAAGGAACTAAAACACTCAGTTGAACAACCCTTGAGGGATTGAGTCATGCCATTTATCATGTGAGTCAGTTTGGAAATGGCACTTCCCTAAGTCAAGACTTTACATGAGCCCACAGCCCAGACTGACACTTAGATTACAGACTTATGGTAGGTCCTGAAGCTTCCTGACCTATAGAAACACTAAGATAAAATTATGTGTTTTTATAGGCTACAAAGATGGGGGTAATAGTTTATGACACAATAGATAATACACAAATCAACCTTGATATTACATGGAGGTAAATGCACAAGGCTGTGAAAAACAGAGGTAGAAATATTCAGGGTCATCTTAAAAGTTGACTGCCACAGTCCACCCTCTGTCCCCTAATCATTAATATCACTCATATGCAAAATAAGTTCACTTTTTCTCAGAGACTCCAAAAACCTCCAAGGCCTCCACTATAGGATCAGCTCAAAATTCACGATCTTTTTATCTAAATTAGATCCAGGTAGAGATGAGGCTATTTGAGTGGAGTTTCACTAGGTATAGTTGTATAAGTATTCTCTCTTTACTTAATAAACTACCGAGACAAGTTATCTAACCTCAATACATCCAACATACAAGGAAAAGACCGGAATAGGACAGCTAATTAAAGGTTTCTGCTCATAAAAGAGGAAACGAGGTGCATAAAGGAGTCACTAACCCATTGCAATTTTGAAATTCAATGGAATAAATGTTGGGATTATCTTGATTGTGTTCTAAATCCTGTGAAAAACTCCCCATGATTCTGCCTTCTCTGGGCTTTTAGTATTGTTTGATTCATCCATCTTTTTTCATAAAAGGGAGCATGTGTTTGTAACTGAGTAATTTTCTCACCAGCTGCCTGCTTATAGAATTTTGGGAATCCAAATTCCTTTTTAAAATTTTGTACTGCTTCTTCCATTTCAGTCTAAGCTTATGATATTTCTGTGAAAAAAATATGTATTTATGTATATTATTCTCCTGAAAATCTTATTACAATTCACTCCATTAGACAGGATTTCCCAACTTCAGCACTATTGGTGTTTAGGTTTTGAGCTGAATATTTTTTGATGTATGTGTGCATTTTTTGTAAACACATTACAAAGTGTTTGGCAGCATCTGTGGTCTCTGCCCTTAGATAATAGTAGCACCTCCCCAAATTGTGATAACCCAAAATGTTTCTAGACATTGCCAAATGTCACCTCTGGTTGAGGAAGCAGAAGCTCCCCTAGTTAAAAATTATTTCCACTAGGCTACAATTCTTCAGCATAATCCCTTTTGTACATTGAGACCTTGAGCTCCTTCTAAGGTGGTTGAGGGACCATGTCCTTAAACTGCTTATGAGCTCTACTGTTGTTTGATAGAATCTCTGAGGTGTACTCCTAATCTTTTCAGGCCGTTTATCTGACTGAATGCTTCTTTAGTTCTTTAGTGGTCTAAAGAAAGATTTTAGAGTCACACCGTTGACACAATCTTGGCTTCTGTTTTCCTGGCCATTCCCTGGATGCGATCCTTGCTTGGAAGCTATTCTTAATGTTAGCATCGTTTGCCACCTGGGAATGCTGAGAATTTTCCAAACTGTTAATCATGACTCTCTTATTTTTATTAGCTCTTCCTTAGTGTAGCTCTATTTTCTTGCACTTTTTTATAAACAGCAAGAAGAAACCGGGGAGCATGGTCAGTTCAATACTTTGGTTGGCATTCTTATTATCTACATCACCCAGTTCATTTGAGACATTTTCTACTTTTCACATAATTTCAGGAAACAGTGTTGCTAAACTTAATTATGTTACATAGAAAAGCTTATCCTTCCCTCAATTTACTGTAGTATTTACCTTATTTACTAGACGCCCTCACTCACAGCCTTGTCAGAGTCCAGGAGGGTTCAAGTAGCAGTTTCTTCAAATTACTTTCGTCTTTCACCAACCCTTGCTGCAAAGCCCTCTTTCCAGTTCCAAAACCAATCCTGTTTTTGTTATAGCAGCATACCACTTTTGGGTACCCAAGCATTCATTATTTATTGTTGCACAGCAAATTACCACAAACGTGCGGATTAAAACAACAAACATTTATTATTTTAAAAGTTCTATGTGTCAATGGCCTGAGACCTGCTTAGCTGATTGATTCTGGCTCAGTCTTGCTTGAGGCTGCAAAGGAGACATCAGCTGTGGCTTTGGCCACCTGAAGCCTTGACAGTCTGGAGGATCCTCTTCCAAGCACACTCCCAAGGCTGTTAGCAAGATGCTCTAGTTCCTTGCAACACGGGTCTATGCATGACTGCTCATATTATGTCTCCCACTAGAGCAAAGGATGCACAAGAGAAAATGATTTCAAGACAGAAGCCGCAGTGCATTATAACCTGTTTATTGAATATACCATTACTTCTGCAGTATCCTATTCACCAAGCACAACACTGGGACAATATGGTTGAGCATTATATAGGAAAATGGATACCAGCAGGCAGGGATCACAGGGGGTATGTTGAAGTCTGGCTACTTCATTAGTACAGGGGAAAATGATTCAGACCCTAGAGGCTACCACATTATAACTATTAAATAAATATTGACTGAATAAATCCTTGATGACAAAACTGCCAGTGAGAATTTCATTTCCTTTTGAGTTTTATTAATACTGTTAGATAAAACACCTTTAAATGATATTTCTTAGTATCTTTCACTGGATGATGACTTATCCTTAGTAAATATTAAAATAGTAATCATAATAAATTTGTGAAGCATGATTTCTACTAAATTTGTTTTTTGTGACCTAGTTACTATCAATTATAACTTATCTGATTTATGTTTATTTATATGTATTTGTTTTATACCTTCAAATATTTTAAAAATTTTCAAGGCAGATTCCCCATTTGTGTGATTCTTTATTCATCTATATATATATCCAAAATAGTTGATATCAGGATCTCGAAGAAATACCCGCACTCTTATGTTAATTGCAGCATTAATCACAATAGCTAAGATATAGAAACAACCTCCACTTTCATTAATGAATGAATGCATAAAAATGTGTAAATATACAATTAAATATTATTCAACTTTTAAAAAGAAGGAAATCTTGCCATATGAAACAACATAAATGAATCTGCAGGATGTTACACTAAGTTAAGTCAGTCACAAGAGAGCAGATACTGCATGATTCCACTTTTATGAGCATCTAAAATACTCAAACTTATAGAAAAAGAGAGTAGAACTGTGGTTTGTAGGGATGACAGCAGGGAGACCCAGGAAGTTGTTCAACAGGTACAAAGTTTTAAGCATGCAAGTTTTAATCATGCCAGAGGTCTGCAGTACAACACGGTGCCTATAGTTGACAATACTGTATTGTGCACTGAAACGAATTTGTGAAGAGAGTAGATTTTAAGTTGTGTTCTTATTGTAGTAAGAATAAATATGAAGAGAAAGTATGTGGACACAGAATATATGACAAATCTAGATTTGTCATAATTCTAGAATCAGATCCTAGAATCTGAAAATATGTGTGTGTATGTGTTTGTTTTCTGCAGTAGGAAAATATTTGCCTGAATTTTTTTAAGAAGCAAACTCTGTAAAGGATTCACATAATGTGAGGATATTAAATATGCTTGCATAAACAACCCCAGGATTCTTATTTAAATATATCTATACAAAATACACATAAATCTAGTTAAATTAATAACTTTGGAAAGAAGATAAAAAATTCTTACTCCCCAAATCAACAAAATTTAGACAAGAAATTCTTTTAAAAACCCAAAGACATTGGACTCTAGTGCTGATGATGCATCACAAAAGGATGAATAACAAAAAAATATATTTATGTAAGATATTTTACTGATTTTTGAATGAAATTTCATTATTTCCACCAGTTAACACATTTATACATTTGTGGTAAAATTGTGACTTAACGCTTTTTATCAATTGCTGCATTGATCATAAAGTGTTGCCCATTTTTATTCAAAGATAGCTATACCAAACCCTAAGTAGGATCAAATAAAAACCAGACAAGCTTGAAGGTGGAGGGAACAGAATTCTCTCTAACACAGGACCAAGAAAATTAGATTCAAGTTAATGGACCGAGAAAACACTTACTAAAAGTAAAATGGTATTGAGATGCTGTCTCAAAGAAATTAGTCAGATTATTCAGGGTACCCATTATTTTGGGTTAGGAACTCTATATTTTAACTATGTTTCCCTTACTTACTTCTAGAGTAAAATCTAGTTTTATTGTGGCCAGTTGTTATGTGTATAAAATTTGGGTTAAAATGATACATTTTAAATTATATTAGGCTAATACACAATACTGAACGAAGATTTATTTCTATAATAAAATGAAAATACACACAAACTCATAGATAATTATATCTTAAAATGTGTCAATTATAAACAAGAATCTTCCATTTTATTGTTAACCAAGTAAACTGAATTCTACGTCCCCATATATGAGAAGGCAGAACATATCTGTATCTTTTCCTATCAGTGTACTGAATCTTGAAGCCATAATTCAATAGAAAGGGAGATAAAAATCAATGGTGCAGGTATGTGCCAAGATAGTATAACTACTGAGAAATGGAAAAAAATGTGAACTTTTTCTATTACTTGTAAATAGTGTCCACTTATTACATTTTTTGACAATTTTTCCCAAATATAATATTTTGAATATGCTTCTTAATTCAAAAAAGCATTTTTTGGGGGAGGTGATGTATTTTGTATTATCCACAATAGTTTTTCTATTGAATATTATTTAACCAATTCATGAGAAGTAAAAGAAATGACTTAGAGAAATGATGAAGTACACTTTTGTTCTGTAAAATTAAATCTGTTTGAATAAAATCATGTTAATTATTCCACTCTCTTCACCTAGTAAATTTAAACAAATGACTAAGCCAGTCTAACACATAACTCATTGTACTGCATAAGATAATAATTAAATAAGCAAAGAGCATCATTTGGTACTGATCATGGATAATTTACAGTGCAGAATATATAGAGCAATAGTTGTACTCGCCCTCTTCATGACAATGTCAGTGACTCGCAAATGACAATTCAACAGCTCTGCAGAGGCTAATTCATGAGGAGCAGCAGCAATGTACTTATAAGAGCTTGCTCTTTTAAGAGAATGAATTAAATGGCAATGCCTGTGATTATATCATAATGATTAACTTAAGTGAATATAATGAAGCGTGTAGTGAATTCCTAATATCCTTTTCAGAGAGAGTGGTTATCCTAGTCTACCTTAATCTCGGTTATGTTCGAAGTGTATTCTACTAAAAATGTGTGGTTTCAGGGATCAAAACTCTCAGGCATCATGTGGCACAAACATGAAAAGTGTAAGATAAATGTTTGCTGGCATATTCATTAAGGTTTCCAAAGTAGACAGTTTTCTTATTCTCCGGCAGTTTTTTTCTCCACATTTCATCTTATTGAATCATCTTTCTTGTACAAAGGCACATTTATTATACACATGAATTGAATAGACATGGCACTTCTTAGCTCCTTATTTCAGCTGTTACCATGACTGACATAGCTCTCTGCCTGGCTAATTTGGTGAGACCAGTCAATACCACTGTGAAGGTTTTAAAGGAAAAAACTTGTCAGTGGGATCGCAACCTGCCTCCCTGCTGTGAAGAGACAATGCTTTAACATCACAATAACTCACCCCAAAATATACAGTACCCCTGAGGTTTATGTTGCTATTAAATTTCTAAAATAGCAAATATTTTGAATTGTACATAAATATATAAGCTTTAATGCTTAATAAAATATTAAGAGTGAATTTAATGACATTCAGAGCATGTAAAACAATGAAAGTTTTTCTTTCATTCCTACTCTTTCATTTTTAGCAGCTGTTATTGACTGGTGAGGCGCAGCTTTCCACTGCTACAGGCTTGGCCATAGTTTTCATCAGTTGGGAAATTAATTGCTGCTTATTCCTAGTTTTATCAACAGAAATTGGACTCAAAAGGATTTTTTAAATTATTTTAGGTCTTCTTTCTTTATTTTTCATATTTACTTTTACTGAGTGTTGACCTATTTTTTCTACAAACAAGACCAACAAGTGAAAATGCAGTCCTAGCTGTAGACTGGGATTTTAATTCTAGGAAGTGAATTTTAATTCTGGGAAAGTAAGCTGCATAAATGGTTTGTTTTTTAAAAGCATAATGTTTTTAAAAACATTAAATGCATCGATAGATGACATTCATACTTCAATTTTGTCTCCAGATTTTCATTTCATCTGATCCTGAAATCACTGCAGTGTCTTATAGGAGCTGCAACCAGCCACATTTCAGAATTACAGTATCATATTCATTACATAATCTATTCAAATTTTACTTTTAACTGCTGCTGAGGAATGTAGAGGCTAATAGCTCTAACCAAGTATCTACTTTGAATAGGCAGATAATTTAGATGGGAATTAAAGAAAGGTTTACTTTTTTATCACATTTTGAGAACATTCATTATTTTATTATTATGAAATGGGTTCTCTTATAAGAAACAAATACAATTATAATACACTACCTATGCATGGGTAGAAATATTAACCACTACAAAAAGTTATAGAGTAAAGCCCTTGACTCTTCATTCTAGGGTTTACAATAGATATAATTCTTGTATATCTTTATAAAATACACAGATACACATATATGCACATGAGTTATTTCAAAAATGCACATTTTAATTTATTGTGCACACTCATATGTACATGAATATCTTACTTAGCATTTTCCTGCAGACCATTTCGTGGCAGTACAAAAAGAGCTAACTATTTAGTAAATATAAAATGTTATCCATATGTGATCGAAGTGTTAAGTTCATTTATATTTAATGTAATTAATGATATGGTAGAATTTACCTCTGCCATTATGTTCTTTGTTTTGTATATGAGTTATGCCATTTATTTCCTATCTTCCTCCAAAACAGTCTTCTTTTGTGTTAAATAGGTATTTCTTGTATATTTTTATTACACTTGTTTAATATTTTGGAGTTATTTCTTGGTGGGTATTAAAATCAAAATTCTAATTTAAAACAATCCATTTCAGATGTATACCAACCTTATTTCAATAATATACAAAAACTTAGGGCCAGGTATGGTGGCTCATGCCTGTAATCTCAACACTTTGGGTGGCTGAAGGGAGCATATGACTTGAGCTCATGATTTCAAGACCATCCTGGGCAACATGGTGAAACCTCATCTTTACAAAAAAAAAAAAAAACAACAACACAAAAATTAGCCTGGCATGGTGACATGCACCTATAGTCCCATCTACTCTGGAGGCTGAAGAAGGAGGATGGCTTGAGCCTGGGAGGCAGAGTTTGCAGTCAGCTGAGATTGTGTCACTGCACACCAACCTGGGCAATAGAGCCAGACCTTGTCTCAAAATTTTTTTTATTCTAGTATTTACTTCTGTAGTTACTTGTATTGGTGCTCTGTATCTTTTTGTGTGTATTCAAGTTACTAATGTCCTTACAGTTTACCCTGAAAGACTCCTTTTGTTGTTTTCTATAGGGCAACTTTGCAAACAGCAAATTCCCTCAGTTTAGTTTATCTGAGAATACGTATGTTTTGTCTTCATTTGGGAAATATAATTCTGCTTCATAGAAGACTCTCTGTTGACCTTTTTCTTCTTTCAGCAATTTAAGTTTACATGTAAATTTAAGGGTGATTTTTGGATGAGATTAACATTTAAATCTGGAAATTTTGGGTAAAGAAGGCTACTTTCAATAAGGTGGGTAGACTGCCTCACCCAATCAATTGAAGCCTTGAAGAGAATTCAAAGAAAACTTCCCCAACTGATATGGTTTGACTCTGTCCCCACCCAAATCTCATCTTGAATTGTAGCTCCCATAATCCCCACATGTTATGGAAGGGACCCAGTGGGAGTTAATTGAATCATGGGCGTGGTTTCCCTCATGCTGTGCTCGTGATAATGAGTTCTCATGAGATATGATGGCTTAATAAGGGACTTTTCTCCCTTTTGCTTGACACTTCTCTCTTGCCTGCCACCATGTAAGATGTGCCGTTGCTCCTCCTTTGCCTTCTGCCACGATTGTGAGGCCTCCCCAGCCATGTGAAACTGTGAGTCCATTAAACATCTTTTTCTTTATAAATTACCCAGTCTTGGATATGTCTTCATTAGCAGCATGAGAACAAACTAATGCAGTAAATTGGAACCTGGTAGTGGGGAACTGCTGTAAAGATACCTGAATATGTGGAAGTAACTTTGGAACTGGGTAATAGGCAGAAGTTGGAACACTTTGGAAGGCTCAGAAGAATTCAGGAAGATGTGGGAAAGTTTGGAGCTTCCTAAAGACTTGTTGAATGGCTTTGACCAAAATTCTGATAGTGATATGAATAATAAGGTCCAGGCCAAGGTGGTATCAGATGAAGATGGGGAACTTGTTGGGAACTGGAGTAAAGGTCGTTCTTGCTATGCAAAGAGACTGGCAGTATTTTGCCCCTGCCCCAGAAATCTGTGGAACTTTGAACTTGAAAGAGATGTTAGGGTGTCTGGGGAAAGAAACTTCTAAGCAGCAAAGTGTTCAAGAGGAAGCAGAACATAAAATTTTGAAAAATTTTCAGCCTGACAATGCAGTAGAAAAGAAAAATCCATTTTCTGGGGAGAAATTCAAGCTGGCTGAAGAAATTTGCGTAAGTAACAAGGAGCCAGATGCTAATCATCAAGACAATGGGGCAAATGTCTCCAGGGCATGCCAGAGACCTTCACAGCAGCCCCTCCCATTACAGACCCAGAGGCCTAGGAGGAAAAAATGGTTTCCTGGGTTGGGACCAGGGAAGCCCTGCTGTGTGCAACCTTAGGCTTGGTGTCCTGCATCCCAGTTACTCTAGCTCTGGCTAAAAGAGGCCAAAGTACAGCTCAGGTCAAAGCTTCAGAAGGTATAAGCCCCAAGCCTTGGCAGCTTCCATGTAGTGTTGAGCCTGTGGGTGTGCAGAAGTCAAGAATTGAGGTTTGGGAACTTCTGCCTAGATTTCAGAGGATGTATGGAAACACCTAGAAGTCCAGGCAGAAGTTTGCTTTAGGGGTGTAGCTCTCATGGAGAACCTCTGCTAAGGCAGTTTGGAAAGGAAATGTGGAATGGAGCCTCCACAAACAGTCCCCACTGGAGCATTGAGTAATGGAGCTATGAGAAGAGGCCTACCATCCTCCAGATGCTAGAATGGTAGATCCACCAACAGCTTGCACCACACACCTGGAAAAGCTACAGACACTCAATGCCAACTGTGAAAGCAGCTAGGATTGGGGCTGTATCCTTCAAACTCATGGACGTGGAGCTGCCTAAGACCATGGGAACCCACCTCTTGCATCAGCATGACCTTGATGTGAGACATGGGGTCAAAGGAGATCATTTTGGAGCCTTAAGATTTGACTGCCCCACTGGATTTTGGACTTAACATGGGGCCTGTAGCCCCTCTGTTTTGGTCAATTTCTCCCATTTGGCATGGGTGTATTTACTCAATGCCTGTACCTTCATTGTATCTGGAAAGTAATTAACTTGCTTTTGATTTTACTGGCTCATAGGAAGAAAAGACTTGCCTTGTCTCAGATAAGACTTTGGTCTTGGACCTTTGGGTTAATGCTGGAGTGAGTTAAGATTTTAGGGGATTACTGGAAGGGCATGATTGTATTTTGAAATGTGAGGGCATGAGATTTGGGAGGGGCCAAGGAAAACATGATATAGTTTGGCTGTGTCCCTACCCAAATCTCATTTGAATTGTAGTTCCCATAATTCCCACGTGTCATGGGAGGGATCTGGTGGGAGGTAGTTGAATCATGGTGCACTTGCCTCCATGCTTTTCTCATAATAATGAGTGAGTTCTCATGAGATCTAATGGTTTTATAAGGGGATTTCCCCCTTTTTGCTTGGCACTTCTCTCTTGCCTGCCATCATGTAAGATGTGCCTTTGCTCCTCCTTCACCTTCTGCTATGATTGTGAGGCCTCCTCAGCCATGTGGAACTGTGAGTCCATAAAACCTCTTTGTTAAAAATAAATTATGCAGTCTCAGGTATGCCCTTATTAGCGGCATGAGAACAGAAAAATACACTAAGTAAGAGAAAAATTATTCAGTAGACTGCTCTTTGGAGTAGTCCTTGCTCCTAGTTTTTCTAGAAAAAATGGAGAGAAAGAGAAGAATAAGCTCAGAGACTTGAATTCCCAGCTCCATCTGCACCATCAGTTTTCTTGGGTGGGTTTCAAGCCTTCCAGCCCATACTGAAGATTTTGGACTTTTCAGCCTTCATAATTGTGTGAGCCAATTCTTTATAACAAAGTTATATTGTTTCTTTGTAGAACTATGGCTAATATAGATGAATTCAGGTACTAAAAGTTGTTCTGTAGGAACAGAATCTTAATGATGAATTTTCTGAATTACTTCAGAGGTTTCTGAATTTGGCTTTTTAATTTGATTGTATTTAAAGACCCAATAACCCTACTTCCAGTAGTAAAGAGTACAGATAGCTAAGGGTGTAATCTGGCCACAGAAATACATGAATATTACCATTGGATACCCCTAATTAAACACTTATCTAAAACAAGGATCTGAGCAACCATGTACATGAAACTTTCAAATATTTTTGCCTGAATAACTAGTATAATTAGATAGGCTCTTTGCTCCTAATTTCCCTAGACAAAATATATATAGAGAAGAATTAGTTCAGAGACTTGAATTCCCAGCTTAAGCACCATACAAAGATACAATCTTCTATATTGGCCCTAAAAGAAACCCATATCTCTTGTAGCCATATGACTGAGATTACTGAAAACCAAACCCAGAATATCACCTTGTGAGTGGCTGAATTAGAATGCAAATAGAAATCTCAGCCCCACAAGATGGCTACTATTAAAGTAAGGGCATGGATAGGAAGGAATGGAATCTTGAAAGTTAAAACCAGGAAATGTGGGAAGACTGTCGTGAACCCAGGGACCTTGAGTTTCTAAATTCTGATGAGTCTTCCTTGCCAGCAAAATCAGCCTCTCTACCTCTAATAAAAGTTGCCTCTCAGTCTTCTGAGTGGATTAACCCCGCATTGTCTGAGGAAACTCTAAGTGCCTCCCCTGATACAGTTGCCTTGTAAGACAATGCTGATTCTCCTTAGGTCCCACCTTCACCATCCCTCTTTGCTTCTAGACCTAAAACTAGATTCAAGTCCTGGTAGATGCTCAAAGGTGAGGTGCAAAGTGTGACCTATGAGAAAGTGCACTACATACCCCTCCAAAAAAACCACTTAAGTTATCTAATCAATACAGACAGAAATCCAGGGAATATATGAGTGTGACATAATAGAATATAAAATTGGATCAGGCCAAATTCATGGATATGGGCCTACTAAGTAGAAAATCTACATTTAATGTTGTGGCTTGAGAAGTTAGAAACAACTCTTAACAGTATGCTTCATTGGTTGGCTGAAACATGTACCATAAAGTGACACAGAATGAGAGAGCTAGAAATGCCAGATATGCCTGGGTTTACTATAGATGAAAAGATTCAAAGGCTTAGGGATATTGGAATGGTAGAGTGGATTTGCCATTTAAGACCTACTCACTCAAGCTGAGAGGTCTAGAAGACACACATTTCACCACCATTGCAAGAAATACATATGTAAGGGGAGCCCCAGCATCCTTTAAGTGCTCGGTGGTCTTTCTTTCCTGTAGAACAGAACTTACAGTGGGAACTGTAGTCACTGAATTGGGAAGCTTAAATGCATTGAGGATAATTAGATCCCAGGGTAAGGGAGGCCATGTGGCAACACTCAGCTGCCAAAGGCAAGATGGGCACAGTTACCATAATGAACAGCAGAGTCAAAGCAGTAATCAAAATAATTTGCACCGACCTGCAGTGTTAGCTTGTTGATTATTGTGTTACCAAAAGTAAAGTAGATGGAAAGCCTATTAAATTCTTATCTGATCTGTACAAGCAGAAACTTACTAGGTTAAGTGAACAAAAGCCTAACCAGAATCATAAAGACAGAGTGTTACTACCTCTCAATCAATTCCAAGACTTGAGCTAGTTTACAGACCCAGAATCTCTTGAATAAAGTGGCAGCTGGGTCCCTTTGAGAAAGGATTCTGGTACACTGTCAAAAATTTATATTGTTAATATTTTTCCCAGACTTCCCAAAAGGACTCATGGCCTTTTGCAAGGTAACTGTTCATTGGGGAAAAGAAAATAATCAGATCTTTCAGGGACTGCTAAACACTGGTTCTGAACTGACACTAATTCCAAGAGACCCAAAACATCACTGTGGTCCACTAGTCAGAGTATGTTCTTATGGAGGTCAAGTGATCAATAACATTTTCCCTTAGGTAAATTCATGTATATGGGCCCACTAAGCAGAAAAGAGGGGACCTAATGGATCCCCAAATCAATTCTGTGATTATTTCTTCAGTTTTGGAATGCATACTTGAAATAGACATATTCAACAATTTGCAGGATCCCGACATTGTTTTCCTGACATGTGGAATAAGAGCTATTATGGTGGGAAAGGCCACGTGGAAGACACAAGAACTTCCTTCTAGAAAAATATTAAACCAAAAATAACACCGTATTTCTGGAGGGATATAAAGGGATTCAAGTGCCACTCAGGTATTAGTGCCACTGTCAAAGACTTGAAGGATGCAGGAGTGGTGATTCCCACCACATTCCCATTTGACTGGCCTATATAGCCTGTGTGGAAGACAGATGGATCTTGGAGAATGACAGAGGGTTATCTAAACTAATCAGATGGTAACACCAATTGGAGCTGCTGTACCAGATCTGGTTTTATTGCTTGAGCAAATAACACAACTTCTAGTACCTGGTATGCAGCTATTGACTTGGCAAATTGTTGTTGGTATTTTTCATCCCTATTAATAAAGATGATAAGAAGCATTTTACTTTCAGCTAGGAAATCCAACAATACACCTTTGCTGTTAAACCCAAGGGTTGTATAAACTCTACAGCACTATGCCATAATTAATTGGCAGATTCTTGATCAACTTTCTCTTTCACAATATATAGCACTCATCTATTGCACAGACCAATACATATATCATACATATTCTCATATGTAATGATAACACCATGCTGATTGAATCTAGCGAGGAAGAAGTAGCAACTATTTTAGACTTATTTATGTTTACCTGCCAGAGGTGGGAATTAAATATAACAAAAGTTCAGGGGACTTCTACCTCAGTGAAATTTCCTGGAGTCCAGCATTGTGGGGTGGTGTGGGGGCATATTGAGATATCTCTTCTAAAGTGAAGGATAAGTTGTTGCAGCTGGCACCTCCTACAGCCAAAAACAGACACAGCATGATTCTAGTGAGCCTCTGTGGTCTAGTGAGACTCTTTGGATTTTGAAAGCAACATATTTCTCATTTGGATGTGTTACTCTGGGCCACTTACTAAGTAACCCAAAAAGCTGCTAGTTTTGAGTGGGGCCCAGAACAAAAAAAGCATCTATGACAGGTCCAGTCTGCTGTGCAAGATGTTCTGTCACTTAGGCCACATGATTCTGCTGATCTAATGGTGCCTGAAGTGTTAGTAGCAGATAAAAATGCTGTGTGGAGCTTTGGGCAGTTCCCTGTCAGATGACTGCCATGCAGGCATTTAAAATTTTGAAGCAAAGCCCTGTGACCCTCTGGGGATAGCTACTCACCTTCTGTTAAATATTTTTTGGCCTGCTGTTGGGCCTTTGTAGAAACTGAAAGATTGACCATGGGCCACCAAATTACCAAGGGTCCTAAGTTGCCCATCATAAATTAGGTGTTTACTGACTTACCAACCCATAAAATTGGACATGCACAGCAGCATTTAATCATCAAATGGAATTGGTATCTATAAGATCAGACCTAAGCAGTCACTGAAGGCACAAGTAATTTACATGAAAAAGTGACCCAAATGTCCATGGTCCCCCACTTCTGCTAAACTACCTTTTCTCTTCTAACCCTTACCTGTGGTCTCATGGAAAGCTCCTTATGATCAGTTGACAGAGAAAGAGAAGACTTAGGTGTGGTTTACAAATGGTCCTCCATGATATGCAGCACCACATAATAGTGGAAGGTGCGGCACTACAGCCCCTTTCTGGGACATCCCTGAAAAATAGCCATGTAATTGTCCCAGTCAGCAGAAATTTGATAATGCACCTGGTTGTTCATTTGAAGGAATTTGATCAAAGAAAAAATGGCAATTTTTCCTTCAAATGGAAAGATGTGCAATTATATACTGAATCATAAACTGTGGCCAGTGGTGTATCTGGATGGCCAGGGAGTTGAAAGGAACTTGACTGGAAAATTAGTGACATGAAAATCTGGGGAAGAGATATGTGAATAATTACAGCACAGTGGCTCACGCCTGTAAATCCAGCACTTTTGGGAGGCAGAGATGAAAAGACTGCTTAAGCCCAGGGCTTTGAGACCAGCCAGGCAACATGATGAGATCCTAACTCTACAAAAAACACAAAAATTAGCCAGGTGTGGTGGTACATGCCTGTAGTTGCAGCTACTTTGGAGGCTGAGCAGAGAGGATTGCTTGGACCTGGGAGTTGGAGGCTGCAGTGAGCTACGGTATGGTCAAACCACTGCACTCCTGCCTGGGCAACAGAGCAAGACCATGTCTCAAGAAAAGAAAAGAGTTATGTGGATAGGCCTCTCTGCATGGTGAAACACATAAAGATGTGTGTGTTTTATTTCAATGCCCACCAAAGGGTGACCACACCAGAGGAGGATTTTTAGCAATCAAGTGGATAAGATGACCTATTCTGTGAATTCCTGCAACCTCTTCCTGTAACTGCCTCTGTCTTTGCCCCATGGGCTCGTGAAACAAGCAGTCATGGCAGCAGGGATAGAGTTTATGCATAGGCTCAGCAATATAGACTCCCACTCACTAAGGCTGACCTGGCTATAGCCATTTCTGTGTACCTAATCTGCCAGTAGCAGAGACCAACACTGACCCCCCCATTTCCCCCACCACCACCCATATTGCACCATTCCCCAGGGTGATCAGCCAGCTACCTGGTGGCAGGTTGATTACATTGGACCACTTTCGTCTTGGAAGGGGCATTGTTTTGTTCTTGCTAGAATAGACACTTACTCTGGGTACAGATTTGTCTTCTCTGCTTGAAATGCTTTTGTCAAAACAACCATTCGTGGACTTACAGAATGTCATATCCACCATTTTGGTATTCCACTCAGCATTACTTCTGATCAAGGACCTCACTTCACAGAAAAAGGAATGTAGCAATGGGTTTCACTGGTCTTACTGTGTTTCCTATCATTCTGAAGCAGCTGCCTATAGAATGGTGGAATAGCCTTTTGAAAACTCAGTTACAGTGCCATCTAGATGGCAACACCTTGCAGGACTGAGGCAAGGTTCTCTTGGAGGCTGCGTATGCTCTAAATCGGCATCCAATGCATGGTGCTGTTTCTACCATAGACAGAGTTCACAATTCCAAGAATCAAGGAGTGGAAATGGGAGTGACACCACACACTATTTGCTAGTGTCCAACTATAAAAAATTTTGCTTCCTATTCATGTAATCTTATGCTCTAGTGCACTAGCAGTATTAATTCCAAAAGAAGGAAGGTTACTACCAGGGAACACAATGATAATTCTACTGAACTGAAAGTTGATACTACAACCTAACCATTTTGAACTATTCATGCTTCCAAATTAATAGGCAAATAAGGGCATTACTGTGCTTTCTGGGATGATTTTTCTGGACTACCAGGGAGAAATTGGACAATGGAGGTAAAGAAAAGTACCTTCAAAAAGTATGTCTTGAATACAGAAACTAAGGTATCTTAGTATTACCACACTCTGTGATTAAAGCTAGTTTGAAAACTACAAAAACACAATCCCAGACAAGATTACTCATGGCCTGGACCCTTCAAGAATGAAGGTGTGCATCACTGCACCAGATAAAGAACCACAATTAACTAAGGTGCTTGTTGAAGCCAAAGGGAATATGGGGTGGATAGTGGAATAAAGTAGTTATGAATACCAGCTACAACCATGTGACCAGTTAGAGAATTAATTATTCTAATTGCCATGAGTATTTCACCTTTGTTGTGAATATGTGTGTAGGAATTATATTTCTTTTACTATGTTATTCCTTAATCATGTAACATAAGATGTACTGAACTCATATAGTATTTATCTATTATTAATTTTACATTGCAGTATTTCAGTTATAAACTATAAAAGAGAAGGGTAAACATCAACCAAATACTTTGTATCCTCTTTGGGGGATGGAGTCCTGCATGTTCAGTTGTACACAGAATAGTTTTATCATGTTAAGTGAAAGTATAACCTTGTTACTGTTGTTATTTTGGAGATCAAGTATGGTTTAAGAAGAGGCATATGGGTGCCAAGTTGACAAAGGGTGGACTTGTGATGGTTAATTTTATGTGTCAAGTTGGAGAGTGTTTGGGGTTGAGATTAACATTTAAAACAATAAAATCTCAGCAAAGTAGATTGCCCTCCATAATGTGAATGGGCCTCATCCAATCAGTTGAAGTCTTGAAAATAACACAAAGGCTGGACTCCTCAAGCATGAGAAAAAGTCTTCAGCGGACTTTCTTTGGACTTGGCTCCATCAGCTCTCCTGGGTCTCAAGGCTGCAAGCCCACACTGTAAATTTTGAAGTTTCCATCTTCCATAATCACATGAGTTACTTCTATATAATAAACCTGTTTAATCTACATAAATAATACTTTGTAATACATTTGTTAAGTATATATATTCTGATTCTCTGAAGAGCCCTGACATACCATTCTATTTCCTTCTGTCTCCCAGTGATTCTGATGAGAAGATTAGCTGTTATTCTTATTGGGGTTTATTTGTATATGACAAGTTGTTTTTTTCTTGCTGCTTTCAAGGTTTTTGTCTTTATTTTTCAACATTTTTATGATGTGTCTGTGTTTGCATTTCTTTGAGCTTGTCCCATGTCTTGTATATTTAGATTAATATTTTTCACCAAATTTGAGAAATAAGTGGCCATTTTGTATCCAAATAATCTTTCTGACACTTTATGAGCCTCTCAATATGCTAATGTTGGTATGCTTGATGATATGTACAGATCTCTAATGCTGTTCATTTTCTTGAATTTTTTTTTTCTGAGACTGGATAATCTCAACTGGCTTGTCTTCATTTTCACAAATTCCTTCCTCAGCTAGTTCAAAACTGCTTTTAAACTCCTCTAGTGAATTTGTAAATTTCATTTGCTGTACTTCTCACCTTCACATTTGTTTGGTTATATTTATATTTTCTATCTTTTTATTTATACTCATTTTTTGGTAAACAATCATTCTCATATATTCCTTTAATTTTTTAGATGTTTTTTTAACATTCTTTGAATGTATTTATAAATAGCTAATTCATAGTATTTGTAGTATTTGCCTGTGAAGTCTGACATCTGGTCTTCCTCAGAGGCAGTTTATATTGACTACTTTTTATCACTGTGAATGGATCATAATTTTCTGTTTCTTTGCATGTATAACAATAGTTTGCTCAAGATTTGACATTTAAAATAATATGATATAACAACAGTGGAAATTAGATTCCCCTGCCAGCCTCCTCAAAGTCTCTTGTTGCTATTTCTTTCTTTGTTTTTATTTTTGTTGTCATTGCTACTGCTGTGTATTTGATTTGACCTTCCCGGTCTAATTTTGTAAGTTGTGTTTTTTTTTTTATGTGTAGTCACTTAAGTCAATGTTTGATTAGCTCCATAGACAGCTAATGATTGGACAGAGATTTCCTTAAATGGCTTGAACTCATATGTATCAGAACCTAGGGGCTCTGTGGATTTGAGATATATTTTCTTCATTCCAGTAGACAGTTTTCAACTCTGCCTTAGACTTAACTTATTATTTCTCCAGAGCCTCAGAGTCAGCCAGAATTGAAAGATTAGGATATTCTTGGGTCTTTCCTGGGCATGCAAACATAGCTGTGCATACGTGTGGCATTCCCAATTCCCAGAAATAAATTGGAGGTTTATAAAACCCACTATGGACATCTCATTTCTTACTTCCTTTTTTTCAGTTTTTTGGTCAGCCTCTTGTTAGGTATAATTGATAATAACAGCTTAGGAAGCTAAAATATGAAAGAATTTTCTCAATTTCTAATAAGCACTCTGGTAATAAGGCTGTTTACATAGAGCAAGTTTTGATTCACGTCAAATAAAGATAAGCCCTAAGAGTGAAGCTTTTTAGCAAGCTAACAAGCAAACCAAATAGTGTTGATTCTCTGGTGATCTGATATTTGTGGAAGGCCAGACCCTTTTTGCCTCTTCCAGTGGCTCCTAGGCTCCAGATTTTGACAGCTAATGCACTTATTGGACTGTAGGTATTCAAGTCTGCAAGGGAGCTAGCAGAGGGGAATGAGATTAAGTCAAATCAAAGTGCTATAGAGCCTGCTCTTGTTACTTAGATTCAGCCATTTATCTTACATAAATATTCTTCATATTGTTGGATCCTTTGATTTCCAGAATTCTGAAAACGTTTTTGACTTTCTTTACAGTGTTATTGTTGCTTTTATTAAAAGCTGATTTTTAAGAGACTTTATTCTAGTATTCTGGAAGTGTTTCCCCCTATCAATGTTTATTTCCTCAGATATTTATTCAAGGAATATAGTTATTCATTGGGTCCTTCATTTTCCTTACGTGATGTCTATCAACCTTTTTATTGACATTACTGCTGTTTGAAAGATAATTGTCATGAATATTATAACTTATCTACACCCATATGCAAACTTATTTCCTAAAGTGCCAATTTTATTTTAACTTTCTTACTACAAGTATACAATTGCTTCCACTTACTTCAGGATAAAAAAAAAAGAAATTAATCTTGGAATTAAACACTCTCATAATATGACTTCACTTATCTTCCAAGCATTTGCTACTAACACTCCAAGACACTGAATATAAATTAAAAGATGAACTTATCTTCTGACTTTGAAATTAGTAAAAGCAACATCATTAATTGGGATTATCTATGTTTTGTCAGTTGTGACATATTAAATAACACACCAAGTCTGAATTCACCAAGTGGGCATTCAAACCTTGGGCAAATATTTTGCCTTCTTGGGTCCTATTTTCTGAGTTTCAGTGTAGGTAGTAGCACTGCTGTGAGAACCAAGAATCAAATAAGTTAGATAGAAAACACAACTCAAATGTCAGTTGGTGCTATTTGCTAAATATTATATGTTCTAGAAAAGATTTATAAGCAAAAATTTGATGAAAACTCATTATCTTCCAAATCAAATAAGACAGCGCTTATTATAGTTTAATGGCAGAATCTCATACTGTGTCCTTAGAGAAGGGTAACTGGAAATAAGTGATGTAAAAAGCTTTCCAACACATACTATTTTTTTCTCCTATGCATTTATACAGCAGAGTGGCATACTGCATTCACCCCTGAAAATGGAGAGTGGATGAGCAAACATTTATCAACATTTATAGAGCCATTTTCCCAGCAAGAATGATACTGTTCCTGTCTGCCAAATCTGAATATTTTAAGCACAATTTTGCTGTAAAGCAGTTTATCAGCTTCTTCATATTTTAAATAAAATATCCCTTTAAAAAACATGATCGCTGTCACCCAATATCTAGGGTTTTCTTCTCTCCTATAGTAGTCAAAATCCTGTTACTTAGATGAACTCATGGCCATGTATAATAAAGGCTAATTTACCTCTTTACCTTCTTTCTCTGAATGTTGTTTACAACATTATATTTTGAAAATTATTTTATTTCCAAAATATTAAAATTCTTGGGCAGGTTTATACATTTCCCAGGAAATAAAAGGTTTTCAGAAAATTGAAAATACCTATTTTGCTGGAACCTCTACAGCTAGTGTATCTTTCTTGAGATCATCAGAGAACAAAAAAATCTAAGTGACAGCCTACTCAACAACTCATGGGTAGTTCAAAGGTGCCTAGGTACCTTACATGCAGGATGTCAAACAAATTGATCATCACTCTCCTTCCTGCAAATTAGTCACTTTCCTATATTCTTTAATCAGTGCATAATACTACCATCTATCAAATTGTAGAAGAAATTATCTATTACTTCACCCCCTTATCCAATTCACTAAAATTTCAGCTTATGTCACCTCCTAAATACCCATTATATCTGTTTACTTTGTTGTATCTTCGCTGATATCAGCTTAGCTTAAGTTAATATTATTCATTTCATAGGTACAGCGCCCTAACTTATGTGGCTGCAGGTATTAATTTCTTCCTTCAATTCATTCTTTTTACCGAAGCTGGTATGGTATTTTCAAAGTGTGAATAATAATATCACAGGCATGCTTAAATCCAATCAGTGCTTTTCCAACTGTGTGGATACACCACCTTGGAAGTGGACTACCAAGGTATATTTGAGCCTCCTCTAGTGATATCATCAGAGATGGGATGCCCCAGTGGAGTCCTGCCCCATTTGAAGATTTGTGAGATAAATAAAATGGTCATCATTTTTAAAGCCAATATATTTCAAAGTATGGTCTGTTGTAGAAAGGAGTAACCCAAATGATGAAAAACTAAAGGACTATGCTATTATAAGGATTGTTAGGAGACAATATCTATTAACTTTTTCTTACAAAATTCAATTGTTCTTATTTACATCTCTGTCCAGAAAACGTACAGGTCTAATTATTTTCTTTATTGAAAAAATAATTATTAATTCAGCAAAGAAGTGTGTTTCCCTACTGTGTATTAAGCACCGTGCTAGGAAATGACAGTTGAAAGATGAATGCGATGTTTTCCAAAGCACTGGTATTCATCATTGTTATTATAAACAGATAAACAGTCTTTGCTGTCTAGGAAAAGGCTTTTTCAAACTCTTTTTTGTACACAATGACAGAATAATTGAAAAGTATAAAAGCAGTCATATATGCAATTTAGTGTGATATAGTCAAAGCCACAGTTGTCATTGTATAAGCTGACTTTCATTATTTTACTTAGGTGGCAGGTTAATTAACTGAATTGGCCAAAAGATTGTATGTAAGTCCTGACAAAGAAATTATTAGCCCAAATTAGTATGTATCAAGACAAAAACTATTTAACAAACCAGTAGATAACATTAGTGACCAGCACAGAAATACAAGTAGAAATTATTAGCATAAGGTATGTTTCACATGTTCAATGTTTATTATATTTTATAGTAGATTTTATGAATGATATAAATGTAAGAATAATTTTTTCAAAAATATCCATTTATTTTTACTATGTGTAATTTTATGAAAAATATGATTTTGATTGGGTGGACATATATATATTTTAGAATTCTGCTTTATTATTAATTTCAACTTTTATTATAGGTTAAAGTGTACATGTGCCAGTTTGCTACATGGGTAAATTGAGTGATTCTGAGGTTTGAGGTCCCAGTGATTTCATCACCCAGGCAGTAAGCATGGTACCCAACAGATGGTTCTTCAGCCCACACCTTCTTCCCTCTCCCATACAGTGGTCCCAGTGACTATTGTTTATATCTTTATGTCCATGAGAACATAAAGTTTAGCTCCTAATTATAAGTGAGAGCATGTGGTATATGGTTTTCTGTTCTTGAGTTCTGTCACTTAGTGTAATGGCCTCTAGCTCCATCCACATTGCTGCAAAGGACATGATTTTATTCTTTTTTATGGCTGCATAGTATTCTATGGTGTAAATGTACCACATTTTCTTTATCCAATCTACTTTTGTTGGGCACCAAGGCTGATTCCATGTCTTTGCTATAGTGAATAGTGCTGTAATGAATATACAGGTGCATATGTCTTTTTGACAAAATAAATTATTTTCCTTTGGGTATATACCCAATAGTAGGATTGCTGGGCCAAATAGTACTTCTATTGTAAGTTCTTTGAGAAGTCTTCAAGATGCTTTCCTCAGAGGCTGAACTAACTTACATTCCCACCAACAGTGTGTAAGTGTTCCCTTTTCTCCATAGCCTTTCCAACATCGGTTGTCTTTTTTGTTTTGTTTTGTTTTGTTTTTTAATAATAGCCATTCTGACTGATGTGAGATAGTAACTCGTTGTGGTTTTGATTTGTATTTCTATGATGATTAGTGATGTTGAGCATTTTTTCATATGCTTGTTGTTTGCTTATATTTATTCTTTTAAGAAGTGTCTGTTCATGTCCTTTGCCCATTTTTTAATTGGGCTTTTGCTTATTGATTTGTTTAAGTTCCTTGTAGATTCTGGATATTAGACTTCTTTCAGATGTGAATATTTTCTCCCATTCATTAGGCTGCTGGTTTACTCTGTTGGTAATTTCTCTTCAATTTTTTGCAAAATATAAACACATTTCTAAAAATGGCTACAGAATGTTAGAAAAAAATAGTTAAAGAGCTTTTTGAAATTAAAAATCAACTTGTAGATAGAATTTAAGAGTAATTTTGAAATGCTTATTTTTTCACATCATTTACTTGTTTTTTTTTTTTCCCTTTTCTATCAGTTTGTGGATTGATCAGCAGTGGGCCATTAATAAAAATTTGCTACTGAAGCCATAGCTGATGTGAGTTTAGAATTCACAAACTGAACTATCCTAGCAGTACAAAACTAAGACAATAGAAATATGTTAAAATGGAGAAGCCTGTGACATTCATAGCACTGGCTAACCTGGGTATTGAGATTTCTATGACTCAGGAACTAATTGTCTGGATAATTTGAAATATGTCCCTTAGTTTAACATCCCATGTGTCATTTTTTTGTTGTTGCAATTGCTTGTGATGTTTTTGTCATGAAATCTTTGCTAGTGTCTGTGTCCTGAATGGTATTACCTAGAGTGTCTTCTAAGGTTTTTATAGTTTTGGGTTTTACATTTAAGTCTTTAATCTATCTTGAGTTAATTTTTATATAAGGTGAAAAAAAGAGGTCCAGTTCCAATTTTCTGCATATGGCTAGCCAGTTCTCCCAGGACCTTTATTAAACAAGGAATTCTTTCCCTATTGCATGTTTTTGTCAGGTTGGTCAAAGATCAGGTGGTTGTAAGAGTGCGGTCATATTTCTGAGTTCTCTATTCTGTTCCACTTCTGCACAGCAAAAGAAACTTTCACCAGAGTGAACAGACAACCTACAGAGTGGGAGAAAATTTTTTTATTTCATTTTATTTTAAGTTCTGTGGTACATTTGCCAGATATGCAGGTTTGTTACATAGGTAAATGTGTGCCATGGTAGTTTGCTGCACCCATCAATCCATCACCTAGGTATTAAGACTGGCATGCATTAGCTATTTTTCCTGATGCTCTCCACCCCCTGCCCTCCCCTGATAGGCCCCAGTGTGTGTTGTTCCCCTCCCTGTGTCCATGTGTTCTCGTTGTTCAGCTCCCACTTATAAGTAAGAACATGTGGTGTTTGTTTTTCGGTTGCTGCATTACTTTGCTGAGAATAATGGTTTCTAGCTCCATCCATGTCCCTGCAAACTACCTGATCTGGTTCCTTTTTATGGCTGCGTAATATTCATGGGTATATGTACCACATTTTCTTTATCCAGTCTATCATTGATGAGCATTTGGGGGAAAAAGTTTTGCAATTTATCCATCTGATAAAGGTCTAATATACAGAGTCTACCATGAATTTAAACAAATTTACAGGAAAAAACAGGCAATCCCATTAAAAAGTAGGCAAAGAGCATGAACAGACAATTGTCAAAAGAAGACATTCATGTGACCACAAGTACATGAAAAAAAGCTCAACATCACTGATTATTAGAGAAATGCACATCGAAACCACAGTGAGATACCATCTCATGCCAGTAAGAATGGCAATTATTAAAATGTCAAGAAACAATAGATGCTGGCAAGGATGCAGAGAAAAAGAAACGCTTTTACACTGTTGGGAATGTAAGTTAGTTCAACCATTGTGGAAGACAGTGTGGCGATTCCTCAAAGATCTAGAAGCAGAAATACCATTTTACCCAGAAGCCCATTACTGAGTGTATACCCAGAGGAATATAAATAATTCCCTTATAAAGATACATGAACGCATATATTCATTGCAGCACTCTTCACAATAGCAAAGACATGGAATCAACCCAAATGCCCATAAATGATAGACTGGATAAAGGAAATGTTGTGCATATACACCATGGAATACTCTGCAGCCGTAAAAAAGAATGAGAACATGTCCTTTGCAAGAACATGGATGGAGCTGGAAGCCATTATCCTCAGCAAACTGTCACAGGAACAGAAAACTGAACACTGCATGTTCTTACTTATAAGTGTGAGCTGAATGACAAAAACACACGGACACAGGAGGGAGAACAACACACACTGGGGCCTATCAGCGGAGAGAGCATCAGGAAGAATAGCTAATGTATCCTGGGCTTAATACTTAGAAGATGGTTTGATCAGTGCAACAAACACCATGGCACACATTTCCCTATGTAACAAACCTGCAGATCCTGCACATGTAACCCAGAACATAAAATACAAGTTGAAAATAAAAATAAATATGTTCTAATATTAATGAGTACAATATATGCACTGTATTTCACGCATAGCAAGGTGGTATCTCAATTAATGTTATATCTGTTTTTGGGCTGAGGTAGGAGTAAGAAACAAAGTCAATATTGAATATTTCTTGCAGGGCATAATACTCTTTGTGTCATGAGTTCCCCATATCTTATTACAAAATGGGAGGATAAATGCAGCAATGATGAAATAAGATTCACCAGGATGAGATTTTTATGGTTTACTTCCTTCATTCTCTTCTCTTCCCTTCCTTTTTTATTTCCCCCTTCCTTATTTCCTTCATTTCTTTCCTTTTATATCTGGCCTTCATTTTCTTCTCCTGACATTCCTTTTTTTTCTTCCCGTATCATTTTCTCCTTCTTCTGTTCTAGTATATCAGGACTTCAACTGATATTTACAGAGAGCACCTGCTGGACAAGTTCATGGTCTGTATTAATACCTGACAAGACTGGGGCAGAACTGATGTCTCCAGGGAAAATAGCTCCAAGAAGATGAAACTCCTGTTATATCCCAGGTCTAAATGTTTTAGGAGAAACTTGACACTTAGTAGGGAAAGTTTGGAAACAAATTAGTGACAGGCACATGGAAAGCAAAGCAAATGAAAAATGTAGGTAAACATTATCTCCAAGGGAAATATAAATAGAAAAGAATTATAATCATTATATACTTCAAGACTCAGATTTGGATTATGTTTACCTATCCTTAAAAACATGAACACTGATTTTAGTGAGATTAGTTGGGGCCCATGGATGAGAGCTAACTGTTTATATTCTAAAATGACTAACAGATGCTTAAAATAATTAAAAAAATTACAGGTCGAAGTGTATAAAAGAAACTAAATACCAAATTATATGTACCATGTATCCCCATATACATGAAATTTAAGGGCTGGTGAAACTAACAAATCAGTGGTGATAGGAGTCAGAATAGCTGTTACCCTTGGGCAAAGGTATTGAATGACACAGGATATGAGAGAACACTCAGATGTGATGGAAATGATCTAGATCTAAATCTGAGTGTGATCACACAGATGTATATGAATATAAACATTCATTAGCTTTAGATTTAGATACCTATATTATGCATTTTATACCACTAAAAATAGGAAAAATATAATTACACATCTTATAATGCACTTTGCCGTCTTAGTCCAATTTTTGTGACCACCTGTGAGCCCCCTCAGCTTTAAGCCTAAAATAAAGAAATTTAAGCAGTTATAATACTTGTTTCATTTTTCTCTTACCACTCATGCTTGAAAGAAAAACTGGCTGTTTTTGTTTGTTTGTTTGTTTGTTTTTGAGACAAGTTTCGCTCTTGTTTCCCAGGCTGGAGTGCAATGGCACGATCTCAGCTCACTGCAACGTCTGCCTCCCAGGTTCTGGGGATTCTCCTGCCTCAGACTCCTGAGTAGCTGAGATTACAGGCATGCACCATCACACCCAGCTAATTTTTTGTGTTCTTTAGTAGAGACGGGGTTTCTCCATGTTGGTCAGGCTGGTCTCGAACTCCTGACCTCAGGTGGTCCGCTTGCCTCGGCCTCCCAAAGTGCTGGGATTACAGGCATGAGCCACTGTGCCCGGCCAAAATTGGCATTATTTTTATCTCACTTTCCAAAATTTCAGATAAGAGTCTGTGTATAAAGTATGTTCTGTCTTCCCTGAGACCCATCCTGATTGCCCATAAACGTATAAGTGCGATGCCTTCTCAGCCTGTCTTGCCACATCATTCACATGAGAAAATACAAAGACAGCATTTAAGAGTGGAAAACAGAGAGAGAGAGAAACACACAAACATTTGCTCAACTTCAGATTCTTTCTTAACAGCTTCAAATTTCTCCCTAAATCTTCTAGCTTCCTCCTACAGCATTTCATTTTACTCTGGCTTGACATCAAATTTCCTGCATAGAGAAATTTTTTTCAAAAGTCTCTGATAATAACATTATTAGCCTATGTGTATGTGTGTATATATACTGTTAGCAAGGTACCAGGAACAATTTTAAGCAAATTAAATGTATATTGACTCAATCTACCTATTAGTTATTGCAAGCACAAGCTTGGAATAGACCACAATATACCTAGAAGTTTATACAGCTGGATTTCGCTCAAGCACTGTAAAATTCAGGGGGCACATCAATGCCAAAACACTGCTTATTAGCAAATGATATATGATAAATTATGCTAATTTTTAAATCTATAGATGTGTAGGGATCAACTGTTAAACTTGTTCAAAATATGGTTCTGATTATACTTACCCCAACAACCACCAAAAAAGATAATGATTGTCATCAAAAGTGTGTATTGAGAATAAGTGACTCATGCATACGGTCCTTGTATTTTTCATTGAGTCTTTTTTTTGGCAGTAGTGTTGTCATCAGTGCAATTGGTATAGTCCCCACAAAATTAAAATTTATTTATATCATATTGCCTTTAAAAAAGAATCATTGTGTTTTCACTTCTTAAGAGCAAAATGTTACTAGTTCTGCAGTTTTTATCAAATATGTACCAGAAATTCTCATTTTACCGTTGGGAATATAAACTTCTCAATATAGTAAAACATGGATTTTATTGTTTCCTGATCCCTTTGGTAGCATATGAAATATAGCTGAAGATTGTGCAATGCAATAAACTTGGTTCCTCTAAACAACAATTCTGTTTTAAATGTTTAAAATAGACATTCCATAGGAATACCAACAAAATGCATGCAAATGTTATTTAACGCCAGTGAGGAGCCTAAGGAAACCATTACATACTATTTGTGCAGGATAGTTTGAAAATATTAAGCTTGTGACTCCAAACTCAATACTAAAATTTGTGAAAACATGTGCCCTTTAAAAAATAAAAATTTAAAAAAAATCCTCCTTTCCCCCACGTGTGTATTTCTCTCGGTGTGTATGTGGGTATATACAACTATCTACTCATGGCATATATATACCTAACATGCATGTACAGCTATCAATGATTTAATAGCCAAGCTAATTTAAAAGTGCCAATAATCCTGATATGGTTTAGCTCTGTTTCCCCAGCCAAATCTCACCCTATAGCTCCCATAATTCCCACATGTTGTGGGAGGGACCTGGTGGAAGATGATTGAATTATCAGTGGGTCTTTCCCGTGCTGTTCTCGTGTTAGTGAATGGGTCCCATGAGATCCAATGGCTTTAAAAATGGGAATTGCCCTGCACAAAGTCTCTCTTTGCCTCCCGCCATCCACATAAGATGTGACTTGCGCCTCCTTGGCTTCTGCCATGATTTAAACCTCTTTCTTTTGTAAATTATCCAGTCTCGGGTATATATCCTCTATATTCACCTTAGAGAAAGTTGTCTCTTTATAATCTAGAGAGTCCCAAAGTCAGCATTTTTTAAACTAACATGCAATAAATAATGAACAGGCATTGAGTATATATACATATATAAAATATATACACCTCCTTCAACTAATACATACCTAAATTTGTACACATTATTTTTGCTTGCATTCTTTTGGTCAGAACTTATTCACATGGCCACAGCTAATGAAAGAAAAGCTATACAATGTAGGATATAGTTGGAACAACATGCATACAGCTAAAACTCAAAGACAGGTGTTTTTAATTACTAAATGAAAGGAGAGAGGAAGAAAGGAATCCAGTGGACAATTTGCTATCTCTTCAACATAAAAAAAAAAACGTTCTTCATACCTCAATATTTTGTTTTCATCAATAATGTTGCCATATGAATTAGCATATACATCTTAAATTTTATAATGACTAATATAAGTCACCACAAATATTTTAAGCATCTACATCAGTTTCTGGATAAAAATCTTACTAAGTCATTTAGTGGTAGTCTTTGAGAAATAGTTGGCACTCAACACTCTTAACTAAGTTCATAGATGAAGGAATTTTACTTTGTAAGAAGTTATGTTTATGTACAAAATATGATAATCAGAGAACAAGTAGGCTTCTCTCTGAGACAAGAATCACCTTTTGGCTTATCAAAATTTATGCTATTGTATACCAACATTCAAAAAGAATAGAATTCATTATGCAATCACAGTACTTTCTGTTATACTTGTCAGAGCAAACATAAAATATAGAGTAAATATTAGTATTGATGGCAAAAGCTTTCTGAGAAACACAAAGTGAGGGAGTGAAATGGTGAGAGTTTTTAAGTAGATTTTTCTTGTGGCATTCAGGAAAATCAGTAAATTATACACACATTTCTTCAAAGGAGAGTCTAACTTTTAGAGAGAAGCAAGGAGAAAGCTTATCTAAGATATTATAAGCATCTGTAATGTTTCAAATATTTCTCATCTTTTATGTCTGAAAAATAGACCATTCAGTAAAAAGCTCAAATGCTTTGTCTGTGTTGGTCAGATGGAAGAGACATGGCACTTCAAAACTGGTTCCTTGTTCCCTAAGAATCAAGGCCCTGGTCAGACTAGTGGTCCTGGATCTCCACTCCACTCTAGACAGGGGTCTTATAGTCAGGCTGTATTACTATCACTTGGTTTCAATCTTACCCAACCCTGCCTGGATAGCATTCAGCAGTGGGTGTGGGGCTTGGCAACTGCTCTTTTACTCCATAAATTGTTTAACAGGCTATCAAAATTTGAATTAGAAAGATTTACCACAAGCGTATGTGAGAAAAATTAATGATTGTTGTTTAAGCCTGGAAGACTTTTTCATTTTTGTCATTTCTGTGCAAAAGTAAGTGTGTGTGTATGTGTATGTGTGTGTGTGTTAGAGACAGAGAGTGTGTGAGAGAGAGATTGAGAGACTGTGTGTATTAGTTTATTTTCACACTGCTATAAAGAAATACCTGACACTGGGTAATTTATAAAGGAAAAAGTTTTAATCGACTCACAGTTCCACATGTCTGGGGAGGCCTCAGGAAACTTACAATCATGGTGAAAGAGGAAGACGAAGCAAGCACCTTCTTCACAAGGTGGCAGGAGAGAGAAAAACAAAGGAAGAGCTTCCAACGCTTAGAAAACCATCAGATCACCTGAGAACTCACTCACTATAAAGTGAACAGCATGGGAGAAACTGCCCCAATGAGCCAATCGCCTCCTTCTCTTTACATGTGAGGATTACAGGTCCCTCCTTCCACACGTGGGAATTACGATTTGAGATAGATTTGGGTGCAGACTCAGAGCCAAACCATATCATTCTGCCCCTGGCCTCTCCCACATCTCGAGTCCTCACATTTCAAAACCAATCATGCCTTCCCAATGGTCCCCCAATGTCTGAACTCATTTCAGCATTAACTCAAAAGTTCACAGTCCAAAGTCTCCTCTGAGACAAAGCAAGTCCCTTCCACCTATAAGCCTGTAAAATCAAAAGCAAATTAGTTAATTTCTAGATACAATAGGCATACAGGCATTGGGTAAATACTCCTGTTCCAAATGGGAGAAACTCACCATAACAAAGAGGCTACAGGCCCCATGGAAGTCTAAAATCCAGTGGGCAGTCATTAAATCTTAAAGCTCTAAAATGATCTTCTTTGACTCCATGTCTCGCATCCAGGTCACGCTGATGCAAGAGGTGGGCTCACATAGCCTTGGGTGGCTCTGTCCTTGTGGCTTTGCAGGGTGCATCTTCCCTCCTCTCTGCTTTCATGGGCTAGCTTTGAGTGTCTGTGGCTTTTGCAGGCACAAGGTGAAAGCTGTCAGCAAACCTACCATTCTGGGGTCTGGATGACAGTGGCCCTCTTCTTACAGTTTCACTATTCAGTGCCCCAGTGGGGACTCTGTATTGGGGCTTGCACTCCACATTGCCCTTCTGCACTGCCCTAGCAGAGGTTCTCCATGAGGGCCCTACCCCTGCAGCAGACTTCTGCCTAGACATCCAGGTGTTTCCACACATCCTGTGAAATCTAGGCAGAGATTCCCAAACCTGAATTCTTGAATTCTATGCACCTGCAGGCCCAACACCACATGGAAGCTGCCACGGCTTGGGGCTTACACCCTCTGAAGCCATGACCTGAGCTGTACCTTGGTCCTTTTTAGCCACTGCTGGAGTTAGAGCAGCTGGGATGCAGGGAACTGGTTCCTAGGCTGCACACAGCAGCAGGGCCCTGGGCCCCACCCAAGAAACCAATTTTTCCTTCTAGATCTCCAGGCCTGTGGTGGGAGGGGCTGCTGTGAATGTCCCTGATATGTCATGGAGACATTTTCCCCATTGTCTTGGTGATTAACATTTGGCTCCTCACTACTTATGCAACTTTCTGCAGCAGGCTTGAATTTCTCCTCAGCAAAATGGTTTTTGTTTTCTATCACATTGTCAGGCTGCAAACTTTCCAAACTTTTATGCTCTACTTCCCTTATAAACATAAGTTCTGATTTCAGATTATCTCTCTCAAGTTAAAAGTTCCACAGATCTCTAGGGCAGGGGCAAAATGATGCAGTCTCTTTTCTAAAGCATAGCAAGAGTGTCTTTTGCTCCACTTCCTAGTAAGTTTCTCATCTCCATCTGAGACCACCTCAGCATGGACTTCATTGTCCATATCACTATCAACATTTTGGTCAAAACCATTCAACAAGTCTCTAGGAAGTTACAAACTTTCCCACATCTTCCTATCTTATTCTGAGCCCTCCAAATTGTTCCAACCTCTGCCCATTACCTTGTAACAAAGTTGCTTCCACATTTTCTGTATCTTTACAGCAGTACCCCACTACTGGTACAAATTAACAGTATTAGTCCCTTTTCACACTGCTAAAAGGAAATACTTGAGACTAGGTGATTTATAAAGGAAAGAAGTTTGATTGACTCACAGGTCAACATGGCTGGGGAGTCCTCAGGAAACTTATAAACATGGCAGAAGGCAAAGGGGAAGCAAGCACTTTCTTCACAAAGTGGCAGTAAAGAGAATGAAGGAGGAACGTTCGAACACTTATAAAACTATCAGATCTTGTGAGAACTGACTATCATGAGAACAGCATGGGTGCAACAACCCCCCATGATCCAATCACCTTCCTCCTTCGACACATGGAGATTACAGGTCTCTTCCTCAACACTTGGGGATTACAATTCAAGATGAGATTTGGGTGGGCACCAAGAGCCAAACCATGTACTATGGCTGGAGCATAAAAGTTGTGTACTTCAGGCCTCAGATTTCAGTTTCCATAATCAAATTGACAGACAATGGCTGTTGCGAAGGTCAAATGATAAAATGTATGTAAAGGTGCTGGTGAATTGTGAAGGATCATTCAGAGTAAAAGTGTATTATTTTAATTTAAAATAAATTATTAAATCTATCTGGCATAAAACAAATAGCTCAGTAGAAGCTGATATGTGGTTTAGGTTAGTTGAAGATGATACATTGAAAAATTAGCAAATTTAAAACTTTGAATTAGGACATGAATCTATAGCTTTAAAAACAGAAATTTAACCACTGGCATTATTGCATTTTTTTGTCATATGCTTTTGGTATATAGCTCTCTTTAATTTGTGTTTGAAACAATTTTATATTATCAGACTGGCCAGATTTGGGAACATTTTTCTCAACATAATTGTTTATATTTTTTGGTATTTGCCAAATAAAAAATGAAAAAGTTTTTGTAATAAATTGTGTTTTATTTAAAATAAGTCCATAATATAGTTAGTTACATGGCAGCAGAAGATATTCAATTGTGTTTGTATTATGTATATGGGAAATATTTCTACTGAAGTCCTAGTGTGCTACTTGTACTCTTGCAGAACATAGAATCTAAGTAATCATAAAAAATGGTTGTAATTTGTTCATCTTCATGTCTTTAATCCCCTCATGGCATTATGTTTTGTTATGATGTGCTTTATATTCTACACTGATAAGATACATACTTTATTTATTCATATTTATGACTATAAACTCCCTCTTATTTTTAACATACAATAAAATTTATATTTATGTTTGAATTAAATAATATACATTAAACCATCAATTCTATGTAGATTTGAGTGGAAGCAGGCCTGCATACATTGCATAGCTCTTTTCATTACCTATAGCACATAATTTTTCATTAATTTATTTACTATGATAACCATAACTAGTTTCAGGCAAGAATCTAACATTCTTTCATGAGTCATGTGGAGTCTTGGAGGACTAGGTAAAACAACAACACATTGTCTGAGACTGTCAGGAAAGATATTTACATACAGATTCCAAACAAAAAAGTCATCTTATTTAGCAATTAGATAGAGTGTGAGCATTAGCCGTCTACCACGTCTCAGAGCTTTTCTCAGGACAGATATGTATTACCCTGCCCTCATTTCTCAGAGAAAGGCTGACTCTAATGCTTGTAAGCTTTCTCTCTCACTGCAAATGGCCCATCAGGCCTATAGCCTGAATATGTCACATTTATACACTTTTATCTGACAGCAAGTACTTATTTCAAAATTAAATACCTTGCATCCAGTTAATATGAATGCACTGTGTCACAGACAGTATCTTGACACTAATCAGAGGTTGGAGTTCAGAAACAAATTTAAATTCTCTACATCTCTGGCCATGTTATATTATTTTTTAATGATAATGTTTTACCAAAGTCAGTAATTAAAAGGGCACACATACTTCAAGCACACAAAAGATTTAGATAATAAACAACAGCACATATTTCTTTATGAGCACAGTTTTTTTTTCTTGAGAAGTAGAATTTGCACACTGGAAATTTGGACAGGCTGTATATTTTCTACTTTTTTCAGAAGAAAAGCTCACTCACATGTAGTTACAATATTACTGAATGTGTATATATGCATTTAATGTAGAAAATTGCATTTATAGGGAAATGGAAAAAGACTGGCTCTAAGAAAAGTTTTAGCTAAGCAATTCTTTTTGCATCTGGGACTGCACTAGCAATAATTCCCATGAGGGAAATTTTATTTCCCTTTGGCCACTCTCCCAGAATCAGCTGCTTCATCCTGCAGTCACATTCTTCATTCTGAAGTGTTAGGCAGCTACTAGCATGTGTGCGCCAACACTGTGTATAGGAAAATATCTACAGGGCATTGTTAAGGGTGCTTGACTATTTTCCTGCAGGATGCTATGTTTCCAATCTTGGTTTGCCATTAATCTCCTTCTTTTTGTACTTCTTTGGTCAGTGTTACATTCTGCTGCTGTATATATGCATGATGATAGGGCATAAGCAAAATGCCATTCTACCCCTTGAATAACTGTATGTACCTACCGAGGTTCTAAACTTCACATAATTGTAGCGAAGTTTACCCTCCATTTGTGGAGAGAAGAAAGAGAGTGACTGATAATCATCATCCTCCCACTGAATTTTCTACTACTCCCCAAATAATGTAAACATTCCTTCATAATTTCTTTCTTTTGCTAGTATTTGATTAAGAACCTACAATATTCTTGGCTCTGTGTTTAGCAGCAGAAGACATCTCATATATGCTTCAATAATTTTATTCAAATAGAATATTTTACCACAATTTAATGCATCAAAAATACAGAATATTTATCCTTTTTGTATTTTTTTACTATTTTATTTATTTGAGTTGGCAAGTAAAAGATTTATATATTTATGATCTTTTCATAATATATACATTGTGGAATGGCTAAATCCAGCCAATTAATATGTGTATTATTTCACATACTTTTTTGTGATAAAACACTTAAAATCTGCTCTCTTGGCAATTTTCAAATATACAATATATCGACTATAGGCACCATATTGCACAATAGATCTTTTGAATTTTTTTCTTTCTGTCCAGCTGAAATTTTGTGTCCTTTAACCAGCATACTCTTAAAAATAATACTATTAAGAATAAATAAAAATAAAATAATAAATGATAACATGAGTAGTCTTGGTTAATGACAATGACCACATACTAACTTTTTTTTTTGAGGTTTTATGGTGGTTGCTTTTGGAATTTTTAGTATTATGATTCTATTAATTATTCCTCACACCTTAATTTAATTGAATATATATATTTGTGTATATACATATTTGTGCATATATATATTTGTGTATATATATATGTGTATATATATTTGTGTGTGTATATATATATTGTGTGTCTGTGTGTGTATATGTATATATATATTTGAGACAGAGTCTCGCTCTGTTACTCAGGATGGAGTGCAGAGGTGCGATCTCAGCTCGCTGCAACCTCCGCCTCCCGGTTTCGAGGGATTCTCCTGCTTGACTCCAGAGTAGCTATTACAGGCGTCTGCCACCACTCCCGGCTAATTGTGCGTGTGCGTGTGTGTGTGTGTGTGTGTGTGTGTGTGTGTGTGTGTGTATTTTTTTTTTTTTGAGTCGGAGTTTCTCTCTTGTTGCCCAGGCTGGAGTGCAGTGGCGCGATCTCAGCTCACTGCAACCTCCGCCTCCCGGTTTCAAGTGATTTTCCTCCCTCAGCCTCCCGAGTAGCTGGGATTACAGGCATGCGCCACCATGCCCGGCTAACTTTTTTTTTTTTTTTTTTTTTTTTTTTTTTTTTGTATTTTTAGTAGAGACGGTGTGTTTCACCATGTTGGACAGGCTGGTCTCAAACTCCTGACCTCAGGTGATCTGCCTACCTCAGCCTCCCAAAGAGCCGGGATTACAGGCATGAGCCACTGCGCCCGGCCTAATTGAAAATATTATTTGCTTAAACATTTGGTGTTCATTAAGACAGATATTCTTAAATAATTAGACACAAGAAAATTTCATGTAGTGATGTGATTTTCATTCTTGGCTCATATGTTAGGACTTTCAGATACTGGCTAATTTGTTTGTTGATGCCTCTGTCTTGTTTTTTAGTCTATGAACCACATTTGAAGGTTTTTTGTTTTTGCTTAAAACAGTTAAGAGGCAGAAAACATATTTTGATTTAATTCCTAAATATGCTTTACATTTTCTCCTAAGTATGAATGCTCGGTTTTCTAAGGCTAGGATTCTGGAGGACTTAGTTTCACGTCCTTTGTGCTTTGAGGATGACATATAAATATTGGTTTGAGCTGTATAAGAAATTTAATTAAGGATTAGTGTGTGCTTTTTCATGATCCTGCATTCTTCAGTCAATGTAACCTGAATACAAATGCTGTCCAATGTGTGTGGACACGGACATTGCTAAACAGACACTCCCTAACTCGTAACACTCTACTAGCTTTAGAAATAAATATCTCATAAAATATTTATCAAAAAGTTAATAAATCACAACAAAATCAAATGACAATATCAGGTCCTGTAGAATTTTCTATAAATACCATAAATAAATAATGTTCATGTTTCAATAAGCTATGGAGTTAGTTTAAAAATAATGAATTCAATTAAAAGAGCTATATCTGATGCCATATAATCATTGTATACATGCAGCTTTGGATGAACATCCAATTCAATTTTAAATTATATCCATATGTATGAATACAATTTAAAAATGTATATATGCAGAAACACATACATACACAAACACATTCTAGAGAGAATAACAATTCTCTAAACTCATTATTCATCCAGTATTTCTTATATGTCATTTGCTTAAAAAAAGATTCATTTACAAAATTAATGAGATCATATTAAATCAATTTTTATTTGTTCACCTTGGACAAAGCACATGACCTTGTTGAGTCTTCAGTTTTTTCCACCTCATATAAAAATAGTTAGATTTGATGTCAAAGTATCTTTTAACTAAAAATTACTAAATAACTAAATAAATATTTTATTTTCATTATATTTAAATATTAACTCTAAAAAACTCATATTTTATTTATGTTTTAGAAAGTAATATAATTAAATATCAGATTATATCCTCATATTTAATTGAATATGTTGATTTAGAACTATAAGACTTTTTAAGAATGATGGAATTTTGAATTAATATAAGAAGAGAAGCTATGTAGCAATATTGTTTTCAAAAGCGCATATTGATTTTAGTACCAAATATTGTAGTATTTTATGGCTTCAATACCTATTTCAGTGATATGTTGAAAAGTCCAACCATCTAATAACATGTTTTATTCACACATATGGACATGTCACACATAGACATGTACCACACATGTAATTTTAAAACATACAATTAAAATACGTCAGTAAAAAACCTTCCTCCAATATTTATGGCTTTTTTAAAAACTAAATAAGACAAATTTATAAATTGAAATATCAGTCAGAACTCTATTAGAAATGTAACTTACGGATTTGGGAACCTAATTTTCCGACCTAGTCATTAAATCTGGTGTCCATGGAAACTATTGTGCTTTGATAGCATGATATGCTATTTATTCATATAATCTGCATGAGCAAAAATAGTTTAATCATACCCTTACCTGCATATTGGTTTTCTCTGGAAACACTAAAAATTACATAATTATTTTCTTCATATTTGAAGAAATTTGAAGAAAGTAAAAGTTCCTTTAAACTTTTAACTATGCGTGCATCATTGATTTTATGTTATCTCTAGCATAAAAGTCATTTCCCGCACAAAGATCCTCCAATTTTTATATATTTATCCTTCTGTCACCTAAAATTTGCACTTAATATTAAATAATTTAAATTCATTACCTTTTTACTTTTCTCCTAAAATCATTATCAAGGAAGATACAGGCTAATAATATTTTTTCTGGTTTATAAAGAAACTCACTAGACATACAGAACCACATGTGTATTATATGATATAACTCTACTTGTAATTATTACCAGAAATAAAGGCTGTCATCGTTTTACTAAGTATTAAATTAATGCTTATTACTGTCTATTGTTTAAAGGGTAGATAAATTTCAGTAAATTTCATGATTTAATGTCAATGTCCCACAGAAAATAACAATGCATATTAACTATACATAATGACATAGTATATATACTAATTATTTAAACTATATTAATTTCCTTGGTCCTAACTAGATCTAGCATACCTGACATAAAATTTGCATAATTTTTAATTTGCATACCAAAAGATGTTTTGGTTAATAAGCTGATAACAGTACCAAAAAAAATCCATCCAATGAGTCTATCACATTCAGGTGATATGATATGGTCAAACTAAATGGAAATAAGAAGACACATGCTAAACGTATTGTATTAGTCCATTTTCACACTGTGGATAAACACAATCTGAGACTGAGCAATTTACAAAAGAAAAAGGTTTAATTGGACTTAAGGTTCCAGGTGTCTGGGGAAGCCTCACAATCATGGTGGAAGGCAAGGAGGAGTAAGGCATATCTTACATGATGGCGGGAGGCAAAGAGAGGAGCGCTTGTGCAGGGAAATTCCCCTTTTTAAATCTATCAGACCTCCTGAGACTCATTCGATATTACAAGAACAACACGAGAAAGGCCTGGCCTCATGATTCAATTATCTCCCACCAGGTCCCTCCCACAACAAGTGGGAATTATGGGAGCTACAAGATGAGATTTGGGTGGGGACACAGAGCCAAAACATGCCACGTATCAACTGTAAAATGTATTAAATGTTGTCTGGGCCATGAGAGGCATTTTTGCAAATTCCAAAATGATTTGGTGAAATAAGAATACAACATTATACAACATTTACATTTTGGAGACTAAAAGAGAAATACCTTGCCACAATGATAAAAGACTCTTAGGGTTGTCTCAATTTCCCCCAAAATGCAATTCACAATGTTAAAAATGATGTACTTACATAATTACATAATTATTTTTAAATTTGCCACTTTAAAACTTATTAATAATTTTTATTTGTGTAAAGTATATACATTTCATATTTTATTCTTACAAATACACAAAAAATAGAAAATTGTTTATAAGTAAAGTATATTTTCCACCTTTATTGAGGTATCTTGACAAATAAAAATTGTATATATTTAAAGTGTACACAGTACAGACAACGGAATGATCTGATATATGTATACATTGTGAAATTATTGCCACAAACTAATTAACAAATCCATGAACTCACATAGTTATGATTTTGTTTGTGTGGTGAGAATACTTAAGTTACACCCTCTTAACAAATTTCAAGTGTACAATACAGTACTATTAACTATATATGGTCATAATAGATATGATGTATATAATGTATATAATCATGATATATATTAGAGCCCAAAACTCATTTATTCTGCGTTATTGGATATTTGTACTCTTTCACCACCATTTCCCCATTTTCCTCACCCTCATTCCTGCCAACCACCACTCTACTCTCTGCTCTTATGAGTTCAATGTTTTTAGATTTCACATATAAGTGAGATCATGCAGTATTTCTCTTTCTGTGTCTAGCTTATTTCACTTAGCATAATGCCTTCTAGCTTTATCTATATTGTTGCAAATGACAAGATATTCTTCTCTTTAAGGGTAAATAACATTCCATTATTTAGATATAAATACTATATATATCACATTTTCTTTATAACTTCAACTGATAGACATTTAGGTTGTTTCTATCTTAGTTATTGTGAATAATGCTGCAATAAACATGGGGTGCAGATACCTCTTTGAAATACTCATTTCATTTCCTTTGGATACACAAACAGAAGTGTGATTGCTGAATCATATGGTTAACCTATATTTAATTTTTATAGAGACCTCTATACTGTTTTTCATAATGACTGAGCAAGTTATACTTTCCTCAAGAGTGTACAAGCATTCCCTTTCCTCCACACCTTCATCAACGAGTATCATTCATCATTTTGGTAATAACTATTCTGACAGGTATGAGGGGATATCTAATTGTGGTTTAATTAGCATTTATCTGACGATTAATGGTATTAGGCACTTTTTCATATACCTGTTGGCCATTTATATGTCTTCTTTTGAGAAATGTCTCTTCAGGTTATCAGCTCAGTTTGAAATCAGGTTTGCTATGGGCTGAATATATGTGTACCCCTCAAATTTATACGTCAAAATCCTAACTTCCCAGGGGATGGTATTAGCAGGTGGGGCCTTTAGGAGGTAATAGGGTCCTGGGAGTAAATCCCTTATGAATGAGATTAGTGCCTTTAAAAAAGAGGCTCCAGGGAACTTCATTATTCCTTTTGCCATGTGAGAACACAAGGAAAAGACTGGCCTTCACTAGACACTGAATTTGCCAGAGTCTTGATATTGGACTTCTCAGTCTCCAGAATGGTGAGAAGTACATTTCTGTTGTTTTTGAGCCACTCAATCTATAGTATTTTGTTATAGAAACCTGAATGAACCGAGACAGGATTTATTTATTTATTTATTTATTTATTTATTTATTTATTTATTTATGCTATTGAGTTTTTTGAGTTCCTTATACATTTTGGAAATTAACACTTTATCAGATATATGGTTTGCAAGTATGTTCTCTCTTCATGGGTTGCCTTTTCACTCTGTTTTTTTTTTTTTTCCTTTGCTATACAGCTTTTGGATCTGATAAAATCTCATGTCTGTTTTTTATTTTGTTGCCAGTGTTTTTGGGATCATATAAAAGAAAAAAAAGAATCATTGCCCAGACTACTGTCAAGAAGACCATTCATTATGTTTTCTTCTAGTAGTTTTATGGTTTCAGATCTTAGGTTTAGGTGTTTAGTCCATTTTGAGTGGTTTTTGTATATGGGGCAAGATAAGGCTCCAATTTCATTCTTTTGCAATGTGGATCTCCAGTTTTCCTAGCACCATTTACAGAAGAGACTGTCTTTTCCACATGATGTGTTCTTGACACACACATTGAAGAGTCATTGAGCATAATGCATGGATTCATTTCTAGGCTCTGTGTTCTATTCCAGGAGACTATGTCTGTTTTTATTCCAGCACCATGTTATTTGGATGACTGTAGCTATATTTTTAAATCAGGAAGTGTCATGCCTTCAGCTTTGATCATTGTTAAAAACTGTCCAAATGTAAAATTTAACAATAGTAAACATACTTTTGATAATTAAAGTATTTTCATATTTTAAAGTTAAATAAGCATTGAGTTTCAAGTTTCTTAAAATTCATATTATGCAAAGTTACAAAAAGCTATGTTAACTTAAATTTTCTTTTTAAAATGTGTTTATTACATTCTCAAATATCGTACAATGGTAGTGAATTTATCTCTCCAGAAAAATGATGAATTGTCACATGCTTAATACAAGTTGGTAAACACTTGTCTGAAAAGTCTGTCTCAGAAGCTAGAATTCTTATTCTAATCATATTTAATCAACTTCAGATCTTATGGGTCATGTTTTACAATGTCAGTGAAAGACATGTGACCTAGCTTTTTCAACACAATTCTGCAGAGAAATATGTCAGTCCAAAATTCTTAAAGTTTTTGGAAGCAAAGTCAAACTAATCAGTCAAGAAATTAAAAAACGTTCTGACCCTGCAATCCTACTCTTGTGAATATGTTTCAGAAAAATAAAAAGGCCAGTAAGTATTGGTGTATTGCATTGAATTCTTATTGCTGCCTTAACAAGTTACCAGAAATTTAGAGGCTTAAAGCAACACACATCTATTACCTTTCAATACTGTGGATCAGGAGTCTGAAAGGGGTCTTATTGGGTTAAAATTAATGAACTTTGGCATGACCTACATATTGTTTTGGAGGCTCTAGGGAAGAATCAGTTTCTCTACTTTTCTAACTCCTACTGGCCTTCCACATTCCCTGGCTTGTAACCCCATAGGTGCTATGCAAAGCCAGCCATGTTACATCTCTCTGTGCCTTTCTTCCATAGTCACATCTCCTTCAAACTCTTTTCATCTGCTTCTCTTTCTACTTTTAATGACCCTTGTGATTACACTGGGCCCATGTGGATAATTGAGAATTAATCTATTATGAGGTCAGCTGATTAGCAACCTTAATTCCATCTGCAAAATTATTTTGCCACACAAGGTAACATACTCGCAGGCTCTAGTGATTGTTGACATCTTAATGTGGACATCTTCATACATAAATATAAATAAATAAATATACTCACACCTTGGAATACAGTGGAATGCTCCAAGAAATAATAAAATCATGTCTTTTGAAGCAACATTGATGGAACTCGAGCCCATTATATTAAGTGAAACAACTCAGAAACATGAAGTCAGATATCACATATTCTCACTTATAAGTAGAAGCTACAATGTGTACACATAGACAGTGTGGAATAATAGACCCTTGGGACTTGGAAGGGTGGAATGGTAGGAGGGAGATGGGTGAGAAATTACTTAATAGGTGCAATATACATTACACCAGCTATGGTTACACTGAAAGCCCAGAGTACACCACTATGCAATATCCATGTAACAAAACTGCATTTTCCCTTCTTAAATTTATTTTTTTAAAAGCTCTGGAAAACTTAGAGCAATGTTTAATGTTTTTATATTGGTATATATTTTTAAATTTTAATGTAAGATTATGTTTGAATAATTTATGGTATGTCCACAACATGGAGTATTATGTAGCTTTTAAAAATAATTAATAATAAATATAACATAAAGTGCATAGTTTTCCAAAAAGTATTATTGCATAAAATGAAAACAAGATGTATGGAAGTATGTATAAAATTTTATTACCTTGATTATATATGTAACGTGCAAGCATACACACGTGTAAAAACATATATATACATATTTGTAATCAATATAAACATTTATACATATAAATATATCTCTCTCTTTCTCCTCTCTCTATTATCTATCTATATCTTTATATATGTACACACATACACAAAATATCATAAGCACAATGAAGACAGTATTAGTTTGATAACATGAGTTACCCAGTTGTAGAGAGTGAGGCTTTGAGTAAGAAAAGGACACATAGGAATTGAAAGGTAGAGAATGTAAGAAATGCAAGATTTTCTCCCCAAAACAGGGAATGGTATTAATTATATAATTACATAATTCCCTACAGTCAGGTATTCAAATATTTGTCTCTGATGGGAAATGTGTCCTAGATGTGTAGAATATTGAGAAGAGCAGTGTACTTGAAGAAAATAGCCATGTAATATAGAGCAAGTTCTTATTCTCTTGTTGCAGATTAAAATTGGCAGAAACTTCTTTGATATGCATTGAAGGTGTCTGGTTTCCCCTTCTCTTGAATCTGGGCTGGCCAGTGACCACTTTGACTAATAAAGTACAGTGAAAGCCATACTGTGCTCTGGATGAGTACTAGAACTTCTGCCTTGGCCTTTTTCAGAAGGCAGCTACCAGATGAGAAACGTGACCACTTGAGACCACCATGTAGTGAGAAGCCTAAGCTACATGGAGATGTTCTGAGAAATGAGATGTCATGTGGTGGAAAAGAGAGGCAAAAAGCAGAGTGAAGAGACTGTTCATATGCTTATATTGGGAAAGTCATTTAAGCTTTCTGTGCCTCAGCTCTTAAAACTATCAAATGAAGATGATAATAATAGTGCCTCCCTTGTATGGTTGTTACAAGGGTTAAATTAGTTAATATTTACATCACTTAGAGTAGTGCTTTACACATGTTAAGTCCTACGTGTCAGACGCTACTATTTTCTCATCTATTAAATGAATATTGTCATCATAATGTATTTAACATTTGTTTTAAATTTTGTTTTAACTCTTTCTTTAACTCTTATTAATCACTACTCATTGATTGAGCAGTTACTATGTGTTAAACACACAGAGTTATCTAGTGGAGATAAAATAGTGAATAAGACGGGTCAAGATATTCCCTTAGAGATTCTAATTTAATATGATAAAACAAGAAAATAAACTTTTATAAATAGATTTCTTTCTATTTAAGCACTTTCTTCAGGAAGACTTTGCTAAGCAACCTATGCCAAAACATACATTAAACATTTCTCCTTTGTATTTCCAAAGCACACAGAAATTACATCATCTTAGCACTTAATGCAATGTACTGCCAGAACTTAGTACATTACTATGTTGATAACTCCATCTCCAAATACTCTAATGAATTTACACTTACATCCTAGGGAAAAGAAGCAAGGGATGGGTGACTTAGGCCTTCTGTTTAAACTTTAGAGTAACTCCTCTCTTTTTCCCTGGGCTCAGTTTTCCTTGGAACCAACTTCAGTTGCCGTTTCTTGATATCATGGTAATTGTGATTCAAAAGCCAAGGTCCAGGGTGTGGGTCAAAGGGAAATGTTTATGAATACTACTTTTCTTGCCTTTGGTGTAGGGCAAGACTTAAACTAGTTTAAATTCTTAGTTTAACTGCCTGCACCTTATGTAGACATTCCACACAGGAGATGGGCATGCCGCATCTCACATCAGTGCTTTCCTTTCTGCCTAGATTCTTCAAATACCAGAAGCGATGAAATCTGGTCATGAAAGTAACAAGTCAAGAAACAACAGATGTTGGAAAGGTTGCAAAGAAAAGAGAACACTTACACACTATTAGTATAGCCTCTATGGAAAATAGTATGGCAATTTCTCAAAGAGTCAAAAGTAGAAATATCATTCAACCCGGCAACCCCACTATTAGGTATCTACCAAATGAAAAACAAGTCGTTATTTCAAAAAGACACCTGCATGCTTATGTTTATTACAGCACTATTCACAAGTCTCCAACCACAGATAATTGGATTAAAAAATACGGTATCTATACACTATGGACTAACAAACAGTTTTTGATCACTGTTTATTATAATCCCGAGTAGCTGGGATTACAGACACCCACCACCAGACCCAGCTAACTTTTGTATTTTTGGTACAGATGGAGTTTTGCCATGTTGGCCAGGCTGGTCTCAAACTCCTGACCTCATGTAATCCACCCACCTCAGCCTACCAAAATGAAAAATTTTTAAGAGTTATTTTATGTCTACTATCCACTGCAGCACACTGATATAATTGAATATTTTATTTTGCTTTATTGGCTGTCTGAAGGGGTTGTTCTCAGCATTTAGACAACAGCAAGTACCAGTTTTTTTAACCACTGTTTATTATTCCATGGTGCATAGATACCATATTTTCTTTATCCAGTCATCTGTGGATGGTCACTCTGGTTGATTTCATGATTTTGCTAATGTGAATAATGCTGTAATAAACATACACATGCAGGTGTCTTTTTGAAATAATGACAAAATGAAATCCTGTCTCTTGCAGAAACACAGATGGAGCTGGAGGCCATTATCACAAGTAAAATAACTCAGAAACAGAAAATCAAACACTGCAAGTTCTCAATTATAAAGTAGAATATAAAGAACAGGTACACATGGGGAATACAGAGGGAAATAGATACTTGGGATACCAAAAGTTGGGAAGATGGGAGGGAAATGAGGGTTGAAAATTACCTATTGGGTACAATGTTCTTTATTCAGGTAATGTCTTCACTAGGAGCCCAAACCCCTCCACTACACAATATATCCATGTAACAAACCTGCACATGCACTCCTTGAATCTACAAACATTAAAAAAATAAGTATTAAGGGTTTTGGCCCATTGTACCTCAGAGGTACAGCTGGTATCCAAATCTCCTGTTTCCCAGATAGATATCAACATGACGTGAAAGTAAATAGAAAACATCTCACTTTATAAAAAATTTCAAGCTGCCAGTCATATATTTGAGCTTCCCACCTTCCACAGAGAATCTCAGTTCGACTCCCTGAAATGAGAATTTATGTTTGATAACTTCTTTTCACTTTTTTCTTCTCCACCTCCATGTCTGTACCATTTGTGTATTTATTTTCCTCACTTTCTTTCCTGTGTGTGCTTCTGGAGAAGGATTTTACATCATTCTTTGGCAAGGCTAAAATGATCATTTGTGATTTTTATTCATTATATTTTCCCTCCTCAGAGAACATCGGTCTATGCTTTTAATCTATTTTTGATATTTCTATCGCTACTATCTTATAAATTTTAGCCCCCAAACACGTTTATGTCTTCCTAGTTCTAAAAACCTTTCATTAAGACAACTTATCTTTAAACTCTCTGACAGGACTTAAAAACTTGCAGTTTCTACATCATCAACTTCAACTCTTAAGCCCACTACAATATGACTTCTGTACTCATAAGTGTACTGAATAGATATTGATTAAAGCAACCAATATTTTCATGTCAAACCTAATGGTCTTTACTATTATGAAATCAAACATTCTGTTCTGTGAATGCAATGATTCCTTTTCTACTTTTCTTATTGAACTATGTTCACTATTACTGTTCTATTTCATTGGGAATTCTGGAAATATACATTTTATGTCTTTCTAGCTATAAGCCCTCTGCTTTACTAAGCTTCTCTATCCAGCTTAGAGCTACTGTTCATGATTACAACATCACTACCCAAATTCTCAATTTCTTTGATCCTTTCTTTTTCATTTTCCAGTCTGTGATGGTATTGACATAGAAAAGGACAGCTGGAAAAATTTCACATATGAGGGTAAATTGTTATCAGTTTGCATTTATGATCCACAATCTAAAATAGACTGTTATCCCAGAATATCTGAATCATTTTCATCTCTTTTCAAATGCAGTATTGCCATTATACAACATCAGAACAAAACTCTCTAACAATGTAGCTAACTTCCCAATCTGTCTCCTTCCACTTGAGTATTTTATTCCTTTCCTTCTATGATAGTTAAGAAAATGCTTCTTCCCTCTCTATCTGTAATTTTCTTCACTTCCATTCTCAATAAAATTGAAGAACCAATTATTATTTCATTATTCTCTATATTCAATCTCTTTTTTAATGGGATCTCTAAATCCTTTCCAAAAACATTTGATAATTTCGAAGTTCTGCTTATCTTTAAAAAAGGAAAGAAGAAAATCATCATAACACATATTTCACTTCGGCTACTGCTCAGTTTCTTTGCAGACTTTCAGAACCAACTACAAAAAATAGAATCAATAGTCAGTGAAGTCTTTCTCTTTCTACAAACAATCCTCAACCCATTTACCACCACCATCATCCTATGGAACATAGCTTTTTCTATGACCTACAGTGAATCTGTTTTCTTCATCTCATGCTGTAATTTAGTCTTTATCTCACTTGAACTCTCAGCAATATTTGACAATGTTGAGCCTCTGCTTCTTTCTGAAATATGATCTTTCCTTAGTTTCCATGACGACACTCTCCCTGGAATTTCTCCCACCTTTTTGACAGATCTATTTAAATCTCATCATTTATTCTGACATTAAACATTGGGGACATCACAACAGAAAGTCCCAGGCCCTCATGTCTCCATATGCCCTCTCCCTAACTCTATTTTCTCACTTATATAACCAGTCCCAATATTGTATATGCACCAATGATGTCCAGATTTATATCTCCAACTTTCAACTCTTTTCTAAAGTTCTTGAATAATACACCCAATTCACTACTTGATATTTTTATCTAGATGTTCCAAATAAAACAGCAAATCAAACATGTCCCAAACAACGTCATAATATTTCTTACCCAATAGAATTCTCTCTTGTTATCTGCCTCAGCAAATGACACACCAAAGACCCAGTTATTTTAAAAAGCAATCTAAAAAATTATTATGGTTTCTATATCCCTGAGTTTTTCTATTAAATTTGTCAAAAGTCATATTTATTTTATTTCCAAATACCTCCGAAGCTCAAGTAGTCTTTTTCTATTTCTAGTATCACTACCTTGGTGTAATTAGACATCTCTCACCTAGAATACTTTAATTCCTTTCTACTCATCTTTCACTTCTCTAGCCACCCCTTTAATAGAGACTCAAATCACCAGAAAAGCAGTCTTTCCAGAATTCCAGTTTGATATTATCAAAATAATTCTGACTTGAAAACTTCAATTTTGTTTCAGAAGAATATCAAAAATACTTAACAAAAACTTCAATGTTCTGTGATCAGGCTGTTGCTTATAAATCTGAAGCTTATTCTCAGGTACGCCTTTCCATTTTGGTCCAATAGACTTTCTCCAATTTCTTAAAGAAACTATTGTGCTTTCTGCTGTCACCAAGCTTTGAACACATTTTTTTTGTCTGAAAAAATTTCCACCCCTTTTTAATCTATACAACTATATTTAATCTATCCAATTTCAGCTCAATAATTTACTTCTTCAGAGGAGCTTTGTCCTGAAATCCTAAATTATAAATAATTTAATGTTACGTATTTTCACAGCAGTATAGATTTTTTCTCCATAAGGTTTTACAAAATAATTTATTTATATTTATGTTTATAATAACTTTATTGAAAATCATAATGAACCCTATCTTTTGTGCTGAACATTAAAAAACCAGTGCCTGCTAGAATGTCTGGCAGGTTCCAGTTACAGAATAAATAATTTTTGTATAATTTAATTTAGTAGTAAAACATAAATACCTAAGTTTCTGATTTATAGGTGTAATATTCATAATACATAAGATAAATTGATTAGTATGCTTTAAATATATAATTTGCAACAGAGATGATGAATGATAGAGAATTACTGCCATTGCATCTAGAACATTCCTGCTAAACCTAATTAGAATCTATGATTCCACCTCAGTAGTATTCAAGATAATAATTGGAAGAGAAGAACACACTAGGTACAAAATTACAATAAAGTTTTCAAAAAAGAACTGGCAAATGTTTTTGTTTGTTTGAAACAGAGTCTCGCTCTGTCGCCCAGACTGGAGTGCAGTGACGCAATCTCATCTCACTGCAACCTCTGCCTCCCGGGTTCAAGCGATTCTCCTGCCTCAGCCTCCCGAGTAACTGGGATTACAGGTGCCTGCCACCAGGCCAGGCTAATTTTTGTATTATTAGTAGAGATGGGGTTTCACCATGTTGGCCAGGCTGGTCTCAAACTCCTGACCTCACGTGATCCACCCCCTCAGCTCTCCAAATTGAAAAAATGTTTAATAGTTATGTTATATCTCCTATCCATTAAAACGCACTGATAGAATTAAATGTCTTATTTTTCTATCGGCTGTCTGAAGGGATTGTTCTCAGCATGTAGGAGATTCCAATTTTTGCATGGACGTCTTTCATCTTTAAGGCTAGCAACATCATATCAAATTCTTAAATCCTTCTTATGTTTGAATCTTTCCAATTTTTCCCCCTGTTGCTACTTGAAGAACATTCTGCTTATAAAGGGCTCATTTAGGTGTACACAGATAATCTGTGAAACAAAAAAACTTAGTAACATTAATTATACTGGAAAATTCCCTTTAGAGTAGTAGCTTCTTTAGTGTTTTAATAACCAGAGGCTGAGACTCTTAGCTGACAATCTTGGAATTCTGCTTACCACATATATTACACATATTATTTCAATTATATTTTTAGGTCTAGCCTAATGGATACACTTGAGAATAGAAAGCCGTGCCTAGGAAACAATGTTGAATTGATTAGAATGTAAAGTAGACAAAGGTATTCATCATATGTAAACCTAAACAACTTAATGATTTTCTTCACTGAATTCCTTCAAAAAATTAGTTTTCTGATGACGTGATTATATATATAGAAAACCCCATCATCTCAGCCCAAAATCTCCTTAAGCTGATAACCAATTTCAGCAAAGTCTCAGAAAACAAAATCAATGTGCAAAAATCACAAGTATTTCTATATGCCAATAATAAACAGAGAGCCAAATCATGAGTGAACTCCCATTCACAATTATACAAAAAGAATAAAATACCTAGTAATCCAACTTACAAGGGATGTGAAGGACCTCTTCAAGGAGAGTTACAAACCACTGCTCAACGAAATAAAAGAGGACACAAACAAATGGAAGAACATTCCATGTGAATGGATAGGAAGAATCAATATCGTGAAAATGGCCATACTGTCCAAGGTAATTTATAGATTCAATGCCATCCCCATCAAGCTACCAATGACTTTGTTCACAGAATTGGGAAAAAAACTACTTTAAAGTTCATGTGGAACCAAAAAACAGCCCGCATAGCCAAGACAATCCTAAGCCAAAAGAACAAAGCTAGAGGCATCACGCTACCTGACTTCAAACTATACTACAAGGCTACTGTAACCAAAACAGCGTGGTACTGCTATCAAAACAGAGATACAGACCAATGGAACAGAACAGAGGCCTCAGAAATAACACCACACATCTACAACCATCTGATCTTTGACAAATCTGGCAAAAACAAGCAATAGGGAAAAGTTTCCCTATTTGATGGATGGTGCTGGGAAAACTGGCTAGCCATATGTAGAAAGCTGAGACTGGATCCCTTCCTTACACTGTACACAAAAATTAACTCAAGATGGTTTAGAGACTTAAAAGTAAGACCTAACACCATAGAAGACCTAGAAGACAAGACCTAGAAGAAAACCTAGGCAATACCATTCAGGACATAGGCATGGGCAAAGACTTCATGACTAAAACACCAAAAGCAATGGCAATAAAAGCCAAAATAGACAAATGGGATCTAATTAAACTAAAGAGCTTATGCACAGCAAAAGAAACTATCATCAGAATGAACAGGCAACCTACAGAATGGGAGAAAATTTTTGCAATCTACCCATCTGACAAAGGGCTAATACCCAGAATCTACAAATAACTTAAACAAATTTATAAGAAAAAAAGCAAAGAACTCCATCAAAAAGTGGGCAAAGGATATGAACAGACACTTCTCAAAAGAAGACATTTATGCAGCCAATAAACATATGAAAAAATGCTCGTCATCACTGTCATCACAGAAATGCAAATCAAAACTACAATGAGATACCATCTCACACCAGTTAGAATGGTGATCATTAAAAAGTCAGGAAACAATAGATGCTGGAGAGGATGTGGAGAAATAGGAACATTTTTACACTGTTGGTGGGAGTGTAAATTAGTTCAACCATTGTGGAAGACAATGTGGCCATTCCTCAAGGATCTAGAAACCAGAAATACCCTTTGACCCAGTGATCCTATTACTGGGTATATACCCAAAGGATTATAAATCATACTACTATAAAGACACATACATACGTATGTTTACTGTGACACTATTCACAAGAGCAAAGACTTAGAACCAACCCAAATGTCCATCAATGATAGACTGGATTAAGAAAATGTGGCACATATATACCATGGAATACTATGCAGCCATAAAAAAGGATCAGTTCATGTCCTTTGCAGGGACATGGATGAAGCTGGAAACCATCATTCTAAGCAAACTCTCACAAGGACAGAAAACAAAACACCGCGTGTTCTCACTCATAGGTGGGAGTTGAACAATGAGAACACATGTACACAGGGCAGGGAACATCACACACTGGGACCTGTTGGGGGTTGGGGGGCTGGGGTCGGGATAGCATTAGGAGAAATACCTAATGTAAATAACGAGTTGATGGGTGCAGCAAAACAACATGGCACATGTATACTTATGTAACAAACCTGAATGTTGTGGACATTTACCCTAGAACTTAAAGTATAATAAAAAAATTAGTTTCCTGAATAAAATGATTGCTTATGCTATGAAAATATTTTAAATACATTAATGTCATTAAGTACTGTGAATCTTAGAGAATAAAGTGATCATCCATTCATAATCAAGGCTATCCAAAGCTCTGAATAGTTAGAATCCAGGAATGATTTTTTTTTTTTTTTTGCTTCATGTATTTCCTAAATGTAAACTTACAACTTTAAGAGTAGAAAATGAAAATACTCATTAAATAATAATTTTGGTGAAATTTTGGAATTTATTATTGAGTACTGATACCTTATTAAACATCTTAGTTGTTGGATTTATGGCATATTGCAATATAGCATGTGAAGCTTGGGTTTCACAAGAAAGTTACATAAGAATTCATGTAATACTAGCAAACTCAATTCAATAGCATATTAAAAAGATCATTTGTCATGTCAAGAGGGATTTACCCCAGGGATGCAAGGATAATTTAACATACACAAATCTATAAATATGATACACTGCATTAACAGAATACTGGATATCAATGTGCGAAAAAATGTACTTGGACCCATATCTCATTATCATATACAAAAATCAAGTCAAAATGAATTAAATACTTAAATATAAACCTGTTATAATCAGATATCTCCTCACACCTGTCAGAATGGCTGTTATCAAAGAAATGAAAGATAACAGGTGTTGGGGAGGACATGGAGAAAAGGGAACCCTGGCACACTTTTGGCAGGGTTGTAAATTAGTACAGCCATTATGAAAAACTTAAATAGAATTTTCTCAAAAAACTACATTATGGATCATTTTTTACCCAGATCCCTACATATGGGTAAAAATCCAAAGGATTTGAAATCATATCAGAGCGATATCTACACTTCCATGTTTAATGCAACATTCTTTACCATAGCCAATATATGGAACCAAACAATGTGTTCATGAATGAATAAAGAAATTGTGTATATATACACAATAAATATTATTCAGTTTTAATTAAAAGGGAAATTCTGTCATTCGAGAGCAACATGGATGAACCTGGAGGACATAATGCTAAGTGAAAGGCAGGCCCACAAAGGCAATCCAGGCATATAAAGACAATTATTGCATGTTCTCACTTGTATGTGGAATCTAAAACAAATTCACAGAAGCAGAGAGCAGAACGGTGGTTACCAGTGGCTGGGGCTAGGGGGGAATGAGGAGATATTGGTCAAAGGGTACAATGTTTCAGTTAGGAGGAATAAGTGATGAGCATTTGAGGTGATAGATATGTTAATAAGCGTGATTCATTAATTCCATATTGTATACATGTGTCATAGCATGACATTGTACCCCATAAATATATAAATATATACAATGATCTTTGTCAATATTCTAAAAGAAAGAATTCTTGTAAATTATAAAATAATAAATTATGAAACAGTTTCTTATATATTACATGCTTCAAGTTTGACAAAAATACCTAAGCTTTTCATGTGGCTAGTTTGACCATGTTTTGTATATGAGCATTGAAGAAAGAAATGGAGTAACTATAATTTTAATAAAGATACTTAACTTGGCCTTTTCAAGAAAGAATACACATCTATCCAGAAAGACAGATCTAAAATGACCTTTAAAAAATGACATTTTTGGATTCTGGGATTTACAGAGATGATAGTGGCATGACATCCTATTGGTACAAGGTTTTTGGAGGGAATTTCAGTGCAGACTTTGCTGTACATTTAGTTATTAGATAAAGGTGAGTTGAAATTAAGGAATACAGGCACATACAAATGCTTAACAGGATTTCTGTTGACTGTAGATAAATATTTCCGCTTTGTGACAGTATTATTAAAGATACAGAATCATAAACCCATGAGAACATATTTACCTGAGATTGCTTTTATATGTTTTTAACTAAATATAGTTATTTAAAGATATACTTCTTTCCATATTTTTAAACAAAATAACCAAATATGGTTCAGTGTTGTAGATTTGACTATGAAATGCATTCACTGTTTAAACTATCAGATTTTGATTAAGCAGAATCTGCACAGATAAACTGCTCTCAGGAATTAGATTGAATATGTTCAACTATAAATTCTACTACTTAAAAACCATATAACACTGAGAAAAATATGTAACATCTTTTCCTCCTTTGACAAGTAGTATAAGAGTTGGAGCATGAGTTAATACAAATGCTTACAACAGTGACTGACACAGAATAGGCACTCAAAATGTGGATAATATTTTTACTATAACTTATTATTCAGTGTCAGAAAACTCATTACAGTCTCTCTGAGAAACATGTTTTGGTTTTGTTTTGCTTTCTGATTTAAAACTTTACCTAATAGTGGGCTATGCACTCTGATTAGAATATATAAATTCACAAAAAAGAAGAAAAAGGGAACAAAAAAAACTGTCACGCTCCTCATAAAAAATAATAAATGGAGTAAAATAAAAAATAATATCTTTGAAACTAATTAGAGCAGAGATTATAATGACATATATATTTAACTCAAGGACCTGTAGCTACTATTTTCACTGGCAAAGCAGGAAGAAGAGAAATCTGCTATAGAAGTGGATAAGGGGAAAGAAAACTAACTTAACTTCTAGCAAACATTTAATAGATTCATGTAGGCTGTCATGATGGATTAGAATCCAAAAGAGTCAAGCCACAGACAGAATTCTGGAAACAAAAAAGATCAACTTGGAAGTGGATCATTCCCCCAGGGCATCCAGAAGAAACAGCCTCACCAGTATTCAGATTTCCACTGAAGACCCAAGATATGCTGAGCTTCTCACCTGTGAACTAATAAGTGGAGCTGTTTTCTACCACTATGCTTATGATAATTAGTTACACAGCAATTGGAAGCTAAAAAACACCCTGTTAAGTGAATAATGTCATAAAAATATAACAAATTTATTTTGGTTTTCAGATTATTGAGGGTATTTTGCTTAATTTAAGCACAGTGAAATTTTAAAAATTAAGTCATTCATTTTTATATAGCTTGGATTATATTGCTTGGATGCCAGTAGCTTTGCATTTTTTTTCTGTGTTATAGTTTATAGAGTAAAATTAACTCTTTATGTTACACAGTTTTATGAGTTTAGGCAAGCACATGTTGTCATGTAACCACCACTACAATCAAAATCTACAACAAACAATTCTATAAATTTAAAAGTTCTCTTGGCTTGTTTTAGTCACCTATCCTCAGTTCTCTGGAGACAACTGACTTGTTTTCTGTTCCTCTAGTTTTACTGGTTCAGAAAGCCATGTAAATGGAATCATAAAGTATAAAGTCTGTTGAGCCCAGGTTTTTGAAGTAGCAATACACATTTGAGATCCATCTGTATTGTTGTGTGTATCACTAGTTCATTGGACATAAGTCTATTAAATGCTGAACAGTATTCCTTTGTCTGGATATACCAGGGGTTGTTCATCCATTCACCAGCTGTGAAATATTTGGGCCATTTTGATTTTTTGGTGATTATGAGTGAAGGTGCTATAATACTTTCATACATGTTTTTATGTAAATAAGTTTTCATTTCATTTCTCATAGGCAAATACTACAAGTGCAATTGCTGAGAATACTTGTATGATAATAGTATGTTTCATTTTATGAGAAACTGGCAAACTGTTTTCCAAAGGGGCTGTGCCATTTTCCATTTCCACAAGAGAGGCATAAGACACTCGGTTGATATGGATCCTTATCAGTACTTCACACATTTTTCAAAATTATGCTTTTATGCTTTCTAATTGCTGAATATTGAGAGTCCTTTGTATATTCTTAGTACAAGTTCATTGTTAGGTGTTCTATTTTAAACTAACTGGTGACTTGTCTTTACATTTTCTTACTGTTTTTCATGGATCACATTTTTTTAATTTTGATGAAATCTTATTTGTCTTTTTCTTTTGTAGGATTGTGCTTTTGTTGGTCTATCTAAAAGAAACCTTACTTAATCCAAAGACACAGATTTTCTCCTATGTTTTCTTTAGAAGTTTTATAGTTTTAGGATTTAGAGTTAGGTCTATGATCCATTCGAGTTAATATTTGTATATTATGTGATGTGTGGAACAAAGTTCAGTTTTATGTACATGGATATCCAGTTGTTCCAGCACTATTTGTTAAAGGGAGTATTATTTCTCCGTTGACTTGCCATGGCACCTTTTTCAAATATCAATTGACCATATTTACGGAGATCAATTTCTGGGCTCTCTATAGTATTCCACTGATGTCTGTGTCTATCTCTTGCCAACATTAAACAATCAGGATTACTGTAGTTTTATAATAATTCTTAAGGAAAAGTAGTGAGTTGTCTACTGCTTTGTTCTTTTTCAGGATGTTTTGACTATTCTATTTATTTCACTTTTTCATGTAATTTTAAAAATCAATTTATAAATATCTACAAAAGATATTGCAAATTATTCTGCTGGAATTCATTTAGACAGTTTAAAATTTATTTTATTATTTCATATTGTAGTTTTCAGCAAACAGGTTTTTCTCATATTTTGTTACATATGTAACTATTTTATGTTTTTGATGCTATTGCAAATGATATTTTTTATCATTCAATTTCAAATTGTATATTTATAGTATATAGAAATAGTTTATTTTTGAATATTGACTTTGAATCTTGAAACTTTTTTCAATTCACTTATTAGTTCAAGAATCTTTTAAAACATTTTTATGATTCCTTCAGATTTTCTCTAAAATCACTCATTTCATCTGAAGATAGAGACAGTTTTATTTCATCCCTTTCAACTACTGTAAACTTTTTTTCTTTTTATTTCCGTATTGTCTTACCTGGGACTTTCCGTATAGTGTCTAGTAGGAGTGGTGAGAATTGACACCCTTGTCTGTTACTGATCTTAGAAGGGGTATATTCAATTTTTCATAATTATATATGGAATCAGCAGTAGAATTTTGTAGATATCGTTTTATAGGGTTATATGGATTCCCTGTTATTCCTAGTTTGCTGGAAGTGTTTATCATGTATGGATACTAAAATCTGTGAAGTGCTTCTTTTATTGAGATGATCATATGGCTTTTAGCCTGGTTTCATCAAAAATGTCTTACATTTATTTTCTATTGGTGAACTGTCTTTGTATTCCTAGGACACCATTTCTTGGTTGTTACGTAGAATTCTTTATTATTGCTGGATACAATTTGGCAATGTTCTATGAAGAATGTGTCTGTATTTATAAGACATGTTTGGTCTTCAGTTAACCATTCTTGTAATGCTGTTGGTATTGGTGTCAGGATAATTCTGACCTCATAAGATAAGTTTGGATGTGGTCCTTTTATTTTTTCTGGAAACAATTTTGTGAATTTGGTATTATTCATTTTTAAATATTTGGAATACTTCCCAGTATAGCCATCTGGGTCTTTAGTTTACTTAGTTTAATTTTATTAGATCTTGAGCTATTCAGCTTATCTATTTGTTCTTGAGTGAGCTTTGGCAGTTTGTTTATTTCAAGGAATTGGTCCAATAAATTTTTCAAAATCACAAGTTTAGTTTTTTTCATAGTTATTTATTTTTTTCCAGCTTTATTGAGGTAAAATTGACAAATACAAATTGTACATATTTAAGAGGTACAATGTGATAATTTGATACACATATATATTGTGAAATGATTGCCACAATTAAGCCAATTAACCTATCCATCTCATATAGTTCCTTTTTTTATGTGTGTGATGAGAACATTCAAGATCTACTCTCTTAACACATTTCTAGTGTACTATACAGTGTTGTTAGCTATAGTAACCTTGCTCTACATTGGAGCCCCAGAAGTTAATCATCATATAACTGAAAGTTTGATCAACATTGTCAATTTCCCTCTCCTCTATTTTTTATTATTATGTAATGGCTGTAGGGTCTTCAGCAAAGTCCTCCATTTCTTTCCTGATATTGGAAATTTCTTTACTCTTTTTTCCTAGTTACGTTGCCTAAAGGATTATCAATTTTATTGACTTTTTTCAAAGAACCACACTTTATTCTCATGTTTTAAATTGTTTTCCTTTTTAAATAATAACATCTATTTCTAGTCCCGTCTTCATTATTGTCTGTTTCATATTCAAATTTTTTAGAGTGTGTTGTTGATATTCCTCAATCAAATGGTGGAATATAATGTTGAACCTTGGTGGACTTTTCAAGCTAAAGCCAATAAAATATTGCTGCTTTATTTCCAAAACTAGGTCATAAAAGGCACTATGGCTCCCAGACAACTCTCTTTCTCTCACTTCTCTTTGTTATAGGAAGTGTGCCTTATAGTCCAATCACAACAATGTGAAAAAAAGTCAGGCTATATGGAATAGACTTGGGCCAAGTATTGGTGTTATGTCTGACCTAGGCCTCCAGGTGATCATCAATATTATCTGCTAGACATGTGAATGAGTGAGATTTCATATTACTCCAGCCTCAGTGTTCAAGTATTACTACTGAGCCACAGACACTGTCATGCAGATATAAGCCATCCTCGTGTGCTCTCTGTGAATCCATGGCCCACAGAGACTACAATCGGTTTATTGCATTACATCACTAACTTTGGGTTTATTTGTTTTGAAGGAATGGGTACCTAATACATATGAATCATTTATAAAGTTTATTTTTTCTTTTTTTGTATCACACTGAAGATATTGCTGGTTGATATAGTGAGTGTTCATCTTGTATTCTCAGTCTTCTGCAGAGGAAACCCAAATTGGTTTCTCTAAAATAGTGTTTTCTCCAGCCTCACCTTCAATCCTATATATCTTTTAGGTAATGAATATGTACAATTTTACATCTGACAATTCAAAATCAATAATTTTAAAATTTAAAATTTAATTGTATATATTTTCCCCTATTTTGCTATTATTTTAGTTTCAGAATTTTTCTAGTCACATTATATACAAAAACATTTATTTTGGTGTACTCTCATTTAGGTATAAAACCAATTAAATGAATTCTACAACAAAATATTATAAAGACTTCTTTTTTAATCGGATAGCAATTGCATGGTGTCAAGCCTTTATTATCTCTCATATAGATTTTATTATGGTTCTAGCTTACTAATATGGCTCTGGTCTTGGGTTTACTTCCCTCCATATCTGCCTCAATCCATTATTTTCTTTAAAGTTAGAGAAATCTTAAGGCACAGATTTATCATTACTCCTCTCCTTAATGTTCTTCACAGATCCTTTGCTATCTACAAAGGGCATTCCAAGTTCTTTGCTTTCAAAAAATTAGAATGAATCTTATTTATGCTTTCCCTTTATTTTATCATTTTACCTCCAAAGAAAGATCTAAATTTGTGTTCTCAAGTATGAAGTAAGTGCCTTTAGAAAAGATTCAATTTTTCACTTTCTGTAAACTTAGACTAAGGCATTTTTGAGTAGTAAGTGATGGCTGATTTTGGGATGACGTTATATATTATATATATGATATATATCATATATATATCTCATATATATATCATATATATATATCTTATATATATATATAAAATTGATATGGTTTGGATTTGTGTCCCTACCCAAATCTCATGTTGAATTAGAGGAGGGGCCTGGGGAGAGGTGATTGGATAATGGGGATGGATTTCTCCCTTGCTGTTCTGATAATTGTGAGTGAGTTCTTACGAGGATGTGATGGTTTAAAAGCATGTGGTACTTCTTCCTTCTCTCTCTCTCCTGCTGCCATGTGAAGAAGGCTTTTGCTTCCCCTTCACCTCCCCCCATGATTCTAAGTTTCTTGAGTCCTCCCAGTCATGCTTCTGGAACTGTGAGTCAATTAAACTTCTTTTCTTCATGTATTATCCAATCTCTGGTAGTTTTTTATAGCATTGTAAAAATGAACTAATATAAAATGAATATATATAATTTAATTTACTGGATAGATTTAAATTTTTTCAAATATTTCTATAATATAAAGTTATGTTTTGAACATATATCAATGTTTACTGGAAATAATAAATATACAGATTCTCCTCGAGCTGAAGTACATGATTGTATTAGCTCAGGATGCCATAACAAAACACTGTAGACTGGGTAGATTAAACAACAGAAATTTATTTCTCAAAGTTCTGGAGGCTAAAATCAAGATTTCAGTTGATTTGATTTCTAGTGAGGACTATTCCTAACTTACAGATGGCACCTTTCTCACTGTGTCCTCACATAAGCTTTTCTACGTGTTTTGTGTGGTGGGGGGCTGCGTGGAGAGAAGCTAAGCTCTCTAGTGTCTCCACTTACAGGGACACCAAACCTGAATTACTTCCTTTGAGGCTCTGTCTTCAAATACAGCCAACTGTGGGTTAGGGATACAGTATATAAATATTGGGTGGACACAAAAGTAACTTTATAACCTAGGTATCATGTATTAAATTCATGACTAAAAAGGTTCTATATTAGTATAAATCTCTTTTCCTTCTTTATATCATTCTGATTTCTACGTCTAAAGACCTTGCTTTTTTTTACTTTCGCTTTTTTTTCTTATGGCAAAATCCACTGGGTCATTGTGTGATGATAAAATAGACTTTTAAAAAGTATTTCAACTTTTAAATTCGGGGTCTACATGTGCAGGCTTGTTACACTGGTATGTTGCATAATGCTGACGTTTAGGGTACAAATGATCTCGACACCCAGGTACTAAACATAGTACCCAATAGATAGTTTTTAAATCCTTTCCCTCCTCCCTACATCCCATATTTTGGAATCCCCAATGTCTATTTTTCCCGTCTTTGTGTCCCTGGGTACCCAATGTTTAGCTCCAGTTTACAGGAGAGAACATGTGGTATTTGATTTTCTGTTCCTGCATTAATTCGCTTAGAATAATGGCTTCCAGCTACATCCATGTTACTGAAAAGGACATGAATTCATTCATTTTTTTGGTGCATAGTACTGCAAGGTTTATATATACCATTTTTTTTTATACAATCCACCATGGAAGGGAACCTAGGTTTATTCCATGTCTTTGCATCATAAACAAATAAATGCATGTTTAAATAGTGCTGCAATAAACATATGAATGCATGTGTCCTTTTGATAGAATGATTTATTTTCCTTTGGGTGTATACCCAGTGATGGGATTGCTGTGTCAAATGATAGGCTAAAATCTGGAGGCTAAAATCAAGATTTTAATGCTGACGTTTAGGGTACAAAATGATCTCGACACCCAGGTACTAAACATAGTACCCAACAGATAGTTTTTAAATCCTTTCCCTCCTCCCTACATCCCATATTTTGGAATCCCCAATCCAAACACAATCCCTTTTAAGTTTTGTGTTTTAAGTTTTCAAGAAACCTTCAAGCTGTTTTCCACAGTGGTTGAACTAACTTACATTCCCACCAACAGTGTACAAGCATTTCATTTTCTTCACAGTTTTGCTAACATCTGTGTTTTAATTTTTTGTTGCTGTTTTTTGAGATGGAGTCTCGCTCTGTCACTAGGCTGGAGTGCAGTGGCATAATCTCAGCTCACTGCAACCTCCACCTCCCAGGTTCAAGTGATCCTCATGCCCCAGCCTCCCCAGTAGCTGCGACTACAGGTGCATGCCACCACCCCCAGCTAATTTTTGTATTTTTAGTAGAGACACGGTTTCACCATGTTGGCCAGGATAGTATAAATCTCTTGACCTCATGATTCGCCCACCTCGGCCTCCCAAAGTGCTGGGATTACAGGCATGAGCCCCCGTGCCCAGCTTGTGTTTTGATTTTTAAATAGACATTCTGACTAGTGTGAGATGGTATCTCACTGGTTTTGTTTTGCAACTCTCTAATGACTAGTGATGTTGAGCATTTTTTTCATGTTTGTTGGCAGCTTGTATGTTTTCTTTTGAGAAGTGCCTGTTCACGTTCCTTGCCCACTTTTGAATGGAGTTATCTAGTTTTAGCTTGTTGATTTAAGTTTCTTATAGATTCTGGATATTAGACCTTTGTCGGATGCATGGTTTGTGAATATTTTCTTTTATTCTGTACGGTGTCTGCTTACTCTGTTGAGTGTTTCTTTGGCTGTGCAGAAGCTCTTTAGTTTAATTAGGTCCCAATAGTACGTTTTTGTTTCATTTTGTTTTGTTTTTACAATGACTTTTGAGGTTCTAACCATGAATTATTTTCCAAAGCTGATGTCGAGAATAGTATCTCCAAGGTCTTCTTCTAGGATTTTTACACTTTTAGGTCTTACATTTAAATCTTTGATTCATCTTGAGTTTATTTTTTATATGGTGAAAGGTAGGAGTCCAGTTTCTTCTACATATGACCAGCCAGTTATCCCAATAGCATTTATTAAATAAGAAGTCGTTCCCCAGTTGTTTATTTTTGTCAACTTTGTCAAAGATCAGACCACTGCAGGTACATAACTTCATTTCTGGGATCTCAACACTGTTTCATTGGTCTGTGTGTCTGTTCTTGTAGCAGTACCATGCTGTTTTGGTAACTATAGCTTTGTAGTATAGTTTGAATTTGGGTAGTGTATGCCTCCAGCTTTGTTCATTTCACTTAGGATTGTTTTGTCTCTTTGGGCTCTTTTGTAGCTTTATATGAATTTTAGAATAGTTTTTTCCCCTAATTCTGTGAAAAAATGATGTTCAAAATGAGTTTGATTGAAATAGCTTTGAATCTATAAATTGCTTTGGGCAGTGTGGCCATTTTAACAATATTGATTCTTCCAATACATTAGAATGGAATGTTTTTCTATTTGTGTCATCTGTGATTTCTTTAAGCAGTTGTTTCCAGTTATCCTTGTAGATATCTTTTATGTGTTTGGTTAGACGTATTCCCAGATATTTTATGTATTTGTTTGGCTATTATAAAGGGAATTGTGTTCTTGATTTGGCTCTCAGTTTGAATGCTGTCAGTGTAGAAATACTGCTGATTTTTTCTCCTGAAACTTTAACGAAGTCATTTATCAGTTCTAAAAAACTTTTGGTGGAGTCTGTATGGTTTCCTAAGTATAGAATCATATTGCCGTTGAAGACAGATAGTTTGACTTCCCCTTTTCCTGTTTGGATGAATAGGAGTGGTGAGAGTGGCCATCCTCATCTTGTTCCTGTTCTCGAGGGGAATGCTTCCAGCTTTTGCCCATTCAGTATGCTGTTGGCTCTGGGCTTGTCATAGTTGGCTCTTATTATTTTGAGGAATGCTCCTTCAGTGTTTAGTTTGTTAAGGGTTTTTATCATGAAGGGATGTTGGATTTTATTGGAAGACTTCCCTGAATCTATTGACATGATCATATGATTTTTGTTTTTAACTTTATGTGGTAAATCACATTTATTGATTTGCATATGTTGAACCAGGCTCGCATCCCAGGAATAAAGCTTACTTGATTATGATGAATTAACTTTTTGATATACTGATGAATTCAGTTCACCAGTGTTTTCTTGAGAATATATGTGTCTATGTCCATTAGGGATATTGGCTTGTAATTTTCTTTTTTGGTTGTGCCTTTTTCAGCTTTTGGTATCAGGGTGATGCTAGCTTCATAGAATGAATTACAGAAGCATCTCTTTCTCTAGTTTTTGGAATAATTTCAGCAGAATTGGTTTCAAAACTTTTTGTGTATCTGGCAGAATTCACTTGTGAATTCATTTTGTCTAGGGCTTTTTTATTTTCTGATTCATAAGTTTTTTTATATTACTGATTCAATACATGATCTCAATATGTTCAGGCTTTCTATTTCTTCCTTATTCTAACTTGGGAGGTTTGTGTTTCCAATAATATATTCATTTCTTCCAGATTTTCTAGTGGATGTGCATAGAAACTTTCTGAGAATTTTTTTTATTTCTGTGGGATTGGTTGTAATGTCACTTTTGTTGTTTCTGATGGTGCTTATTTGGATATATTTTCTTTTTTTCTGTTAATCCAGCTAACTATCTGTTGATCTTGGTTTCCTTTGAAAGAAACAACTTTTGGATTTCTTGATACTTTGAATTTTTGGGTCTCAATCTTATTCACTTCTGCTCTGGTTTTCGTTATTTATTTTCTTCTATTAGCTTTGGGATTAGCTTATTCTTGTTTTTCTATTTCCTAGGTGCAATGTTAGGTCATTAATTTAAGATCTTTCTAAATTCTCAGTGTAGGTGTTTAACAGTATAAACTTTCCTACTAACTGTACTTTTAGTAAATTTTTGAAGTTAGATCTCTGGTAAGCAAGTGAGCAAATTAAAATTACCATCTAGGCATCTATAACGAGTTGATATGTTTTGTTTTCTATAATTCTAGGAAGCTCATAAATTAATTTATTCTAGAACTTTTTTCTTTTCCATTAAGTAATTGATATTTCAGGTTGAACCTAAACTGAACTTAACATTTGATACATACGTGTTTTGACCTGCCTAAGTCAGTCCCAAATGAGCTTAATGCCTAAAGTGTCCTTTCAAGTTGTTATTTTTGTTTTACAGGGAGCAGGCAATCCCCAGAGGAAAATTACATTAATAAATATGCCCAGTGGCTTCTAGGTATTGCTGTTGAATGGCATTATTATTTTGTTTGTATGTGGTGTGTGCTGTAGGGGAAAATCATATTTGTATATCGGCACCTATATAGTTTATTATCTTCTCCGAGAAATTTTTTATTATTTTATAAGTCTCTTCAGATTTCAGTGGGATTCAATGTGAATAAAACAATTTAAGATATTCAAATAGCCATGAATTCAATTTATCTTTTTGAGACTGTAAACTGAACTCATCCGTTCCCACAATATTTATTTATTTTATATCCCTTGTAAATTTTGGAAGATGAGGAGGGATTTTTGTATTCTAGTATACACTTATATGGCCTTTCTATATAAAAATCATGATTTACAGCATTTATAAAAAATCAGAAAAGAAGCCCACACTATGTAGAAAATAAATCTGATAATTGCATGTTTCATAAACGGTATGAGCGTTAGAAAAGATGAATGACAGAGCTATAATTCAGTGTATCATAGTGAGTATATAAAAATGAAACATATTTTTATGTTTTATGATACCGCTAGAATTTCATGATGGATATATAGTTCTATAACTCAGAGTAATCTGTTACTGGGTCCATGTTTAATTTCATTGTTTATATAAAGACGTTATTATAATAAGAAGTGCTCTCAAAGACAGGAAAGAGCAGGGTAACATTATGCGTATGTCATCATTCATATATTAGTGAAGAGAGAGTACACAGTAGTAGATTAATCATTAAATAAAAAAATAAGAAAAACCATGTAATATATCCTCTTGCTTGAAAGTCATTATGTTAAGTGAAATAAGACAGGTAGAGAAAGACAAATATCACATGTTTTCTTTAATATTTGATAGCTAAAATAGTATATCTCATGGAGATAGTGAGTAGAATGCTGGTAACCATAGACTGGAGGAAAAGGGGTAGGTGGAATGAAAAGAATTGTTTAAGGATTACAGAAATACAGCTAGCTAAAATGACTAGGTTCTAGTATTTAATAGTATAGGAGAAAATTGTAGTTAACAAAAATTTGTGTATATTTCAAAATAGTTAAAAGAGAAAATTTGTAGTGTTCCTAATACAAAGAAAAAGGTTTGAGGTGATGGTTATTTCAATTATTTGGATTTGATAATTACACATTGTGTACAGGATCAAAATATTTCATGTATCTACAAACATGTACAACTATTATATATCAATTTTAAAATGAAAAAGGTTTTTTATTTATAAGCATTCATGACAATTCATGATTTGTTTAAGTTGTTATCATTTATTTAAGAAAAGTTATAATAATAACTCAACCCAAAGGGAAAAATGTTTTTAATACATAGAGGCTTTTAGTCGTAGAGGTTTAAAAAATTAAAATTCAAATAACAAATATTTTATTTCAGAGAAATACAATAGATCATCAATACAGACTTTCAAGCATGAAAATATATTAAGGTACCAAAATTTTGTGAGGTGAAAGAAGGTAACTTCAAGAAGAAGGAAAAAGAATGTAAACTTTCCCAATAATAAAAAATGTTTTGTTCTCATATTTTTAAAACAAATTATAATGACTATTAAATTACTATTCCATCAGGCATTGGAAAAATGAGGTAATGCTTTTATATATAAATTTTAGAAAATTGCATCCTTTGCCACTCTTTCAATTTCTGATGAAAAATTTACATCAGAAAATGTGCAAGTGAGCACATGGTTTTGCAAATTCTTTTAGGTGCTTCGTGAGCAAAAAGTTTGAAAACCGTTGGCATTATAGTTTATACTAATTTTTTTAAGGATATCTGTACAAGTGCTAACTGAATAATTAAGGCAATTCTTCAAGAATAATTACAATTTTGAATATCTCTTTTACTGGGAACTAATTGAAAAAAAAAGTTTTATACCTGCCACTTATCTGCATAATTGACTCACTTTCATAAATGTGTAGATATTTATGTATAGTTTTAATCTACATGATGGATACAGGAAAGCAAAGTTCTTTTCTGGTGGCACATACAAATGACTTTTTCTTCCTTGTTGCTTCTATTAGGTTGGTGCAAAAGAAATTGCGGTTTTTGCCACTAGCTTCAATAGCAAAAACCGCAATTACTTTTGCAACAACCTAATACTACTCCATTCTTATATGTCTGTGCATGCCATTTCATACAATGAATTTGGTCACCAGAGAAGATATAGGTGTAGCGATGTAGGAAAATAATATTTATTGAATGAATTTAATTTTTCTTATATAAACACAGTTAAAAATGTCAAATTTCTGAAATGTAAAGTCTTTGTTTGATATTTCCATCTGAGTCATCTTAAGGTTGAAATCTCTTGATTTCATTTTGCCTTGAGAATTTTTCACAGTTTCTTGGCTTTTTGTAGGTGAATAACTTTGGATTGTATCCTGGACAATTTAAATATTATATTGTGAGTCTCTCATGCCTGTTAAAATTATCTGGATAATGTTGATTTTTGTTAGCTTGTTTTATTATGAAATCAGCTTGACTAGATTCAGATGGTTCTGTATCATAGATTTAAATGTAAGAGCTAAAACTATAAACTTCTATACAAAAACACAGAAGAACATTATTGTAACATTGGGTTTGGCAAAGTGTTCTGGTATAAGACAGAAAATGCACAAACCACAAAAGAAAACAATGAAAAATTTTATTTCATCAAAATTTAAAAACTACTGGTATTTGAAATACACTATCTAAAGAAAAATGAAGAGACTAGCTGCAACTGAGAGAAAATATTTGCAAATCACATATTTGTTAAATGCCTTTTATCCAAAATGTAAAAACCTCTTACAACTCAAGAAGACAACTCAGTTAAAACATGGGCAAATGTGTGAACAGACTTTTTGTCAAAAAATATGTACAAATGGGAAATAACACGAAATGGCATTTAATATCATAGGTTATCAGAGAAATAAATAAAATAAATGAATAAAATAAAAGCCAACACACTAAGAAGTATGGATAAAATTAAAAACATACAATAAGGCCGGGCGCGGTGGCTCACGCCTGTAATCCCAGCACTTTGGGAGGCCGAGGCGGGTGGATCATGAGGTCAGGAGATCGAGACCATCCTGGCTAACAAGGTGAAACCCCGTCTCTACTAAAAATACAAAAAATTAGCCGGGCGCGGTGGCGGGCGCCTGTAGTCCCAGCTACTCGGGAGGCTGAGGCAGGAGAATGGCGTGAACCCGGGAAGCGGAGCTTGCAGTGAGCCGAGATTGCGCCACTGCAGTCCGCAGTCCGGCCTGGGCGACAGAGCGAGACTCTGTCTCAAAAAAAAAAAAAAAAAAAAAAAAACATACAATAAAAAGTGCTGGTGTGGAGAGGAACTAATAGGATTGGAAAATGGTACAGCCATTTTGGAAAACTTGCAGATTATTATAAAGTTAAACATATACCTAAGGAGAGCCTCAACAATTCCACTTCACCCAGGAGAAATGAACAATATGTTTACAGAAAGTCATACCCAAATGTTGAGAGCAATTTTATTTGTAATAGTCCAAACTAATGAACAACCTAAATGTCGATCAGCTAGTAAAGAGATAAACAAATTGTGGTATCTATGTACAAAAGAATACTACTAAATAATAAAAAAAGATATAAATTGCTGACATATAAAATTACATAAATAAATCTCAATAGCATTATGCTGAGTGAAATAACCCAGACACAAAGGACTATATGCAGTCAGTTCACTTCTGTGACATTTTGGAAAAGGTAAAGCCACAGAAACTGGAAGCTAGAGGGACAGATCAGTGGTTGCCAATGGCTGGCTGGTCAGTGTAGAAAACTGACAACAAAGGGGCATGAGGGAAATTTTTGGGTAATGAAAGTGTTTGTCAGTTAGGTTAGGGGTTACATAACTCTGTGTTTGCTAAAACTCATCAAACTGTATCTAAAAAGGCTGAATTTTACAGTATTGACATTATACCTCAATAAACCTAAATTTTTAAAAAAGAAAAGAAAAACTAAGAGTCATTTTTATTATATAATATAAACACCTAAGATCACACAAAAAAATACAGACCTTAAGAGTGAACTCCTTTCTTATTCCTCCTAATAAACTTATCATGGAGTTGCAAGGGGTGAGAGTAAGGGTATAAATCACTTCAGAAAGCAAGGGTGTTTTGAAGTGCTAATATTCACTTTGTGTGAACTGAAATATTTATAGCAGGTCCATGAGTGAACTCCATAACTTTTGAGAAAAATTGCTGATTAAGCCTTGTAACAGAAAATATTTTTTGAAATATCTATGTATTTATATATTAGTCAAAATGATGTAAAATATATTTTACCAATAAAATTAACAAAAATATGTCAACTGGCTAATATTTACCAGCAACTGAAAATTAGCAGATTGATACAAATTTGAGTTTCAGTCTAATGGTTTATTTAATAAGTGATCACTGACTTCATTAAAAATAATGAGAAAAATTAGAAACTCTAAGTTTATCATTTATACTTGACATTTTGTCTGAATTAAAAAAAACACTAAACTAAAAAATACAACTATCACATGATACAGCATGTCATTGCTACGTATATAACCAAAATAAAGAATACCAGTATATCCGAGAGACATTTGCATGCCATGTTTATTGCAGCATTGTTCATAATAACCAAGATATGAAATCAACAACATAAGTGTCCATCAACAGATGAATGGACAAGAAAATGAGGTACACGGCCTGGCATGGTGGCTCACACCTGTAACCCCAGCACTTTGCGAGGCCAAGGCAGGCAGATCACGAGGTCAGGAGATCAAGACCATCCTGGCTAACACGATGAAACCCCGTCTCTACTAAAAATACAAAAAATTAGCCGGGCATGGTGGCAGATGCCTGTACTCCCAGCTACTCGGGAGGCTGAGGCAGGAGAATGGCGTGAACCCGGGGGGCACAGCTTGCAGTGAGCCAAGATTGTGCCACTGCGCTCCAGCCAGGGCACAGAGCAAGCCTCCGTCTCAAAAAAAAAAAAAAAAAAAAAAAAAGAAAATGACGTACATATATACAGTGGAATATAATTCAGCCATAAAAAGGATGAAATTCCATGACTTGCAGCAACGTGGATAGAACTGGAGGCCATTATGTTAAGTGAAATAAGCTAGGCACAGAAAAAAAAATTAACATGTTCTCACTTACATGTGGGAGCTAAATTTTTAAAATTGAACTCTTGGAGATAAAGGGAAGATTGATGGTTACCAGAGGCTAGGAAGGGTGAAAGGAAGCAGGGGATAAAATAGGGATTGTTGATGGGTGTAAAAATATAGTTAGACAGAGTGAATAAGATTTAGCACAATAGGGTGACTATAGTTAACAATAACTTACATATATTTAAAAATTACTAAAAGAGTGGAATTGGAATGTTCCTAACACAAAAAATAGTGATACATGCTGGAGATGATGATTGCTATAATTACCCTGATTTGGTCATTATGCATTGTATACCTGTATCAAAGTGTCACATATACCCCATATTTTTATACAACTATTGTGTACACATAGTAATAAAAAATAATAAATAAATAAATATAATTATTTTATTTGTAAAAATAATTTAAAAAGCAGAGACTTAATATTTTTAAAAAACATGATTAATCACAATTTTATTTTATTCTACTAATTTGATGTCCTGGTGTAGTAGTATTCCACATTAATAAGAGCTATGTAAACCCAATATGGATTTAAGCTAAATACTTCTTGAATTTACATTAAGGAATGATTGACCAACTAAAGATAAGAGAAGTAATTGCAATAATACAGGGGAAAATATTTTTCTGAAATGTATCTTAAGAGATTTAAGATTAAAATAACATAATATACACGTAGTATTTGACATACTAGTAAATGATTTATAATGAAATAGCCATCATTGTTATTTGATTAGTTTGATTATGTTTTTTTATGCCTCCTGATAAACTTATTATGGAGTGGCAAGTGGTGAGAGTGAGCATATAAATCACTTCAAAAGGCAAGGATATTTTGAAGTGCTAATAATTGATTAGCTTGCAGAGAAAATTGAGTTAGAATGAATATGTACATTAGAAAACTTCAAAATTCAAGGTTTCGAAGTTGTATATCATTAGTATATTATTGCAAAGTATATTTTCTTCCTTAGTTGTATGTACTAAATATGTGCAAACCAAAATAATCAGAACAAAACTTGCCATTCGGTTATTGTCATATTCTCTTTATCATAGAAATAGGCAGTGTTTAATGTATGGTGAACCAATTTGCTAATCTGATCGTTTACATATCCTTTGCTGAAGATCAATGCACATCTCTTTCACCACTGCCTTTATTGATTTTTCTATCTGTTAGGCTATCTTTGCTGACCATCTTGTAAGTACTTCATTCAATGGATGTTATCTACCTTTGCTCTAATTGTCTACCAATTTACCTATTGTTTTAAAGTTTTTAGTCAATCCTAGGTATAGAAGGTGATCTGTAGTAGAGGATATTAGTGGTGGATTGTCATGCTCCAACTTGTTCTCTATTGTTAAGATGTAGATACGGTTTCCATGTGTGTTTCCTCCGAATCTCATGTTGAAATGTGATCTTCAGTGTTGGAGGTGGGGCCTAGTGCGAGGTGTTTGGGTCTTGCAGACAGATCTCTGATGAATGACTTGGTGCCCTCCTGGCAGTATTGAGTGATTTTTTGCTCTGATTTGTTTAAAACAACAACTGATTGTTTTAAAAATGTGAGATTTGGTTGTTTAAAAGAGTGTGGCACATTTTCCGCCCTTCTCTCTTGCTTCTTTACTTGCCATGTGATTTGAAGGCTCCTCCTTTGCCTTCTGCCCTGATTATAAGTTACCTGAGATCCTCATTAGAAGCAGATGCCTGTACTGTACTTTTTGTGCAGCCTGAAGTACCATGAGACAAATAACTATTTATTTCTTTATAAATTACCCAACCTCAGGTATTTCTTTAAAGCAATGCAAAAATGGACTAATGCAGGTATCTTGAGTGGTTATATGGCTGGGCAAGAGATGTGGAGTAGAAAACCAGCCAGAGTAACAATGTCCTGTGATTCATGGGGTGACGCTTTTCTGGCTAGAAATCTCTGTGGTCGGTGGTGCCTTTGCCCAAGTTTTGTTCGTGCCAGCTAGGTTCGTTCCACCCACTTGGTCTGGCAGGCTGCCCTTAGCTCGCACTCCCAGCCTGAATCCCATGCCTACCAAGAGCTAGTGGAGCAGCGAGGGCTGTGTGCGCAAGGAAGCATGGGGTCCAGCCACCGCACACAGTCAGGCACACTGGCTGCAGCGGGGCTGGCAGCTCCCGGCACTGGCTCTTTGTGAGGCTACAGCTTGACCAGGTGTACTGCAAGCAGCTTCCACAGCTGGCACCGGGAATGCGGTGACACCCGGAAACTTGGGCAGCCCGGAAACTTGGAGACTTCAGGAACCGCACAGCCCCAAAAAGGGTATCACAGCCCTGGCTCAGGGAACTCGTAGGTCTGGGCTCTCTCAAGAAACTTCTAGGTCTGGACTGTCTCTGCAGCTGTTCTCTCCCCTTTTTTCCCTCCTTCTCATCACCCGCAACATGGTGAGCAAGGGTCATGTTTCAGCCTTGTTTGTGTTATAGCTCTTTTAGCCCCGCCATTTGGCAGGGCTCAAGTTCTTGTCCCGCGTCCGGGAAGAGTGAGGTATGCAGACAAGTGGAGGGCGAGCAAGCTGAAGAGGAGCTTTATTAAGGGACAGAACAGCTCAGAGGAGACCTGCATTGGGTAGCTCCTCTGTGCAGGCAGGGTGCCCCAACAAGTGTTCAGCTTTCAGTGGAGAGGAGACCCTGAAGTGGGTAGTTCCTCTCCACAGGCAAGTTGCCAGTTGCCTCTGAGTCTGGCTGCGGGTGGGCAGGGTTGTTGGGCTTCGAGGGGGCGGGGCGGAGTGTGTGCTGATGGGTTCATGGGCAGCATGGGTGAGCCCAGAAAAGACATCGTAAGTTCCCATTCTGGTCCATCAGCCCAGACCCTAGGCTTCAGGCTGTCCATCACTTGAAGGTGGGGCTTCACTGGGGACCCCCACTTTCTACCCAGCAGCCTGTCTGACTCCTGCGGTTGCCCAGGTTATTTGTGCCAAGGGGCAGCTGCAGTCCAGCGCTGAGCCACCCTCAACACCCCTTCAGCCTCCCTTCTGTGCCTGTTGGCACCCAACATCTGGAGAGGGCTGAGGCGCAGGGGGCTGGCATGTCAGCCCTGCCTCAAGCTTACGCACATCCAGCCGGGTTGCAACAGCTCCTGGGCTCCGCCTCAATTTTGCTCCAAGATTGAAGTGGACACGGAGCAGGAGGAGGCCAGGCTGAGGGAGCAGGCAGTTCCAAGCCTGTGGAGCAGGCGCCAGGAGCGGGGAGAGGCCAGGCAGTGGGGGCAGGCATTTCTGAGCCTGTGGAGCAGGTGCCAGGAGCCAGGAGAAGGCAGGGAGTGAGAGCAGGTATTTCTGAGCCTGCTCGGAGAGGGAAGGCCTTTTTGGGCCCCTAAGAGTGTAGAGATGCTTGGGTCCACAGCCATTGCCTGGACGGCTGCAGCTGCGCCCAGGAAGCGTGAGGCTCCTGCCTGTTCCTGGCCCCCAGGAGTACAGGGATGCCCAGGTCCACAGCCTCAGGTGGGAGGCTGCAGGTGGGATAGAGCTCCTGCCCTGCCAACTCAGAAGGGGCTCGGCTTCCGCCTCTTCCCAGCTCCTGCCAACTCTGTGGAGCGTGCAGGCCCCGCTGTGCCTCCCCGGCTGCAGCAGCCGCTCCAGACAGGTCACCGATGCCATCAGCAAGAACAACTCTATCACCTTTTCTCTAATTTTCTTTTGCTTTCTTTTGGTCAGTTAGAAAAAAAGCTACAGGGAAAAATTAGATGACTTTTAAAAATAAATGTCTATCTGTGCAAATATTTCTTTACAAACTCATAAAATATTTTCTTAAGCAGTTTGATAAAAATATCATGCACCAAAGTAGAATAAAAACATTAGTTACTGCTAACCCTGAAAAGATCAATTTAATATTTTATAGTTCAGGAAAAAAGCAATTTTAATTATAAATCATTCGGAAATATTTAAAAGGAATTAAAATTTTTCATTTTTATTCTCCACTTGATCTTAGTCAAAAGGCCGAGAAGTGATTCATTTTTATTCTTCACATGACAACATAATGAGCTAAATTTTAAAAAGGAGGGGAAAGCCGAGCCAAATCAAACGCTTATTCCTTAAGAATAAACCTAGTTGTTAGCCACATAAAGTATCGTTTTCAGAAGTTGGAGCATCTTAAATGCTTTATAAACTGTTTTGCATACACAATTCACTGTATAGTCAGTATATTGATTTTGAAAATTCCTGTGTTTCCATTTAGAGAAACAGTTAAAATATAATTTTTGGTTAAGAGTGGAACCCAATTGTTCCAGAACTAATTCTTCTCTGTAATAAATATAAAACATTATATTGACTAAAACAATGGGTTTGTGCATGTACATTTAATTCATAAAAATCAGATCATCTTAAAGGAAATATACAGTTTCTTTTCATTTTGTCCTAAAATGACAGTTATAATAAATTACCAACAGAAGCCAACTGTGTAGTCTAAGGCTAGCATAGTGATTATTTGTAGGATTTGCTGGTCTAAGACCAGAAATATGCCAACATAAAGTAAGGTAAAAGGGAAAGAGAAAATGAGGGACTTCTCTGATATTTGGTAGCTAACATTTATGGAATCCTTAGAGAATTATACAATGGCAGCCATTCTTATCTATTGTTTTTTCCTGTTACTTCTGATAAAGAAGTGCTCTTCTGCTTTGAAATCTACTTACCATAGGAATTAGTTCATGGAAAATTTGGTTTGCCTTTATTCTGAACTTTGCTAACCTGTCCATAGATGATACCTTGAAGTGTTGGTTTAACTGTTATCACTCTTTCTGTTTCAATGATTTTGAAACACTTCATTCATTTGTGTAGAACAGAATATATATCTGGTATCATTTTCTTACAGTATGAACAACTTCCTGCAACATTTCTTGTTATGCAGATCTAATTGTGATACGTATTCTCTGTGCTGTCTTTTTAAAATTTACTTTCATTTTTGAATTTTTTCCTGGACATAGAATTCTAAGTGGACAGTTTGGTTTCATTTTTCCCTTGGTCTGTACTATGTCTGTTGGTTTGTGTGAATTCAGAGAAGTCTGAGGAAGCATTGCACAATGTTACTCAGAACAAATTGTTCTCCCCCCTTCCCTTTAATTTTAAAATTTAATCACTGATTTTTGGAAATTTGAATATATTGTACCTTGGTTTGATTTTTTTACGTTTATATATCTTGGGAATTATTGATTTTCTTGAGTTTGTAAATTTAGATTGTTGTTCAATTTAGAAAATATTTGGTAATTTTTTTCTTCAAATACTTTTACGTTCCCTCAACCAACCTACTTCTAGAGATTGCTTGATATTATCTTCTTCATCTATAATGATCTTTTCATTATTTTAAAATATTTTGTCTCTCTTTGTGTTGTATTTGAATAGTTACCATTTCTGTGGCTTTGGTGCACTGATTTATTTTCTTCTCCTGAAATTTATTTATCATAAATCTCATCTGGTGAACTTTTTATTAAATTAATTAAAATTTCTATCTCCAAAATTTTTATTTTTAATACTCTTTATATTTAACCTTATTATATTAATCTTTTACTTAAATCATTAAGCATATTTATAATATTTAGAGTAACATGTTTAAATGTTTCTCTGTTAATTTTATCTCTACATATTTGTATTTTTTTTTTCTATTCTTGGGGCATATTATACCAGTCCTTTTCATATTTACAGTTTTGGATAGAATGCTATATTGTGAATTTTACATTGTTAATTGCTGGATTTGGTTGATATATTTTGTAGTGCTGGACATTATTGGTAGCAGAGAATTAATTTACTTATGGATCTAACCAATATTTACTAAATAATTGTTATGTGTAAGACATTCGAGTTACAAACATAAAGCACACATTTCATAACCAATACCTAGGGAGGGGACAATTGTAAGAAATACATGACTAAATACAATGTAATATTTATTATCGTGGAAATGTGATGGGGTTTGGTAAGGGTATCTGAGAAGAATATTATGTTTCTTAGTGAAAGGCAGGGAAAAACATAGAGGAGCCAATACTGAAAATAACCTCTAAAAACCTCTTAAAAATTAAATGTAAAGTTTCCAAGAAAGGAAACAGAAAAAGACTCTATATGTAAGGACTCATATGTATGAGAAAAAAATGTGTGCTGAAGCAACTGAAAGATAAGAGTGGGAAGAAGAGAAAAAACATGGAACAATGAAATGTGATAGAAAATCTAATAAAAAAGATTGATTATATTTTAAAAAGTTATATCTTTTGTGCTGCTTTTTTATGTAAAATATCATATAAAATTAAACTGAGAATACTTCAGAGGGGAGGAAGTGAATAAAGTTACAATGCTCAAAAGTATTTAGTGAATGTTCTAACATATGCTAGACTTTATAAGATAAGGATATATGTTGTAACCTTTAGGGCACCCACTGAAAGAATATTGAAATATTGTGAAAATAATAAGGATGATTACTTAGAAGCCTGGAACTATATGTATTTAATATGAGTAAAGAAATTTATTTAATGTAGTGTTCTATCAATTAAATATTTGCAGAAAAATAAAATTTGACTTATCTCTAAGTATGCCACAAAATCAGTTCTTGGTAGATTATAGAACTAAATGAACAAATAAAACCATAAATTATATGTAATTTGTTGAAAATCACATAAATTTTAATTTATATAATTACATATTACATATATAATATCTTCAGTGTCTTAGGTTGTTAAATATTTGTTTTAAAACACACAAAAACATTATCCACAAAATAATAAATTTTATTATTATACTACTAATAAAGATATTTGTTCATTTAAAAAACAATTAAAAGGGAAAAGACAAGTAAAGAGTTTGAGAAGTTATTAATATTTGCAGTGCCTATAACAACCAAAGGACTTGCATCTGGAATATATAAAATAAGTCTGTAAATTATTGAGAAAGGAAGAAGACTAGGAACTCTAATACACATACCTCTTACTACTATTATGCCAAGGAAAAGGATTCCTGAATCATACAATATATGAACTGTGAAATGATCGTATTTAAAAGGCAATGCTAAACTCTTTTAGAGCATTTGCACCAATTTAGAATTCCATCAGCAATCTGTAAATCATCATTCTTGACCATTTCTTTAACATTTAAATTTTTGCCAAGAAAATAGGTATAGAATATTATTTTTGTGGTCTTGATTTGCATTTCCTTGACTAGCAAAGATATTAAAAATTACTTTACATATTTATTGGTCATTTCCGTTTCATCTGTGAAATATCTGTTCAAGTCTCTTGTCCATTTTTCTGTGGATCCTTTGTCCTCTTTACAAGTGAAACTTAATTGCTGTTTAGAATCACAGGCTACATACCTGCTATTTAAAAAATGTTAATCCAGCAAATATAATATTTACTTCATCCCTTTAAAGTAGCAGGAGCCTGTATAGGGGAAGATTCTTCTCTATGATAAGATCTTGGTTTCCTTATGCTAGCTGCATTTGCCTCACCCTGCACATGTGCTGCAGCGAGAACCCTGAAGTCAGAACATTCCACCGCTGTGCCTGTGCCTTGCTGAAGCTGTCCTGACCTCAAGGAAACAGCCATCTCAAAGCCAGGCCCACCTGGCTGAGCTGAGCTCACGATGCTCTTGTGTTTTAAACTTTCTTAAGCCCTTTGTACTTAAGACAATCAAGCTTCTTTTATAAACAGTGACTGTCTACGGTGTTTTAAGTCACCATAGGAATCCATGACCCACTGGGGGAAAATTCCCAAGTCCTGTGTGACATAAGGCTTAAAGTATCACATAAGGGTTAGAGAAAACTATACAACTGTTAAAAAATATTTTCAGAAACTAGTTGTATTTTGCAATTATAGAATACTTCAAATCACAAGTAAACCAAGCTCCACTGAAAGTCTGACTCACTACCAATTCCTCTTCTTACATGTTTCTCAGTGTTCCCTGACCTGGTACAAGATCCCAATACTCCCCCAAATTTAATTTCTTCACAAAATAGAGACTATCCCAGTAGAACCCACTAGAATTCACATTGAGGAAGATAAGAGAAGCAGAATGACAAATACATATAAAAATGAAAAAAAAAGGGATTAAAATGAAAGAAAGAGTATCATAATGGGACAGCCTCTTGAAATAGGAAACTCCGTCCTGAAAACTCTGTCATGACCTTGCTTGCAAGTAAGGAAAATTATGCTGTCTTTAGGAGTAAAATACGATGTAAACCCTTGCTCTTAATATAAGCATTTAATATATAAATAGAAAGTAAATAGACTATGAAAATGTTTCTCAGCTAAAAACCGGGAAGGATGTCTAATAGACAAAGGCTGAAGAACCAAAGTTCCTGAGGTCTGATAATCATCTTTTTTAAAGATGGCTGCCTGCCTGGAGATGAGGCAGAGAATCTATCGCCTTATTAACTTTTAGTTGACAGATTAAGGTTGTAAAATAAGAATGGTTTTCAGAACTGTGGATAAGCACCGACTGAAACTTTCTCTCCTTTGCCTCTTTTATACAGAAAACACAATACTCTGAGGCCTTGGAATATGTTTCTTTTTAAATGGCCCCACCAACCAGAAAATCAGATATGGCAAAGAGGCACTGGCTCCTGAATATCTGTGCAAATAAGCAGAAAGAAAAACAGAACAAACAAAACATCGCTTACTACTAATAATAGGACAGCATTATTTCCACACAAGACTGATGAAACACTGCAGTTACAAACTACTTTGTGTTTGTGTGTCTTGACTTTGTTGTTTGCTTTGTTTTTTTAATCACCATCTCCATTCCGGGGGCCATTTTTATCATATATCTCCAAGAAATATATGGGTATAAGCATACATAGAAACAGCAGGCATCAATTTCTAAAAACTCTGTGTCAACTTCACCTAAGTGAAGTTCTTTTCTTGCACTGATGAGAAAAATGTAAACATCAAGTATTATGAAAATAATCTGTGGTAGAAAAGGAGACGACTAACATGTTCTGAATAATTGAAGCACTGCCTTTCCTAAATTTACTGACTAAAAAATTGTGACATTTTAGGAAACCTGATTCATCTTTTAAAAATTGCAAAGCTTGCTTATATCTGTGAATTATAACAAAGCCTTCAATTATCAAAGTTAAATACAAACATAAAATTCAAGTTTTTGTATTAAACAATGTAATTACTGACTTAAGATCAATACATTTAGTAAAAGGAATGGCTGTTGGAAATAAACACAAGTGAATCAAGGACTGAGGAGACCCCTCCAAAAAAAAAGAATCCCTTATACACATAAATGTATATGACAGAAAGATAAAATATTAAAATATGAAGAAAAATGAAGATTAGGCCCACATATAATAATGATTTCTAAGTTAAAAACAGATTAGAAGGCACATAAAAGATACAATATATGAAAAATATTTTTTTCTTAAAAAAGCAGCCTGTTCTTATTATTGGGCATTTATATCAGTTCATCTCTCAAACTTAATGAAAAGCATCCATATTTAGATAGAAATGTTTTTGAATTTTCAAAAGTTACACATAAAATATATTTTAAGTAAGAATATTAACAATATGAGGTTACTTTAGGATAATAAAAATCATATTGATCTCAGTATTTTCTGTACTAATGCAAAATAATGGACACTGATAGAACAAAGTGCAACAATTGGAAAGAAAAGAGTTGTGACTTAGACATATTAAATTTAGTCAAGTTGTCCATATTGTGACAGAGGATAAATACATTTTCAGACATTTTGCAACTCAGACAAAATATGTTCAAGATAGCTTTATATAAACACTGTTAACTCATATTCCTGAAAAATGGGTTAAGACAAATGGAACTGAATAATTATCTACATTGATTCACATTAGAAGGAAACATTTCTGAACTGAAAACAATTGGCCCGTTAATCATAATTTCAAGGGCTGGATATTTTCAAGAATTTTTTAAAATACAAAATAGCTACAAAAATAGAAATTTTCTAAATTTAATGTGTTACATGTCTCAATTTTCCATCCACAGTGTACTTTCATTTAGTTGAAAATAATAAGCAACTACTTCGTGGCAGGCAATAATCTAAGGTTAGTGATAACAGTGGTAAACAATGCAAATACATTTCAAACTCTTAGGAAGTTTACATTCTAGTGAGGGGTTAAAGAATCACTCAAACAAACAAATAGATAAGCAATAGTAAGTGTTCAAAGAAAATAGACTGCTTTAATATGGTAATGTGATGTATTTAAAGTCAGGCAAAGGCATCAGAGCCAGGATGAAAACTGAGAATGAGAAAATATTAAGGTAGGTATACTATTCAGGATAGGCTAGGGTATGTTTCTGTAACCAAGGGCTCTGATATTTCAGGGTTCAATATTACAAAAGCTTGTTTTTCACTCATGGTTTCTGTCCCAGCAGGGTCAGTGGGGATTATGAAATATAAAATCACACAGGGACTAGACTCATAGATGCTGAAATATCTCATAGATGCACTATTTGGAACATGCAACTTTCTATTAAAAAATAATAAAGAGTGATATTATATGATTTTTCACTGAGCATGTAAGAGACTCATATTCTTTCCACATTTAATTGGCTAGAATCATATGCATAACTGAAAATGTTTTGGAAATGTAGTGAAGTACTTGGAAGATTTGGTAAGCATTACTGCTATTGATCCACCAGAAGAATGTAATGTCACAGAAACAAAGAAAAGAAAATTTTGAAAGAACATGAGATAGATTATATTTGCAGGCTGCTACTGATTTATGGTCCAAAGTAAACTGTATGTGATGATATGGATGCTGTTAGTGGAGTAATATACATAACTTATTGTATATCTTGGAAACTTTGAGACTGAAAAGTCAATCATTAACAATTAGCTAGTGCAACAGGGGTAAGCCAAGACTGTTCAATGAAAATTGGAAAATATATTCACAGTAGTTATCCATGACCTGTAAAAGAGTGGTTTCAGCAAAATAGGGCCAAAACCTTGCTCTAGTAGATTGGGTTGAGGCTAGGGGATGAGGCGAGCAGCCTATCAGATGAGTTATTTTGTGAAGAGAATCAGAGAAGCCGGAAGGGAATGTGAGTTATAGTTTTTTTTTTTTCATTTTGTTTTATTTTTATAATGCTAGAGATACTAGAGAATGCTTTTAAGGGGAATGATTGACTTAAGAATGAAAACACACACACACACACATTTAGGTAGGTGTAAATGGAGTGTAATAGAATTGATATCCTTAAGAAATTATGGGTAAGTAGGATCCTGAGCTCCAGGTGGGGCTGAGGTAAGGAGAGGGTAATATGTGTTTGATTGAAGCAACAATCTCTTCTATAACAGGAGAGAACGTAGAGGGCAAAGTTTGAAATCAAGGTAGGTCCATAAATTCTAGAATTTTCAGATGAAAGTATTTTCTAAATGTGGCTTCTATTTTCTCAGCAAGCGGAAGGCAAGGTTATCAGTTGGAAGAATTGCAGAAAAAATATGTAAAAATCATTTATAGCAATAAGAAAGCCAGTTGTACAATCATAATGACATTAATTCCCATTTCCCAGTTCCTCTAGAAGACCCATCAAAATGCCTTGCAGACCCTGTCTTCTTTCTTTTTATGGTATGTTAGCTTGAATTTTGTAAAATTCACATTATATTTCTGAAAACACAAGTCTATTTGCATATTATCATAAATTGAACCAGCAGAGCCAGGACTGTACATATACTTCTAAGCCATTTTGTCTCCACTAGGGTGAGCTTTGAGGATGACAGTCTATTCCATTGTTGTTTTCCAAGCTGTCCCATTGGTGGTGGGAGGGGAATAATGATGATCCTTGATAACAAAGATTCTTTTTGTGATGTCTTTGAATTGAGTCCAGCCATCCTTCTGTGTTTGCTAAGCTCTGAGATCCTGGGCAAACATTACCCTCTACAAAGATTCTTGACTCCTAAAAGTTTAAAGTGTTTAATAATTTATTCTTCAACTCAAACTCAGAAATCCTTTCACACAGGTACTTACATACTTTGAGTTTCCTGGGAAAAGATGAGTTTTGGTATTAGCTGGCACACACTCTATGCCAAATCAGTATTTCCCAGGAAGGGGGTTGAAAGAAGGCTGCCAACATTTTATTGCTCCAGGTAAGTCTATTAAAATGTCATCATTCATAATTAACCTAATTACATGAAACAAAGAACATTTTAACACAAAATCAGAAAACACAAAATCTATCATTGCTCTAGATTGAATACATTTAGTTATTTCAAACTTACCACAGTTTTTATTTTGGAAACCAGCCCTAAATCAAACCTTCTCCAATAGTATGACACTTTTGTTTATAGTCTTCTATAAGTATCTTATTTCACTGCTTTCTATACTCACATTTTATGATGGTTTTGCCTACCTTTCATGCCAGTGTGTAAGTTCCTTGAATATGTAGAGGTTTGTATTATAATGTCAAACTCCTGTGCCGCATAAATGGCCCTTATAAGTATTTTTTGAAAGAAGAATGGGCAACTACAAATCAAAATCAAAATGTTAATTAGCCATCCAAATGACTCTAATTTGCTTGCTTCTTTTCCTTCAGAGAGACAAAATGTATGAAAGAGATTTATACAAAGTTTAGACATTTTCTTATAGTTGGTTTTCCTTATTTATAGTTTCTTTCCATAGTTTGAAACATGCTAGTTATATGCCATATGTATTTGCCCCTGTTGCCTTCTATTACCTGAAGAAAAGTTTTATAATTTTTGGCTAATGTTCTTCAGATTCCATTAACAAGATTATTCAGTTGAACTAGCACATTTTGTACTGGTAGTTATTAACACAGATGTAGTAGCTTCTCTTTTGTCAGAGTAGCACAGTCACTGCTTAAATATATTTGACAGTTTGTAGAGGCTAATGTCCACATTTCTGAAAGCGAGATAAAAACTTGATTTTTCAAAAATAGCAATAGACTACTGCATTTATTACCTAATAGATGCTAAATTCCTATCTTGGCATATATTATGATAATTGGCTTATAGAGACAATCCTTATCTTTAGGAATCTTGGGGTGATAATTGACAACTGTGATTATATTAATTTATGCACTTGCATTAACTTTTGCTTGAATCATAACAGAAAACAATTCTAATTAATTTAACACAATTTGTATTATACTTTTTTGATTTGAGACAATAAACCATTCTGACACTTTTCCACAGAATATTTCATGAATTAAAATTAATGCATGCTATTTGAATTTGTTCTTGTATGTTTATTTGATTGTGCTTCTTTCTGACTTTTTTACGTATTCCTGATTCTTTTTCTAAATGCTTTATATTTTTCTATCTTAATGCTGGGACCAGAAAACAAGAGTACAGGTTACAGGCTTTCAATCCATCATAACTGTGAAGCCGGTTCACTAGTAACCAATTTTAAGAAAGGACACTCACTGAGTGGAAGATAGCAAATATCATCACCATGCCAACCACCAGGAACAGGAGTCAGAACACTTCCATCCAATGCATCCTGGGCTGCAGTTTCACCAATTGCCTAAGTCTGGTGAGACAAACACACTTACATGCAACAAGTTATATAAAGGAGATTTACTGCTTACAGATAGGCAGCAAGGGGCCAAAAAAAGCCTACAATCCATTGTGGGCTGGTCCCCCAAGGCTCAAAAAAACTGCCTGGGGTGGATTGAGTTTTGACTGTGCATGGCCCAATTGTACCACAGCTGAGGAACATGGAAAGGCAGCCTGCTTATATAACACAGCGGTCACAGGACTCACTGCACAAAGCTTTGAAGGATACCTTGCTTCCAGAGGTGAGAAGAACAAAGCTTGGGCTGTCCCAGGATGTTTCTCTCTAAATTGAGGTGTTACATCCCCTATGAGGAAGAGGAAGAAGGCTTGGACTATTTGGGACAATTTCGCCTTAGGTCAGGGTTTTGCATTACCAGCACATTCTATAGTTATTCTGAGAATTACAGGCAAGCAGAAGACAGGAGAAATACTGAGTTATCCAAGTTTGTCTGCAGACCATCCGGCAATAATCACTATGAAATACTGGCTTCATGCCCAAGTTCACATGGTCTCACAAGGGCAGTGGCTTGGCTCTGCTTAGCCTAGCTCTAACACGATAATCTGACAAGACTGAGCTCCCCAGCAGGTCTATCCCTCCTGCCTGGGCTCATTACACAGCTATTCTTTCTCAATTGCTGGCACCACTCAGATCACGGCCAGGGAGCTGAACAGAAATACCCAGGTCTTAAGGCATTTCAGTATGTACATCAGGGAAACTAAGATATGGAACTAAGGTAGTTTTAGAGTTAATTCTATTGATGTTAACTTGGGGAACATCTTAAAAGAGTAAATGATTCCAGCATAGGTGTCTTCTGTTTCATTTTCTTACCATTCCAAATGCATTCTAGGTTTTATAGTTAATAGCTTCAACCTGAAACTCTGTTAAAAATTACAGAAAATATACTCTTCCACACAAACACCAAAAAGGAACTGGGAGAGTGCTGCATTTTGAAGATTTTTTGACAGATTTTAGCACTCTTTCAAACATCAGTATTACAACACTATGTAGACGTAGAAAGTTGTTCTTTACTTCCCATATAAGTTATGAAACCTGGATATTTTAGGGTGCAGTTAGTTTTTAAGTTTTTTGAACCTAAAGTATTTACCAGGTTTCATTTTGTAAATGCCTGTACTTTTCTACTGAATATGCTTAGTGGATTCTAGAACTTGGAAACATTCCATAAAAGGAAATGACATAATTTCCTGAGTGGGATGGATTGCCAGTTGATAAATAACAGCAGCATGCTCTTCTTCATGCTGGTGTTCTCATGAAATTATAAAATTCCATCATGAAAAATAAAATGCAAATTAAATTTTGTTCCGCTTAATTATAAAATGTTTTGTGCTTTGAGCATTTCAAAGGCTGCCAATATTATAGTGTAGTTTACTTTGTTTCTTTGTTTCTTAAGTGTCAAGTATTGTGAACCCCAAATATCTGAGACAGGTCTCGGTTAATTTAGAAAGATTTTTTTTGACCAACATTAAGGATGCACCCATGACACAGCCTCAGGACATCCTGACCACATGTGTCCAAGGTAGTAGAGGCCCAGCTTGGTTTTACACATTTTAGGGAAGCATGAGACATCAATCAAGATATGTAAGATGGACAGATATTGGGTCCCGAAAGGCGGGACAACTCGAAGAGGGGAGGGGACTTCTGGGTCATAGGTAGATAAACGACAAACGGTTGCATTCTTTTGAGTTTCTGATTAGTCTTTCACTGATTATGCAATTTACAGAAGTAGTCACTTATGCCTTAGTCTGGTTTAGTGAAACAATAGGACAAAGGGAGCAATCAGATAATGTGTTTGTCTCACGTGAACAGAGGGACGACTTTGAGTTCTTTGTGTCCTTTGTCCAGGAGGAATTGCCCTGTGGGCAAATTGTGAGAGAGGTATGTGGCTTTTTTGTGTTTGTAGCTATCTTATTTAGGGGTAAAATGGGAGGCAGGTTTGCCCTATGCAGTTCTCAGCTTGATTTTTCCCTTTCGCTCAGTGATTTTGGGGGTCCTGGTATTTATTTTCCTTTCACAGTAAAAACCTCAAAAACATAACAGTAAGTGAAAAAAGCCAGACACAAAAAACCATAATATTGTGCATTTTGTAAGATTTTATTTAGACAAAATGTCCAGGAAAGGAAAATCTATAAAGAAAAAAGATTTTTGGTGGCCTACGGCTGGTAGTGAGCATGAAGAGGGACTACAAATGGGCATGTCATTTATTTCTAGGACAATGAAAATATTTTAAAATTAGACTGTTATGATACATGCTGTAAATATACTCAAAAATCATTGAATTGTGTAGAACAATAAGTGTGTTTTATGGTAAGTAAATTATATATCAATAAAACTATTCAAAATGCTAAGTATTTCATCCAAGACTCATATGCATTATAACAAGGAAATTTGAGTTATTCTTATAATATGGAAACTATTTAATAATCTCCAAATCTCTCTTATTTTGTCAATGGCTACCTGATATCTTTCAAAATTATCACGACAATGTGGAATAAATACATCAATACAGGGCTAGTATATCACCAACACACAAACAGCTTTTATTAATATAACAATCACCTCTGATACTGAAGTAAGACAAGGTTTCCCTCTTAATTCTGGCTCTTCCCTAAGAAAGCTTGAAGCACTCTGTTATAAGGGGTAGACCAATTATATGGCTTGGCTCTGTGTTCCGCCCACATCTCATCTTGAATTGTAATCCCCATAATCCCCACGTGTCAAGGGTAGAACCTGGAGGGTGGTGATTGTATGATGGAGGCAGTTTACCCCCTGCTGTTCTCGTGATAGTGAGTGAGTTCTCATGAGAGCTGATGGTTTTCTAAGTGTTTGACATTTCCTCCTACATACACTCCTTTTCTCCTGCTACCATGTGAAGAAGGCTCTTGCTTCCCCTTCACCTTTCTCCATGATTGTAAGTTTCCTGAGGCCTCCCCAGCCATGTGAAACTGTGAGTCAATTAAACCTCTCCCTTCGTAAATTACCCAGTCTTGGGAATTTCCTTATAGCAGTGTGAAAATAGACTAATACAACCAATCTTAGAGAAACTTCTTCAGCTGGTTAAGTAAATGTTGAAAGTTTTGGAAAATCATAGGATGTATTGAAAGTGTACTTCTCAATATCTCCATTGTACTAGGAATCCAGAAAACTGGGATGTGGATCTGTGAGGTTTATTATTTAAGTTACAGATGCACCAAGGTGACAATACAGTAGAGCTTCCCTCCAAGGGATGTAAAGAACAAGAACACATGAGGTAGCTTGGAACATCAGACAAATATTAATCACACATACTTTGGGAAAAGTAATTTACCATACATATAACAGATATAGGGCTAATTCATTTTACATACTAATAGGTTGTTATAATTAATAATTAAGAAATAAAAATAAATGGTTTAAAAAGGGAGACAATATGTCTGCTTTAGATTGTTTGCCAAGTAGAGCTACCCAGAACTTTATGCAATGGGATTCTGAGCTCTGGTCATCTTGTTTTTATCCGGCCATGATTGCTACAATTTTTCATCTTACTAAGTATGGGAGCACAAACACACACTGATGGACACCTTTTAATTCTGCATATATTCTTCCCTGCCTCCATTCTGTAGTATCAGCTCTCTCTTTTCATGATATTCAGGGTTGATTAGCTTCAAATAAACAGTCATGTACTGTATAACAAAATTTCAGCCAGTGATGGACTGCACAAATGACAGTAGTCCCATAAGACTATACCATATTTTCACTGTACCTTTCCTATGTTTAGACATGCTTAGATACACAAATATTACCATTGTGTTACAATTGTCTACAGTATTTAGTAAAGAAACAAGCTGTACAGGTTTGTAGCATATTGAGAATAACTTGAATCATGGCTCTGTTTTTTACTAGTTTTGTGCTCTTAAAAAATTTGCATAATTAAATTCTGTATCAGTTTTCTTATCTTCAGAATGGGATTAATAATACCTGCTTTCTTTTCAGGGATTTATAACAATGAAATAACTTAATACAAGTAAACAATGCAATTTTTTAGAAATGCAATTGTTTAATTGGACTAAATGCTATTATTATTATTATTATTATTATTATTCCACTGATGATGGTGTTATTTATCTATACCCTCCTGGATGGACTTTTATATTATCAATTTTGCACTATTTTAAACAACACTGCCATAAACACTCTTTATAAGTGGCAATAAACATTTTATGCACTTTTGAACAAGATGTTCCCCCTGGATATATATTCCTATATATCCTATGCCACAGGGTAGGTCTATCTTCAATTTTCTGGGTACCGTAAAATTGTTCTTCAATATAGTTGTAATTGTTTATACTCATACCAGCAGTGTGTAAGACATAAAGTTAAACTACAGCATTACCATCAATTGCTATTGTCACACTTGGCACCACAAGACAGTAATCCACTGTTGTGTTTCCATAAATAATAGCACAGCCAAACACATTTGCATATTCTTGTGTCTTCTACTTAGAAACGTCTGTTTATAAATTTAGCTTATTTTTATTATTTATGAATAAATTTTTATATATTGCAATTGTTATTTAAACATTTTACTTGTTTATTTTATAAACATCTAAATTTCTGTGGTTTGTCATTTAACTATGTTTACATTGTCACTCTGTAGAACAGATTTGTGCTATAAGTAAAAAAGTAATAACATTAGAGTTTTATATTTTTGTTATATTTTAAATTTTAATTCACCTCAGATGTATATCTGTCTATAGAGTCATGTATTTATTTATCTGATTTAATTCTTAGAGAAATAATTTTATACCCTGTTTACAGAATAATCTATTTTTTTATCTAATGTGAAATGTGATGCCATCAAATTCCCAAATGTATTGTATTGTGTTTCTGTACTGCTAGTCTGTTTCATTTATCTGCCTGTTGATTAACTCATTGATTAACTCATTTGTTAGTATGTCAATCACAAATATTTTAATTGGCATTGTTTAATTAATAAGTTTTGGATCTGGTATGCCTTTTGTTTCTTAATTATCTCAAGTTTTCAGGTGATCATAGCCTCTTAATATTCTTTATATATTTATTATTTCCTGTTTTTCCATTCTCATGACTGGATTTTTCTATGTTAGAGTGCCAGTTATTCTTGCTTTTTAATATATCAGTTGGATATTTCTTTGTGAACAATGGCAGCAACAAAACTAACATGGTTGACAAGTACAAGTCAATTTATTTAAAGCATATTAAAGGGCTCACACATTTTATAAAAGGCCAGAAGATGAGGCTGAGGAATAATTAGGATCAAAGGGATCTCCAAAAAGACAAGAAGTAGGAAGCAGGAAGCCTATTACTGAGACAGCTTGAAGAACAGGTTGTTGAGCCCCTGCCTCTGCCAGTCTCACCAGGCCCAGTGAGATGTGTTCCATCATGTCCTTTATTTCCTGTGCCATGTGCTTGAATCTGGTCTCATGGAAGAGCATGTTCTTTGGTGGTCTTTGGCCACATTCTCTCTTTCTGTCTTTCAATAGCTGGTAGAAGAAGGATTCAACACCTTCTGTTGCTTCTACTGCTCCTGTAGCATCCTCCACAGGGGGATTGAAGATGAGGGAGAGCTCAAATGGGACCTTCTGAAGCTTTTGTTGTGGCACCTTAGCTTCATTTTGTCTTTTGAAATTCAATATCCTGTTTCGGGTCCTCTGCATAGAGTTAGAAATGCATTTTATATAGTTGGAGATATAACCTGGATTTCAGATTCTATCCTATTTTTATCCACCTTCTGTCCACTCTATCCACAAACACTAAAAATTTTCCCCAGTCTGCAACTTCCTCCATAGTCAGTGTTATCAGTTTTACAACCTCTCATCTTCACTCATGTGGACTTCTGACATAGTCTTTGAACTGACCTTTGTGCTTTCATTCATCTTTATTCTGAAACCCATTTTCCACACAGCTTTCAAAATGACCTTTTAAAAATGCAAAATACATCATATCACTCTCCAATTTTTAATATTCCTGTGTCTTCCAAGTCCACTTCAAATAAAACTCTAACTCTTCTGTGGCATGCATCAGCTGGATTGTTACCTATCTCTAAGCTTATTTTCTCTCGGTTTTACCCTTGCACAGACCAATCTTGACAGGAAACATGATGAACCTGTTTGCTGCTCAGGTCCTTTGTTCGTCTTCTGGCTTCTGCTTGGATAACTCTCCCTCCTGATTTTTGCCCACCTGGTTCCTCCTCATCATTCAGGCTATAATTCAAATATCTTTTCCATAGAGAAACCTGGCTACCCTGTCTAATGGTGCCCATTTTCTCGCCCCAGTTACTCTCCATCACATTATTCTTAATGATATAGTTCAATCATTTATCATGACATGAAATAATTTTATGTTCTATATTCTTATGCTGTATATCTCTCACACACTAGAGTTTAAACTACGTAAGATTAGAGGCTTGTGCTGGAACATTTTTATGAGGAGTGTTAATGTCTGGAATAGTTGCTACAGTTTAGAAAGCACTCAGTAATGCTATGTTGTATGAATAAATGAATGAATGAATGAATATCTGCAGCCTAATTCTTATGCTTCTTTTATGGGCAACCCTTGTCTTTGTAGATGCTGCCTATTTGGTATTACTCTTTTCAGCTGATATTTCCACTAACAGACCCCACCAGAACTCAGAAAAGAATCATAGAGGAGAGAAAGGCATAATTTGTTCTTATATCACCCCCCACCTCTATTCTACTTTGCTCCAAGTAGCAAGGAATTTCTGACAATCCTGAGTGTTTATTTACCTTCCTTTCTCACTCAGTACTCCATCTTCTGTTCACAGCTGGGGACAGTCTATGCCAGAATATTATTTTTTTTCTTAGCTCTGATTTTTTTTTTTTAATTTCACAGCATGCAGTTATGCTCTTGTTTATTTGGCTGTTTGATATCTTTTTTTTTTTGCCTTTGTATGAATTTCAACAGTTATTGGAAGAAGAAAGTCCAATCTGTTTCATTTTACCATCTGTTGATAAAATCTCAATTTTTGTTTTGAAGTTTAAAAGATTGTAAAACTGAAGACATTTCTCTATATGAGAGTGTGAGTGTGTGTGTTCATATGGATGGAAATAATCCCGAGAGAATGTAACTCATCATGACTAATGAAATCTTAAAATATAATAAAATCACATAAACACTTCCAACAGATATTTTAAATTTTTAAATACATGCTTTATAACAATTATTAACTTTTCTTCTAGTTACATAGTTTTCATTTTCAGACATCATCAGAAAATCTCCTCACATGTTTTGTGTATTTATTTTATATTTTCTTGCTTTTACATAATTTTTCAAATATTGTTGTGCTAGGGCTGGGTGCATTGGCTCACGTCTGTAATCCCAGCACTTTGGAAGGCCAAGACAGGTGGATTTCTTGAGGTCAGGAGTTCGAGACCAGCCTGATCAACATGGTGAAACCCCATCTCTACTAAAAATACAAAAATTAGCTGGGCGTGGTGGCAGGCGCTTGTAATCCCAGCTACTTGGGAGGCTGAGGCAGGAGAATCACTTGAGCCTGGGAGGCGGAGGTTGTAATGAGTGCAGATCACGCCACTGTACTCCAGCCTGGGCAACAAAGTGAGACTTTTCCCCCCCCGCCAAAAAAAAAAATTGTTGTGCTAGGCCATAAGCTAAATGATTACTACAATTTCTCTTAACCTAAAATAATTGCTGTCAACATTTATATGAGTTTTTTAAATACTTCAATTTTGTAAATTTACTTTGGCATTATTTGTATGGAAATTTATAACCCTTTCCTTCTATAAAATAAACAACATCATTTCAAGGCAAAAACTTGAAATTTAAATGCTCGTTGTTTGAGTCAAACAATCTTTAAGCATTGGGGACCTGGCTTTAAATAAAGGCATAAAGTTTATAAATGCTCAATCAGCTTAGCACTAAATACTCTAAGGCTCACAAAATTATTGCTAGTAACTAAACATCCGGCTTCTTTGCTATAGCAATTAAAAATTCCAACTTTTGCAAATTTGGCATGTTTATAATATGGTGGTTAATCATTTTAAAGTAAAAACAGATATCTTTTAAGTTCAAATCTAACAAATCTTATGTGAATTTACCTGTAAGAAAACAGGTGTTGGCCGGGCGCGGTGGCTCACGCCTGTAATCCCAGCACTTTGGGAGGCCGAGGCGGGCGGATCACGAGGTCAGGAGATCGAGAACATCCTGGCTAACACGGTGAAACCCCGTCTCTACTAAAAAAAATACAAAAAATTAGCCGGGCTTGGTAGCGGGCGCTTGTAGTCCCAGCTACCCGGGAGGCTGAGGCAGAACGGCGTGAACCCTGGAGGCGGAGCTTGCAGTGAGCCGAGATCGCGCCACTGCACTCCAGCCTGGGCGACAGAGCGAGACTCCATCTAAAAAAAAAAAAAAAAAAGAAAGAAAGAAAGAAAGAAAACAGCTGTTATTCATCTAAGAATTATTTATCTAAGTGTGTGATAAAATTAGGCAATAAAAAAGTGTCTGTTAAAATAAAATTATACCCAAGATGAAAAAGATTTAAAAAATTGTTTTAGACTGATTGCATTAACAGCCTCAATTGTTTCCCTCTTTCTGTGTCCACGTACTTTACGATATGACTTTGCCATTCATCATATTGAAGAATTAGTGTCCTTCATTCCTTCAACTTGGGCTGATTTTGTGACTTACTTTATCACAGAGATTGTAGCAGAAATGATAATACCAGTTCTGAGACTATGCCTGAAGAAGTTTTGCGTATTTTCTCTTGCGTTCCTATGCCTTCCCTATTCTTATGTGTGAACATTATGCGTCAACTTGAGGGCCATGAGAAGCTGCAGCAGGACCTCCACTGGCTCTTCAGACTACAAGCCTAACCTGCAGATTTTGAACTTGGCATCCTCCATAATCATGCGAGCCAATTCCTTAGAATAAATTGTTTTCTCTGCATATGTACATGTACACATCCAACTGATTCCGTTTCTCTAGAGAACATTAATTAAGACACCACGAGAACCTATTGGACGATAAAATACAAGTTGAGGGGAGTTGCCATATTGGTCCTACCCAAACCCAGTATAGACTAATCAGTAACCAATAAATCCAGCCAAGATGAGCAGGATCTCCTGATTCCAGGTGATTTTAAATGCAAGAGCAAGAAACATTTTTTCTGCAAGCCGATAGAATTTTTATGTTGTTGTGTAGTAGTATTATAACAATAAATTACTTCTAATTATTAGGCCCTTTTTAAAACTTAAAAAATATTTTTTGGATTTCAACAGGGCATTGTTTACTAAATGAGTAACAGAGTTATATTTTGTTCACATTTTTAACAGAAGCATATTTCCGAAGTTTTGCCAACTCATTATTAATGACAACTGAATCTTTGAAAATTATAACCATATTTATAATTTAAATATGATTACTCAGGTAGAAACTCTAGAGAAGTAAAGTTGCTTACATTTAGTTATAGCCATCTGAAAGCTACTTAAAATTATTTAGAACTAAATTCAAACACTTTTGACTACAGTTCTCAATAGAGATGGAAAAGAATTTTTGATAGAAAGAAGGATTCCTGATGATGTAAACACTTGTTTTACTTGTTGCCATGTTTCATAAAAGATCTACAACACATAGAACTAAATGTTCAAAAAAGTAATGAAGTATTTAGATACTACCAGTTTCTTACTTATTCCTAATGGCTAAAGAGAGTAAATTTTATCATAACTTAAACTATCCATCATGAATAACTTTAGTTAAACCAAAAATTGCCTGAAAATTAGGGGAAACTTTATAAAAACAAACTTATTTAACTTAAGATAAAATCAATTTTAATTTTTTCATCAGCTTACACACACACACAAAAATACACACATTCTGGCGTATATGTATATATATATATATAGAGAGAGAGAGAGAGAGAGAGAGAGAGAGTTTGTGCCCTACCCTAGTATTTCAGAAAATTCCATAAATGTATCTAAAAAGATAAAATTAACAAAATCCTAGCAATTATTTGAATCTCTTTATTTTCAGAAATTTTTGTATCCCTTGGTAAGACACTTATAAATAGATACGTTTCCAACAAGCTGACACTGAACTGATAAACTTATTTCCATTCTGTGTAATTCATGTCTCTACTTATTTATTATATTATGATAACTTTTATTTTTATTTTTATTATTTTTTTTTTTTGAGACAGATTCTTCCTCTGTCACCCAGGCTGGAGTGCAGAGGCGCAATCTCGGCTCACTGCAATCTTTGCTTCCCGGTTTCAAGTGATTCTCCTGCCTCAGCCCCCCGAGTAGCTGAGATTACAGGCACCTGCCACCACGCCCAGCTAATTTTTTTATTTTTAGTAAAGACAGGGTTTCACCATGTTGGTTAGGCTGGTCTTGAACTCCTGACCTCAAGTCATCTGCCCGCCACGGCCTCCCAAAGTGCTGGGATTACAGGCGTGAGCCACCACACCCAATGTCCACCAAGCACCATATAAATTTCCTTACTTTGAAAATTCAAACTTAGACACAGTCCCTTCCCACAGCTGCCTCATAGTATAAAGGCAAGCAGACTTTACAATGTACTCATAATAGGGTTTAGCATAAGAAGACTAATGACACATAAAATGGACAAAATTCACATACAAGTGGCAATGGACAATTTCCTGCAGGAGATTATAACTTAGTTCAGCACAATATGTTGAGATGAATTGGTTAAGGACTTAAGAAAGAAGCACATTTCAGACAAGAAGAAAAGCATGAAAAACTGATAAATCAAGGTTTATTACCACAATCATCTGCAAAACTTGTTCAAAATATAAATGTATTTTGTATCTGCTTCTGGGCAACTGAAAGTCAAATTCAGTACATGTCAGGTTTCCTCAGATATTTCAGAAAAAAATAATGTGTTCAGTGATTCAAAGATGTATCCTAGGTTAAGAACAGGTGAGCTAGAGCAGAGTGTTAGAGGTGGAGTAGTAAATGTCAAAACTAGAAAGAATGCCTTAAAGGATAAGAACCTTAAACCATAATGGAATTTATATTACAGCTAAGGCATTTGGACTTTACCTAAAGAATACAAGAGGTCAATAAAATAAGAGTGCATATGTTAGCCTGGAATAGCGATCTCAGATAGATAGATAGATAGATAGATAGATAGATAGATAGATAGATAGATAGATAAAGTGGCTATATTCAGCTCCCTACTTGTTTAGCTCTCTCTCTCTCTCTCTACATATATATATATATATATATATATATATATATATATATATATAAGATTTTAAGAATTTTTTTTACAAACTGCAATAATCTTTTCAATGGAAAATTGTGTTTTTGTATCACTTCCAGTTCACTTCATTAATTTGTTAAGCGTAGACTTTGTTTACATTAAATACAAACAATAAACCAAGCTATTTTACTGTTATAACTTATACTTTCTCTCTCTCTTCCTCTCTCTCTCTCTCTATATATATATATACACACACACACACCTATAAATATTTCAAATGTGAGATCAAGAAACATTTTTTCTGCAAGCCACTATAATTTTTTGTTGTTATGTAGCAGTATTAGCAGTATTATGACAATAAATTACTTTCATTTATTACGCCCTTTTTAAAACTACAAAATATTGGATTTCAACAGAGAGATCGTGTTAAACAAGTAGGGAGCTGAATATACCCATTTTATGTGTATGTACAAACATGTCCTCTTCCCTCAGATATTCTACATTCTTGCCCTCGCTCTTATTCTTTTTCACTATAGAATTTCTGAAATATGTTCCTTCAATGCACAAGAAACTTACCTACACCCTCACCCTCTTGAATGAGGCTTTATTAGATGCATTCATCCCCGCCCCACCCCACCCCCACACAAAAAAAAAGCCACAAAAGTTTTGTCTTATTCTCAAGATGATATTTCCCTTTTGGTTCTTGATTCCAGACTACTGTGACTCTTGCTTTGAGGGAGTGCAATCAGTAGCATTCTATTTATCCCCCACTCTCAGAATACCTTTCTTACACTTCCATAAAACAAATGAAAATTTATGACTTTTGAGGCTCATGCCTGTAACCATTCTTTATTATTATTATTTACTCTTATAAATAAAAATATCGGCCGGGCGCGGTGGCTCACGCCTGTAATCCCAGCACTTCGGGCAGCCAAGGCGGGCGGATCACGAGGTCAGGAGATCGAGACCGTCCTGGCTAACCCGGTGAAACCTCGTCTCTACTAAAAATACAAAAAATTAGGCAGGCGGATCACGAGATTAGGAGATCGAGACCATCCTGGCTAACCCGGTGAAATCTCGTCTCTACTAAAAATACAAAAATTTAGGCAGGCGTGGTGGCGGGCACCTGTAGTCTCAGCTACTCCGGAGGCTGAGGCAGGAGAGTGGTGTGAACCCGGGAGGTGGAGCTTGCAGTGAGTCCAGACTGTGCCACTTCACTCCAGCCTGGGCGACAGAGCGAGACTGTGTCTGAAAAAGAAAAAAAAAATCCAGACTTTGCTATCAGATTCACCAGTTTCTTCCTCATCTTGACTCTCGTAGTCATTCAAAATAACCTCAAAATTATCACAGTTTACCTAATGAATAATCTTGGCTTTAAATTCTTTGACATTCTCATACCTAATCATCTTCACCATTCTTAGAGAAAACCTCTATACTAGTTTGGAATTCCTTAGAAGCAGAAACTGAGACAGAGATTTGTGTCTGAATAGTTTTTTTAGGAAGTAATTTTAGGAAATAGTTATAGAGAAATGAATAAGGCAGAAAATGGAAAAAAGACAAAAACGTTTTCATTAATTGTTTTTATACCGTATGTAGCTGCAGCTTAATTTCTTTAGGAAATGTCACAAGACAATTTTAAATATTTCTGAGTTATGACAAATCAAATAAGGGGTAAGAAAGCTATGGCATTTATTTACCAACATTGTGAATATCACTGGTTGAAGGATGCTTCCAGAGATTAACTGAGGTATTTCTAGCTTACCCTATACACAGGGCAGGTGTGTATTGCAGAACGAAATAAGACTCTAAGTCACATGGTTACAAGGGTTCAAAGAAAGTAGACTTCCATGTGTAGAGATCAATAAAAGATCAGGAAAAAATAACTAATGGGTACTAGGCTTAAACCCTGGGTGACAAAATAATCCGTCCAGCGAACCACCATGATACAAGTTTACCTATATTACAAACCTGCACATGTACCACTAAACTTAAAATAAAGGTTAAAAAAAGAATAAAGATTTTGTTTGAGGCAATAATAGCACATGGTACAAATTCCAATCTATGCCCCTGGACCTTGGTTAAAACCCCAAGATTCTCTTCTTTCTTCAAAACTGTTTTATCTCACTGTTTGATGACAATATTCTTTGGTTGCATTAGGTCCTCCAACCCATTAATTTATAATCGCCTTATCCACGAGTCCCTTTTTTTTTTTAATTTATCTTCTACCTAACCTAGATTTTATGGTTCATCTTTTAAGCCACTGATAGCCTATTTCTGCACATTTCAAAAGTTGAATAAGAATCTGAGTCACTCCTAATTTTTGAGGTTGTAGTAATATACAAGATGTAAATGCCAAATAGTGAGTGAAAAAATTGGTTTATTGTTTGTATTTAATGTAAACAAAGTTTGTGCTTAACAAATTAATGAAGTGAACTATAAATGCAACAAAAACATAATTTTCCATTGAAAAAGTTATTGCAGAGTTTGCAAAAAGTATGTCCTCTGCAGATATTATAGTCTAACAGTGAGATTTAAAGTTTAAACTATTGAGATGAATGTTTTCTTTGAAAATTTTCTAGAGTTTGACATGGGCATACCTTTTCATTCAGAATAAACATCAGATATCTCTCCTTGAGGTCCACTTGTGTATTACATAACAATGATGCCAAAAATATTCTAATGAATATTTGCTTGTTACCTTATTGTGCACTTCTGTTGGGTAAATAACTAGGAATGGAATTAAAGACATGTTTAGCTTCAGTTGACATTTCTAAATAGTTTTTTAATTGGTTATGAAGTACGATAGTGAGAATGACCACTCCCACATATTCTCTTGGTTCCCAGCTGATGCATCTGGATGTGGAAAAGAATACACCATATAATTAGCGCTAAAGGCACATAACACATTCTGCAGGACAGCAACCCAAACTTACATTTGTCTCCCAGTCATCAATATAATTGAGCCTGTAGGAGTTACATAATCATTTTATCAAATCAGTGCTTCCATGTGATATAAAATGCAGAAATGCCTGTGAATAACTAAGGAATAAGTTTTTTGCTACATTTAAGTTGTAATAAAATTTCCCCTGGTTAGAAGTGATATTGTGTGGAATATCTGTCTGTCCATAAGGCCACAAATAGAGGTGCTGACAGGCAGGCTTTGGCCAGAGAAGGCAAATACTAACTTAGAGTATATGTCCCAGTGAGGACAAAGGAAAGCTCTCTCCATAAAGGGGAAACTTCAGTGTTATCAATCTGGCATCAGATAGTTGCAAATTTCTACAGGTGATGCTACCGTATTAAAGCTTCTATGTGGTTTCTATTGTTGTCTAATAAACTGTTGTGATGGTAAGACCATTTTCTATGTCTATGCATAACTGTAACAAAAATAGCAACTTTTTACATGGGCCCATTGTACAAAAACTGAGGGCATTGTGAAAAACACTAACTGACAAACATAACAAACATCCAATATCATCTCTTCTACCTGAACAGTTAGTCTGTTAGACTGTTGATGCTCTCTAGTAGGGATCTAAACAGTGCATAATTATTTTGGCCTAGCCCAATAAGTGCAATCATATATTATACACCTAAAATTTCTTGTCATTAATATTCTAATTTTTTTTCTTCCTAAGAATCTGACAACCTGACCAACCCGTTGGCCACCGCTCATGAGTGAGTGTAAATCTGTATCTCAGATCATCAGTAACACAATGAAAAATTACATTTAAAGCCTACAATTCTGCCCGCTGTCAAAATTCCTGTTTCCTGCCATCTTTCAGAGTCATCCCTGGCTATAATTGTATTACAACAATTGTCCCCTTCAAAGCAATGCTTTCATGCTATGGATCTCTATCAACCAAATCTTTGCATTTCCTTTTCCATTAGTCATAGGGTATTCTCCACGAAGTTCAGTTGAAGAAGAGACAGTAAAGCTACGAGAGCTGATGCCATAGGCCTGCAATTTACTCGTGCCTTCCATATCTGCTAGGTTTATTTGGTGGATACGTCACATACATTTTTTATTGGAATATTGTTATACAAATCTCATTTTATGGTTTCATGTGTCAAACACTTCAGGTTCATGATTAGGCATCGCAGTCAGAGATTCATTTGATGTCCTATGGTCAGGAATTCAGTTTTTACCATTGCTGAGTACCTAGTCAGGAGCTGTTTTTTAAATGGCAGAAAAGAGTATGGCCTTATGCAAGCCTTTAGGGATCTCTACTATTCTTTTCCTACTGAGGCTTAAAAGGAATTCCATACAGCAAACACTGCAACCAAGTAGTGTGCCTCTTTATTCACGATGGGCAATGCAAAGCATAGCAATTTATCTCTCATTTTTATAAAGGACTTCCTGAAATGCAACAGACTACTCTAGCTTTAAATACTTCTATGATAAGCACTTATTTTCCAATCTCTATAAGCATAATATTCATAAATATTCAAGTGTGCTTGTTATAATTTTTCTGCTCATAAAGTCCTTCTATGGTCTGAATGTTTGTGTTCTCCCAAAATTCATATGTGGAAACCGAATCCCCAGTGTGATAATATTAAGAGGTGGGGTCTTTTAGGAGGTCATTAAGTCATGAGGGCAGAGCCCTCATAAATGGGATTAGCACCCTTATAATAAAAAGATTCAAGGGAGATTCTTTTTCTCTTTCACCAAGTGAAGACACAATTAGAAATGCTGTTTATGAGAAAGAGGCCCTATTTCAGGCACCAAATCTGAACTCCTCATCCTCTAGAACTATAAGCAATGTATTTCTGTTGTTTATAAGTTACTTAGTTCTAAGGCATTTTGCTATATAAGACTAAGATAGGTCCAATTATTACAATATTATAAACTAAAGGCCCAGTGTGATTATTTTTTGATATTGGATAAGATATAGTTGATGACCTGCCCCATTTTTTTTGGTTTCCTGGAATAACATCCAAATAAACACTACACTCAAATTTTTGGCTTCTTTTGGAAAATTCTAGTCTAAGATAGCTAACAAGATTAATAAAATTCTTCTGAACTATGATGTGACAAAGAGAGGTAATGTAATAAATGTTACTGCTCATTCTACAAATGCAGCCTGCTTCAGATTTCATTTATTAGTGAGTTAGAAGCTATATTCTCTAAGTGTTTGTAGATTTACTTTAAAAGGGGTAACAGGTCTTGAATTGTAGCTGATTGGCATCACCATCTAATTATAGTTCTAATAATTTATTATCGTTCTCTGCCCCACAAATTACTTCCTTTGGGCAATGGGCCTAAGAAGGGAGTCATCACTTCTTCATCTCTCAGAATTTTCAGTGGCATTAATCTTTGATGTTTCCTCCAAAAGGAGTTAAACCAATGCCTTTAATTTAAAGTGAGGGTGGGAAGTTACAGGGGTTTCTATTAAGCCTTTACTATCATAGGAACCCTCATGTGAGTCCAGCAGCTATCAATGGGTTCATAATTCAACTAGAAGTAGTGTTATATGGACTTGAGCTCTCTATTTAATCTCTGATTTCTTTGTCTCCATTGTCACTCCTAGACCTCAGTGGCATTTTGAGTCTCTCATGGTCAATGCATGCTCAGAGCTAATGTCTAATACAAATACAGCTATTAATGTTTTCCAAATCTACAGTTACCCAGAAAATGGAGGATAATCAAAGGAATATTTATGGAATACACATGTGACTATGAAGCAGGGTCTTTCCTTGAAAAGACACAGTCTCCTCTTCAATCTAGGGACCAGGTCTGGAAACTAGTTTAGTGCTAAAAACTGTGTTAAAGACATAAATTCCCACTACCATGAATTATGCTTCTTAAATTTTTCCTTTGATGTATGTCAAGCAACACCTTAACCTGGTATATATTTATTTTTAGATACCCCGTGATTAGTTAGCCATCACTGGAGATCGCTCATTAAATAGTACTTTGCAACTATTTTAACCCTGTGGCTTACCGTGATTCTTGTTCTCATGTAATCTCAGACAGTTAAAACAAATCAGCTTCTACTCCTCCAGGATAATCACGTCATTTCTACTGAGATGATGGAATAGAATTCCATCCCAGGATCCCACACGTCGTCTCTGACCTACAAAGGTGAGGCACCACAAAAGGCTTCAAAGTTGCTGGTACCCCCTCAGCCTAGATAATGGAACATCCTCTAGTACTTTGTAGGATTCACTAAGCAGTTTGCCCATAATAGATTTGACCTAAGAAACCTATTTTCTGCAACCTAAGATTTTCCCCTCCATAGTAGACCTAGAAAATTCAACAATTTCAAAGTTATTAAATTTAGTCCAATATTTAGTTTAGGCTTTGTTTACGCAACCTAGCAGACTCTTGAGATCACTCCAGGGAACTCAAGTCAACATATTGAATCTTGGTTTCTAGAAAGGTACATATTTGTAAGGAATTTTACCCATATGAGTCTTATATTTACTCCTCCTTAATCTAATGCTCTTAAATACCATTCCCACATAAAGAAAATAACCGGAAATTTGAACAAGCGGAACATTATCTGATATATTTTAACAAGAAACTCACCTGCTATAATTATTAATTTACTAAAAAGAACAGTAAGTTGAAGATGATCACTCAGGAAGTGCATAAAATCTAGATAAGAAATGACAGAAACTTACACCTGAGATGTATCAGTGGTGATGGTAAGAAAGGGTTGAATTCTAGAGATAAGTTGAAAATAAAACTGATAAGACTTACTGGCGTTATTAGTTTGAATTTGTTATTTAGTATAGAAGGCCAGTTTCAAGAACCTTGATCTCCTCCTTATACCATATAAAAAATCAAGTCAAGATGGATGTAAGACTTAAGTGTAAAACCCAAAACTATAAAAACTCTAGAAGAAAATCTAGGCAATACCATTCAGGACACAGGCATGGGCAAAGACTTTATGATGAAGATGCCAAAAGCAATTGCAACAAAAGCAAAAATTGACAAATGTGATTAAACCAAAGAGCTTCTGCACAGAAAAAGAAATGCTTCATTTTTGGCCTACAGTCACTTAACACTCTATAAAAGCTATTGAGAATGCCAAACAGGTTTTGTTTGTATGTATAAAACCTATTGATATTTATTGTATTAGATATTAGATACTAAAATAAAAAAATTTCAAATATATATTTGTTAATTCATTGAAAATGAACAATAGTAAGCCATTATAAGAGGCTTATCATGCATAATTTTATCTGAAAAATCTGACTATAATTGCGTAAAATAGTGAGAACAGCATTGTTTTACAATTTTCCATATCTCTTTAATATCTGGACTAATAGAACACATTTAAATTTTCATAATCAGTTACATGCTGTTTGGGTTAAATTATGTGAAGTCTGTCTGGTCTTACACAGACTTGTTACTAGAAAAGGGCATATATTAATAGCTTTTTCAGATAATTATGTCTCTATTTCTTTAATACTACAACAAAACTTAAAAAGAGGTAGTTTTTTAAAGGTTAGTTGCAATGTGGAACCTGAAACCTTATTTATAAATTTCATACTCTTTTACATTAGCTCATTTGAACTTTGAATGAATCTTTTATACTTGCATGATTTTGTAACATCATGCACTGATCATTTGGAAAATATTAACTCATGGTGTTGTGCAAACCATTCCAATTCTGACACATTTTATTATGCAACATCAAATATCTCATTCATAAATACCACCATGAATCTTATTTGAAAAGACTTGAAGTATTGGGAAATTGTCAAGCTCTTGGTGGCAGATACAAGCTTTGTGAAATTCTAATTTTCCACTTGAAAGCTAGAATGTTATCATTGGCAACAAATGCTCTCCGTTATTTGAAAAGACAAACTTGCTTTATTTATTTTCTAGGAAATATCAGCCCAATGCCTAAATCTTGACTACTATAATTTTTGTTCCAGCAATTCTTTCAAGTGAAAACCTTTTTTCCACAAAATAAGTAGTTAGTTCAGCTTGTAACTGAAAGAGGTGCATAAGTGCTTTTTCTCTAGGGAATTTAGTGAACATTGATATTCAGCAAAAATACTTTTTAACATACTCTCAATTTTGTCACATATGGTGAGGAGTTAATAAAATAACAATTTGTACTACTTCATTAGGACGTTTTTAAGTAAAGCTGTCATTTGTGTGTGTGTGTATGAGTGTGTGAGTGTGTATGTGTATGTGTGTGCTGTAAATGCAAGACAGAGAAGAATATGATGATTTTCTAGTACTGTCAGTGCCACTGTTTTTATTTGTGTTAAATTACCAGCAGGTTATGAACTGTTGCTTTTGCTTCATCAGGGCAAATCTCAGTATTTTTTTTTTAATTATCTTAAACAGAAACATGCATCAGATTTTGAGTTCCACTGGCCTGGCAACTTTATGATTCAGGAGCTGGTGAAATAAGCACAGGGTGAACCCATGGATATTCTGGGTCCACTGTGTGATGGAAATTGGCAAACATCGCTTTTATCACGGGACTCCAGGGGCCCTCTGTAACCCATGAATGACAGTAGAATTCTGTGCATCCAGGAGTTAACGATGCCTCAGAGCCAGTGACGAGTAGCTATACAAACATCTCAGTATACTCCTTCCCTCCATATATTATATCCTTGAAATGATTCTGAGTGCCACTAGCAAATGACAGAAGGAATACTTGCCGTATATCTTTGTGTACTGTCATGCAATCTTTCTTTGAGTCCTGGGTCTATTCTTTCTTTGTGAACTAATTCACGTCTGTTTGCAGAGGAGGATTTTACTCACTCTATTGTAGTGGGTAATATCTGGACCTTATTTATTAAGTTAAAGTTATATATATATAAAATATATATATACACACACACACCTATATATATATAACTTTAGACATATATATGGCTGAAGACTTTAGTCATGTATATATACGTATAGGCTCCATCATCAAAATTGTCTCAAAAAACTCAGCATCTCTGATTTTGCTTGTGTGTGTGTGTGTGTATGAATATATAAACATATTAATATATTAAATATGTAAATATACTATATATATATATATATATGTCAAATAGGATTTGTAAAGACTGGTTGTATATTTTGCCCCTAGGAATCCCATGACTGATTAACCACCTTCCAAAGATCTTACTATATCAAACCACTCTGATAACCAGTCAGCATGGCTGGATTTTTACAGAAAAGTATCTGGTAATCATAGGTTGCCTTTTAGCTTCTGCTGTTTCAAAATCATGTTTTTCTTCTAGTATCTTTCATAGACTATGAGTCTAGCCATTGCCGATCTTTTTAAGGATGTGGGTATTCTCTTCTCCGGTCTACTTTTTGTCACCTTACAGAATTATCTGTTAGGCTCTCCTGAAGTATATAGTTAAGGTGAGAAGATTCCTTTTATGATAATCTACATGAACATTTTATTTTGTTTTATTAATCTTTTGCATTTTCTTTATTAGAATATAAAAGGAATTTCTGGTCTTCTAATCTCAAGTAGACCAGATTTCAGTCAACCATTTGAGTAATCTTCAAAACTATCTGAAGATAATCAAATTAATTCCTTGAATGGAGAACATTGTTTTTAATACACCCTTATAGATAGATATTTTTGCCTCATCTAAAATATGTTTCTTTTTTATGGTTGTAACAAATGAAAAAATCTATTTCTACAAATATTACTCAGCTATAAGTTACAATAATGCTACAATATTATTGATATAAGAAACTTCTTTCAGGTAGGATTTTGCACTTGTCTCACTGAAAATATATTGAGATCTGGGCTGACATATGGATGTAATGGCAATTGGAACAATTTGCATGCAGTGTGAGGTCAACTGGCATTCCCTTGCAAGTTAACACCCTGAGGAGCAGTCACTACATTGTTTCTAAATAAGCCAAGACTAGCCCATTACACAAGTCTGTCACATAATTGTACCCATGGTATCTAAATTCATCTAAAGATCTCATTCCAGTTCTCATAGTTCCACTTTATTCCAGAAGTTTCCTAATTTGAAACAACAGATATGACAAGAATATGAATTAAACGTATATGGTAACTTGGCCAGGTTCAGTGGCTTACGCCTCTAGTCCTAGCACTTTGGGAAGCAGACGAGGGAGGACGGCTTGTGCCCAGGAATTCAAGACCAGCCTGGGCAAAATAGTGAGACCCCATCTCTATAAAATAAATAAATAAATAAATAAATAAATAAATAAATAAATAAAGGGCTGGGCGTGGTGGCTCACTCTTGTAACCCCAGCACTTTGGAAGGCCAAGGCGGGTGGATCACGAGGTCAGGAGGTAGAGACCATCCTGGCTAACACGGTGAAACCCCGACTCTGCTAAAAATACAAAAAAATTAGCCAGGCATGGTGGCACACGCCTGTGGTCCCAGCTACTTGGGAGGCTGAGACAGAAGAATCCCTTGAACCTGGGAGGTGGAGCTTGTAGTGAGCCGAGATTGTGCCACTGCACTCCAGCCTGGCAACAGAGTGAGGCTCCGTCTCAAAAAAAAAAAGAAAGAAAGAAAGAAAGAAGGAAATAATAAAATAAAATAAAATAAAACATATGGTAAGTCATCAACTCAAAGTATCAGATCTAGAATATGCTGTGTGAAAAAACAGTCCTGCAATTACCAGAAATAAATTATTTTGGAGAGTTGAATTTCCCTCGCTTTTTGTGCTTTGAGCCATTAATTTCAGTTTTGTGTTTATTCTCTACTCTTTGTAATACAAATTGAAGGAGGCAGACCATGCACAATTTGTGTTACCATTAATATGTCTCATTGCAGCAAACATTTGTTTTTTTTGGAGAGTTACGTTAATTGGTTCTTCATTCCAGGTAACCAGATAATATAATTTCAACAACTATTTTGCATATGCCATGATCTACTAGTGTCCCATTTTCCAACAATAACCAGAGGATAATTTCCTTAATGATACCCAATCAAATAATAAAATTAATTTTCTTCTTTAAGTGTCTACAACCACTTCTGACTCCAATATTGCACCATTCAAAATGAGATCAGAAAAAAAGCAACTACTGTTAATATTTTAGGGTAAAATTATTAATATAAGAATATAATTGATACAATCTTTGAGCGCTGGAGAAAGGGATTCAATAGGCTATTCTTATAACTAGTGAATTCAAGGCAAGAACAAACAAACTGCAATTGCTTAAGTTCAGGAAAATCAAACTGAAATAGACAGCCACTCCTCCTCTTCTCCCATATCTTTCTCTTGCTGTCCAAGAAAAAAGAAACTTGATATATAAATGCTAAGTACAAACTCTATCATCAAAATAGTCTCAAGAAACAGCATCTGTGATTTGGCTCATTAGAACATTTTAAAGCAGGAAAAAATATATCTGTTTGTCCTTTTTTGCATTCAAATATGTTATGAATTCTGTCAATTGATGAGATTTAATTTGCATCCGAACTCCAACTAAAGAGTCTGTAAGAGTTGGTTTATGTTTTCTAGTTTCTATATTAAAAAGAGACACAGAAGAAGTTGTAAATGAATACAAGTGTGTATCTTCTATTTTCAGTTCACTTACTATGTCTGTATATTGTTTATAACCTTCAGCAGCTCCCTACAGCCTTCAGTTCAATTTAAAAAATATTAGTTAGGCATAAATTATGTTCTAGGTACTCTGATAGTTGATAAGAAAATGGTAAGTTTATAAAGTCTAACACCACCAAGATAAGGCAAAAATTAAGTAAATAATTTAGACAAGTGAATTGAATAGGGAAAATATAGTGTAGTATGGCAATGCATGGGGAAGGGTTTTACAGTGGTGTAGAGTGTGAAGGAGTGAGTTGTAAACTGAAAAAGAAGAAACAAACTGGTTCAGCTAATCTCTGTGTGGAGGGCAGGGCATAAGGGAGGGAAAATGTGTCAGGGAAAGATAAGAGAATAGATGTGTTTAAGTCATCAGATAATGCAGTGCATCATAGAAATAAAGAATAAAATATCATGGAGAATGAGAAGGAGAATGGCTCAAAATAAAGCTGAAAAGGTAGAAGCCATATGCTTTAAGATAGGTTGAAGGTATGATTTTTAACTTGAGGGCAATGGCATTCCATTGAGAAATTTAAGAAGGAAAATGAAATAATCATACACTTGATTTTTCAAAAAAATGATGAACAATATGGGAGCATAATGAACAATATAATGAAGAAGACAGGGAGATAAATAGGACATTTTGCAAAAACGAATACTTAAAGCCAGAATAGCAATTACCTAAAGTGGACTAAGGAAACTAAAGATAGAAGGAAAATATTAGATTTTTGGTTATGATAATCATTAATTCAAGCAGTTGTTCATTCAGACATTTGACATGGATATAAACAATAACTAGGATAAACTATTAATATCATATTGTTCTACCTGTCATTTCAGGTGTTCTTAATATAAGTTATGATAATATAAGGGGACTTTAAATGCTTGTATACAGGGGAGTAGGATCTTCATGCTTCCACCATCAAACATGTCAAAGTCATTAAAAATAAATAACCGTTATCTTATATTTGAATATTATAGAGAATGTATAGACATTACACCAAAGTGGACTGATATTAGTTTCTATACTAGGACCTGCCAAAATTATACTAATTAAACAATTTGGTATTTTGAGATATTTATTTATAAAATTAGCTACCCCGATTATTTAAATATTTTACTTATCATTGCAGGGAAGAGGTAAGTTTAGACATATAAATATATATGTGCATATATATGTGTGTGTTTTATTCTTATCTGTATATATTAAGTTAGAATACATTTTCCGCAGTAGTTAATATATTTTATAAACTTTTTCAGAATCATATTCTTTCTGAATATTCTAATCAATCATTTAAATGTAAATGAGGATTTCATTTTTTAGGCCTTATCAGATTTCTAATGATTTTTAAAAATAATTTCAACTTGTATTTTAAATTCAAGGGGTCCATGTGCAGATTTGTTGCATGGGTATATTACATGACACTGAGGTTTGGGATATGAATGATACCGTCACTCAAGTAATGATTTTCATTGATATGAAAATAATAGTAAGTCTTCAAACAGATGTGATTTCTTCCAACACATTACCTTACCCAGTGTTTATTTTTTTAAAAGAAGCTAAATTAAATTACAACCTGTAATTCAGGAAAAAGCCACACGACATTGGGCCTGGTAATGATTTCCTGGATATTTCACAAAAAGCACCAGTAACAAAAGTAAAATTTGACAAATAAATTCAACTATATCAAAGTAAAAGTCTTCTGAACAGCAAAGGAAACAATCAACAACATATAACCTAAATAATGAAAATATTTTTAAACCATACATCTGATATGAGATTATCCAAAATATGTAAGGAACTGCTACAAAACAATAGCAAAAACACCAATAACCGCATTAAAAAAATGAGCCAAGTACTTGAACAGTATTTCTCTAAAAAGGAAGACATACAAATGGCCAACTGGTATATGGAAATAGGGTGAACATGACTAGTCATCAGGAAAATACAAATTAAAATCACAATGAGATTTCATCTCACATCTGTTGGCATAGCTATTATGAGAGAGAGAGAGAATGAGGAAGAGAGAAACGGAAGGAGAACATGTGATGGTAAGAAGGTGGAGAAATTGGAACCCTGGTACACTGTTGGTGGAAATGTAGAATGGTGTGGTTGATGTGGAAAATAGCATGGCAATTCCTCAAAAATTAAAAATAGAGCTACCGTATGTTCCAAAAATCCCACTTTTGGGTATTAATCCAAAACAATTGAAAACTGTTTCTTGAAAAGATATATGTGCTTCCATCTTCATTGTAGCATTATTTACCATAGTCAAGTTATGGAAACAATCTACAAATTCAACATATGAATAGGTCAAGAAATATAGATACACATACAGTGAAATACTGTTCAGCCTTGAACAAAAAGGAATTCTGCCATATGAGACAACATGGATGAACTTGGGGGACATTATGGAAAGTGAAATAAATCAACCTCAGGTGGACTAATACTACATGAGTGCACTTATATGAGATATCTAAAATAGACTAATGGGAACAGAGAACAGAATGGTGGTTTCCAGGGCTGAGGGGAAGGGCAAACAGGGAGTTGCTATTCAGGGAACATAAAGTTTCAGTTAGGCAAGATGGATAATTTCTACAGGCCCTCTGTACAACATTGTGCCTATGCTTAGCAATACTGTGCACTTAAAATTATACTGAAGATAGCTCTCACATTAAGTGTTCTTACCATAATAAAACAATAAATACAAATAAATTATAAAAATAAAATCAGTATATTATGCAAACAATTAAATGGTTACTTTTTATTCTAATAGTTCAAGAGTCTAGACTGAGGGTTGGTTTTAGGCAAAAGAATTATTTAATCTTTTTATTGTTTTATTTTACAAATGATCCTAGACATTTTATGCAACTGGTTACACATGACTTCACATCTCAAGCCCTGCCAAATGTATGTGCATTTATAATGTACCCAATACTTTTACACTCACTTGAATGACATATTATGCTCATTTATTCCATGAGAAGACGAGGATTAGATGTTGCATAATACTACATCTAGAATTCTAATTCCAAATGTATTACTTTTTTCAATCATTCTTGCTATCTCTTAACAATATCCAGATAACTGAATGACATGATAACTGTAGTTAAACAATGCCTTTGCAATTGGTCAGATAATTGGAGAGAAAATAATTTTCCTGCAATTTCTCTAGGCAATTTACTTAATTCTGTATTGATTTTTATTTATTTAAAAAGAAATAGTTGAAGACTATTGATTTGCAGGCTACAGAGAGTTTAACAGTTCATAAAAATACTTAGAGTCAAATAGAATTTGACTAAATAGGAAAAAGACTTTTGAATCCTACCATTCTCTACACTGCTATTTTCTCTTCAAAGCACAAGTTACAAACATGAGAGATTTTTGTTGCTGTTTCTACAGTTCATTTTTGCATCCAAACTAATTGCTTTAGATTAACAAACAATTGTTCACACACCTCTGGGCAGTAACATATACAATTTAGATAATGTGATATACTCAATGTACATTGCTGAACTTATTGCTGATGCTCTAAATCAAGCAATATCAAGAAAATGTACCCTGAAATGTTAAGACTTTTTGGTTTCATTTGTTATGCGCACTGCTACAGAAATCCAGATATTACAACTTGGCATAGTGTAAAGAAATTATTATAATATTCAGGCTTATAAAATCCTCCTCTTTGTGTCAGAATTTCCTGACTTCTATATTGTAAGGGAATCTATGTGGACAATAAAATTCTGGTAGATTTTGTATTAGTTTTAGTACCTTGGATATAAGTAACAGAATCTGATTCTCGCCACTTATGCTAAAGGGTAAAGCAACATGTCTGGACTAGGCTAGAACACTAGGCTTTACAATACTTAGAATAAAAATAAATTGTGCTGCTCTCATGAAGGAGAATCGACATCAATTGACCAACAATTAACCACACATTCTAAGGCAAAATCACCTATGTCATAGTTCACTTTTATCTGGGACTCCTAGAATCTATACCACAAACACACACACACATACACACACACACATACACACAAACACACACACACACATCTTAGTAGGTACCTTTTTTCTATGAATGGTTTTTAAAATAAAAATATTTGGAGAAAAAAGCTAAAATTTATGCTTTAATTTATAAATAATGATATGTAAAACTGGAGAATTGTATTTAATTTAATTAGAATAATTTTAAACTACAATGTTTTTCCTTTTTTTTTTCGTATTCTTCTCTTTCTTTTTCTTTCTTTTTAGTCTGAACGGGTCACAAACCATTTAATACAGTGCTGAATATTTAGAACGTTAGTTATTTCAGTAGCAGTAGGTTACTCTTTGCCCATAGAATAGGGCATATGTCCTGACCAGGCTGGGTTTTACACATAAAAAATACAGATTTATCATGCTAAGTGCAGTCCAAAGAAAGCGTAAATAATGATAAGAAATTTCATTATATACTTTCTTGACTGATCTGGACAGGCTTGATTAGAATACATTTTTTTCGCTCTTTGGTGTTTTGAATGCTTACACGTTATGGATTTGTTAGCATTTTTGTGATACGTTTGCCCTCTATAAAAGTCAAGTTGTGTGTCATTGCTATTCTAGCTTAGAATACTGTCACTATAATATTGAAATCTGTTCATAAGTAATGAATGGTCAAAAAACTTGCCACTCCTCAAAATCTAAACTGAACCTCATAGAAATAATCTCTCTTTTTAAGCAAAATAAACTGTAAACAATTTATTCTTATTATTTAATCTGGGAACAATATCCCAGTAATAGATGAATATAATCTTATGAAAAATCGGTTGCTGTCTGAGAACTGTCATACTGATTATTTATTTCTGGAAAACTGAATCTCAGTTTTGGCTCTGAAATCTTAAATAGAGTTCTCTAAGAGGTATGGTTTCATTGTAAGCTGAGGTAATGTCACCTTAATCATCATGACCCTTCCTTGAACAAAGAGGATAAAAATGTTTCTCTGTTATGTAAAAAGGACAAGTGACCACAGATAGATAACCTATGATTAATGGCTGCTAATTTTTTTCAGGGGATGTTGCAACTAAATTCCAGGAGAACAACAATAATGATAGATATTTCAGGTCAGGAATTGGGGAAAACAAATTAAAAATTCATAGTAATGCCAAATTCATAAAATTTTAAATCTCTTGAACACTTATTTCAACCAAAGCACTATTTTTGACATTGCACATATATAATCTTATTTTGTATCCATAATCATATTTACTATATGATACTATTGGATAGATGAAGGAACTATCCCAAAGACATGCAAAGTCAACTCCCAGTGTTAGATAGCTAGTAAAGGATTTTAGGAAAGGTGTTCTTAGTTAAGGTTTTCCCTCTCGAACATACACTATTAACTGGGAAGGAGCTAGTCCTTAAACAACTGGCCTGGAAAGTAACAGTATAAATGAGAAGCTTTGAGCTTTGAACTTAACCAGCCTGGCAGCTTGGTCCTTAGTGCCTACAGCAGCATCCAGAGTGGCCCAGGTGCAGATCATTAAGTATGTGGTAGTGGGAACCGGAGTTTTAGGTAAAACTTGCCTGCTGGTCAATTACACACCAATGTATTTTGTGTAGAATATATGTCCACTGTTTCTGAAAACTCTTCTTTCCATATTATGATAGATAGAAAACTGGTGAATCTGGGTTTATGGGATACAGCTAATTTAGAAGACCATCACAGATTATGTCTCCTATTCTATCCTCAAACAGATTTTCTTTTTCTTTATGAGTCCTGCATTATTTGAAAATGTCTGTGCTAAGTGGTATCCTGAAGTGTGACACCATTGTCCCAACACTCCCATTAACCTATTGTGAACCAAATGATCTTAGAGATGATAAAGGCATATTAAGAAACTAGAGGTGAAGAAGCTGGCTCCTATCACCTGTCCACAGGGATTAGCCTTGACTAAGGAGATGAGAACTGTAAAAAACCTATAGTGCTTGAGCTGTGAGGACTCAAGACAGTGTTTAATGAAGTTATCCCATCAGCTGTCTGCCCACTCCATAAAGAAAAAGGATACAAAATGAATGTGCAAAGATCACAAGCATTCATATACACCAATAAGAGACAAACAGAGAGCCAAATCATGAGTGAACTCCCATTCACAATTGCTTCAAAGAGAATAAAATACCTAGGAATCCAACTTACAAGGGATGTGAAGGACCTCTTCAAGGAGAACTACAAACCACTGCTCAACGAAATAAAAGAGGACACAAACATATGGAAGAACATTCCATGCTCATTGATAGGAAGAATCAATATCATGAAAATGACCATACTGCCCAAGGTAATTTATAGATTCAATGCCGTCCACATCAAACTACCAATGAATTTCTTCACAAAATTGGAAAAAACTACTTTAGAGTTCATATGGAACAAAAAAAGAGCCCGCATTGCCAAGACAATCTTAAGCCAAAAGAACAAAGCTGGAGGCATCACGCTACCTGACTTCAAACTATACTACAAGGCAACAGTAACCAAAACAGCATGGTACTGGTACCAAAACAGAGATATAGACCAATGGAACAGAACAGAGCCCTCAGAAATAATACCACACATCTACAACCATCTGATCTTTGACAAACCTGAGAAAAACAAGCAATGGGGAAAGGATTCCCTATTTAATAAATGGTGCTGGGAAAACTAGCTAGCCATATGTAGAAAGCTGAAACTGGATCCCTTCCTTACACCTTATATAAAAATTAATTCAAGATGGATTAAAGACTTAAACGTTAGACCTAAAACCATAAAAACCCTAGAAGAAAACCTAGGCATTACCATTCAGGACATAGGCATGGGCAAGGACTTCATGTCTAAAACACCAAAAGCAATGGCAACAAAAGCCAAAATTGACAAATGGGATCTAATTAAACTAAAGAGCTTCTGCACAGCAAAAGAATCTACCATCAGAGTGAACAGGCAACCTACAAAATGGGAGAAAATTTTCACAACCTACTCATCTGACAAAGGGCTAATATCCGGAATCTACAATGAACTCAAACAAATTTACAAGAAAAAAGCAAACAACCCCATCAAAAAGTGGGCGAAGGACATAAACAGACACTTCTCAAAAGAAGACATTTATGCAGCCAAAAGACACATGAAAAAATGCTCATCATCACTGGCCGTCAGAGAAATGCAAATCAAAACCACAATGAGATACCATCTCACACCAGTTAGAATGGCAATCATTAAAAAGTCAGGAAACAACAGGTGCTGGAGAGGATGTGGAGAAATAGGAACACTTTTACACTATTGGTGGGACTGTAAACTAGTTCAACCATTGTGGAAGTCAGTGTGGCGATTCCTCAGGGATCTAGAACTGGAAATTCCATTTGACCCAGCCATCCCATTACTGGGTATATACCCAAAGGACTATAAATCATGCTGCTATAAAGACACATGCACACATATGTTTATTGCGGCACTATTCACAATAGCAAAGACCTGGAACCAACCCAAATGTCCAACAATGATAGACTGGATTAAGAAAATGTGGCACATATACACCATGGAATACTATGCAGCCATAAAAAATGATGAGTTCATGTCCTTTGTAGGGACATGGGTGAAACTGGAAATCATCATTCTCAGTAAACTATTGCAAGGACAAAAAACCCAACACTGCATGTTCTCACTCATAGATGGGAATTGAACAATGAGAACACATTGACACAGGAAGGGGAACATCACACTCTGGGGACTGTTGTGGGGTGGGGGGAGGGGGGAGGGATGGCATTAGGAGATATGCCTAATGCTAAATGACGAGTTAATGGTGCAGCACACCAGCATGGCACATGTATACATATGTAACTAACCTGCACATTGTGCACATGTACCCTAAACCTTAAAGTATAATAATAATAATAATAAAGGAAAAAAAAAGACAAAAAAAAACTACTTTAAATTTCACACGGAACAACAACAACAACAACAAAAAAGTCCATATAGTCAAGACAATCCTAAACAAAAAGAACAAAACTAAAGGCATCATGCTACCTGATTTCAAACTATACTACAAGGCTACAATTACCAATATAGCATGGTACTGGTACCAGAAGAGATATATAGACCAACGGAATGCAATAGAGGCCTCAGAAATAACACCACACATTTACATCCATCTGCTCTTTGACAAACCTGACAAAAAACAAGCAATGGGGAAAGGATTCCCTATTTAACAAATGGTGTTGGAAAAACTGGCCAGCCATATGCAGAAAACTGAAACTAGACCCCTTTCTTACACCTTATACAAAAATTAATTCAAGATGGATTAAAGATTTAAATGTAAGACTTAAAACCATAAAATTCCTAGAAGAAAACCTAGGCAATACCATTCAGGACATAGGCATGGGCAAAGACTTCATGACTAAAACACCAAAAGCAATTGCAACAAAAGCCAAAATAGACAAATGGGATCTAATTAACTAAAGAGCTCCTGTACAGCAAAAGAAGCTATAATTAGAGTGAACAGGCAACCTACAGAATGGGAGAAAATTTTTGCAATCTATCCATCTGACAAAGGGCTAATATTCAGAATCTACAAGGAACTTAAACAAATTTACATGAAAAAAAACAACCCCATCAAAATGTGGGTGAAGGATATGAATAGCCACTTTTCAAAAGAAGACATTTATGTGGCCAAAAACATATGAAAAAAAAAGTTAATCATCACTGGTCATCAGAGAAATGCCAATCAAATCGACAATGAGATACAATCTCACGCCAGTTACAATGGTGATCATTTAAAAGTCAGGAAACAACAGATGTTGGAAGGGATGTGGAGAAATAGGAACAATTTTACATTGTTGGTGGGAATGTAAATTAGTTCAACCATTGTGGAAGACAGTGTGACGATTCTTCAAAGATCTAGGACTAAAACTACTATTTGACCCAGCAATCCCATTACTGGGTATATACTCAAAAGGATTATAAATCATTCTATTATAAAGACACATGGACACTATTCACAATAGCAAAGGCTTGGAACCAACCCAAATGTCCATCAATGATAGACTGGATAAAGAAAATGTGGCACATATATGCCATGGAATACTATGCAGCCATAAAAAAGAATGAGTTCATGTCCTTTGCGGGGACATGGATGAATCTGGAAACCATCATTCGCAGCGAACTAACACAGGAACAGAAAACCAAACACTGCATATTCTCACTCATAAGTGGGAGTTGAACAATAAAATCATATGAGCACAGGGAGGGGAACATCATACACCAGGGACTGTCAGTGGGTGGGGGTCTAGGGGAGGGATAGCACTAGAAGAAATACCTAATGTAGATGATGGGTTGATGGGTAAAGCAAACCGCCATGCACATGTATACCTGTGTAACAAACCTGCATGTTCTGCACATGTATCCCAAAACTTAAAGTATAATAAAAATAAAATAAATAAATAAATGAAATTAACTTGAAATGGAGCAAAGGCTTAAATCTTCAGTTTAACTCTACAAGCATTATAGAAATAAATGTGAAGTAAAATTTTTGTGTGCTTGAGTAGGGAAGCTGGTGATGAAGGAAAGACAAAACTAATAAAAAGAATAAGTAATTGCAGAACGGTTTTGAACATTCGTTTCAGCAAAGATAATATCCCAGTGGCCAGTGGACAAATCATTGCTCAGCCTCAATCATAAAGAAAATGGAAAATAAATTTGCAAAGAGAAACCACACAATGTCACAAAAATAAAAAGACAGAAAATACCGATCAAGTTTGAGGATATAGAGCAAAGGGACCTGTTATAGAAGGGGGAGTGTAAATTGACAGAATCACTTGGGAAATCACTTTGACATCACATTTACAGGATATTTTTTCTTTGTAGTGACCAAACATAAAATCAACCAAAATATACATCAGCTATACAGATTAATATTAACTTCTTATATAGTCATACCAGAAGTTGCTATCAAATAATGAGATATGAATAAAGTATAATTATATAAAAAACACTGATGTGTCTCACAAACATAATATTGAATGAAATTATGAGTGCATATTTCATTATTCTATTTATTAAGGTCAAAAACAGATAATACTGAGGATAATACAGATAATGGTTATTGAGAGGTTTAAGAAAGGGGCTTCTGGTGTTAAGTAATATTATATATTTTTTAATTGAGTGGTGAGTACATGGATGTATTTAAATTGTGATAATTCTTTGAGCTACATAGTTTTGATTTACTTTTTTTAGATGTACTTTTCTCTATAAGTCTTATATTTCTAATTAAATATTTACAATTGATATGCACAAAGTAATTGTGACAATTTAAGCTCAATAATTAATATAGTGTGTGATTTATTTGCATTTCTAAAAATATGCTTATGCTTCTTATATTCTGGGTTTTTTTTCTGTGTCACAGATGAATTCACACATGCAATAGGGCTGGAAGTATTTTCTAAGATATAAATATAATTTTATCTATTTTTGTGAATTAGAAAATGTTCTTAATAATGGGTTTTTTTTTCTTAATTTCAACAAGACCACAATGAGTTTTTTGTCTGAATAAATAAATGTGTCAGAAAGCCAGGAGTAATTTGGAGAATTCACTGGAGACTTGGCACCCAGGAACATTGCACAATGGCTGAAAATTTCTCAATTTTCTGATTGAGCAGAGCTTTGGTAATACTACAATAGTGACTAGCAGCTGACTATCAAAGAAAGAAAAACCAAAATGAGATGAAAAATCTATTACTCGGTTTGAGTATTATCACAGGGATTTCTTTAAGCAGCCAGTGTACAGTGGCACACATTCTCAACTGAATTCTATTAAGATGGTCTTAGAAAAGTGTTCTTCAAGATGGTATTCTATTTTTAATTGGGATAGTTGAGAAACATAATATTTTCTTTGACCCTAGGCATTCATAATTGCTCATCTGTTCGCAGCCATTCCCTTCTTCGATTTCAATAAAGGAATTCTTCATCAGTGTAGTCCACAAGAATGAAATATGTATATAGTGTCTGTCTTCCTCTGTTTATTGAAGAGAGCACATTTTCATCACCGTTTTTCTCAAAATATTTTTCAAATATTTTAACAAAGTAGAATTACATCTTACTTCAACTACATGAAAACAAAGCATGAAATTAATGAGAATTTTATTATTTATGAAGAGTAGCATCAAAGATACCAACTAGGTCTATAAGATCCAAAGTATTTAGACTTTTAAATTTCTCTCCTTTTATACTTTTGTGATTCTGTATGTCATATTTCTCTTTAGACTTCTCAAACCATAGCTCAACTCCAGTAATATGTGTACAGTAGTGATTATAGGTTAGTCAATATCATATTCACAAAATAATACTGCTAGGTATATCTTATTTTAATTGATTAGTTCATTTTCAATAGGTACACAGGTACATGAAAAAAATTGTAAAAAATCATATAGAATAAAATAATTTTTGCTCTAACACCTCTCCCCATAACTACCATTTTTTTCTCTGCAGAAGTAACCAATGTTACAAGTCATGAGTATATGCTTTCATAGGCATTTTGTAAAAACATGCAGACACATATAAAATTTTTTATGCAATATAGTACTGTATATATACATTTGTGTACTGCCTTTTTCACATAAGGTTATTTAGTGATGGATGTTTTGCCCTATCTCCTTCTGTCAAATTCTTTAAGGAGGATACGTTAATTTTATCAACTGTGAACACTAAATTTTAAAAGGACTTATGTACTTAAAAATTAACACTCAATAAATTTGTTTTAACATTTTCTGATAAAATATGTATTTTATTGTGATATCATTTTTAAATGATGGATTAATGCAAATCTCCAATAGGAACCAAGGTTCCTTGAGGAAATGGATGATTCTAGGCTGGGGCAAGACATATGCAAGATAAACCTGGAACATCTTGCAATGCCAGAAAATGAGGATGTGTTATGCAAAAGCAAATCAGAATAAAACAAAGAAAACAAAAGAACTATTTATGCAGTTAGATCCAAGATGGCACAGAAAGCAGCCTGTAATGTTCGAATAATTTAACCAAATAAAGTACTGTTAGATTATCACTCCAAGTTTAAAATAAATATTCATGAGTTTATGTTGATATGTACATTTCTTTTATGCAGAAACATTTCAAATAACTTATATAGATACTTCATCCTTAAGGGGAGCATGACTCCCAACTACTTAAGTATGAGCTGTGCATACTAATGTCCTTTCAAAGAGTGTAGTTTGTAAAGAAAAATAATTAACTTTACAGTGGTGAACCTCAACAACTGCTAAGATGATCAAGGTCAATACCAACAGTGGTAAATCACATTGATAATATGTGTCCTTGGGCTAATGTGATTAAAATGCACTTCACTACTGTAATCTTCATCTTCAAAATCCATAACTCCAGTCTAACCATGTGAAAAACATCAGCAAATTTCAGTGGGTTATCATACAACATGACCAATCAAAAGTATCAAGTTCATCAGAAACAAGGAAATTCTGAGAAACTGCCACAGTCAAGAGGAAGTTAAGGAGATATAATAACTATACATAATATAGTGTCTTGGATGGGATTCTGGATAAGAACAAAGACATCAGGTAAAATCAAAGGAAATCTGAATTAAATAAGGACTTTAGTTAACAACAACAGCTCACATTGGCTCATTAATCTCAATAAATGCACTATATTAACAAAATATGTTAAAAAGAGAAAAAATGGGTAAGAGATGTATGGAGACTCTCTGTACTATATTTTCTATATTTTTAATTTTATAAATATAACACTGCTCTGAAAATCGAAAAGTCTATTAACAACACTCATGAGGAGTGGCAGCCTTCTTGGTTAGCCTGGCTCACAATCTGTCTCACAAATGCTTTGGCTGGACGCCCTATGGAGGATGTGTTAAAGTTGCTGAGACAACACAGCTAGAATGTGTTGTTCCTCCAGGTACATGTCCCTTATCCTCCTGTCTTGATCATCTAATTAAAGCAAAACTTTGGGTTCTTGAAAGTTTTCTTCTCAGCTTTATAAAACAGAAGGAGGATATGTGGTAAAGGCGATGAAGACTTGCCTTGGGAAGCCCAGTGTTTTACTTCTATTTCTTTTTCTTTCTTTTTTTTTTTTTTTTTGAGATGGAGTCTTGCTTTGTTTCCCAGGCTGGAGTACAGTGGCACGATCTCGGCTCACTGCAACTTCTGCCTCCCAGATTCAAGTAATTCTCCTGCCTCAGCCTCCCGAGTAGCTAGGATTACAGGCTCCTGCCACCACGTCTGGCTAATTTCTTGTATTTTTAGTACAGACCGGGTTTCACCATGTTGGTCAGGCTTGTCTCGAACTCCTGACCTCAGGTTATCCACCCGCCTCGGCCTCCCAAAGTGTTGGGATTACAGACGTAAACCATGGCGCCCGGCCTACTTCTATTTTTCAAAACGCTATCTTTCTGCTGTCCCTGAAACTCTAATATAATGATAAAAATCATAAACAAGGGCAAAGAACCTCAGTAGCAAAGAGAACAGTAAGAAAAGCCATACCAACAAATTTGAAAGACAGCAGAATTAGTGATAGCTTATTTAGCATACCCCCAAAAAGATAACATTTATGAATAAACGGAGAAGCCCAAAGCCGAAGATGCTTGCAGGACAAAATCATAGAAAACTAGAATTAGTAACACTTCTGAGACAGATTATGCAGATAGAGGTGGGAATTAGTAAACAAGACAGAACACTAAATATCATGCTATGGAGCTACATGATTGTCCGTTTACCCATAAAGGAGCAACAACAAAACTTTTGGCTTATTCTCAGAAAATACAAATCTATGGGCATGGGAACACCATTCACACCAGAGGGCAGGAGTTCTACACTGAAACAGGCAGATTAAATGAACATCTTCTGTTGGAGATCTGAATGAAGCATTCCCTCTTTTTCTCCCAGTTAGCTCTAAAACACTTGTGCCAATCATGCAACCATTTGACAGGAGGGCAGAGAGAAACAGAGAACTCAGAGTCTCCTCAGCAACCAGGCAGTCAGTTCACCCAAGAGTGAGGGCCACAAATTGAGCCAGGCCTGCTCATGCACGGAAAGCTCAAGTCTGCTTCTCAGGGCCTTGTTCTTGGAAGTGAATAGCTGCAGATTAGGGGGCATTCGAGGGCAGTCTGTAACACCAAAGACAGATTGAAATAAATAAACAGAATGCAGGAATTCAGAGGTGACAGAGAAGATACAGGAAGCTGAACAAATTTCAAATACCTGTAACTGAAATCGTCAACAAGTTACAGAAAAACAGATTATTCTATTTTATACTTGGAATAAAAACATGAGGTGTTAGAAAGGAGCATTCAAAGAACAAGGAAGAGTTTTTATATGTTAAAAAATATGATAGAAGGATGAAGAGAAACTGTCAATGATAAATGTAAAATATAATTACAGAATGTTCATAAAATGTAGAACAAATCTATCAAGAAATTAAAAATAGGGGAGTGGATGAAAAACATCAAAAATGCAGAAACTCATTCCAAATTTCAGTCAAATATTTTAAGTAACGTTTTCCTGGAAAAGGAGAATAGGACAGAAGAGTAATATGTTCTTACAGAAATGACTCAAGAAATTTCCAAGAAATAAGTTGTACTCCGATTTAAAAATCGCAAATTCCGAAGAAAATAAATAAAAACAATAAAAGCAACACTCAGTGTCATTGTAAATCACTGGAACACTGAGAGCCAAGACAAGATTGTAAACGCCCCCAAAAATGTTTTTAAGCATATGAAGAACCAAGTATTATAAGAATATCAAATCTCTTACCATAAATATTAGATACTAGAAAACGAGAAGAAAAATTACAGGGAAAGAATTCCAAGCTATAGCTACCCTAATGAAGCATAAAAATGGAAGAAAAAAAAGCTAAACAGTGTCAGACTTGTAAGTTCTTCAAAAATTTACTTCACTTGTACTTTACTTGTACTTTCACTGAGAAATGACTGATTAACATTTAATTAGAAAAAAGGTGGAAATTGAATTAAGAAAGCATAATACATGGGATTCAAGTCACAATGTCACATACAGAAGAGGAATAATTGTCACTCCCAGCTTGATGGTGAAAAGAGAGCCCCAGATGAAAAGCTGTGTATATTAGCTACTATCGATTCTACAGGGAAACAGCATAGAGTGTTCAAGGAGGAATAGCTCCAAGAATGAATACAGATATAATTGGTAGATTATGAGTGTGAGTAAACTTTCTCCTCTGGGGAAAAGTTTGGAGATGCTTTAATAACAGACAAATGTATATGGAGACATAAACAAAAATGGAGACTACCGCTTATACAGTAGGAAAAACAAAAAAGTTATTTTAGACAAATGATAGTACTTATAACAAACTACATCGTTGTGAATATAATTTAATAACAATAATAACATAATTTATTAATTTATTCAAAATTATGACATGACTCTATTGGGAAAATGAGGTAAGAGAAAATGTATATGTTTAATTAGGTCAGAAAGAGTACAGGAAGGGTTAAATAATTGTTATTCTGAGTCAGAAAGCATTAAAAATAGTTAAGCTAAGCAATGAGTAAAATAGAAACAATATTTTAAAATATGGAAGAAAAGAGAATACATAGTAAAATATTGATAGGAGCTGCCCATGAAAAACAAAAAATATAAAATGTAGAAATAGGCCGAGGACTTGAATACACGCTTTTCAAAGATGACATACAAATGCTCAACAGGTATATTAAAAAATGCTCAGCATTACAAAGTTCAACTTTGTTCAGTTCTACTGATTTTAGTTACTTCTTTTCTTCTGCTAGTTCCTCTGCAATGTTAAATTGTTAATTTGAGATCTATCCATTTTCTTGATATAGACTTGTAGCACTACAAACTTTCCTCTTAACACTGCTTTACCTGCATCCCAGAGATTTTTAGTATTTTTAGTATATTGTTGCTGTTTTTATTTCTTTCAAAAGGTTTTTTTTTTTTAAATTTCTGCCTAAATTTTGTTTTTTACCCAAAATTCGTTCAGGAGGAAGTTGTTTAGTTTCCACAAAATTATGTGAGTTTTGAGAGATGTTCTTGGTAAAAATGTAAAGTAGTACAGTTATTATGAAAAACTGAAGGGAGGTTACTTAAGAAATGACAAATAGAACTGCTACATGATCCAAGAATCCTACTTCTGAGTATATATCCAAAGGAAATAAAATCAGTGTGTCAGAGACATATGTGCTCCCCCATCTTCATTGCAGCATTATTCACAATAGCCAAGATATGAAATAAACCTAAGTGTCCACCAATATATGGATAAAGAAAATGTAGTGTACCTATCCATATAGGTATACACACACACACACACACACACACACACACACACACACAGTGGAATACTATGCAGCTTTACAAAAGGAAGTTCTGTCACTTGTGACAACATGGATTAACTTGAAGGACATCACATGAAGTGAAGTATGCCAGGCACAGAAAAACAAATACCGTATGATTTCACTCACATGTGGAATCTAAAACAATAAAATTCACAGAAGCAGAGGATAGAATGGTGGTTACCAGAAGCTGGAGGGTAGGGAGAATGGGGAGATATTGGTCAAAGGGGACAAAGTTTCAGTTAGACGGGAGGAATACGTTTTTTGAGATCTATAATGCAGCATGGTGACTATAGTTAATAAAAATGTATTGTTTATTTCAAAATTGCCAAAATAGTACATTTTAAGGGTTCTCACCACAAAAAATTGTAAGTATTTGAGGTAATGGATATTTTAGTTAGCTTGATTTAATAATTCTACATTGTATACATACACCATAATATTACATTTTATCCCTTAAATAAGTGTATACAATTCTAAAATGTCAATTAATAATAAAAATGAATATAAACTACAAAAAAGGGCTAGAATTTTTCCATAGGCAAATGATAAACTAGCACCAATGCTGGAACACTGACGTTTCTCACTTTTTTTTTTTCAAAAGAAGAATAAATACGTGCACTTTTGAGTCATCAGCGACATCAGTGCTGCATCTTCCTGGTTATGATCTTTTAATTCCAAAAGGTTTCCTTGAAACACTGTAGATATCAATGGAGATATAACTAGGGTTAAAATATGAATATTATATGTTAAATACCCTAAGATTAGATTAGAAGAAAATAAACATGGACTATACTTAAGACAGCAAATTGAATGAATATAGGTTAATCTAAAAAATATAAGGTTAGAAACCCAGCATACAGATGTGGAAGTTGTGTGTCTATGTGGTCCCAACAGCAGCCTGCCTGACCTGGAAGAGAGGTCATAGCATGGAGCTGCCGCCACCACCACTGTGAGGTCAGACCACTGGCTGCAGACAGGGATTATTGCCAGTAGAAAGACTGATGCTGCTACATGGAGACGTTAACTGGAACCATCTGTGGCTTCAGGCCAGAAGCCCCTGACTGAAGAGTTTAGATCTCTTTACTCCTGCTTCCACTGCAACCCAGAGTCAAAGGGTTAAGCTGTGCAGACCGGTTCTAGGTCAAGTAGAACACCTGGTCTCTATTCTTAGCTAAGGGAGGAAGAAGGAGAGGAGAAGGAGCTAGCAAACTAGGAAAAGAAAAAGTAGTTCCAGCAGGAGCTACTGGAACTAAAAAAGGAGAGAATAAGCAAATAATGACTATAGACACAGGATTGAAATTTCTCCATTTCTCGGAGATAAAAATGTCTTACAAAATGTGTTCTGTTCATGCACCAAGAAAATCTTTTCTTGTCTTGTTCTGAGCACTGTAATACACAAAATACATGGTACTATATGTAACTGTACATATAATAACACACTATATGCATAAAATAATTTATACTGTAAAGTAATGTACAAAATAATTTTAATAGTGATTGTTTCCAGACAAATACACTGGAAAGGATGGGAGTTGTATGCATGTAGATTCCATGTGGAACTGAGTCAAAGTAACTATCACTTTTGAGTTATTTCTTCAGTTCCTCCTGAGTTTTGTCACTTTGAAATAATGTGTTGGATATTTTCATCATTACCCAGGAGTATTTCTTGTGAGTGAGCTGATTTATTCTGATTCATTTTCCTTTTAGTGCATTTCCAATCCTCTTGGGAAATCAAAAACTAACAGAAATATTTCTTAAAAGTTTCTAAAGTGGGAACATTCTGGCCAGAAGAGGCCAGATAATCTGAGAATTTTTTTTATTTAAAAACTTTCAACAATGTCAATTCTGATAAAATATTTTATTCCCATTTATATATTAGTTTTACATTGCCTACATTTGAAACGTATAGATTTACAACTTGTGATGTTCTTCATAAATAAAAGAAAGGGTATATTCAGGTTTTTCTAAAGCCCCTGGTTTGGAAATTTGGCTAACATTGGTTGATTCAACCAGTTCAAATATAAGGCTCTTACTCTTGAGAGGTATGTAACTAGAAGTCACCAAAGTAAAGCCACAGAAAAATTGGTGCCATTTAGGTTGTAAATTAAAATGTTTAAAAAAATTGCACTAGGAAAAAAGTTTTTAAAAAATCAAATGTGTAACTGATCATAAAATAGTATGTGACAGAAGATCTCATACAGCATAATTATATAAGATTAAAACAATAAAATATTTAGGATATATGGGGTGTGTATGATAAATTACTCTTGGTAGAGGAAGAGAGAGGGTATGGAAAGCATATAGGCAAAGTCCAAGATATGAATAGTTTTTCTTGTCATTTTATACAGATAAAATATTTAATTTATTTCTTTTATAATTTAAACATCAGTTTTGAATATAACTTGATATAGATGACATGCTGCATAGTAAAAACAATGGCATTTGGAATACCTCAAGTAAGAAATCAACAACTTTTTGAATTTTCACATGGTAGCATGCTTATTTTTCCTTTGGTAAAGACAGAGACCAAGATGGACATCAGTAACTAGACAGCTAGGAGAATGGGCAGAATAACAAGTAATATTTCTAAGAAAAAAAATGTGCAGCCTGAAATTTAACTTAAAGGATCAAAAATGCATATTATCCCTAAATTGGCTCTTGGCCATCTTGTTCTGGTATTGCAAAACCTCCAAATCATTTCATTTAAAGTCCTTATTGCATTTGCAAAGAAAATTACCAAGTGGGACCTAATTAAACTAAAGTGTTTCTGCACAGAAAAATAAATTATCAACAGAGTAAACAGACAACTTAATGAAAGGGAGAAAACTATGCATTCCCAAACTATTCACAAACTATGCATCTAACAAAAGTCTAATATCTAGAATCTATAAGGAACTTAAACGGATCAACAGAATCTATAAGGCACTTAAACAGATCAGCTAGCTAAAAAAACTCACTGATCTAGTTTAATAACCCTGTTAAAAAGTAGTCAAAATACATGAACAGATGCTTTTCAAAAGAAGACATACAGTCAACAAATTATGAAAAAATGCTCTTCATCACTAATCATTAGAGAAATTCTAATCAAAACCACAATGAGATATCATCTTCCCCATATCAGAATGGCTAGTACTAAAAGGTCAAAAAACAACAGATACTGGTGAGGCTGTGGAGAAAAGTGAATGTTTTATACACTGCTGGTAGGAATGTAAATTATTTCCACAACCATAGAAAGAAGTTTGGACATTTATCAAAGAACTTAAAAAACAGAAATAGTATTCAACCCAGCAATCTCATTACTAAGTATATGCCAAAAGGAAAATACATTATACCAAAAAGACACATGCACTCATATGTTCATTGCAGTGCTATTCACAATAGCAAAGGCATGGAATAAATCTAGGTGCCCATCAATGGTAGATTGGATAACAAAAATATGGTACTTATACACCATACGATACTACACAGTTATTAAAAAGGAGGAGAAAATTTTCTCTACAACAACACGGATACAGCTGGAGGTCATTATCCTAATTAAAATAACTCAGAAACAGAAAATCTGCAGGTTCTGCAGGTTCTCATTTATAAGTGGGAGCTAAACATTGGGTATTCACAAACATAGAGATGGCAACGATGGACACTGGGGACTACTTGAAGGGTGAGTTGAGAAGGGAGACAAGGGTTGAAAAATTAACTGTTGGGTATGATCCTCAGTACCTGGGTGATGGGATTTTTCATACATTCATACCCCAAACTTCAGCATCATGCAATACACCAGGGTAACAAACTTGCACATGTACCCCCTCAAGCTAATATAAAAGTTGAAAAAAAAAAGCAAAATGCATTTCAGACCTTGTCATACCAATGAGTTGCTTGAATAGGCAGAAGCGTATTTTGTATTTTTATATCATATTTGTAGTGCTTATCAGGATGATCAGGATGTATATTAATAAATTCTAGATAAATGTAAAACACACACACATAAAAGTGTGTGTGTGTCTAAAAAAACAGAAACAGAAAACCAAACACCACGTGTTCTCACTTATAAATGGAAGCTAAACATTGAGTATATATGGACACAAAGAAGAGAACAACAGACACCACAGACACCAGAGCTACTTGAGGGTGGAGGGAGGTAGGAGGGTAGGGATTGAAAAACTATGAATGGGGTATTTTGTTTATTACTTGGGTGGTGAAATAATCTGTAAACCAAACCTCAGTAACGTGCAATTTACCTACACATGAACCCCTGAAAGTAAACTAAAATAAAAATAAATAGATATCTGGGATAATGAATGTGTGTGTGTGTGTGTGTGTGTGTGTGTGTGTGTGTGTGTGTGTGTCTATACACTCAAACAAATAGAGGGGAAGGGGGAAGGAGGGAGGGAGGGGAAAAGAAAGGATGAGAGAATTATAAAGCAAATGAGTAAGTTTATAATTATGTCAAAATACATAAGTTATCCCATAAGTTATATTAATAAACATCCCATAAGTTATATTAATAAATACTTTGAATAATGACACAATTACAAGTGGAGATGATTTCAAATGGCTCAGATTATTGTTGCAGAGGTCATTGATGTCTAAACAAATAACTCTGTAAAAGTTGTGATTAGGAGCATGAAAAAATGTCAAGTGGGAAATATATAACAGCAATGGATTAATTCTGCCTTTGACATGGTATGTCATATAACATTTCAGATAGTCTGTATATAAGTAAATGTTAGAGGTTCAGTTACAGTTTCTCAGAGTTTATTAAATATATTTCAGGCAGATATTAGAATAGGAAAAATGCATATAATGCCCTATAAATGTTCAGATTAATTAATATATAACACATACTACCAAATACTTAAAGATTAAGTCGAAATAGAAATCTGATTCTCTAATAACCTCTTCAAATGCTTCCAGTACCACAAGCCATTATCTCTTATAATTATTGTTCTTGGGGCCCCAGTGTAATTTAACAGAATTCAACAATTATTTGTCCAGTAGCATCTTAGAAAACACCAATGACGGCATGACTTTTAGGTGTCAGAAAATATCCAGACTTAGGGAAATAAATTAAAATATTTTAAATTTCACTATTTATTACTTATTCCTCATTGCTCTCATTTTAATACTTACAGTTCCTTATAAATTTACATGAGGACAAACTTTATTAATGTAAAAACCAGAGTTCTGGACTCATTCGATAATTCACAAACAAGTGCAGAACTACTTACATTTTACATAACAATGAAGACTTTTTCTATCAGAGAAAGTAAAGATATCAGGAATGCTTTTACAATTAGCTGGCCATGAAAGATAGACAATAGCATTTTGGCTGGCTCAGTGCTCTTGCCTGTAATCCCAGCACTTTGGGAGGCTTAGGCAGGTGGATCACTTGAGGTCAGGAGTTTGAGACCAGCCTGGTCAACATGGTGAAACTCATCTCTACCAAAAAGTATAAAAAATTAGCCAAGTGTGGTGGTGTGCACCTGTAATCCCAGCTACTCGGGAGGCTGGAGCAGAAGAATCGCTTGAATCTGGGGGGTGGAGGTTGCAGTGAGCCGAGATCCTGCCACTACACTCTGGCCTGGGGGACAGAGCGAGACACCGTCTCAAAACACAAAAACAAAAAACAAAAACAAAAAAACCAGCATCAACCCCTGTGATTGCCCAAAGCTATTTGGCCTTAAGAATATAATCATGGAGAACGGGGTGGGCAGGTGTTTTTTCTCATGATTAAAATTCTTTTTGAACACTACATCTCTCTTACAGATCCCTCTCATCTGTAATGTTTTCAACAACATATGACCATTAAAAACTGACTTCACTGGCTGACAGAAGTTTACAATGTAAACTTTAAAACAAAAGTTATCTTGGTGTTTCACAAGAAATGTACACGAACTGTAGTAAATTCTCATCTATTTTATATTACTGTTTATAAAAATAATTTCAAAATATCCTGCTCAAATATTTAGTTCATAAAAATGAAAATCAACACAAATAATAACAAAAATCTATAATAATCGTTTTTACTTGTTAGTCTTGGAATTAAAATAATGGATACAAATTACTTGGATTTAGTACATGTTTTTCCTATTATTCTTTTTTAAAAATCCTCATTTTGCTTGGGAACTATTCTCCATATCAAGGAAGGTAATGTAGATATGGCAAACAAATTCTATGACAGTTAATTATCCACATAATGTTAGGAGATATGGGAGTAAAAACATCTATTGTATCATTGAACACAGAAATGAAATACCTTAGTGATAGTCAAGAAACTGAGTCCTAGAGATGGGCTATTTTAACATTTTTCTTATTAATTACCTTACATCCTGCTTGTCGAAACAAATAATGTTACTGGCCTCTGCTCATGAATATAAAATAAAGTATTATCACCCTATCTTCTCACTCGGTAGTAGCTTAGCTCCTCATTCATACAAAACCTGATTCAAAATTGCTGTTATTATTTTAAAACACTCTGAGGCTATTTTGCAACCAATTTCACAGTTTTTTAACTCTTTACTCTTTCTTTCTTGCCCTTTCCTAATATGGGAAGTTTCTTTTCCCTTCATCTAAACTAGCTCTCTTAAACTTGTTCAAACATGGCTCTTTTCCAGTACCTTATTGTTGCAGAGATTTTTCCATTTCAGATCATGTTAGACTTTTATTTGTTCTTATACACATTTTTGATTTTTGATTTATTTTGCAATATTAATATAAAAATTAGTCTTCAAAATAGTTATATATATTAACTCTTTGAACTATTTTATGGAAATGCACTTTGTAAAATAAGAGATATCCACATTCGGGGAGTGAGAGTGACTAAGACAACCATATATTTATTGAGCAAAGCCTCAGGATGCCTATGGTTTATCAGGAACTGTGGCTCAAGGGAAGATGGTCCTGCTTTTTGTCTATAATTTACTGAAGAGACATATTATTAATAATAATGGCACAATAGTCACAAATGGCTCTTTGTACCAAGTTGAAAGGGTTCATAGAAGAAGGTGAGTTTTTGTCTGCCTGAGTGCAAAGGGAACGCTTCACATAAGATTAAAAAGATATCGGGGAGAAATTTTATGATAATTTAGTTCACTTTCTTGAAAAACACAAGCATTGTATTCCTCAGATTCACTGAGGAATACAGTGCTTAAATATGTTGATAATATTTACCCAGTTTATTAGTGATAGTTCAGAAGTATGACTTGGACCAGAAATCATCTTAAAACCTCAGAAGTTGATAGACACCGGGCAGGATGAGGGATAATTAAAATATGCAGCGTTACATTTATTCTTTAAGTGGAGATACTGGATGAGCTGGAGAGCAAGCAGAATCTAGGAATCTAGATTATTGTGGGAAATGTTAGCTCGGATTTTTTTTTCATTTACTTTGTTATTTGGGAAAGTTATCCCAAACAACTGTTTCTCCATAGGCTAAATACATGGTTAACAGTTTGAGCACTGAAAAAGATTTTCAAGCTATACTGTGATTCAACACCTTCCTACTCCCTGAGGCTTTATCAAGGACAGGTACTAATAAATGCATATTAATAAAATTAATAAAATAGAAATTAATGCTTTTTGTCATAGCTTTTATTAAATATCATTTAAGAAAATGCTATTTTATGTATTTACTTTCATAATTTTACCTTTTTCTTTTTCTTTTCTTTTTTTTTTTTTTTTTTTGAGATGGAGTCTCGCTCTGTCGCCCAGGCTGGAGTGCAGTGGCAGGATCTTGGCTCACTACAACTTCTGCCTCCCGGGTAGAACTTCACGCCATTCTCCTGCCTCAGCTTCCCGAGCATCTGGGACTACAGGTGCCCACCACCACGCCCGGGTAATTTTTCGTATTTTTAGTAGAGACGGGGTTTCACCGTGTTAGCCAGGATGGTCTCAATCTCCTGACCTCATGATCTGCCCGCCTCGGCCTCCCATTATTTTTTTAAGGAGAATTTGTAAGCAATTCTTGGGTATATTTTGTCCCATACACACTTCTATAACTGTAGCATAAAAGACTCCAACTAAGACCAACATTACAAGGAATTTGATGATCCTTTTCACAAATGTAGTACATTTTCTTATTAGTAAAATTATATCATTTTCACATGTATTGTTTGGACAGTACATAGGCTGTTAGACAACTATTAAGTAGTTTTCTGAAATTATTGATGAGGAATAAATTATCATATTCTATTAGAAGCCCTACATTCAACAAATCAAAGACTATCTGTGGCCCTCAGATTGAGCTGAGCCTCTTAAAGTTAATCAAATGTCTATAAATCTTTCCTCATAACAAAAGAGCTGATTGATTCTGTTTCACTTTGAGAAATGACTAGGAGTCCACAAATCCATCACTCAGCACCAATATATAGTTTAGTTGTGAAAGGGCTTCTTTCTTTCTTTTCCCGCTCATAAAGAGAAAGGGGAAAAATCCCATTTGGCTGGTCAAGGATTTTCCATTTCAAAAGCAATTTGTCCTTTCAGGGCTATCAGCAATATGGCTTTTTAAATACCCACCTTTAACTTTGACTCAGCAGTCTTGTTTTACAGGCTGTTCACACAAATTCTACCTAGGGGGACAAAGTATTTCTAAATTTCTGTGGGGAAGTAGTTTATCTTAGTTATCTCTAAGTTATCAACTGAGTTGTTGAGTACTATTTTGAATTATTTTTTAATATCCCTGATAGTAACTATATGGAGTTTTAAATTTATGTTTTTATATTCTTCTAATTACATACAAACTTTTTTAAATAGTGGAATTTATGCTGCAATTTACAAACTGACTTCATTTTTGTAAATTCTGAATGCTATTTTCTACTTGAATTTACTATATTAACATTATGCAGCAAATTCAGTTATAAAGATGTTTGTTGTTACTATCTTTTACGTTTTAATTTTGCTTTTAACAAAATTATATTTTGTTGTTCTATATATTAGTCACTTTTTTAATATCAATTTTTACTGTCTATACTTGAGCTTTACAATATGATGTTACAGGATACATAGTAAAATGGTTACTACAGAGAGGTAGATTAACATATCTAACAACTCACACTACTTATTTTGTGAGAAGAGCAGCTAAACTATACTTTATATAATAAAAATTCCTCATAAAATACTATTTCATTAACCTTAATTCTAACGCTGTACAGTAGATCTCTAGTCTTGTTTATCTTACATATCTGCAGTTTGGTATCCTTTGACCTACATCTCCCTATTTTCTGCCCCCACCACTTGTGGTAACCACTGTTTCAAACTCTGTATCAGTGTTTTTAGGCTCTTTTAAAAAAATATTCCACAGATAAGTGAGATCACGCAATATTTTTCTTTCTGTGTCTGGCTTACTTTACTTAGCCTAATGTCCTTCAGGTGCATTCATGATATGGCAAACGGCAAGATCTACTTTTTTAAGGCTGATCATTTGCTTTATCCATTTGTCCATCAATGAGCATTTAATATGTTTCTATGTTTTGGCTATTTTGAATAATCTTGCTATGCACACGGGAAAGCAGATCTTTTTAAAAGGAGGTGATTTCAACTCCTTTTAGTATATACCCAAAAAAGGGATTGCTGGGTCATATGCTATTGTATTTTTAATTTATTTAGGAACTTCCATTCTGTTTTTCATAATGGCTGTACCGATCTACATTCCCACCAACAGTGCACTAAGGTTCCTTTCTCTCTACACTCTCACCAATACTCATCATTATGGGTGTGAGGTGATAGCTCACAGTGGTTTTAATTTACAATTCCCTATGATTAGTGATTTTGGGCACCTTTACGTATGCCTATTGGCCATTTGTATGTCTTCTTTGAAGAAATGTCTGTTCAGATTCTTTGCCCATTTTTTAACTGGGTTATTTATTTTTCTGCTATTGAGCTGTAAATGTTTATATATATATATATATTTTGGATATTAACCTCTTACCAGATATGTGATTTACAATTATTTTTCCTCAGTCCATAGGTTACTTTTTTATTTTGTTGGCTGCTTCCTTTGCTGTGTAGAAGCTTTTTAATTTGATGTAGTCCTATTTATTTAATTTTGCTTTTATAGCCTGAACTTTTGATGTGATTTTCAATAAACCAATGCCAAGGTCAATGTCAAGGAGTTTTCTCCTAAGTTGTCTTCTAGAAGTTTTATTATTTTAAGTCTTACCTCTAGCTCTTTTATCCATTTTGGGTTGATCTTTGGGTGTGGTTTAAAATAAAAGTCCAATTTTATTATTTTGCATATGGAAATCCAGTTTTCCAAGCATCATTTATTGAAGAGACTAACTATTCCCCTTGGTGTTCTCTTGGTGTTCTTGCTAAAAATTAGTTGACCATAATATATGTTTGAATTTTTTCTTGATTCTCTATTTATTTCCATTGTTCTATATTTCTGTTTATATGCAGTATCATACTTTTGCAGTTACTATCACTTTGTAATATAATTTTACATCAGGTAGTGTGATGCTTCCAATTTTTCTTTTTTTGGCTCTTCAAGTTTTCTTATTTTTTTGTGGTTCCCTATGAATTTGAAGACTGTTTCTTCTATTTCTGTGAAGAATGCCATTGCAATTTTAATAAGGATTCCATAAATCTGTATGGCTGGTATGGACATTTTAACAATATTGATTCTTCCCATTCATGAACACAGGATACCTTTCCATTTATTTGTGTCTTCTTCAATTTCTGTCATTAAAGGTTTATAGCTTACAGTGTACAAATCTTTTCCCTTCTTGGTTAAGTTTATTTGATGATGTTTTTATGTGATTATATGTGATACTGTGTTCTTGATTTCTTTTTCAGTTAAGTCATTTTTTGTGCATAGAACTGCTACTGATTTTTCCATGTTGATTTTGTAACATGCAACTTTGCTGAATTTGTTAAGTGGTTTTAACAAGTTTTTGTTAAATATTTGAGGATTTTTACATATAGGATTATGTTATTCACAAACAGAAGTAATTTTATTTCCTTTTTCTGATTTGGATGCCTTTTATTTCCTTTTATTATCTGATTTCTCTGACTAATCCTTCCAATACTATGTTGATGGAAGTGGTGAGACTGAGAATCTCTGCCTTATGTGGGAACTCAGTAAGAAAACTTTCAGTTGTTCTCATTCATTATGATGTTAGCTGTGGGTTTTTCATAAATAGATTTTATTCTGTTAAGAAAATTTTCTCCTATACCAAAACTGTTACAAGTTTTGTTTTTTTTTTTAAATCAAGAAAAGGGCTGAACTTTGTCAAATGCTTTTCCTGCATTGATTGAGATGATCATGTAGTTTGTATTCTCACATTCCATTAATGTGATGTATCACATTGGTTTGCATGTTAAACTTGCCTTGTTTGCCAGGCATAAATTCCACATGACAATTACGTATAATCTTTTTGATGTGTTTTCAAATTCAGTTTGCTAATACTCCATTCAGGATTTTTACAATGGATGTTCATCAGAGCTATTGGCTTATAGTTTTATTTTCTTGTGATGTCTTTGGTTTATAGATTAAGGAGATGTTGGCCTCATAAAACGTGTTTGGAAATATTTCCTCTAGCTTTGTTTTTGGAAGAGCTTAAGAAGTATTGGTAATAACTTTCTTTGAATGTTTGGTAGAATTCAGCTATGAAGCCATCTGGCCCTGGGTTGTCTTTGTTGGGAGGTTTTTAATTACTTCTTTAATCTATTTATTTGTTATTAGTTCTGTTCAGACTTTGTATTTATTCTTTTTTATTTTTATTTTATTATTATGATTATTATACTTTAAGTTTTAGGGTACATGTGCACAACGTGCAGGTTTGTTACATATGTATACATGTGCCATGTTGGTGTGCTGCACCCATTAACTTGTTATTTAGCATTAGGTATGTCACCTAATGCTATCCCTCCTCCCTCCCCCCACCCACAACAGTCCCCTGTGTGTGATGTTCCCCTTCCTGTGTCCATGTGTTCTCATTGTTCAATTCCCACCTATGAGTAAGAACATGGGGTGTTTGGTTTTTTGTCCTTGCGATAGTTTGCTGAGAATTATGGTTTCCAGCTTCATCCATGTCCCTACAAAGGACATGAACTCATCATTTTTTATGGCTGCATAGTATTCCCTGGTGTATATGTGCCATATTTTCTTAATCCAGTCTATCATTGTTGGACATTTTGGTTGGTTCCAAGTCTTTGCTATTGTGAATAGTGCCGCAATTCTTGATTTAATCTTGGCAGGTTGTATTTTTCTGGGGATATATCTATTTCTTCTATGTTGTCTAATTTCTTGACACATAATTGTTCATAATAGTCCCTTATAATCCTTTTTATTTCTGAGGCATTCGTTGTAATGTCTCCACTTTAATTTTCTAGTCACTCTTAACTATACATTGAATTAAATAGAGTATAATATTTGTTCTTTTTGCTCATAGAGTATAGATATATTAATACATACAGTACATAAACAGATATTCAGTATACTTATAATAAAATTTCCTGAAGGGACATTGAAAAAAAATGTTTTAACAGGGTTTTAGGGAATTACAACAAAAAGAAAAAAAAGTCAAAAATAGCTGCTTAAGGAAAAAAAAATCACTTATGGTTTCTACCTTTTTTTTTTTTTTTTTTGATACAGGATCTCACCTTGTCATCTAGGCTGGAGTTCAGTGGTATGAACATGGCTCACTGCAGCCTTGACCTCCCAAGCTCAAGCAATCCTTCCACCTTAGCTAACTCCCCAAGGGACTATAGGCAACTACCACTACATCTAGCTAATTTTTGTATTTTTAGTAGAGAAGGGGTCTCACTATCTGACCCAGGCTGATCACAAACCATTTTTTTTTCTATACTAAGACCTAAGAAAGGAATGGACTGAAAATATAATTATTCACCAATGTTCCAATTGATGAAGTTTATTTTTAAAAAAAGAATTAAGGAAAAATAAATTTACACTTTTATTAATGCTAAATAGTGAAGCTTAAAATAATTTATGATATAATAGTTTACATTTAGAATTATTTATTTGATTAAGATTCACAAGATTATTTTCCCCTAAGACGCTATGTCTATGATTTGGAATATTGCCCCCAGATGGAATGGGATATCTGAGTTATTATATAGGTAGATCAGAAAGAAATCTTCCATTCATAATTAACTAAGTCTTAGTATGTTGACCATTATTCCAGATAGCCATGCGTTTTTCCATGATCTGAATGTTTGTGTACTCTCACTACCCCCAAATTTATGATTTGAAATCCTGTGGTTCTGTGGGTTGGATAGGAACCACAAGGTGATGGTATTAAGAGCTTAAGCCTTTGGGAAGTGATTGGATAATGAGTCTAGAGCCCTCTAAATAAAATTAGTACCATTCTAAGGAGGCCTGAAGGAGCTAAGATACCCAACATTGAGGACACAACTTGTAGGTATCATCTGTGAACTAGCGATATGGTTTGGGTCTGTGTCCCTGCCCAAATCTCATATTGAATGTAATCCCAAGTTTTGGAGGTGGGCCTGGTGGGAGGTGATTGGATCAAGAGGGTGGTTTCTCATGAGTGGTTTAGCACTATCTCCTTGGTGCTGTTTTCATGATGATGTGTGAGTTCTCATGAGATCTGGTTGTTTAAAAGTGTGTGGCATCTCCCCAACTCTTCTTGCTCCTGCTTCTGCCATGTGAGACACCTCACACCCCCTTTGCCTTCCAGCTTGATTTGAAGCTTCCTGAGTCCTCCCCAGAGGCAGAAGCTGCTATGCTTCCTATACAACCCACAGAACCACAAACCAATTAATCCTCTTTTCTATATAAATTACCCAATCTCAGGTATTTACTTATAGCAGTGTGATAACAGGCTAATACAACCAGGAAGAGTCTCTCACCAGACGATGAACTGCTAGGGACTTGATCATGCACTTGCAGTTTCCAGTACTGTGAGAAATAAATTTCTGTTGTTTCTAAACTATCCAGTTTATGACATTTTGTTATAGTAACACAAACAGACTAAGACAGTTTCCTAGAAAAAGGTGACATTAAAATAATTATTTATTAGTATTAGTTATTAATATTAATATGTATTGTCTAACCTCTAGAAGGAAGTGAAGGTTAGCTTGTCATGGCTTCTTCTACCCATCTCAATTCCCATTTTCCCAATTCCAAAGAAAAAGAGTCCCAAAAAAGTCAAGGAAACTATACCTCCACATAAATATAGTTTCAGTTTTGACTAAGAGGAGAAAATTGATTTAATTTCAATGTAGAATCTTTCTCTCTCTCTCTTTCTCCATCTACTAATAATTTTTTCTCCATCTTTTCCTCATTACTTTGCATTCTTTTTGAGATATATCTCTTTTAAAGCTCTTTTACCAAATAATTTTCTTCAATATCTGGTGAAGTAATATATCTAAGAAACACTACTCACTTAATAATTATTCACCATCCCATCATCTTCCGTAACTGTCCGCTATTTATTTGGAATTCAAATTCAAACTAGGGTTATACCAGGGGAAAGTTACAGGTAACTGGTTTTAAAAGCTGAATTCACGTTTTAAGTCTTAAGCTAGATGAGCAAAAGAGAGCCAAAAAAATGTTCAAAGCAAGTTCCAGCTGAGTTCATTAGGGAATAGACTACAGAGGAGTTGGCAAACATGTTCCTCCTTAGAATAAGTATGTGCATATGTCTGAGGTGCCTTCTGTGCACCCATCAGCCAATAGAGTAACAGGGCTGGCTGTAGCCACAGCATACAGCTGGCTGACAATTCAGGGGTTGAAGAAACTGGCCAAATCTTTTTCTCAGGAGACATGACTGACATCTGGCACAGCTTGGCAAGCTTAAGGGAGCATCCTTGCAGTGGACTCAAGCAGGAACTTCAAACTTCAAAAGCAGCTGCATCTCTAAAACAACCAGCCCTTTACATACAGGAAAATGCCTGAATTGCTAGACCATGTTTCACTACTTTATTTTTTAATTATTCCTTGGTTTTTTTAGGACTAGGGAAACTGATTTGAGACTCGAATTACAGGTTAGTGAATATTTTCATATATACCTAGAAAGTAAATCATATATAAAGCCATATCAAGATCAATTTCAACTAAATAGAAAGAACATATGCATGAATAATGGATCGTCCATGATTTTGAGCAAGCAGAAAATAATCTTAGCTTAAGAAATAAGGTTAAATTATATTCTGTTTGAAATAGACAAAGCTTGGTGGTATAAGCATTGAGCTTGATTTTGCTGGGCTCTGGTAATTCAATTTCCTTCTTCTGTCCTCTAATTCAGCCTTGGCTCAAAGCCTTGCATTATAAAGAAGAAAAGTCATTCAACTTGGCTGGAATATTCGTGTTAAATTTGAGAGTTCACATGTTAAAATATTTCAGAGGATTAAAATAACAAAATGGGCTATGATGAGAGCAAGGAGACTTTAGGGCTAGTGAGCCCCAGATTATAAAAACAAAATAAAATTTCTGTAATATTTAGACATTTGCCCACTGCTGAAATATCCTAAATATTACAGAAATTTTGTTTTTTTTTCCAAGAAAGGCATAGAGAATTCAGCAGATCCTTATTTCACATAGTGGGCCATTTGCTAATGAATCAGTTTACATTAGAAATATTTCCCTTTTAGTCTCATTTTTTATTTGAATTGATTATTATTTTTTTGAATATTGGTTAACAGATAAACTAAAATTTATCAGGACTTCTGAATTTTGAGTGGCTCCCTACCTCCAAATCTCCCTACCTAGAATATAGGAGAAACAGGATTTATTATTATTATTATTTAAGCCTTAAACTAGAGAGGGAAACACAATTTTCATGATTTATATCTTGACCTAAGTATTGCACAATTTAAACTAGAATATGTAGAACAGTTCTCAAAAAATAATAAAATGTTCCCTTTCAAGTAGCATAAACTATACCTGTAACCTCTTTAGAAGTAATTGGATGGAGGAAAAGCAGGGGGAGGCTTTCTTCTTTCTCCCTTTAGATGTTGCCAAGGCGGCACATGCAATTTGCTATTGCCATAAGCCATCTTACAAATGTGAATAAAGATGCTGTAATACACTGAGGCTGGAAGGGTTCAAATATAGATCACACCAGGTACTTGATTATTGAATCAATGAATGAATCTCAGAAACTTTCCAGATGTCATTGTATTATCTAAGTAAATAGCTTCACAGTTTAATCCAATATTAATTTTGTCTGTGTTACTTGCAGTAAAAAGCATCTTGATACATCTAGGAAAGATGTGTTTCAAGACAGAAAGAGTGTTTTACTACACTAAATGATATTGAGAAGCCACTGAAGCAGCCAGTCAAGAAGTAAAAGACTGTCTTTAGAAAGATGATTATACCAGGGAAGGGGTCCCTGATCTCGGCACATGTGAATGCTGAGCTGGCAGGATAGGCCTGGAACCAAGGTACTGCCATATATTAATATTTAAGACAATATTATTATGAAAGCATTCCAAGATAAAATATTTGTAAAATAGGTATTTGCAAATTAGCTACATTAGCCCATTGATAAATTTCAACATCTGACAAATATACTTGGAAAATATTTTCTAGAATTTTTTTTTGTTATTTTCTACTTTGAAGAAGTTTATTTCAGCTATTTTTTTCTGATACTGATTCGAGAGAAGGGCAGGTTTTCATTGGAGCAGCTCTAGGTTTAGATTTTTTTAAATGATTATTTTTGTCTTATAAGGCACATATTTTCTGTCTTTATTTTACAGTGGAATTGAGAGTTAGAAAGATATACATACAACTCATTTATAAGTCATTGAACTTACCAAAATATTTTTTAAAGGAGAACAAAATTATGTACTATTACAATAGTTCAAAACCATTTCCTCAAACCTCTTTCTACTGACTTTGGAAGGCTTTTTCATGGGCATCTTTTTTTAGTTGGGGAGGAGACATTTGTGTGTAGGGGGAGCTACAAGTACGTATTTGTTCTAAGGCTCTCAACTCAGCTATTTCATTATTACACAATCAGAGACAAAGTCTAATAAAAATTCAAATGAAAACTTTTTCTTACCTCACACAGGCTATTCACTACTGATGAAGAACAAACACAATTATGAATAGAGATAATCTCATTGACTTATCATACATTAAACTTAGACAAGAAATCCTTTCCTCAAGTGTATTTTATGCACTCGTGATTAATTAAGTACCTACAGCACATAACTGGAGACCTCAATTGTCAAACGATAAAGTAAAGAAAATATCAATGGTATACAATTTTTTTAAAAAAAGAAAAATACATGTAGTTAATTTTAATAAAAACATCCTAATTTATGAAAATTTTTTTATTTATAATTCTACTCAAATATTATTTCCTCACTGAAGTCCTTTTATTGTCCTGAGCACAGTGTCACCCTTAAGACTTTTCCACATCTAACTAAACACATTGCATTAATTGTGAAAGAAACGTATATCATTGTGTTGTGGTTAGATTTTATGTCTATGTTTGTTCAATGGATTACTATAATGAATACATGGTAAATAGATACATCAAATATAACAGTGAGTAAGTGAATCGGAATTGAGAACTTTGTAATCTGAGAGTCACTAAGTAAGCTCCCTTACAACTACATTTAAAATATTCAAGAACAGATAGTTTTAAAAAGATAACAATTCAAATGTAGCATTTTACACCAATGCCTGTAAGCCAAAAATTACCGCTACTTCAGTTGAAATACAGTCATACATTATTTGAATACATAATTTCTCTCAGCTTCCAGTAAATGGTGACTCACAAGTCACATTTATACAATGAAGTAAAGAACAAACTGTTTTCTGGCTGCATAAATGTCTTCTTTTGAGAAGTGTCTGTTCATATCCTTCGCCCACTTTTTGATGGGATTGTTTGTTTTTTTCTTGTAAAAACACATGAAAAAATGCTCATCATCATTGGCCATCAGAGAAATGCAAATCAAAACCACAATGAGATACCATCTCACACCAGTTAGAATGGAAATCATTAAAAAGTCAGGAAACAACAGGTGCTGGAGAGGATGTGGAGAAATAGGAACAATTTTACACTGTTGGTGGGACTGTAAACTAGTTCAACCATTGTGGAAGTCAGTGTGGAAATTCCTCAGGGATCTAGAACTAGAAATACCATTTGACCCAGCCATCCCATTACTGGGTATATACCCAAAGGATTATAAATCATGCTGCTATAAAGACACATGCACACGTATGTTTATAGCGGCACTATTCACAATAGCAAAGACTTGGAACCAACCTAAATGTCCAACAACGATAGACTGCATTAAGAAAATGTGGCACATATACACCATGGAATACTATGCAGCCATAAAAAATGATGAGTTCATGTCCTTTGTAGGGACATGGATAAAACTGGAAACCATTATTCTCAGCAAACTATTGCAAGGACAAAAAACCAAACACCGCATGTTCTCACTTACAGGTGGGAAATGAATAATGAGAACACATGGACACAGGAAGAGGAACATCACACACCAGGGACTGTTGTGGGGTGGGGAGAGGGGGGAGGGATAGCATTAGGAGATATACCTAATGCTAAATGACGAGTTAATGGGTGCAGCACACCAACATGGCACATGTATACGTATGTAACAAACCTGCACGTTGTGCACATGTACCCTAAAACTTAAAGTATAATAATAATAAAATTTAAAAAAAAAAAGAACAAAGTGCCTATACTTTTTGCCAGAAATCTGGCAGAAGAAGGGATGGAGTTTAAATTCTACTGCTTTGATTAAATGGAGGTAGTATTTAATTGTTTCTTGTTTATTTGTGTGTTTGTTTTGAGGGCTTTAATGGAAAGTTGGAAATTCCTGGTTGCACTAGAAGACCCATGTTGAGAACTATTGAGAGTGATCTATAAATTGATGTGTACCTTTCAATGAGCTTCAAATTCTTTCTGCACAATCATTTTTTGTGCTTTTGGATTTTTCATGGTTACCAACAGTTAGAACTGCTTTGTCTAACAATGGAAGCAGACTCCTTTAAGCATGATTCGATTCCCCATTCTCATTTTCATTTCTTATTAAAAACCAAATATAAAATATGTCAACATGTGCCTCAAAGTCAGAAACATGCTATAATTAATTTTCTTCATGCAGAAAACTTGACTTTTAAATCAATTTTTACTACCTGTTTAGGTAAGCTGTTAATATGAAAACAAATATTTATTTATTTTCCACACTATACTAAGAGAAAAATGAGATTCATTTGTTTCCTTCAGTTACATCTAGAAACAATTTTATAAGACTGGAAAATTATGTATACATGAACTGTTTGTGTATTCTAATATTACAAAAGCTAACATATCAATTGCAGATCCTGGGACAATGCACAGCTAATTGCATACGAGTTCTTTATGTGTCAAATTCTTTTTAAAACTTGTTTTGTTTTAAGGTCATTGTAAAAAGTCATGATTTTGACATTGTTGTTACTGTGTTGAGGGATCAGAAGGTGATCTAGTATAGTGAAAATCTATAGGTTTTGGACTCAGAAAACTTTGAATGGAAATTCTGGTTTATTCATTAATTTATTCATTATTTCATTCTAGATACTAAGTATATAATGATGAAAAAGTTAATGGCATTTGATCTCAAGGAGTATAATGCTTTATAGGAAATACAGACAATCAGCAATTAAATGATACTGGGGATATTAAATATACTTTGTAATGAAGGAAATAGGTCTAAGAATGAAAATAACAGGAGAAGCTAGCCTTACATTAGATGGTTGAGGAAATTCTCTGGGGAAAAATGTGTAAGTTGAAAACAAAATATAAGAAGGACCCAGCCATGAGATGAATTTGTGAGCTTACAATTTCAGGAAGAGGGACCATATTGTGCAAAATCTGAGTGACCCCATCAGAGTGGGTAAAGGAGAAAATGACATGTAATAAGGGTGAAGAAATTGGGGAAACAGAGATAGATACAATAAGGAAAGGAAAAAATGAGAGTGAGTTAGTTATGTCATACTTCTATGAAATCAAAGTGTCAGTGTCACATAGGCATTGAGTATAAGCATAAGAAGACAATAGACAGGTATGAAACTCTTACTTTATATGATTTTAAATCTATGGAAATAAATGTCATGATTAAATGAGAAAGTATAGAGAAATCAGAAGACTTATGACAGAATCTGAAGAACTCTAGTAGTTATAGTTTGGATCAAAAGGAAGAATATAGTAGACAGCTTGGAGAAAAAATCAGTAACTGTGGTGTCAGAAGAGAAAGGAAGAAATAATTTTAAGAATTATAACATTTTTAACAGCTTTGGAGCGGCGGGTGATAAAAGGTCAAGAATGATGAAGAATGAGACAATTCCAGGATTTTAACACAAGGCATTTATAGTTAACATTGACAAGAGTAGCCTCGAATGGTAAGAAGGAAAGTTATATTAGAATAAATTGGATACGAACAGCATAAAGGGTGACAAAGGTAAAAGCAAATATACAGACAATGTTTTCTACATTTTTATTTATAAAAGAAGATAAATATTATAATAGTTGAAAGAGACTTGAAGTCAGCACAGGATTTTTTTAATATAGGAGTTGTTGGACCATGGCTATATATGTTCACGGAAAGAAAGAATGAAGATATAAATGCTGATTCTTGAGTAAAAACTGTGAGAGAAATGTGAAATAATTCAAAACAGATAAATATCCTTTGATAGGAAGAGAGGTACTTTCTCTATTAAAAAGAAGATAATGAAAAAGTAAGTGGGTCAAGAAACATGGGGATTTGTATTTTTTTAATAGAAAGATGAAGGAGCACTATTTGGTAGTTTTTATTTTTAACACAAAATATGTTGCAAATCTTCTGCTGTAGAATAGTTCATAAGAAGATATGAAATAAATGTAATAAGTTATATGAGTCTCAATTAACTTGTTTTTTAAACATTGTAAAAATATCAAGTAGCCGTCATATTTTTGGACTACAATAATAAGACATCATCTAAACTTATGCCAACAGAATCAGTTTTTTTTACCTTCCAGTCCTCCTCAACCTTCAAATACTATGACTTGGTTTCTATTGAGTTGCCTTCAAATCTATAGAACTTTTATGTCATTTTAACAAATATATTTTATTATTGGAAAATTATAATACAAGTTAAATTATTTACCCTAATAATCTACAGTGAACCTCCGATAAACTAAAAGTCTATTGAACATTTTTGCTATAGTTTTAACTTTTTATTTCTCCACTGGATAATGCCAGTAATAAAATTTAACTGAGTACCAATTTACAGTAGATCGATGGAAAATTATATATAATCTACTTATGTAACACTTGGTGTCACCAGGTTTCATAGATTCTGCATTTTATAGATGAAGAAAGATAAACACGTTAAAGGTTTGTGATTATTTTCCAAAAGTCTTCAAGTAATGAAAAGGAACACTACAACTAGCATTTTTAGAGTTTCTGATCCTCAGTGAGGTAGGTTTTTATTTTAATACATTATCTTTGGCTGGGTGCAGTGCCTCACATCTTTAATCCCAGCACTTTGAGAGGCCAAGGCAGAAGGATGACTTGAATTCAGGAGTTCAAGGTTGCAATGAGCTGTGATCATGCCACCCTCTTTCAGCCTGTGTGACAGGGTAAGACTCTGTCTCAAAAGAACAAAAAATAAACATTTCCTTTTATTTTTCAATTACGTGTTCAGGAGTAAAGGAGATACAAGTTTTTAAGCTGTGTTCATTTGGAGATTATTGTCATGCAATTGATCTCTCTGAAATACATCATAAAACATTGGTAATGTTAATAGTTATTTTGATAATTTCACCTAATTACTAAACAATTATGTCAGCACATAAATCAACATTTATTAATGATAATGAGAAACAGAAAAAGGGAATTGATTCACTACATATTTAATGATAAAAATGTTATTACTTTAATGGTAAAAATTAAACTATTAATATGCTGAAAATTGTTTTAAAGCATATTTTATAACTTGAATTGTTTTATAGCTTGAATTGTTCTATAACTTGATTGTTTTAAAGCATATTTTATAACTTAAATTGTTTTAAAGCACATTTTATAACTTGAATGATACATTTTCTTTAATTGACTTGATGGTTAGGTATAATTTTCTGGGTCATCTTAAAAATACACAAAAAATAGTTATTTTTCTTCCCACACTAAAATAATAACTACATACACCAGCTATTTTGCAATCAAAGCTCAATTCTAAATTGCCATAATAAACTTCAAAAAATATAATGATAAAGATGATCAAAAGAAGTTTATGAGCCTGAAGGTCAAATTGAATTAGATTTCAGGCTACACAAAGGCTAATAAAAATGAGAGTACAAGAAGTATTTAGATTGTATTTTTAGAACTTATGGAACATTTTCTCCCTAGAGTAGAATAGTTTAGATTGAACCTCTGAATAAATTACTTTATTTTTATGAACAATGCAAAAAATTAAGCGAAGTTCAAATAACAACAGTAAACGATATGCCGTAACCTGTCTGAAAAGCTGGAAGATCAAGTGATTGTGATTGTACTTATAAATAAAGCACTTCCTTAGGTTAGCATTTTAAATGTTCTACAAGTAATTTAATATGCAAAGATCACAGTTTGGTCTGTCAGTCAATGCAAAAAATATAAATTTCAACAGCATCAATGGCCAATACATTTAGATTTTTACAGATTAGTTCTCTATTGATTAAAATAATAATATTCTAATTTTTCCAAATGTATAGCACAAGTATTCATAGATGTTGTAGTGTGCATACATATAATCACCTGCGTACAAAAACCTGGTATCTGTTAAACATTAACTCCTGCATTTTTTTTACCTCAATTCCAGTGTTGCAAGCTGTTCTAATACTCCTATTCAAAAAGCACCTACTTTTTGTGACAAGAAAAATGAAATATGAGAACAATATTTTCAACTGACAAAGGAGCATAGAACTTGAGGTATTCTATTGACCTCCCTTGAAATAACAATATATGTGACTGTGATTCTATATCCCCAATTCTGCTGCGTGAAATCCCAGTCCTGTTTGCCATGCAGCATAATAAGTCATCACAAAATATGAAGCAAATATCAGGAAGAACATACCTTGCTGTCACTGGATTTGTAACATCACATTTTACCCGCCGGGACGGCTAGATATTGCAGAGAGAACATGAGTTTTGGGAATGTATAGAGCTATGCTTGAACAGTGTTCTTCCACTAACAAGCTCTGTGACCCTAACCACATTGGACACTCAATAATTCTTAACTGATAAAATGAAAATATTAACAAACTTGTATCCTGAATCCATGTGAGCATTAAGATAGAGTATATATTGTGTTTAATGAAGTGTCTGGCCCAGGACTTAGCATTTTCATCTTATTTTAAATAAAAACATGGTTATGCTTTTACATTCAGGTGCATACATAGATGAATTAAAATTATGTAATGAGAATATACAAAGTAAACAAATTATTTGTCTTCTTTCTCTTTTTTTTTTTTTTTGCTTTTGTTTTTGTTCTTAATCTTCTTGGTGTTTAGTATAGGTAATTCCTTTATATATCCTGAATCTGGCATTCAGTCCAACAGAAAATGATGCTTGGAAAAGCAGATTATGGCTGAGCAATTTGATGCAAATAAGCTGAGAAAGTGCCAAAAATGTTCTTTATTTCTGGGATTAGGTTTTTCTGCCAGTGAATGTCACCCATTAGTGCTGTAAATGAACAGCCCTGTGATTTCCGTGAATCTATTGAGGATCTCACTTTCTCTGAGAACTGTGAATCCTTTAAACTAGCATGAAAAATATTTGAACAGGCAGAAAATCAAGTTCAAATCTAAAAACTGAGCTGAAGAAAGCACCTATTGATGCACTCTCAGATCACAGAATTTTGAGCCTGAAAGTACCTTAGACTATTCTAGTGCTCCAGAGAAGAAAATTATAGGGCTAAGGCCCAAAGGTCTGGATAAAAATCATCAAGCCAACTTGATCAGATTCTGTGCAGCAGGCAGGTGTCCTGAAATCCAAGTGAATAATTTTATTTTCTCTGACACCCAATTGTCTTGTCTCACCTTTTGTTATGAGCAAAAAACTGTCTTTTAATTTTGCCAATTTCTGGGGATTTCTTAAGAAGTGCTACTAGGGTATGGTAAGTGAAGGGAAATAGGACTTAATTGAAGAATAACTTACATGACAAGTCTGCACTTATATCGAGGAGAGCTTGGAATTCAAGGTAAAACCCATTTTGCAATAATTATATAATATTTAATATTGTCCTAACATTCCTCAGCCAGTTTGAAAAATGTTCTCCCTGTTTCATAGTTGAGGCACAGTGCTACTAATAGTAAAAAGCCTGCACACTATTTTTAACAACGTATCTATGTATGTAAAGCATATTATGAGAGCAGTAGCTGTATCATTTTTGTTCTGCCCTATCAGTCCTTTCATGATCATCAAAACCGTAAATGAGGCATCTCACTGCTTTCATTTACTATTGACGGTTCTAATGATAATAGACAAGGGCTCAAATTAAATTTGGGGAAAATAAAATATTTGTCAAGTAATTAAACTTATAGCCCATTACTGTAATCCTCTAATAATCGATGGCTCTATCAAGGACTGTGTTGAAGGTCATTTCTAATAAGACAGTTCTTTGTCCAGGGAGAAAAAAAAAAAACAAGGAATGCTTATCAGTTAATTTAATGTATGTTATTGGTTATAAACCTAACACAGACTGTTTCAAATGCACTATACTAAATCATAAATTTGAGAGGCCAGGGATACTGTAGGTATCAGTTGAAGCTTCGTCTGGAATGCAAAAGGACTACCAACATTTTGTTGTAAATTTGTTCTCTCTCTCTCTTTCCCTCTCTCTCTCTAATATCTTCCTGTGATGTAATATTGACCTCACTTTCAACTCCAGGAGGGGCTTCTTGGAAGTTTTAAGAATGAAATAGATCTCAGCCTCATATTTTATGTTTCCAAGTCAGTTGGAGAAAGCTAATGTATTTAATCATATTTCTAGTAAATAATATGATATACATTCAAGTTGGAATAACTTATGTCATTTGTCAAACTCAACAAATCATTATGGGCAACCGACTGAGAATCTACCCTGGCCTTGGAATAGGAGAGTCAATTCTACTCGAACCTTAAAGTTTGAAAATTTAGTACTGTTAAGAAGAGAAATAAGGGCATGTGTGTTAATTAAAAAAAAAAAATCAAGAAACAATCTTAAACTTCTTTACTTCAGTTCAAAATAACCATGCAAACTGTGGTTTCCTAGTTTTCCATGCAAATATCCAATAAGGCAGTTTACATGTTTCACATTTTACCAAGCATCATATTTAAAAGAGCAAATAATATGGGGCGTCTTCTTCATATAAAGATCCGAATTCATAGTATCAATTTTCAAAGTAAAGAAAGATGGTACTAAAAATGTTGTTATTTAATCAGGATTGACTGAAAAATGCCTGGTCAAATTGTATGTTTGCAGATCTATATCCAATGCAATAAGCCTTTTATTTTGAAATGTGTATTTATCTGTAATTCTGCAAATTATACTTAACATTTGCTTTTCTTAATATATTTGTAGAAAAAACAATGCTTACAGAAAATGAGTTTTCTAAACAGTAGTTCTTTTTTCAGAAGTCTTTAACTATGAAAATCATTTTTAACTTGTTTTTTAAAAGTAGCCTCAAAAGTCTTCAGATAGAGACCTACATAAATGTGCATTATTTTGTTTCCATCCTCCAAATGTGTTAGAAATGCCACATTTTATGTTTTTAATTAGTCAGACAAGTGAAAGACTTCAAAGTTTAAACATTCACATCATAAGTGTATCTTGACATTTTAAAGAAAGAAACATAATAATAATGTGTACTAACAGAATCATGGGAATTGACAGGTCAACAACTCTTTATTGTTTTTCTTTTTTTTTTTTGAGAAAACTTATTTTACTAGCGGTGGAATCAAAGACAAAAATATAATAGTCACAGTGTATGAGGCACTTTTTAACTTTATTATACTCATCTTAATCTTGATACACACACATATGACATTCTTCTGAATAGCACCAAACGGAAGCCATTACTGCCCTATTTTACAGATCCAGAAAGAGAAATGACACAAGAAACTTAAAGTAACTCGCCTTAAATGTCAGAGTTAAAATGTGACAGTCCCAAAGTAGCAGCCTAGCATAGTGTTTGAGAGCACAGACTCTTGAGGGGAATGGCCAGGATCCTAATTCTGGTTCTGATAATACTGTGTGCCCTTGGGATATTGTTTCTCAGTTACTTCATCCGCAGAATGAAGATTTATCATAGCTAACATACTGCTCTTGTGATGATTAAATGGATAGATGTAGACAATATATTTATAACAATATCTGAATCATATTAAGAGCAATGTGAAAAATTTTATTAGAAAAAATCGATGTTTTTTATGGTACTGCACTGCCAACGAAGTTGTAATTATGATAGGATTGGTATAACATATTGATACAATTCTACGATCTCTCAAAAATTCACTTGCTTATCAAACTTAAGATATATATATATTAGATATATATTATATTCATTTAATTACATAATAATGTATCAGGACACAGAAACCCAGGGAAAATGTAGAATATCTTCTTAAAGCATCACTTTTTCTATAAAAGATATATTTGATGTTTTTCTTTAAAAATATTTGATAATGTAAAGTTCACATTTTTAAAGATATGCAGTAACCCAATAAAGTTCTAGTTTTTAATAAACTACTATGGGTTCTGCCTTAAATTTCTAAAAAATCAGTTATTTTTATTATTTTATGAAAATTTGGATAAAAATTTGGGGCAAACACTGACTTCATAAAGTCGTTGAGACAGAGAACAATTCTCTATCAATTTGTTCTTTGATTTATTTAATGGACTTCATTTTTAAAAATCTATTATTAGAATTCTCTGTAGTATAGATATACCTCATGAGAAACTGAACTCTGCACTGAAAACTGTGAAGGATAATGCAATTCGTAACCTTAGGATCTATTAGCATGACACTATCTTTTCTTGATGAATTTATGACCAGATATGGTAACAAATCATATAGAAAACTTACAACTTACAAAGAAGTTTCTGACTAATAGAGTCACACTAATTGGATTCAAAGACAAAATAAATTCACAAAAACCAATAAAAATGCAGTAGGAAGAAAGAAATAATATATTCAAAGATATACAATTTTTATCTTAAATTTAGATTGCTTTTTTCCTTTTTGGAAATGTAGAACAAATAAATTATAAATTTCCCAAGCATGTAGAACTGCCTTAAAGTTCTATTGTGTTCTGTGCTTTCAAAAACACAGATTTGTGGAGCTTTCTCCCCACTATTTTTACAAACATATACTCTCTGTCAAACCAAAGAACAAAAATTTTAATGGGTATTTTTAGAAAATGTAATTTCCTTCAATCTATTTTAATAAAATATAAATTTTTATGTTTTTATTTATTTTTATCAAGCTCTCTCAAAGTAAAATTGAATATATATCTTTTTCTTTTCTTAGTCTATATTAATAATATTGAGGAAATAGATAAATAGAGGAAGGAGTGAGACACATAGAGAGAGAATGTCCTATACTAAAAAAAGAGTTCATGTTGTTTCTATCAGGATCCCACTTAAAGAATTTTTTGTGGGCTCGAACTTCATTTTATAGATGAATGTAAAATTCAAATAAGTAAAATAAATTACATTAGATGTTAAGTGAGATAGATCCTGTAAGTTTCTCCTAGGGTGCCGCTGTATATCATTTCTGATCTGGACTTCAAGATTTCCAGGAATCAATTGTTACTCAAAGACTGAGTGAGAAATGGAAAGGATGCAATTCATTTTCTAATATATTGATGTTAAGCAATTTTTGAAGCATTCCTTGAGCATTATTTATGTTTTGATGTGTTGTTTGATCAAGGGTAACATAATAACTATAATTCTTTACATTCCACTGTGTAGCATGTTGAAAATCATGCTCTTTATTCCTATGATCTAGGAGCAGTGCTTCTTACTTTCCAGAATACATGCAGTTTGTGTTTAAATGACATGAGTTTCAAAATTCTACTTCCATATTGTAGATTGCCATATATAAATGGTCTATTTTTAATTTTAAGTACTTTAAAACCATAGACTGATTGCCTAGTGAAAGGTAACTTCTAGGTACATTTTGTAAATATTATTATGTTTTTGGAAATGTGTTTAGTAGTTCTCAGTTAACAGCAATTTATCAAAGATATTCCCTAATTAAGACAAATCTTTCAATCCTAATGTTGACATTTCTGAATATATTGGGATACGGAATGAATCATACTTATGAGTGAAGCGCTGCATAATATAAATCTCCTTGAACAAATGCACTGGTCAAAATATAATTTGTGCTGTTTTTTTTTGTTTGTATTCACAATTTTTTTTCTTTTTTTTTAATTATACTTTAAGTTTTAGGGTACATGTGCACATTGTGCAGGTTAGTTACATATGTATACATGTGCCATGCTGGTGCGCTGCACTCACTAACTCATCATCTAGCATTAGGTATATCTCCCGATGCTATCCCTCCCCCCTCCCCCCACCCCACAACAGTCCCCAGAGTGTGATATTCCTCTTCCTGTGTCCATGTGATCTCATTGTTCAATTCCCACCTATGAGTGAGAATATGCGGTGTTTGGTTTTTTGTTCTTGCGATAGTTTACTGAGAATGATGATTTCCAATTTCATCCATGTCCCTACAAAGGACATGAACTCATCATTTTTTATGGCTGCATAGTATTCCATGGTGTATATGTGCCACATTTTCTTAATCCAGTCTATCATTGTTGGACATTGGGGTTGCTTCCAAGTCTTTGCTATTGTGAATAATGCCGCAATAAACATACGTGTGCATGTGTCTTTATAGCAGCATGATTTACAGTCCTTTGGGTATATACCCAGTAATGGGATGGCTGGGTCAAATGGTATTTCCAGTTCTAGATCCCTGAGGTATCGCCACACTGACTTCCACGATGGTTGAACTAGTTTACAGTCCCACCAACAGTGTAAAATTGTTCCTATTTCTCCACATCCTCTCCAGCACCTGTTGTTTCCTGACTTTTTAATGATTTCCATTCTAACTGGTGTGAGATGGTATCTCATTGTGGTTTTGATTTGCATTTCTCTGATGGCCAGTGGTGATGAGCATTTTTTCATGTGTTTTTTGGCTGCATAAATGTCTTCTTTTGAGAAGTGTCTGTTCATGTCCTTCGCCCACTTTTTGATGGGGTTGTTTGTTTTTTTCTTGTAAATTTGTTTGAGTTCATTGTAGATTCTGGATATTAGCCCTTTGTCAGATGAGTAGGTTGCGAAAATTTTCTCCCATTTTGTAGGTTGCCTGTTCACTCTGATGGTAGTTTCTTTTGCTGTGCAGAAGGTCTTTAGTTTAATTAGATCCCATTTGTCAATTTTGTCTTTTGTTGCCATTGCTTTTGGTGTTTTAGACATCAAGTCCTTGCCCATGCCTATGTTGCTATGTTAAGTAGTGTTTGATTTTCATTACATTTTAATGCTACTTTAATGTAATATGTCTTTTAACTTCTTACAATCAAGCTGGCAGCGATTTGTGAATACAATTTTTATATTATACTCACATCCTTGTGACTAGAAGTTATCCAAGATACTTTACAAACAATATAGTATAGGTACCAACCAATTCATATGGATGCATAAACCAAGCAGAATGAATGCTGGCCGAAAAAAGATAGTGGAACTGTAATGTGTACCTGCTGACTGTCAGCCTAGCCTGTGACCTGGCTTAAATACACATCGGTCCAAATCGCTGCCAACTTGATTGTAAGAAGTTAAAAAACATATTACATTAAAGTAGCATTAAAATGTAATGAAAATCAAACACTACTTAACATAGCAACAAAATGTAGTGTTGTGTAATTAGTTTTATTTACATTTATATTTATGTAATTTATATTTATATTTATTATGTAAATCTATATTTATGTATACATATATACATATTTTGTATGTATATTTATATTTATCTATTATGTAAATTTATATTTATATTTACGTAATTTATAGTTACTATGTATATTTATATTTATATTGTTGGTTAACTAGTTAAAACAATTTTAGCAGCTGAAAACAATATAATGTTTGTTATCCCTCTGTTTTTATGAGTCCAGGCACAGCATAGTAGCATCTTTTGCTTAGCATCTTTTCAGGTCAAAATCTAGGAGTCAGCCAGGGTTGCACTTTCACCTAAGTACATGTATCCTCTTTCAAGTTACTTCAAGTTGTTGGCAGAATTCAGTTCCTTGTGGTTGTAGAATTGAGGTTCCTGTTTTGTCACTGGATGTTAGCCAAGGATCTCTCTCAGCTAGTAGAAGCCTCCCTCAGGTCCTCGGCACAGAGCGTTCTCATGATATAGCAGCTGGATTCTTTAATTACAACAGGGGGATCTCACTCCAGTCTATTATTACAGGGTCTTAAATAACATAATTGAATCAAGGGAAAGACTATCCCAACATATTCACAAATCCCCATCTACAATCAGGAAATATGGCACAAGACAGGAATCCTATGGGCTGTCTTAGAATTCTCTCTGCCACATTTAGAACACAACTATGTGGTGAATGTGCAATGTGTGGTGTATTTATGTAATATCAGTGAACTGTTATAAATAAAACATAATATAAAGACATATTTTCTCAAATTACTGCAGAAATTGGTACAATATCTCTATAAATTTGCCTTGGATGTTTAAAGGACTCTTCTTTATGGTTCTATGTTTTTAAAAATATTAAAATGTAAGTATCAAAATGTTAAAAAACAAAATTCAATGTGTCCCCCATACAAAATCATAAACACAGATACATCCAAAAAAATTAGTTAAACACAAAAGTTAGAAATTCCAATTACATAAACGTGTAATATGAAATTCAAATAAGAAAACAATAGGATTTATATCAAAGAATACTTTTGGAAATATTAAAAATTGTATTTAGGGAAAACTGAGACTCAGTCTTCAAGAATAACTCAAGTTTTGGAATGAGAAACTGGAAAGATGAAGTTGTTATTTATTCAGATGAAACAAGACTATATATGGTGAGGGTTTGAGGAAACATTTTAGATATAATTGTTATCTCTTTCAGAGTAAAACTTATCTTTAAATATAACAAGTGTTTAATAAGAATTTATTATGGATCTTAATGATGCTTAAATATGAGTAAGAAGAATGAAATGTAATCGTTGCGTTTTGGTTTTAGTTATCTTCTGTATTTGTGGCCAAAGTTATACTAGATCTACTATCTCCTCCTGTTCTTGTCAATCTTTTATAATAAATTATCTTTAAAACTTAAATTTTAAATGTTCATTGTCTCTTTTCTCCTTGTCATCACTATTCATTAATTTTATTCTAATGCAAACCAATTTCTGTCCACAGATCTATATAAACAATGTTTATGACTATGAGACCTGTAAGTTATGAGGGAAAGGAGAAAGGCCATAAAAATGAGAGGAAAGAATTGCTTCACAAAAATTAGCATAGACTTTTTGAAGATAACCAAAATTTACATGAAAAAATGAAAACATTGGAAATACAGACAGTGACTACTGGCAATTATATGAGGAGCATTATACAGATAAATCTTAGGAAACACTGGATTCACTGCATATAAATAGGTAAATTTTGTAACTGATTGCACTCTGTTGAATTTGAACTATCTTTTCTAAACCTTATTTCATGAACTTGTAAAATCCTCCTTTTCCCTATTAGTTTATTTCTAAGTCAGTAAAAGGTTGTTACTTTTCATAGGATCTCAAAATCCTTCATCAGTTTTGTTGTTATATTTGATGATGCAAAACAGCATCATTGACTGTATTTGTATTAAATTCATAAAAGTAAAAGAAGTGCAGTACAATGACATTTAAAATAAAGTCCTGAATTGAAAGTTGGGACAGAACACAAAAAGTGATTGATATCTGCTAAATAAAAATCTCTTTCAGGATGAAAATAATGGTATGTGGAACACTACTAAGTTTGCTTATTAGAAGAGAAAAACCTATTTTTTCTCTTAGAATATCTTATTCAGCAGTTAGGCAAATAAGGACATTTTTGAACGGCAGGACTCCTGAAACACATCCTAACAAGTGGTCTTGTTTGATTTTTCTTACAATTTTTTGATTACTTCTTTCTCTTTACATCTATAAAACCATCTGATTAGAAGCAATTTACAGGTATTAACAATAAAGAAGAAAGGACGGAATAATTTAGGACACAGTAAGTCCTATTTCCCACACTCCCTTTGTAAGAAATGACAATTTGTGTAAAACAAAATTCTTCATCTTTACCAAAAATGGCTTTTAATATTTTACTAAAGTCCCCTCATTCTTTCAGTTTTCAAATTTCAGAAACAAATTTGACAGTTACCTGTTTTATATTACATATAAAACTATTGCCTTAATTATGCCAATTATTTCTTTGTAAGTTTTATAAAAATTTGGTCAGTTTCTCATTTTAATTGGTATTATTCTAATTTAGTTCTTACAGTTTCTTTTATACAGGACTTCACTAATATCCAACTGATCTCTTCCTTGAGTTCTCTATTTCTTCCTTCCTTTTTTCCTTCTGTTCATCCATCTTTCTTTCCTTCCCTCCAAATTTATCTTGATTTATAATTACAATGTTATTCACACTGTTCTGTCTGAATTACATGGGTTAAAAACTATCGTACACATTATCTGGTTGTATATGTGTTCATTAGTCTAAAACTGACAATCCTTTTCTTGTCTTTAAATATCAAATTTAATGCTCTGTTCAAAGAAGTTTAACAATTTTCTTAACATAATAGAATAATTCAATTTATTATTTTTTCATGAATCTTTTCTTATTTACTTTTTATCTATTACACAAGATACTGAGCCCTTCCTAGGATAATTCTATACCTGAAATATAACTGGTTTTAGGTAAATATGTGTTGAATAATGATTAAATGAAACACCTTTAACTATTTTATAGCAGATTCAAGACTATCTCATTGTCTAGATGATTAATGAATAACTCCATGGATCATAATTACCTATGGATGCAAAGAGTTTTTTTCTAATGATGACTAAAATAAAAACCTGCATACTTCTGTGTTCATTTCAGGGAAATAACTTCATAAGAAGTCTATAAAAACACTATTTTATATTATTTAAAAATAGTAGTATGATAAATTAATGATTTGCCCTTTACTATATTCAGAAAATGTCAGAATACTATTAAATTATTTCTTTAAGAAAACCTCAAAAACTAAATATAGAGGAAGGCTAATCCTCTTTGAAAGATAATCTAAAAGAATAGAATAAAATAATGCAGTACTCTGACCCTGAATTTTCCCAGATTATGGGCAGACTAATTCTTTGCTTACACATACATGTGTATGGGGTAAAATGTAAATCTCTACACAAACTCCTTATGCAAAGCCCACATGTTTATGAAATGCTTATTAGTTTCTCTCAGAAATCCCTAGTATTTCTGCCAGTCAGGAAGAATATGAAAGGATTGCAACTTCATAGGCTGATGTCATGAAACCTTCTGAGGGCTCATCAATATTGATCACTCCTTGATGCTGATTCCAGATCATTGAGCCTTTGACTAAATGAAGCAACACTAGCAAATTTGTGATTAAAAGCAAGCTACCATTGTGGCAAGTTTGCAGGATACAGTTTTCTTCTCCTTGGTGTTTCAACAAGGCCATAAGGAGATTTAGCTCAGCTGTCAAAATGAGTGCAGTGACAAATAACTTGAAGACACTGAGGAGAAAGCTCCATGTTCTATGTGTAATCCGAGCAGTCTGGAGATCAACATCTGTTGAAACTCTCCTTAGGAGGACCAATCTCTCGGAAAATAAAATACAATTTTGAGTTTGAGATTTTTTTAAAAAAAATTGTATGCTGATACAATGCTTTAAAAAGCCTTTTTTAGTAACTTCTAAATGTGAACCTATACATACACTATTACCCTCCAATTTCATTCTTAGATAAATCCTAACAGAAATGCATGGATATTTGCACCAAAAAAACACACAAATTAATATTTGGAGGAAATGTATAAATAATGCCTCAAACCTGGAAACAATCTTAATTTTTTCTCCAGTAAAAATGACCTTCAACAGCTGAATTAATTTAAAAATATGTGAGTAAAACCAAATTCTCAGAAAAATAAATATGACATTGTTATACAAATCATAGGTATGACTATCACAGGAATATACAAAAAAGTATATGAAAAAATATACAAAAAAGGTATATAGATTTTATCTATATAAATATACTGTTAGGTAATGCTAATATATGGTAATAAAAGTCAGAATGGGAATTTGCTTTGGTGGGTGGTGACTGAAAAGGGCTTCAGGAGTTCTGCAGTGTTATAATAATCCCTTTCCTGATCTGGATTGTGGTAACACAACTGTGTTCAGTCTTTGAAAAAAACATCGAGCTACACATATATGATATTTGCACTTGTTTTTTACACATGTGATACTTTATATGTTTTCTTACAAAATAAAAGAACAACAAATGTAAATTATATTTAAATATAAAGTATGGAACTCACAAGAGGACTCTGAATTCTGGGGTGCTGAGCACATAGAAACTGAAGTCTTAAAAGAAAATATAATTCTTATGGAGAATATGTAGAATAAAGAGACAAAAAGGCAGAACTCTGGGATAAACTAATCCTCACAAAGCGGAAGATAAAGCAGCAAGACCAGAAAGGAGTAATCAGATTTAAGAAAAATGTAAGGAGTTTGTAAGACCATGTAAATCAAGGGAAAGGAGTTACCAACAGTGTTAAATGTGGAAAGATGTAAAATTATTTAAAAAAAGAATTAATTTTTGAATTTAACTACAAATATGTCATTAGTGGTCTTCATGAGAATAATGACATTGTAAGTATTGAAGTTAAAGCTTTATTGCAAGGAATTGAGATATGGTTGGAGAGAGCAGACCTAGTGACTATAAATGAATTAGTCATGAGGTTTGCCTACAAGAAGATAAAACAGTACTGAAAAGAGAAGTGTCTTCAAGGAGCAGACAAAAAAAGCGATCTTTACTGGCTATACAATATCAAGCAATTTACTTAGCCTCTCTGAGATTTTAAATCCTTATTAGGCAAAAAAGCATAACAAAACCTAAGTAACATCGTGAAATAGTATGAAAGTGACATGTAATTCTGTAAAACACTATGCAAATGTCGTTAAAATGCTGCATTAAGTAATAGAAAATAGAACATAATAAAACGATGTTTTATTCACATGGAACTTTTTCAGGCATAAGAGTAAATATGAAGAACACTATATTTGAATAGTTTATGTGGCATTATATGATTGTGAGCTCCATTTAGTTTGTGCTTTTTTTCTTTTCCTATTTATAGGTGGCATTTGTAGTCTTGTTACATCATTTTAAAAAGTAGGTTAGTGTCAAGGTAGCATAATCACAAATTAAGGGCTGCGAGTTTTGAATTATGCGAAGAAATCAAGAAAGTTAATGAAGCAAGTGGGTGCTCATATATGTGATCTTTTCATTATGAACAACAAACTTTGTAGTTTATTTTTCATGTTTTATGTAAAATAAACTGCATATAAAATTCATCCAACTGTTAATCACACAGCTAAGAATGAGATAATCTGCAATAATTTGTATGACATTATATCACCAATACTAATTCCATTTGTTTTCTGCCATAATTACATTTTTATTTAAGTTAAATTTTTTGACTACAGGGTTTTTTTGTTTGTTTGTTTTAATGCACAAGAGATTATATAACCCTTGATGTGGAATCTTCCAGAGTCTGTAAAAAAGCCATATTTTAATCTAATAGTCCAGTGACTGTTGATTCTGCTTCTTCCTCCTATTTTATGATTCACTATAATACTGATGAATTTGTGGTAACTGCAGCCACCAAGTGTAACTGAACACCCCAAGGTAATAGATTTTATCATATATGTAAGAAAAATTCAGGAATTTATATTAACTTAAATAGCGAATTTCCTCTTATTGGACTTAAGTATTTTATCTTTATAATATGTTCTACTAGTCATTTTAAATTAAATAGATTTGGTTAAAATGTGACTTCTTCCCCCTATTAGAGACCTCATAATGAATTGATAAATAGTAGTAAAATCACTAATTTTATCTCTCTGCAGTATAAGCTGTTCCGATTTTATGGATAAATGTGGTGCATATGTATTTCAAAGTCTCTTTGCATCTGATTTATAGCTAGAGAAAAGTCTCCTAAAAGAGGGCATTTGATTATTTAAAGTAGTTCCTTGCATGAATCGGGGGAGCTGATTGCTCTTTGCGATTGTGTTTTTTGTGGTTACTTTGGAAATTCCCTTAGGTATCAGTGAGAGGTTCACGCCATAGATCTCAGTTAGTTAGAAAATCTGACAGCAGTGGCAGCAGCCAGCAAAAAGGAATAAAAGCTGCCTACAAGATCATGTTCTTTTCACACTCAACAGTCACAGTGTCAGTCTACATTTTGCTGTTAGATTTAAAACTTAAAACAGTTATGGCATGTCACATGCACACTGCAGCATTTAGTGCCTTTCAAGGTTGGAGTCCAAGATCTGGCATAAGATTTTTTTTGTATCACTAGAATGGCTTAAAATATGAATGCATACTAACGTGTAGAGAGATAAACAGGTTTTAAATATATTTTATTAATTGCTTCTAATTTAGTATTTCTTTTGTAAGAGATAATGTGAGAAAGAAGGCAAATAGACATATAAAAGCAAAGTATAATATTGGTATTGGAACTTCTGCAGGTAATCAAAATATTGATTTTGGTCAGAAGTAGAGATTTCCCACTAAGTAAGATTCTTCACTATATTTTGGCACATCTTTAATCCAGCCTATCAGTTATTGAAATAATATCACTGATTAAAATTTGTTTTAAAAAGAGGAAAGTATTGTCATGGGCTAAATGTGCTCTTTCTAAAATTCGTATGTTGAAGTCCTAGCCCCGCGTAATTCAGAATGTAAACTGTATTTGACTATAGAGTTTTAAAAGAAGTAGTTAAGGTGAAATAAAGCCATTAGGGTAGGTCTTAATCCAATATAACTAGAATCCTTAGAGGAAGATAATTTGTATACAAAACATACATGGAAATAAGATGACATGAAGACACAAGATGAAAATGGCCAAGGAGAGAAGCCTGGAGAAGATCGATCCTTCATGATCCTCAGAAAACAAAATTTTGACAACACTTATCTGGGCCTTCAAGTCTCCAGAAGCGGGAAAAAATAAATTTCTGTTGTCTAACCCACCCAATTTCTGATACTTTTTATGGTAGCTCTAGCAAATGCATACGGTTATCAATTATGGTAACAGATGCTGCATAGACCTTTAATCAAGATATTTATTAAAAGAATAATGGAGTTATGATTCAAGACACAAGTCTAAACCTATGCATTCAATTTAATTTTTCTCAATAAACTTAATTAACATAATCAAAAATGAAAATTATCAAAGAAATTCTATATCCTTTCTGGAACATAAAAGTGTCACCATAGATATTCTAGCAATATTAAGAAAATTATTTGATACATAATTAAAAAGGGAGAAATCTACTGGAAAGGCCAACCAGTCTAATAATTTTGACTAATAGAGATATCTGGATGGATGAGAATGAAAATGAACATCCCGGAGAATTAAACTAACATCTAAATATAAATCACCGAGGCTCAGGGTAAATGGGGGAATGAGGAAACTCAGGAAGCTGGGGTGGAGAGATGATTTTCTTTAGAATTGTTCCTTGTTTTTAAAATAGATTTAATGAAATATAATTTATATACCATAAATTCATCTGTTGTTAGGACAAATTTAACACTTTTAGTACATTTAAAGAGTTAAACAACCATGTGATCTGGTTTTAGGACATTTCCATCACTCTTAAAAGATCTCTCGCCAAGTATTAAGTTTGATCTCACAAATGACTTTGGAAAGTGGAGTCAGTACTAGAATGCAGAGGCTTCGACTGGGTGTTTGTTCTCATGGGCTACCTGGTGGCCTTATCTACCTTATACTATCCCCTTACCTGGAAACACTGCCAGCATCCACTATGTATACATGCTTTTTTTCTATCAACGGAGCTCATGAGGTTGTCGATTCCATGGCCTTGCCTTCATTTATGACACACATGCCACACAATTCAGTCATGGTACCATATTCTCCTGGATAATCATTGTTCAAGGATTATGACTCCTTTAGAGGATATTGCTATGCCCAGTCTAACAAAAAATCTTCAGTATCCCAGTAAAAGCCTCATTAAGAATAAAACCAATTTATAGGAAGCAAAGCAGACTGATGGAGACGTAGAATTCCTTACCTGAAGCAAGTCAGCTTCTTAAAATCCCCCATAATGCGAGCCAATAAATGACTCCCTCTTTATTATACCAGTTTGGCCTTCAAATTTACATTCTCTGTGAATTCCAGGGCATCTCAACCAGAGAAACTACTACTAAGAAACTAAGTAGTCCAGGGTACCTGGCAGAAGCAAGTACAAATCTCTTTGAAAGGATATATGCTCAACCCAAGATGAAGACCCAGATGAGGCATGGAAAATGTAAACTCACTAACAAAGCAAATATGAGGAAACAAGCTACTTTAAATGCCAAAGGAAGCAATGTGCTATAGCACTAGAGCTGTCCAGGTTTTTGGATAATGGAGATGTGAGATAGGAAATATAACTTAAGTGCTTTTAAAGAATAAAATAAAAAAATGAAAACAAGACGCTGCCACAAATGACATTGTTTCTCTTTTATCCTCATCTGAATGCTTATAACAATAAATTATGTTTGTTCAGAGACGATCCTTAAGTAGTAAAGGGAGCCAACACAAACACGTATGTTGCAGAAAAGAAAATATCTTTTTCTCTGAACAGTATTGGTGAACAATAGCCCTAGGCAGAATAATGTATCTTGATATTTGTGTTATTATATTATTATTTTTATTATCATCTTTTATTATAACATAGCCCACAAAATAATAATGCTTCTGTTTGACAGACGGGTTTAATTATACCACTTATTTAAAATTAATAATTTGCTTATAACCCAAATTTAAGAAACAAGAAAAAAACTTTGCTGGAACTTCCACTTTTGTTCTTTATTCTAGGATAAATGTACTTCAATGTGACTCCTGTTTTTAGAATGTGGTATGCAGTTAATAGTATTGACTTCTGAATAGTATATGAAGAAGGAAGAATAATATATTATCACAAACAAAAGCAACGGATGAGAAGCGAGGTTATACATAAAGCAGAAGAAGGTTAAGAACCATGAACTTTTCTTTGGCTATGAGCTGTGGAAAGTACTTAACTATGAGTAAATTCAAATTTATTAGAGGATTGGTAAATGCAATCCACACTATGATGTACCCTTCATTGTGAATCCTCCAAAAATTTAAAAATTACAGTACTCTAGTATAATGACATATGTGAAATGCTTGGTTTAATTTTCAAGTCAAAGTTTATATAAGTCAAAACAGGGTCAAGCTATAAGGTCAAGCATAATGTAATAGCTGACATAGGTGTTATAAAAAAGCACAAAGAAGAAATTGTATTAAAATTTAAAAAAACTAAAAGAAAAGGAAGTTACAGGAGAATTTAAATAAAATAATGTTAGTAAATATAATAGGCACATGGCTAATATATTTACAACTATTGTCATTATTTATTATTATTCTTATTTTTTTTTTTTGAGATGGAATTTTGCTCTTGTTTCTCAGACTGGAGTGCAATGGTGCCATCTCGGCTCACCACAACCTCTGCCTCCCGGGTTCAAGCAATTCTGTCTCAGCCTCCCGAATAGCTGGGATTACAGGTGCATGCCACCATGCCCGGCTAATTTTTGTATTTTTAGTAGAGATGGGGTTTCATCATATTGGTCAGGCTGGTCTCGAAGTCCTGACCTCAGGTGATCTGCTCGCCTTGGCCTCCCAAAGCGTGGGGATTACAGGTGTGAGCCACAGCGCCCGACCTATTTTCATTATATTTTTATTGGTACATGGAATACCTATGTAATAAGATATATTGAAATACTAATCTTTGTGATGTTTTTCCTGACTCTTTTGTGTTTTATTTCTGAATGAGCGTTAAAGTCATTCCTATTACTCAAGTATAATCGGGGTAATTTACAGCAGAAATCCAAAGGGGAAGACCAGTCTATGTTGTTTTTGGCTTCTAAAGCAAAATTTTCTTGCTGCTGAAGAGCAAAAAGACTTTCAAATTCTAAATTTTTTATATGCAAGGGCTGGAATTTTTTGAGTCATGCTAGCAATTGAGGTGGGAGAAAACTTGAAAAATGAGCAGTAAGACATTGAAAGAGATACTATGCAGAATTTGAGCAGTAACAACAACTTAGAAAGAGAAGAGAGGAAGACCTAGACAGCTTTATTTCCCAGGAGAATTAAATGATCCACAGTGGAATGGGAGAAGAAAGAGAAGGTGGAAATGATGATGGTTAAGCAAACGCAATTAGTCCGGAATGGGGAGTAATTTATGGACAAAACACAAGTATACACCTCTTGAGTTTATGATAAATAAATGAGTTAATATTCATAAATGCAGCAGTGTCTGGCCTCAGTAAGTACTCAAATATATATTCATAGGTAAAATTTTATACACTGTATTTGTATGTTCACTTAATAAAACATGTTTTAAAATTGAAAATCATATGAGTAAAGCTATGACTGATCTTTCTGAGCTACCGCTGGGGACTTTCATGTTTTCTGTTACATGTATTAGGGATAGTGAACTAACAATTACTTTTTAATGAGAAAATAAATAAAACACATTCACAATAAAAATACACTTAATATAAAATTGAGTGACTAAGTTTTGCCCTTGACTTGTGGCCTGACTCTATTTTGACTCTATTATGAACAGACTCAAAATAGATTCAAGGGCAATAGCTGACCTAAACGTTATAAAGCAATGAAAAAAAAAAGCTGCATCAATTTATCATGAGCATGGATATCACGGAAACAGACTGGAGTAGAGGATGCCAGTACTGGGCCTTTCCCTACATGGCAGAAGATTCCCTTCTGACCAAGCAATAGCTGACCTAAACGTTATAAAGCAATGAAAAAAAAAAAAGCTGCATCAATTTATCATGAGGATGGATATCACGGAAACAGACTGGAGTAGATGCCAGTACTGGACCTTTCCCTGCATGGCAGAAGATTCCCTTCTGACCAAGGATGGGTCTACAAATGCTCTCCAGGAACTAGTGCCTGGAAACAGAGGCTTTATGAATCTACTTCATGTTTTGTTTTGTGGGGACGGAGCTGTACCCAAATTTCAAGACCAAGTTCTTTTTACTCTTTCCTCTCTTTTCCTCAAGCAAAAGGAGTCTCTCCCCATGACTATCACAACTGAGAATTCATGAGGTCACACCCAAGGCCCATGGCAACTGCTGTCTGGTTGTCACTAATGTTTATTCAAAGCCCAAGGACTCATTAGTCAGCAATTGATGAATCCTGCCAAGACTGGGTCTTTCCCTTCATGGGAGCAGGTTCCCTTTCAGCTCAGGGTGGGTCTACAGATTCTATCCGGGAGCTAGGGCCTGGAATCAAGAGTTATGGGAGTCCGGCTGATGCTTTATTTTACTGTGGCTGGTAATCAAGTTGCAAGACAAAGTCCTTTTTATGTTTTCTTCTTTTTTACCTCAACCTGGTGTCTCTCCCTGTGGTCACCACCACCCCAGGCTCACAGTTACTACTGCTTGGCTACTGCTGATGTTTTCCAAGGCCCAGGGACCCATTAGTAAGCACGTAATGAAGGCTGCCAGGCCTGGGACTCTCCCTTCAGGATAGCAGTTTCCCTTCTGACCCAGGGCGGGTCTACAAATGCCATCCAGGAACTAAGGCCTGAAATTGAGGACTTTTAAGGCTATGCTTGGTGCTTTATTTTATTGTGTCTGAGCTAGTTCTCAGGTTGCAAGACAAAGTTCTTTTAACTCTTGTCTCTCCTTTCCTCAAGCAAACATCTGTCCCTGTGGCCACTACAGCTGGGAATGTGTTGGGTCACACCTGAAGCAAGCACAGTACTGGGCCTCACCCAAGGCCCATGACAATTACAGCCTGTCTACTGCTGATCTTTATTTAAGGCCCAAGGGCTCCTTAGTCAGCTGGTGATGAATCCTGCCAGGACTGGGTCTCCCTTCAGTGAAGAGAGTTCTCTTCTGGTCTAAAGAAGGTCTAAAAATGTCATACGGGAGCTAGGGCCTGTATGAATGGGGACTTCATTCTTGAATGGAGACTTCAAGCCTCTGCTTGGCACTTTAATGCACTGTGGCTGAGCTGGTACACAGGTTATGAGAGAAAAGTTCTTACTCTTCCTTCTCTTTTCCTTTAGCAGAAGGAGTTTCTCTTGAAGCTGCAAACTATGCTGTTTAGAAGTCAGGGAGTGGTGGAGTAAGTCCTCCCTTGGCTGTGCTGTCTGGCGTCTTACTGGTCACATCCACCCCAATCCACTGGCTCTGAGCACAGCACAGGACCTACAACTTGTCCAGGAATTGCAGTCATTGTGGACTAGAGACTGCCTTTCAATTAACTTAGCACTCCAAAGCACTTTAGCATACTAAGTACTTTAACACACTAAGTACTTTAGCACTTTATGGCTACCCAGAACTCGAGTTCCAACCACTGGGATGGATGGACGATTCCCCTCTTGCTAACGCTGGTCTAAATGCTCTGTCTGTGAGCACCAGCTGAGTTCAGCTTTGTGTTGCTTTCCAGTGTGACAGAGCATCACTGAGTTCCAATGCAAAGCTGCACAGTCACCTTACTCTTCTTTTCCCAAGCACCCAGGTTCTTTCTTTATGCCAGGCTGTGCTTCCAGGAGACGGGGAGGGGTGGCATAGACAATTCAAGACTGGATTTCCCACCCTCTTCAGTGCTTCTTTCCTTGATACAGTGTTAAAACCAGGTGCTGTGATCTCTTACTTGATTTTTCGTTCTTACAAAGGTGCCTTCTTGTGTGGATAGTTGTTCAGGTTGATGTTGCTGGGATCACTGGAGGTTTCTGTATAGCCATCTTGCTCCACCTCAACCCTAAATATTTGTTATTATTAATCACTAAATATTTATAATTTCCCAATAAAAATTTTAATTCATTCAAAATCATCTAATTTGTACTCTTCAATAAGTTCCTTATTTCATGTGCTTATTTCCCCATTTTTAAAATTTCATGTTAAATATATGCTGCATTGTCCTTGTTCATCAGGGTAAGAAATAATATGTATGGTAATAGGTACACAGTGGCTGCCTCTTGGGTAATTGCCAGAAATAAATTATATAAAGAACTCTTACTATGGTTGCTTTATTTTGTTTGTTTTGTTTGTTTGTTTTTTGTTTTTTTATTATTATACTTTAAGTTCTAGGCTACATGTGCACAACATGCACGTTTGTTACATATGTATACATGCGCCATGTTGGTTGCTTTATTTTTAACCCTCAGAAAATGGTAGCAGTCAGTGTGGCCTATGGGGATAAATGAAACAACATATGTAAAGCACTATGTATAATTCACAACGCAGGATGAGTAAAAAAAAGTTGTAGTTTTATTATCATTATTATTAAAAAGGATGTAAATTAATGGTACATTAGGTTGTATTTTAATCTCCATTCATTTAGAATAAAGAAAACAATTTAAATAATACTTTTCAGACTCATCTTAAGAAGACTGGGCATAAATTTTATTCTTCATAGGGAAATAATATAGTTCTGACCTACTGATATGTCAGAAACATAATGTCAGAAAAGATTTTAGACCCTTCCAGCCAGTGTCTTTGATGGTCAAGATTAGTCTTGGAATTGCCAAAGTCACACTCTTTAAATGTGTGAGCAGAATCCCTTCATACTGAGCAAAAAATTTTGAAACCAGAACAAATAAGAGACATTTCTACCCTAAGCCCAAGTTTTATATTCTGAGAAAGTTCAAATGACTTGCCCAAGTAAAACAGAACATTTGTGAGATAAGAGGGAGTTCAAAACTTCATTGAATAATTTTGATAATTATAAATTATAGCCTAAAATTTGTTCTAGACATATGAAAATTTAGAGATGAGATGGAGCAACTGGAATAAAGTCTTTGAAAAAAATATCTGAGTTGAACTAGAGAGTTCGATGGGAACATATAAAAAGGAAAAGTGGTAAGTTGTAATTATTTAATGAAGCTTTATGGTTTACTTAATTTAAATACTTAGTAAAAGTCAGTAGTTGCATTATTGAGCCTCATTACATTATGTTATCTGTAATCTCTCTATAGCATTTGCTAAATGTATAGTTTTTTGGTCTTCAGAATATTGATAATTCACCAAAATACCTAAAAATTAATGAGATATAATTGTTATATCACTCACAGAGAAGGTAAAGGAAATGAGCAAATTTTGTATGGAGGACTAACTTTAATATTTGTCCACTTTCTCAATCACATGAGAACATTAAAAGAGCTAACATTTATTTAGAGCTATGTACCAGACAGAGGGTTTAGTACATTTTGCTCTTGTCTCATTTAGTCATGTACAGTCTTTCAATTTTAATATTGATGTGTTCATTTATCTATAAACTGTTAAGTAATTGACATCCCTAGAATCATACAGCAGAAACAAGTATGAGTATTTTTCCAAAACCTAAAACTTTTATCATACTATCTTTCCACAGCATTTATAAACGTATGCACAAAGTATATCTATTTGTTGTAATCATGCTGAATATAAATTCAGGGCTTTAAATTCTAATGTATTCACAAGATCATCTTTCTCTAATCAAAAATTAGGAGGTATATAATCTACCATGAATAAAGATATTTGAGATCAAGACCGACATTTATAAATGTCCAGATGCTGATCACAGACATTATGTTGGTTTTGTTTTCTAAGGTCAGCTATTATTCTACACAGTGATGCGACATTGTTGATGATGCACTAGAATCATGTAATACAAAAATAATCATTTTTTCTTAGCATATGTGCCATTTTACAGAATATCAGTACAAATAGCAGTCTAGTAACAGTAAAATAAAACTAGAATAGAAATAATCCCTCTTTACCTTCCTTTCTTCAACAAAGAAGGTACATAATACTGCATCTTCAGGTCCAATTGCCACATCTTTCCTTGAGCTATTTTTTTATTTCCTGGCTACAAAGTTTCACATATAGAAAATATGGAGATCCCTGCCGGGCGCGGTGGCTCACGCCTGCAATCCCAGCACTTTGGGAGGCCGAGGCGGGCAGATCACAAGGTCAGGAGATCTAGACCATCCTGGCTAACACGGTGAAACCCCATCTCTACTAAAAATACAAAAAATTAGCCGAGAGCGGTGGTGGGCGCCTGTATTCCCAGCTACTGGGGAGGCTGAGGCACAAGAATGGCGTGAACTCGGGACGTGGAGCTTGCAGTGAGCCGAGATAGCGCCAGGGCAGGCCGGCCTGGGTGAAAGAGCGAGACTCCATCTCAAAAAAAAAAAAAAAAGAAAAAGAAAATATGGAGATCGCCTAAGGGAATTTGAGAAAAAACGTATTTCTACCATATATAGTTAGTTGTCCATCATAAATGTGTCTTTTTGTTTAGAGAAAAATAAACTTAAATATTCTATGTACTCACTGCTCATCTCAAAGCAAGAACGCAGCATCTAAGCTCTTATATTCTTAAACTCATAGGAGAAAAATATGTTCACAAAATATAAATGAATTATTGAATTCACATTGAGTTATTTTGATTTTCTAACTGGGAAAGATCTTTTCAATATACTCATCAAATTAAATGAAAATTCTCAACATTTGGAGAAACATTGCCAGGTGGGTGAAACTTTTTCTCTATATTTATGTTGCCCACACTGGAGATTTATTTGTAAATGTTTGTATGTTATGAAGAGCTAAGCTAAGCTGCAATGTTGCTTTATTGATATAGGTCAAGGTTCACAAGTGAGTCTAGTAGGTAAGAGTGGAAATAAGAGAAGTTTTGAATAAGAATCACTTGATGGGCCAGGCACAGTGGCTCATGCCTGTAATCCCAGAACTTTGGGAGGCCGAGGCAGGAGGATCACAAGGTCAGATGATCGAGACTGTCCTGGCTAACACAGTGAAACCCCCTCTCTACTAAAAGTACAAACAAAATTAGCCGGGCATGATGGCGGGCGCCTGTAGTCCCAGCTACTCAGTAGGCTGAGGCAGGAGAATGGTGTGAACCCAGGTGGTGGAGCTTGCGGTGAGCCGAGATGGCACCACTACACTCCAGCCTGGGAGACAGAGCTAGACTCCATCTCAAAAAAAAAAAAAAAAAAAAAAAAAAAAGAATCACTTGATGATCAGCTTGCCCTACATTTGTGGCCTTAAGAAAGTTATGCATATTAAGGTATCCTTCTGAAGCTTTAAATGGCACTTAGTCTCCTGTTCATAAATGTTGCCAATTGGCAGAACGCAGTAAAAATAACTCATTTCCTCTGAATCCTAAAGGTCACTTTTGGAAAACATAAAGGTATTTAACTCATTTTCAACACTACAGATATAAAGCATTTTCAGATATTACTATCTACATTGGCTTGTTTCAATGCTAGTTTTATCCAAAAGCAGCAGTGCACAAGGGCATATAAATAGCTTTCAGTAATTTTAGCAAATGTTTGACATTTTAAAAGATATGCTTTGCTAAACTATGAAGGCATGTTTTAACAGTACGTTCTAAAACTACTATAATTATGAGGTTTATGGAATTCTAATGTAAATCATGCTTGGCAGCCTCTTATTTTTTAAGAAAAAATGTGTTCCTGGGTAAAATGTACATTAAATGAAACAGATTTTTTTAATGCTCCCATGTAAGCTACATATTTGATCAGTAAATGTTATGTTCAATATTTTTGACTAGGTGCAATTATCAGAAATAATTGTGAAGTTAAAAAATTTTAAATAATGTGGCCAGTTTTCAAACCTATCAGATTGAAAGTAACTTGCCAAAATTCTAGCAAATAGTAAACTTCTTTTTTACTGAACTTCTGGTTATCTAAACAATAAGTGTTGGGGTGATCAGACCCAACACCAGGCCATGGGGGCTACAAAGTCCATTGGAGTCAATGGAATGAGAAAAAACAACAGAGAAAGTGGGACCAGGAGGCCAATGCTAGTATGGAGTTTCCGAAGGTCCCAGCTCTGGGAGCCCACGCTATTTATTGGCAATCAAACAAAGAAACAGGTGGTGAGGATGTGGGGGTTGAAAGGAAGCAGTGTATCAAGTGAATGAGCTACAGCTGTGACAATTTAGCATTTTCTTTGAAACATATGGCTACTTGAGATAATGGGAATGCTAGAAGCAAGGAGCTGGCAAGTCTGGATACATTCCAAAGACCACGAGGGTTTTTAGACCCTGGACCCCAGAAGTGTTCCAAGACTCTTTCACATTATGTCCATCAGCTTCTCTCCCAACACTCTGCTTTTCTCCCCACGATAAGTTTGGTAGATAATTAGAGATTTGATCCTATTGACGTCATATACCAAGTCTGTCTAATATAAGCAAGTTTGTGCCATAGAATTCACATTCATGGATCCGTTTAGAACTGGAAGGTGTAAGTTAAGAATGAGAAGACCAAGTTAGTTAGTGGAGATGTAATCAGACACTTTAGAGATACATTACCAGATGTCATGGTCTAAAAGAAGCATTGCTAAGAAACGTAAAAAGGAATGCTTTGGCTTTTGACTCACTGTTTTAAAAACTTTTAAAGTTATTTTATTTTTTACTCCCAGTCTGTATATGAAGCAAATAACTTTATTTCAGAAAAATATTTCATTGCTCACTAAATAATTCCGGTCTCTACCTAACAATGTAGAACGAAGTCTGGTGTTTTTAGAAACAAAGAATTTGGTTTTTCATGGAAATTGATCAAGGTGTGAAGATAATTCAGACCAACATGATCACAAGACATGGTGAATAAAAGAGAACTGTAGTCCAATAATTTCACTGAGAAATGTAGATCAGAATACTTTTATTGACTAGTTAAGGAACTATATGCTCTAAATTGAATATTATATTTGAAGTTAAAGCTAGGTAAGTTATAGATAGATGACTGTAGAATCAAAGCAAAGCCAGCTTCAGTGATCATAACAGAATTTTCATTAACTTATGGTAGGGCAATGGACCCATCTCACAAGACAGCATCAACCAGTCTTGTTACCCTCTCTTTGGGGCAGAGCGAATGACATTCACAAATTCTAACTTAAGTGCCCCCATACCCAATCATTTTTGTTCCAGACTTAAACTGCTTTTTTCAGAAAATGTAATAATGTCTAGAAGTTAAATACAAATAATGCTGATTTTATTGTTTGTGTATATCAGCCATAATAATTTCTTACAATTTCACCCTGGAAAACATTATCAGAAGTAAAAATGGTCAGATGTCCACAGACACTTATTTTAATGTAATCTTTTGGAGCAAATGGAGAAAGCAGTGTGCAACAGAAAAGAAAGTGCTAATTAGAACTCAGATAAAATGATATTACCCTTCAAAATTAAGTCATAGTGTATCTATACTATTAATAAATAAATGCAGCCTAAAACAAAACATTAATTGAATAATTATGTGACTGATAAAATATTTGCATACTTGCTTATGTCATGTTAAAAATAAGCTTCAACTGTATTATTGCAATCATGTAAACTATGTTTATAGGCAGAATACCAGAAGAAAAGAAATGGTTTTAACAATTATTAACTTTAAGTAGTTGAAATTATGTTGCCTGTGTTACTTTACTTTTCTGTATTACTTTTTAACATTTTCAATGTATTTACTTAATGAGAAATTAACTTTAAATAATTATTGAGAATTATTTTACTTCAGGTTTTGTATTTGTTTATAAAAGACTAAACTAACAACCCACATTTGTCTCATGCAGGTTTATTTGCATAAATATCTACTTGATTTTTACATGTGGATTTTCACTGTATGTTAACTAAATTGGGTAGGCTTATTCTATGAGAAATGAATTAAAAATTAAAAAATAGAGTATTATACTGTTTGATGAGTAGTATTTTTCTTTTCAGATTATGAAACTATTTAGAGCCATCTTAATAAATGTATCCATATAAACAATTCAACTAAATATGAGACTGTAACATTTACTTTTTGAGTAAGGTTTGATAAAATACGGAGCTGCTATTCAGACCTAATTTGTTTTGCTTACATTACAAATAATAAAAAGAGAACAATAGAATGCCCTAAGACAACTGCAGTGGACAAGGACAAAAGGGTGGCTAACAATACAGTATAATTTTTTTTTCTAAAAGCTTTTTGCAAGCCCCTGTTAAGCTTTGAAAAAAGCATCAACAAAGCATAGCATATGCACTGGTATTCATGAACAATTTCTGTGTCCATATGCCTAACATTTTCAGAAAATGGCACTGTTTGAAAATTATCTTGAGTATAAAATGTCATACATGTTAATTGTATGCTGTTATTAAGGCTTCAAATATTTATAGGAGCAATTAATTATTACATTTAACTTATTTGGGCCATTATTTATGAAGGCATCTTAATGTGCATGCACATATACGTAATTTTATAAATAATTTTAATAATAATCACTAAACAAAATAAAGCAGTAACCCTATGGTTACACAACAAGGTAATCTGCTAATATATGTGCAAAGAAAAGGAAAAGACTAGAAATCAGTGATGGGATTTTTTAAAGAAATAATAGATCAAAAGGATTTTTGGCAGAAACTCTTGTGAATAGAAATGTAGTTTTCAGTATCTTAAGACTTTATTATGGTTTATATTTAGTCAGAATATATTTATAATCAATTGTATCTAAGAATAATAAAGTTTATGAAATATTGAGAATATGAGAATGTATCTCTTGCATTAGTATATCATTCTATCAATATTTTCCTTAAGGCTAATTCCAAATCAAGACAATTTTTTAAATCCTAGGAGAAAAAAATAGAGTATCTAGAGTGAAGAGGATGCAACACTAATTACTAACAGAAAATAATAAATATCTCTAAAATTAAGAATGGAGAAAATTGTAGCTACCAAAAGCAGAGAAACAAAGGAAAATAAAAAAGTCCACATGAATTTTACCAATTTTTAAATAGGTTAGAAATTGTCCATCTCTACCCATTAAGTGGAATAAATTTATCTACTCCTTAAATTCAGTTAACCTTTTAATGATAGAATGATTTTATTTAGTGATATACTTTGATACTTTCTCTTTGTAATTTGTGTATCTATTAGTGGTTTTTCTTCTTTATAGTTACTATAGGGTTTTTATAAAACATCTTAAAATTATGCATTTCTAATTTAAACTAATAACTTCAATCAAATGCAAAACTTTACTCTGATTTCTTTCCACACACACACACTTGATAATAATGTCATACTTTTCATCTTTCATTATTGTGTATTCATTAACAAATTAGTATAGGTATAATTATTTTTAACACTTTTGTCTTTTAACTATTATACTTTTATAAAGTTAAAAATGACTTACACATCACCAGTACAATATTAGAGTATTCTGAGTTAGACTATATGTTTACCTTTGTCAGTAAATTTTGTGCTTTTTTATGTTTTCATGTCGTTACTTAGCATCCTTTTGTTTTAAATAGAACTCCCTTTAGCATTTTCTTTTTATAAGACAGATCTCCTGGTGATGAACTCCTTCAGCTTTTGTTTGTCAGTGAATGTTTTTATATCTCCTTTATTCTGAAGAATAGTTTTGCTGGGTATAGTATATGTACTTGGCAGGTTTTTGTTTTTGTTTTTGTTCTTTTAGCACTTTGAATATATCCTCCTACTTTTGCTGGTTTGCAGGGTTTCTGTTGAGAAGTCTGCTGCTAACCTTACAAAGGTTCCTTTATATGTGGCAAATCTCTTTTCTTTTGCTACTCTCAAGATTCTTTCTTTGTCTTTGACTTTTGATAGTTTGAATATAGTGTACCTTGGATTATTCATATTTGGGTTTGTCTTTCTTGGGAACTTTCAATCTTTGTAAATGTGGATAGCCACATCCCCTTCAAGATTTTGGAATTTTCCAGCCAGCATTTCTTTTAATAAGCTTTGTTCATTTTCTTCTCTTTTCATCTTCCAGGAATCCCAAAATTCAAATATTTGTATACTTAATACTGTCACATAGGATACTTATGCTTTGCTCACACATTTTCAAAGACTTTTCTCTTTTTGCTCTTCTTTTTAATTTTTTTTTTTTTTTTTTTTAGTTTTAGTTCTGGGATGCATGGGCTGGAAGTGCAGGTTTGTTACATAGGCAGAATTGTGCCATAGTGGTTTGCTGCACCTATCAACCCATTGCCTAGGTATTAAGCCCAGCATGCATTAGCTATTTTTCCTAATACTCTCCCTCCTCCCACTCTACTCCTGACAGGCTCCAGTGTGTGATTTTGCTCTCCCTGTGTCCATGTGATCTCATCGTTCAGCTCCTACTTATAAGTGAGAATATGTGGTGTTTGGTTTTCTGTTCTTGCATTAGTTTGCTGCAGATAATGGCTTCCAGCTCCAACCATTGTCTCTGCTAAGGACATGATCTCATTCCTTTTTATGGCTGAATAATATTCATGTTTTGTATTTACTACATTTTCTTTATCAAGTCTATCATTGATGGGGATTTGAGCTGATGCCATGTCCTTGCTATTGTGTATAGTGCTTCAGTGAACATATGTGTGCATGGATCTCTGTAATAGAATGATTTATATTCCTTTGCTGGGTCACATGTTATTTCTGGTTCTAGATCTTTGAGGAATCACCATACTGTCTTCCACAATGGTTGAACTAATTTACATTCCCACCAACAGTGTAAAAGCATTCCTGTTTCTAATCAACCTCACCAGCATCTGTTGTTTCTTGACGTTTTAATAATGGCCATTCTGACTGGCGTGAGACTGTATCTCATTGCGGTTTTGATTTACATGTCTGTAATTATCAGTGATGTTGATTCTTTTTCATATGTTTTTTTGGCTGCATGAATATCTTATTTGGAGAAGTGTCTGTTCATATCCTTTGCCCATTTTATACTAGGGGTTTTTTTTCTTGTAAATTTGAGTTCTTTGTATATTCTGGGTATTAGACCTTTGACAGATGGATAGATTGCAAAGATTTTCTCCCTCTCTGTAAATTGCCCGATCACTCTGATGATAGTTTCTTTTGTTGTACAGAAGCTCTTTAGCTTAATTAGATCATATTTGTCAATTTTGGCTTTTGTGCAATTGCTTTTGACATTTTCATCATGAAATATTTGCCCCTACCTATGTCCTGAATGGTATTGCCTAGATTTTCTTCTAGAGTTTTTATAGTTTTGGGTTTTACATTTAAGTCTTTAATCCATCTTGAGTTAATTTTTGTATAACTTATGAGGAAAAGGTCCAGTTTTAATTTTCTGTAAATGAACAGTCAGTTCTCCCAGCACCATTTATTAAATAGAGAATCCTTTCTTCATTGGTTGTTTTTGTCAGGTTTGTCAAAGATCAGATAGTTGTAGAAGTGTGATCTTATTTCTGAGCTTTCTATTCTATTCCATTGGTCTATGTGTCTGTTTTGGTACCAGTATCATGCGGTTTTATTTATTGTAGACTTACAGTATAGTTTGAAGTCCAGTAGGGTGATATCTTCAGATTTGTTCTTTTTACTTAGGATTGTCTTGGCTATACAAACTCTTTTGTGGCTCCATGTGAATTTTAAAATACTTTTTTTTCTAATGCTATGCAGAATGTCAATGGTAGTTTAATGGGGAATAGGATGCAACCTATAAACTACTTTGGGGAGTATGGCCATCTTCACAATGTTGATTCTTCATTCCCATGATGCAAGGTTGGTTCAATATAAAAATAGTTTTTTTTCTAATGCTGTGAAGAATGGCAATGGTAGTTTAATGGGGAATAGCATTCAATCTATAAAATACTTTGGGGAGTGTGGCCATCTTCACAATGTTGATTCTTCATTCCCATGATGCAAGGTTGGTTCTATGCTTCCTATTCATAAGCATAGAATGTTTTCCATTTGTTTATGTCCTTTCTGGTTTCCTTGAGCAGAGATTTGTAGTTCTCCTTGAAGAGGTCCTTTGCTTCCCTTGTTAGCTATATTTCTGGTATTTTATTCTCTTTGTAGCAATTATGAATGATAGTTCATCATGATTCGGCTCTCTGCTTGCCTGTTTTTGGTGTATAAGAATGCCTGTGACTTCTGCACATTGATTTTATATCCTGAGACTTTGCTGAGGTTTTTTATTGGCTTAAGAGCTTTTTGGCGAGACGATGAGGTTTTCTAGATATAAGATCATGTTGGCTACAAGCAAAGACATTTTTACTTCCTCCTTTCCTATTTGAATACTCTTTATTCTTTTCTCTTGCCTAATTGCCCTGGCCAGAACTTCCAATACTATGTTGAATAGGAGTGGTGAGAGAAGGCATCCTTGTTTTGTGCCAGTTTTCAAGGAGAATGCTTCCAGTTTTTTCTCATTTTTTCTCATTCAGTATGATATTGGCTGTGGGTTTGTCATAAATGGCTCTTATTATTTTGAGGTATGTTCCTTCAATAGTTTGTTGAGAGTTTTAACATGAAGGGATGTTGAATTTTATTGATGGCTTTTTCTGCAGTCTATTGAGATAATCATGTGGTTTTTGTCTTTAGATCTGTTTATGTGATGGATTATGTTTATTGATTTGTGTATGTTGAACCAACCTTGCATCATGGGAATGAAGTCAACTTGATTGTACTGGATAAGCTTTTTGATGTGCTACTGGATTCGGTTTGTCAGTATTTTATTGAGATTTTATGCATCGATGTTCATCAGGGATACTGGCATGAAGTTTTCCTTTTTGTTGTATTTCTGCCATGTTTTGGTATTAGGATGATGCTGGCCTCATAGAATGTGTTAGGGAGGAGTCCCTCCTTTTCAGTTGTGTGGAATTGTTTCAGAAGTTATGGTATCAGCTCCTTTCTGTATTTCTGGTAGAATTCAGCTGTAAATGTATCTGGTCCTGGGCTTTTTTAGTTGGTACGCTATTTATTACTGCCTCAATTTCAGAACTTGTTATTGATCTATTCAGGTATTCAACTTCTTCCTGAAAACCCTTAACTGCTTCTAGAATTCTGACAAAGTTGGTTCTTACTGTTTCTGCTGTTTTCAGTGTTGTTTCTGGAAGAACAAGAGTTTGGAGCTTCCTACTCCACCATTTTGCAGGCCTAAGAGTTAATTTTCAAGTGCAATCAACACAAATTGTTTATTTGCCAGCATCAGTTAAAACTGTCAGGGTCAACACTTTTTCTACCTGCTATAGCACTTTTCTTACCACATTTTGAGGCTCCACTAAATGATTGCCCACTTCTTTGCCAGACTTTGCTAACAGTTTTTCTGCAATTTTTTGTGTATCTGTCCAAAGCCCAGGCCCAAAGAAAATTTCACCTATTTTAGGTTTTTCTTGTAACAGCACCATAATTATGATACATTTTGGCATCTTATGGCATTTGCTGTATAACTTATAATCCTGAAGCTTTGAGACTTAAAAGAAGCATTTATTTAGTCACAATGCTATAGGATGGCATCTTCTTGGGTTTGATACAAGTGGATTATTTATTGATTTAAGCTAGGGACCCTTAATTGTTTGTTGTCAACTGCCAGTCCTAGTGGGCCTCAAAAGGAAGGAGTTAAAACATTTTTTAATAATTTTTTTAAACTTATGTTGGTAAAGACAGGATCTCGATATGTTGTCCAGGCTGGTCTCAAATTTCTAGCCTTCAGCAATCCTCTCACCTCAGCCTCCCTCCCAAAGCATTGGGATTAAACATGTGAGCCACTGCATCTGTCCTTTATAATTTCTTATCATTTCACAGGTTGCTTAAAGTTAGGCCTATAGTTAGTACATATTAAAAGGCAAAACTTAAAAGACTGTGGAAAAAATAAGAAAAAATTGAAGATTCGATGAAGTATATTCACATAAAAGAACCCTTAAAATGTAGATGAAATTCTAGGCCAATCTCAAATGTGTATTTCTAGCCAAAGTTCTGAGGAACATAAGTTCCCAATCAAAATTCATAAAACACATAAGGAAATAAACTTTCATGAACAAAATTCAGCAGAAAAACAAACTGAAAAATAGCTTCACAAAGCTGCATGTATTGGGATGTTCAGATATAACATAAAAATAATATAGTTAAATGAATAAAATGAAATATATATTAAAAACTACCCAGTGTACTGCTTAAAGTAATATAATTTCTAGTAATGAAAACCTAAGATTTTAAATTAAAACCTATATAATGCTCAAAAATAAAGATTAAAAACTGTATACACACTAAATATATTAAGCACAAATAAAGAGAGATTAACTGAACTGGAATTTAACATTAAATAACAACAAGAGGATTGATACTCAGAAAAGGAGATGGAAAATATGAAAAATGTTAGGAGACATAAAAAACTGAGTAAGTTCTAATTGCAGAAACAGAAGGAGAATGGAGAAAATAATAATAAGTGGTTAGACAAAACATTTAGACATTGAAGACTTAAAAATATTGCAAGATTGATGAACAATACTAATCATTTGAATTAGAAAACACAAAATTAGAGAGAGAGAGAAAAAAACTCAGGATATAAACATCTAAATACCTAGCGTAAAAAATGAAAAGAACAACACCAAAGCTAAAGCAAAAAAAAAAAGTAGAAGACCTAAAATGGGATAATAATTGAACTGACAAATGATGTCTTGAAAGAAATTAGAACACAGAAGATCTTGAAACAGCATCTTCAAAATGTTTAAAAAAAATAAAAAACTGCTATACTTAGTGAAAATATTTTTAAAGAATAACACTAAATAATGATGTTTTCCAACAAGCATATATTGAGAGTAAACTAGCAATTATAGTAAAATACTAAATTCAAGAAGAAAGAAAATAATTCAACAAGGAAGATCAGAGATGCTGAAAAATATTACCAGTCTAAAACAAATAATAAGTGATGTTATAATTTATTACATTACAAATAAATAAAAATAATAACACAAGTGGGAAAAGAATGACTACACTTAGCATTTTAGAATTAACATTACACTTTGTTAAATTATTAGTATACACTTTTATTTCCATTGTAAAATAATAGAAATGGGATTTTATCTTAGTAATGGGAAAAGGCAGAGCAAAAAGAAACAGAACATGTGAGAAAAACAATATAGAAAACCAATGGTAGATATGACCCAGATGTAACTTTCAGCATTAAGTAAATTTATAAAACTCTTACATTATGTGACAGATGCTCTATTTAAATGATCAATTAAAAACTTAATATTCTCTTGATGATACAGTAGCTTTGTATCATACTAAACTTCTCACTGAAAAGCATAAATGCTGAACAAGGTCAAATGACAGCAACAAACAAAATTTTAAAGTCATTGCAGGACAATAAGTTCAGCTAGGATTTGAGGGACCAAATTCTAGAGAAATGGCAGGACACTGTTGTGACACCTATATTTACTTTAATTTTGCACTTGTCCATTGTGTTAAATTTTAGCACAGCAGAACCACTCCTGAACTTCTCAGTGATGCTGGTGTTTCTCTCACCAGACCTCCTTTTTGGCTTTCTAACATGGTGTATGCTCTGGACCTTACTTGGAACATAATCATCTGGTGGGTTTTTGTGTCTTAGTTATGATATCCATTCTGGTTCTCCCACTTTCTTGTGTCCTTTACTCCAATCATTATCTGCTTCCAGATAATTTCTGACACTTTGACACTCCATAGTGTGGAGATCAATATTTTTTCTATGTTTCATGGAGTCATCCTGACAGCAAGTTTGGATTATTCCCTAAGATTATTGCTAGGTGTTAATTCATCAATCATGGGACAGTGCTCCAAATAATTTACTCACACATTCAAGTAAAGTGATAATTAAAGTTCTTTTATTTTTTTCCTTAATTGAGACAGGTTCTCACTCTGTCACCCAGGCATGAGTGCAGTGGAACAATCACAGCTCACTGCAGCCTGAAACTCCTGGGCTCAGGCAATCCACCTCCAGCTCTTGGGCAGCTGGGACTACAGGCATGGGTCACCACGCCCTGCTAATTTTTCTATTCTTTTTTTAGAGACAGGGTTTCACCATGTTACCCAGGCTCATCTTGAACTCCTGAGCTCAAGCAATCTGCCCGCCTTGGCCTTCGTAAGTGCTGGGATTACAGGTGTGTGCCCCCGTGCTTGGCCAATTCTAGCTCTTAATAGAGAGTGATAGTCTTCTTTGGCAGATTCAGAGTTTTTATTAAAATATAAAAATTTAAGAATTTAGAGTCATAAACCCAGATTTTTCCATTCATGTGTCAGGGTCCCATTTGTTCCAATTCAAAACTCTGTTATTGGCATAGTAATCTGCTTTGGTTATGACATAAACCTTCCTTGGAGCCTAACTTTTCTGATCAGTATTTGATTTCATACTCAACTTTCTCTGCCCTCCTCTTGAAAGACATAACAGGCTCTCTGTATGTTACCAATGAGAAAACCTGGTTTTCATGGTAGGCTTTCAATTAACAGCTCATCTCTCTTAGATTTGTATTATCTTTCCCTAATGTGTCAATCTAATCTAGATTTGCAATAAAGCTGTGATTCCTTTGTCTGCATTAACTTTCTTTTGCTGTGTGACAATATTATCTCAGACTTAGCATATAGTTTAAAACAACATTTTTTTTTCTTACAGCCTCTGTGGGTCAAGAATCCAGCCGTGGCTTAGCTTGTTTCCCTTTTTAGGGTATTCCAAGGCTAGCAATCAAGATATAAGCTCCACTGCAATCTCAGCTGGAAGCTTGACTGGAACAGGATCTATTTCCCTGTTTGCATGGTTGTTAGTAGCATTCAGTTCCTTACAGATGTAGTACTGAGAGCTTCAAATATGTTTACTGTCTCTTGGAAGAAGGATGCCTTCAGCTCCCAGGGCTCACCTGCAGGCCTTGCTGTATGAGGTTTACTAACATAGCCACTTGCTTCCTCACATCATGAAAGTGAGAGACTGTAGCAATTTGACAGCTACAATCTTATGAAACAGATCACATGATTACATACATGTAATCATGTGCATATTCTCACCTTTGCCATATTCTATATTTAGAAGCAAGTGACAGGTCCCATCTACACTGAAAGGGAAGGGATAACACAAGGATGTGAACAATAGGATGTGAGGGTAATGGCAGTCCTCCCATAATCTTTTCACTTTGCATAGTTTATCTTTAATCTGTAATTTTTAAATACTTGACACATTGCACCAGATAGCACATCCCTTTCTGTCAGTATAATAAAATATTCTAATTCAACACCTGTGAATATTTCAACAATAGTACTGCTACCTCATCTCAGGGACTGTATGTGTTTCACTGACACCAGTGAGTGGGTCTTTGTTTCCAGCCAGATGGTGAGTGATTCCATTCCAAAGCTTTGTCTCATTGCCTGTACTCTTAGACAACTCCTGGCACCCATTTATGATCTTTGTAGGAAAGGGTTTCTGATTCAGAGTTTAGAGTGCAGAATGTTTCTCAGGGAGCAGAAGGAAGAAAGAAGTCAGACTGGGTACTGGAAGAAGTGGAGTTGGAACGCAATCCTGACAGTCTCCGCCACTGTACAGGCACAGTTGGAGCTGAAATGACCCATCTGAGATTTCCCATATTCTACTAGAAATACTGACTCTCTAACACAACCACATTCAATTATTGGCTATGGGTATCTCTGGAATGGTATGAGTTGAGGTGATAAAACTTCCTGAACCTAAGTTAATCCCTCCTGATACTGAAAACTTAGATTGTCTGCTTTCTTCTAAAAGCATTCTAAGTAACTGCAACAACAATTTCTTCCTCGAAGGAAAATTTGGGTCTAAATTCCCCAACTGCTTCCTGTTCAGAATGAAGAAAATATTTCTACTATGTATTGGGTATATTGGCTTCTGACAACTCTACAAGTAAATCCCTCTTCAGGGGTTGTTCTAGCCTAAAGGCAATTGCCATTCTCAAGTTTATGCCCTCTGCCTGAGGGCAGCCTGTAACAAATATCTGATCAATGTTACTTAAGGAAAGAAAAAGATGGTCCCATCACCTCAACTGAGATAACTTTGTGAATCCATTCCAGTTCCAAATTTCCTTGTGAGATTGCCTAAGGTCTCTGTTGCCACTGTGTTGCAGGAATCGGGAGGACAAGAGAAACCTCATGGTAAAGTAGGAGGATCTTTATTGAGTGCACTCAGACCCAGTGGACATAACATCCAAAAAACTGGGCCCAGAACAAAGACAGCACTTGACATTTATACACACTTTAAAAAGGGGGTGGGCTAGCTTGAGTCAGGCTTACAGTGGCATGAAGTGAAAGCAAGGATACAGAGGCAGAACAAAGGCAGTGAATCAAATTGTGACAGGTGCATAACTCGGAATTACATATGACCATTGCCAGGCAACCCAGATGGCTGTTATCTAGGTTATGCCTAGGCACAGGCTTATCCCATAACTTTCACTATGGTGCCCAGGTGGCCTTATCTCAGGCCTGCACAGATGGTTTATGACCTTCACTCCACTGCTTAGGTTAAACAGAATACTTGAAGTCACTAGTTACAGAGAGCAGGAATCTATAAACTCATACCATAAGAGAAAGGAAAATTTGTTTTTCTCCTCGCTATGTTGAGGGAATGCTGGGAGAGTCTCCAGAGCACATTCCTTTGTGTCCTGGCTTCTTAGATAGTATTATCAAGAATTTTCCAGGGTCTGGGCTGTGCCTGTTGCTGCCTCTGGGACAAGTCAGCCTAACACAAGAAAGCTTATTTCTCTTTGTAATTTTATTTCTCTTTCTTTCTTTAATTTCATGCCTCAACTGAATCACAGTCTAACTGCTCCCTCTTTCCATTTCCTCATAGGTGTTATTTCTAAGAGAACGCCCCCCACAAAAACTCTACATACAGATAGCAGACTCTCAGTGCCTGTTTTCAGGAAGCCTGACTTGATATATTTGTTTTCTTATAACTTTCCAATTTTGTGTGATTTCTCAGAGATTATATATAAGCAGTGGTTCTGATAATGATTTAACACTATCCATCTTGGCATTTTTTTCCCTTTCCATAATGCCAACGTATTCTGGGATTCCTTCCTCCTGACTGTTACTTCCTCTTTGTCTATCTTATGGACTCTTCCGTATTTGACTTATTGCTGATTTTGACATATTGTGGGGTTCAATCTTTACCTCTCTTCTCTCTTCTATGTTCTCTTTCTTTATAGACAATGCATGTATTGAGGATTTCTAAGTACTGCATATACTAACATCCTTTCTCAGCTTAGACCTCTATATCCAACTGTTATTGACAATCTTATTTGTATGTCTGATAGGTATTCTGAACTCAGCATGCCCAACACATACTATGTGGCTTTCTCACCACTGCCAGGCTTCAGTAAAACTGTTTTTCTGACAATATTCTCTCTCTCAATAAATGGTATCACTGTGTCTTCAGTTTCTTACTCCAAAGTCAAGTATGCCATCCTTGATTCCTCCTCTCTCCTTTGTTCTCTAAATCCAATTTATTAGGAAGAACCGTTAGCTCTGTCTGCAAAATGCAACCAAATCATAATAATTCTCATATCCACCATCATCCTAGTTCCAGAAGCATGGGCTGAGATTCAAATTGTGTTGCATCTATCCAGTCATTCACACCAAGAATCTATTCCTTACAACAGAATCAATTTGATATTTTTAAATGATAAATGATATCTGTCACTCTCATGCTTAACACTTCAATTACTTCCTCTTTGCCTTTGAATAAAATCCACATTTTTATAATGGCTTACATGGCCCAAAATTATCTACACTCTGTAGGACTCAGCAACCTTGACTCTTTCTTTTAAGGCTGGATGTGTTTCAGCTTTTCTGGCCTTTTTATATTCCAAAAAAATACAAGTTTGTATTCAACTTGAAGCCTGTGCAGAGACTGATAACAATATCTCTATATCCATCCCTTCCTTCTTTCTTTCTGTAATATAACCAACTGAATTGTTTCTGATAACATGCCTGGAAGCTGCAAACTATATTTCTGGCCTCTTTATTGAATTTTGATCAAATCCAGACCAGTGTCATGTAAACCGAGATAATATATATCACTTTCATGTCTGACATTTCCATAATGACTGCTCTTCTGTTCTCTCTTTTACCCTTTACCCTAGCTATGAAATGGTGAAAACTGGAACAACACTGGGGGCCTGGTACTGAGAATGACACAGCCACACAACAAGGTCTTTACTGCAAATCTTGGAGGTGAGCTAGAAACAAACTTCTATCTTATTTAAGCCACTGTGCTAGGGATTTCTTTACCTAGAATGCTATTTCCCCAAATTGTTGCATGACTCTATCCTTTTTATCACTTACTTCTCTAATCAAATGTCCCCCTAAATGGGACTTCTTCTTTCCTCCACCCATTCTAAGAAGCTCTCTATAATTTCACCACTAAGTGAAATTATCTGGTTATTTAGTTTTATTTTGCAAGTTAATGAGAGGAGAAACAAATCTTCCTTATTCACCACTGTTAGCTTAGCAGTTTCAGACCTGAAGTATATACTCTGATATGGTTTAGCTATGTTCCCACCCAAATCTCATCTTGAATCACAATGTGTTGCAGGAGAGAGTTGGAGGGAAGTATTTGAATCACGGGGGCAGGTCTTTTCCGTGCTGTTCTAGTAATAGTGAGTAAATCTCACAAGATATGATGGTTTTTAAAAAAGGAGTTCCCCTGCACAAGATCTCTTCTCTTGCCCGCCGCCATGTGAGATGTGTCTTTCACCTTCTGCCATGAGTGTGAACCCTCCCTAGCCACATGGAACTGTAAGTCCAATAAACCTCTTTCTTTTGTAAATTGGCCAGCCTTGAGTATGTCCTTATCAGCAGTGTGAAAATAGAGTAATACAGTAAATTTGTACTGGGAGTAACGCGCTGCTGAAAAGATACCTGAAAATATGGAAGAGACTTTGGAGCTGGGTAACAGGCAGAGGTTGGAACAGTTTGGAGGGCTCAGAAGAAGACAGGAAAATGTGGAAAAGTTTGGAGCTCCCTAGAGACTTGCTGAATGGCTTTGACCAAAATGCTGACTACAATATGGACAATAAAGTCCAGGCTGAGGTGGTCTCAGATGGAGATAAGGAACCTGTTGGAAACTGGAGCAAAGGTGACTCTTGTTATGTCTTAGCAAAGAGACTCTTGACATTTTGCTGCTGCCCTAGAGATTTGTGGAACTTTGAATTTGAGAGAGATAATTTAGGGTTTCTGGCAGAAGAAATTTCTAAGCAGCAAAACATTTAAGAGGTGACTTGTGTGCTGTTAAAGGCATTCAGTTTTATAAGAGAAGCAGAACATACAAGTTCAGAAAATTTGCAGCCTGACAATGTGATGGGAAAGAAAATCCCATTTTCTGAGGAGAAATTCAAGCTGGCTGCAGAAATTTGCATAAGTAACAAGGAGCTAAATGTTAATCCCCAAGACAATGGGAAAAATGTCTCTAGGGCATGTCAGAGGTCTTCAAGGCAGCCCCTCCTATCACATGCCTGGAGGCCTAGTAGAAAAAAATGGTTTCTTGGGTCGGGCTTAGGGTCTCCATGCTGTGTGCAGCCTACGGACTTGGTGCCCTGCGTCCCATCCACTCCAGCCATGGCTGAAAGGGGCCAACGTAGGGCACAGGCCATGGCTTCAGAGGGTGCAAGCCTCAAGCCTTGGCAGCTTCCACATGGCGTTGAGCCTGCCATTGCACAGAAGTTAAGAATTGGGGTTTGTGAACCTCTGCCTGGACTTCAGAGAATGATGGAAATGCCTGGATGTCCAGGCAGAAGTTTGCTGCAGAGGTGGGGCTCTCATGGAGAACTTCTGCTAGGGGAGTGCAGAAGAGAAATGAGGGGTTGGAGCCCCCACACAGAGTCCCTACTGGGGTACTGCCTAGTGGAGCTGTGAGAAGAGGGCCACCATCCACCTGACCCCAGAATGATGGATCCACCAACAGCTTGCATATTTCTCCTGGAAAAGCCACACACACTCAACACAAGCCTGTGAAAGCAGCCAGGATGGAGCCTGTAACCTGCAGACCCATAGGAGTGGAGCTACCCAAGACAATGGGAACTCACCTCTTGCATCAGCATGACCTGGATGGGGTCAACAGAAATCATTTTGGAGCTTTAACATTTTACTGCCTCACTGGGTTTTTAGACTTGCATGGGGCCTGTAACCCCTTTGTTTTGGCCAATATCTCTCATTTGGAATGGTTGTATTTACCCAATGCCTGTACTCCTGTTGTGTCTAGGAAATAACTATCTTACTTTTGATTTTATAGGCTCTTAGGTGGAAGGGAATTGCCTTGTCTCAAATGAAACTTTGGACTATGGACTTCAGAGTAAATGTTGAAATGAGTAAAGATTTTGGGGGACTGTTGAGAAGGCATGATTGGTTTTGAAATGTGAGTACATGATATTTGGGAGGGACTGGGGCGGAATTATATGGTTTGGCTGTGTCCCCACCCAAATCTCATCTTGAATCACAATGTGTTGTGGGAGGGACTCATGGTAGGTAATTGAATCATAGGGGCAGGTCTTTCCCATGTTGTTCTTATGACAGTGAATAGGTCTCATGAGATCTGATGGTTTTAAAAAGGGAAGCTTCCCTGCACAAGCCCTCTTCTCTCGTCTGTGGCCATGTGAGACATGCCTTTCACCTTCTGCCATGATTGTGAGACCTCCACAGCCATGTGGATCTATAAGTCCAGTAAACCTCTTTCTGTTGTAAATTGCTCAGTCTTGGGTATGTCTTTATCAGCAGCATGAAAACAAACTGATATATACACATTACATTTTTTTGAATTTGGTTAGACAGTAACTATCTTTTATTTGATGATTTTACTATTTAAAGTAAGTAAATTATATAGTAATTTAAGTAGTACATTATGTTTGAATTATTTGTCCTTGCTTAATAGCAAAGGATATCAAATTTTCTTGGAATTAGTATGATTTGTTCTGCACATATATCACTAGAAATACTTAAATATCTGAGCACTAATAGAATAGATGGAAAATAGACAAACAAAAATCCCTTGCATGGAGTTTGCCATTTGTTTTTAAATGGACTAGTAAATTTTCATAGTATCTGCTGCAATTATTATACGTAGTTTATAAAGGACTAGCTATTCTAGATATCAATGGAAAATATTGCTGGTGATAATTTCTCTATGAGAAGTGACCCAACTTTAACTAGTGCTCTATTTTTTTTCTGGGATCTTTATAAAGAAGTTCTTTATTTTGCCATAGGAAGCAGAATCAAATGTTCCTCTATTTACCAACATACAAAAAACAAACAAACAAAAAAGCATGCCTAGCGGAGAACATCGATAATGGCAAAAATAATACAGGCACAAAACCAAGACAAATGCCAGTGCTTAGATAGAGAAATAAATAGAAAGCTACAGTAGCCCAGGGTCAGTCCTATTATCTAATAAATTTTTCAGTAAATATTTTTCCAGAGGATAATGGAGAAAAAAAAGTCCTTTAGAAATCAATGTTACCTAAATAATGCCTTCAGCAAGAACATAAACAAAGATGAAGATTTCTCCAATAGTACTTTTGTAAAAGTAATTCTTGAAAATGGATCATTCTTTTTCATATTCTATGTTATAAAGAAAACATCAGAAATCAAAGGGAGAAGAATATACACACGAAAATACAGAAACTAAGGGTTATAATTACCTTAGTGAAGAGAATGCTGAGTTGTCTCAGTTGTACTTTACAATCCTTGTGCCTCTTTCCTTCTCTCTCTCTCTCTCGTGTGTGTGTGTATGTGTGTGTGTTTGTGTGTGTATGTGTGTGTGTATACACACAGACATAACCCAAATATACATTTGGATACATATCCAAACTGCTATATACAAAATATGTTATGAATATTCTGTTGAAACATATACAAGTAAATTTGTATAGACTTATTTACATATACATATAATTATGTATACATGCTGTAGGAAGTTTGAGGGAGCTGGGGCCTGAGTAGGGGAAAAGAGGTAACCACTAGGTGGCAGTATCACAAGCAAGCCTCATTGGGTGCTACTTTGACATTGCTTGCAGGAGAAGTTACTCACGCAGAAGTTGGTAAAGAGGCTGCTTAGTGGAGAAGGAGGGCAAAAGAACTCCAGGGGAGGGAGGCATTAGAGAGGGGACTTAAGTGTCTAAGTGATACAGTTCAGCAGCATAGCAGGAGTCTCTGAGTCAAAGAGCTCTGAAGGACAGTTGTGGCTTGGAGTTTTAATGGCCTCAGTGCTAAAAATAGCTAACTAGCAAATTTGGTGTGCAGTTCCATGTTTTATGCAAAGCGTAAATGGCTAAACATCTGCTCCTTTTGGCTATTTTAAAAATAATTGGATGTGTACAACTTTTTGAGTTTGGTGCAGTGGGCTTGTGTGCTAATGAATCTTGGCCTGCAGTGTAGCAGTATAGGGCCCAATACACAAAGCCTATCTCTTTGGATCAATTATAGAATAAGTACATCTTTCTTTTTCTTTCTTTCTTTCTTTCTTTCTTTCTTTCTTTCTTTCTTTCTTTCTTTCTTTTCTTTCTTTCTCTCTCTTTCTTTTTCTTTCCTTTCTTTTCTTTCTTTCCTTTTCTTTCCTTCCTTCCTTCCTTTCTTCTTCCTTTTTCTTTCTTTCTTTCTCTATCTTCCTTCCCCCTTTCTTCCTTTCGTTTGTTCTCTCTCTCTCATCTGTCTATCTAAGTCTTATTACAGTGTGGCATCAGATATTCTAAACAATTTTTTGTCATATCTGTAGGATCATAATTTTAAAAAACTCTCTAGTTATTTTTATATTGAGATGTTTGTCCTAAACAGACTTTGTGTGTTAACCCTTAAACACTGCTTCTATTATACACATATAACTGCATAAAAATGTTTTGAAAATTGATTTGCCAATTATAAAATGTGTGAAATGCCTAAGTCCTTTAAACTTATAATTCTAGTTTTAATGTTTTTCTACAAGACATCATTAAGAAAGTTAAAATTAAGAAAAGATTTATTTTCAAGACATCTAATCTTAGAGCTCTTCATAATAACAGAACTTGAAAACAAGTAGTATTTCCAATAAGGTTATGGCTAAATAAATAGTAGAAATGATAGTTTGTGAAATTAATTATCATTAAAATACTAGAAAATTCTTCCTTTATATTGTAAATTTCATGAGACCAATAACTTTTTGGTTTTGTTCACTGTTCTACAAGTTCTAGAAAATTTCCTTGTATATAGTAGAACTCCAGTAAATATTTATTGATTGATGGAGTGATCTCCACTATATAAACTGCATAGAAAAAACAGCCTACAAATATATTGTAAAACACTAATAGAAGTTACATAGGATTGACGTGGTTATATTTTTATTTTGTGATTGGATTTTATAATATTTTTTGATATATCAACTTTTACAGATTAATCAAACTTCTCCAATAATTACATTTAAAGTAAACCAGAGGTATTAAACCATGGTTAGTAAATTTTTTTCTATAAAATACCAGGACTTGATTTGTCCCTGCCTAACCCTGCTTTCTTACTGTCTTCTGCAGGTATTGACTCCAATTCACTCCTTTGATAAGCCTACTTGTAAAATAAGGTCTATCTTGGAGGCTTGTTTCCAGGAAACCCAAGCAACATTTACTGATTGTGTCTCATACTAGATTAAAACTCTGCAACAGCAGGGACCATTTCTGTTTTCTGTAGCAGTATATAATCAGTCCCAGCACAGTAGGTAGTAGCTGGCAGGCTCTCAATAAATATAACTTCATATTATGTTGTAGAATAATTAAAATGAGTTGTAGAACAGATACTGATATAATATATGTTAGTAATTTAAACAATAAGTAAAAAGAATGTAGCAAAATTAATAATGTAAATCAATTATGTAAAATACCTATATATACACAACATAAAAATCGATAGGAAACTACTAACATCTCTAATTGTGGATTAATAATTTTCTTTGACTTTTTGATTATCTATATTAAATGCTTTTACAGTTACAATTTTTAAAATTGGGCCGTTACAATTTCTAAAATTAAGTTATTAAATATATGGTCATTGAGGGCTTCTCATTGTAGCAGTTTTAAGCATTAGGTATATAGAAGTGAGCAAAATGAATGAGAGTTGGGATAGAGTATGACTGAAGGGTTCATCACTCACATGTCTGCTATTTGGGCTGAAATGATGAGTGAGGAGAGAGTTGGTCCAACATCAGTGTTTTTCTCCGCTTAGCTTCCTCGTGTAACTGTCTTGCTGTTTCTCACAGAGCAGAAGTCTCCAAACATTAAAACATTTTATATGGTGACTGGCTTCCTCATTGTGTACATACCAAAAGATTCGATAGAAGCTGCCAAGTTTATTATGATCTAGCCTCAAAAATCCTCCAGCATCACATCTGTTCTATTTTATTCATCAAAATATGCACAGAAAAAGGGAGGGCATGAATGAACTCCATCTTTCAATGAGGATAGATTTACATACAGGAGGGAAAGAATGGATGGCTCTTATCTTGAAAACAAGATAATATGTAATCCTTCAATCTGTGTTTTAGGTATGTATCTGATCCAGTTTTAAGGCCTGTTTATTTTGATAGATGAGTTATTTGATACACATATACCTAAGTTAGATATGTTTGGACTTAGTTTTCTCACAGTATTTTAGGACACATTGTCTTTGTAATGTTTCCTTTACAATATATTAGATATAGAGTATTACTTATATTTAGAGGTTTTGAAGGTTAATATTTGTTGCCTTTTTATAATTTGGAAGGTTTGAATTTGTTTTACTTGTGGTAGTGCTTGCCTTTAAGACAATTTATTTAAAAACATATGTTTGAAGATAAAGTGAAATATTTATTCTTGATTCAGCAACTGAAGTAAATGTCTAATGACTCCCTGTACTGAGTAGAAAAATTAGTACAAATTTATTTTCCTTCTCTATGACCTCTCTGCTGATAGAGTCTCGATTCAAGTTGATTGCTTTGATACTTTGATATCTTTACTTCATTTAGTTTCTATTTAAATAACGCATGTTGATCTTTATTAGTTATGTTTGCAGCTTTTCCTAATTATAAATATGTATACCATTAAATTTTTACAATTAAAATCACCCCAATATTTACTATTATTTTTCTTTTAAAACAGATTTCAAATTTCTGCCCTTTTAATAAAGTTCTGCTCTCAGCTAATGATTGGCTGAAGCTCAAAGAAAGTATACTTTTTGACTTCAAGCAATGTTAGTATATCTATTTTTCAAACCTTAATGACAGTTGAAATCATACTTCTATCTCATTTTCTTTCTCTGAGAACCCTATAGGTGTATAGATATTGCTCGATTTTCTCCCAGCATTGAACATTCTACCTAAAACATGTTATACTTTATCAATTTGCATATTTAATTGATAATATATTGAGGGATATTTTGTCTTCCTTATCCAACACTTTAACTCTCATCTCTTAACATTTTTTTATTTTCATTATGCTTGACTTTTTTTGTATACAATATTTGAATTGATGTACATAAGAATATTAAACTTTAGATTTTACCAAAGCCTCCAGAAAAGCAGAATAGATCTCTGCCTTCTTGCTAGAGGACAGTGGCTTAAGTTACATGGAGACCATGAAAGAGCTTACCTGAAATGGAAGTCTTACAAGATAAATCTTGTTTTTTTCAATATCTGTGCCTAGCTCTGCTGATTACCTCTTAATATATAACCCTAAGTAAATCCCAGCATAGCCTATATAGTGAAATTGAGTCATAATGGTAGGAAGAAAACATTAAAAAAAAAAAACTACTAAAGCCAGCAGTTTCTGGGATTTCTTCTTAAATTTGGAAATAGTGAAGACAAGAATTACATTTGACATATAAATGTAGAAAGGATAAGGAGACTCAGTAAACTGGGAAGATTAGAATGAATTTACTGTGTCAGACTTAAGCCAGAAGGACATTGAGTTGACTTGCATCAATCAAACAATAAGAAAAGCAATACTAAGTGCAGGGAGAAGCTCCGCGCTTCCTGTCTTCTGTGAGCCGGAGCTGACAGTGAATGATAATTAGTGAAGCTTGCAGAATTCCGGTGACCTGGATGTTTTCTGACATTCATTCTGAGATAACAACTTACTGCACCCTGCACTTCCCATCATTACAAGAGATGCATAGTAGCTGGTGAACCACTTTGGATTTTGGAGACAGGATCTGCCTCATTTGGCCATACTGCTCTGACCTATTTATCAGGGAATTGAAATACTAGTGCCACTGCGTGCCACGGCTCTGTAGCAAGATCAGGTTGTTTTTAAGGTTACTTTGCCCCTCAGCAGATCTAGTGATGCTAGAGAATTAAGAGTAGATAAAGATCATGTATTGGGTCTCTAGAAAGTCCCAGTTGGAGAGCTGCAGGACAGATCCTTGGAGTTCTGTGTCTTTTGCAGCATAGACATACTCCCCATTTGAGGAGTATGTCAAAATTCCTAAAAATTTTGAATGTTAATAGAAACTAAACACTTAACCTGGAATAGTGAATGTGCAGCTTGAGATGCCTGTTATGAGCTGGAAATTTTCAGAACGAGCAACTTAAAAAATTAGGCAGGTGCAGCATAAATCTCTCATATGACAGAAATATTATAGATAGAATTAGGTCCACAATAGGCTAGAGTTAACAATTTAGATAACATAATTAAGCTAAATGCACAGGAGCTCAGATTCCCTTGTTATTTATCTCTTTTGAACTGACACTTCTTCCTCAGCTCACATCTATGTACAGACTTCAAGTATAGTTTCTTATCTTCAGCTGTGGCTAAGGGAGTAAGAAATACCCTAGATCTGTTTCACAAACTGGTTAGTTTGATGTGTTTTCATGGCTAAAGTGTTCGCTCATTACATCTCCACTGAAGGTGGCACTAAAAGTTAGTGGTGAGAGGAAATTCTGCTCTTTGAGGAGCACACTTGATCATGTCATGTAGGTGAACCACAACAACAAAAAAATTTGAGATAGGATATTCATAAACTTGTGGCAGTAACAAATGACATGGCTGTTTTTTCAGAGCCCTGGGCTAGCTCCGGACAGGACAGTGGTCCTGAGGATGTGGCATGTATATGGACCAATGGGGGTTTTCTGATGCTAGTACTTCTTTTTTTTTTTTTTTTTTGCGACGGAGTCTTGCTCTGTCGCCCAGGCTGGAGTGCAGTGGAGCGATCTCGGCTCACTGCAAGCTCCGCCTCCCAGGTTCACGCCATTCTCCTGCCTCAGCCTCCCCAGCAGCTGGGACTACAGGTGCCCGCCACCGCGCCTGGCTAACTTTTTGTATTTTTAGTAGAGAAGGAGTTTCACCGTGTTAGCCAGGATGGTCTAGATCTCCTGACCTCGTGATTCGCCCGCCTCGGCCTTCCAAAGGACTGGGATTACAGGCGTGAGCCACCGCGCCCGGCCCTTCTGATGCTAGTACTTCTAATTAGCAAATTAGAGATATTGAAATCACTTCTTTAAAGCCTAACTAAAGCAACAACTTGGTGACAACAATCTATATGAATAAGTTGTCTTCTAAAACATGGTATATTGTTGAACCAATGGCCATTTAATGATCCTGTGTTCTTAGTTCATGAATATCAGAACTAGGGAGAGGAGGATTGACCACTGTCAATCTTTGTTGTCACCAACCACTTGGAGAATTTTTTTTTCTTGTCCCCAGAATTTAAACCCGATCATAATTATGGCCCCAAGTATAGATGGGGTACAATAAGAATTCCACTGAACTTTAAAACTATGTCTGTCATCTGATTATTTTGGGCTACTCATGTTATTAGACTAACAGACAAAATAAGAAATTACTATATTTCTAGGGTAATAAACCTTGATCATAGGGGAGCAATATAGTTACTGCTACATAATGGAGGCAGTGCGGAAAGTATCTGGATATTGAGGAGTTTACTAGGACATCTTTGGGTGCCTCCATGCTCAGAAAAAAAAAAAATGTAAATAGGCAACTGAAAAAAATTGTACTTTGAAAAGTAAAGGATTCAGATTCATTGTTAATGAAGGTTCCTGTCACCCCACTGAGAAGGAAATATAGACAAATTGAAGTTCTTTGTTGAGGGTGAAGAGAATATAAAATTAGTGGTATAGAAGGAAAATGATAATAAGTAAAATAGCTTGTTCTTCTGACCCTTTAATTTTTAATGATTTTTTTTAAGATTATGGCAAGCCTTTGCCCAGAAGCATCACCAAGAGAGTGGGTTCAGTGCAGAGAATGAGAAGATCTGGGGCTCTCACTGTAGCAAACCCTGTCATCAATATCCTGCCCCATATCCTTTCAGCCCACATGTTCTCCAAGATATTTCTCAGCATAATGTCAGTTTCCCACCTGCTACTTTTATAAGCTTGCTTAACCACATTCACCTACAAAATGAAAAGATTGAGGTCAATATTCCAGGAGTTAATATCTCCTGGGGTGACTCTGAACCAATGCACAAGATAATTGTTTTTTTAAAAAAGGCCCAGCTTTCCTGTTCTCTTTCAACACTATTCTGAAAAATATTCCATATGGTTTTGCATATCCCCAAAAGGATTAAATCCCAGTAGCCCACATCAATAGTAAGTCCATTAATTCATTAATGCACTTTTTATCTGCCTTTCTCCTTCCCATGCCTCATTTTCTTTGCTTCCTGAGTTTTACTTCCTGAGGCCATGTCCCATATAAACTACCTGCCCCCAAAAGGCGTTATCTTAGAATCTGGTGGGATGCTAAGGGTATATGTGTGTGTATGTATATATATGTGTGTTATACGTATGTTATATATACACATACATATACACACACATGTACACATACACACACACACATATCTATATGCACACATAAATCCTAGGTAGCTTAAAATAATTGTAATAACATGATATTTTATAAAATATTCGTACCTCATTTATATGGAATTCTCTATTATTCTCAGTGCCATCAAATATTTTGTTAGAAAAATATTATGTAAATGAAAGAATGGCCCAAAATAAGCTAATTCAACTCTTCACCCATCTAAGATGTGTATACAGCAACAGCAGATTTTCTGTCACAATATTAGACCCAGAGACAAAAGCTACCTCTAAGAGAAAGACATGTTGTTTATTGTAAAACTTCGACCTTGCCAGATTACTTAATGAGGAGAAAATATACAATTAGACAATGGGAAAACATGCTAATTTTCATTCTCATCTAGTGCAGGCTCATTCTCAGAAGAAAAATAATATTAAATAAGTTTGACCTTAAGCTTGCATACAATAAATCAGATGGTGAACTGTATTGATGTTATATTCCCCAGTTAAATACATACTTGAGTATTTTTTTAGATTAAATTGTCTTTCTCAACAAACTGCAGCACACGCCATTTCTGCAAGAAAACTATTAGCTATTCAAAGCATTATACATTTTACCATGACTCTCAATATCATGTATATCTTAAATTATCTTATAAGCTCTTCTAAATTTAAATAAACCTTAGAAATCTTGCCTTACTACAAGACTAAATAGCAGTTTTAATGGAACTGAATTAGATCTGAAAGAAAAATAGGAGGGCTTATGCTTTTATATTTGTTCTTATTTAATATCGCTAGGAAAATTTTAAGTAAAAATTACATTAAATTCCAATACCCATAAACATATGTTACATAGTGTAAGTGAAAAGTATATTTTGTTAGAATATTGCTTTCTACAAAAATACTGTCCTTACAACTCATCAATCTTTGCACAACTATGAAATATTTGCGATACACTATTTTGTTCCTCATTTTCATGAATTGTATGATGTATACACTAATTGTACCAACCCATATGTGAAGACTACATGGGTAAATATTTGAAACCTTAAGACAGCACCTGGGTATATAAAGCTTGAGCATTGCTTATTCAAAAATCTAAACACTGATATGCTCCCAAATCAGAATTTTTTTGTGCACCAACATGATGCCACAGTAGAAAAACCACACTTTATGTGCTGGGTTTCAGTCAAAACTTGTACTCATGTGCTGGGTTTCATGCACAAAATTATTTGAAATACTGTATGACACTACCTTCAGACTATGTGTATATAAGACATAAATGAATTTTTGTGTTCAGACTTGGATCCCATCCCCAAGACATCACTTTATGCATATGCAAATATTCCCAAATCCAAAAAACTCAAAAATACTTCTGGTCCCAAGCACTTAAGACAAAGAATATTCACCATGTATGAGTATTTTATTAGGAGCAAAAAATTAATTTAATTTTAAATAACATTTATATGAAACAAAGTAATAAGGGATGCACTTTCTTCTAAGCTAAAATTGTTAGAGTTGTACTCACCAAAGTAGTCCATATTTAATATTTAATTCTGTATAGGGGTAATACATTTTAACCTGTGTGAAATATAAGTTGGTACCTATTTCTCACAAAAATCACTTGGTTGGAAATCTCTGTGGATGACTCAAATAAAAATATATTTCAGAATTATTCAAATACGTACATTGTTGAATCCTGGTACTGAACTGGGCCGAGCTTCTGAGGTGCTGGGTGTGGTTTCTGGATCCCTGGAGGAAGACCTGCTCTTAGCCAGAGGCTTACTTGCACTTCTTTGGTACTTTTCCCATCTACTAGGTGAACTCTAAATTCCTTCCCATTGAATATAGGCACGACTTAATTACGTATTCGAAAAATTTAATGTAGTGAAAGTTAGAATTCTGGGACTTTTCAGGTTAGTTAAAAGAAGCTGTGGAAATTCCAATTAAAAAGAAGCTGTGGAAATTCCAAGCAAACCAATAGGAATACTTACCCTGAGGGCCCTGAGTTCAACTCTAAGAAAGTCAACTATCCCAAGAAGGCCATGCTAAAGAGGCCACAGCTAGGCACTCTGTCAACAATCTTTATTTTGTAGGGTCAGCACTGTCACTTAAGGTAGTGTAGCAAATATAAAAATGAACCTCATTTATTTTCTTGAGGAAATTTTCAGTCAAAATGTCGGAAGTGCTGGCCATTTTCTTTCAGCCAGAAATAATGAAATAGCCAGGACAAAGAAATGAGCCATGACAGCAACTGTTTAGTTTTCAAGCACAATGAAAAGAAATATCATGGAATCAAGAATTGAAGGATTTGAAAATAAAATAATTTCTTTTTCACAGCCTGTTTTGACATGCCCCAAAAAATGTTCTTAAAGGGAGAAATAACTTCGGGGCAAAATTATCTTAACTTTGAGGCTTTAAAACTAAGAATTCAGAAAGGTTGAAGTGTGTGTCCCATAGATATTCTTGACTAGATAACAAGTTTCCTAAAACTCTTAAGCACACCGCCAACAACCTCATGATTCTTAGCCCAAGGCAAATAAGGACTAAATTCGGAGTTTTGTGGTTCGGCATTTATTTAATGAACCAAACCCAGATAAGAGTCACAGAAAAATTAATATTTTTATAAAACACTTTTCCTGGCAGAAGCACAGAGACAATTCAAAATAAGAAGAGTCCTTATTCTACAGGCAAGTCATAGGCTGAAAATACCATGCAGCTGTAAACATGAGTGATTTGTTATGTAAAAGTGGGACTCCGGAGAAACTGAGATCTCGGAGGGCAGGGGCAGGAGATGTAAAGGAGCATTCCCAGGAAGCAGCCCTGAGCCTGCAATTCTTTCCATTCAAGGCTCTAGAAACATGATTCTTGCTAGATTTCAGAAATGTGGTAGATCACTTACTATTGCTTCCTATGTCTTTCTTTTTTGAACAGGAGGATTTATTGCATTCACTCTGTCTCTGTCACATCTTTTTATATTGAGTATATGGGGGAAGATAACTACTTCCTTGTTCACACGACTTCAAGTTGAGAGGAAAACAGTGAGAAAACCTGAATCTGTTTAAAAGTTTTGAGATCCTGGTATTGCATCTGGTTCCATAATTAGATATGACTTTTAAGGTACTTAAGAAAGGATGATAGTATCTTTTAAAGTGGAAGAAATTTAAATTATTAAATTTTATATTATAAATTATAATTATAGTGTAATATATAATTACATATTACACATACTATGATCATTTATGTGTTATAAAATATTACAATATAATTATATTGTAATATATAGTATATTATAATAATTTATAATGTATAATTGTAATAATTATAGTATAATGTGTAGTATACTGTAATAATTTATAATGTATAAGTGATCATTATATATAATGTATTTTATTTATTATAGTTATATATGTAAATTTTTTTCCAGTAGGCAGATTAGAAAAGATAGCAAATTTTTTGCTGCTCTTTCTGTTGAGAGGTGGACCCTAATTTCTCTCCTTTTGAATCTTAGCTAGATTTGATGACATTCTTGGTTATTATAATATGGTAGATAATGTTGTGGTAATTTCAATGCTAGGTCATAAGATCGCGTCTTGCTAGTGCATGAGCCTCTTGAAACCTTCCCTCTGGGAGTCAAGACCTAGATTGTGAGAAGCTTGATTTCTCTGAGATCACCCTCATGGAGGGTCAGTTTAGACACTATTTCAGCAGAGTTTCAGCAGAGCTAATCCTTCCAGCCAACCTCATCAAGGCTAAAGACATCTGTGTGAAGCTGTATTGAACTCTAAAGAACATCTCTTCTGCCAGTAGAAGAACATTGGTGACATCCATCAATGTCACAAGAAACACAATAAGTGCCTAATCTCTGCCTGAACTTCTAACCCACAAAATTCTGACAAGTAGTGAAGTGATTGCTTTTTAAGCTACAAATATTTTGAGCACTTCATTATAGAAAAATTGATTACTAGGACAAAGGCTTGCCAACATTTTATGTCTCCCCAGCTCAAAAAAGCGTCATTTAAAAAAATCCTCCAGCATTAAATTGCATATGGTTTTGCAGACAAAATGCTGATTATTTTTATTATTATATTATGCTTATGTATACTCTCTTACCATTTTTTCATCTTCCCTTTTTTGGTCAAAAGCTACAGTGATAAACCTAATTAAATATCTTAGTAAAACTAAGATATTCATTACAGGTATCATGGAATCTCATCTTAACTATTTCAGGAGTTTAATTAGGTATACTGTCGCTCTACTGCTTCACCATACAGAGCCTGTCTTTATTATTGCCTTTAACTTAAAAAAAATATTTATTTATATTTTCCACTGGAATGCAAGTTTCTTGATATTGCTGTCCCCATATTCTACTTGTTTTCAATTACTCTGAATTATTTGCATGATTAAATTGCTAAACACTTTGTTGCAGTAGCAACAGACAAAAAATTCAAATTTTCATGTGAAGCTGAAATGCTGTTAAATTCAGGTGTGGTAGTGATTTTGAATATGATGTTTCCATTCTATTAGGAGACCTGTCAGGACCTTCTAACTTTGTGAATGATCAACTAAAAGTTGACCGAATATAAAATGAGGATATCAGGCCAGAGACTCACAAGTTTTCTATAGGTGAGACTTTTAGTTTCCACAAGGGCCCTCCTGTCTGAAGGAGAATGAGCTACAAAAAAAGGCACTACTTTTTTTATTAATTAGTTTTATTTTTAATACCAAACAAGGAAATGCCTATAGATGATATTGGTTGAATAACCTGTGATATATCGATGCAATGTGGAATACACACACATACACACACACATACCCCTATGTATATTCTGCTGCATATATCTACTTATTTTTTAACATTGTAGTCTGTTACTCTGAGATTTACTTTCTTCATTGAGCTGTATAATTTGGACATATTTTTGGTTGAGTTCCCAGACTTTTTGCCCATTGGAAGACAATTTTTTTGTATTGCTATTAATGCAAAAACAAAGTTAAATATCATTAGTCAAGTCCATTAACTACATTGTTAGCGTACAGCTAGGGTAATTTTTGGCTTGAATTTGGTTTACTTTTCTTTGCTCTCTGTCAGCAGGCTGTGTGTTTGTCCACTTGTCTTATTTTTTAAATGTAGATTTAAGGGTCCAAGTGCAGTTGTGTTACATGGATATATTACACATTGGCAAAGTCTTGGTTTTTAGTGTACTGATCACCTAAATAGTGTACATTGTACCAAACTGGACCTATTTCATCCCTTATCCCCCCTCCCACCCTTCCACATTAAAAAAGGCATTATTTTCACAGCTATCTCAATCCTGTCACTTGCACTCAACTCCTACTCATTAACTCAATTCTTCTTTATTAACAAGAAGGATCATGCAGGATACTTACCCTCCCCACATGTGTAGGAGCGTTTGCTACTGGATCCCAGAGAGTCATCCCTTATCTGAATCTGGTCTTCCTCCAGAAAGCTATGTCTCTATCACCATACAATCTTCGTCATTAAAACTGACAAAAATTGTGAAGGGTACATTCTGGTATGGTTTGAATATTTGTCTTCCTCAAAACTCATGTGAAATTTAATTTCTATTTTGATAGTATTTGGCGATGAGACCTTTAAGAGGTGTTTAGGTCAGGCTACACCCTTGTGAGTGGACTTATACCATTATCGTGGGAGTGTGCTCTCCTCTCTTGCTCTTTCTCTTGCTACTCCATCTTCCACCATGTGATGCCTTCCACCATGTTGTGATAAAGAAGACCCTCACCGGATGCCAGCATGTTATTCTTTGTTGTTGTTGTTGTTGTTGTTGAGACAGAGTCTCGCTCTGTCACCAGGCTGGAGTGTGGTGGCGTGACCTCGGCTCACTGCAACATCCAACCCCCTGGTTCAAGCAATTCTCTTTTCTCAACCTCATGAGTAGCTGGGATTACAGGCATGTGCTACCATGCTCAGCTAATGTTTGTATATTTAGTAGAGATGAGCTTTCACCATGTTGGCCAGGATGGTCTTGATCTCCTGACCTCATGATCCACTCGCCTCGGCCTCCCAAAGTGCATTATAAATTTTCCAGTCTGTTGTGTTATGTTATAGCATTGAAAAACTAACTAAGATACATCCCAGTAAATTAGTCTGTGACTGTTTCAAGCATGCTGTCAAAAGACAGGAAATTCCGGGATAAGAAACAAATTACAAAGGACATTATTTCCATGGCACAGAAAGTAACACGAACATCAGTATATTTATGTGTGCAGTCCTGGGATAGCTCCAAGTCTGATGGCAGTAATGTGATGTTCCCAGTTGAATTCCTACATACCCAGTGGGTTTGCGTAGCAGCTTTGGACCACTGGGTTTGAGGTATCCAACCCTTTTATATGAGCAGAAAGAATTGGTGCAGATGGAAATGTTACCTTGCCTCTGTCAAGGATACCAACTGTGTAAAAAACTCTGAGAAATGACCCAGGTAAGAGAGTGCTCAGGGCTTCGATTGGACCATCCAGAAACATATGGAGAACCACAAGAGGCTCAAAGATTCTACCTCCCAACAAGGTGGTAACTACGTACTATATATGATGCCCTATGTATTATTATTTATTTGTATTCTGGGTAGTAGAAACAAACAAAAATGCAATGCATCTTAGCTCCTAGAAACTCCAAACTTTTTTTTCTGTCTATTGCTTTCTCTTAGTTCTTTTCTTAGGCTTGAGTAATTTTGTTTTAAACATGCATTGATTAGCTTAGCACTCAGACAAAAACATTGCTTTGTATTGTTCTCCAGATTGTTGAGTTCTCTCACTTCTACATAGTATTCTACCTTACAAAATCTATCCATGTAGCCTTCTCTGAATTCTAGTTTCTTTTTCCTCAGTCCAACAGTTCTGTCAGCTCTGGTTTGATTCCCCCTTTACAATATCATGTACCATTAATTTCTTTTAGGAAGTGAGCTGGGGTAATTGCAAGGTTCACTTTGCTTCTTTCCTTTCTTACAGAGATTGTATTATTTGCTCCTTAATACCTATTATCTGAAAATTATGTTTTCATGTATATTAATGTATATCTTTTAAAATTTGCTTTTTTCCCTTCTTTTTTTCAGTAAGAGGTTAACAACTGTCTTTGTTAATTTATAAGCAGAAATTTCTGTTTTCTTGTTTAAAACAACTGAGGATTATTGATTCAAAGTGCTCTATGGTATAGCTACATTTTATTCTTCACAAATCAGACATAATTAAATAATATTTCCATCATTTTAGTGCTTGAATCTGATAGTTTAAGAAGAATATTTGAAATTATGCATTACTACAAGTTACTTATATGTCTTTACCCTACCTATCTTGACTTGATAATAAAGATTATCCTTTTAATGATACAGTGCAACATCACAGGAAACCAAAGAACTGACTTTGTGTGTAGGTAAAACACACTATTACATTGACTCCTATTATATCCACTCAGAAACTGGATTCTTTAGCATGTTGTTGAAACTGATTAGCTAATATTTTATTTTGGGAATATAAATATACTTTGAAATGTGACAATTAACTATATTTTTCACAAATTAGTGTTCAAACAACTGAAAACTATTTTATAGGCTACAGTTTAGGTAGGAAGTCTTCTCAATGCCATATTTTTTAAAAAAGTCTACTATAGACAAAATATTGCCCATCAAGGCAAAACTGTCTTGATAATAGATATCCATTAATCAAACACACTGCAAAAATATATAATGGAGAATTATGCTGAAAGACATGATAAAAATTGAACACATCTTTCTGATAAAAGCTCATAGCAGACTAGAAATAGAAGAATGCAGTGTTAACAAGATATCTTAAATTAGCAGCTCATATATTTCTAAACAATGAAGCCATTAGGTTCTTTAATTAAAATCTGGAATATGACAGAGTATATGCTATAGTGCTTTTATTAAGGAAATAAGAAATACAGTTGAGTAAAATGAGTCGGAATTATTCCTATTGTAGAATATTTGAATATCTGCCTAGAAAATTACAGAAAGTAAACAAAATACTATAAAAAGTCACAATAAAGTGTAAGGTATTTGACACAATTGTGTCCTAAATTATCCATAAAGTGGCAACTACAATCTAGAAAATATGCTTGAAATAGTCAAAAGTTAAATTTGACAAGCGAAATACATTTGGTATGCTTCTTTTAACTTTTCAAACAAATTCGTGTAAAAGTACACCCTGAATTGGAATGAAATCATAAGTTAAATCAAAGAGAAGACCATAAATCAAAATCCAGGCATACTGCTCCCTGACAACATTACTAGTGGCTAGTGAACTCAACTGGAAAAGGACAGAAGAGAAATGCACAGACACAGACAGAAAATGTTATATTTTACACTTTCTTTTATGCACCTATTCTACATATCCAGGGGCTGAGCTAACCACAAAAACAGGTATTTGTTAATATCACCAACTCCAGATATACAAAGAATATAGCTCTTTCAGATTTTTTAAATACTTATCAAATATTCCCTTACTACATTAAATTAGGAAACGGAAGTCCCAGAAAATAACTAGGCAGAAAGATAATGGAAAGGCATTTCGTTTATGGACCTCAGTCACTTATGAAAACATTATAAACTTGCTACAGACAGGAAAAGGATTGGGAAGACTATATGCTGGCAAGCATTGTGTTTCATATGCAAAATTCTTCCTAGAAAATCTGCCACTCAAAACAGGAGAATAGTTTTATAAAAACCAGCTACTCTGAACTAAATGAATGCCTATTGTGAGGTATAAATTGAAAGAGAAAGTTTTTAGGAAATCTTGAACTTTACATACTCAAAAAGAACCTTGCCAGAACCTACGTGTATGGCGAGGGGTACAAAGAAAATCCTGCAAATTTGTTTATTTTAAAACTTTCTACCTAGTGAATATATCTTCAGACAAAAATCAGTACAAAGAAAAAATATATCAATAATCAAGCTGAAGGAATTATTGTAGCAAAAAGAACGAAAAACATCATTTTTAAATAGAATTAAACTGTGTATGTCTACAAATAGCATTGCCCAAACAATATATTTGATGTTATTTGTTGTTTTCCAAACAGAAATGTAATATGATAACATTTGTATGAAATAGAAGTAACAGAGAATTTTAAAAGTAAAACAGGATGATTTCTAGGGGGGCGTAAAGGACTCTTCCTGAAAAAGGAAAATATTAGAAGATAAAAACAAATGATTAAAGACAGCTAACATCTCTCTGATGGTTGTTAATGATGTGCAACAATTTTGCTGTGTACGAGAATCAGATATGCATGAGGTCAAATTGAGCTCCCCTAAGCAACAAATTATTTAATATTAAATAGGTTATCTTGATCTTTCTGCAGTTTATTTTCGTGTGTGTGTGTGTGTGTGTGTGTGTGTGTGTGTGTGTGTGTGTATGAAATATTGAAATGAGTATACAGGAACCCATTTTGAACTATTTGAACTAACATAGAAAACAATTATACTCGAGGAGTTGTGTCTGCATGTCTGAGTGTACAATAATTTAATGAGATAAATGTAAAACAATTAGCCTAATATAGATTTAAAATTAAAATAAATAAATATTTTATTGTTAATACTAAAATGTAGGTTTTATATTTAAGAATATTTTGTGAAAATTACAGGAAAACTTTCATGCCAATGATTCCTAACAAAAACTACGTTTCAGACACTCCTATTGATGTTATGAGACCATCTAGAAATAAAGACACATCCTGATAAAGAAAACATGTATACTCAAAAATACAAATCTGTATGAAAATAATACAGTATAATTAAAGATGAAATTACCAAAGAATGCAAGGATAGTGCAACATCAGACACTGTGCTGATTTGTTACATCAACAACTAAAAGGAGAAAATTATGATCACATCAAGAGATTTTAAAAAGGTATTTAATAAAATGCATTAGTAATTGTAATCAAATTTCTAAGTAAATTTTTTAAATGTAAAAGCCTTTCTAGAAGAAACACATAGCTGAAATTAGTCTAAAGATGAAATATAAATATCAATTTCGTTAACATAATGAACAAGATAGGATGCCAAAAGCACTATTATTTTTCAATTCTTAAAAAAATGTATAGGGATTACAATAAGACAAAAAAATAAAATAATTGAAATATGTTTTATATAATTGTGAACCTAAAAGGAATAGTAGAGTTAAAAAACAAACGAAACTCAATTTAAGAAGGAATGCAGTAAGATCATTGGATACAAGATACATACAAAAACAAATCAAGTTATTTTCTATTTTTACAATAACAAATACAAATTTGTAATATGTATATTAAATTACAGCATTGAAACTACCTAAAAGTAATAAGAAATATATTTGATAAGAAAGGTAACTATCTAAATAAAAATTCCAAATTGCATATTTAAGGACATAAAAATATTTGAATAATATAAATAATACCATTCATTTGGTTGGGAAAATATTACGTTTAACATGAATAATTATCCAAAGTGATTATATTTATAATGTTATTTCAATTAGTATTTATATGTCTATACACTATTTCCAAATATATTTTATTGGGTAAGAAATAATTAAACCCTATTTTGAATGAAAAATCTCTGAAAAATAACAGAGAGACTTACAAATAAAATATCTCAACTTCTAGTATCAAATTGGGTTAAAGATAGACACATATATCAATATAAAAGAACTTATAGTTCAAAAAGAGTTCTAGTGTTATATATTCATAAATTTATAACAAATATAATGTTTCAATTATAACGGAAATGGATTATTTCAAAAATAATTTAAATTAATGTATATTAGCAAATGTTCTAGAAAGATTTTTAATGATACTTCCACTTCCTTAGTCTGCACACACTTTAAGTTCAATAAAGTTTATAATTATTGATGGCAGAATGGGGATAAACATGGAAATTATGAGATTATTGGTGACTTTGAGTAATGAACCAGATGGGTGACCAAGCAACGTCATTTTCTATTTGAGATAACTAAAGTTTATCTTCGTTCCTTCCTTCCTTCCTTCTTTCCTTCCCTCCCTCCCTTCTTCCCTTCCTTCCCTCCCTCCCTTCCTCCCTCCTCCTCCCTCCCTCCCTCCCTCAAAAGAAGTGGCAACAAACTATACCACTAGTCATTGCATTCTTCAATTCGATTCATTCTCAGTCACAAAAAAGGGGGCTGTGCTATTTCATTTAAAATGGTCCTTGATAAAGCACTAAGGATTTAAAATATTATTCATATCTGATCTTTGAGTACATCTTTTTAATCTTCTCTTTGACAAATGAGTACCTATAATGCCCTTCTACATTTCAAAGTATGGGAACTGTCTTGAGAAAAAACAGTCATACAGTGGTTTAATTTTTAGTGAAATAAGCTATTTTTTAAAATCATGCAACCCTGTTTCTACTTTGGAAAGGAACTAGTAAGCAAGATATGGTCATTCGAACTTTATATTAGCAGACGTTTTCTCTAATGGAATGAAGTGAGTTTGAAGATTTAATTAGATAATACATGTAAAATACTATAGTACTGACTTAAAAGAATCAATAGTCATAATAATATTATGAAAATATATATCTATTTTGTGTGTAAAATATAGAGTCTTGTAAAACTTGTACGTGATAACAGGAACTTAACACCTCCCCAATACCTAAAGACTTTCTGATGAGGATGGTTGCATTAATAGCAAATGTAATTTTTAAATTTTGTATAATTAAAACCGTCAATAGTTAAAATATCTGCATAATTCAGTGAACCAACTTAGGTTCATTAAAAGTGCAAGTAGGCCAATATATTTTAATAAAATAGTACCAAAAAGTTTATTGATTTGCTTTTAGATTTGTGTTAAAATAATCATAATGTAATTATCAAATCAAGGAACCAATCAAGAATTGTGTATACTCTTATTAGATACTACACCAGAAAGTATCTAAGAGAATATCCACAATTCTTAGGAAGAATATTAACATCCTAACTTCTCTTCTTTTCAAATATTTGACTGAGGCCAGGATGCCTTGTATAGCTCAAACAAAACAACATATCACAATAAATTGAATGCAAAGGCAAATATTGAAATTCAGGAGTTTGCCATTGAACTTGATATTAAAGTTTTTCAAAAATGTAAAGCAATACCCTTCTTATCACTAATTTATTTTTGTTTTTAAAATATAATTGTTATATGAGTATGTAATTTGTATTAACATATAATTATTATTGTACATGACAAAACATACAAGATATCTGTTAATTAAAACAAATAACTTTGTAAAAATTAAAAATCAAAATTAAAGTGTGTGAGAATTAACAATAGCGATGTCATTTTTCTATCTTGGTGACTGTGTTTCCTACCTTGGTGATGGTGTTCCCAGAAACAAAGCAAAGGTCAAGCTCACCCATAGCTTTAAGACAGCATAAAAACCCTGACCATAACAAAGCCTAACTGGCCCTTACCACATACCTCCTCAGCCCACTACAGTTCCAACCTGTCAGCACTTCCCCAACCCCTCCCCTATAAAAACCTCAGCTTGCAAGCCATCGGGGTCTTAGCTAGATTCCTGATTGGGACCCCTTACAGTCTTATTCTTGTAAATAAACCTGTTTGGCCCGTTGAGTTGCCTTCTCTCTCACTTCTCTCATTTAAAAATCTTCTTAACAAAGTAAATTAAGGAAGCGTATTTTCTTAGTTTTAATTTCTTACACAGTTACTAATGACAAATATAATCAACATAATCAACATCTATTTGGGTTTTCAATAATTTCTAGGAGTGTGCAGTGGTCATGAGGCCACAGTGTTTGACAAGTACTATAATAAAAAAGTTACAAAGATACATAAAATTAATATACACAGTAAACCAAAAGGTATCTCAATCAAGTTAGAGGTTTATTCAGCCAAAGTTAAGGATGTGTCCAGGGAAAGAAACACAAGTTACAGTAGGATCTGTGGCCTGTGCTTTTTCCAGAGAGTTTTGAGGGCTTCAATAATTAAAGGGGAAAGAGCAGGCAGGAGTGAAAGGAGGAAAGAATAAAAGACAGGGGGACAAGTAATGACATTTTTGTGAGGCTTTGATTAGCACTCAGTGGATACACATTTTACATGTGAAAAGAGAAGAGTGGGGAGAAAAGTTAACTATGCATTTGTCTTGTGCTTGGTAGATCTACATTTTACATGAGATAATGTAAGCATGTGGAATTACAGTTATCTGTTTAGGAACAAAAAGAAGGCAGTTGTTACCAAGACTCAGTTCCCAACCTTAATGTTTTCATTTGGCATAGTGAGTTTGAGGTCCCAATATTTTATTTTCTTTTTACATTTCCCCCTCACCCTATCACTCAAAATCTTTTGGAGATAACATTGCAGTTGTAAATGAGTCTCTGGTCATGAGTTTGCTCTGATCCCTCACTGCTAAGGTGGTTTATTACTATAAGGTTAGGTCCCACACAGCTAGGAAGGTTTATTACTAATAGGATGTGAAGTCTGTCCCACAGATAAAAATAGGAGGAAGAAGAAAGAAACAAAAAGGAAAAAAAAAATAAAAGAATGAATGACAAAAAGGACCAAGGCCAGGTCATAGCAATGCAGAGAAAAACAATCCTGGAAAACTGATTTAGGCTTTATTACCCAAAGTCCATACATTAGTAGACAGGCAAAAAGTAGTTTATGTATGTATGCGTGTGTATGTGTGTGTGTATATACTTAAAATTTAGGAGAAATAGCAACATATGTCTAGCCTCAGTTTGCAGGGCTTTAAGAAAAGCACAGTTTAGTGATTTCAGAAAAACAGGAGAAAAATAAACTTGAAAACATTAGTTTGGAGACTTGTGGCCAGGAAAGAATTCAGGATCCAGTCCTGTTAAGCTGTAGACAAAGAATAAAAACCGAAAAACATTGTACAAGGCCAGAGTCTGCTAACAGGAGTACTATAGTTTCTTTTGAAAGATAACTTTTCTCTCTCCAGTCCTTCATTTTAACCAAAGACAAAATCATAGTAGGACCAACTTATTTGCAAAATAAGCTTTAGTGTTATTATACCTGGCCTAATTCTTTGCATAAAGTGGAGCAAAACCAATTATATGCTACATAGACTGCTTTTAAATTGGTTCTGTCGGAACGTTTTTTATAAGGGATCTCAGATTTGACTTTTTAAAAGCCTCTTGATCCCAGCAAAGGATATATCTGTGCCTGCAAATACTTGTATGAATTTCAGCAAATTATTCTCTTTTCAAGATCCCAAGACTACTGGGGGTTCCTGGGCCTGTCAGAAACTGACATTGTTTAATTACCACAGGTCAGGAACCCTGTAAAGGAACTGCATAGACAAGGTATGGCCAGTTTCTTCAAAGGGCTTTTATCCACTCTATGAGTCAACTTCAGTTATTCAAAACCATCTACTCATGTCTGTAAACATTCTAGTTCAGTCAAAGCCTTGGAAAAATAAACTATGTCTTCAATTGTGTCCTCTAACAAAAGAAAACAGATTTCTATTGAGTTTATGCAAATAACTATACTGCCATAAAATAAGAATACTCAAAAATAGTTTCCAAATTCTGGAGAAATTAGGTACACAGAAAAAAGTATGCTTCAAATTTTTCTCACAAGAGTATACTTTACTCAATTGTTTAAAAAGAATCAGCAATGTTTAAAACAAGTCATAAAAATTATTTCAGTTTTCTATTACTTCAGTACCATATAGTCAATTTGATCCATTTGATATTGGAGTTGGTAATCCTCACAAACACATTAGCTGTTTAGCAAGAGTCCAGAAAGTATTTTTGGATTTTGGTTTTTGTTTTCTCTAACCCAATGACACAGTCTCCACAGTTACAAGAAACTTGTATTCAAAGAGCACGTCATGGTTCCTTTCATGAACACCTCTAAAGAAGTAAGTTTTGAACTGTAGTTTTTATAAACCAGATTTTGAGAAGAATCAAAGTAAAACTATAATTGTGAATGACAAAAGTATTAGGTTTGCAATGGTTAAAGATGCATAACAAGAAAACTTGATTATTTCTGTGGCATGCAACAATTTAACATAATAATCATAATTAATATTGATAGTGGCAGGAGGCAGACAAATCCTAGGCAGACAGGGGTGGGTCCCCAGTGAAACCCCACCTTCAAGCCAAAGATAGTTTAAAGCCTGAGAGCCAAACTACAAGTCAAATCCATGGACCGGATTGAGAACCTGTCTTCCCATTTAGTGTGCTTTCCTCTGATTGATCCCCACTCTTCAACTTCCTAAGTGGTTTTTCACACTGTGATGCCCACCTTTGAATAGGGCCTTTGTTTTAACTTTTTTGTATACTCACAAACCAATCAGCACACACTCTCCCATTCTGAGCCCATAAAAGTCCCAGACCCACCCACACTAAGAGAGAAACTACCCGACTTTGGGGAGGGGACCACCCTCATGTCCCCTGTTTGCTGAGAGCTGTTTTGTTGCTCAATGAAATTCTTCTCCGCCCTCCTCACCCTTTGATTGTCAGCATTATCTCATTCATCTTGGACACAGGACAAGAACTCAGGACCCACTGAATGTGGGTACACAAAAGGCTGTAACATTGTGGCCCTCTGCCCTCTGCCAGTGGAGGGCAGCCACCCCACATGACGGGAAGCAGTGGTGGGGCTGAGGCAGCCCTAGAGAGCTGCAGGCCAGAGTGGGGCAAGGGGCAACAGAGCGGTTATCACTCCGCTGTCTGTCGAGCTGTGGACAATGGGACTAAAAGAGCTAAGTAGCATGCTGTAACACCCTCTCTGGGGCTTTGGGGGCATGGGCACCTTTGCTTTGGTACCACCATGTTCCCCTCCTCTGGACACCAGAGTCTACCATGGGAGTGGCTTGCAACACTCTTGCTCTCACACAGCCCCTCCAACTGAAGACCAAGCACACAGTCTCAGCAGCTTTGGCATCTGAGCCAGAGGACAGCGTAAAGTGTGGCCTGATGGGCCGAATAGACAAGGCATCTCCTGAGGCAGGCCAAAAGCTGAACGAGGCCCAGGTGGGGATATCACCAGCCGAGGAGGTCCCCAGCTGGCAAAGTGACCAAGAAAAATCCTGTGTCAATATTGATAACTTATGCTTAGACATCAGGATTACAGAAATCTCATACAGTTTTGGAACACATATTAATAATTTATTTATAGAAATAGAATCCAAAGAATAAAACATAATTTCATAACTGACAATGCTTCCTGTATGATTTTAACCTATTAAATCAGCCACATAGGTCTCATTTGGACTTTAGGGGACCCACTAATCTAAAAGTTAATGAGGTAAAAAAGACAATTTAGAATTTGATTTTAATATGTGTGTCAACTATCAAAAGTTTAAAACATTTGGTATCACAAATAAGCCCACAGGTCACTGTAAAATAGTGATTCATTTAGTCACAATAATAATTCAAAGGTTTCTGATAAGTGAAAACCTTTATTATTTGATAAAGAGGAAACTCAATTTTCAAAACAATAAGACCTAATAAAGGCAGCATAAGGCCAACTGAATCTGTCTCTCTCTTTCCTCTCTTTTTTCAGTTTACTCAAAAAGGAAACAAAAATTTTTAATGTCACTTAATTTTACACAAACATTGTATTCAAAATAAGAAACTAGCTTTTACTTTTGCAGTGTATTATTAACACTAAAGCTTATTTTAATAAAATCTCATAAAAAATCTATTCTTACAATATCTAAACTAGCTATAATTACTTTCCCTTTAGCCAAAACCATATTGCCTTGCCTTCTTATAACCCTTTTTTCAAACACATTCTATTTGCGTTTGTATTCTTTGTAAATAAAAATGTTTTCTGTATACTAGTAGTTTGAATTACATATATTAATTACAATGTTAACTCTTAGTAACACCTTTTTTTTTACTGAAAAACTTAATAGGTAAGCAATTTTAATTAGGTGTCAGATGCAGAGCCCAGAACAAAAGACAGAGGTGCAGATAATGTCCAATCCTTACCAGCATTGTCAGAGGGCACAGTTGTGCTGGGGAGAACTCCACATTTCCCCAGGCCTTGCCATGGCTATAAGACAGACAAGTCAAAAAATTATTAAAAATGTCACAGAAGTGGTTTAGGACCTTAAAACATTTAGCAAAAACAGTTTCTGGCCTGCCTGAGTGGTTCAGACCAAGTGTCTAAATTAAATCTTGAAGATATTTTTATTTTATTATACCAATAACATTAAATTAGCTTTATTTACTTAAAATTACTAAAGTCATGTGAACTAACAGACATTTGAGTCATAATTTTCATTTTTCTGGTAAAATATTTGATTTAAGCACTTGCTTTTTAAAGCTAATTCATTAGATCTCATATATTTTGGTAGTGGAACATCAGATACACATGACTAGTATAAACACACAGGCGTACACAAAGACAGAAGTAGATCTTTCAGTCAATTGAAAAAAATTCTCAAAAACAATATTCAAAAAGAAAAAGCATTAAGGTATTTAAATATTAATTTTTAATAATTAATTAATAATTAATAGTATTTAAGTAGTAATTAAAGATCTTAATGCATATATTATTATATATATATCTTGAAAATCAGCTTTTAATTAAGCTGACTTTTAACCATAGAGCTTTTTAAAAAATCCTTTAAAATCTCTTATTATCAAACGTTAGCCAGGGAAAACAGTTGATACTTTTGGCTTTTGAAATTCTTTGCCAAAGGTATTCTTCCAAGTGTCTTAACAAAGGTTATGATTTAACCATGGATGCATGAGTTTTCTCCAAAAAGGTGGAAAGCAGGGGTTTTTTCATTTTTCAAGATTCGGAGAAAGAAAAATCTAAGACAGGAAATCAGAAGCTGTCAATGGAAGGGAAAAGAATCAATAAATGGCCAAGCCACACAAATATCAACCCAGAAAAGACTTAATCCTTGGCTTGGAATTAAACCTAGGCTGCCATGGTAAAAGAGAAGAGCCTTAGCTACTAGACGGCACATGGGGCAGTCTCCACTGGTTTGCAGCAAGGAATCTAGAGCATGAAGTTTCGGTCTTGCAAGGGATGAAAACACTGTTTTCATCAGATAATTCTCAAGGCTAGCCATAACATTACTACTATATATTCTTCTTTTAATTTAACCTTTTCATCAATTGTTTAGAATAAGAGACCTCTATAATTTTTTATATATCCTTTGGACATTGACAATTAGAATTTTCAATACTGTACTTTATTTCAATAGCAAGTATTCATAGCACAAGTCATCAAAAATACACCAGAGTCACTATACCAAGAACAGTCACACAAATCCTTTTTTTTTTTCATTAATCAAAACATTGCATTTGAGACAGTGATTTTTACCATCCACTTAACTGGAGTGCGGAGGGAGAGGTGAGGAGCCTGAATGGTAAGAAATTCTTACCCCATTGCCAGGAGAGTAGTTTCCTGTGTTCTCTTCAACTGTGGCTTCCAGAACAGAAAAGCAACTTTGATCATCCTGCTTGCTGCACTGTACTGTGGGGTCCATGGGCTCTTGACTTCATAAGGATTTATTGAAAAATCACTGACATGAGACAAGCTGGGAAGAAAGAGTGGAGCTTAGAGTAATTAATAGAATAAAAGGAATAGAAATTTATTTAGCATGTATACAGCATAGCCTTCAGCATGAAGACCCAACTTTCTAAGTAACAGAAGCTCATATACTTTCTTGAAATTACAGAAAGAATGAAGAATCAGGGTATGTCTAATGAAAACAGATTTTAGAGACAAGACAGGATATGGGCAGAAGAAAGAAAAAGGCTTGGCTAGAAAAAGATGGCCTTGCTATGTAGATGAAACTTTTCAGGTTAGTCAAATTTTTCATTTTTCTCAACTGATTGGTTTTTAGAGATGGAATTTGACTTTTCTAGCTGTAGATTTTCAGTCAACATTAGAAGGGATCAGGAGTTCATCAAATGTAATGGAAGATAGAACAAAACAAAATAATAAAAAGCCCATTGTACAGTTCTCATACAGCCAAGATCTCTAAGCATAAGAAGTTACAGTCAGCTGACAATATACATTAACCATCAGCTACTCTAATGCTTGTTGCTTATATTTCTGTTACTGAATCTTGGAGGAAAAATAATAACAAATTAAAAGACTAGTTAGCACTAATAGGTATTGTATATTAGAAATAATAGTTCAGCTACCAAATCCCCACCTGATATCCCAAACCAGCTCCTACCTTGGAGAGGAGACTCAAGCTAAAGACTGCTCTCTGCTTCTATGGCATTAGCAAAATCCCAGAAAAAGGAGTTCTACCACACAATAAACGTCAGACTTCAACCAAAAAACTTGAGAGATCAGGGATCTCTGGAGGAAGAAGCTCCCACACCTCAGCTATTAGTCTACAGACTTGACAATTGGGGGTTGTAAATTCTATATTCACTATCAAGGATGAGTAAGTTGACCAGGGCTTGGCACCATTTACTTTAATGTCCTTTTTTATAAAATGGAAATGATGCTAATGGTTCCCCAGGGTGCTCTGAGAATGGAAGGTTAAAAGTACTGTGAAATGCTCAGATTTGAAGTGTTACCCTGGAGCAATCTATTACTGCAAGTTCTCACTTAACCTCATTGATAGATTCTTGGAAACTGCAGCTTTAAGTTCTTAAGCTAAACGACATGTAACAAAACCAATTTTGCTACAGGATAATTGATACAAATAAGAGGTTAAATTTCTACAGAATATTTCTGGTCACAAAACATCACAAACCTTCTAAATAAAGACCCCAAACACTTCTACATTAACCATTGACATAAATGTGAGGTATACATACATTTAAGAAAACATAATAAAAACAAGTAAGATAATTATTTACCCGATTACTCAGTTCAGAGTCTGGGGTGTCCGGAGTCCATCCCAGCAACTCAGGGCATCAGGTAGGAACCAGTCTTGGACAGCCAGCGATTCTATCACAGTGTGCTTTCATACACACTCACCTTCACTCCTACTGGAGCAACTTGGACATGCCAGTTCATTTGAAGTGCACATCTTTGGAATGTGGGAGGAAATGAGTTTCAAAAGGATGCTGAACTATTATTTGTTTTTTCTAAGAAACAGTGGCCATTAGAGTGATATATTACTTAATACTCATTTTTCAGCACATGCCTCAACAAAACACTCTCTAATTCTTTCCACACACTCATACACAGATGAACCCATTCTGGGACATCCCGTGTGTGATGCGACATAAATCCAATTACAATAAGTTTTGAATTTTTGATCGTACATTGAAACATGATTGACCTTACCTTTATATTTATGCTAAGTAAATGAGATTAGGAAGGAATTTAAGTAAACTAAGCCCTGCTTGAGGAGGGAGGAAATAATTAGAGGAAAGAATAGGTTTTTGTTCTGAGATAAAGTTTAATATTACAGATAGCACATGGTATCTAAAAACAACACAATTACACATTGATTTCTAAGCATGGCACAGCAATCCAGGGCAAGCTGGGATAGAGGAATCTCAGTTGCTAGCAGCAGGACCCATGAGTGGCATGTAGTGGGAAGACTAGAAATAGTAAAAGGAACATTCTTTTTTCAGTGTGTAAGGTCTTTAACCCTTTTTGTAATTATTGGAGGTAGAGTAAAATCAATAATAATGCTTTTGATAACTTTTTGATCTTGTTGAACTCTTTCTGATTTAAGTACCATTCTAGGTGTTTTTGTAAGGATTAGGTTATTTACACTCATAACAGTTTATATGGATAAGAAAATTAAGTCACACAGTATTGTTTGACTTAAACCACTTAAACCACCCATAGTATGTCTGACTTAAATCAGAGAGAAAGTATGAGAATTATTTACTACTATGGTCTTAATTTAAATCCTCTGTGTTTCACACCAACATTGTTACTTTTCCCTCTACAATAATGTGGCTCCAGAATCACGGGCATCAAATAAAAAGTGGAAAATTTGGGTTTTGAAAATTCTGACTTCAGCAAAACACCTCAAAGAAGACCTGGCAACAAGTTGTTTCTACTGAAAATTATACTTTGAATAAATAAAGCAGTGTCTTAAATGACATCCTATGGGAGGGGACACTCATCACAGATATCTTTTCAATAAGATAAGAAACGTTAAAGCAAACAGAAGGATGACCTCTAAAGATGTCTACATCCTAAACCCTGGAATCTGTGAATGTATTGCTTTACATGACAAAGGGATTTTGCAGATGTGACTATGTTAGGATGTTGATATGGGAGATTAACCTGGATTATCTGGGTGCACCCAATTAATCACAAAGATCTTTATAAGGGAAAGAGGGAGGCAGGAAAATCAAAGTCAGATGGAGAAGTGATAGCGGAAATAGAGGTCAGAGTGATGGGGTTGCAATCATCGAAGACAGCAGGGGGCCATGAGCCAAGGAATGTGGTCAGTCTCTAGAAGCTAAAAAAGCTAAAAAAGGGAAGTGACAAAGTCTCCTCTAGAACCTCCAGAAGAAACACAGCCTTACTGAGACCTTCATTTGAGGACTATAAGACCTATTTCAGACCATAGGCCACCAGAATTATAAGATGAGAAAGTTGTATGGTTTTAAGCCACTAAGTTTGTGGTAATTGGTTATAGGAATCCAGTAAGTATATTCAAATACCAAAATTAACATCTTGCTTAAAGACTTTCTAATTCATTTTATTTTACAAGCCTTGGATTCTGAATAGCAGGTGCAGACCATCTGGCCTTCTGTTGTAATTAATAACACTTAGTCTGTGCTACGATCTTTAAAAATACTGAATACTGGATATTGTAAACAAAATTTTTCCTGAGATAATTATCTTAGGATCTAAGGATTGAATTATCTTCTAAATTACACAGGTCTTGGGCCACTGCTATGACAAACCAGTGTGTCCTTTTAAAGCTTTAGACTCCAAAAGTGAGGGCTACTCAGAATTTGCAATTAAATTAACACAACCGCCAGGATTTCAGAAGAACTATACCTACTCAGTAGGAGAAACAGCCCAGGCTGGTGACACTTTTGGTGGCTCCAATTCCAGTCAGGCATAAAGAAACCCCTGGCAGGGTAAGCTAGACAAGAAATTGGGCACTATTGTCTTGGATTTTATTCAATTTAGGATTGTGGATATGGGGCTTTTGATGCTCAAGCTTTAAAGTAAATGATCTTAGACTTCATTTCCTTTGATCTTTGCATTTTAATTTTCAAATAGATTTGCTATTTTAACTTACATTTCTCCTTAGGATATTTATACCAAGATAATTTCATATTCAAATTTGGCTCATCTATATGTTGTTTGCCTGCAGTTGTTGAAGTACCTTCATAGATTTCATCTTAATGTGGCCTTTTATTCTCAATTTTATGTAAGATTTTTCTTACAATTGCAAGAAAAATGAGTGTAACTTATGGGGTGAGTTCCCGATAATGCCTGTACCCGCCCTCTATAATTGTCTAACATGGAAAAGATGGTAACTGCTGTTTCAAATTGTGCACTATCACAGAGACAAACCTTGATGGACTTGCAATTTATATTTCTATAGTTTCTCATCGTTCAGATGATAACTTGTTTTGTGAATTCAGGCACTATGACAAATTTGATAATCCACAGAATTGCATGCATTAGGACAACATACACTTGCAGAAGAGCTTTTTACTTTTATTTTCCTAAATATGTGTATATAGCCAACTATGCATCATGTATTCTTATATATTGAACAATGTGAGAAGAAAATACTAGGTTTGAATGCAGCTTCGCCTGGGTATGAACTAAATTAGAATACAGTTCTGATCCATTACAGAGAGTGCTGGAAACAAAATGTGAACAACTTACCAGAGTCCCAGGAAGATTTGAAAGAGGCAATGTTTGGGAAACAGCCTCATGAGGTAGCCGAAAACCAGTCACTTATCTGATTGAAAAATCAGCAAAAACTATTTGGATATGATGAGCTTCGCTATTTTTTCTTCCTTTTGAGAGGAAATCTGTTTAGCGTTTTCCCCCTGGATCCTCTATGTGGTAAGCCTCACCGGGGCACCTCTCTATATCGTGAAGTCTCACTGAGAAGGCTGCCTATGACTGAATAAATTGTTCTAATTCTGCAAGGTGATGACAGATATAAACAATATCTTCCAACCAGGTATTTATTTGTAATAATGGTGATATATCAGCCTCCATCTTTACTATGTTTTGTAAGTCAGCTTATTCAGATATGGACAGAGAAGAACAGTATACTTTATTGGGTTTACTTCAGAAGCTGGAACATATTTTTATGCTAAAAACTATTGTCAAAATATAGATAATGTATAATATTTTTAACCAGACCATAAAGGATTGGAAAAATAAGGGTATGTAAATAAGGATTCACATACACACACACAGACACACACACACACACACACACACACACACACACACCCCTATTCTGGATATAAGTGGGTTTGTGCAGTGCTTTTTATTTGGGTACATTATTTCTTTGAGCCACTAAACCTCAAAAAATTATATGGTTACCAAAGGAAAGGCTAAGGATAAAACTTGCACAGGAACACGATGGCTATCTCATCAGAGGGAACCTATTGCAAAGGCCAGAAGCAAAACAAAAAAAGTGGTAAAATGTAAGAAGGAGCAGAAACAAAGAAATAAACCAACCCTGGCAGGAAGTCACTGGAAAATGGGCTTACAATTTGAATCAGTGTAATTTCCTGGAAATATTATTCTCTATTGAAGCACCAATGCCATAAGGTTCAATGACAAACCTTTAGTAATATAGCAGGTTTTCTTGCTTCTACATCCATGCTGGTACATTTGCAAAATATGACACCCTAGTGTTAATGAAGAGTGCAGGGGGCAATATACATGTTAAGTGTTTTGCAGAAGGGGAAACAGTCCACCTGTTAATGTAGAAAAATTTATGAGAAACACTCAAAGTACTCCAGGAGGTTTAGATGGGACTCATGGAGAAAGTACAGCAGGCAACAAAAATAGTCTTCTCATTACTGTTTTCTGTGTATTTTTTCCATTGCTATGAAGATGATGTTTCTGTAATGGCTCCAAATTGGGGCAAATAAATATATGTTCAGAGATAAATATGAGGTCAGATCTATGTCACACATAGGTATAAAAAGGTTTTAAGATAGCTAGAAAAATAGGCTGATAAAATATATAATCTGGAATTTTGGAATAAAATTGATTTTAGCTCTCCAAAATACAGCATTCTGAAAAATGTCATGGTCCTTTCATGAGCTTTGTGTTCAGTACATCTCTCACTTCAACTAAAGCTAGTCTAATGTTCTATTATTACTGGCCTAACTTAGCACTGTACAGATATGTTGCAGATTTGGAAAATTGTAATGACACAAATTTTAAAACCTCTGAATATGATAATATTTGTTCCCTAACGTAAGAATAGCTGAAAGCAGCAGCAGCATAGTGTAATGGTAGCAAACACAGACACTGGAGCTAGACTTCCTGAGATTAATGCCTACCTCTTCTCTTTTGACTATGGTATAACAGGTAAATTCTGTACCTTATTCCCCAGGCCCCAAATAGGAATAAAAATATGCTTTTTATCTTATAGGGTGGTTATGAGTATGATGTGGTTTTCGACACTGGCACAAATTAGCATATATGTATATTGAATACTTTTTAAAAATTAATATTCTAGAAAGAGTCCTATATTATCTTCCAAGACCTTTTGTGATCTGCAAACCAAGTTTATTGCCCTTGTTACATTTCATCATAACATTCCCTATTTTCCCCTTCATGTTTTTTTATTCTTATAAATTTTTTTTGTTTATTCCTCAACAGGGTGTAAACACCAGGATAGCAGCGACATTACTTATTTTGATATCTGTTGATTACCTTATGATTAACAGAGTGCATAACACATATTAACTGATAACTGAATATTTGTTAATTGAATGATTAAAAAAAAGGACTCATCATTCAAACGATCTCTGATATGTACACGCGACTACAACAAGACTTAGTAGGCACTCAATATTTATTGCATTGAATCAAATAATCTCTACTCTTGATTACTCAGTCAAAATATCAGAAAACAACAAATGCTATCATGTGGACTATAGAGTATATTAGTGGTAATCATAAATGTAGAGGAAGCAATGTAAAAAGCTGCAAGAAAATAAAGCTTGGGAGTTACATATAGAATGAGCATTAATTACATCATGCCTGTTTCCTTCTTGTGTCAGCTCAAAACTTCTAAGAAGTAGTCATTCATTTTTCAATTTGAACATCAGAAGAGTAATTCTAGTAAATTTCCAGGTCATGGTAACTCTATATTTGTAGAAGTTCACCATTCTTCAGATTAAAACTAATATTTTGTGTTGTGTGATTCTGGACATTTTAGACAAATAGATAATCTATATATTTACATGGATTCTATGGTGAAACATAATCCAAAAATGTTATATAGTATTTTTAAGACTAACATACAGTTTACTTGACTCTTTTTGGTGTGAAGTTCTATAAATTTAACATATATATATATTCATTTAACCGCCACCATAGTGAGTATACAGAATAATGTCATCACCATAAAATAATCCTTCATGCTATCCACTTGTAGTCAAACCTCCCTCCACATTTCCTGACACCACTGATAAGTCATATTTTTGTTTTTGTGAAAATTCCATAGAAATGGAATCATACAATGTGTAACCTTTTGAGTCTGGCTTCATTCACTTAACATGATGCTTCTGTGATTCATAAAAGCTGTTTCATGCACCAATAGTTCATTCATTCTTTGTTGCCAAAAAGTATTGCATTGTATGAATTTGCCACTATTTACTTATTCTCCAATTGAAGATTTGGGTTGTTTCCAGTTTTTAGTGATTATGAACAAAATTGTAGAGAGCCTACTGTGTACCATGTATTCTCTAGGTGAAGGAACATAGTGACAGCCAAGGTAGAAAAGTTCCAATTCTAATTATGCTTAATGTCTATGGAGAATTTAGCTATGGTTTAAAAATGAAAAAAAAAGTCATATGGCTAAATGTGTGGCTTTTTGTTCTTCAGTTGTCTATGATTTTATTCCAATACATGAATTAATACTACTGGGTCATTCACTGTTTCTCAATCTGCATAATGATGATATGATTCTAAAATATACAATAGAAATTGTATGTTAGAATCATGAATTGCGGTTTGTTGTTTGTTTGCTTTTAAGCTATTATTGAACATAATTCATCAGAACTGCAAAGCAAGGCCCAGACAACATGTGTTTTGTTTAAGCCATCATAGGTAATTCTGATGAATACTTCAGGTCAATATTGACTCCTCTTATGTTTTTGAAATAGAAACCTAGAGCAACACTTATCAATATGTTACTTTAAAGAGGATGATATAGATTAGTGTGTTTGTTTCAGGATGTTATCCAATCTAACAAAAAATGAATTATTGGTTAACTTTGAAGAATTTCCTTCAAATTCAAATACTGAAAAACTATTTTCTAGATGCCACCATTTTCAGTGCCCACCAAAGAAGTTATTAATAATTCACATTCATTATCAAGAGCATATTGAAGTTGACACCAGGAACTGTCTTCTGTCAAAATACATATAGCTGTGAACCTACAATGCTCCCATTGTAAAAGAGAGGGCAATGTCCTGGGAGTTTCTATAGATGCCAAAGAGGGGATAATAGATCAGTATGAGCAAATACTTGCTATTTTACAACGGTCAAACATATTTAATTTTTAGTCTTCTATCCTAGAATTTCTTTCCCACACAATTCTGATCTTTATACCCAACTGACTGAGAAATTATATTTAGTACATCATCCCATGTTTTTCAATTTTTTTTATCAAATGTGTCTGTACTGTGAATTTTTACCTTGACCTATTTAAATAAAAATGTACATACATGTTTCCTATTGCAGTTAAAAGGTGCTTGGGAAAGATTAGTCTATTTTCTATTTTGTAAGGTGTTATGAGTAGTGAAATTTAAATTCTATATATTTCACAAGAAATAAGATAAGTACAGATTTAGACTAGCATACCTGACCTATCAGGTAGAAGAGCAGCCGAAAATAGGTGACAGTGTTAACCTGAGCTATTAGAAGCAATTCCGAAGAGAAATAAGATAACTTGAGTTGTATCATTACTGAAAGTACTGCTTCTCCCCTAAATAACAATATTTTTTCTCAAATAGGACTATGGATGAGGGATAGATGGGCATAAAATTTATAGTTATAAAATGTTACTATTTTCATTGAGCAATTTTGGTACAAAAAGCTATGAATATGATGGAAAACAATAGGAGAAAAACAAAACAAAACATTTGTATTGCTTTACAATAATACTGCTTCAATTTATAAACAATTGTTTATTGGCCTGATGTGGTTAATTCAATTAAGGAGAAAAGTATCTTTTTGAAATTTATGGAGTTATTAAGAATAATTCCAGTGGCTTTCTCAGGAAAAATATCTTAATGTGTGTTCCCTTCATGTGTGCAAGTAGGGATAAGTTAGATATATTATTCCCGTATTTTTAAAACTCTGAAATGTGAAGTTTAAGACTGACTTTCTATGTTTCTTGGCTAATTGGTGAAGTAGTTGCATATTTCTTTTTTTGTGAAATGCTGTGGTATTCCGCCTTAGACTGGTAAATTCTTAATGATGATTGTGCTAACAAAGGAAAACATGTCAATTTTGTGTTGTTAAGTTTAAGAGAAGTGAATTGCTTTCATTTACTTCAATTCATAAGCTTCTTATATAAGCTGTTGATTCAAATTCCCTTACAAAAGATTATCTGAACTACTGGGAATACTTTCTAAAAGACTTACTTATGCCCTCTTTTTTAAAAAACATCTACCATCTTTCTAGTTTATAATGCAACGAAGCTTTCTTTATGCCTGCTTTGTTTTCATAAATGCTAACCAGGTTAAAATAACATTTAAAAGTCACACTTGTTAATGACATTCACTATTACCACTTATATTTAAATTAGTGTTGGATACTCATAACATAACTAGTTATTTCCTTGGAACATTAACATTTCACGATGCTTTAATAAATGTCCCATCCTAACATTCAAATTATGTTTTAAAAATTTACAATGCAAATGCAGTTATACTTTAAAAATTTTACTTTTATAAACATAACCATGAATCCCACTTTAAATGCCAAAAAGATATGGGATAGTACATGATCTTTCACTTTTATTGTAACAACAAAAAAAACTCTGAGGATATGATCCTAAATACATTCTGCAATCCTTTATCAAAGAACAATTTTGATTTTTGTTCCTTCTTTCCTCATAACCATGTAGGCATCAGCCTCAGTGAGGCAGATGTTAACTACTGAGCTTCCCAGTGAGCACTTTAGGAGAACAACAAAGACAACTATTTTTCTTTACCATTACTGGGACAAACTGGATGTCTAATCAAACAACCAACAAAACAAACAACAAAACAAACAAAGCATTGTTGGTAGATACTCCATTTTCTATTATTACATAGCCATTATAACATATCCTATGCAGAACCACATAATTTCTTTTATCACATTTAATATTATGAAAACCAATTTTAAAATATTTTATATCAAATATTACAGGTAAACTTATTTGAGCTAAGTCAATACCACTTGCTCCTTGAATATTATTAAATGCTTATGTGTCATGAACTGTGACAGACACACAGATACTTCTTTCATGCCAAAAGGGAAGACATACAATAAAAAAAAACTATGACAATAAAATGAGATGATTATCGCAGCTTGTATAATGTTAATTTTGTTCTAGGCACTACTAACCCTAACAACTAACTAATACAATAGCATGTGACTGATCTGTTTTGAGTCACACACAGTTGAAACAATATTTTATTCATCCTCTTATTTCCAGTTCCTCAAAAAAGTTATTGACTAATATATAGGCCTCAATAAATAAGCATTTTGGAAATGTAAATTTAATTGTCTTAAATAAGTAGTTTACTTAATCTTTTGTATTGGTAACTGAATAATTAGTTTCTTTTTAGAAATAAATGAAACTCATACATTTAATAAAAAAATTGTGATAGTTGACTTTTACAATTAATTGCTATCATGGATGTTTAATGCAACGCCTTTTTGAAATAATAATACAGGCTAAATAAAGAATTCTATAATATTGTTATATATATAGTATATATTTGTGTCTTTATAAATCATTATATAAGGTTAATGATCTATATGTTCAGCTAAAACATAGCTAAATTATAAATGTAAAGGTTGAGAGTAAATGTCTCTTTAAAATTGCTATAGTTTTGCCCATATTCGTGAGTGCTCCATTATGCACTTTATAAGCAAGAAAGTGTTACCATCCTTCCTTTAAGTTTGAAGATCACTTTCTGAATTAAATTATGAGTCTGGAAATTGTGTTTAGATGTTTGAACACCTAATTGATTATGCTACATTTATTTGATCATGGTTGAAATGTAATTTTACTGCTTGGTTGGTGACACTTTTTTGTAAAGTATTAAATTGATTTGCTGCTTAGGAGAGAATCACTTTTTAAAAACAGGTTTTCAGGAATCTTCCAGGAAGAAAAGCACATATTTTGATTCTTATTATTTTTAACAAAGAGTGAAAATAGACAGTGAGAAACCTAGGAAGTAATGAGAAAGCAAGTCTTGAACTGAATTTAAAACATAAAATCTTATTTGATATTGTAATTTTTGCAAAGATGTTTTAGCTACTGCATCAATACAACCAATACTCATTTTTATTTTTTAAGGTGAAGTTTTTTTCTATTAAGATAGCTTTATGTAAAACTTCAGTTTGTCCGATTTTCAAAGCATGTGTTAAATCCCAATAACAACGTAAAAAAAAAAATTGGGAGCAAGGGAAATATGGTTCTTGAGAAATGTTGGATGAAATAAATAAAATAGTATTTTTAGTGTTCTTCATGTATAATCAGTTCAGCTCAATGAAATACTGACCTCAAAGGGGAATTAAAGGATGCAAGGCTTCCTAGATGCTCTTTCTGAGGATCATCTTGCAAACATGTTTTGAAAAACACTAGGCTAATTCACTCAATTTGGGACCATATTGTGAGACAGTAAGTCATGAATGCCCTGTATTAGTCCATCTTTACACTGCTGATAAGGACATACCAGAGACTGGGCAATTTAAAAAAGAAAGAGGTTCAATTGGAATCACAGTTCCACATGTCTGCGGAGGCCTCACAATCATGGCAGAAAGCAAAGAGAAGCAGGTCATATCTTAAGTGGATGGTGGCAGGCAAAAAGAGAACTTGTGCAGCAGAACTCCTGTTTTTAAAATCATCATATCTCCTGAGATTTGTTCACTATCATGAGAACACACTGGAAAGAACCGTCCCCATAATCAATCACCTCTTACCAGGTTCCTCCCGTGACATGTGGGAACTGCTACAATTCAAAATGAGATTTGGGTGGGGACAACCAACCATATCATTCCACCCCCAAGCCCCTCCCAAATCTCATGTACTCACATTTCAAAAACAATCATGCCTTCCCAATAGTCCCTCAAAGTCTTAACTCATTTCAGCATTAACTCAAAAGTCCACAGTCCAAAGTCTCATCTGAGACAAGGCAAGTCTCTTCCACTTATGAGCCTGTAAAATCAAAAGCAAGTTAGTTACTTCCTAGATACAATGAGGGTACAGGCATTCGGCCAATACAGCCATGCCAAATGGGAGAAAATGGGCAAAACAGAGGAGATACAGGCCCCATGCAAGTCCAAAATCCAGCAGGTTAGTCAAATCTTAAAGCTCCAAAATGATCTTCTTTGACTCCATGTCTCACATCTGGGTCATGCAGATGTAAGAGGTGAGTTCCCATGGTCTTGGGCAGTTCCGCCCCTGTGGCTTTGCAGGGTACAGCCTCCCTCCCTGGCTGCTTTCATAAGCTGGCATTGAGCGTCTATGGCTTTTCCAGGTGCACGGTGCAAGCTGTCATTGGATCTCCCATTCTGGGGTCTGGAGGACAGTGGCTCTCTTCTCACAGCTCCACTAGGCAATGCCCCAGTAGGGACTGTGTGGGAACTCTGACCCTACATTTCCCTACTGCACTGCCCTAGCAAAGGTTCTCCATGATAGCACCACCTCAGTAGCAAACTTCTGCCTGGACATTCAGGTGTTTCCATCCATCCTCTGAAATCTAGGCGGAGGTTCTCAAACCCCAGTTCTTGACTTCTGTACACTGTCAGGCTCAGCACCATGTGGAAGCTACCAAGGCTTGAGGCTTACACCCTCTGAAGCCATGGCCTGAGCTCTATGTTTGCACCTTTCAGCCACAGCTGGAGTGGCTGAGACACAGGGCACCAAGTCCTTAGGCTGCACACAGCAGGGGAGCCCTGGGCCTGGCCCACAAAACTACTTTTTCATCCTAGGTCTCAAGGCCTGTGATGGGAGGAGCTGCTGTGAAGGCCTCTGACATGCCTTGGGGACATTTTCCTCATTGTCTTTGGAATTACTATTCGGCTCCTCATTACTTATGCAAATTTCTGCAGCTGGCTTGAATTTCTTCTCAGAAAATGGGATTTTCTTTCCTATTGCATTGCCAGCCTGCAAATTTTCCAAGCTTTTATAAAAGCTCTGCTTCCTTTATAAAACTGAATGCCTTTATCAGCACCTAAGTCATCTCTTGAATGCTTTGCTGCTTAGAAATTTCTTCAGCCAGGTACCCTAAATCATCTCCCCAAGTTCATAGTTCCACAAATCTCTAGGGTAGGAAAAAAATGTCGTTAGTCTCTTTGCTAAAACAAAACAAGAGTCACCTTTGCCCCAGTTACCAACAAGTTCCTCATCTCCGTTTGAGAGGACCTCAGCCTGGATTTTATTGTCCATATCATTATCAGCATTTTGTTCAAAGCCATTCAACAAGTCTCTAGGAAGTTCCAAACTTTTCCACATTTTTCTCTCTTTTTCTGAACCCTCCAAACTGTTCTAACCTCTGCCTGTTTTGCAGTTCCAAAGTCGCTTCCACATTTTTGGGTATCTTTTTAGCAGCACCTCACTCTACTGGTACCAATTTACTGTATTAGTCCATTTTCACACTGTTGATACAGACACAGCCAAGACTGGGCAACTTACAAAAGAAAGAAGTTTAACTGGACTCACAGTTTCATGAGGTTGGGGAGGCCTCACAATCATGGCGGAAAGCAAAGAGGTGCTCGTCACTTCTTATGTGGAGGTGGAAGCCAAAAAGAGAGTTTGTGCAGAGAAACGCCTGCTTTTAAAACCATCAGATCTCAAGAGACTCATTCACTATCACGAGAAGAGCCCAGTAAGGACCTGCCCCCATAATTCAATCACCTCCTACGAAGTTCTTCCTATGACGTATGGGAATTGTGGGAGTTACCATTCAAGAAGAGTTTTGGGTGGGGACCCAGCCAAACCATACCATACCTAACTCTTGGCTTTTCTTCCCCATTTTGTTTTATTTTCTCTAGCTACATATCTCACTATATTTAACCAACATATATGACCCACTTCACTGATACTTGATGTAAATTTTCTTTCTATAATTTTTAAATTTCTTTTTTCCTTAACACCCATGCAGTATTAGTAAAAAAAAGTCTTGGTTTGGCCCCTATACTATTAAATTTCAGCTCAGCTGCAAATGAGAAAAATATTACTTAGGATAAAAACAATGATTTAAATGACATAAAATAACTTTTCTTCCTTTTGCAAAAATCTGAGTAGGTGGCACAGACATTCATGGTGCCAGGTAATTTTTATTCATTTCTCCTTATTCTTTCTCTGTGAATGACTTTGAAATCATCATCCGTTATGGTTGCTACCACCATCACCTGCATTTCAGCTGCTAGGAACGAGACAATAGGTAGACAAGGAAAAGAATAAATATTACACATAGTTCTTCCGCTTATATTCCCATAATAAACCCTTTTGCCTATAAGGTATGATATAGCTGGAAGAGATACTTAGAAGTATCTATTCTTGTTAACAAGGTAATCAGCTGAAATATAATGTGGTACAGAAATTATATCCAAATTTATCATATTCTTGTTGTCTACTGAAAAACAGATTATTGAATACGTGGTAAGCACCAGAGAGAAAACTAAAAGAGATTTAAAATGCTCAAAATTAACCAAACCTGAAAATATACCAAGTCATGAAAATTGCTCCACTTGTCACCTACATTTTGATATTAACAGGTCAATTCAGTTTTCATCTTACTTGGCCCCTATCTCTCAGTTTGTTTATCTTTCTCTTTATCTCCCAATCTCTTTATTTGGGAGTGTTTCAGGGATTAGTCTTTGATTCTCTTCTCTTTCACCTACATTTACTACCTTTGTGACTCCCTCTGGCCTCATAGATGTACATGTCACCAATGTGCAAAGGACATTTAAAAAATATCTCCTCCAATCTCCCGAGTCACATATTCATCTATTAATACTTACTCTAGCAGAGAGTGGTGGCGCACGCCTGTAATCCTAGCACTTTGGGACAAGGTGTGCAGATCACCTGAGTTCAGGAGTTTGAGACCAGCCTGGCTAACATGGTGAAAACTCATCTCTACTAAAAATACAAAAAATTAGCCGGATGTGGTGCCAGGTGCCTGTAATCCAAGCTATTTGAGAGGCTGAGGCACGAGAATCGCTTGAACTCAGGAGGCTGAGGTTGCAATGAGCCGAGTTTGTGTCACTGCACTCCAGCCGGGGCGACAGAACAAGACTGTCTCAAAAACAAAACAAAACAAAACAAAACAAAAAACTTATTCTACATCCACATTTTACGTTGTAATGGATAGTCCAACCTTACCATGCCTATAACAATCTCCCAATATTCCTCTAAAAATTGATATTTAAATATCATCTAATATTTTCTTACCTCACTTGTTGGAAACTTTATTCTTTCTGTTGCACAGGACAAAAATCTTGGAGAAATCAATTTCTCACTTTGGCTCCTGCTCCTTATCCAATCTGCTGCAATTACTATTGTCTGCCTTAAAATATACACAGAATCTTACTCCATCTCACCGAATCTACCACTTCCTCTGCAGACAAAGTAACTTTTAGCTCTTCTCCATACTGCATCAATGTATTCTGGTTTTACACTTGCCCCCATATGTTCAATACAGCCACCTGGATGACACTGAAGAAATGTAAGCCACATTAAGTCACCTTGCTCCACATCCTGCAGTGGCTCCCTATGTTATTCACATTAAAAGTTCAATGCTTAAAATGACCTCCTGGGCTTTCCCATTGTTACTTACATTACTTCTTTCCTACTATCCCCTTCTTTCCTCTCCCCACCCTGACCACACTGACTACCACTCTGTTTCTTGGATACATCCATCTGGGACACTTTTGAAACAAGTGTTCTGCTCTGCCTCTTTTCTCTATCTGAAATACAATTCCCTCAGATTTTCACATGTCTACCATTTTTTAAAATTTTATTTTATTTTTAGTTCTGGGATACATGTGCAGGATGTGCAGGTTTGTTACATAGGTAAATGTGTTCCATGGTGATTTGCTGCACCTATCAACCCATCACGTAACTATTAGGCCCTGCATGCATTAGATATTTTTCCTGATGTTCACTCTCCCCCTGCCACCCTGCCCCCGCAAGGCCCAAGTGTGGGTTTTTCCCCTCCCTGTGTTCATGTGTTCTCATTGTTCAGCTCCCATTTATAAGTGAGAATATGTGGTGTTTGGTTTTCTGTTCCTGTGTTAGTTTGCCGAGGATAATGTCTTCCAGCTCCCTCCATGTCCCTGCAAAGGACATGATCTCATTCATTTTTATGGCTGCATAGTATTCCATGGTGTATATGTACCATATTTGCTTTATCCAGTCTATCATTGATGGGCATTTGGGTTAATTCCACGTTTTGCTATTTTGAAGAGTGCTGCAATAAACATATGTGTGCATGTATTTTTATACTAGAATGATTTATATTCCTTTGGGTATATACCAAGCAATGGGATTGCTGGGTTGAATGGTATTTCTGGTTGTAGGTCTTTGAGGAATTGCCACACTGTCTTCCACAATGGTTGAACAGATTTACATTCCCACCAACAGTGTAAAAGGATTCATATTTCTCCACAGCCTCATCAGCATCTGTTGTTTCTTGACTTTTTAATAATGGCCATTCTTACTGGCATGAAATGGTATCTCATTGTGGTTTTGATTTGCATTTCTCTAATGATCAGTTACGTTGAACTTTTTTTTTCATGTGGTTGTTGGCCACATAAATGTCTTTTTTTGAGAAGTGTTTGTTCATGACCTTTGCCCACCTTTTCATGTGGTTGTTTATTTCTTGTAAATTTATTTAAGTTCCTTGTAGATTCTGGATATTAGACCTTTGTCAGATGGATAGATAGCAGACATTTAATCCCATTCCGTAGGTTGTCTCTTCACTCTGATGATAGGTAGTTTCTTTTGCTGTGCAGAAGCTTCTTAGTTTAATTAGATCCTATTTGTGAATTTTTTCTTTTGTTGTAGTTGCTTTGACATTTTCATCATGAAACCTTTACACTTGCCTATGTGCTGAATGGTATTGCCTAGATTTTATTCTAGGGTTTTTATAATTTTTGGTTTACATTTAAGTCTTTAATCCTTCTTGAATTAATTTTTGTATGAGGTATAAGCAAGGCATCCAGTTTCAATTTTCTGCATATGGCTAGCCAGTTATCCCAGAACTATTTATTAAATATGGAATTCTTTCCTCATTGGTTGTTTTTGTCAGATTTGTTGAAGATAAGATGATTGCATTTGTATGGTCTTATTTGATATCTCTATTCTGTTCCATTGGTCTATGTATCTGTTTTTCTACCATGCTGTTTTGGTTACTGTAGCCTTGTAGCATAGTTTAAAGTTGTGTAGCATGATGTCTGCAGCTTTGTTCATTTTGTTTAGGATAATCTTGCCTATACAGGCTCTTTTTTTGGTTCCACATGAATTTTAAAGTGGTTTTTTTCTAATTCTTTGAAGAATGTCAATGGTAGTTTAATGGAATAGCATTGAATCTATAAATTACTTTGGGCAGTATGGCTATTTCACAGTATTAATTCTTCCTATCCCTGTGTTGGGAATGAGCCCCCAAAATCTGGCCATAAACTGGCCCCAAAACTGGCCATAAACAAAATCTCTGCAGCACTGTGACATGTTCATGATGGCCATGACACCCACACTGGAAGGTTGTGCATTTACCAGAAAGAGGGCAAGGAACACCTCTCTCACCCAGATCGGAAAACAGCTTAAAGTCGTTCCTAAACCGCAAACAGTAGCATGAGCTATCTGTGCCTTAAGGAGATGCTCCTGCTGCAGATAACTAGCCAAATCCATCCCTTTATTTTGGCCCATCCCTTTGTTTCCTGTAAGGAATACTTTTAGTTAGTCTATAATCTATAGAAACAATGGTTATCACTGGCTTGCTGTCAATAAATACGTGGGTAAATCTCTGTTCAAGGCTCTCAGCTCTGAAGGCTGTGAGACCCCTGATTTCCCACTCCACACCTCTAAATTTCCATGTGTGCATCTTTAATTCCTCTAGCGCTGCTGGGTTAGGGTCTCCCTGACCGAGTTGGTCTCAGCACTCTGAACATGGATTGTTTTTCCATTTGTTTGTGTCCTCTCTGATTTCCTTGAGCATGGTTTGTAGTTCTCCTTGAAGATGTCCTTTACCACCCTTGTTCACTGTATTCCTAGGTATTTTATTCTCTTTGTAGCAATTGTGAATGGGAGTTCATTCATGATTTGGCTCTCTGCTTGTCCACTGTTGGTGTATGGGAATGCTTGTAATTTTTGCACTCTGATTTTGTATCCTGAGACATGTCTAATATTTTTACCTTCTACAAATGTCTTATTTACTCTCTCTCTCTCTCTTTGTGTTGAAACAGGCTGGAGTGCAGGACAGGATCATGGCACATTGCAGCCTCCTCAAACTCCTGGGCTCTGCCCACCTCAGCCTCTTGAGCAGCTAAAATCAAAGTCATGTGCCACCATGCCTAGCTAATGTTTTTTGTTTGCTTTCTGTTTTTGTTTTTGTTAATTCTTTAGAGAGATGAGATCTCACTATGGTGCTCAGCCCTGGTCTCGAATTCCTGGGCTAAATCAACCCCCCCATCTCAGCCTCCAAAAGCACAAGAATTACAGGCATGAGCTACTGATCTTGTTCATTTGTCCTATTATCAGTTAGCCTTGCTATCACACTCTGTTTGAAATACCAACATTCACTAAATATTCCCAATCCCCCTTACTCTATTCTCTCTACTGTTTTTATAAACAAACTACAAATTTCCTTTTGTACTTATTGCTTATTGCTTAATATTTGTCTTGTTCCAACAGAATGCAAATCCTATGAGGACAGGAGGGGATTTCTGATATATACATATTTATTTAATAAGTAAATGACTATGCAAAGAATGAAATCAGAAGTAAATGCAGGCAAACTATGTACAATAATAATCTGTGAGTGGGTGTTGTAACAAGAACACAGTAAGAATTTCTACCTAGGCATTAGAAGTAGAACAGCACAACCAAATGGTCCAGGACATTGGTCAGAGATAAGAACATAGAGGCATCTTTCCTACCTCTCAGATTGGGTTCCCCACTTTTCTGTGGCTTCCTTTAAATGGAGTTACTATTCAGGTATTTACCCACGAATTTTAGAGACCCACACCCTATTCCCTTAAATATACCATCATAGTTGCCATGTTCTTTCTTTTTCTCTCTCTCTGCCTTACTCTTCATTCCTGCCTTGTGTGACCCAGGCACAGAGGATGGCCCTCCTGACTTATGGTGCCGTCCACCCCTGATCTGTAAGTAATAATTCTTTGAACGTAATTTCTATTGTATTAAATTTGTACCTTCCATTGGAAGAACCACAATTTCCCCCGGGATGCCTGGGGCAAACAAGATCAGGATCCCAGTGCCAGGAGAATGGTCAGACTGGACACTAATCAGACAAGACCCACAAGAGCATCTGCCAATGTAAACAAGTTTCCCATGTGAGGGCCCCCTCCGGATCATAAGTCAGACAACTAGACACTAGGCTGTCTGGCAGGTAAAAGAAATATATCCTGAAAGCCATAATGTAATCATCCATATCCAGCTCCCCTACATTTTCTGTCAGGGTAGGGTTGCTAGCTCCTCTGGTACTGGAACCTAAATTTAGCTGAAGCCTCTCAAAATAGATGCTTAAGGCATTTCAGTAAAAATCCGATTCAAATTTTGGTAATTTGAGAATGAAATCAGAGATTTAGGCCCATTATATTATTGTAAATTATAAGAATGAAGTAAATAAATTGTATTTTTAATTTAAATTTTAACATGCAGACATAATTATGATAGCCAGCATGAGGGTAAGAAATGGAAATGTAAAACAGAAGAATTCTTCAAATGTGTTTTGCTTTCTTTGGGGAAGAAGGATGAGCTGATCCTTTGGCAAGTATAGATATCTGTGCTCAAAGACCAATTTATTCCAGATATTTTGATCAACTTACAATAAACATAGAACTAAAATCCACTTACAGTCTTAGTATGAAAATTTTCGAGGGTCCTTGTTAGGTTTAGTAGGTTTTTGGTTTTTTTTTAGATGGAGTTTCACTCTGTCACCCAGGCTGGAGTGCAGTGGCACGATGTTGGCTCACTCCAACTTCTGCTCCCTGGGTTCAAGTGATTCTCCTGCCTCAGCCTCCCGAGTAGCTGGATTTACAGGTGTTCACTACTATGCTGGCTAATTTTTTTATTTATTTTTTATTTCTTTTTTTTTAGTAGAGATGGGGTTTCATCATGTTGGCCAGGCTGATTTTGAACTCCTGACCTCAAGTGATCTGCCCGCCTCAGCCTCCCAAAGTGGGGGATTACAGGTGTGAGCCACCACGCCTGGCCTTGCTTATTTTAAATATTGACTTCAAAGCACTAAAAGTCATGTGAACACTTAAGAAAAAAGAAAGCACATTAAGCAGAATTTATACCGTATGGCAAATGAGGATCAGCTACTAAGTAAAGGGTGCTTAAGTATGCACTAAAACCAAAATGTTTATTGTCATCTTAGCTTATGAAAAGAAAAATGAACAATGTGGGTCACATAAATGTATTCAAAAGAGAAGATTAAAGGGAGACACTGGTGTCTTTGAGGCAAATTATAGTTTGCTGTAAGATAAATTTACAGACATGTTTTAAATCAATGTTTTAACAAAAATCCTGGATAGTTCCTAACTACTTAAAATGTAAATCCTAATTAATTGCAGAATCTTTTCTCCACTTTTGAGACTGTTAAGTTCAGAACCAAGTAAAACATGGGAGGAAAAACAACTTTTCACCATTTCGAAAACAATGGTTTCATCTGTGAGGTGAATTGTAACTTCTCATCTTGTAAAAAGATGGAAAACCTTCAAAACCAACAAGGCAGCTACAAATTGACATTCTCTTTCATTTCTGTTTCCATCAATGACTCCTGAACGAGTCTTCTAGCATGAATGATGTCACCTTTTAGCCTCTCCATCTCACTCTTGCTCCCTGAGTAGGTGGTTCTGATCTCTTTCTGCAGCTCTTCCATGCTGCTCAGCAGCCCTATGAATTTGGTTTGGGCAGTGGGCTGCTCCCAGTTTCCTGTATTATTGACAACACCAGCTACTTATCAAAGTATCTAGAACATAGGTAGTAGGCATTCAAAAATATTACCCAGTAAATTAACAAATAAGAGGCAGCCACATGAAAACCATGCAGACACGCCTGTGGTGTTGGAGTTTGACTGTTCTATGAACAAATCAAAGGCAATTTATTACTTGTATTATACTGGTCAGAACACCAGTTGTAATTTCTGAGTATAGTGCCAGGTAAATTACAGGACAATCTAGGTGACTAATTACAGGACTATCTAGGTGATTAATTGGAGTAAGGTGTTTTTAAAATATTAGGTAAATCCCACTATCCTTTGATTCAGTTACGCGTATATGCCACTTGTTATTACAGAAACAAATACGTTCAAATTTTAAAAAGCAGGCATATGTGAAAATGCTTTTCTACAACATGTTCAGTGTATACATTGTCATATACTATGTAATGCAGAATGATGTCAAGAGTTTTACTATTATCTTGTTATGCAAAGCAAAACCAAAGACTAAGGAAATGAGAAGAGGAAAGGAGATTTATTCAGAGCTTCCTCTCTAGTAAGGGAATCAGCAACTTTCACTTGAGTTTTGGCAGAGACTCAAAGGCAGGCAGAGAAATGGGAAAATATTACAGTGAAAAAACAGATAAGGCTTCAGGTATATAAGATTGGAGGCCATTGGCATGCGGAAGTTGTAGATATCAACTAAAAGATGGACATACTATGTTATTGGTGAGGAGTGCATATTTTGCTTTCTCTGGTTGGTCCAGAGAATTGGAAGTGGGATCAAAAATTAGGAAGGCAAACAGTTCTTAATGACATTCTAACCATTTTGTGCCAATAGTTACAAAAGTCATTATTTAGTTTGCTTGATTGTTACTAGAAACAGTAGTCTGACTTCCTGCAATTCTGACTTTTAGCAGGCTGGCTTCTTGGTTATTTTAGATAAGAGTTTGGTTTTATGAACACTTGACACAGGGTACAGGTCAAAATTCTACTTTTATATATGGTCTGACCATTTTTCATTTGTATGCTTAGTCTCTCAGCATGCTCATGACCAAGGGTAATATTTATTAAGGAATTATTATAAACCACATGATATAAGTGAAATACTTGAAGTTCGGCAGTTCAGAGAAAATTGCTCTTTAGTCCTACAGCTAAAAAGTGGTAATAATCAGATTAGAATCTAGATTTCTTTTACTGAGGAGACTTAAAGGTCTTTTAAAATTAAAGTAAAAACTAATAGACTTCCTGCAAGACACAATTTCAGCATATATTTTTAGCCTCTTATGAGAAATTCTCATAAATATGTAACATAGAAAAATATTTTGATGTTTGGAAATATAAAATAAAAATGATATTTGTATAAATAGCATATGCATGCATATGTATATAAATATGTTTACATATAGATAACAATACTGCTGTATATATGGATGCACAAGTGTTCATAATTAAATTTAAAGAAGTGTGGCATTTATTGTATTCTTTCAATAAAATTTTAAACAAATAGAAATCCTAGTTCTCACATTCCAAAAGAACAAAATACATTTTGGTGTTCTGTGCATTATCTCTATTCTCTGTACATAATATTTTAAAATAAAATTTTTCTGCAAGGACTATATATCCCAATTGCACTGTGATAAGTATTCATAAAAACCACATTCCAATAACTGGTTTCATGTGAACAATTCTTATTTAAACTTTCAGCAAGTCTGCTTTTATGTAAGAATTATATGCCCAGAAGAACAAGCACATTGATAACTAGCTAGGTCAAAAACCAACCAAACTAGGGGACATAATATCATGAAAGTAAGGTAAAACAAACAACTCAAAGGTAATTCCCCATGCGAAGAAACACAGTGTAAGTTAAATCCTATTAAAAAACTAGACTATTTTTATTTTTGTTATATTTTTTCACAAAATTAACTGTTCCAATTTAAAATTTTAGTAAGTTAACGTGCAAGTTTAATTAATTCGATTAGTCTATACTCATATTTGCATACAAAATATAATTTCAGAACTGCAAATTGTTTTTAGAATTTGAAAGTCTATTAGAAATTGCTGTATAACCCTCAGCATTACAAATGGGGAAACGGAAAGCCAATAAAGTAAGTGGTGTATCTCACAAACTTACAACCAGTGAAATGACAGTTAAGCCACAGATTTTATAACTTTCAGTTCAGGATTTTTTTGCTTTATCATCACACTGTCATTACCTTACCATAAATGCTTCCATCCTTTGTCCAGATCATATTTATAGATTCTAATATAATTTAAAGAGGTGTTGACCAGTGGAGCACAGAACATGATTTACTCATGGTCGTGACAGGGCAATTCCTCCATAATCACTTATATTCAGTGGCCCTGAAAATTAATAGAGCTAATATTATTTGTAGACAGTCTAGTATAAAAAACCTTGTGAATTATTTTAATGGCTTTATTGTGATCATAAAGATCTTTATGTCTCTCAATAATTAGCATTAGAGAACACCAAACACTGCTCAGATCCAGCTAAAAAAAAAATCAACATGAGTTTAAATATGCTCACTGTGCTTGTATATATTCTTATAAATGACAAAGCATTCACAAATAAAGAGAACCAATGGTTTATTAAAATACTCTGTAAAATCCAAGTCTAGTACTGCTAATCCAAACACTTAATATTTTCAAATATTTCTGCAACACTTTGTATTATTTAAATATAATATTTTCCGTAATTCAAGCATTGGGAAAACTAATGGGTAAAAGTCTTACCCAAATGTTTTATTATATGTTTTCATTTTTATTACACATAGTATAATTTGTTCAGGATATTTGTCAATCAATTAACTTTATAAAATGAATGTTGCCTGTAATATAAAATATTATCATACCAGGTATGTTTAGAAATAATCTCTTTACTAATCTGCTTAGATTGTCACAAATGCATAAATTTTATAAATATTTTTAATGTATGTTTTAATTAAGTGGACTACAAATTCTCAAAATTAAGCTATTATATTCGTTTTATATTAAGATATATTAATAATAAAAGTAGGAAAACCTACTTTAGGGTTAATAAGAGTTATAGTGAGTATTTAAATTAAATATTCATGAAACAGTTTATATTTGATAACTTCAGTTTAACAATGTAAAATATATGTATTTTTTTAATAACACATACATTTGAAAAAATATTTAGTCAAGAGAAAAATATTTTGACATATTTCCCAAATTTAATGTTTAGAAATGTTTTTAAACAACATTTTTAATTGTTTTAATTTATTTTCATATTCTCATACATAATCTTTTGTGCTTTTTTTTTTGCCAAAAGAATATTTTTTTCAGGGACCCCATATAAAGTTACACTAAGACCATTCATACAGATACCCCTGTAAATAATTTTTAAAATATATACTCTAGAATAAGCCTGTAGAATTGCATACATAAGTTTAAATTTTTACTTACGTTCTCTAAGATGAATCTTAAAATAATAATTACTTAATCTTTGTCACCAACTGGGGATGACACAATCAGAGTAGTCCAAGTTTTAAATATTGGGCATTTCTTTTTACAGAGATGAGATTCGAAAAGATCAAACTCCGATTTAAACATTTGATGCCGGTCATACACACATTTATCTTACGTTACAATCTCTTTGCCACATCCAGTAATTTTCCCAGTACATTATTCATCATTTTTCTCCAGTTTTCAAGATGTTCGTGTATTCCAATATTCTGTTTAATTCAAGTACTGTAATAAATACTAAGTTTTACTCCTTTAACTGCCTCTCCAAATTATGTAAATGGTATTAACTCACAGCATGGCTTTTTCAACACAATTTGTTAAATCTTTTCTTATACCCAATCAACTACTCTTATCTTAAATGTCTTCCTAGCTTGTCTTCTTCGCCCACTACATATTTGGTGTTGTATTTCTATGGTCAATTCTTAATATCATGTCCTCGATTCCACCATGTTCTGATTGTTGTCCTGTTATAAAACTGGAGGGTACACAATATGATAAGTCAATTTTGGGTCACCAGTTATACTCCCAACTAAATTATACATCCCTTGAATTGAGGAATTAAATTATTTTCTCCTCTCTCATTCTCTCCCTCCCTCCATTCTTACCTTCCGAACTTTCTTTTTTTTTCCCCAGGTATATTAAAAAATACTGTGCATGATATTTTCTCAGGAACGAAACTGAATGAATGCTCTGTCCAAATCTTTAAATACTTAGCCATTTCAATTGAATTACTAATGGTTTTTAAAAATTTTATTCTTATGGGTGATCTCACTTTCAAGACAAAAGAAATTTGAAAAGTGTCAGTTAATGCATTTATATATTAGTATATACTAATATATTAAATATGTTAAAGTAGAAATTCATAAACAAGTACCTGGCTCAGTGAAGTATTAACATAAAACAATAACAAAGGAAACAAGCAGAAAAGGAGGAAAAACAGAAATAAGGAGAAATGAAACACCATAATCTTGCTGTCATGTTTGGCAATAATGACTGGCTATGAGGATAAACTAAGGAGAGGTAGAAAGAGCTGTATAGTTGGATTCTTCTTCACTTCTCAGTAAATACCAGAGTAATATGGTAAAGGTAGAAATAACTTATCGATTGCTTATTTTCCACACTCCATTATCCTAATTCAAGCAATATGTTGCCCATATTCCCAAATCTTAAATATCTGTATTGTTTTGCTCCAAGTACTTTTTAGGTTTAACTATAAATGTGGAACCTGGGAAAAAAATGAACTCTTATAATAAATTTCAAGTACTTTAGAATCAAAGTATAATTTCCTCACATTTTCTACTTAGTATGCATTTATTTCTAAAAATATTAATGCAAAAATATCAAAGGCCAACATATTGTAGGTCACTGAACATTATCCATTTTTAGTCACTCAGGCAGTATACTTGTATTTGAGGAAATGAATTTTTCAAAAGTATTACTTTTAGTTTCACTTAGCACACAAAGTTCATCTTCATAAATGCTACTATTTTATTCAATATTGACTTCAGTTTGAGGTTTATTTTACTACTTCAGAGACACTTTAGGGAGATGTTAATTTATTTTAAAATTCAATTGGTAACTTAGAGCTTACTTATTTACACGTTAGTGAAAACAAACATTTCTAGGTCCTCTTCACACTCATGGGACTAGGAAAATCAGTTTCAGGAAATTGGAAGGGTAGCATTTTCAGACTACAATGACTAATAAATTGTTATATACTGCAAACTTCAGGTAACATGAAACTGACTAAGTAACACCATGATGACCATAAATGACAGCCTGCAAAAATCTCAGCTATCCATTGCTAACTTTACCCGGGATTCCATTTCATTTGTATATCACTGTATATTGATGTTAAACTACTGTGAATAGAAGGATAATGTAAAGGAATACCACTAGGTTTTGTACCAGAAGTATAAAATTATTGTCCAGGTGTACCAATAAATCATTTTGGAACTAGCATTCATCTTCCAAACCTCAATTTTCTTACTTGTTAAAAATTTGAATGAAAACATCTGTCCTTCCTTTCTTTCCCTAGTGTCATTGGGATTCAGTGGAATAAAGTAAATGAAAGTATTTATAAAACTGCCCAATACCATTTCTCATTATGGCTTTCTTTTATTATCAAAATAATATAATAGCTATTAATGTCTGAACTTCTTTTTGCCTTTCTTCCTTTCAACAAATATACTTCCAATTTTTCCCCTTGCCTCTTGTCTTTATATCTCATTTGTCAGTATTTTGCTCACAGTTTACTTCTCTTAAATTTTGGATAATGTCGATATTTTGCTAAAGGTCTTTAAGTGTATCCCTTTACTTGTCAGTTAAATTTCACAGTCCATGCTCATTTTCAACTTCATAAAGTAAGGACTTTCCTCCAGGCAAAATTGTCTACACTATTATGTGTGTCTACATAATTATTCATGTATATTACTCCCTCCAACCCGTTAGGTACACACAAGTACATATTGGACAACTTGTTTCTTCTACTTCTTCAGCTGTTAAAACTCCACCCATCCTTCAGGAGAATAACTCAAATCCTACCTCTTTACTAAAACTTTAATTAATATTAGATGATCTTTAAGATTTCTAAACTCCCATAGTTCTTTTATATAAACTTATCATTTTTCATTTGTCTCACATTTACTTATATTCATTCATATGTTCATTCAATATAGGTTTCCTGGGCACTCACTGCATACCAAACAATATTCTAGATGGTGGGAATACAACAATAAACTGTTAACAACAATAAGAGTAACGTCGATAATAATCTACTCCTCAAGATCTTCTATTCCAAAGGGAATAGGAGGTTGAGAGAAATGACAAGTTACATTTACAGCATCACAGATATTTACAAGTGCTCTGGGGAAAAAAAAAGAAATCAATTTAATATGATGTGGTGGATGCTGCATGTATGTTGGGAGTAAAGTTTGCTTTTCTTTCCATACAACTGTATGGAAATGAGAATGTGGGAAATAAGGGATTAACATGGGATTCCTGGGCTTCTGTTGCTGACCAAAATGAACAGGTCTAATATATTAGGCATGACATACTAACTCTACTATGGGTTTTGCTTAATTTGGACGTTGAGGTAATCAGTTATTTCCACACTTACGTCCCTCAAATCTATTGTGTATATGCATTGTTTCCAACTTCAATCCAGCATTTGCCCTCAGAAGAAATCAAGCTCCGTATCTCAGGCAGGCATACATGTTTTGATTCCTTTTTCTTTCACTTATTTCCTTCCTACCTTGGGAACTTTTCCTCTGTCTGAAGAAGGAATATATTCGGACTTATTCTATACTTGAATCTCTTCAAGAACTAGGCTTCTGAGACACATAAACCAATGTTTTTCTCTTTGGTACTGTTTTGTGCTATGAAACGATGTCTTTGAGACATTTAAGGTCAGAATTCCCTTGCTATCTAAGTGAGAAAGTGATAAATAGTTATAGCACATGAAGAAAATATCCAAAAAATCAATATATATTTTTAAATATTATGGCTAATTCATATTGATACATTATAGTGTTGAAAAATTCACACAGGTAATTTAATATAGTGATAGATTATCTCTGGTTTTCTTGTTAAAAATTAAAATATTATAAACTTTCAAGTCAACAATTGGCTTTTGAGTATCAATAATAATAGGGACAAGTATAAATAAGAATAGTAATATCAACAGGTAATATAAAATAATTTTCCACTAATTCTTAGTATATGTCAAATTTATTTTAAAAGTAAGAAAGTTGATTAAATTTTTTATATATCCCTTCTAACCTTCATTTTTTACCTGTGAGATGATGTGTATTAATCATTTATCAAGAATCTATTAGTAACTGCTACCAGCACAGTTCTCTCTCTGCCTTTGGGATGAAATAAAACAAGCTTATCACTCTAATGGGAAAGAATAGTGCACGTAAAAAACAGAAACTGAAGCTTGTGATTTGAAAGACATGGATAGAGCAAGGTCATGACACAAAGTGGAAATACACTTTCTTTAATAAGAGAAAGGTGGTAGATAGAATGCCACAAAATTTATTCAGAAATAGCCTCATTTAACAATGAAGTCTTCTGAAGCTGACGTGTGAGTCATTATCTAGAATAGTGCCCATGAAAAGAGAAATGATCATTCTGGTACAAACATTTAAAAACACCATTACGTGACATAGAGTTCTCATTAGTTTGTCAATGCAGAAGAGCTAAAATTTTTATAGCAACACAAGTATATGACTTTAAAGTCATTTATTTCTTAGATGAAAATTGTAGTTCATAATTTAATTAAGATATGTATTATTTTAAAACTGTAAGATGAATCATTATTTAATGTCCTTTTGTGTGAGTGTTTAATTATCCTACGACTCATTATTTGCTGTAGATATGTGGTACACTCTAACCAAAAGATGCATGATTACGTTATTATTTTATTGCAGAACCAAGCACAGAGGGTTTCTACAGGTTACACAATGCTCAACAGTTAGGCCAATAAAGACAATCTGAACATGTAACAAATTTGGAATTCTTGTGGCAGTTTTCATGTAACGGCAATTCCTTCACTAAATGTTCGTTTGTTTGTTTGTTTTTGAGACAGAGTCTCGCTCTGTCGCCCAGGCTGGAGTGCAATGGCTTAATCTTGGCTCACTGCAAACTCCGCCTCGCAGGTTCAAGCGATTCTCCTGCCTCAGCCTCCCGAGGAGCTGGGATTACAGGTATGCGCTACCACCACTAGCTAATTTCTGTATTTTTAGTACAGACGAGGCTTTGCCATGTTGGCCAGGTTCGTCTCCAACTCCTGACCTCAGGTGATCCACCTGCCTTGGCCTCCCAAAGTGCTGGGATTACAGGCGCGAGCCACTGTGCCTGGCCTCACTAAATATTTATTATTGAGTGTTTTATATGACAAGGATTGTGAGTGAGATTTGTACATAAAAGATATTTTTACTCACAAGTGACTCTATAAGTATGATATAATATTTTGTTCTTTACAGATATTATTTGCAACTGTTAGCAGTGACAAATCCATGCAGGTCTGCAGCAACCTCAATTCCTGCCTCCTGCAAAGAAAGAATTTGACCTAGGGGTAAAAAGCAGACCTGAGAGAGCAAGGTAAGTTTTAAAGCAGAAGTGAAAGTTTATTTAAAAGTTTGAAGGCAGGAATGAAAGGAACTAAAGTATACTTGGAAGAGGGTCAAGCGGGCAACTTGAGAGATTCAAGGGAGCAGTTTGACTGTTGACTTGGGGTTTCATATGTTGTCATGCTTCTGGGGGGTTGCCTCTCTTCCCTGATTCTTCCTTTCCTGTAGGCTGTCCACATGCACAGTGACCTACCAGCACTTGGGAGGGGCTGGATGCACAGTGTGTTTGCTGATGTACACATGCTCACTTGAGGCATTCTTCCCTTACCAGTCAAGTGTTCCTAGAGGAAGGTCACATACCAGTTAAACTCCACCATTTTTCCTCTTAGTGTGTATGCCTGCGCTCACTTTGCCCAACTCCTGAGATTTTATCAGGAAGATGCTGATTACCAGTTTCAGGTTTTTTCTATCTATTGAGAGACTGCCTTCCCTAGCACCTGCTGCAACCAATTATTACTATAGAGAGACAGTGTAACAACCACCTGGCCATCACCAGATGGTCACCTGACATTTCTGGTGGTGAGAGGGCCCTTCCTGCCCTGCTTCTGTCTGACCACCTACTATAACAGAACCCCAATTTTAAGTGAATTGAGTCACATAACTGGGGACATTCCATACTTATATATAAACTTTATATATAAGGCAGGGCATGGTGGCTCATGCCTGTAATACCAGCAATTTGTGAGGCCAAGATATGGGAGGATTGCTTGAGTCCAGGAGTTTGAGATCAGCCTGGGCAACTGAGTGAGACCCTGTCTTTACAAAATTTTTTTTAAAAAATTAGCTGGGCATGGTGTTGCATGCCTGTAGTTCCAGCTACTTGGGAGGCTTAGATGGGATCACATGAGACAGGATTCTAATTCTCATGGATATATGCCGTAATCTCTCATTTGCTTTATCTCACATAATACAAACACCATTCTGTGTATAAAATGTTAAAACAATCATCAAAATGATCACTAGCAATTTTGCTTCCCTTCCTTCCTTCCTCCCTTTCTTCCTTCCTTTCTTCCTATTTTAATAAAAAAAAATGGAGAGAAAAGATGGCTCTGAGGTAGATTAATATAACACCAAAATAGTATCATGATGGAACAAGGAAGATTCTTCTCATCTTTCCACTGTGATATTTTTAGCATTTTTGCTATAGTTCTCATGTTTGTTGTTTTAGGCTTATTTATCTCTGGCTTCAGAATGTTGGCGGTAGCTCCAGGCAGCTTCATATAGCAACAATCAAAAGCTAAATGTTCTTTTGGCTCTATCTATATATCTCCCTTTTATTTATTAAGGTATTATTTACATACAATTAAGTTAACCAGGTTAAAATGTACAGTTCAGTGATTTTTTCATAACTTTCTACAATTGTGTAAACTCTACTTTAATCAAGATATACACCAATGTCCTCATCGTAAGTTTTCTCATGCCCCTTTATACTTGATCTTCTCCCCACACTCCAGAAGCCAACCACTGATCTTCTCTGTCAACATACTTTTGTTTATCTAAAATTTCATACAAATATAATCATACAGTATGTATTATGTAGTGTTTGAATTCTTGCAGTAATCATGATGTACTAGATATATATTCATATTGTAGTAATATGAATATATAGTAATTGTTTGCTCTTTTTATTGCTGAGTAAGTCCATAATAAGAATATATAACTAGTGAATTTATCCATTCACCAGCTAATGTATGTTTTCGGCTATTATGAATGTTTTATGCTATCACCATCCATGTACTTGATTTTGTATAGACATGTGTCTATTTCTCATGGATAGCAAATAGGAATGAAGTGGATAGGCTGTATGGTAAATGTATTCTTAACTTTATATAGTATTACCATAATGTTTTCTAAAATGGCTGCAGCAATTTGCATTCCTCCCAGTAATATATGAAGGTTCCAATTCCTCTATAGCTTTTTCAGTACTTGTAGTTATACTTTCAATTTTGATTTTTCTGATGACCAATGATGTTGAATATCTTGTGTTTATTGCTCATTTATAAAATCATTATTTTTTGCAAAATCCTTGTTCAAAATTTGCCCATACTTAATGAAATTCTTTTTCTTCTTTTTGTTAATGTCTGAAGGATCTATAGGAGGAGTGACCCCCGCAACTTTTTTTTCTTTTTTAGACAGAGTCTTGCTCTGTCACCCAGGCTGGAGTGCAGTGGCGTGATCTCGGCTTACTGCAACCTCTGCATCCCAGGTTCAAGCTATTCTCCTGCCTCAGCCACCCGAGTAGCTGGGATTACAGGCACTTGCAACCATGCCCAGCTAATTTTTGGGGGTTTTCTTTTTTTTATTTTTATTTTTTGTCTTTTAGTATAGACAGGGTTTCACCATGTTGGTCAGGCTGGTCTCAAACTCCTGACCTCGTGATCCGCCCACCTTGGCCTCCCAAAGTGCTGAGACTACAGGCCTCAGCCACTGCGCCTGGCCGACCCCACTTTTTTATTTCTGATATTGCTAGTTTGTATCACTTTTTTTCTTGATAAACCTGGCTAGATGGCTGGCCAATTTATTGATATGCTTTCCTCAGAACTAGGTTAGAACAAGAACTAGCTTCATTGATTTTTCCACTTTTTTTTTCTGTTTTCCATTTTATTTTCTGCTTTCGCCGTATTACATCCTTTCTTCTTCTTGCTTTGGGAATAATTTGCCCTTCTTCGAGTTTGTATATGATGAAACTTAGATTATTTATTTCAGATATTTCTTTCTTTCTTATATTGGCTTCTAAAGCATAAATTTTCCTCTGAGCCTGATTTTTGCTGTATTACACATATTTGGTTATAAATAGTTAAATAATTTATTAAATGAATTAAGAAGAAAAAGGCAAAACAAAGCATATTGTCTTTTACGTGTATCCAGACACTTGCCATTTCCAATTATTCTTTCTGAGGATCTGAATTTCCATGTGGTATCATTTATTTTCATCCTGATGAGGTGAGCATCTTTTAGCATTTCTTATAGTGCATATTTGTTGAAAATGCATTACCTTAGTTTTTCATTTTTATATACAAATATCTTTATTTCATGTTCATTCATAAAAATACATTTTTATTACTTAAATATTTCTGCGTTAATAGGTTTTCCATTTGGCACTTTAGAGTTTCTGCTTTTTTCTCTTCTGGCCTCCATGTTTTCAAAGAGAAATCAGCCTCACATCAAATCATTGTACCTTATACATATCATTTTTCTCTTGCCGTTTTCAAGATTCTCTGCTTATACGTGGCTTTCAACATTTGAGCCTTGGAATAATGGACTTCTTTGTGTTTGTGATTCTGTTTTGGTGCTTGATTAACATCTTATAGCTATAAATTTCTGCATTTTTTTTCTCAAATAAGGCATTATTATTTCAAGTATTATTTTCTGCAGCATTATTCATGTCCTCTCCTTCTGTTTTCAAATTACATGTATGTCTGACTCTGTCATGTAATCTAACATGACACCGGAGGTCTTTTCATTTTTATTCCTTTCAAAAATTATTTTATTTTATTTTGAATTCAGAAATACATATGCAGTTTCATTACATGAATATACAGTGCAATACCAAGGTTTGGGCTTCCATTGTAGTAATCCCAAAGATTGAACATAGTACCAATAGGTAATTTTTCATCTCTCACTTATTTTCATCTTTATGTCCATGTGTACCCACTGTTTAGCTTCCACGCCATGAAAACACAGTATTTGATTTTCTGTTTGGGAGTTATTTCTCTTAGGATAATGGCCTCCAGATGCATCCATGTTGCTGCAAAGAGCATGATTTTATTCTTTTTTATGGCTGCATAGTATTCTATGGCTTATATACACCCCATTTTCTTCATCCAATCAATGGCTGATGGACAGCTAGGTGGTTTCCATGACTTTGTTATTGAGAATAGTGCTGTGATAAACATACGAGTGACAAGTGTTTTTTAAAATAAATAGTTGTTTATTTTTATTTTCCTAAATATACTTTTCTTTTTCTCTCTGTTGTTCACCTTGGATCATTTCTATCAATCTGGCTTCAAGTTTGCTGACTTTTTTCCTTGTCATGCCTGTTAGTACTTTTATCCTAGACACTGAAAACTTATTTCTGAAAATTTATTTTTAGTTGTATAATTTTTTATATTTTGATTTCTTTCCTACCTGAGACTGCCATTTTTTTCTGCTATTTGCATGCACTAAGAAAATGTTTTATTTTATTTAATTGAAGAAAGTTATCACAGTTTAAAAATTTTGTCTGTTAGCTCCATCACTGGGTTTATTTTGTTTTAAGAATGTGTTTTATGTCCTTGGCTCTTTATATTTTGGGTGATATTTAATTCTATCCTGGACATTATGAATATTAACATGTGATACTGGACTTAGTTATCTTTCTCCAATTTGAATGGTTTCTTTTGTTTTAGCAGGTAGGCTTTTTGTTTGTTTTTTGTTGTTATTGGTTGGGCTTGAACTGCAAATTAGTCTGTTGAGGCTGCTATAACAAAATACCATAAACTGGTTTCTAACTAAAAGAAATTTATTTTTCACTGTTCTGAAGCTGGAAATCCCAAGAGTTGGTGTCTGGTGAGTACTCACTCTCTGGTCCAGAGATGGTGGCTTTTAGCTCTGTCCACAACATGTTGTAAGAGGAGAATTCTGGCCTCCCCAGTCCCTTATAAGGGCATCAATACCATTCATGAAGGTCCATCCTCATTTACTAGTCACCTCCCAAAGGCCCTACCCGCTAATACCATCCACCTTGGAAGTTAATATTTCAACATATGAATATTGGGGAGGACAAAAACATTCAGACCATGCTAAACTGCAATCTCTTTTTCTTGTGTAGCAGTTTTTGTGCCTTTTTATGCCTTTGTGTTTATCTGGCCTGTTTTATGTCTCTTTCACAGACACAGGCTCTGAGTGTGCTCAGAGATGTGGGCAGACCATGTTAAGGATTCTCCTCACTATCTCTTTTCTTGCCATATTTCCCCCATCTTTTTAGCATTCATTATTTCTTGGCTTTACCTTTCTCATTCCCCAAGGTAGAAGGTAGATGTTTTTATCAAAACATCTCCACCTCTAGTGTGCACACCATGAACAGAAATCAGCTGCAAGCTGAAAGACATGAAAAAGAGATCTTTCCTATGTCCCATTTTCCAAGTGCACCCCCACTGTTGTCTGTCTGCTTCTCATCGTTCATCAGCTTTTTCAGGTGACTGACTCAAGACTCCAGTCAGAGTAATGCCTTGATCTGACCTGCTTTGAGTCTGTTCCCTGCAACTGTGGTTCAGAGATCAAAGTTGTGGACACAGTGTGTATTCCTTTCTTAACGCTATCCCTTTAGGAATTTCTGCACTCTGTTCACATTCACAAATTCTGGATTTCACTTTTTGGTTCCCAGAAATAGGAATATTTTGTTTTTTTTTTTTTTCGTGAGTACATCCTGCTGCCTGTGCACACTACACAGACCAAACTTACCTCCAGGTAAAAGCCAAGGAGACAAGAAATTTCTTGTGTAGCTTTACATCATCCCTCTTCCAACGAGTGTGGAGTCAGTACCAACGTCTGTCTTCTCTTCACCTTCCATTACCTTCAGATGTTCTGTTTGGTTTTTATTATATTCTGTTTTATCATTTTCTGCAGGGAAGTTCTTCACATTGAGTCCTATTCCATCATTCTCTGAAGAGTATCTTCTACTATCTACCACGTTGGTGTTTTTCTCAAAGTATTTACATTTCAATTATTAATTTCCTTATATCACATCAGGAGATGTGTAACATCGTGTTGGCCCCGTTAGTGATGCTAAGATTGTGTACTGGAGTAGTGTTGTGACTTTATGATCTTTGCACTTAACAGGCTCCTACGATCCACATCGCAGGGGAATGCACACGCCCCGCCATATGGGAAGTAGGAGCAACCCCCCTTTCCCCGCCTGTCTCCTACGATCCACATCGCAGGGAGGTGCACACCCCCGCAATATGGGGAGTAGGAGCAACCCCCGTCTCCCCCACTGGCTATTACAATCCACGCTGGACACACAGCGTGTTTATGATTTTGTGAGTAAATCATCTCCCCCTCAGCAAATTATGAACTATTTCACCGACGGGTGTACAACCTCTGCCGTATTGGGAGCAATATCATCCTCAACCCCGCTGGATGTTAACAACACATCACAGGGGTGTTTATGCTCTCTACGATATTGGGTGTCATATCATCCTCTCCCACATTGAAATTAGGAGCAATATCACTAGGTGCGTGTGCACCTGCGATATTGAAAGTAATATCATCCTCTTCTCTCCTGGATCATGGGAACAATATCACTCGGGGGTGTACACTTTGTGCGATATTGGGAGTAATATCATCCCCTCCGCTTCTGAATATCAAAGATACTCTCACACGGGGGTGTACATCTCCTGCGATATTAGGACTAATATTATCCTCTCCCCTCCTGTATATTAGGAAATATATCACAAAGTGGGTATAGACCTCCTGTGACTTGAGGAGTAATATCCTCTTCTCCCCTTCTGGATATTAGCAACAATGTCGCACGGGGGTTTACACTTTCTCCGATATCTGGAGTAATGTCATTCTCTCCTCCTTTGAACGTTAAGAACAGTATCACACGGGGGGTGTACACCCCCTGCGATATTGGGAGTAAATCAGGCTCTCCCCCGACCCTTGATATTAGGAAAAATATCCCACCGTGTGTGTACACCTCCTACTATATGGGGAGTAATATCATCCTCTCCCTTCCTGGATATTAGGAACAATGTCACAGGGTGGGTGTACACAGCCTGCAATATTGAAAGTAATATCATCCTTCCACCTCCGGATATTAGGAACAGTATCACAGAAGGGTTGTACACTCTCTGCGATATTGGGAGTCATATCATTTTCTCCTTCCCTGAATATTAGGAGCAATATCCCCGGTGGATGTATACCCACTGTTATATTGGGAGTAATACTCTGCCCCCTGGATATTAGGAGCAATATCACAGGGTGGCTGTACACCCACGGCTATATTGGGAGTAATGTCATGCTCCCCCTCCCTGGATATTTGGAACAATATCACAGTGGGTGTACACCTTCTGCAGTATAAGGAATAATATCATCTTCTCTTCCTTTAGCTATTAAGAACAATATCACATGAGGGGTGTACAACCCCTGCACTATTGGGAGTAATATTATTCTCTCTTATTCTGAATAGTAGAAATAATATCACAGGCGAAGTGTACACCCCTTGCAATATTGGGAGTAATATCATCCTCTCCCAACGTGGATATTAGGAACAATATCGCAGGGGCATGTACACTTCTTCGATATTGGTAGTAATATCATCCTCTCCCCACTGGATATAAGAAACAATATGACAAGCGGGGTGGACATCTCTCACGATATGGGGAGGAATGTCACCCCTGTCTCCCTGCCTGGATATTACGGTCCACCGTGGACACACTGCATGTTAATGATATTGTGAGTAATATCATCTCCCCCTCTAGAAATTATGAAGGATATCAAAGACGGGTGTACACCCTCCGCAATATAGGGAGTAATATCATCCTCTCCACCCCTGGATATTAGTTACAATATCAAAGGAGTGTTTATAACCCCTGCGACATTGGGAGTAATATCCTCTCCCACGTTGAAATTAGGAACAGTATCACTGGGGGCGTGTACACACCCTGCGATATTGAAAGTAATATCATCCTCTTCCCTCCTGGGTCATGGGAACAATATCACTGGGGGGTGTACACTTTCTGCGATATTAGGAGTAATATCATCCTCTCCGTCTTTGAAAATTGAGGACAATATCACGGGGGTGTGTACACCCTTTGCGATATTGGGAATCATATTATCCTCTCCCCTCCTGCATATTAAAAAAAAATCACAGAGTGGGTGTACACCTCCTGCGATATGGAGAGTAATATCGTCTTCTCCTCTTCTGTGTTTGAAGAACAATATCACACGGTGGTGTATACTTTCTGCAATATTGGGAGTAATATCAACGTCTCGACCTTTGAATATTAAGAACATCACAGGGTGGATGTACACGCCCTGAGATATTGGGAGTAATGTCAGCCTCTTTCCTCCCTAGATATTAGGAACAATATCCCAGGGTGGGGGTACACCTCCTGCTATATGAGGAGTAATATCATCCTCTCCCTTCCTGGATATTAGGAACAATATCACAGAATGGGTGTACACAGCCTACAATACTGGAAGTATTATCATTCCCTCCCCCTCCAGATACCTGGAACAATACCACAGAAGAGGTGTACACTCCCTGCAATATTGGGAGTAGTATCATTCTCTTCTTCCGTGAATATTAAAAGCAATATCACCGGGTCACCGGGTGAATGTACACCCACTGCTATATGTCATACTCTAACCCATGAATATTGGGATCAGTATCACAGGGTTGGTGTACACCTAGAGCGATATTGAAACTAATATCATGCCCTCTCTCCCTGAATATTAGAAACAATATCACCGGTGAGTGTAGACCCCCTGCGGCATTAGGAGTAATAACATTCTTAATGATTAGTCATAAATTATTAATATTAATGATCAATATTAATATGAATTGATATTATTTCCTAATATATTATTAATTATTAATCGTAACAGTAATTAATGTAATTACTTATATTATTTTGTTATTGTTGATATCACCATCAACTAATGTTAATCATTAATATTAATTTTTATTAATATTATGATTATTAACATTAATTATTAATATTAATTGGTATCACGATTGTCATATTTATTAATATTTACAATTAATAATAATTATTACTATTTTCAATAATATAACAGCAATGATTATTAATAAATAACCAATAATTTGTTAATTATTCGTAATTATAAATTAATTAGAATTAATAATTAAAATCAATCAATTATTAATTATTAATAAATAATAATATTATTCCTGATATCTGGGGGAAGAGAGGGTGATATTATTGCCAATATCGCAGGAGCTGTACACCCTTCTGTGATATTGTTCCTAATAGCCAGGGGGTAGAGGATGACGTTTCTTGAAATATCACTAGAGGTGTAAATCCCTTCTGTTTTCTTGTTGCTAATATCCACGGGGTGAGAGGATGATATTACTCCCAATATCGCAGGGGGTGTAGACATCCCCTGTGATATTGTCTCTAATATCCAAAGGTGGAGAGGATGATATTTTTCTCAAATTCGCAGGAGGTCTACACCACCACTGTGATATGGCTCCTAATATCCAGGCGAGAGAGGATGATATTAGTCTCAATATCACAGGAGGTGTACACTCCCTAGTGATATTGATTCTAATATCCACGGACGGAGAGGATTATATTGCTCCCAATATATCGTGTCTAATATCCAGGGTGGGAGAGGATAATATTAGTCTCGAGATCGCAGGAGTTGTACACTCCCCAGTGATATTGTTCCTAATATGCAGGGACAGAGAGGTTAGTATTACTTCCAACACACCAGGGGGTGTACACCCCTTCGGTGACATTGTTTCTAATAGCCAGCGGGGGAGAGGAAGATATTACTCCCAATATCACAGGGGTATACACCCCCTTGTTAGATTTCTTATATACCTGGAGGGAGACGATGATACTAATGGCAATGTCACAGAGGGTGTACACCCCCTTTGTGATATTGTTCCGAATCTCCAGAGGGGAAGAAAATGATGTTACTCCCAATATCGCAGGGGGTGTACATCCTTCTGTGATATTGTTTCTTATATTCAGGGGGGAAAGGACGATATTACTCCCAATATCGCAGGGGTTTGTACATACCTCCTGTTATATTATTCCTAATATCCAGAAGGGGAGAGCATAATATTACTCTCAATATTGAAGAGGGTGTACGTCTCCTCTGATATTATTCTTAATATCTATGATGGGAAAGGAAGATATTACTCCCAATATCGCAAGAAGTGTACAGCGTCCCATGATATAGCTCCTAATATCCAGGTGGGGAGAGGATGATATTACTCCCAATATCGCAGAAGTTGTAAAACCCCTTCGATATTTTTCCTACAATCTGGGGGGAGAGGATGATATTACTCCTAATATCGGAGAAGGTGTACACGGCCACTGTGACATTGTTCCCAATATACACACGTTGACAGACAATGGTATTACGCCCAATATCGCAGAGGATGTACACCCACCCTGGGATATTTTTCCTAATATCGAGAAGGGGAGAGGATGATATTACTTTCAATATCTCAGATAGTTTGTCCTTGCAAACTATCGCAAGGACAAAAAACCAAACACCGCATGTTCTCACTCATAGGTGCAAATTGAACAATGAGAACACTTGGACACAGGAAGGGGAACATCACACACCGGGGCCTGTAGTGGGGTGTGGGGAAGGGGGAGGGATAGCATTAGGAGATATCCCTAATGTAAATGATGAGTTAATGGGTGCAGCACACCAACATGGCACATGTATGCATATGTAACAAACCTGCACGTTGTGTACATGTACCCTAGAACTTAAAGTATAATAATAAAAAATAATAATAATTATAAAAATAGTATTCAGAAAAACAAAAACAAACAAAAAGATTTCCTGACATGTAATTTATCATAAAGTTATTCAGTACAAGTGTGCAATTCAATAATTATTACTAAATTTATGGAGTTGTATAACCCACCCCACAATCTAATTTTAGAACACCTTAAAAAGGAACTTCATGCCCACTTATTATCACTCAGGTTTCAGAAACCTAGGCCCCAGTAACTTCTATTTTATTTTCTGTCCCCACATACTTGCCTTTTCTGGGTATTTAATAAAAATGAAATCATACAATATGTGGTCATTTGTGACTACCTCCCTTCATACCATAAAGTTTTTGAAGTCAAACCATGCTGTGGCTTACATCAGTACTCTTTGTTTTTATTGCCAAATAGAACTTCATTATATAACGAATAAATAGTATTTCACTAATTGAAGGACATTTGGGTTGTTTACCCTTTATGACTGTTATAAATAATGTTCTATCAACTTTCATGCAAGTCTCATCTCTTCTGATTAGATATCTCAGACTGAAATTGCTGGGACATATGGTAAATTTACGTTTAGCAATTTAAGAAACTGACAAACTGTTATCTAAAATGGATGTATATTTACATTCCTATAAAAATATGAGGTTACATTTCCCAGCATGTTAACCAACACTTGTTTTTGTCTAGCTTTTTTGTCATAGCCATTCTTGTGGGTATGAGAAGGTGTCTCATAATTTTAATTTGTATTTTATTAGAAACTCATTATATAGGATTTTTAATTTGTTTATTGATCACTTGTGTTACCTTCCTACTCTGGAGAAATGTTAATTCAAGTACTTTCCCATTTTTTTTTTCTAATTGGACTGTTTTCATAAAATTGAGTTGTAAAAATTTGCTGTATTTTGAATATAAGTCCTTTATCACATATACAATTTGAAAATACTTTTTCCGGTCAGGTTTGCATTTTCACTTTTTAATAATACCTTTTGTAGCTCAAAAGTTTTCAATTTTGATGAAGTCCAAATGACCAATTTGTTATTATAGCAATTATAATTTAGTTTTATATCTAGATGTTTGTGTGCTTTTCTGAGTTTACAGTTTTAGCTCTTATATTTAGGCCTCTGAGTAAATTTTTGTGCATGGTATGGCATGGGAATAAATTCCTATATTTTCATTAGCATAACCAATTTTTCTTGTGTCATTTGTTGAAAGACTATTCTTTCCCTGTAGAAGTGACCTAGCACCTTTGCTTGAAAATAACTTGAACATCATTTTAAGGATTTATTTCTGGACTCTAAATTGATATCTAAATGTGGATCTTTAAACCATTACCTCAATATCTTGATTACTATATCTTTGCAGTATGTTTGAAATCAGGAAATGTTTAAGTCCTCCTACTTTGCATTCTTCTTCAAGTTTGTTTTGGTTACTCTGTGCCCCTTGCATTTTCATATAAATTTTATGATTCATTTATCAATTTCTGTCAAAAAAAGCCAGTAGTGATTTTGATAGGCATTGCGTTGAATTCATAGACCACTTTTAGGAGTACTGAGTCTTCAAATTCATAGTTATGGAGTATATCTACATTTATTTTGACTACCTTAAAACTGAAAAACACATTTAAAAATATTAACATTATATTTACATTGTAAGAACAATTATTTTTATATACTCTACTTCGTCTCTTTTCACCTTATTTAATGTATGTTCTACAAAATTAAATATTGTTCCTTGCTGATAGCTCTTATGTTAATATCACTAATAAAGTTTTTTTTTCTCTCTGGTGGTCTGAATGTTGCTGTCCAAAAAAAGTTCTCAGGAAAGCCTCTTGGGATGTGAATTCTTAGATGTTTCTAACATTTTGTTATTTTATCCTTAAAAGCCAGTTTTGCTGGATTTATAATCATTGGCTCTTATATTTTTTTCTGAGTACCTTGATTATGTTACTTCATTTTCTTCTAGTATGAAGTTTTGTTGTGGAAAAATGTGATTGCAATATCATTTTCTTTCTAAGATGTACAATTTCTAAGATGTAAATTCTTTCTAAGATGTATAATTTTCTTTCTATTATGTAAGATTTTTCTCTTAAAAGCATATTAACATTCATCAGAATTAATATCATTAAAATGACCATACTGCCCAAAGCAATCTACAGATTCAATGCACTCTCTATCAAAATATCAATGTCATTTTTTCAGAGAATTAGAAAACACAATCCTGAGGTTCATATGGAACAAAAGATAGTCCTGAATAGCCAAAGCAATCCTAAGCAATAGGAACAAAGCTGCAGACGTCACATTACTTGACTTCAAACTAGACTACAAGACTATAGTAACCAAAAAAATGTGGTGCTGGAACAAACATAGACATAAAGATGAATAGAATAGAGAACTTAGAGAAAAAGTTACATATCTACAGCCAACTGATCTTTGACAAAGTCAACAAAAACATATACTGGGGAAAAGACATCCTTTCAATAAATGGTTTTGGGCAAAGTGGATTGCCATATGTAGAAGAACGAAACTCAACCCTAATCTCTCACTATATGCAAAAATCAACTCAAGGTAAGTTAGAGATTTATGTAAGACCTGAAACTATGAAAATTCTAGAAGAAATCCTAGAAAACGCTCTCCTGGATATTGGTCTTGGCAAAGAATTTGTGACTAAGACCCGTAAAGCAAATACAACAAAACCAAAAATAGACAAATGGGATTTAATTAAACTAAAAAAAGCTTCTCCACAACAAATTAAATAATCAACAGAGTGAACAAACAACTGACATTATTAGAGAAACTATTTGAAAACTACGGATTTAACAAGGGACTAATATCTTGAATTTATAAGGAGATCGAATAACAACCCCAAAATAAGTGGGCAAAGGATATGAAGAGACATTTTTCAAAAGAAGACATATAAGTTGCCAACAAACACTTGAAAAAATGTTCAGCATCACTAACCATCAGAAAAATGCAAACCACAATGAGATATCATCTTATACGAGTTAGAATGGCTATTGTTAAATAGCCAAAAAATAACGGATGTTGTTGAGAATGCAGAGAAAAGAGAACACTTATATGCGTTAGTGGGAATTTAAATTAATATAACCTCTATAAAAAACAGTGTGGAGATTTCTCAAAGTCCTAAAAGTAGAGCTACTATTCAGTTCAGCAATCTCACTACTGGGTATCTACCCAAAGGAAGTGAAATCATTATACAAAAAGAGACACTTGTACTATGTTTATCACAGCACTATTCACATTAGCAAAGATATGGAATCAATCTAAGTGTCTATCAGTGAACCATTGGATAAAGAAAATGTGTACACACACACACACACACACACACACACACAATGGAATAGTACTCAGCCAAAAAAAAAAAAAAAGAAAGATAAAAAAATTATGTCTTCTGCAGCAACATGGATGGAACTGGAGGCCATCCATGTTAAGCGAAACAACTTAAAGAGAAAGTCAAATGCCACATGTTCTCACTTCTAAGTGGAAGCTAAGCCATGTGTGTATATGGACACAGAGTGTGGAATGATAGACATTGGAGACTCAGAAGAGTCATAATGTGGGAGGGGGGCTGAGGGATGAGAAATTACTTAATGAATACAGTGTACATTATTCAGGTGATAGGTACACTAAAAGCCTAAACTTCATCATTATATAATATATTTCTGTAACAAAAATGCACTTGTACCTCTTATGTTTACACTAATTGTTTTAAAAGTATATTAACATTTCTGAAGTATATCTTCTTATTGTTTGTTCTGGGTCAATATTCACAGATATGCTGTGTACTCTTATGTAGCTTCAAGTCCTTTTTTGTTTAAACTTCAAGAGAGTTTTTATGAATGATAATTTTTAGTAATTGTTCAGTTTATTTGCTTTTTTGCCCCAGGAATTCATATTATCTATAAGTTAGTTATTTGCTATTTTAGTCGCCACCTTCTTAAATATTTTATCTTATTTATATTTCTCGATAGTCTCTTTCTTAAAAAGTCAATTTGTCTTCAGAAGTTAAGGATTGTGTTATTTTTGCATTTAGTCATTTGTAGGATATTCTTTCATTTTTTATAGTTCATTTGTCATTTTTGAAATCATTTTTCTTTTATCTCTAGTTCCATCACATTCTGTAACCACATTTCTGAATTTCTAAAGTTTAACTTATAATATTCTTTATACCCATTTTATTTACTTAATGTTATGGGGCTTGTTTTAAAATACGAGGTTACAATCTTCATCTGTTTTGTGAGTATGCCTTTCTGAGCTGCTTTTATTTTCTGTAGTGATGTAATTATTTTCATCCTCTTTTTTACTTAACATAACATTGCATGACATTATACTATGATGTTTTTTGTTGTTCCATTTTATGGATTTTTTTGTAAAGGTGTAAAAACCTTGTGGTTTAAAATAGTCCTTCAAACTTTATAAAGTTCTCTTTTCTGTTAGTGTGCAATATTTTAAAATATGATGGCTTGCTTTCTGATCTTTCATGACTATCTGTCTCTTCTTGACTTTTTCTGATAAATATTTTAGTAGAGACAGGGTTTCTCCATGTTGGTCAGGCTGGTCTCGAATTCCCGACCTCAGGTGATCCGCCCTTCTCGGCTTTCCAAAGTGCTGGGATTACAGGAGTGAGCCACCGCACCCGGCCGAACTAGCTTATCTTTTAGCTAATAAAGGGGTCCTACAAACTCTTCTTGCACTCATAACATGTTTTCCACCAATGTTACAAGGTGAGCATCTCTAATCCAAAAATCTGAAATTTGAAATGCTGCAAAACTCAAAACTTTTTGCGTGCCAACATGACACCAGAAGTGGAAAATTTCACATTTGGCACATTTGCTTTCTGATGGTTCAATATATACAAACTTTGTTTTTGGCACAACAGAGTTGTATTAAAAATATTGTATAAAATTACCTTCAGGCTATATGTATAAGGCACACATGAAGCATAAATGAATTTTGTGTTTAGACTTGGGTCCCATCTCCAAGGTTTCTCATTGTGTATATACGAATATTCCAAAATCTAAAAACACCTGAAATCTAAATGCTTCTGGTTCCAAGCATTTCAGATAAGGGAAACTCAACATGCATTAGGAATTATAAGGATGAAAGTCTAATGGTATAAATTAGTTTGACCCATGTATAATTTAATTGGCATAAAGAAAAATAATTTTATAAGGCTTGCAAATATAATGAAAATCTTAAGAAACAAAATTGAATCCATAGCTTGAAGGATGATAATATTAAACAAATGCTAGAATACAATGTCTTCTAAATGATTTAAAAATAGATAACTTATTTAAAAAGGGAATTACCACCTCACACTATCCCCAAGCAATATTTACTGAATAGTAATGGAAAATATTACACAGATAAATTACCTACTTAGGAACAAAAGTCAACTTTCAATTGTCGAGAATGATGGATTACAAAAATGTGGTTTTAAGACAATGTGCTCACAGTTTGTGAGTCACATTTTGCCAGTTATTAAACCAAATATAAATGAATATTTTACTTTCGGGCAAATAGTACTGAATATGTGGATTATCTAAATGTTCTTTCTGTCATAATAATTTTGTTTTAACAAACGTAGAAAAATGAAATTCCTATTACTAAATCTTCTGTATTGATGTTGCTCCTCTAAACAACACACATCTCACTTTGTTCCAAGTTATTCATAAAGTATTTGAACCCTAAAGAGTTCCAACATTCTCTTCTAACCAATAATAAAATAATGGATGCTAAGCACCTCATTCTATTTAAGAGATCACTTTTCAATGAATCTCACCTAAGCTGTTAAGAGTGGTTTTGTATCAGCCAAGAGAGAGCTTAGGTGTTCTTGAACAATATTGTCGTGAAACCAAGAATGTTAAGATTTGTTCAGTAATGAATAAAGAGAAAAAATCAAGTAACTTTGGCTAACTAAAGACACAAGCCTTCTATGCTATTGCATTAAAAAGCTTTTTGAGCTCTAAGTTTCAAGAGCGTAATTAGTTCAGTAATTAATTGTGCAAAATGGTAATTTAATTTTTTATATTTCACATATTTTTAAATTTATTTTCTGACATTTAATTTTCAAGCACCCATACTACACAAAGGTTTACAGTTCATAGAAGGAGTCACACGTGTCAATTTCTATGAAAAAATTCTGTATTAATAGGTCTCCTTTAATTTAGAATTAGTACTGGAGGCACAAGCTGATTACCTTAATGTTTTTTAATGAAGCCTATTTGCCAAACAATTTAGTAAGATAAATAAAATAACGTATTTAAAAATTATCATTAATTAGAGACATTCAATTGCCTGCAATTTTTATGGTGATTACTAACCATTTATAATGTTTTATTAAAAACATGACTGTGAAAATCTTCACTATGCAATGGTTTATAAGTCCTTTGTTCCATATGAAATAGTAAACTATAAATAATATTTCTTTTTGAAAGTTTCAAAATCATTTCTGATTGGTCTTTCTTAATAAAATTTGTTTCATATCATTCCCAGTTACATAATTTTCACTTTGTAGCCATAAACAGTTTAACTTGAAACGTAGACTTAACCCTGAGAGTAAACGATATATTTTTAAATCTATTAGGTTGGTGCAAAAGTAATTGCAGTTTTTATATTGAAAGTAATGACAAAAACCACAATTACTTTTGCACCAACATAATATAAAACCATAATATACCACACTAATTAAACACTAAAGTGTATATTATTTCCCACATAAAACATTTTTAAACTAATCTATAATATACAAGTAGAGCCCAAACTTGTAAATCATGTCACTCTGACACTCCTACATAGTAAATCCAACTGTTTTATTCTAAATTGTCTTTATTTTGAATTCTCACTTAAGATACAGTCCTAGCTTTCTTTTTCCCTTCTGTGCCCAAGTTCTTGAAAGAGTAGCACCCAATTACTGTACAAATTTTCACTTTTAATTTAAAATAAGAATATTTTATCTTATCATTGATGATGAAACTCTCAATCACTAATTAACTAATGAATTCCTAACCACTATTTTCAAGAAAGAATTTTATGGCTTTGTTTGAATGTTTTTCCACATTTAACGCTGCTCACCATACATTCTTTCAAATTTGCTTTATTTATTTTTACTTCACTATTGTTTAAATTACATATTACATAGCACATAGTAAATTCACAACAAATTTCTATTTAAATTTATGTTTTGCTTCTGAAATTTTTGACAAGTTACACATACAGCTCATTAATAGCAATATCTTAATGCAATAGTCAACTTCCTTGTTTCCAGTGTCTTTAAAAATTTAGCACGAAAAAAGTGAGCACCTAAAAACAGGGCCAGAGTGATCCTTGTATGGTCAAAACATAATGTAAGAAATCTAATTTATAAATATGTTACATTTATCAGAAAAATAGGTATACTTAAATCATATGTTCTTTTATAATAACAATATTAATTTCACTATGTATGGAAACTTTTAGGAAGAAAAAATTCACCAGGTTTTTGTTGTTGTTGTTGTTTTACTCTGTATCATCAGTTTTGAATAGGTATTCAAAAACCATTCACAATAATGAATATAATAAATAAAGATGCAGAATTCATCTTAGTGGTGTTATTAGTGCTTCCAGTAAAACTTTATCTGCTGTTTGCCCAAGATATTTAAGGAAGAATAAACTTATCAAATATGAATGTGTACTTTTTCTATCAGTTAATGTGAGCTAATAAATGCATTTAATATCTCTGATTAAAATGCATGAGTTCCCTGATGATTAAATCATTCTTGGTAATAGCTAGGTTCAAATTTTAATTATTTTAACTACTTGCTTAGAAGACTGACTTCCTATTTTCTTCTCGAATTCTACTCCAGATTTTATCCTATGGTGGGGAAGAGGCAAACTGTGAGATGTGTTCCGAAGGGACTTTGTTGCCATCTTGTGGTTCATTAAATTATGTTTCTGGTTTTTTGCTTTCCAACTTGATCACTAAGCTCCACAATTAAAGCTAACACCAAGATCTATCTTGAATTCTTAAATTCCATTCCAACCCTGAAAATTTGTAAATACATTTCCATTTGCATGCCATGCAAGGTGGTCGTCTTCTGTGTAAACATCCCATGTCCATTTTTGCTTTTATGCATTTACTAAGCCAGTTTTTGTCTCCTAGAATGTTCCACTCTCATTCCTTCATTCCACATTTTTGATATTTGTCCACTCATCAAGGCCAAACTATAAATAATACCTCCTCCATCAAAGCTTCCTGAACTCCCTTAGGTCACAATGGTTCATCGTTTGAAAATAGTTATTTTATTTAAAGTCAGCGAAAAAGAAAACCCACAGAATTTAGGTCCTCACTGAATTAGAAATATTATTTTAAACAATTTAATTATAAAAATGTTTAAAATATGTAAAAATAGGGACAATGATTCCATGAATCCTCATGTACCCATTACCCAGAAACACAATTATGTATTTATGGCCATTCATCAAATTTACAACCTTACTACAATAGGTGGGCTTGTCTGGGAGCTTGCTAGACAAGTAGAATCTCAGGTCCCGCGGCAAAAGTACTGAATTAGAATCTGCATTCTCAGAATCATCTGAGAATCATACATGTTAAACTTCTTAAACATCTTAAAGATGATTCTCATGTATGTTAAACTTTAAGAAGTGTTAGCCTATAGTATAACCCACTTCTCTACTACTAACATTGGATTTTTTAAATTCCAAATATATCATATCCTCTTTAAATAATCCAATAAGCATCTCTTAGAAAGTTTTTGGTGCATAGAAATAGTATTGATTTTTATGTTAATTTTTTATCCAGAAACTTTACTGCATTCATTTATCAGTTTGAACACTTTTTGTGGAATATTTAGGGTTTTCTATATATAAGACCATGTTATGAGGAAATAGTGACAATTTCACTTCTTTTCTTATTTGGAGGTCTTTTACTTATTTATCCTGTCTCATTAGTCTAACAAGGACCTCTGATACTATATTGAATAGAAGTGGTGAGAACAGGCACCCTTGTCTTGTTTCAAGGTCTTATATAAAAAGTGTCAGTTTTTCACCATTAACTATGTTAACTGTGGGCTCATCATACATGGCATTTATTGTATTGAGGTCCATTTCTTCTATATGTAATTTGGTGAGAGTTTTTTTGAAAAGATGTTTAATTTTGTCAGATGTTGTTTCTGCATCTAATGGGATGACTATATTTGTTTTTCTTTTATTTGGATAATATGGTGTATCACATTTATTGATCTGCATATGTTGAACCATCCATGCATCCTATGGATAAAGCACACTTGATAATGGTGAATGATCCTTTTAATTGTTGTTGAATTCTGTTTGCTAGTATTTTGTTGAGAATTTTTGTATCTACTTTCATCAAGGATATTGGTCTGTAGCTTTTTGTGTGTGTGTGTGATGTCCTTATGTGGCTCTGGTGTGATAATGCTGGTCGCAAAAATTAAGATTCTTTTTTAAAAAAACATATTCACAATATTGTCATTATACTATTAAAATACAAAATTATTATCAATAATTTTAGTATTTAATTCTTCCTATATGAATCACAAATGCTTTTACTTATAATTTATTTATTAAAGTTAGGATCTAAACAAAGCCACATATGACATTTTATTGAAGTGTGCTTTGAGTCTGTCAAGTAAAATTACCTTTACCACTATCTTCCTTTTTCTTACAATTTATTTACTGAATAAAGTTAGTAACTTCTTAAAGAGTTTTTAATATTTGTGATTAGGCTGATTGCAGGTCAAGGGCAGGGATATACACAATTAGTCTAAAGAATCTACAGAATTCTATATAGTTATGTATAAGATTCTGTTTTAATTATCTACAGCTACAGTCATATGATGTAACAAACCACTACAAAACTCCTTGGCCAATACCACTGGAATTGATTACATGTCTGTGGTCAGATAGGATAGAGGATAGCTAGGTGATTTGCTGATATTGGCTGAGTGCTCTCATATGTTTGAGGTTCAACTTGGAAAAGTAGGTTGCCTCAGTTTTGTTCCTCATGGTCTCTCATCCTCCAGAAAATCATCCTAAGCTGATTCTCATGGCACATATAGGAATCTAAGAACAGAAGCATGCAAGTCCTGTCTCTGCAGGCCTAAGCATAGAACTGGCACATTTTCATCTTACTACTGTTATTGGTTAACTCTAATTACAAGGCAACCCAGATTGAAGGGGTGGGAAAAACGGATTCACCTCAGTGTGAGGACTTGCAAAAATACATTGCAAAATTCATGAATAAAGGAAGGATTGAGAATAAGGATCTTTTTTTCATTTTTCAACTAACCACATATTTTTAAATAATATTTTACTGTAAATTTAAAAAATAATGTCCAATGCTATGTCATTTTATGGGCAGTTTTACAGTAAAAATTAGTTAATATTTAATTTACTTAAGTATTCTTTAAACATATAATAAAATATATTATTCCAACCTAAGATTTTTGAAATTTGTATGTGTTAATGGCAAAAGACATCATTTTTTAACATTTTAAATTTTATTTCATGTGATTTTGATCTTATTTATTTAAGAAGCATTTATCTTTCCCAGTGAAGATAATTGTTTTTATTGATTTTATATAATTATTGGTAATTTTCTTATACAATGATCAAATCTCTTATACTAAAAAAATTGCTGTGTGAGTATATATATATATATATATATGTATATACATTAACACACATACACACATGCTGTTTGGAGATCCTAGGTGACACACAAATATATAAATAGTAAATAAATAAATAAAAGAAAGAAAATACAAGAAAAAATGGGAGCTTGATCTCCTTATACTATGTTGGCCACCATCACTGTCATTGCCCCTTCTACTACTCCTTGAAAGTGTAAATGTCAGTGTCTTCAAACATAGGTGGACTTCTCACCACTGATTATCAGCTGAGACAAATATAAACCTACAACTTCTTTCAAGGCCTTAGGGAATAGTGCCCAGACTTAGGCCTATGTCTACACTGCAAAGTAGATTTCCATTCCAGAACATCTAGGCTAACTTATCTTTGAGGTACTAATGAAGAGAGGCATAGGTTTTTCATATGTTGCTTTTTAGGATTCATCAATAAGCCACTAATTGATAGTACCCTATGTACAGTAAGATTTCCTAAACTATTATTTATTTGGAATACTAATTATCAAATGATTCTATATTGAATAATATATTGTTATACAATTGTTTACTGTGTTAATTTAAATTTACCTAATACCTCTAAATGAGAATGTATTTTAAATTTTTATTTTAAAATATAGAGTTATTTTTCCTTGACTTTCTAAAAGAGATGTTTGAATTTGATTTCTCCATACACAACTTGTTGGTGTCTTAAATGCCTGACAATTTCGATTGCTTTTCTTTTCCTTCCTTCGCTTCCTTCCCTCCTTTCTTCCTTCCTTTTCTTGCTTTCTTCTTTCTTCTTCTTTCCTTTTTTTTTTTTTTTTGAGACAAGATCTGGCTCTATTGCCCAGCTTTTTGAGTAACTGGAACTACAGGTGTGTGCCAGCATGTCTAGTTAATTTTTGTATTTTTTTGTAGCGGTTTCCCCATGTTGCCCAGGCTGGTGTCCAATTCGCAGGCATGAGCCACCACACACAGCTACTTTTCTTTAAAAGAATTTATTTTCACAATCGGTGTTAATGGAGAGGCCATTGAATAGATTTTAATGGTAAAATTAGTTATTTTTAAATTTGAATACAATATATGAAACTAACCTGAAATTAAAGACCTGAATTCCATTTCTAGATGGTGTCCTAATGTCTTGATATTTAAGATAATGCTGCTTTCTGTAATAGGTAAAAATACAAATCTCAGTAGCTTAGCTCAATAGAGGTTTGTTTTCTTCTTTATGTGAATTAAAAATTGATATGTCTGGATTGGTAGCATAGCAGAACAGGTCTCTACTCCACAGAAAAATTCAGATTCTCAGGCTAACAGAGGCTATTTCATCTATACATGGATTCTAGAGGTCCCTATTATCAATGATTATCTTACAGAAAGAGGGTGAAACAAGTTAACAACTCATATGAGAGATTGTCATCAGCCAGGTCTGGGAATGCTGAGTTCCTTGGCCTAAGGAAACATAACTAAGAAGGTATGTTTGAAATAAAACAAAATGAATTTCATACAAAAACTAGCTTTTCACTATGATAATGTTATTGATAATTGTGCTATATGTTGAATTATATATTAGTTGCATCAAGAGACACATACAAATTGATGCCGTTGGGGAAAACAAACAGTTAATTTGAAGGACAAGTACCTGACTTTAACTCTGCCAAAATTTAACATTTCTCGATATTTATTTTCTCATCTGTAAAATAAAGTTCTTAGCCACATCAGTTGATCTCACCATTGCATGAATCTCAGATTTACTTGAGAATTAGATGCACTTTCTTAAAAATTAAAGTACATATATATGCACATTACACATATTTGCATACGGATTGTAGAAACCCTATGACACTAAGTCTAATATTTGTAACTATAATACACTTAAACTTAAATACACTTAAATACACTTAAAAAATAACTTCAAGGTCTTCCATAAGAAATATCTTATATGTCTGTTTCTATGAATATATTTGGTGAGAAGGTAATATGATTTGACTCTGTGTCCCCACTCAAATCTCACCTTGAATTGTAATAATCCTGAAGTGTTGTGGGATAGACCCACTGGGATGTAATTGAATCATGGGGGCGTGTTTTTCCTGTGGTGTTATTGTGATAGTGAATAAGTCTCATGAGATCTGATATATAAAGAGGAGTTATATAAAGAGGAGTTCCCCTACACAAGCTCTCTTGCCTGCCTCCAAATAAGATGTGACTTTGCTCCTCATTCACCTTCAGCCATGATTGTGAGGCCTCTCCAGCCATGTGGAACAAGAAACCTCTTTTCTTTATAAATTACCCAGTCTCCATTATGTTTTCATTAGCAGTGTGAGAACAGACTAATACAGAAGGTATCTGCAGACATTGATGCATACATTAATGTTTTTATTAATGGTTTCAAGAAAGAAAGAAAGGAAAAAGAACATGTCACTGTTTGGCTGGCCAAACTTGAGTAACTTTAATAATAATTCGTTTTACAATTGCACTATTAGTTCTTTCCTATGTGAGGTTGATATTTCTAATTTTCTGCCTAGAGAATTATTTTTGAAGAATAATTGGGTAAGCAGTGTGAAGAGATAGATTGGTCAGATTCTTTAAAAATATGATAGATTTTGGATACTGAGAATGTTTCCTTTTATAGAAGTTTTTTGTCTTGAATGGGGGAGAGAGAAAATATTTCTTTACCTTTAGTTGCTTTCCCTGAGTTGCTCATATATCACAGAACATAACATGGCAAGAGAAAAATTGATTATCTGGGTATAAGTATTAAGGATGAAAACAATTCCATTAATTTTATCCATTACTCTTTTTCTGTCCTAACATTTGGAATAACTGGACAGTGTCAGCTATTTTTGTGGTGATAAATAACAGGGCTATTATAGAACTAAGGTGTTTTTGGATCATTCATACTTGAATTATAGGATGAAAAATGTGTAAGTTAAAGGCTTTTAAAATTTCTGTTTTCACTAAAATTTATGGTTAACCCATAGTTTCTGCCTGTATTTGTGCCAATATCATAAGCATTCTCTATTTTTTAATAGACAATCAGATGTATATATAACATTATCTATACACTACATTCATTGTTAGACACATAAACACAACTTCTGATTTCTTGTCTCCCTGCTTAGTGGGATTAACTATTGTTTGGGAGTTATGGAAAAGTGAGACCTTAATAGACATACTGAATTGCCCAATACTGTGCTACTGCAGCTGTTTCTGTAGTAGTATCATATATTTTTGTGGTATAATACTATCTAAAGTCCAATTTATGCACTTTTAAAGTCAAAGTTATCATGTCATTTATTTGGTCACCCTTCAAGACCGCTCTCTCCACTCATAAAGCATTGCAAATAAATTTTGACTACCATATTCTTATTGGTCCTTTCTCAGACTTTAAGTTTTAAAATGCATTTTGGAAGCTAATGGTACGGACAATAGCTTTGAAAGATTTACTTTTTGAATTGCAAGTACAAACCGACATCCTAATTCAAAGAACTTGGAAATATGTGTGATCAGATAAGATGAGTTTTTCTGACTTTTCGAGACTACATAAAGAGCGCATAGCTAATAAGGAGGACTAAAAAAGAAAACCTAGATGAAGAGGCAAGAAAATAGATATTGTAATATTTTTGAAGACGATCCTTTAACAGTGGTAATTCCAAAGTTGGTAAGCAATTGAACTTCCCACAAAGCTTGCAGGTCTGAAAATGTAGAAAGGCAAATCCGTAATGTAAGGATGTTATCTTAGTCGTAACTGTAGAGAGAAAAAGGAGGTACATTTTAAATTGATTTGTTTTAATTGCAAAATTGACTAAGTGTGCTCTGAATTTACAATGATTGCCTCTATCTACCTCAGATGGCATAGGCTCTGAAAAGAAAACTAATTTAGATTTTGAAAAAATAAAATTATGCATTTACACTTCAGGTATGGTTTAAAAGCTCACTCAGTTTATTTGTTCTGCACTACATACTTCTCAGAATAGTTTCATACTTTCTGTGTCAGTGTTTCTCATTAAACAGCTAGATTAGATTCATAACAAGTAAGAGAAACTGAAGGTTATAATGGCTAAGAGAGTAGCATAAAATAGGCAGTAAGTGAAGGAGACTGAATTAAATTTCATGTTTCCTGATAACCTTTCCTGACCTTGCCAAAAATATGCCTGTGATCCATACATTTACTAGACAAGCTGAGTTGAGTAAAATCAAATCACCTTTTGTATGTATATAACACATAATTGGTGGTGAAGCTCCATGCAGTTTAAAAAAAAAACTGCTCTGAGTAGTCCTCTCATAGCCATCTCTCTCTCTATATATAATATATTATATTTATATAATTTATATATTATATATTAAATTATATATTTTAAATATTGTACATGTATAATATATAAATAGATATAATATATTTATATATATTTAAATTTTTATATTTTTTATTTATATTTTATATATTTTATATGTATTATATATATAATCTATAAAATATATATTATATATTATATATTCTATAAATCTATATTATGTTATATATTATGTATAAATATATATTATATATTATGTATAAATATATATTATATATTATGTATAAATATATATTATATATTATGTATAAATATATATTATATATTATGTATAAATATATATTATATATTATGTATAAATATATATTATTTATTATGTATAAATATATATTATATATTATGTATAAATATATATTTTATATATATTTCATATATTTTAAAATATATTTTATATATTATATATTTCATATATTTTAAAATATATTTTATATATTATATATTTCATATATTTTAAAATATATTTTATATATATTATATACAAATCATATATGTTTATATAATTTATATATTTTATATAAAATTATATGTAATTATGTATAGATTATATATAAATATAGATTAAATATAAATAATTATATATATTCTATATATAAATTTTATAAAATATATGAAAATAATATATATGTTTAATTTATGTACTTTACATAAAAATTATATATAATTGTATATAATTAATAATTTATATATTTTATATAAAAATTATATATAATTATATAAAATTATATATAATTATATGAAAATTATATATAATTATATAAAAGTTATATATATGTTTATATAATTTATATATTTTATATATAAATGTTATATATCAATATATTATATAATATATAAATAATATATAAATATATTATATAATGTATAAATATATTATATAGTATATAGATATATTCCATAATATATAAATAGATTTATTTATACATAATTATATATTTATTTATAAGTTATATTTATATATTGATATATTATATATGTTTATATATTATATAACATTTATATACAAAATATATACATTATATAAACATATATGATATATAATTTTTATGTAAAATATATAAATTATATAAGCATATATTATACATAATTTATATATAAATATATAGGAATTTTTTACAATATATAAGTATATTTTATATACTATATCAATATATAATATAAAACATATTATATATTTATGAAATATATAAATATATGTTATATATTATAAAATATATTATATATATTTATGAAATATATAAATATATGTTATATATTATAAAATATATTTATATATTTATGAAATATATAAATATATGTTATATATTATAAAATATAAAGATAAATATATAAACATAAATATGTAATATGTATAGATATGAATATTTTATAAATATATATTATATATAATTATATAGTTTTTATATAATTATATATAATATGTAATTATTTATAGAATTATATGCACTTATTTTTGTATGATTATATATAACCTAATATATAATATTATATATTATATATAATCATAAATACATATAGATATATGTGAAGCACAGTAAAGTGAAGTATAATAAAATAATGTATGCCTGTACATTGGTGGTTAGCAGAAGCTGAGGTAGCTAGTGTGCAGGGGGCATAGGAGATGTTAACCAAAGTATACATAATTTTAGTTAAATAGAAGGAATACATTTCAAGAGATCTATTGTACAGCATGGTGCCTATAATTAATGATAACATATTGTATTCTCGAAAAACTTTAAAGAGAGTTATGCACTCTCAGTATAAAAAATGTTCTGTGCTCCATAGAAATGTTATGTGATCTCACCATAGAAAATAACTATTGAAGGGAATGCATTCACTAGTTGGCTATATTTAACCACTTCACAAAGCATATACTCATTTTATTTTATTTATGTTATTTTATTTTATTTTATATTTTATTTTATTTTATTTTATTTATTTTATTTTATTTTATATTTTATTTTATTTTATTTTATTTTATTTTATTTTATTTTATTTTATATTTTATTTTATTATTTTAATTTTATTTTATTTTGAGACGGAGTCTCGCTCTGTTGCCCAGGCTGGAGTGCAGTGGTGCGATCTCGGCTCACTGCCAGCTTTACCTCCTGGGTTCACGCCATTCTCCTGCCTCAGCCTCCTGAGTAGCTGGGACTACAGTTGCCCGCCACCACGCCTGGCTAATTTTTTTGTATTTTTTAGTAGAGACGGGGTTTCACCATGTTAGCAAGGATGGTCTCGATCTCCTGACCTCGTGATCCACCTGCCTTGGCCTCCCAAAGTGCTAGGATTACAGGCGTGAGCCACTGCACCCGGCCAGCATATACTTTAGAACAGCAGTCCCCAGCCTTTTTGTCACCAGGGACCCGTTTTGTGGAAGTTAAATTTTCCATGGATCAGGGGGTTGGTGGGAGGGTGGTTTTGGGATGATTCAAATGCATTACATTTACTGTGCACTTTATTTCTAGTATGATTACACTGTGATATATAATGAAATAATTGTACAACTCATGACAATGTATAATCTGTGGGAGCCCTGAGCTTGTTTTCCTGCAACTAGATGGCCCCATCTGGGGGTGATGGGAGACAGTGACAGATTCTCATTAGATTCTTATTAGATTCTCATAATGAATCTAAATCGAGATTTGCATTAGATTATCATAAGAAGCTCACAATCTAGATCCTTTGCATACACAGTTCACAATAGGGTTCCCACTCATATGAGAATCTAATGCGCTGTTGATCTGACAGGAGGTGGAGCTCAGGTGGTAATGCCAACAGTGGGGAGAGGCTGGAAATACAGATGAAGCTTAGCTAGCTTGCTTGCCACTCATCTGCTGGGCGGTCCCATTCCCAACAGGCCATGGACTGGTACTGGTTTGTGGCCCAGCTGTTCGGGACCCTGTGTTTTAAAACATCATATTGTACACGTTAAAAACTCATTATTGGTACATTTAATTTTTTAAAAAATGAATGATAGGCAAAATTGTCAATTTAGCCTCAGCACTGTGCAGGAAAAATAGAGTTATGATTTAAAACTTAGTCACCTTGATATTTATGACAGATTTTTTTCAGCAACAGAAATCTGTAAATGAAGCAATTACAGTCTGACGACATCTCATATTTGAACCATGTAAAATCACACTCCTTATTATCATTCAATAATTCTAATGAAAATTTCTGATTGTGATTTGGTTTCCCAAATTGATTGTTTTGGCCACACAAGAAAATATGTTGGTTTGTGTGACAATTATATTGCTCACCATAAACTAGTATATTAATTGATCTGTTGGTATATATTTCAATTTTTGTGAGTTTAGTTAGTGTTGTCAGCCTAATTAAATACAACGAACTCTGGGACACAGATAAGAATGTGTATTTTCTAACGTGACAGTTTTAGTAGTCAGGGTCTGGGCTGTGGACCCTGGACCTCAACACCATGATTGATGAAGTCTGTTGGAAAAACTGATAGGATTTATTTGGTCTAAACCCTTAAATAGCCTCTGGTCTCTTTCTGCCCTTTGCATCTTTCTTACAGTAATTTTGAATTACTTGTTGTGTTGGTATAGGATAGCTTAAAAAATGTAATCACTCTAAAAGAGCCTGGTGTATGGATTGGCCTTTAAAAAGCACTCATTAATGTTCCCTCAGCTTCCTCCAACACTTAATACCTTAGAGACTATAGATGGAGCATTCCACCCTGCTGATTTCCTACTTCTTCATGAGTTCAAAGACATTGTCATAATACTATTCAGTCTTATTGTGAAGAGAAAACCTGTGTAATGGTTGCATATTGTAAAATGTCACATGGATGTTAGTTTTTTTCCATATGAATATATAGTGTGCTCATTCCATCCACTATACTTTCACATAACAGCAATTAACAATAAAACAATGTGGAGGTGTCTCAATTGGATGATTCTCAAATTGCTTCCTTTATTAGAATACCAATGGAGTGTTTCAAACCATATGGTTAATTTTCTCTAATAACACTATACATTATATGTGTGTGTGTGTGTGTGTGTGTGTGTGTGTGATGATATAACAAGGGCTACAAAAGTAAACTCAGAATCAGTTTAGCCACAATTAGGCCATTTTCTATGGCCCACCAATAAGTATCAACTCTAGTTACAATAACCTTGCTTCTCGGTGCAATTTAAATTTATCTCATGTCTATTTTTATACTCTTCCTCATATGGTTAAATGTTAATAATACTTGCCCTCTTTAAACATCTCTCTGTATAATGAAAATCACTATTCTTGGAATCTTAAGTTCATTTATCATGTCATGGCCTCCATAAATCATATACATTTTACCACATTAGATTTGATGTCTAGGATGCACATAATCAAGATGAATGCTGCTCTCATAATTATAGCTTCAAACCTGTGATTCAATGGGCTGCCATAATCATCTTTACGAAAGATCACCCCACATATACTGATAATTTTATACAATTTGCTTAATCATTGTTGAAAGCTATATCTCAGAAGTAAAATTCAGAAAGTCAGTCCTTATAGAACAACCACTGTATAAAGTTCACTAAGCTTACTTCCACTTATATATTATGAATAATATGTTAAATATCACGCAGTGTAACTTTTAACACTGCATTGATAATATTCTATTACCAGAGACAACTTACATTATCAAACATTTTATATTCCAGAGTAGATTTCACTTCTCTTCCGGCTATATTTTAAAAAGTCAGCTATATTATCTCGTCAGAACTGTTATAAACTAGATTCATTAGTTTTAACCAATAAATTTATATATATATAATATATATAATATATTATATATATAATACATATAATATATTATATATAATATATATAATATATTATATATAATATATATAATATATTATATATATATCTCATATCTCTACAATGTGGGCATAATAGTAAAAGATTGTTTTATTTCAGAAAAATACAAATATTTTCTTAACTACTTTGATAATTATGGCCATTTAGATGTTTTATAAATAAATACATTTCTGTTTTTTAGAAAGTATGCTTTCTTTACAATAAATAACATGTGAAAAGTAATGAAAACTTGTACTGATTATAAATGTGGGAATACTCAAGTATAAATTCCATGAGGACACAGACTATGCCTACCTGACCAGCAATATTTTCCTGGCATTCTCACAATGAATGAGAGGATGGATATATGGATACATTTGTCTCACAAAGCTCTTTGCAGTCTGACTAGATTAGCTGTAGAAAAAGTTACAGGGAAAATTTCATTTTATACTTTCCAAAGCCATCATAAGATACATTATCTAAATATGTTATTTTTAAATAATTAGTTTACAATGACAGTAGCAGTAGCAGTTGTATTAATACTATGGCTTATAGAGTAATTACTGTGAGTCTTCTAAGTACTTTAATATATTAATTCATTTAGTATTAATGTTATTAATATCTCAGTTTTTTGAAAGAAGAAACTCAGGTACAGGAAGATAAATTATCACACCCAAGGTTACCAGAATGAAAGATTGTGAGGCAATTATACAGAATCCATACCCTTAACCATAACACTACACTACATCTCAAAAATCAAGTGAGGCAGTGGTAATAATACCAACTCCTGAATATCAACACAACAAGTAATTAAGAATATGCATATTTAACACTTGTACTTTTATCTATCTGATAATGTTAGTAAACAGTGATTTACAGTAACTCATATAAGGAAAAGACAATACCTTTCTTCCTTATTTTATGAGGCAGATGTTTGCAAATTATTGTTGTGAAAACTATAGATCCACAGTTTTCTTATATTAGCAAACTAGCAAGCTTGCTAGATATTGTGACTTTTAATTTATACTTAGAATCATGTTGATTAAAGCTTAAATTTGGCAATTAGACTGAAATGTATTCATTGGAAATGTCTATATGTCATTTCAGTAAAATATATTTAGATGTGATATTAAATACAAATGCATCAAGTGTAAACCTGTCCAGCTTTGTCTATATATTTTATATTTTGATTCCTCCACAAAAGTATCTAACACATCAAGATTCCAATGTGTTTCCAATATTGCCAGTTTATACTCATTCCTTTAGTTTAAGGCAATGATTTGAAAATGTGATTCTCAATACACCAAATGGTTTACAAGTTGTTTGATGGTTTCAGTGAAGGAAGTGATAGAATAAGTATTCTCATATGCATTTCACAAATTTGAAATGTAAGATTAAGATAATTGTTAAAAAGCTTATATGCCACCTAAAAAGCTAACAACACATAATAGATTTGGGGGCAAAAAGCAAAACAAGATTCTGGAAAAAATAGCTTTACAAAATTGCAAGCTTGACTATTCAAAGCAATAACATATAATATTTTAGAGTAATTACTATCAAAAGTTCAGCTTACAATTAAACAAACACATTAATATGAAGAGTATATGGTACCTCTTGGAAATATGTTTTAATATAGGAAAGAAAAGTGCTTTACAACTTTTCGTTCTATTTATTATTGAGAATGTATGCTACAGGAACAATATTAATATTAATATTAATTCCTAATAATTTTTCTCAATGTTTACAGAACCACTATGTGTGTAGAAAAAAACTTAATATAGACATAAAAGATCTTACATCTAAATACCAATAAAAAAACTGCCCTATTTAAAACATAATTGTTAGTCAAAAATATGGTCTTTCTTTGCAGTCAGTGTAGACAAAAATAGTGCAAATTGCTAGTCAAAATATCATGGCCACATGTGTTTTTTAAATACCTGTTTGAATAAGTGGATATATAACAAATTATTTTCTAATTTAGAATGTTCTCATGGTAGTGAAACACATGTTCTTAAGAATGTCTGAGTTAGGGGATGCAATTGTAATAATTTCTTCATGATATTGTTAATACAGTAAAGAAAAACAATGCATCAATTGGGCTTTTGACAGTTGGTGTTTATCAATACATGTTCTGCATCCTGAATGGACTAAAAACTTGAGTAAGGTAGAAATCATGGCCAAAATATACTGACCTTTAACATGAAAGTAAAGCATTAGGTTATTTAATATGAACTAAATTCCAATGTTTCAGTCTCTGAATTTAACTCCTCACCATCAACAGATTATTTTCTTCACATATATGAAGACAGTAACAGTGATGACATATTAACAAAAGTCTACAACCAAAGACTAAATTAACAAAAGAAAAAACTTCAAAATCTGAAGTTGATTAAAATATACACTTTAAATTCATTTTTCAGTATTTCTAGATTCTCCTTATAGCTTATGAGAGAAACACGATTTTTGATTTGGTGTCTGATGGAGTGCCAAAGTGGTCTTTAGTGAGAATTTTTGCCATTACTTTTACAAACAGATTGATCCTCAAAAGTAGAAAAGTCTAGCAGGAACACAAATGGCCAGCTACCTTCCATTCTTGACTACATGCAATTTTAAGGTAATATTTCTTAAGATATTAAACATATGAGCAAAGACATGATTATGGAAACAACCCATGCTTCAAGCAATCTATTATTTACTGTATATGAGTACACATACCTTGGAGAATATCTGACACAATGGCATCTTTTGCACTATCCTGAAATAATTACTAATAAATGTAATATATTCTCTGTTACATTTACTATTAACATTACAAAACATTTCAAAATACCTAAAATTGATTGTCTGAATGCACAGTAATTGTTCACCATTATTGAAAAGTTAAAATTGTAAAAAGTTAGGTGCATTGGCTCATGCCTATAATCCCACCTACTCCAGAGACTGAGGAGTGAGGATGACGTGAGCCCAGGAGTTCAAGGCTGCAGTGAACTATGACTGCATCACTGCACTTTAGCCTGGAAAACAGAGTGAGACCCCCAACTCTTAAACAAAAAAAGAAGAAAGAAAAAACAGAGGTATCTACTCAAGAAACTTCCATTAAATGTAAATATTATAGGGTGATTTAGTAACTCACTAAAAAGTTACATTGCAATAAATTCAATTATTTTATTATGTTCTATTTTCATTTTAAAGTACCAGTCCAACTTTTAACACAGGCAGCCAGCCTATTTTCCTGAGTAAATGTGAGCCATAAATATAAGTCCCCACGGTGAAGAAGGAAAGAGCATGAACAAACTTCAACTAAAAATTTTATGTCTAGGATTAGCACTATGTATACATTAGAGAGAAAATTTTATTCAGAATCACTAAAATAATGGTTTGCATTGTGTTGTGATATGAGGTACCATTTGTAAGATATTGAGAATGTTGCTCAGCACTGTGGGAGACTTGTTATGAGAGCCTTGGCCAGGGGCCCAAAATTCAGGGAGCCATGCTCTTGCCCTTCTCCTTTGATACATGGTCCCATAGGATGAGGCATTAACAAGGCAAAGGAGACTATAAATACCAAGTCTGCCCTCTATTTCTTTAGGGCCTCAAGCAAATACAGATAACAGAAACCTAGTGTTTCCCAATCAAATAATCCTGAGTCTGTTTGAAGGCCTGCACCTACCTAATCCTTCCATCTGTCCTCCTGAGGGCCTCCTGTGTTACCAATCATTGGCCAGATGTACCACTTCTCCTAGGATGGGGATGGATCTTGAATATGTGTGTGAGGCCTTTTGCAAAATGGGACAGAAGTGAAAATGGGAAGAGAAGACAAAAAGGGCCTGGAGTCAAGCTCTCCCCACATCAACAGATTCCAGCAGAGAAATGCAAGAATTCTGAGAAGTTGAAATTTTTAAATTGGCCTTGCAGGCTATGATTAAGCTGTATTTCTACATTTTTTGAGGACAGACATTTTATTAAATATTTTTTAGTTTAATAATTTTCAAATATTTAGAAATTTATTGTCTGAGCCTTTATTTATTCTCATGTATACCTCCCGCCCACAACAATGAGGACCTTGCAGTATTTAAACTTTATAAATGGTGGCTAATTTCTCTCAGAGTGCAAAACTGGAAGATGCCAAACCTTGATGAGGCTTAGCCTGGAAACCAACACAGCATAACTTCTGCCACATTCTATTAAAGCATATCACAGAGCAGTGATTCAAGGTGAGGGGATTATATACTAATGCAAAAGTTATGGTTCATCCGGGGGCACCAAAACTTTCCAGAACATATTTACGTAGATTAATGAGTAGATTAACTTGGTCAGAAAATTAATGTAGTCAAAACTTAAGGCATAATAATAGTGAGAAGCCCATATTAACTTTTTAATCATAAGCTAAAACATATCCTAAATGAGGGGAGAAATATTTCACTACATTTTAGTTAAAGGCCAACAAGTAGTTGAATAAAGTTGGGTTTATTGATTTTTGCAGCAGAAAGAATGACCTTCATGAGGAGTCATGTATCATCTCAGTAAGAGAATGTTAGGAAGGATTAATTATAGAATTTGGTCTTGTGTAATGTGATTTTATGGGGGCTTTACATATAGACTGAATGTTGTCAGGAGCCAGGATAATGCTATCATTGGTATTTGTATTTGTTTCCTAGAGATGCTATAACAATGTACCATAAGGTCAGTGGCTTAAAATAAAATAAATTTATTCTCTCACAGTTTTGGAGGCTAGAAGTCTAAAATCAAGATATAACAAGGACCATGCTCCCACTGAAACTCTGGGTAGTATATTTCTTTGCCTCTCCTTAGCTTCTGGGGTTGGCAGTAAATAGTTAGTATCCCTGGGCTTGCAGCTGTATCATTCAAACCTCTCCACTGCCATCACACGGTGTTCTCCCTGCTTGTCTCTGTCCTCACATGGCATTCTTCTACTAATGCCACCAGTCATATTGGATTCAGAGCCCAGCCTACTCCAGTATGACTGCATGTTTAATTAATTATACGTGTGATTACCCTATTTCCTAATAAGGTCAGATTCTGAGGTACTGGGGGACAGGATTTCAGTATATCTACTGGGGGCCACAATTTAATGCATAACATTAACCTAATAGTTCTTATCTAGTAAGTAGGGTCATTTTTATGGTGTCAACATGGCTTGATTTTGTCTCTGCATATTCTCCATGTATAGACATGATTATAAAGTAGTCCGGTTTTGGTTTGGACCTATCATAGTCACAGATTAGCCTTGTTCTCTACAATTATAATGTTCAGCACAAGAACAACATGGTCTAGCTATGAGAGATATGCCACTTTCTGGCAACATTAACCCTAGTTGATAGTGCTAAGCCAGGTCCTGGCTGTTGGTGGTTACCTTTCTATTTCTCGTAACTCGAATAAAATGTAGTAGATGAGAGAATGATCAACACTTCTAAACTGATTGAAAATTGAAAGTAAAATAAAAAACAAAATAAAAGTACTTTACTAACATAACAAATAGAAATTTAAAGATTCAAGATTGGAGTTTGAATTGGCAAAGAGGGTTGATTATGAGTTCTACTTTTTAAATTATGAGTTGGTGGGCTAGTGGCATATTCGGATGGTGATGTTATTAAGAAGTTGGATATATGAAATGAAGGTCTGGAAAAACATTAGAAAATTTTAAGAATGGATGAATTCACTAAAAGGGACTATGGATACAGAAGAGAAAAGAAATATCAAAATGAAACTTGAAAGAATGTCTGTAGTTAGGATTTAGAAGAAATAATGTGATACAAGTAAAAATACTTTTACTGCATACTAGATAGTGTGTCCAGAGTTTATTCCTTCTGGTGGGTTCTTGGTCTCGCTGACCTCAAGAATGAAGCCGCAGACCCTTGTGGTGAGTGTTACAGTTCTTAAAGATGGTGTGTCCGGAGTTTGTTCCTTCAGATGTTCAGATGTGTTCGGAGTTTCTTCCTTCCAGTGGGTTCGCAGTCTCGCTGACTTCAGGAGTGAAGATGCAGGCCTTTGCAGTGAGTGTTACAGGTCTTAAAGGTGGCAGGTCTGGAGTTATTTGTTCCTCCAGGTGAGTTCGTGGTCTTGCTGACTTCAGGAATGAAGCCACAGACCCTCGCGGTGAGTGTTACAGCTGATAAAGGTAGTGCGGACCCAAAGAGTGAGCAGCAGCAAGATTTATTGTGAAAAGCCAAAGAACAAAGCTTCCACAGCATGGAAGTGGCCCCGAGTGGGTTGCCGCTGCAGGCTCTGGTGGCCAGCTTTCATTCCCTTATTTGGCCCCGCCCACATCCTGCTGATTGGTCCATTTTACAGAGCGCTGAGAGGTCCATTTTACAGAGTGCTGATTGGTGTGTTTACAATCCTTTAGCTAGACTCAGAGTGCTGACTGGTGTGATTTTACAGAGTGCTGATTGGTGCGTTTACAATCCTTTAGCTAGACACAAAAGTTTTCCAAGTCCCCACCCGACCCAGAAGTTCAGCTGGCTTCACCTGTCAATAGGATTATATTAGATAACAAAAACTAGATATGTACCAGTACTTTGGAATATAGTAAAGGAAAATGAGATACTTTACCAGAAAGTTAGTTCCCTAATAACAGAAACTTTAAAACAACACCAAAATTGCTTCCTTTCAGTAAAGTTTCCAGGTATCAAGTAAGGCCCCTTAGGATCTCAAGAGTCCATAATTCTATTAAGGATAGGGAGAAACTGGTGGTGAGGAAGACAAAGTAAGATCCTCACCGATGAGAAGTGGTTTACTGAAGCAAAAATTTGTATATATTTTCCTAGTTATTACTAGCATGAATATTTTTAAAGCAAAAACATGTAGCCAATAAAGAGAGAAAAAATGATATAATCAATAAAAAGAGAAACAGAGTGAAAATACAAGAAATTAGGAAGATCACAGAGCAACTTATCTAGGTTAGGAAAAAATAGAATCAAAGCACATATTCAAGTTACATTAGGAATGGATAAAGTACATCTGTCTAAGAAAAGAGTCTATAAACAGATTGTTGAACTTTTTATTTGTCATAGATGATTTTTTTCGGGGGGAGTTTGTTTGTAACAAAGGCAAAGTGAATTTTGAGAGAAGAGGAAGGAAGAAACTGGTTGGGCAGACAGTTAGGTTGGCTCCCTCAGTAAAACTCCTTCAAACCAAGAACAGCCTGAAAACCTAGCTGCAGGCCCCTGATTTAAAAAAAAAAAAAAAAAGCCCATGTCCCTAAAGGGAAACTCCCATTCTGCCAGCCCAGATGAATAAATTCCACTCCTTCTGGGGGGCATGCTTCTCTCCCACTTGGACGCGCCTTTGTCCTTTTTGTTGTGCTTTGTCCCAATGGGTCCTTACTCTGCCCTCTCCCAATTGGTTCTTTGCATCCCTCTGCACTACTGTGTCTGTCTGAGTGGTGCATTTTGGTGCACTTTTTGGTCTGAGCATACCCCATCTTAAGCCCATAAAAACCCTTGTGCTCAGCCTCATCGCTGGCAACCCTCTTTCAGGCCCCTGCTCGCTGCTGAGAGCTTTTCTGTAACTTATAATTCCTAGTCTGCCTTATTCACTCTTGGGTGTCTGTGTACCTTATTTTTCTTGGTCATGGGATAAGAACCCAGAATTCACTGAACTGCTGGAGCAAAAGAGCTGTAATGCTCCCGTTTGCAAAGCCATGGGTGGCAGGAGTAAAAGAGCTGTAACACTCCCTCTCACTGGCCAAACTATGGGAGTGAAGAAGCTGCTGGGTGCTATTGCCTTCTACTCATCAAAGAGCGGGAGTAAAAATAGCCTCAACAATAGGAACTATGTTACAAAGTGAGGGTGCTTTCACAGGACAAAGCGTCTTGAGTGTAGTATAAAGTGAGGATATCTGTTGGAAGTAAAGAATCTGGAGGCAGTGTTTAAGGATTGGGGAATAAAACCAGTGAAATTACTAAAAATGTGATGGGGCAACCAACAAAACCAAATAGAGTTTAAGTAACATGAGTTTTGAGGCCATCCATTTAGAACAGTGCCTTTCTCTAATATAAATGTGCAGAAGTTGCTATAGTGAATTAAATATAATACAGATTCTTAACTGGCATGGATAAAGTGCAAAGATCAATAACACACAAGGAGAAAATTACTGGAAAGTGTTGCTCATGTGGTCCTTAGAAATAAGGAGCCAAGAGGAGTTTTAAAGCAAGTGAGATGTTAAAAGCACAAAGTCAGAGAAGTGGTTCAATAGTTCTTGAATGACAATATTTCAGGAAATTATAATCTGCTTGGTAGCAGTAGCCTATTTAAATATTACTTTTTAAAATTCAGAGGGTTAAGTTGATATTTATTGAAAATAGTGTTTATATTTAATAGCAGACTGAAAAACCTCAAATAATTAATTCCCTACATAGAAAATAATAAATTACATATAAGACAATGTTTCAAGTACTTAGTGTAACTTATTAAATTGTTTTAAATCAGGAACATGGCTATGCCATTAGGGAAATAAAATATTCATTGTTATAATGAGCTGAAAATCAAGATTAGTATTATTTTAAAATACTAGCAATGTACCTCTATTTGCTCAGACAAAACTGAACCAATTCATTAAACTTTATTTATATTCTAGGTTAATAAACAAGAACTGTATACATTTCAAATAACTGATGAATAGAAATGTTTAGATTTTTTTTCTCTAGATAACTTACTTAGAAATAAAGAAAATGCATATAAATTGTGCAAAACCCAAAGCATATGTCAGGCTAAAATTACCTAATGTTTTTTGAAGCAAACATTGTATAATTACTTGATGGTCAATTACATCTGATTAAAATGTATTGGTCAGCTTCATGTGGCAGAAACTACAGAGTGTTTGGAATTAATCATGCACAAGTTCTGTTTCTTTCACTTTCTAGTTATGTAACTGTGGGCATTATTTAAGCTTTCCGAAATTCAGTGTTTTACTCTCTAAAATAATAACAGTATTTATTTTTTAGAGCTGTTGAGACGATTACATTTTTTCATGTAATTAATAAGTGAAAATGTCAACTATTGTATTTTTCACATTGCAGGTAATTAAAAAGTTATTCGATTTCTTTCTTTCTTTCTCTCATTTGTCCAAAACACTTAATATTCTTTCCCCTTTCTTTAGAGCAAGAGTTGAACAACCAGAAAAAGTCTGTGGAGCTGCACAGCTTGCTGGTGTCATGCTTCACATTGTTTAAATGAAAATAGGACTTGCTTGTGCACAGTGTAATGAAAATGTTGACACTCTTGATCAAGACAGAGATGAAGATAAATAAAAATAATATAATTTTTTGCAGGTGATGTCCATGTCCACAAATAATTTTAAGTGGAAATGAATGAAATCCATTGTGATGTCAACTAGCTCTTTTTCTTTTTTAGTTAACCAAGAAAGAATACTTACTATACCTGAACACTGGCACAGAAGGATTAGCCTAATGGCTCTAGCCTCAAGGCTATTGCTGGAAAAAAATGGGCTGGTTCTGAAATTTTACATCTATAACCCCCTTTATGGTGCTTTTCTTAAAACTGAGAGATGACATTTTTTGAGTAGATTTTTCTAAGGCTAGCATCCTTAGCCATTCAAAGGCAACTAATTGTCAAACCCTTTGAAACTTAAAAAAAGGCTCAAAGATTCAAGCCTCATGCACCCTTGTCTATAAAGCCTCTAAACTAGCTCTAACTTGTGTTTCAGAAATATGATCACTTGATGATCTTGAAGACCAACTGGGGAAAGAATGAGGGCAAGGGAAATACTCCATCAGTATAAATATTCCTCTCATTTCTCGGTTTTAATCCAGTACACTTCCAGAATTAGAATATCAGGAATTGAAGATGATTAGTGTATATTTATAAAAATGTCAATGTCATTTCTGTCCTCATTGATATTAACTTAGATGTTTATTCTTAACAAAATGAAAGTTTCTTAGAATGCAGGCATTTGTCTTAAATGTGTTTTCAATATGTAAAGTGTTTGAATGTTTTTGAATTAGCTAGTGTTGTGAATAACATAACATTAATTTTTGATAAATTTGCTTAAATAGTAACAGTTTCCCTAGCTATTTAGATTATTAATGCCTACAAAACAAAAATGGGCAGAGATCCTGTTGAATTTCTAGTTGTAACTATTACTGTGCTCAAAAATATGAATTTAAATGTATTCTAAATAATTTTTTGAATGAGAGTGTGTAAAGATTGTGAGCATAATTTTTACATAATATAAAGTTGCAAACCTACAAAAACTGCAGATATATAATACCCGCTTATCTTGTTAATACGTAGTCTTCTGAACTTACTTAAACTGTCAATTTTCTTTGATCAATTAAACTGTGCTTCAAACAGTTCCCTAGGCTAGATTACTTTTAGACCATTTGCTTCTGTGAACTGGAAACCGTTACCTAATTTCTGGTTTGGCCTTCACCTCACCCCATATTCCTTATCACCATTATTCTAACAACCAGACTGATTATTTTATATAAAATTTCTATTTGACAATAGAGAAAAGGTGATCTGTCTCTCAGAGTTACTCTCCTGCTAGCGTTAGATGAAGTTTTTTATTTTCTTCTCTATATTCTAAGAGTCTTATTCTAGAACACTCAAAAATAAAATAAAAAAGAAAAAAGTTTCTAGGGAATCAGTGCAGTTCGGGAGAATCAGATGACGAAAACTTTGGGGTGTTTTCACAAAAATTGGATGTTATAATCAGTACCCTGCATCCAGATAAATAAGAATTGTGTATTTTATTCAATAGATACAATTGGCATGCATAGAATATTACATGTTTTCAAAAACTTTTTAATCTCCAATATTACATTAATTAAACTTTGTGCATATTTCATCAAAACTAGGAATTCTATTATACAGGTAAGCTATAATTTTTATATTTACATCTTGTGAAGTCTTTAAATTATTACTACTACTTTTATGGAATAAAGGTAATACTGACATTCCATATAAATTTATGGAGTAAAGGCAATATTGATGTTTCCGTGTATTTTTAGAAAACTTTACTGTAAATTCAGTTGTCTCTACACATCTTTACCTAAGATTCACTTTCACTCTTCTGCCAACTATCCGCTTTAACAGTAACTTGTGTATACTTCTGTAATAGCACCAATCACATTGCACTTTAATTGTCTATCTTCCCCAGTAAGATGTAAGATTCTTGAGAGCAAGGGATATGTCTTGTTCACCTTTATATCTTTAGTGACTAACGCAGTGCCTGGACAATACTCTTATGTTTATTGAGTAGATAAGCTAGTGAAATAAAAGAATAGTATTTAGGAAACTTTTCTGCTAAATCTAATTTGACTTGGATCTTTCAGTCATTTAGTTAATAATATTTCAATGAACAAAAAGCACCTTATTTCATGGGTGCTCTAGATCTGAAAATTATACGTATGTTTTACTTTCTATTATAATTGAATTTGGTATTTACCTTTTATAAGTTTATATAATTCAAATGTTTTGACTCTCAAAAATATTTGAACTTAACCATCTGTTGTTCAAGCTCATTTAATGTTCCAAATTGCAAGATTTCAGTAAGAGTTCTGCAAATTTAGCAGTGGTAACCAATTATTTGAATTAAATGAGAAGTGAGAATGCATCATTTACTCTTAGACCTCCATTAGGTCTTGGCACCCTGTTTCTAATAGAGTGGGAAGGATGTGTAAAATGTAAAAGGAAGATGGAGGAGGTAGATGTCAAATACTGCAATTATTCATTGAAACAGTTTACTAATTGAGAATGAAAATCTCTTTCTCTCTCAATTCTAAACTACTTACTATAAGCCTCCAGAGTATATTCTGAGCTACTGTTAAATAGGGTAGTAATTGCCATGACTGTAGTGGAAAGAGAAGTAGGAACATCAGTGAGTGTTCAATCGTCTTCAATATTTAATGTGTATCATTGTATTTCATATTTCAAATATTATTGTGCAGTTATGCAACCCCTTGTCTACATACTCAGGTCTGTAATAGTGTAAATTTCATGGATGACCTCATACATCCACAGAGAAGGTTGTCTCCCGCTTGACTTGTGTATTCGTTTCCTATTGATGCTGTAAAAATGTACTGTAGACTTAGTGGCTTAAAACAACATACAATTTTTCTCTGACAGTTCTGGAGGTTGTAAGTCTAAGGAGATAACAGGGCTGCATTCCTTCTAAGGGCTTCAGGGGGAGAATCTATTCCCTTGCTGAGAGTAAAGGAGAAGGTACACATTTTGATAAAGAAAACCATAAAACCAATAGCTAGGACAATTGTGAGAAATTGAATGCTTTCCCACTAAGATGGAGAAAAAGGTAACGAATTCTTCTCTCATAATTTTTATTCAACATCATATTGGAAGCCACAGCTAGTGTAACTAAAAAAAATGAAACAAATGCTATTCAGGTTATGAAGAAGGAAATAAATTTCCATTCACAAATGCCTTAACTCTATGCAGAAAATCCCAAATAATTAAAAAAAAAGTTCTCACTAAGAATTTAGTACTGCAAATGCAAGACATGTTAATATAAACAAGCCAGTTGCTCCCAGGTATACCAGTCGTTAATCAAATTTGAAATTAAAAACATACCACTTACAAGAGCACCCAGAAAAATGAATTACTTAGCTATAAATCTAACAAAATACACACAATATTTGTATCCAAAAAGGTTAAAACACTAATAAAAATAATCTAAGAGGATCTAACTAAATGGAAAGACATTCCACTTTAATGGATCAGAAACTTATTATTATTATTATTTTTGTTTAATTTTTTTCGAGATGGAGTCTTGCTCTGTCACCCAGGCTGGAGGGTACTGGCCTGATCTCAGCTCACTGCAACCTCCACCTCCCGGGTTCAAGCGATTCTCCTGCCTCAGTCTCCTAAGTAGCTGGGATTACAGGCGCCCGCAATCACACTCGACAATTTTTTTTTTTTTTTGTATATTTAATAGAGACAGAGTTTTTCTGTTTTGGCCAGGCTAGTCTTGAAATCCTGATCTATGGTGATCCAACCTCAGGTGATCCACCCACCTCGGCCTCCCAAAGTTCTGGCATTACAGGCATGAGCCACCATGTTCAGCAGACTCAATATTTTCAAGATGATGACATGGTTTGTCAAAGGCCTTTTCTACATCTGTTGAGATAATCATGTGGTTTTTTCTTTGGTTCTGTTTATATGATGGATTACGTTTATTGATTTGCGTATGTTGAACCAGCCTTGCATCTCAGGGATGAAGCCCACTTGGTCGTGGTGGATAAGCTTTTTGATGTGCTGCTGGATTCGGTTTGCCAGTATTTTATTGAGGATTTTTGCATCAATGTTCATCCGGGATGTTGGTCTAAAATTCTCTATTTTTGTTGTGTCTCTGCCAGGCTTTGGTATCAGGATGATGCTGGCCTCATAAAATGAGTTAGGGAGGATTCCCTCTTTTTCTATTGATTGGAATAATTTCAGAAGGAATGGTACCAGCTCATCCAAATTCCTCTGGTAGAATTTGGCTGTGAATCCATCTGGTCCTGTATTTTTTTTGGTTGGTAAGCTACTAATTATTGCCTCAATTTCAGAGCCTGTTATTGGTCTATTCAGATATTCAACTTCTTCCTAGTTTAGTCTTGGGAGAGTGTATGTGTCCAGGAATTTATCCATTTCTTTTAGATTTTCTAGTTTATTTGTGTAGAGGTGTTTATAGTATACTCTGATGGTAGTCTGTATTTCTGTGGGATTGGTGGCGATATCCCCTTTATCATTTTTTTTGCATCTATTTGATTCTTCTCTCTTTTCTTCTTTATTAGTCTTGCTAGCAGTCTATCAATTTTGTTGATCTTTTCAAAAAAACAGCTGCTGAATTCAATGATCATTAAATTTGGAGTAATTTTCAGTTGATCAGGACATCTTTCAGAGCAGCAGGTGATGGCACAGGAGAAAGGAGCAGGCAAAAAAGCACTAAAGCCCAAGATGGACATAGATTCTCTCAGTAAAGGATCCTGTGTGTTGATACCACCAATGCATACTGTCAGCATGCTTATTTTATTAGTAATCTATGTTATTTCTTGGCAACAAAACATATAAGCACATCTTACAAATAATATAATTTCTGTGTTGGTTAAGACTAAATAAATCCTGAAGATTCAAATAATATCTCAACAATCTTGTAGTTATTAATTTGAATGTCTTCCTTCCTCTGGAATCAATAGGTGCTACTATTATGCAGAATAATGATTGGCTTTTCACCCTGTTCAAGGCCTACATGAATAACGCTGCCTTACTACTCAGTAGCTGCTTTTTGATTACTAAGAAACTCCTATCTTAGTAAGAACTTAATAAATTATTTCTGTTTGCCTTCCATTTTCTAAATCATTATCTGTTGTAAAACAAAGGTGATAGTCTGTACTGCCAGCTTTATTATTTTCACTGTCATCATCATTACCAGGCAAAGTTTAATCAATTATTTATAAGAAAAATGCCTAAATTAGTTAAAGACCACAATAATGACCTGAGTTTGCTTTTCTTTGAAGGTGTAAATATTGCATTTTTGCTTATATTTTAAAATTTAAACACCCAGATGGATTCTAAAAAAAATCAGAGCAGAAGGGAAAATCCTGTTTCTCTTTAGATGCAATATTTCTATAAATCCTCATTTTGCATTAAATTTCCTGGAAATATATTACATTATTCATTAGTATTGACTGATTGTCAGCTACCACTTGTATATCAGCTTTATATGTTCACTTGTTCAGATTTTTTCCACTCAGATAAAATAAGCAGTAAATATTTTGGAAAAAACCTCAAGAATATTTATTGATATTAAATGTATTAATGAGTTCATCATTCCAGCATGTAAATTGTGTTCTGATTTTTGTCTCATGGAGTGATCACTATTCGTCTTCCTATATAACATTCCCAAAATTTGATGCAAATATCTTTATACATGCCTTATGAAACTGCCTTTGCAAAAATTATAACAGGGAGAAAATTATGACGGTGAAAGAGATCTGTTCTAACCAACTCCATCTTGCTTCTCACCCCCAAGCTCCCCTTGTTCATTTCTGGGCATAGGCTGAACTAACTTTGGGAGGAATTTAGTTTATATTTTAAATGATAATAGCCCTTCCCTAAAACAAAACCAGATGACAGGGGCCAGAATTCTGCTAATACGTATGGTTAGTTAAATCTTACCAGCCATTACTCAGGAAGTCACAATGGTTGTAATTTCCCCAATTCACTATCGTAGAACCTACGAATGCCCTTTCGAGATGTCCTTTCAGGCTTTTGCATTTCTGACCACCTAATGGCCCCACTCAAACCCACCATTCTTGGCTCAACTGGTCGTGTGACCCTCACCCAGAAGCATACTCACTACACAAGGACCATTTTCTATATCCCTATGATTGCATGCCCAACCAATCAGTAGCATCCATTCCCTTGTCTCCAAAACTATTCTTGAAAAACTCTAGCCTCTGAGTTTTTTGGGAGATTGATTTGAGAAATCACTTCGTCTCCTATGTGGCGTGGCCTGTCTCATATTGATTAAACTCTATTTACTGCAATGCCATGGTCTCACTTAATTGATTTTGTCTGTGCAGTGGGCAAGAAGAACCCATTGGGTAGTTGCATTTAGATTATGCTATTAAAACAAGACTGAAGACAAAATCCTATGCTACATTCTCAAAATGTTTCTACATTAACCCATTACATACCTACCTACTTGTATTATACTCTATCAGTAGGCTCAGCTACTTTATATCCACAAATATTATCATAACCTCCCTGAGAAAATGGTGCTGAAATCTGGACAATTTCCACCAACTACCTGTACTACTCTAGTACTTAGAATGTATTAATCTGCTATGTCTTGCCATATATAGAAAATATTTTTCACTTTTTATTTTTTGAATCATTTAAAACTTTTCCTAAGGCAAACAACTAAAATTGTAATTAATTAAATATAATCTTAATATCGAGGAGAAAAGTTCACTCAGACGTGTAGTTCATATAAGTCTCAATAATAATCATATTATTTAACTTTAAAGCATCTCCCCTGAGGCAGAGTTTTGGCCCCATGGCCTTTACCATCTGATGTCATGCCTATAAATATGTTATGTTACAGGCAAAATGGACTTTGCAGGTATAATTAAGTTTACTGATTAGTGACAATTAAGATTAGGGTATGATTCTGTATTATAGAGGTGGTCCAAATATAATCACATAAACTCTTACAAAACTTTCTTTGTCTGGAGGCAGGAAAAATGTGACAGAATGAAAAGACAGATTTAAAACATGAGAAGGATGTGATGTGCTCTTGCTGTTGTAAAGATGAAAGAGCCCGGCCAGGCGCAGTGGCTCAAGTCTGTAATCCCAGCACTTTGGGAGGCCAAGGCAGACAAATCAACTGAGTTCAGGAGTTCAAGACCAGCTTGGCTAATATGGTGAAACCCTGTCTCTACAAAAATACAAAAATTAGCCAGGCATGATAGCGAGTGCCTGTAGTCCCAGCTACTTGGGAAGCTGAGGCACGAGAATGGCTTGCACCTCTGAGGCGGTGGTTGCAGTGAGTCGAGATTGCACCATTGCACTACAGCCTGGGCTGTAACAGAGCGAGACTCCATTTCAAAAAAAAAAAAAAAAAAAAACCCAGGAACTTCAGTCCTGGAACCACAGGTAACTGAATTCTTCCAACAATCCTAATAAGCTTGGAAGTAATTTCTTTGAGCCTCTAGATTTGTTATTTAATTATTTATGTAAATTTGCTGATTTATTACATAGCAATAGAAAACTGTGTATCCCCAAATAATTATTAAGTAAAGATTGTGCCCATAAATTATACTCTTTATTTTATAGTTTTCTAAATTATCCAGAATGGCAAATTAATCAATAAAAATGTAAATTATTTCACCATAAAATAGTTTAAACAAAAATGAATATTTTATTATGTTTATTTTTATGTACAAACACATATATCAGTCATATAATCAATGATAAATTATTGGTTAGACTACTTAAGAATGAATGTAAACCCAAATTTCTTCACTTTTCAAACCCTTGTCTAATTTGAGTGTAGAGGAAATTTTCTGCTTTAGGGATGATGAATAACTAATAATTAAACAAGATATTTTTTCTCAGTGAAACAATCTGTGCTGTCCATCTTCCAGGAGGTAAGAGAAAACTATTTCCCCACCTGCTACCATTACCACCCCACTAGAAAGAAAGAAGTCAACAGGTATGGGACCTGGTCTGGGATTGCAGTCAACAAAAAGGGTCAAAGTGTCTTTTCTTGACACTAGAGCACTATGGTGGCAGACAGACAAGGCATGGCATTGTATTTGAGTTTCTTCTAGAAATGCAAGAAGGGTTAAATAATAAAAATCTTTAAATGGCATTTACTGCATTAGTAATTTAAAGAAGAAAAACTGTAAGATAGTCTCAATAGTCAATGATAAATTATTTCATAAAATTCAATAATCATTCATGCTTTTTACAAAAATACTCTTATTAAGATGGGAATACAGTAGTTCGACGACAGGTAAAACACTCCACAAACAGAATAGAATTCTGGAAATAGACAAATCTTGCATAGGTGGTCTGAGAATTTGAAGCTCTCATCGTTGATATCTACTAATGCTGGCTGAGAGCTGGAACCTGGGAATTTAGGCTGGACAGAGGCTGAGGGCAATTGCTTGGGGATGGAGCAATAAGCAGAACTTTTGGCAGTACCATAGAATGCAATGGCAAAATTAGACATCACTGGCATCGGCATATGTTTGACTTATCCTTCAAGACAGTTGCTGAATCCCATAGCTATGTTGGACAAGAGACTTAAGAACAAAAGTGAAAACCTCAGAAAACCCCATTAGGATTTCGGTCTTGCACTTAGAAGACAAATGCCTATGCAAGAGAAGGTCTAGAAGATTACATGTGAAGGATTAAAGTCCTCGAAAGAGTGCCAAATTGGTACTGAAAATTCTTATTTTTCCACCCTTTTGAGGAGTTATCCTGCTTTAGCAGGCTTGATGTCTCGTTGGGTACCACTCCTGGGAGGCAGAGAAATCAGCTAAATTTTAGTAGCTGAAAGTGAGGGATGGAAATATGAAATTGGAGATTTGAGGAATCTGAAGGGTACAAATTAAAGATATTTGCTATCTTTTCAACCAATGTCAGGCTAAGCCAAAACTTCTAAAAAGCAGCATAAATGTTTTCACTCTTTCAACACTGAGACATGCGAAAGTCACAGTGAAAAGTACATGGAAGTCCATTCATGAGAAACAAGGGCAAAGTAGAGGTGGACTTGTTCTTCCCAAAACTGCAATCCAGGTTGAACTTAGGTGTCTGTGATTGCCTGCACTCTATCTGCTTAAGAAATAAACCTTCACTGGCAGGAGATATTGTCTCAAATCTCTAGATTCTGGTAAACACAAAAAAATTATTGAATTAAAAATGTGTTATGAAAATAGAAAGGGCTGTATAAGAGAACAAACAAGACAGTAAAGCCAGACACAAAAGGAACCCAAATATTGAAATTAGCAAATAAGAACACTGATTTATTTGTGATTATCATCAGGAAAATATTTTTAAAAACATGTAGAAAGTAAATGAAAATATGGAGAATTTTTACTGATAATTTGAATAAAAATAGGATCACATAAAAATTCTAGAACTCAAAAACACATATTTAAATTGAAAAGCCAATAACTATATTGTTTAGCAGCAGACTGAACAGAGAAATCAGCATTAGTGAAAGGATGGCGGGTTATTAGGAATGTCCAAACTAAATCAAATATTCCTTTTAAAATGAGAGAAAATTGGCTGGGTGCTATGGCTCATGCCTGTAATCCCAGCACTTTGGGAGGCAGAGGCGGGCAGATCACTTGAGTTCAGGAGTTCTAGACCAGCCTGGCCCAAATGGCAAAACCCTGTGTCTAGTAAAAATACAAAAAAACTAACCAGGCGTGGTGGCAGGCGCCTGTAATCCCAGCTACTTGGGAGGCTGAGGCAAAAAAATCACTTGAACCTGTGAGGCAGAGGTTGCAGTGAGCCAAGGTCGCACCACTGCAACTCCAGTTTGGGTAATAAGGTGAGATGATCAACTCCCTATGTCAACTATAATCAAACAAAATGCTATAACATTAAACATAAAGTAAAAGTATAAATTTTCTGAAACAATGTAAAACCAGAATTGCCTGTAGATTATGCCTTTGGTGATAGAGTACGCCGAAGAATCCACAAAGAATTTATTTAAAATAACAAGAAAGATATAAAAGTCAAAATAATAATAATGTACTATTAACAAGTAAAATAAACATATCTTAAAATTTTTCTCTACTTATTGAGCAATATACTTAAGAATACATTTTACAGAAGATGAAAAGTACCATAACTGGAAATTTATATAATTTTTCTGAAAGAGGTTAAAGGAGACTTAAATTATTAGAAATATTTTATTTACTCATGAATAGGAATATTTAATTTTGCAAAAATATTAGCTGTTTACAATTATTCCATTGATATAATCCAATTTCAATCAAATTAATAAAAAATTTTTATGGGCTCTAAAAATCTGATTGTACACATTTTTAATGATGAACAATGATTCAAATACCTAATACTTTCTGTTTTTTAGGTTTTATCACACTGTGATGAATGTAAAGCTAGGTTTGATTGCCAATCAAAAATAACATTTGATATATTAATATCGTATATTTGCAAGTAGCTTGGAAAAAAGGAGTACCTTGGTAAGAACTCTGTGGTTTTGAAGCTTTAAATTACATGTTTGAATTTATAGTTTAGCTTTATTTTGAGTATATCTTCTAGATTTGATTGCATTCATGATGAAGAATTGAAATTTGAATACTCGTACCTTTTTGTAGTGGTAGTTTGCTTAAATTCTGCAAAATCACTGGTTTTGTGTTTCTATAAACTTGTAGAGCTGCTTAATGAATTCAACAGACATTTTATTTTCCATTATCAATGTATTACTTTTAACATTACAATTTTAGCTTTAGAAAATAATATAGTTCATCTAGACTCCAAATGTATTAGCATTTCATGTTTGGGATAATTATATTTAAAGCTAGATCACTTTAATATTTAACCAATTACAATTCATCTCTCAAATATTGTCTACAGTCAGTAGTAAAAACGGAAAATATATGAGGTCAAACTGAAAATATTGGAAAATCTAATTGAGATCTTTTCCTTGAGCCAGTACCAAATTAATTTTCTCTCAACCTTTTATAATTAAAATCAATATTCTGTGGAACAGTGCAATTAAACAGCAAAGCAGATGGTAACAGAGGGGATAAAAATTATTCCTTAACCACTTGTTGAGTTATGAGCTGCAGTTTCAATTTTGCAAGATGTATTATTATAGACTACCTAATTCACTAATGGGAATACTTCAGCTTCCTCTGAAGTCAAATAAGGATTGAGAGTATATGTTATCTTATCTATAAAATTTAGTACAATTTTAAAAATATGATATTAACTGTTCATAAATTATATCTCATGTAGCCATATAGATATCATCATAGGCTAGCCAAAGGGCATAGCTGATTAGTTTACTCCATGTTTTGAAACTTTTAGATGTGTATCCATTCAATTACAGCAGAGTTTCTGCACTTTGGCACTCCAGACATTTGGGGTCAGATAATATTTGTTCTGGGGCTATTTTGCTCAGCATGGTAACGCTGTTTAGTGGCATCTTTGGTTCTATTGCTATCTCCATGAGCAGCTCCCACCTCAAGTTGTGACAATCAAATTGTCTCCAAGCATTACCAAATGTTCCCTGGTGGGCAAAATTGCTTCCAATTGAGAATTATTTACCTACAGTATAAAGTTGAAATTATTAAACAGAATATGAAGGCCTGTGGTTACTTTATTTATTATCATTCTTTTTCCCTGATTTTTGCTGGGAAAATATTAATCCCTTTCTGTTATTCTGCATTGCCCCTGTGATTTTCAAACTCTGTGTGTTTACTTCTTTTCTTCCTTCTGTCTAATCCATCTTTGTGACCCCTTCACCTAGCAATGGGATTAGCATCTTTTAGAACTTGACTTAAAAATAACCCCTTAAAAAAAAGTTTTCCTAATGCACCAAAGATGAGTTAAGTGCTTTGCTTTGGGGATTATTTACTTCCTTGAGTCTATCTCTGACTTTGCACTTCCACATTGCAAGCAAGGGTTGCCAGAGAAAAGTGTCTCAAGGTCATTTAACAAAAACACCTAACTCTACAGACAAATTCTGGCTGTTATTCAAAGAAAGAATTGTGAAAGTAAAGCAGAAAGATGCTTTACTAGCAATATTAATTTTAGTGTTAAACTATCATCTGTCTGTCTTTCATCTATCTACTATCTACCTTCTATCTATCTATCTATCTATCTATCTATCTATCTATCTATCTATCTATTTTTTTAGTGTAGTTGCCTCCAGTCAAAGAAGGTGATGGTGATGCTATATACTCACACACTGATGCACTCATGTACACCATGAGTACATTCATATACGCATGCACACCCATCCAATGCACCAAGTCATGGGGCTGGACCTTGGGCACATGTGAGGATTTGCACTCATCCCAAAGGTGGTCCTATGCCCCGAGAAATTTGCCATTAAATAGCAAATACTAACACCATGACAGGTAAGGAAAGAGACTGCAGAAAAAGAAAAACACATTTTTAAAAAAATAGGGTCTCCACATTTTAAATTTGCTTTTGGCACCACAAATTATGTAGGTGGATCTACTTCTGGATGTAAGGAAAGATTCACTTCTGTTCAATTGAAAAAAATCAGACCAACACCACAACTTAAATTTTGATCATTTTAAATTTACTTAATACCACCAGATTTCTTATTTTTAAGTCTTTGAACTCAGAATCCAGACTTTGAAGGTTATTTTCTATATGAGCAGGTAATAGTGTCATAATACATGACGCTATTGAAATTAAATATTGTCTTCAATTTTTAGTAGAGAATATCAAAATGAATGAACTGCAGCTGTATGCATGTATGTCAATGATTCAATAAAAAATATTGATGTGAAATGTTGTCTTTAAAATTTTTATAGCTCGATTTAATTTATATGACCTTATAGAGCCCATGTTTTATTGCCAGTATTGCAAAGGTTCAATTCATTAAAACACTCATTTTCATTAGTAAGTCACAAAATTTAATATAAAATGAGGATATGCAATCTCACAATTGGTAGACAGCTATTAAGACTACATAAAATTTAACATCATTACATAAAAAATCAGACAGAAAAAGTGAAAATGTGAAAGAAGTGACTTTTAAAACTATTATAATAACATTATATGATTATTTCACATTTTATTAGTTAAAATTAAGGCATTTTACTTTTTAAAATCTGTCATTAGTCTTGTATTTGCAAAGCCAGTTATGCACACAAAATTAGGTAGCTAATGGGGACTAAAAATTATCCTCTTGCTTCAGTTATAAGAAAATTATAGCACACAGTACCTGTCATTTTGTGACTGGCTTATTTCACTTAGCATAATATCCCAGGTTCATTTCTGTTACCATATATGGCAGGATTTCCTTCTTTTTAAGGATCAATAATTTTCCATTCTATGTATATCACACTTTTTAATGTATTTATCTGTCAATGAACATTTAAGTTGTTTTCATACCATGGCTATTGTGGGAAGTTGCCTTTCAACAGGTAAAAAGTTTCAGTTATTCATGATGAATAAGTTCTAGAGATCTGAAAGGCCATGCTAAGAAACCATTCATTTGCCAAAAACGTTATTCAAACATTTAGGTCAATGGTCTCATGTTCCCTTGTTCCCTGTCCATCAAACTGCTATGCAGGGAATGCTATTAAAAACAGTCCTTGCAATAAAGAGCACCCACGCTTTTAGATGTTTTCTTCAAAAACACTGACATGTTTTACTTAATTTATCAGATTGATTGCATTTTGTCCAGTAAATGTATTTTCAGGATGTATATATCTTCACAGAATAGCTTATTCAATTGTTCCACATAAACCTTTGAATAATATACATCAGCTTTAGATAGCACTTGTTTCCATTTCTAGTGGTGGGAAACCCTTCTTAGTACTTACAAAAAGAAATCAGGTATTGCCCATGTGTAACAGCCCCTACACTCATCCACCTCTCATATAGTTAGCAGTATTTTTAAAAGTGAGAATGAAATTAAAAGAGGCTAATATGTTTGACAACACAAATTTAAATTGTCCTGATATCTTAGATTTATAAAAGTGAGATTATACACTATATGACCTTTCGTTTCTGGCTTCTTTTACTTAGCTTAATGTTATCAAATTCATTTATATTATAGCATGTATTGCTATGTTATTTATTTTTTATAGCTGGGCACTATTCCATTGTATGACTATAACAAATTGTGTTTCTTCATTTTTCAGTTGATGAACATTTTGTTTGTTTTCAAATTTGTGATATTATGAATAATGCTGCTATGAACATCTGTAAACAAGTTTTTGGGCGGATACGTATTTTGATTTCTCTTGGTTATATGTGTAGTACATACATATGTATGAATTGCTTCAATATATGGTAACTCTATGAATAAAATTTAGGGACTGCCAAACTGTTTTCTGAAGTGGGTGCACCATTTTACAATCCTTCCAACAATATATGAGGGTTTCAATATCTCCTTAACCTTGCCAACATTTGTTATTATCCATCGTTTAGATTATAGCCATCATAGTATATGGGAACTAGTTCCTCTCATCATGGTTTATATTTGCATTTTTATACTGGCTAATGATGTTGAGCATATTTTTATGTGATTATTGGCCATATGCAATAGAAGTTTCCTTCTGCTACTAGTTTGTTGAGCGATTCTCATAAAAGAGTGTTTGAATTTATTAAATGTTATTATTGTGTGTGTCTATTGAGATGATCATTTTTTGCCTTTAGAATATATTATATAGATATGTTTTATTATGTTGAACTAACCTGGCAAGGCTGGAGTAAATCACACTTTGTTAGATTGCGTAATTCTTTTTAATATCTTGCTGAAAGTGGTTTTATACTGTTTTGTTGAGAACACTTAACATCCGTATTCATAAGTAATATTGGTCTGTAGCTTTCTTTTCTTGTGATGCCTTTGTCTAGTTTTGGTATAAAGGTAATACTGGCCTCATAGGGTGAATTGAGAATGTTTACACCTCTTCAAATTTTGGAGAAAGTGGAGAAAGATAGGTGTTAATTGTCTTTAAATATTTGCAGAATTAACCAGTGAAGCCATTTGGCTCTTGCCTTTTTTTTTTTTAATTTTTTTGTGAATGATTTTAAAATTATTAATTCATTTATACTTACTTGTAAGTACATTCATATTTTCTATGATTCTTGATTCATGTTTTATAGTTTGTATTTCTAGGACTTTGTCATTTTTTCTAGACATGTTACCATACAATTGTTCATACTATTTTCTTATAATTATTTTATTTTATCATTTTTTACTGATTTTAGCAATTTGAGCTTTCTTTCTTTTTAGCTTGATCAGTCTATTAACTTTTGTTAGTTGCCAATCTGTTCAAAGAAGCTGCTGTTGGTTTTAAATTATGTATATATATATATATATATTTCTGTTCTTCATTTAAGTTCTAATCATTATCATTTTATTTTAGCTGCTGGTTTAGAGTTTAATCTTCTCTTTTTTTAGTTTTTAAAGTGAGACTTTAGATAATTTTCTTAAAATATAGTCATTTACAATTATGTCTTTATCTTTCAGCTGCACTTTTGTTGCATCCCATAGGCTTTGGTAAGTTTTGTTTTTGTTTTCATTCATCTCAAAGTATATTCTATTTTCCCCTGTGATTTCTTCTGTGGTTATTAGGTTATTAGTTATTTAGGAGAGTGTTTGTGGTTTGAAAGAATAAAATTATTAACAGAATATGATATTTACATAATTAACATAATATTTTTGAAAAATACTGATATATTGGTTTCTCCTAAGAAATAATTGGGGTACAGAAATTGTGTAGTAATTATAACATCAAAGGATGAATGCATTTGAAGCAGTTGATTGAAAGTAGGTAGATAAGAAGATATTACAGCCAAATACAGGATTACTTTAAGAAAATTTAAAAATTACACTACATAAGAAAATTTAATAAAATGTCAGAAATTTTTTAAAAGACTTCTAAAATGTTATTTAATACAATGTTAGACTAAATATATGAAGCTATTATTAAAATAGAAGTCAGTTATGTTTATTAAATATAATTAAATTAACTTATGGAATTAAATTGAATTTATTATAATCAATGAATTATAATTACTTTATACTAAAACATTAATTTTATTATAATTTTAATGATTTTATTATATAAGATAAAATTTATAATATATGAATTCATTATAAAATATTAATTTGAAAATAAAATATTAATCTTGGTGACTCATAATAATTTGAATTATTCAACAAATTATAATTAATTTAGAAGAAAATATTAAATTCAAAAGATAAAAATGAAATTAACATTGAATCAAGCTATTAAAAATTTAATAGCATATGAGGTACCACAAGTAGAATCACATGATTTTATATATTTTATTTTTACTCTTAAATATTTTGTATATATAATTTATAATATTTTTTCAAACTTTTAAAGCTATAAAATTTTGTTTTGAAATTATTATTTGGTGATCTTGATGATAACATATATTTTCCTATATGAGACAATGAGAAGTAATTTGTAATATTACTTACAAAGAAATTAAACATTTCAGTTAAGTTTTGAAGTTAGTAAATGTGTTAGATAAGTTGGGCTGACAACTTGGTAAAATGATCCTTGGATGAATTAATTTCCAATAAGTTGGTTTCTGGAGAGCTTTTAGTAAATGTGGCTAGATCAGAACAGAAAGGAATTTTTAAAGCAACTTATAGTCAATTTCTGTGTGAACAAAGGGTGACTTTCTAACAAAGGGTAAAATGGTTTTCATGGTGAGATTGAACTTAATTTTCTTTTACTTGCTCTGGATATTAAAATAATGAGATTCATAAGCATAACTGTATATACATGTATATACATTTGCATATTTACGTAAAAGAGTAAGGAACAAAGACAAATGGAGGAAGAAAGAATAAAGGAAGTTTGGAAAGAAGGAGAAATAAAGGGTGCATAATAATAGAAAAAACATAAGTTCTAAATAAAGATATATAGAGAATTAGCATTTGCTATTTAGTCTATTTTGAGACATGCTACCTATCTTTCGATCAACATACAGCAGCTTTGTTAGCACTTTGAAAAATAATTATGCTATTATTCTATTAGTTCCATTTACTCTCATTAGAAGGATAATTAGGTAATAAGATCGTGTCAATGACTTTATATATTAAGATATTTACTCAGAACGCAATGCATACACACATGAATATACACGCAGATAGAAGAAACATACAATTTTATTCTGTAAAATATTACAAGAATAAAGACCTTCAGTAAGAGAAAGAGATAAAACTTAAAATCAAAGTAGTTAATTTTAAAGACTATACAATTCTAAGTTTGAAAGGAAATACTATGAACTCATAATATATGTTCTTTTAAAATAATATTTCTTACACCTGTCAACATAAAACGTTGACAATTATGTCAGCTGTTTATTGTTGTACTAAAAAAAACAAAACAAATTTTTAGTGGCTTTAAACAACAGCATTAAATTGTTCACAGTTCTGAAGTTCAGAAAGTCAGGACCAGATCATTAGGAACAGCTCAGATCTGCTCCCATAGCATTGTCTGAGAGGCCTGGTAGAAGCCAGAGGCTCTAAGAAAGTTTCACTCTGGCACCTCAGCTGGAATGGCTCATGTGACTGGGGGGCTGCTGGGAATGGCTAAGCATTTTTCTTTTCTTGACCATTTTAAATATTTGGATCCTTATCCTTCATATGGTCTCCCTCTCCATATAGAGTCTTATCCTGCAGGTCTTATCTCTTCAAAAAGATAGCTCAGGTTTTATGTGGCGACTGGCCTCCCAGAGAGCAAACAATGGGAGCTGCAAGGTCTCCTAAGGCCAAGGTCTGGAAGTCACAGCATCATTTCCACCACATTATAAACGGCCTTCACATACACAGTGGCTGAAGAAATAGACCTGACTTCTTGATGGGAGGAGTCAAAATTTCATTACCCAAAAGTGTACGTGATGGAACTGTTGCCTCTACCTTTGGAAGCATTCTACCACAATCAAATGGCAACAGAACAGGCACTTGTAGCATGAATTTGAGTTAGCTAGATAACATTCCCCATTAAAAGGAACCAGGGCTTTTAAATAAATGGCCAAACCTAGTTGTAGACAGAAAACATCCAAAATAAATTTGTAATATCTTAACATATCAGGAAACAAAGAGAAAGACAATCATGTAGTGTATGCCTCTTGATGTGATGCTTTAGAAAGTACATAGCATATAAAATATTCTTTCAAAAAATTATGAATGTTCAAATATTTAATTATGACAAACTTACTGGAAATTCAGGAGTCAGAGGAACATGTTAAACAATAGCATTTTGACAGCATACCAATATCGTGCTAATTTGTGTTAGAAACTAAGTTTTATAATTAATTAGCCTTATATTTTTGAGAAAATTATTATATAGAGACAAATCAGTTGTCTATATCATGGAGGTAAAAAGATACAAGTTTATGAATACATAGCTTATGCATATAAAAATATAAATTGCATAAAACAGTAATTAGCATAACAATGCTGCCCAGGAAAAATAAATTCCCTTATCTGCCCTCTTCTATTTTTCCTAACTTGCCCAATAATACCAATAGTCAAATTCTCTCAGAGTTGGCTGTGGTTCCAAACAAAAATTGATCTTTATGGCTGCTATTCGTCAATAGAATAAGCAGTAATTCATTCAGAAGATATCTCTCAAAAATAGATTATTTTCTAATGTGTAATGAATAGCCAAACAACGATCCCAATAAAAATCAAAGATTTCTCAGCAAACGCAGAAAACAAACAACTGCCCTAGCTTCTATTGCTCCAATGAACCACCTGTCTACTTCCGTTTCTCTCCTGGTACATTAGATATATTTCCATGTTGTTTAGCAAAGACCAACACTAGCAGATCCCATTCCCTCTCACCTACTCTGACACTGCTCCCACAATCCTCCTCTGACACTGCTCCCATAATCCTCCTCTGACACTGCTCCCATAATCCTCCTCTGACACTGCTCCCACAATCCTCCTCACTCTCTCCAGAATCATTCTCTGTTCTCTGCACTTTCTACTGAATTTTTAACCACTATTAGGCAAATATCAGACCATCATTCTATCTTAAAAATAAAGCTCTGTAACCCTATTTTCACCTGCACATAATTGCTCATTTTACTTTTTCCCTTATATTAAAACTCCTCCAGTTTGACATAAACTTCTCAAGACTTGTTCATAGTCATTGTGTCCAGATGAGTCTTCTTTGCTGCTTCATCCTTAGCTCCCAACCTTTTTCATAATGTAAACCTCCAGGGCCTAGACCTTGGTCATTTTTTCAATGCTCACTTCTTTTTGGTTGTCTCAAAAACAGTCTGATAGCTTTAAACTATCTAAATGCTCCAAATAAAGACCATTCCAAATGTACAACTCCAGGACGATTTCTCTGTACTCTAGACCTATATACTCAGTTACCACTTGGATATCTAATAGGTATTTTGAAATTATAATGTAAAAGCCTGAACTCTTGATAGCTCTAACTTCAAATATACTATTCCTGCAATCTTTCATATTTCAGTAAATGGCAACTCCATTCAAGATTAATTTTTAAAAAATAATTATTAATTCCTTTATTAATCTTGTGCTAACATTTAATCCATCAGAAATCTACTTTCAACGTATAATTTTAAATCAAACCAATTCCCAACCTTTTTATGGTGGATGGTATTTTGATATCCCTCCCCGATTTCCTTTATGGAGTCAACACCCACACCCTAACTTTTTTGAATGTTGCCCCCAGTTGACTAAAGAAATGAATGTTGGAGGGTGAGAGCAGGTTAGATCTCATCTACTTTTCAGTTGGCTCAAATCAAATTCATACTTACAGAGCCATAAAACAACTCTGAAATGTGGTTTGTGCTGCAGTGCCTACTCCTGTTGATTGGGTCAATGTCAGCGCTTACCAGAATCATTTTCCTTAGTTTCCACTCCACACCCTGCCCCTTCTGTATCATGCTTCATTCCATACTTTACAGGGTATCTGTTTCGTTTTTCGTGAAAATTATTTCTTCAGCAATTTAGGCATACTACATTCCTATCTCTGATCTAGATAGTTAAAATATTTTTCTTTCTCATTGCTTTCACTCTTTCCCTTCTAGTTTTATCGCCAATACAGCATCTAGCATATCTGTTAAAACAAAGGACGGGTCATTTTATGCCTCTACTCAAAATATCTCAGTAGTTTCTCACATTATTCAGGATAAATGCGTAAGTAACTACCTTGGCTTAAAAAGCATGGCATTATCTGAAGTCTACCTTCTCCTTTCCTATTTCTCTTCAATTCACATAATAATCTCCCTGGATCACTCCACTTCATTGACACTAGCCTTCTTGAAGTTCCTTGAGATAATGTCATATTTGCAAACTCAGGGCCTTCACACATGTTCTCTCTGCCTGGATTGTACTTCTCTAGGATATTTGTCTGGTTTGCACCTACACGTCCTCCTGATATTTAGTTCTATGTTAATATTCCACCATGATATTCCATGACCACTTTAATTAAAAGAGCAAACCCAACTTTTTACTCCATGAAAATTACATATGCCTTTTATTACTTTTTTCAAAAGCTCGTAACACATTCTAAATTGATAAATATCTATAGCTAGAGCTATGTGTATTTGTGTGTGTACTTAATTTGTTTACTGTTACTGTCCACTCACTACAATAAAAGATTCATGAAGACTTTAAGTTTTAACTTTCATTCACTGATCTATCATCATTCCCTAATAGGTTCTCAATAAATATTTGTTAATACAAAAACCAGTTCAGAGAGCTTAGCGTTAAAATCTTATCATTGTAGCTACAACTCTATTTGATTCCATAGTACATGTTACTTTTAGCAACAATCTTCCACTGCTTACTTGTCAAAATTTAGATTTAGGTATTTAAGAAAAAGTTTAAAACTACTTTTTACATTTTCCCCTAATGGCATAAAATATGTGCAAATGTCATTTGTTTTGCATTTCACAATTATTCAAGATGTAAATGAAAGCTAAACTTTATTAATGCTATCAAAGAGCTGTAGCTGTTTCATTTTCTTCTCATCACCACCAAATCATCTTATTAAAATGCCCCTCCATGCATTATTTTTCTATAACTTTATATGACTACAAGCACATCAGAGATATTTTCATGTTGAGTCACGGTTTAAAGGTTTGCATTTATTTATCATTTTCCATTTTCTTTATTTCTCAATAGACATAAAATTGAATGTATTTATTATGTACAACATGATATTTTGAATAATAAAGATTTGTAATCATGTTAAAAAAAAGAGCTGTAGCTAACACAAACCCACATGCATTATTTCACAATAAAGGGAAAGGAAACAAAATCTACCATTCTCAGCTTCTAGTTTTCACTTTTCAGCACTGTGATATTACAAACCTTGATTTTCTTCTCAATACAATTATCTAAAATATGTCAAAGGTATTGTTTTATGGCTATAGAATATATGGAGATGATATTGAAACCTTGAGACATAACTTTATGCATTGCTAGGCTATCCCAGAGGTTGATTATTGCTTTAGTATTTCAATAATTTTTCTTAAAATATATATATATATGTATATGTATACATATGTGTGTCTGTGTGTATATACATACAGAGAGAGTGAGAGAATATACAAGCAATTGAAGGCCATAAAGGTATTGTTAATTGTCATTGAATTATTGTTAGACATTTTCCTGATACAAATAAAGTATTTATTATTGTCACAAAGAGGCAGCTATTTGCACAAAATAATCTATTTATTTGATGTTGACTAGTTGTTTCCATGTCAACTGCATTCAATAATGAGGCTTAGTCACCATATGGTTTGTAGAACAATCTGTGTACTCCATGGACTAGCATATTGATGCAAATGAAAGCTTCTTTCCTAAAAGGTTAAAAATGACAGAAATATATATATAATATATCAACTGAATTGCCTAAAATGTATGTTTCCAGCTGTTTATGTTCAGCGCTCGTGGTTAGTATTATAGAATGACATTTTACTCTAGGTAATAAACACCAAAATGCATTGAACAGATTTTTTTTTTCAAAGAAGGAAACAACAACAACAACAAAGTTTAGTGATTAAGTCGATTTCACCAGAAATTACCTTACCACAATACTCACTGGACATTTTAAGATACCACCGTTAAGTACATTCTAGTACATAACCGTATGTAATGTTTTTCAAGCTTAAAAATTTTTTGCTCTATTTATGGAAGAAATTATAGTGTATTTTAGTAGTAAAACTTTTAATTCATCTAAAATTTCTTTCCTATAACCCAGTGGGAATTAAGGCTACTTCCATGAGTATAACTCTTTGTTCCAGGACATTCTTGCCCAGGAAGATACGTTTATAAAGAGTAAGTATTCTTTATGCTTATACAGAAAAGTCTTTCAATCTAATTGATTGGATCAAATAGTTTGCTCATCTGAGTAAATACCTCCATTCTCAGAAAAAATAACTTTCTCATTCAGGCATTCAGCTCATTTATCAACAGTGTTTAAGTTATCAAGACATATTTAAAGACCCTTGGCTTTCTGAGACCATAAGTTCTAACATTATGCCACAATATCAAATTTTCCCAATTTCATTTAGATATTCATACCAAAAGACTCAAATTAAATCTCTTGAACACAGACCCTCCTCCAAGCCTATGAATATCCACCCATGACTTACTTGAGACATTACTAAATCTCTGTCAAGATAGTGTTCTCTCTTCCTGCAATAGGCTTCATAAACAGCTTTATTTAATCAACCGTTGTCATTTTGGTAAGTACGCTGTCAGCCAACCCAGTGGACTCAGGTACAGATTGTCTTCAACTTAACAGTTGTTTGACTTAAGATTTTTTAAAAAATTTATGATGGGTTTATAGAGGCATTTTTGACTTACAATATTTTTTACTTAATTATGGGTCTCTCCCTTATTGTAAGTTGAATGGCAACTGTCCAATTGAAAGCCCATTTCTCTGGGGCTCAAGCAGCTTTACTTAAAACTCAGAATGCTCCTCTGAGATTCCTTTGGCCTTCTTCTTAGGAGTCCTTCAACTGAAACAATTATTGTGACTCTTTTGCTACTGTAGTTTGGTGATTGGAAGGGAGTGGTGCCCAACAACTTCTCCAGTCCCATTGTTTACCAAGTGGGAGGGAGGATTACACCTCTTTTACTTCCACTGCCTGCAGCTTGGTGAGCAGGAGGGGAGTGTTACAGGTCTTTCACCCCAGCAGTTTGGAAAGTTCTGGGTTATTGTCCCATGACCAAGAGAAATAAGGTAGGTGGACACCAGAGAGTGAGAAAGGCAGAGTAGAATTTTACTGAATGACAGAAATAAAGCTCTCAGCAAGGACAGGGGACCTGAAAGCAGATGCCATCTGTGAGGCTGCGTCTGGGGTTTTTATGGGCTTAGAATGGGAAAGGGCATGCTTGTTGGTCCATGAGTGGTCTTGGAAAAAGCACCATTTGATTGATTAAAAGGCATCATTCAGATAAAACCAACAGAGACAGTGGGTAAGATGTAGATAGAAGTTTTCACTCCAGTTGTGGACTCTATCTGGAACTGGCAGCAGCTCAGTTTTCAGGCTTCAAACTGTCATTGGCTTAAACAGCAGGTTTCAGTGGGGACCCATCCCTGTCTGCCTAGGAATTTGTTGGTTTCCTGTCACTATCACGATGAGATAAATCATTCAATGATTTGTGCTCTGATTTCATCTTGCCATGCTCTGAATTTTGACTTTATTTTGATTTATAAGGTTGATTTTTTTTTTTCTTTTTGAGATGGAGTTTCACTCTTGTTGCCCAGATTGGAGTGCAGTGGCACAATCACAGCTCATTGAAAACTCCCCCTTCTGGTTTCAAGTGATTCTCCTGCCCCAGCTTCCCGAGTAGCTGGGATTACAGGCGCCTGCCACCACAGCCAGCTAATTTTTGTATTTTTATTAGAGATGGGGTTTCATCATGCTGGCCAGGCTGATCTTGAACTCGTGACCTTGTGATCCACCCACCTCAGCCTCCCAAAGTACTGGGATTACAGGTGTGAGCCACTGTGCCCAGCCAGGATGAAAATATTTTTTAGTGTTTCTTTCATTAACTCCTCTGATTTGGAAGCTTTTATCCTTGATGCAAATCTACCTAATTACTAACAACACTATTCTTTCATTCTTTGATTGTCCTTATCCATTTTTGTGTGTCTTTAAGCAAATATTCACAGCTAAGAGAACATACATAGGATGGTAGCATCAAAAGTTCTCATCAGATTGGCCACCTTTTAAGACAAATTTTGCCTTGGGTCATCTATTAAAACTTATGAGTATTGAATTCAGACCTGTCTTATAATATCTGTAGGAATATGGCCTTGTAAAAAACCTCCTTGCCATATTTTTTATCTGCCAAGAATAGTAGATTTTTGGATGTTACTAGAAGAAATTATGCACCACTTGTTTCGACCCCAATAAAACCCAAGGTATAAAAGTAATATATCATACAAACTGTTGCCAAATTTTCATGAGTTTAACTGATTCTAAGTTTACTCACTCATGGATAGTCTCCTATGATCCTTTCTTAACCTGTGCTCTACCCGTCTTATATAACTATTTCTCTTCCCTGCAGGCCATTGAAATAATACTTCAAATGTATTACGGTTCATATTAAGCACTTGTCTTTTTCAAAGTGATGAAATACTGTTAGAGACTTTTTAATGGTTAGACAAGATACACAGACATTTAGAGATTATTTAGAATAGTTCCATTAACATATGATCTAAGGCTCTAAAATATTTATCCATTTGTTTATAGGTTAGTAGGGCCCTCAGATTAAAAAAAAATTAATGGAAAAATCAGAATGAAAAAATCCTGATAGTCACTTCAGAGGTCATGAATTCAAGAGACAACATCTTTTGGAGGCCATCCCCAATTCTTTCCTATGAAAACAAAGCTCTAATTCAGTTTTTAAAGTAGTAAAGGATGAATTCACAGGAGAGTTCAAGAGCAAACTCTAATGCCTTAATAGAGATTTGAAATAGATCCCTAAACAAATGATCCAGCTATCTCTTTACTTTTTAAAAAAATAAACTCAAACCAGAAATGTAAGATTTACCATAAGAAACAGTCCCATTCTCAAGTCTCCAAATCCTTGAAGATTCTGGAAGGGCTTTAGGACAAAAGCAGAAGAAACTGATGACCCAAGAGAAACAACTAGATTCTTACACTCCAGTGATCAGACATCAGTGGCGAGATTCACTTGATGAGGCCGTCTTTTGATATTATAAGCAAAAAGTATATTGAAAAAAACAATTGTCTTGCACTAGCTAAGAATCTGAAGAGAAAAACTACAGTAAATGATCAATGAACATCTTCTGAGGGAGAAAAAATGATCCAATTTTTCTTTTTACTTTTAAACTTAAAAAAATAAATTTCTCCAAATATAAAAAGTCAACTGTGATGGTTAAATTATTGTATCAACTTGATTGGGCCACAGGGTACCCGTATATTTAGTTAAACATCATTTCTGGCTATTTTTATGAGGGTGTTTCTGGATGAGATTAATATTTGAATGAATAGACTGAGTATAGCAGATTGCCCTCTCCAATATGGGTGGGCCTTATCTAAGCCATTGAAAGCCTGAATATAATAAAAGGCTGAGTTGGAAAGAATTCTTCCTCTCTTACTTGAACTCTGTCTCATACTTATATCATTGGCTCTCCTGGTCCTCAGGTTTTGGACTTGGACTGAAGCTATATCATCAGTCCTGATGGGTCTCCACCTTGCCAACTGCATATATTGGGGCTTCTCAGCCTCCAGAATTGCATAATCCAAATGCTTATAGCCATCTCTTCCTATATTCTCTATTCTGTATCTATATACCTATATCTATTATTTACCAATTAATCAATTTATCTGTCAGTCTGTTGATAATATATAGTTTTTCTGGAGAACACAGACTGGCAAATAGCTTTTTAAAATTTAATTTTGTAAATGTATAATTTAATTTCTAGGAACACTGCAGTAGTATCCTTAAGCCATAGTACAGTGCACAACATACCCCTCAATAAAATACTCAGTTGGTATCTCTAATAACCCTCAGTCATTACTATGTCCCACACCACAGATATTGTCACTGAATATTTCAACAAAATATATTATTTCATTTTTTTGATAACACTTTCAATAAATTGTAGGATATGATATTTGGAACAATTATAATTTATAAATCAAGTGTTTCTCTTACATATTTTTCCTTGGAATACTGATAATCAGTATTCGTAGCTAAACTGAACATTGTCTTTGATATACCTGTAACCATGTGTCTGACTCAAACCCTAAACAGATTTCTAGGTCACCACGACTTGAACTGTACAAATTATTGTGATATAGGCAAAAATAAGGCAACTGAACCCACTAAGCTTTAGATTGATCCATTTAATTTCTACTCAAATTTAAGCACTATCTCTAAAACCTAAAACTAAAGAAGGACTAAAGCTAATCATTGAAGTCTATGGGGAAAAGTATTCATCATATCTTATACCAGTTATTGTAATACTATTTTCTAAGATACCAAATAGATCTGGATATACATATATTTAGAAGTGATATGCTAAATAGCCATTCTTTGTCTCGCTGTATACAAACATAAATACTCTTTAATTTTGATGTCCCTGTTGTCTTCATGTTTTACAGTCATACATGCATGTTTTGCTTCTTTGTGATCAGTAAATCAAAATAGCCAATATCTGTTTTCCTTTTAGTGGGAAGGCCAACAATCTTCCATCTAGTTATGAATCATGGGTTTAGAGAAGCCTCGTCATATTTTTCAGAATTTATTAACTAGGACTTAAATGACCTTAAGTTTTCTTGTAATTTTTCTTTTAGTCAATATGTGGGTAATCTTTTGCTAGATACCAATAATAGTTGAGCTCTAAGATTGATTCCATTTGTCAGTTTGTATCTTTAGTCCATATAGGACATATATACCCAAAAAAATAAATAGCTTTGTTTAAACAAAGTGAATAATTTAGAAAATGATTTATTCCAGTGTAATTTCTTCATTCCTGACATGCAACTTCCTGCTTAAAACTTTAATGTCAATTATTGAAAGATGCAATTAATGAATTAGGAATTAACAGAATTAATAAATTCATATTAAATAAAAATTAAAATAAGCTTTTAAAATATGCTCAAATAACTAAAGGCATATCTAAATTGAGCCAGTTGAATTAAAGTATAGCAATGATTTCCACTAAAGAGAGAATATCAATAAATATATGTGTGTGTGTGTTCTTGTGTGTGTATACACACAGAACCAAATCGAAGTACAACTGAAAAATGTCTTAAATCTGTAGAAAAACTCAAAAGCATGTTTGCGATGATGAAATAATCAGCATCTGATCTGAGGAGCAGAAAGATAAAAAAGGATAAAGAAAACTTAGAGCCTCAGAGACCAAGAGGAAACCATCAAGCAAAATAACATGTGCATAACAGTAATCCAGTTGTTACTGTGGGAATAGTTTGAGAACTCTCATGACGCTTACTCCTCCAGAAAGAGATTATGTTCCTTTGTGTCATGTGCCCAGTATAACCAGAAATCAAGGCTTGCCTTAATTTAATTTCACAAAATGAGATGATTTTAAGCCTTGCTATAATATAGGCTCTAGTAAGAGCACTACCTACCTGTTACCCTTACTTATGGGGAAGTCTTTTGAGTCCTAACTTAAAATAAATGGAAAATTTACTAGCTGCCTTCAAACTGACAAGACTTGGGATTCCCTTTTTTTTTTTTTTTTTTTTTTTTATAAAAAAAAAAAAGCTCTAGCACCTTGAAGTTGTTAGTGGTGCTAAGCATCTCTGGTTCTTAGTGCCCTTTTCAGAGGATAAGAAAAGCAGTCCCTAATTCTAGGCTCAGTTCTACATGTTTATATCATCTCTTAAGTTTTAGTTCAGTAATTTGTCACTGACTTTTAAATTGTCAGATGCCTTTCAGCAGACATTTTAATGTTTGAAATAGTATGTTTAATGATGTTTACTGGCAAGATCAATAAAACAAACACACACACAAAGAAATAAAAACTAGCGACATTTCAAGGTAAAGTTTCATCATTAAAACAGGAGTAATGTCAAAGGCTAAGATGCAAGCATACAATATGAACTCATTTTATTGTTTAAATTATTTTACTATGCCAAAGTTATATTAAGATTTAAAACTCCTCTAATTTAGTATTGCAGCTTAGTCACTATGATCAATTCTCTCAAAGATAACAACAAAAAAAGGATGGATGAAAACTGCATGTTAAAACGGATCAAAGAGTTAATGATATAACAAGGGATTACTGAAAATCTACAAAAAAAATGCATTTCCAGCTTAGAATAAAGAAAAGTAAGCCTGGTATTTAAAATTGCTTTAGTCTAAAGATCAAAGAAAGTGGTAAATATGTGGATAAATCTGAGAAAATTTAACTTTATTATAGAGTATTATCAATATCATGGAGTCTTGGAATTACACAGCAAAGTAATCCATGCATTTGAATAGAACTAATCCTAAGAGAGGTTAATATTCTAAGATATTTGTAATGTTCAGGAGATGGGTAAACATATCTGTTAATATTAAGCTTGATGGAATGCAGAAAACTATTGTATATGTTTCTATTAGTGACTAATGAAAACAGTGTAAAACTTTTAAACTACTTGAGAGAAAAAAGAAATTATAATACATATTATATCCAAAAGAGTGTGGATTATCTTTTATCCCAGCTCTGGCTGTGACTCCCAAACTGGGTCATCCTCCAGGAAAATGGTCTCTCCAACCAACTGGGATCTGTAACTCCAATTCAGTCCTCATCTTTGTGGGTTGCCCCTTTCATCCTGTTCAGGCTCTGACTTGCTGAACTGAGCTGCCCCTTTAATGGACCCACTGTTCACCTGGCTCAAGCTCCAATCCTCCAGGCTGGAGAGCCATAACCCTCCACCACTGCATGTGAATATCCATCTCCTCCTGTTTGTAGTTCGACACCCACACAAGCTCAGCATTTTGTGAAGATCATCTCTTAACACTTCTTGGTCTCTAATATCCCACAAATGTCCGTTGGAATGGGAAGGCTGCCTCCACTGGACAACGTAGGCTGTCCTGTGAAACATCAAGTAAGGAATATGAAGATTTCACAATTTTTGTGAAGTTGAAAATAAATTATTCCCCAAATTAAGGAAGAATAGAATAAAATACGTAATCAGAGCCCCTTACTATCTGAAAGTATTCTTTTTAAACCTCTGCATGGCATTTGGGACTAGAGTCACGCTTTATTTTTACTGTCTAAAGAAAGCAATAGGCTAAGATACTATCAGTTTGGTTTTAGTTCATTGACCTTTTGAGGTGTGTAATTTACCCTATTTTTTCTAACTAATCATTTTGAGTTATATCAAGTTCATAGATAATTATTCATTTTAATGTTTCCCCTTTTCTTTCTCTGCTACTTTATCTTTCTCTCCCTTATTCTTTCTTACTCCTTTTCTCTCTTTTTTCCCTTCTTTATTTCCTCTGTTTGCCTATCAATTTTAGATTATTTGTTTGTGTTGCATTTAATACAGCTTTGTAAGCCACATTAAAATGTTTCTGGAAGATGATCAACTTTAAGTAAATAGATGAATTAAATAAATAACAGCATAAAGTATGATTTACATTGGAATCCATTTGGTTTCCTGTTTATACACTATATTAAAATTTTACATCAAAATTATATGGCAGTAAGAGGAAAATACCAAAGAGAAAAAAAAAATAAAGTTTGTAAATACATTTGAGAAGCATAAATAAAATAGAAATAAAAAACTGCGAATAGTTAAAGCCACCAGCCTATTGAACTCTATGCCTGGAGACCAATAGAGAGAACCACATCATGTTTTAATTACTACAGAATTAGGAAAGGTAGTCACGTAAAGGATTAGTTGCTTGAAAACAATGACTGGTGTAATCTGCTTGCTCCTAATATAAGGCTAAATATTACATTGTTGATTGCCTCCTTGGGATATAACTTAGATTTAAATGAAGTGATGTGAGAGATTTGAACACAGATTACACACACACACACACACACACACACATGCACACACACAAACACACATTATGAATGTTTATGTCCCCACCTCCCAATTTGTATGTTCAAATTCTACCACATTAGAATGAGGACATAGGGCCTTTGGAGGGATGATTAGATTATGAGGTCAGGGCCCTCAAGAACTGGATTAATATCCTTATAGGAGATCCAAAAGACATCCCTTTTGCCTTCTGCCATGTGAGAACATAACAAGAGAGCACATTTATTTTCTTATACCAGTCCAAAAGGACTAAAATATGTGGAATAATATGTACCTGTGTGTGTTCATTTGTGTTTGTGTATGTTCGTATAGTTCTCAAATCAAGAACTGACATATCCTACTGGCTTTTTGGCAGAATCCAAGATATCTTCACTATCACTCTGGGGCAAGGTATCTGAGTTCATCATACAAGCTTTAGTTCTAGACTGAAGGCCTCAGAGAACTGAGGGGAGACAACTATAAAACCAAAGATAAGCCATCCCACTCAAAATGATACTGCACACCAAAATTCTAAATTAGATATGTTAGAAAAATTATTCAACTCTCCCAAGGCAGCCATCACAAATAAACAACTAGATAATTAACAAATAACTTTAAAGAGTAATATCATAAAATAATTTAAGATACTTAAGTAAAAATATATTGAGATTACCCACAGAAGTAAATAGCAAGAAATAATGGAGCAAAATCACACAGAAATGAAAGAAATGAGGGCATAAAAACATAAATCATAGAATGAAGAACATAGTCATTGAATTAATAATATAATGAAACAAGTATATAATATTAATCCTTAACCAAACGAATTCTTATCTATATCAAAAGCAATCAATCTGGAAATTTAATATATTGAGATTAATATTCTTATTAATAACAAACATTATAGAGTTTATGGAAATAAATTGTGCAAATGTGCAAAACTTTTAGGAAGAAAATGATAAAGCAGCATTAAAAGATAAAAATCCATTAATAAATGGAAACAATATCACAATGAATTAGAAAACCCAACTTCATGAAGACAGGAATTTTACATGTGTTAATGGGTAAATTCAGTGATACTCCATTCAAAAATTTAATAGTTTTCCTTGTTTGTTCATAAAAATTGTCTAACATACTAAAATCCATAAGAAATATTAAATGGGACTTCTATTTCAACCTAAGATTCACTAACAGTGAGTTACGTTCCTTAATGAAACAAACAAAAAAAAATACCAAAACACTTTAACAGCAGATTTCAACACACTGAGCAGCACAAGGAAAGTGATTGTAAGAGATGAAAAGCAAATGAGGTTACACCTCTGATTGTCTAAGCTCCCTTCCTTTAGAGAGTTTCCAGGCCTTGGCACAGAAAGAAGGAATACAGGCAGAGCCGAAGAGACTTCCTAATTTTGAGGAGAGAGCTGAAAGGTCACTGACACCAAGGTGACAACAGTGGTTCACAAATCAGAGTAATAACGAGGAGGTAACATCCAGCAGAAATATGCATAGGGTTCCTCCTGAATAGTCAGCTGAATATTGATCAGTACATATGTGTGAGAAAAACACATGAGGCCAGGGAAAGATCTGCATTAAACAATTAGTGGCAATAATACCAGTGTCCTGAACTCACGGGGCATCTTTTCATTAGCCAGTTTGGAAAACTTCATGATTCACAGGGCACTGAGTGAGTACACAGAAGGGTGCAGTCTCAGTAGTGGGAAATAATTACCCCTAAACTGAGCGCTTCTCGGGTCCTACCTGACAAATCTTACAACTATCAGGTCAATTATCCCTCCAGGATGGTAAAGAAACTAAGAAACCTAAGGTAGCCTCATTTTGGAGGGCTAACCATAGCCACCTGTAAGTTAAATAATGGCATGATGGGTTGTTGTGTTTCCTTAACACTAAAGGTCTCTTATACACTAAGGTACAAGTGGCTATGTTTTCAGAAAAAGGATTTATTTTTATTTTTATTTTTTTACAAATATTAACAAAATCTTTTTTTAATTTTTTATATATATATATTATTATTATTATACTTTAAGTTTTAGGGTACATGTGCACAATGTGCAGGTTAGTTACATAAGTATACATGTGCCATGCTGGTGTGCTGCACCCATTAACTCATCATTTAGCATTAGGTATATCTCCTAATGCTATCCCTCCCCCCTCCCCCCACCCCACAACAGTCCCCAGAGTGTGATGTTCCCCTTCCTGTGTCCATGTGTTCTCATTGTTCAATTCGATGTTTTAATGACTGGCTTAAAATAAGTAATACAACCCAGTGGTCTGATATCCCCAGAAAGAAAAAGTGTTCATTGAAATTATTGGGACTCCCCTGTCCCCACACGCATACAAGGGAAATACATCAGTTAGTAGGTACAGGTTGACAGTGTGTCTAGTATGGTCTCCCAGCCACTTGGTAGGCCATAAGTTTCACAGTCCACTTTGAATAATCAAGTCAAGTTTTGTTTTTCAAGAACTGTCTAAGGGCAATAAGTTCAATCTGTCTTCTTGTCCTTGACATCAGCCAGGCAACAATCATCTATTACGTAGAATGACAAGTGACAGTAACAAGAATGGAGACGGAGAAAACATCCATAGTAGTTGACAGGTGTTTTGTATGAGAAGTGCAGGATCTGGGGACATCTCCTGTTGTTTCTGATAGATGAGAGTCATCTGGCCGACATGACATTTTCAAGATTGAGTCCAATTTAAAGGTCTTGCAATGGTGTGAAGACCTGAACCAGGGTGTCTTCCTTAATGAGAAAGGATTCAGAGGTGGCTTCAAAAGAGAAACACCACTAATGCCTCTCCCAGTCCCAGATGTCCTGTGTTCTAAGGTGATTCTTCTCTAGGGTACTTGAGTTGTTGCTCTCCCTCCACCACTACAAAAATCATGGTGTACCACTACAGTAGCTATACATTTTTCTTTTGCCCAGTAATCTTCTTCTCATACATAGATCTTTCTTCTGGAACATCAGATGTAAGAGGGACCAGGTAATTTTATATAACTTATAAAATCTCATTACATCTCTTACTTTGACTAAGTCTAAGGGGGACTGAGCAAGGAGTGTATTCAACAAATGGTAACTATCACTGTGGTTAGTTACCATGTAACCATAGTGGTTAGGACCATGTAAATCCAATAAGAAAATGCAAGTGATTGAAACAGATAAATTTGAATCACTTAAGTCATCATTTTTTTAAGAGTTTATTTTTAGAGTAGTTTTAGGCTCATAGCAAAGTCCAGAGAAAGATACAGAGATTTCTTTTATATCTCCTCCCCCAAGACTTGCATAGCCATCCCCATTATCAATATTCCCCATAAGAGCAGGTACATGTGTTATAATTGACAAACCTACATTGAACATCATAATCACCCAAAGCTCATTATATCCATTCTTGATATTTTATGTCCTACGAGTTTGTATAAATGTATAAAGACATGTATCACTGGGTGCAGTGGCTCACGCCTGTAATCCCAGCACTCTGGGAGGCCAAAGCGGGAGGATCACCTGAGGTCGGGAGTTCGAGACCAGCCTGACCAACATGGAGAAACCCCATCTCTACTAAAAATATAAAAAATTAGCCAGGCATGGTGGCACATGCCTATAATCCCAGTTACTCTGGAGGCTGAGGCAGGAGAATCGCTGTAACCCAGGAGGCAGAGGTTGCAGTGAGCCAAGATCGTGCCACTGCACTCCAGCCTAGGCAACAAGAGCAAAAGTCCATCTCAAAGAAACAAACAAACAAACAAAACAAACAAACAAGCAAACATGTATCTACTATTATAGTACTATACAGAGAAGTTTTCACTGCCATAAAAATTCTTTGTTTTTTGCTTACTTATCATTTCCCCCTACACAACTCCTGGCAACCGCTTGTTACTGTCTATATTTTGCCTTTTTTCAGAATGTCATACAGTTGGGATCATGCAATATATAGCCTTTTCAGATTAGCCCTAGGCCTTCTTTTAACTGTGTGACATTGTTAGGGCAGGACACGTTGATACCTGAAAGTTTTACTAACCACTTCAGACTTGGTTGCCATAGGTGAAAGAAGAAAATATAATGTCCAGGAGCAGTCAGGATGGAATTCCAAATTTCCAAAAAAGCCTATGTATTACCTATACCTTTATCTTCATCATTATCTAGACTGAGAGGAGATAATCACTTTCTGAAGGTAACACATTTAGAGACCAAATTGCCTTAGTAGGGTCAAAGAAGTCAACAAGATAGTCAGAATATTTGAATGCATTTTTAGGAGACCATTCAAGTGCTCAACAATACCAGTTATAAATGAATGGTGGAAATGTGGAAGTCCCATTAAATAACTTGACATGAGCATTCAGTGGCTTTTGAGATAAAAGGTGCACCACTGTTAGTTGGGAAATGACCTGAAAAGCTGGAATTATGATAAACAATAGTTTCAAGAGTTAATGTGATGCAGCCAAAATCAGCTGATCACCCTGCAGCAGCAGCAGCATCATAACCTGATAACCTGAGAAAGTATCATCACTGGTACCTCTCAGACAGGGCTCAAAAATCATATGCAGTCAATCTTCCAGTAACAGGTGGAACAATGACATCCCAATTAGGTCAACTTTTGTCAAATGTCTATATATATATATATATATATATATATATATATATATATATATGGCAAGCAGTGGTATATATATATGTGTATATATATATATCAAGGTAATTTATATAACTTATAAAATCTCTTGTCAATCTTTTTTATATAGTTTTTATAGATTGGCTTTTTATATATATTTGCTCTCTCTCTCTCTATATATATATAGCAAGCAGTTATAGTTGTACCCTCTGCATTGGAAATGCAGATTTACTTAGAGCCCAATCTGTGTGGACAATGTGTTTCCATGCCTGGTATGATGACGTATATAGGCAGAAATGTTGGGAACTTGGGTGTTATTTAATCAGCAATTTGTTTTCATTCAGCATCTTCAGAGAATGTTCCCTTACAGTTGTCACCTAAATGTGTAGCCCAGATGGTTTGTTCAAAGACTGCAATTTGTTCTATAGTAAGTGGTCCTACAGATGTGTCTTAAATCTACCAGCCTATAGTTTTCTGCATGCCAGATAAAGAGCCAGACCATTAGCAAAGACCCAAGGGTCAGTAGAAGGATAACAAATTTCATTAAGTATTGGGCAGAGCTATGAAAATGACCTTGAGGGAGACAACCATATCAATTTTTGGTTTGTCTTTGAGGATCAACAGCAATAGCAACCTCATGGACACCATCACGTTTCAGATTATGTAAATAATTGTTGAACCAGGCATGGAATTTAGTGGAATCTCTGTTAATTGAGAGTCCAGGTGATTCAACAGCTTTACATTAGGTAGCACAGTCAAGAGTAAATTTTCCTCTAAAGTGACAGCTCCTAAATTTTCATGCAAAGGTGAGATAATCTGTTGTCTGTATTCTTGAATATTTATACCCATTTAACAAGTAAGTCTTGTTGGATACTGCTTGACTTGCTAACTCTTGGGTTTAAGTTGATCCACCTCCAAATGACAGTATCATGTCAGAGAGTCACAGACCTCCATGTGTCAGAAGTTGAGTTTCAACAGGAACAAAATAGCAAGCTAACAGATTATTCTAAAAATTAGTACAATTAGTAACAACAAATGTATGGAAGACTAGCTCAAAACAAAAGGCGTTCCTCTAAACAGAAGCTGTTTCTCTTTGCCAGAAGCCCCAAATATCAGAATCATCATTCATAGAGACATGTGGTTCAAAGAAGTTACAAGTGTTGTGGTGCCCCAAATATAGAGTATATTACAGCTTGCTGGACAGTTTCTATTGGGTTATGTCTACTGATTTGGATGCTAACCAAAAAATTTAATGTGTGAGTTAGCTTAAGGACTAAGGAACAAGTAGAATACCCAAGTGAGGCACAAGCCTTTTCCAATAATAAAGAGCATAGTAGGTGGGAAGCTATTTTTATGTGGAGGGCAGCTGAGAAGTTGTTTCCTGACTGCCAGAGGAATTAATCACTGTGAATACACTGACATATTTCCAAGAAAGTTTACTTGCCAATCAGTGCTCTAACTTTTGTCAGGTTTTATCATTCCAACCTTCTGGAGGAGGTGTGATAGCGCCAAGGTCAGGGGCATTGAATCCGAGTCATTGCCATCCAACAGAACATTATCTGCATAGTCGAAGCTTTGACATCAGAAGGTAGAGGCACTCACACTAAATCTTGGCACACTCAAGGCTGGCTGGAAAGTTTAGATGGTCCTGTAGGAGTACTACAAAAATACATTGGAGCCTTTGTGACATGCATGTTAATGGATCTTGATCCTGATATTTCTGAGTACAATGGAACAGCCAGAGCCGTAGGAGCAACAACTTAATCCATTGCAAGCTTCCTATATCACTGGGAACAGAGGGCATATTGAGATATTGCATCTCATACTACTTTCTACTGCCTTTAAATCTTTAATTAAGCTAGTGATTTCTCCTTTCTCCTCCTGGCATTCTAAACTGATTATGTTGAATCCCCCAGGAGATTATAGGGAGGCATATTGGCTAGCCATGTATTTGTCTCATTAGCACTTCTATACATGTGGCTTTTTCTGATTGAGAGAATGCTCTCTGGCACTATGGGACGGGAGGCACAAGCATATGACATATTCATTTCCAGTAAACTTTATTATATAAAATCAATAATAATAAAATGAATTTACCCAAAGGACCCTGCCCACGGGGTCTTATTAGCTTTCTTACCTCACTGTGAATCCTGCCCAAACACTGATAGTTGAATAAGTGTACCTTTGTCTTCCACAGTTATGGGTAGGATGGCAAGTTTGGGTCTCATATCCAACAGAACTATAATTATTTAAATCTCTTCGTTCAAAATTCTGAAGCATAGTCAGATGGATACATATGGACTTTGATTCTCTTGATGTTAGTGTCTGCTTAGCCCAATCTTTATATCTTTCACCTTTTATCTTTCATCCCCACCTTATATCTTTCACTATAAAGTCCCAGCATTCTGGATATAAGGGAAATGATTGATAAGGGCACACAGAGGGAGTGAAGTCTCCAGTGAAAAGGGCTTTGCATTTACTTTGTGTACTGAGGGCATAGTAACAACTATGGCCTAACCAAATAAATGTTCCCATGTTTTCATCCAATGTTCCATATTAGACAGTGAGAATTTCATTGCTAAGACCATTTTAGCCTTTGGTATCCCTTGTCTCTTCTCCAGAAGAAGCCACTTATTCTACTTCCCAAGGCTGCTCAGTATGCAAACGTCTATGAAAAGATAGTTCAGAATAAAATCACTGCCTCGGTTTGCAAGATATGTAGTAATGTAAGTGATCCAACATGAATTCTCTTTCAGCAGTTGTAATAGCATAATTTTTTGATGTTTTTCTTCTTGTTTTCAGAAATAAAGTAAGAATTAAAACCATATTTAACTCTTTTTATGTTAAACAATTCTCAGCCAAACATGTATACCTGTCCCTGTCTAAATAATAATTTGATAAAGTATACTTAGCTGTGTTTGTACTAACCAACATTGGAATTAAGTAAAAATTGTTTTCATTCTGCAAAATAATTTCTTCTTAAGACTCGACTGTGAATCAACTAAAATAATTTCATTATCAAGACTTATACATGGCTCAACCATCAATACACACACATATCAAACAAGTGCCTCCCTATGCCCATCAATGCAAAATTATTAGATAATAAGCTACATTGAATCCTAAATAGATCCCCATATGGGAAAACCCTTCTTAAATTTATACAGACCAGAGCTAAAATTCATCTGAAACACTGTTTCCTCCTTGAAAGACATGATAGGCTCTGTCAAGGTGGTGTTGTTTTATGGCAGTAATATAATAAAGTTTGCTTTGTTTGATCAACAGGAAGAATGCTCAAGCTATAAATGAGAACAAAATAATTTTATATGGTTAACCTTTGCTATTAATGATTTTGAAACTTGATATTAATTGTCCTTAATGCATCATCACTTGACAAGACAATCTAACAGCATAAGTAGAGAGATATAAATATTCCATATTTGAACAAAGCAACCCTAAGAGTAATTGGACTAATACTGAAAACAGACACATTTCATTTCCAATATGAAATGCACTAATATTTTCTAAGGTAGAATAGTATTAATAGATTTAGATTTTAATTTATCTTGAGTACTGAAATGTACCTGAGCACATTACTAGTGCTCAAGTCCCCTCACGTCCTAGATAGTTATAATACAACTTGCAACTGGGATTCTCGCACTTTCTACCTGGCAAATTTGAATACAATTTTAGTGTGATTTGAGTTTTGCCATTGCTTATTTTTGCAAATCACATATATTTTAGAAAATTAAATATCTAAATAGTTAACCCCCCCAAATGTTGACACCTAAAATTTGTGTTATTTTCAACAAATATTTTAAGCATATATATGTATGCAATTTTATTCCTAGTAAACAAAGAATTTATGTGTTGTTTTCATGTTATCACTAAACAAAATGATTTTATTACATGAGTTTATAAAAAGTGTTGTATAGCAGTTCATTTTTACTTCACTCAAGTAACAAATATTTTAGCTCACAGCACACTTTTTAATTCTTCAAATTTCTACCAGCAAATTGAATAATATTGATCATAAAAAGTATAATTTATGCTATTAGAGTAAAATTGTATATATTGTGGAATAAAATTAAAATAAATTGCTTTGTAAAATCATCTCTTAATTTACCTTTTTATGTTATCGGCATTAATATAAAGAAACACAAGAAAAATAAGCATAACCACAAAATCTATTTTTAAACTTATCTTTGTTTTTTTTTTAATTTTTGAAATGTAAGCTTTTCAACAGTTCTTTAATAAACCCTGGGGATTCTAGGATGTACTTTTTGTTGGATATAACTGAGGCCCTTAATTAGTCCTAATATTATTCCAGTATTGTATTTTGTTTTGTCTTCAACGATCACTGTACAAGAAAAAATAAAAATTTTACCACTTGGTGGTGCTGGTGGATAATATAAAAACCAAACTATTCCTGGAGCATATGTTGAGAGAGCTGGTTACGGTGATTAAATAAAATTAAGGGAAGGACAGCTTCATTCACCTCTGTCATTCCCTAGTTTTCATTTCTCCTTTTGACATAAAGAGTGTAAATTAGACACAATGGTTGCTACCGATGGCTTGGGTCCTTGCTAAGTAGCAAAGAGAAACAAGATCTTTAACACAAATTTCATGGCATTGGAGACTGACGATGAGGCTATTATTTTCATTTTTAAATTATCTCTGCCTCAGTGTAAAAGATTACTTCAATTACACACATTATTTTTATTCTCTCAAAAAAACAAGTTTTTGTATGACCGTTCATGTTTTTACATGGCATGATGACCACTGAATTGTAACATTCTGTTCTTGGTGGAAATGCAAGTATTTTAACATGTAATTGATGTGTTTATACCAAAATTAATAGTAAATGCATCTACAAACATGAGTAACTGTTCAATTATATTTGATGTCACAATATTTTCAGATACTGATAAACAAATAGCTCAATGACATACATTATGTATAATAATTGTTAAAACTTTCCTTCAGAAGTATATTGCTCTCTCAAAAGAAAGCTCGCCTAAAGTGGTCACAGTTTTTCATATTTACTTGGCAGTGTTTTTTACTTAGCTCAGCTTCAGGTTTCCAATTTTAAAAATGTATAAATTATACAATTTTTATGAAGTATCCACCTACATATTTCTTCAGCCACATAAACACAAGAGATTATGTCACTGATATATATATATGTATATTTTATATATTATTTATTAACCGGGGGAAAGTCCATGAATTTCTTATGCCCAGAGTTAACATAGACTGTAGTGCTCTACAGGGGGTGTGATATGGCAAAATTATATGGGAAAGATTTTTAATGATAAAATGAAAGTTTTCAGTGTTTGCTTCAGTTCAAAGAAAATAACCCAGCCAATACATATTCTTTGTCACATTGGTAAGCAGATACATTATTAACATCTTTGACATGGAAGAAAGGCAGCCTAAGGGCCCCAAATTCTGCTTCTATACAGGTAAAAAAATAAGCATTTAATTCTTCTCCTGAACAACAACTGTTTTAAAGATAAGGCAAAGGATGACCCCAAATCCTATTTGTAACTGTACAAGCCCATTCAATCCCAGGGGTCATGTACTGCTTGATTTGAGTTTCCATTAATGCTTTTGATTATTTTAAATACATTTGGTAACAATGAAGGTGGTTAGTGAAAAACCGACCCACTTTGAAATGCATGCAATGATCATTATGAGAACCCGCAGTCTAAAAATTCACTGATAGAACTAAAACTCCATCATTCACCTTCTCTAATATAAAACATAATTACAGTGTGTGGGGTATGTTCATTAGCAGGATCTACTCAGAATCAATTAAAGAAAATTCTACTAGGCTGCCTAGTATAAGAATTTTTATCACAAATCTGTTACCATTAACTATGTTTTAGACCTACTGTACCTTAGGTTTGTTTTCCCAGTAATAAACTTTTGGATTGTTATTCTTATTCTTTGCAGATACAGCAAAAATAATTTCTTTATTTGATAAATTACTGATAGTTAGCTTTTTTATCCAGGTCAATTTTTGACTCTCCACTTCTTCTTCTTCTTAATTATTTTAAGGATAATAAACTAATTAAATAAACAAAACATAACAGATAACATGAAACAATTGAAAACTACTCCAACAGAAGAAGCTGGACATCATTTCTCCCACCTATTGCATACATGCTGTATCATTTTATTTGCCAGAGAGGATAGAAATACTGAATTGATTACATGTCAAAGAAAGTCTAATGCAATCATAGTTCAACCATTTACAATTTGGTCCATCACTTCAATTCTGGAATGCCATTTCTCACTTATAAAATGGCAAGATTTGGCTATCAAGAGCCAAAAATATGATTAGTCTGAACTGAAATGTATGTAAGTTTGAAATATAAAACAGATTTCAAAGAATTAGTATAGAAACAAGAATGTAAAGTACTTCATTAATAGTCATCATATATTGATTCCATGTTAAAAAGATAATATTTTGGATATTTTTGATTAAATGAAACATAATTAAGCCATTTTAATTTATTTCCTTTTGATGTTTTATATGACTATTTTAAAGTTTAAAATTACATTGGTTTACAATTTTGGCTTGCATTAGCTTTCTATGGGATAGTTCTAGGACATAAACTTTAAAAGATTTTTTTGGTTGTTTTTTTTGTTCATGACAGAACAATAGATCTCAATTTTTACCAGTTATTTTGAACATGATATACTTGCTATTTCAGAATAGTCTTTTCAGTTAGTTAGGAGGAATGTGTTCTGATATTCTGTTGCACAACAAGGTAGCTATAATTAATGTCAATATGTTGTATATTTCAAATTAGCTAAAAGGGGATTTTAAATGTTCTCATAAAAATACATAGGACATATTTGAGGTGATAGATATGCTTACTCTGATTTCATCATTTCACAATGTATATATGTATCAAAACATCACATTGTACTCCATAAACATATATAATTATTATTTGTCAATTAAAAATAAAATACAATTTAAAAATATTTATTCATGTTTAATTTATTATTTTTATGGTGGTGTGTTTTCTTAATAAAATTTTTTTTTAAGATTTCAGAACTGTATTATTATTTGTACACTCAAGGTTGACAATCCAACCAGGGTCAGTCTCTCAAAGAAAAAGAAAAAACATTCTTACCTGTGAGTTGATCTTTTTGCTAAAGGACATAATTTTGAGGGTAATTTTGGCAACTGTGAGAGAGGAAGGACACCTACTTGTTCAGTGAAAGCAGCCATCTCAAACCTACTTCTTAATTATCCAAAATCCTTACATGTCGTACTCTTTTCAGTCATGAAAATTAAATTGAGATGCTAATTGTACCATATTCTATCACAGTATTGCAAATTATGTAGTTTAGGCTTAAAAACATACCTAAGTTTTAAGAGATATCCTTTTATAGCTCATTTTGTGTGTGTGTGTGTGTGTGTGTGTGTGTGTATAGATTGATTGATTGATAGATAAAGATAAAAACACTTTCTCAAACATTCAATTTCTTTGTTAGCTTGCATCATTTTCAGAAACATAATCTATTCAACCTGCAGTAAAAGTTATTCTCTCTCTTATAAAAGTATGGTTTTATTTGTTAATGTATGTATTCTTTTAAAATATAATGCCAACTTCCTGCTCTCTGCAAGGCATTGAACGGTCTATGTACAGCACTGGAAAATAAAATAAAACCCACAAGATGGGAAACTATTTTCTTAATGGTAATTGTTTCAGATGATGAGTTTTGGTGCACCAAAGCCCAATTACATTTCTGTTTCTTCTTAAGTAAACAAAAACTACTGAAGAATGCTGATATTAAAAAAATCATTAAGAAACTCTGTAGTTTTCCAATTGAACTCTTTACTATAGAGCCATACTGGTTTATTTGCATATTTTATAATGAAAAAGAAGAATGACAACCAAAAAGAAAGAATTATTTTAATCATGATACAAAACTGAAATACTAGAACATTGTAAATAAACTATTTTTTGAAATATAAGTAAAAATCATATATAGTAAATATATCAAAAGGCATTTCAAAAACATGAATACTAGTTATTATCAATGCATATTATAAATCATTATTTTTCTTTACTTAGTTTTATAATATTAAAGTTCAATAAGGGAGTACAAGTGGAAAATTTACTATATAATATTGAATAATTATTACTGATTTTAGACTCAACTTTTCTGCCTTGTCTTACTTTTTAATAGAGAAGAATTGCTTATGGAGTGAATGAATATACATTTTTGTTTAAATACTATAAATTTAGTGAAAATATATGATGTACTATAATGTGTTTGATATGAGAGGTTCTCAGTGACATCTTAAGCACCATCCCATTAAGAGACCAATTATTATTATTATCATTATTATTGCTTGGTGGTGGTTTTTCATATTCTTTAGTGTAAATTTTTGCAGCACAGAAGTTAAATCATGTTGCTACAGGTATGGTGCATTTAATTGGTGGATTTATCATTCAATATGTGAAAAGGTAATCCATAATTTAACTATAATATTTGAATAACTCTTTATTTATATATTATTTTTTAAATGTCCTGATTAATAAATTTTTACTTTTCTTTGTTTCTTAAAGCAATTCCGATGGGAGTGTTTTTTTACCATGATGTGTAATGGTGAATGAAGAGAAGCATTTATAATCAACACTAATTTCATAGACATAATAATTTCTTTTTGCTTCTCACTGCAAAATTTATATAGTAAAATCTAGTTATGCTAAAAATATCTGGCTAGCTCTCTTTTAATGCTTAAAAGAAAATATAATCAAAATCAACAGGAAGTTACAAATCTAAAATGACCCATTATGTATTAGAAAATATATTTTCTTTCACACATAAAAGGTATCTTTCTTGGCATTGTCCTAAAGCAACTGAGTAGTTTGGAGCCAGAAACAAATTGAATCTGTAACCAATGCAGGCACGTACAATATATGTGACCTTGAACAAGTCTCATTATTGTTAGTGTTCTTTAGGATTTTTAAAGCAACCAAATAATACAACTTTGAAAAGCAAATGTTTTGATATTGTTTTTGCTTTAAAAAGAAATATATATATATTCTTTTTATATATATTTATTCTCTCTCTTACAAAAGAATACTCTCTTTCTCTCTCTCTCTCTCTACCTCTCTCTCTATATATATATATTCATATTAATTCACAATGCGGTAATATCATTCAGGTCTTTCTTACTTGGGCCATATTGTCCTTCTCCTTAGCAGTAATGTTGCCCTAGAATTTTGATGTATACAATTCCTGAAGTCTCTCTCTCTCTCTGTATATATATAATATATAATATATAATATATATAATATATATAATTTTATATATAATGTATATTATATATAATATATGTAATTATATGTAATATATAATTATATAATATAAATTATATATAATATAGAATATATATTCCTGATATATATTCCTGATATATAATATATATAATGTATAATATATAATATATATTCCTGAAGTCTCTCTCTATATATAATTATATATATAAATTATATATATAATATATATTATATATAATATAAATTATATGTAATATATAATTTATATTATATATAATATATAATATATAATTTATATTATATATTATATATAATAATATATAATATGTATAATTATATATATAATTATAAATATATAATAATATATAATATAATATATTATATATAGAGAGACTTCAGGAATATATATTATATATAATTATATATTATATTATATAATTATATATAATATAATATATAATATATAATATTACATATACACAGAGAGAGAGTGGATTTGGAGTACAATGAGCTTATTTATATTGACTGCTTAGTTGCTATTGATATTATAGAATAAGAATATCCAATATAAAGTACAGAGCAAACAGTCTTCCAGATAATGGAAGAATAGCTAATGATCATTATGGAAAACTATCTAAAGCTATTATTTAATGGTTTTAGACTTCAGGAATTGTATACATCAAAATTCTAGGGCAACATTACTGCTAAGGAGAAGGACAATATGGCCCAAGTAAGGAAGATCTGAATGATATTACAGCATTGTGAATGAATATGAATGGGTGAGTTAGTGTTAAAGATGATGCTACCTGCAAGTAGCATCTTGTTCTTCTCTGTGAGGAAAAGCATCTCTGAATACCTGAAATTTTGACTTAGCATTTGCAAAATATCTCTTTTTAATTGGATCACAGTTTTGTTGTTTGTAATTATAATCTTAATGGAAGCTTTTTGATTAATTCTCTTAGTTTCAAGTCCTTATTGTGGCCTCCAAATGAGCTGGCCCCTAGCTGTTTCTCCAACATTCCCAACTATATCCCCTTTCACTGTTCCTTATCCTCAGCAAACTAACACAGGAACAGAAAACCAAACACTGCATGTTCTCACTCATACGTGGGAGCTCAACAATAGACCCCATGGACACAGGGAGGGGAACCCCGCAAACCAGGGTTGGGGGACTGGAAGTGAGGAGAGGGAGAGCATCAGGACAAATAGTTAATGCATGCCGGGCTTAAAACCTAGGTGACAGGTCGTTATGTGCCACAAACCACGGTGGCACACGTAATCCTTATGTAACAAACCTTCACATTCTGCACATGTAAACCAGACCTTAAAGTTAAAAAAAAAAATGTGAATTACAGTTTTGCTTTATAGCATTTGAGGGTGTTTTGTACCTACAAATTTTCTTTTCCCCAAATATTTACATGGTTTCTTTCTTCACCTCTTTGTTCAACCTTCAGCAAAAGACAAAAGCCTTTACTAATTGTTTTATCTAGAATAGCATGGCCTTCCTCTACACAACCTCTTCTCTTAATTTTTACGTATCTATAACTACCTTTCAGTAAGTTACACATTTGCATTAGGGAGTGTAATGAACTCCAGCTTCTGTAACAATCTACACCGCTCCCCTACCCGCAAAAAAAAAAAAAAAAAAAAATCCTGGTTAAGTCCAGTAAAAGTAGATTTCTTGCTGACATTACACTTCTGACTCTTGTTAGAGGGTTCTGCTCCAAGCAGTGACTGTTGGCTCATAAATCCTTCAATTCTGTGCCCTGCCATTGCCATTTTTTAGAGCATCCTCAGCAGTAAGCCAGTAAATTAGTGAGGAGAGAGAGAGAGAGAGAGAGAGAGAGAGAGAGAGAGAGAAACAATGCAGGGCTTGTCATGGCTAGGTTTAGGAGTGGCATATATCAATTCTTTCCATTAGCCAAAATCCAGTCCCATTGTAACTCCCATTGTAACTGAAAGGAAGGCTGGAAAATGTAAGTCTCTATGCTGTGTACTCAGAACAGGGAAATGAAATTTGTGACCCTTTAACAAAGGTCGACCATAACATTTATTTGTCCAAGTGTTTATGTCTCTTGAGTTACTCATATATCTTGAGGGCAGAAACATTATTTGGTTTGTTTCCTGCTCTATTCCCATTATCTAAAACAGAGCTTTGCACATGGCAACTGCTCAATAAATATTTGTTAAATGAAAAAATAAATGCTGTCTTTTATTTTTCTCCAGACTGGCCTACAGGCTGATAACATACACTAGAGCCACAAGAATCTGCTAATATTCAATATTTCTGTGCTAACTGGCACTGATAAGTATAGTTGAAAGATAGCCGGTCTGTTTCACCCTTATGGTGAGCTCAGGTTTTTAATATGATTCATTTGGTAACATATTTGCATCAAGCTGTTTCATATGTGAAGTAACCTGACTTCCCCTAAATATTTAAATAAAACAATAGAATATTTAATTACATATAAAATTATATTACAAAATACAGTTTAAAATTTTGGTTGGAGTTTTAAACAGGAAAGTAGGCTAAATATTGCATTTAATTCATCAAAATACTGGATAATTTTTATAACATCTGCAAAGAACTTAACACTATAACTGTTCTTGATTTCTGTAGCAATATAAGAAAGCTAGTGTCTTAATTACTATATTTTACAGAAAATAAATATGGGGCTCAGAATGTCACTTCTGTAAGATCACAAATAAGTTTTAAACTGGTCATGAACAATTCGGTTTTAAACTGATGCTTATTCCACTGGACTAATACACACAAGCATTTATGAATAAAGCTCTCAGAATCTCCACAGCAATTTGCTCAGAAAAATTATCAGAGTTATTGATTTTTAGGTGCATTCTTTGATACCATTGACCACAGTTTTGTAATCTATTTGCTCTAAAAAAGCATTAATTCAAAGCTCACATGGACCCTTTTGTCTGATGGGATGAGACCTTCATGGTGGTTTATCTACCAGAAATAAGAATCAGCCAGAAAATGGAGAAGGGGAAGAAATGTTCAACTCTACAGAGGAAGATGTAAGCTCCAAAATGTGGTTTTCAAAATTTGGGTTTAATCACTTTGTATAGTTTGGTGACCTTCTGCTCTATGAGAACAGCAGTCTCAGAAGGCATACTCACCAAAGAGTGGTTTGGCAAGAATGTTCATTCATGTTAAATTAGAGTTCATGTTCAAGGCAAGCAATCAAATGCAAATTTTACTGTCCATGAAGGATGTAGAAGTTCACAAAATGAACTGTAGCTCAGGGTGGGTTACAGACACAATAGGAAATTAGATCAAATTGCAAACAAAATCCTAATATTGTAGATGAAAACAAAAATAAAATAAAGAACGGAGTACAGGTGGGATACTGCAGCATATGCCATAATGGGGCCTCTGTAAACTTGATGCTAGCACTTCAGATTACATGGCTAGGCTGCAGAATATTTTCAAGCCTTACCTGTCAGCAAGGATACAAATCTAAATACTTAGAATTTCTTGGTGCTTATTTGTCCAGGTCCTGGGCAAGGCTAAAGCCATGAGCTAATGGCTTCTGGATATCTGCTTTAGGGCAGGGAAGTTCTGAGGAAATCAGAACTAGAGGGATGACCAATGGCAATTTTAAACATCCTAAGAGGGTGTGCTACTGGAAGGCAGGAAGATTGATAAAATTCTATAGTATTATTTTTTAGAATTTGTTTGTTCCATATTTTCAACTCCTTCGTATGTATTTTGAAGAGAGAAATATTATGATGACATATAGAAAATAAATGTTGAAAGTACATGGAACTGTTTCTTTGTTGAGAGTATGTTTGCATAACAGCTATAAAATATTAAACAATGGAAAAGTCTTTCAATTAAGAACTTTTTTTTCTATGTCATATGCCCAGAATTTTTAAATTTCAAAGTCTTATTTGATAATAATTTAAATTTGCTTTAATACAAACTATAGTAAGATATTTATGTTTATGAATTGCCATATTGCAATTTTGTTGTAGACAGAATAAAATAAAAAACTGATAGGTCCATGCTTATTTCCTTTTTCTAAGGCAAAAGTAGATTTTAGTCATTTTGGTTTTGCATTCTTTGTTTTTTTAAATGATGTACTAGAGAAATTTTGTCACTGTCTTGGCTATTATTTGGGAACTGCCTGGGTAACCTTGGCTATGAATCAAAATTTTTGAAGCTGGATACAGTGGCTCACTCCTGTAGTTTCAGTTATTTAGGAGGCAGAGACAGGAGGATGGCTTGTGCCCAGGAGTTTGAGGCTGCAATGAGCTATGATCTTGCCACTGCACTCCAGCCTGGGATACAGAGAAAGACTCCATGTCTTAAAAATAATTGGAAATTTTTCATTCTTAAAAAAAATAATAATAATTGGAAATTTAATGGTTTAAATGAGTTTGATATGTAAACATTTTGGATATTAATATTTGCTAATTTTATGTGTTATACCATCTTCCAGGGTGTGTTTGCTTACAATTTCTTTATGACATTGCCTATTGTATAAAACCATACATTTTTTGTATCCTAATTGATCTAGTTTAACTCTTCCTTAATTACTTATAATACCTCTGCTGCCCTTTATCAAGTTTTCTATATATGGTTGGTCTAATTTAAAATGTAGTTTCTGTTGCATTGACTGATGTTTCTACCCCTCAGCAATACTGAACCATCTTCATTTTTATAATTTTATTGTATATTTCTGCTAGGAAAAGTCTTAACACTTTGGGAGATTAATCTAGGAGATGGGAGACTGTATTATCTCATTGTGTATTCCAGTCCATGAACGATAAGACTGCCTTTTATATCTTTTTATTATTTCGGAACCATCTCCTAAGAAGCTTTGTATGCCTTTTGTTAGGTTTATTCTTAGCTGTTATTGATTTTGTTATCCATTTTGAATGGGATCATTGTCTGTAATCAAAGAGCAATATTTATTTTATTTGATAATTTTTATCTAACAAATATGATTAATATTCTTATTAACTTAAATTGCTTATATATGGGAGTTTCAGGATTTTCTATGTAGTCAATCAAGTCAATTAAAATTAAATGTTTTTATTCATTTTTATGAATTATTGTGATTTTTACATTGTTTTTGATTTTATTGCATAGCCCAGGGCCTCTAATGAAAGTTTGAATATGCATGGTGAAAAGGGCTATTTTCTTCCTATTTTAATTTCAGTTCACTTCGATGCTAAATATACTGTTTATTTTCAATTTATGTCATTTCTTAAGTTAAAGATATTTTATTTCTTTTTCCTACATTCTCCTTAAATCACAAATTAATGTTGACATGTGTTAACTATTTTTAAGCATCTACTTGTGAGGATCATAGTTTTTCACTTTCCAATTAATTGCTCAATATAACATATTTAATTGGTTTTCAGACTGGACCCCTTAAAAATGTTCAAAAACTTTCCAGGGACTGTACAGGCTTGAACGATTTTAAGAGAATCAATTTAAATTGTGTTTTTTCTTAATATAGATGTGTCTGAAAATAGGCACACATTCCCCTTTCCCAATTGTTCTTCTTGCACGTAACCAAAGGAAATCTTAATTTTAATCTTTCTGGAATATAATGAGTTGACACTGGTTATAAAATACCCTAGAACAGAAAATTAGGGGGAAAATTAAACATACTTGTGTCATTTAGTCAAGGTGCCCTTAAGCCAAGAAAGACATTATGTCATTCCTCATCCTATGCATGTTTTGCTTAAGGGTGGGTAATGTGATATAGGAATGTGACATTCTGAATCCAGAAATGGTGTAACAATGTGGGAGAGATGACCACCTTCATTTAATAACCTCATCTATTTACCTCCACTATTATTCTAAAAGAATGCTTCACTGCTAATGGAGAATCCAACAAGAGAAAAGTCCTTAAATAAAAATGAGTGCTATTTAAGTGGCATTTATTTTGTTCAGGTTAAATATTTATGGCAAGCCTTTCTACCGTATCTGTCTTTTAGAGATTATATTATGGTTTCCTACCTTTTACCCCTTTCTTGGAAAATGAATGAACATCCAATGCCTTTGTCATATGGCATTGCTTTGGCTTCCATTAGAGTCACCTGAGTATTTATTGCTGGTCGCTTCACTTGGGGTTTAGCCTTCTTAGACCAATGGAATATGAAAGAAAGAAAAGTGGCAGTATAAGTGTTTCAGGCTTATGTTTTAAGAAACATCAAAAGCTTCTACTGAACTTTTTGAATGCTCACCTTCCACCATGAGAAAAACACATTGCAAAAGTGATACTGCTTCTTAAGTCTGGGTCCCAGAAGGAGAACAGGTAGAGCAGACGTAAATGGCCTAAGGCCTAGCCTACGTTCAAATAAAAACCAAGAAGGCGAACCTGAAAACACTCAACACTGAAAGAGTGAGGGCTGAACAATCATGTTATCTGTGTTACACAAGACAGATATCTAAGATAGTGAGGAAAATTAACAACTAAAATACTTGTATTCACATGTGTATTTGTGTGATGTTTAGTAACTATGAAAAACCCTCCTTTTAATCATTGTGAATAGTGAACACTGTTCTATGTAAAATTAGGAATTACTTTTTTTGCACTTGCTATTCTCTTTGCTCTGTGAGTCAAAACAGGGCAGGCAGCTCTAGATTTTCCCATGAACACACATAGGAACACTTGAAAAAATATAACACAACATAAACCCACAAGGCATGTAGAGTTATTTTATGTGAATAAATGTGGATAAATGTATTATGTTCCATTATTCTTTTAAAGAATAAACTCATCTTCAGTGTTATTATAAACTGTGCCTAAATTTAAGGGACAAAAATCATAACATAGTGAATTCCTAAATGAAGATCTATTCAGTGACAGGGAGAACCATCACACTGTGAAGAATAACAAGATTTTAAAAAAAGGCTTATGTGAAAGCTAATATTTCTCTGCAAAGGACTTGGCTGAAATGGAACACTGAGGATTATATTTAGATACTGGTATTCTTGCACTCAGAGGATGCACAGGAGAAAATAGAAATGATTGAGACTGATGTATGTGTTATAAATTCTAGTTCCGGAATTATAAATATCCAAGGAACAACCTGGATCATATGGAAGGATAAATTTAGGGCAATCAAATATTGCTTCAGGTTTTCATTAAAATTTATTATATACATACAATACAGGAAACCTTACAAACTGTATGAGAACTCACAAAAGAATTAAAGCAGCAGGGCATATGTATACTAAATGCTTTTGTCAACATTTATTTTTTTGAGAACTACAATCCAGGATGCATATTTCTCTAGGTTCATAGATATCCATTGAACATATTTTGTTGTCAAGGAGATTATCACAGAACCTCTTTTACAACTTTGTCTAGCAACGTCTTCAACAGAAATGAGAGAAAAAAAGATTAATTGTTTAAAGATCCAATAGCTACTAATGCTATTTTGGAACTATGTATATATTCAGAATCATACTGGTCATTGCACTGGTCAAAACAAAGCAGTTATTAATTAAGGTAATTAAATAACATTATTGGGTTGGGGGGAAACTAGGAAAAACAGAATTGTAGGCCACAACCCTCAATTATTTAGAAATATCCCTGGGGAGAGAAAAAACAAAATGGTTGGTCACAAAGAAAAGCAAGGTAGCATTTGATAATTTATGATTGTACCTAAAATATCAGTATAAGAAATGGTGGAAAATCAGATAATGCATGGCTTAGATACAAATCTTCCTTAACTTCCTCTTCTCCTCAGCTCACACTCAAAACTAATGATTATCGAAGGCCTGAGAAGGAAATATCTCAGATCACAGGAGAGAATAGAGGGGTCTGCGACCCTCTATCAAAAAAGAGTATAAATCTGGCCAGGCGCCGTGGCTCAGGCTTGTAATCCCAGCATTTTGGGAGGCCGAGGTGGATGGATCACTTGAGGACAGAAGTTCGAGAGCAGCCTGGCCTACATGGTGAAAGCCCTTCTCTGCTAAAAATACAAAACTTAGCCAGCCATGGTGGCACACGCCTGTAATCCCAGCTACTCAAGAGTCTGAGGCATGAGAATCACTTGAACCCGGGAGGTGGAGGTTGCAGTGAGCAGAGATCACACCACTGCACTCCAGCCTGGGTGACAGAGTTAGACTCCTTCTCAAAAAAAAACAAAAACAAAATCATAAGTTCATTTTTCACTTATGAAGTTTGTGAGCAAAAGAGATAAGATTTCATGGGTCAAATTATTTTATAAGGATCCAGATGATGAAGGGGGCACAATGTTTGTTCTAGTCTTCCATTTAGATCAGGGTAAGATAAGAAAATGATAAAGAAAGTAGTGAGTAAGCATAAATGTATGTTTGTCAAAATCATGTTTACTGATGATTTTGATAAATACTCACCTTAAAAAACAACAAAAGAAACAGTGTGCTATTTATTTTCTGAAGGTACTGGAAAGTCAACAGTAACTTGGTATTTCTAGTGTTCTCTGGGACTTTGAAAGGACAAAGAAATAGTTCAGGTCTAATAAGAAGTTGCCAAGAAAATTCATGGCTTCGTAATCATGAATTAATAAAATAAAGATATAAAGAAGACATATGTGATAAAAACCAACATGGTTATAGCAACCATGCTGTAATAGATCACAATAGATGGTTGGTGAAGAAGAGGAGGCTGTCTTTGAATAGAAACACTTAGCAAATAAATGTACATGACTAAAACAAAACATTATGTAAAGGTTAAGCCAAATGTGACTCAAACTTTACAAAATTTTAAGGAAAAATTAATGATTTTAACTATATCCAGAATATATATCTTGACTAGAATAATCTTTAAACCATAAGATAAAGAACAGAAATATTTATGAGACATGAAAGTCCTGTGTCAGGCTGGGCGCTGTGGCTCACGCCTGTAATCCCAGCACTTTGGGAGGCTGAGGCAGGCAGATCACCTGACATGAGGTATTTGAGATCAGCCTGGCCAAACACCTCACTGCAGGCAAAACTCTGTCTCTACCAAAAAAAAAAATACAAAAATCAGCCAGGCGTGGTGGTGAGCACCTGTAGTCCCAGCTACTAGGAAGGCTGAGGCAGGAGAATCACTTGAACCTAGGAGGTGGAGGTTGCAATGAGCCAAGATTGCGCCACTTTGCCTGGGTGACAAAGCAAGACTCAGAGAAAAAAAAGAAGGAAGGACAGAAAGTAGGGAGAGAGAGAGGGAGGGAGGGACGGAGGGAGGGAGGGAGGGAGGAAGGAAGGAAGGAAGTCCTATGTCAGTAAAGAGTTATTCAAATGAAATCAGTTTCTGACAAATATTATCTAAAAACAATAAAAACAAAGGGAGAAAGAGAATCCTTACTTCAAAAAATGTAACCTCCAAAACTTAAGAACTCAAGACAAATTAGAAAAGTGCAGGTAGGGAATATTTTTCTCAACAAGATCATAGTGAGCAGTCAGTAAACTTTTGTGAATGATTATAAGAATCACTGCAATACATCGGCAGAAATGGAATGAGAATGGAAAGCAAGGAGCAGGTACATATGAAAGATATTGTAGGGGTATGGGTACAATTATCAAAATCTGTTCATCGCCCAAATGTCATAGCATTAAAGACTAAGAATTCAACACTTATGTTTCAAGCCTTGATAAGTAGAAACAGTACATATACCTATAAACTAGAATATATTAGAAAACCTGAAGGAGGGTTACTTTAATTTGTGCTCGTGTAAGTTGATTATCATTGTTGTTAAATGCACTGAATTTGCAAAGCTGTAGCTATAATTAGGTACATTATTCATTTTCTTATGAAGCCTTTATATAACATTTACGGAGAACATATTATGTACGAAGAACCCATGTGTATATCAGAGTAGAGAAAATACTGAAGCTATGAGAGTTTAAACACTTACCAAAGGTCACAGGGTTAGCAAGGGTAGAATCAAAACACCTGCCTATTTGACTCTAAATCCCATGTTCTTTTCTTTAACCTAAACATATTTGGAAAATAAAGTAAAAAATAACAAAATGAGAGCAAAATGTCTACTTATTCATTGTTTCATTTCTAAATCCTAAGCTTTTGTCCTGGCAGTCATAGAGTTAACTCAGTTTTTCAAGCAGTTATGTTTTCTGAGCCTTCAAAGCTGTAGGTGGAATTAGATTCAGTCAGATGTGGGTTTGAAGCTAGACTCCCTATTAACTAGGTGTGTGACCTTGAGTGAGTGCCTTAACCTCCCTGAGGTTGAACAAAGCTGTTAATGAGCTCACAAAGCTGGTTGCCTAGAGTAGTCCTCACAAAGTGCAATTAGGAGAAGGAAGCAGGCCAATTAGTAATCCGAAACAGGAATTGATTCAAATACGCATCAGGAATGCATAGTGCTGGGTTATATCAATCAACCGATCGATCAGTCTGGGTTAAGAAAGGAGAAGTGACAGATAGCTTGGAGATATATATACTAATTCTGACTTCTTTTATATCTTAACTCCGTGTCACCTCTTTTTAAAGGGCTATTCATCAGAGAAGCAATGAGCAGTTTGAAAAACTAGAGCACTAAACTCAGACGAAACAATTTAGTTTAAGATTATTATTTGCTCATTGCCAATATTATGGCTTAGATTATAAAAATAAGAACTAAGGAGATTAGATCCCCAGTACTTATTTTTTAGGAATATACTGTTGACCTTTACTGCCAGTCTTTGACTGTATCTCTGAACCCTAATTATCTACCTGTGAAATGAAAGTTAAGGAATAAATAATATGATATGTTTTTGATATGAAAGTTCTCGAATTCTATTGCTTGAATTTTAACAAAAGTAACAGAGAAAGAAAAGAAAGCTACAAAAAATTAAAGCTATGTACATATTAAATATAAACTGTGATTGAAAAGAAAATGTCCCACATTAAGAAAATGTTTTTCAGTTAATGCATCCTGCAATCAATCATACTATTGGATTTAAAGGGTGATTACATATAATATACACATAAGTATATAAAATATATGTATATAAATATACGTAAGTATATAAAATAATATTAATTGGGTAAATATAAGAATATTTGAGTAAAATGTAAATATAAGAATATTTGAGTAAAATGTAAATTTGTAGTAGAAATGGAAGGAGTAAAAGCAACTATTGAATCCTACCAAATAAAAAAAATAATGGAGGATTGCCGTGTTATAATTTAAATTAAAAAAATCTAAATATTACATGTAAAATAATAATATACATGCATATGACCTATCACATTTAATTGAAAAGGAGAAAGCTTTTGTCCATTAAAAGAAGGAAAAACAGTAGGTCAAAGATGTAAAATTTTAGCTAAGTATTTAGTGAAATTTCAATGGGACATTTTATGGTACTAAAAAATTGTCAGTTTCCTCATTTTTATGAGATAACTATAAGAATTAAAAAAAACAAGTGTACTGTCTTTCACCTCATTGTTTTTATCATTTCATGAATCACAGAATGCCCAAACAGTAGGTCAAAGATGTAAAATTTTAGCTAAGTATTTAGTGAAATTTCAATGGGACATTTTATGGTACTAAAAAATTGTCAGTTTCCTCATTTTTATGAGATAACTATAAGAATTAAAAAAAACAAGTGTACTGTCTTTCACCTCATTGTTTTTATCATTTCATGAATCACAGAATGCCCAAACACTGTAGAGGCTTATATTCTACGATCGTAAGATATTGACAATGAACTACCTTGCCGCCTGGTCTGATTCCATTATTCAATGTCTTTTTATTTGCTATACATGGGATTTTTCTATCATCCTTATTTAATTCATCCAGAGAGGGCTGTTAAAAGTGCTGTGCTTGTTGTTCTTGCATCCAACCAGCACGGTTGGCCATGAAACATGGTTTGAAATTGAATTTCATTAATAGCTCAGCAGCCTATTAGTATCCCTTCTGTATGAATGCATGTCAGATTCATAGAGAACAAGCAGGGACCTGTCTTAGTTTGATCTCACAGACATCATCCCTTCTAAAATAAGGTAAAATGCTTAATCAAACCACAGGCCTTGATGCCTCCTCATTTCTGAAGACCCATACCCCAGGCATATGGGTTTGTCTCATTTTTAGATACACATAATAAAATGGTCATTCTGAAAGTTCATTCATGTGGGCCTGATACAACTGCTGACACAGTGGGCTTGTATTCTTTTAGAACATGGGGCACAGTGGGTGTTTGCAACAGGCTCTATTTGCTAGTCAGCTCTCACAATGGATCACAGTCTAAGTCCTTTCACCCCAGGCTTCAAAATTGAAACATGAACCCTCTGAGAAATCTTTCATGTATTTCCTTTAAACTAGGCTGCAAAAATAATGAGCAATTAGCTCTTGTAATGATGCACTGCTGTTTAGATGAACGACTTGTAGATATTTCAAGTAGCCCATTTGGATCCTGGAGAAAAGAAAAGAAGTCTACCTAGGAAGAGCCTTCCTATTTAGTCTTCAAAGTCGTAGGTTGCTCACCACCAAGCTGAGCTTCTGAATAAAATGGTTGCTTTTAGCCTCTATAAAATGTTGGCACCCTGTCAGAATCATGTTTTTCAAGTTTCATTTCCTAGTGCCAAATTTTCATGCTATGTAACTTTTTAGGTAGCCTCCAAGAAAAGTCAAAACTTTAATATCAAAAACTATCTTCCTGTTCTACAGATTTAGTTTGATTAAACAGGTTTGTAGCTTTTAAAGTATGTAGGATTTTCATTAAAAAAAAAAAATTGAAACTCAACCCTTGATCCCTTTCTCTGAAAGCTAGTCAAGGGTACATCTGTTAGCTGATTATTTTTGTTTGTGTGTTTGTTTGTTTTCCTACCAACATGAAAAAAAACCCACAATACATCTAGATCATATTAGATTTAATACATCTGAAATATCTGAAACACGTTTTCCCAGTTCATAGAGTTTGGTTATCCATGATTAATGGATCAAGTTTACTTTGATTTTTTTTTCCATTTTGTAAATGGTGGGAACTCTTCTAGAAAGCTCTAAAATTCCAATATGAGCTTTTAACCAGTATAAAGTCTCAGAGTGGAAATATTTTTCAGGCATAAATAGTCTTATTGCCAGAAACCAATTCCTTATGGTGAGTAAAGATTATTCACCTCTAATGTTGGATAAATAGTGCTTCAAAATAAGGTTTTACGACAAAAGGGCAAAGAGTTAAAAATGCTTTCTCTACTGACTCTGTAACTTCAACACATTACTTAACCTCTTTAAGTTACATAATTAAATAATTAAATTAACTTGGTGAGGCAAACATTGGTACAATTATTTATTAACACCTTGGATCAGATTAGTTTATCAGATCCCTAAGACTATTATAGAAAAAATAAAACGGGACACTGATAAGAAAATCTTAAAGGAAAAAGGGAAAAAAATGCTTAGAACATGGGGCATAAGAGACCAACTCTGAATGATGTACCCTAACAGATTATTAGTAACTAGAAAGCAGAGGCTCTCATGAGGCATCAAGCTTCTTTTCATCAGAATCTATGTGTTTTCAACTTTACCTAACACATGATACATCATTCAATTGCAAGCACCTAGCATTTAGCAAGAACTCAAACTTTACTGAATAAAAATTTATGACATTTTGTCTATGGAGTCATGAGTACACTGAGTAATATTAGGTACAGAAAGTAGAATAAGATGCTATAGACAGAGTTTTCATATATTTTTTCCATCATATTCCTTCACACATTCTGGTTTATGGCTTCCTTTCTGTGAGTGTATAAAAAAGGCCAGTCTTTAGTATCTGCCAAATTCTCCCTAGAATCTTATTCTGCTTGGACCAGAAACCAGTTTAGTACTCGCCGCCCCTAAATTGCTGATGAGAGCAGAACGTCCAGGGTAGAAAGTCCTGTTTGAAGCCCTGTACCACGCCAGGATAGTAGGGAAGGCACAATCTAGAAATGTTAATGGCTCAAAGATACAACATAGGAATTGGAGGAGAGAAGTTCCCTACATACCAGGCTCTATGTTTTTTGTAAATCTATTTTATCCTCTCCAGGGGATGATTCAGTATGAATGACATAATTCTCATTTCTGCAAAGCAGGAATATATTTCTAGTGAAGGATTAAGGACTAAGAAAATTAGAAACACTCCAGGAGCTGAAGAGGGTGGGAAGTTAATAGATGGCTGGTAATGGAGAGATCAGAACAAAAGGCCTGGGGGGATTATGAGTCTAAAGACCACTTCATCAAAAATTTGAAGTGAGGAGAATCTATCAAGTAGGAAGGCAACAGAACCATTTATTCAGCTCATAAAAGAGACTTTAGATGATTCTTGTTGAGATTTTCTAAGCAAAAAACTTGTAGTGAGGGCACAGCAAAAACTGTACACATGGGGAATCAAACAGAATAGTAAATCCACCATTTTTGTGCATGGCAGGGCTTTAATGTTAGCAAATTTCCTGAAAAAGAGGGTACAAGGCCCACAGGCTCCTTTTTCTGCCCCTAGTAATGATCTCATGCATGCCAGAGCTACAGGCGCTTAGAAGCACAGAATGCTTACACCTGGAAAATAAGTTTCTGGGTTCTCTAAGTTTTAAGTAGTGCATATCTTTCTTATTTTAGGTATGTTTGTTGGTGTCAAAATATTCATTTTTAAAGCCAAGTTCCCTGAGCAGTTTCAGTGCTATTTCCGTCCAACTGCTTACAAAATTTTTAATTTTTTTTGTTTTTGTTTGTAATTTCAGCAAAGCAGCCACTTGAATGCCTCATTTTATCTAAACAAAAACTCTTTAGAGTGAGCAGGCGGGAGCTGGACAGCGGCTTGCCCAGCTGTCACAAGCAGGCAGCTTCTCTGTGGAGCTCCGACTCTTCAGTCTCTCTGACAGCCTGTGATCCAAAGCTCTTTCCTGCTCAAATGGAGTTCCAATTCAAAGGGGAGCATATAACACTAAAACTATGGGATTATGGCAGAAAAAATACAAGTGGATAAATCTTCTCACCTGTCTCACAAATTTCTATTGTTTTCTACATTTCCAGAGGATGAAATGAGTAAGACAGAAGCAAACTGAATGCTTTTCCGTTTTTTTCTTTTCCTGAACTACATACGTAGACAATATTTTGGGGGGAATGAAAGTACGAAACTCTTACTCTTTTTTTTCTTTTTTTTTTTTTTTAAGGAGTATCACTCTGTTGCCCAGGCTGGAGTACAATGGTGCAATCTCGGCTCACTGCAACCTCCGCCTCCCGGGTTCAAACGATTCTCCTGCCTCAGCCTCCCGAGTAGCTGGGATTACAGGCATGCGCCACCACGCTGGGCTAATTTTTTTTTTTTTTTAATTTTTAGTAGAGACGGGGTTTCACCATATTGGACAGGCTTGTCTTGAACCCCTGACCTTGTGATCCACCCGCCGCAGCCTCCCAAAATACTGGGATTACAGGCATAAGCCACCGTGCCTGGCCAAAAGTGTGAAACTCTTATACCCTACCCTTGAACCTTGCTCCTGCTGAACTCTGAACATTTAGCTTTCACCCGTCTTTGACCATCTTGCCTAGGACCCTGCATTCCTATTGAATGTCATATGAAAATAAAATGTGTATTTTCCATTTCAAACATGAATACCTTTGACAACTGAGGCACACCAATTTTTTTTTTTCTTGTTTCTTCATATGTAAACAAGAAAACAATAATGGTGATATGAGAAAGGTGATATCTTTGGGGTGATATCTTGAAAATTAAATTCACAGAAGTTACTCTTAAAAGGAAGTTAAGGCACTGTTTTTTTAAAATGAGTGAGAAAGAAGTCTCATTTTATTTCATTAAAATTATATTAGCCTTTCTTCATTTAATTAGAGTCCATCATAAAAGGGAAGCCATCTGACCTCTGAGAGGACTACCTGGAAAGAGAAATCACTTTCCAACTACCATTGAAGACATATTCTATAAGCTCAATTATTGGAAATTTTCTTTAAAAGAGAAAGTCTAAGTCAATCAAATTTCTCTAATTGCCTCCTCAATGGTCTCTACTAGCAACAGATGAAAAAACAGATGAAGTTGACGTATTAAAAAGAGAAATGTCTGTTTTGTCCTTTCAAATCTGCTTTCGACAATTTCACATTGAGTACTGTTTCACTTTGAGAGCAAGTGTCTAAAATGGCAGGTGTGACATTGAGACACCCACCGTAGGAGCTGACTGATGACAAAGACTGTACAACATAGAATTTTTATTTTTTTCATTTTTCTGCCAGTCTGAAGTCAGATTGACCTTTTATCCCTCTGGTTTTTACCCTTAAACTTTTTTGTCTCATTAAAGAAGTTATTCTAATTTTAATGATTAAGCCTTTTTATAAAGTTAAACATGTTTACAGGAAAGGGATCTTGAATTCCAAATGAGAATGTCTCAGACCTAAGGAGAAAGAGGTCAAATTCTGAAATCAGATTAGAATCATCCTATCTATCACAGTGTTCTCTTTATCCTTCTACACTGTTGTCCAGTCTCTAAGCAGAATGAGCTCTGCCTAATAAAAATCCTCCAAGGGGCACTGCAACAGGAACTTGATTAAAAATACAGGCTGAGATTTCAATTACACATGGGCCACTAATTAGTAAAACGTTCTTTACTTTTGTGTTTTAATGTTAATATTTATTAAACCTCTTTAATATTTTAATTTTTTTATTTTTCTCTGTTCTATTGTACTCATGAGGGTCTTATTTATTTGCTAAATCTTGTCCTTTTTATATTTTAGAATACTGGGAAATCCTAAGATATAAAAGTTAAACACTCAGCTCATATGTCATCTTCTTCAGTTGGCTCTCTTCCCTTATCTGCTCACAGACAGGGAACAACAGTCGTTTGGCTTCCTTGATAAGTGCTTTCACTCATGACAAGGAGGTGGTTATTAGCAGAATTTTCAGAGTTCAAGTGCCTAGGCTCAACTTGTAGATTGCCCAATCACAGGTTGCATTGTGTGATAGTGAGCAAATCCATTTATCTCCACCTGTTTTCTTTATTACTAATTTACGTGTAATAATAATAAAGTGTATCTCACAGGGATGTTGTGATAATGAGCTAAGATATTCTAATTAAAGCACTTAGTGTAGTGTGTCACACCTGTGAAGTACTAAAACTGGATTTTGTTAATTAGCTTGAAGTGTGGGTAAATGGTATTGATACAGACTTGGGGATCTCAAGTGCAGTGTGTGCTCTATAAATATGTAATCAATTAAAGGTAATTCAACTCATGCGGTAGAGCAAGCCTAGAAAATGAGGCATTGGGCAACCACCTGGTGCCCAAAGTGTCTGTGTAGGAAGTTTGTATCACGTGCTTTGGAAATAATACACTGTGAAAAATAAGACTCAAAAAGGTGGAAGATAAAAATTATTTACCAAGTTCAGTTTTGTTGTAGGGGTAATGGATGACAATATTTTGTGATACAAATAAATGATTAAACATGCTATAAGAGTAAATTATATTTATTGTTTTCTTATTAGGTTCCAGATATGTTTAAAATACACTATAATTTTAATAAAATTATTACAGGTATTGTGTTAGGGTTCTCTAGAGGGACAGAACTAATAGGATAGATGTATGCATAAACGGGAGTTTATTAAGGAGTATTGACTCTCACAATCAGAAGGTGAAGTCCCACAATAAGCCATCTACAAGCTGAGGAGCAAGGAAGTCAGTCTGAGTCCCAAAACCTCAAAAGCAGGGAAGCTAACAGTGCAGCCTTCAGTCTGTGGTCCAAGGTCCAAGAGCCCTTGGCAAACCTACTTTTCACACTAGTGTAAGTCTCCGCTGAAGAACTTGGAGTCTGATGTTCGACGACAGGAAGCATCCAGCATGGGAGAAAGATGAAGGCCGGAAGACTCAGCCACTCTAGTCCTTCCACATTCCTCTACCTGCTTTTATTCTAGCAGAACTGGCAGTTGATTACATGGTGCCCACCCAGATTGAGGGTGGGTCTGCCTCTCCCAGTCCACTGAATGGAATGTTAATCTCCTTTTGCAACACCGTCACAGACACACCCAGAAACAATACTTTGCATCCCTCAATCCAATCAAGTTGACATTCAATATTAACCATCACAGGTATAAAAATTATTTCTTCACGCACTTAAATAATCTGAGAGAGATATCCTGATTATAGGTAAAGATTCTATGACACAGGGTGTCTAAGGTAGCGAGTCTAATATCATGAAACTAGTGGTTAGTTGTTATTGAAATTTGAGTCAAGGTGGTAGAATGTCTGATTCGATTAATCAGCAAAGCAATGCTTCACCTAACAGGTGATATTTTAAAAATCTATATGAATTGATTTTTTAAATATTTATTTGATATTTACTATTGGTATGTGCACGTTCACCATTTATACACAGGATTATATTCTTAAATAATTTACCATGCAAGGGGAAAATGCTAGGTACATCATTAAGTTTAATGCAAGGTATAGTACACTGAAATAATTAAAATTGCTATGCATGTTAAGAGGGCAAGAAGTTAAAGTGACTAAAATTTTTGGAGTATCTCACTTGGCATAAATTGCATGATCATGTGAATGATCACATCAGTTCTGATGGGTAAATTTTATTATTCTCTTTTCTAGATGAGATCACTGAGAGTGAGAACTGCTAAAGTTGGCCCAAAGTCACACAGCTGGTGTGAGGCAGAGCTGTATCTAAATTTACTGGTCTAACTTAAAAGCTTGGGTTCTTATAAACTTTTGAATCAACTTCCACATCCAGGCACTGGAAGAATTAAAGGGCTGATGACACTGGTAGCATTTATAATGATTTATTAAAAATGGATAGATTTTTTATAGAACCATAGAATTTCATAGATGAACAGGGATTTTTGGTGTTTTCTATTTCCACCCCTTTGTTTTACCAATGAGATCAAGAGAATTTTGACAAGCAGATATTTGTAGAAAGATGAGTCAAAAAGTGTATTTTATGCAGGGGAAGTAGCATAAACAATTGCACAGATCTATTAGAGAAGGTTGGTATTTTGAAGTAAAATTGGGTAGATCAATTTGACTCAAATATGGCCTATATATATGTAATTAGTGGAATATAAGACTGGAAATGATGGTTGTGGCTAGAAATTGAAGAGTCTGAAAATGACTGGCTGAGGAGTTTAGAAATGACTCAGTAGGCAAAAACCACAATTCCTTTTGCACAACCTATTAGGTTGTAATCACTGAGAGTTTAGAATTTAGGAGAAGCGTAAAGCTAAATATATTGTTTTGTGAATTGGTAAATACAGGTGCTATTTGAAGTTCAAGCTGTTGATAAGAAGTGGAAACAGTCCTAGAAGAGAAGAAAGCAAGGAAATGCACTTATAGGAATGCTTTTATTTGAAGAAGAAAAAGAAATTGGAGAAAAAGAATAGAAAGAGGAAGAATAACATAAAATCCTGTGACAAGGTGAGAAAGAGCAACATGAGAAATATATGGGGAATTAGAGAAAAAGAAATTGTCTTACAAAGTAAAAATATGAAAAGTACTATTTGCAAATCTAGATTACTATCATATGCATAGTCTACATCCTTTATTATTATTCTACATTTTGTGATATATTTAAATGAAGTGTTAACAGCTATGTAGCTTGTAAGTTCAACTAAATAAACTAATATAACTTTTAACTTAGCATGTGTCAGAGTCTGTGGTGAAATCTGGAGCTAAGAGGCTGAATATGGCGCAATTTCAAACCTCTACTTATTCACTCTACACTATCTACCTAGGGAAACAGACAATAACGCATCATAGCTGTTCATTTCAAATGGAAATGCTATAGCAGAAGTCTGTAAAGGATTTGTGTAAAAGTGAGATTATCCATGCAGTCTGCAAGACATACGTTCATGGAATGATAACCACAGATACCATTCAGAAGATAGTTCAGAGGAGATCATAATGAAGAGGTGGGCTTTTGAGAAAGTGAATTTTATTGCAGACAGATATAAGTTCTGCAGCGTATTGCAGGAAATTTTATGACTCAAGAATAGGAAAGTAGTAAACGTGAAGCTAGAAAAACAGACAAGAGCTGGAAAATTAGGGAGATTTTGAGTTATATTCAGAATTCAGCTTTAATTCTATATAGAAAAGGGTATTATAGAATGGATTTAAATAGAACTTGACATAAGCAAATTGACATTTTTAGAAAGACCATTTTACAGGTAGAGTTCGGTCAGATTATACACAAATGATACCAGAACTATAGAGGCAGGGCAGCTGCTCAAGCAGTCGTAGTGGTCACTGGGTGAGGGAGGTAGAAATTCAGAACTACAGCAATGACAGTGGAATTTAGAAGCAAAATATTTATCGTAGTTAGAGAACAGAAGTTTTATATTTATAAAAGATAGACTTCTGTCTGAGTCATCCAAACATAATAACTTGCAAGAGTGAGTGTGGTTACATATTCTAGACATTTATATTGTGGGGGAAATATTTGTCAGAAGTGAAGGTTAAATCTCAATCTAGGACATGTATTTAAGATGTTTATCTGTAACACTGTGAACATTATTTTTGGAGAAAATACATCAACTTCTCCAAGAAATGCTATCAAGTGACTTGTAACTCTCTGGACATGTTAGATGTGTTACTGGACCAGAGTGCTGTTTGATCATGGAAGACTGAGCCTCCCTGCCTATAGTTAAATCTGTCTCTCTCTCTCTCTCTCTGAACGGAAGAGAACATAGAATTGATTAAACTAACTTATTGCACAAATACCATATATTGTTATAGTGCATTTAAAATTATTCATAGCAATAGATGGTATCAACATAATATGAATAATGAATGCATGCTAAATGCAAGTCTTTTTTTACTAAAGTTAGCAGCTTCCTGAAGGTCAGTTTTACATACCAAAGTCAGCGCATGTGATTCAATTTAATAAAAACTCATTGATCTCTTTCTATGTGCCAATCATTACACTAATACTGGGACTGTAGAGGGGTCACAGAAAAAGACAGACTCAGCAAATTATGGCCAGGATGTAAACCAATCCATTAAATTAAAACCGATTGGGGAGATATATAGTATACCTCTCTTTACAGGAAAACGATGCCAATTATGAACTCTAGAGATGATTCCAAAATCTAATTATGAATTAGGATTAATAATTGTATTAATATATCAGAACTTCCTAACAGTCAGAGATTCTAATAGAAAATATTCACATTTGTCGAATTAGAAATATATGTTATTTGCTGTGCTGAATGAATGTGGACATATTAACATTCCAAAACATAAGCTTGCTGTGGTATATATATTGAGACTGAATATTACCTTTTAGCCATATTCATGCTCTCATATTTTGCTTTTAATGTTTATAAGTTAAGATTAATTCATCATTCCAATACTCAGAAAGGAGAATAAGTGCAATACATAGAGTTTAGAAGTGTAACCACTGAAATAACCCACGGCTTTACTCTGAGTTGTCAGGTCTCCATGAGTCTTGTTTAGCTTATTTTTTCCCTCTGATTTTAAAGGGATCTAAAAAATCCACAGAAGTACTTACACAAATAGATATAGAATTCTGATTTGCGACACTTTGGCCTGTCAAGGAGATCAAATCCATTCAGTTAACCTGCCATTTCTCAATGATAAAAAGGGGGTAAATATTTGTTTTTAAGTTTTAATTCATGCTAGCACAATGCAAACAAAACAAAACAAAACACAAACATTCTTAGTCCTTAGCAAACAACAGTAAAATTTCAACAGTGTAGAGCGGAGCAGCATGCCCACATCATACTTCAGCAGCAATTACTGTGGATGATGGTGTTGGCTCTCCCCAGGAAATGTCACTAAAGAGACTGGCAAGAACAAGCTTTACCTATTTGTGGCAAAAATAAAACCAGAGGTGGTGGTGGTAATGGGGGAGATTTAAAGCTTCAATCATACTAAAAATACGCTTGCTCATTTTAACTACATTCTTCCTCTGAGTAAAGAAAAATCAATTAACATGTACCTGGTCTTATAAGAATTTGTATTTGTATTTTTCATTAAGGATGGCCATTTAATTTACATTGACTGATATATTGCTGCTGAAAAGAGAAGTCCTTGATTGTTATATACTGAAATGAAAGCATTTTCTTTGTTTTGAAGAGAAGCCATATATATTTATTAAAGCCTCATGGCAAGGGTTTGCTCATGAGGTCTTAAGCATATGATTTTCATGTCTTTATTTCATTGAATATAAAAGAACATATAGAAATTATATAAAATTATAAATATATATTTACTTGGCGAAGCTGAAATTTTAGCTACTCCACTTAATAGATCAAAATCTTTAAAACATGTATAATTCAGATCTATTAAAGAGATTGCAGATTTTAACTTTAAGGTTTCATTCATATTTTGTAAATATTTGAGTTTTATTTAATGTTGACATTAAATATTGTCATGAAAGTAGCATGTGTGCTATTGATTACAATACAATTGTCAGAATCAGATATTATACTTCTGTTTTCCATTATTACAAAATTAATTTTACCTGATCAACTTAATCTTTTTTAAAAATTAGAAACAGCCTCACTGTTCTTTTTAATGTCTCAGAAAATGTTGTTAATTCATTGATACTTAACCAAGTTAGACATATCTAAAGGCAGCTGAATTTTATAAAGTACAAAATTATTTAATGTCATACTATATCTATGTTTTTCAGTACTGTACATCAGCACCTATCATACTGCTTTTAATTTTTTTTATTTTATTATTATTTTTTGAGACAAGGTCTCCTTATGTTGCTTGGCTGGTCTCGAACTCCTGAGCTTAAGTGACCCTCCTGCCTCAGCCTCCCAAAACACTAGGATTACAGGAGTGAGCCACAATGCCCAGCCTGTTATATTGCTTAACGCATGATGTGGGGACTCAGTAAATATTTGTGTATAAAATAAATGAATAAATGAATCAGCTAGAAAATCAGCTTTATGAAAGTTGAAACCCATTAATTTCTGACTCACAATTTTCATATAAGCCAAAGAAAAAAAATATTGTGAAGGAAACGTTTTTTCCAAATAAAATTATTTGCAAAGACAATTATATTGTCTAGGGGAACGCATCACCTCATCTGACTCCTTCATTATTATTCACATCAATTCCTTTTTCAAATGGAGGAAACTAGGCTCAAAGTAACTAATATGAGAAATTTCTTTTGTTAAGCATAAGAAAAATCTTGACAACTTATAAGGATTTTTGTTTTTGTTTTTCATCAATGTAATTATTTTAGATATGAATAAATAATTTGGTATTTAATAAACCCTCTAATGTATCAATATCATGATATAATACTTCATAAGTATATAGTATTCTACAGTGATTAAAAATAACTATTTTCACTAATCAAAAATTATCGGTATGTTATGTTTTTAATTTTATCTCGATAAATTCATATGTATAGGTATCATATATATAAGATAGTATAGCTAAGATGAGATAGAAATTACTGTATCTTTACAGTGAAATTTATTATAGGTGTGCATAGGTGAGTTTAATTTAGGCAACTATGATCATATGTTTTTGGAGACAGAAATATTAAGTGTGTGAAATATCTAAATAGAGCGGACAAGAAAACATATTTAAATAGAGTGCTCAAGCCGGTTTATGCAGGTGAGCTGACGTGAGGTGGAAAACAGAAAATCGTGTTCCATTTATTAAATTCAAATTCTGAAAGCCCTGTAATGGTTTGAGCATTTCACAAAGTAGTGTGCAATTCGCGTTCTAATGTACAATACAGATTTTTCGTATTACTTGGCGGCTAATATTTTTAATCACTTTAAGAAACTTCAATCTGTTTCAATGTCAGATGAAAAACCAACTGTTGAAACTAATAGGTTTCTTAATGGTTGGCTTAAGTGACTTTTAGATAGACTGCTTATGCGAATTCACTTTACCTCCTGTATGTAGAGCTTAATCTCCACATTTTTACTTGGCATCAATGTATTTATAATTTCTAAGAAACTTTCTAAGGTGAATTTTTATAATTATAAGATACTTACAAAATAAGACAGTATGATGCAGTTTTTGTCTTTGAAGAAAATATCACGATTGTGCTGAGATGCAAAAAGAGAAAATTATTCCAAGTAGCATCTTGATTATCAATGAACAAATTACCATAGCACTCTCCAGATTTCTTTTCACCACCCTGACAAATTTGAGAAACGTTCCACAGTGCCCACATGGAAGGGATTTCCAGATAGGAATGAAGTACGCTGAAATTAACATTGGAACATGAAAGAGACAGGGAACTATCACTTGGGAAAAAAGAAAGCATTCACAAGTGATTCTTTTATATTTTCTTGAGAGCTCTCATAAGAATCATTCCCATTAGAGACTGGCGGGCGTGCTACACAATTATAATTCACACTTACATGCACACATGTACACACACATGTTCAGGGAAGAAGAATGTCAGTAAGGAAGAAAAGGGACATGACGCAATTAGAGGCAAGAAAGCCCATAAATCAAATACTGAATATAGGTTTGTCTAGTAGTAACTTGTTTACATCATCTCCCTCATCTTGCTCAGGTACTTCATGAAAATGTCTGGAATGATGAGATTTATGATAGATTCTTAGTTGGAGACCTTAGGCATAAGGATGTAAAATTGACTATGTGGCCCTGGCCTCTTTAGTGCTGTCTCCCAGTAATTGAACTGCCCAGCCAGGCACATTCCATATTAAATACTTTTTAATACATATACTTTTATATGTATATAATGTAATTGCAATAAAATACATGAAAAGCTTCTTACTATTGGGCAAATGGATAAAGACCAAACTAAAAACTCTCCAGACTTAAATGCAGATGATAAATCCATGAATAACAAACAATAAATACAAAACAAAAGACTATGCGTAAGATAATGGTGGCTTTTTCTTTTATTGCTTTAGCATTCAAATCTTAGACATATTTGATGTTACTTTTAAGTTGTATTTATTGACTGCTTTATTCACAATAAAAGATACCAGAATACTATAATAAACAAATCTATAAATTTAAAATTAATTCCAAGAAATAATGTCCAAGACAGCCTTAACATTTCTCTTAGCTTCTTGCTGCCTCTGGGCACCTGACCTTCCTCTCACCCTGGCCCTTACAACATCCAGATTGCCCAATCACAGAGGTCTCTTCCCTCCCTTTTCTTAAAGCATTGACATTAGAAAATTTGTCATTGTCAATTCTTTCTTTGCCTCTTTGAGATGTAGGTAAAACCTTTGTATAAGCCTCTTGTAAGTATTACAACTTAGGAATGTGCCTCTCCAAAACCTGAGAAACATCTCTTCGAAATGTAATCATCAAGGAAGATAGCACCCCTATCTCTCGTGTTTTTCTGAGTGAGTAGGGGCCTTAGGCCCTCTCTCAAAGTAGAAAAACTTTCTCTTGTCATGAGATATAAGGAAATCTACTTTTCGTATGGGTTGGGCCAGTTAGCAAACAGATGGCCCAAAGAACCCTCTACCCCATCTCTTAAAATCTATCCTGCTCCTTGTTTCAATGCAATTCAGTTCACTCTGGTTTCTCTCCACAACTACAATAGCCTTGAATAAAGTCATTACCTGCTTAACTGTTCCAGAGCAATTTTTGACTTGGCAGTCATTATGAAGGATTATAGAATATTTTAACATGTTAAAGGCTGAAAATAAATTTAAAATTATACTGACCTTTGAATTCCACTGAGAAAAATCATTTATTTGAAATTCCTTAATGATGGTCAGGCGCGGTGGCTCATGCCTGTAACATTAGCATTTTGGGAAACCGAAGAAGGCGGATCACCTGAGGCCAGGAGTTCCAGACCAGCCTGGCCAACATGGCAAAACCCCATCTCTACAAAAATTAGCAGGACATGGCGGTGCATGCCTGGAATCCCAACTACATGGAAGGCAAAGGCATAAGAATTGCTTGAACCAGGGAGGCAGAGTTTGCAGTGAGCTGAGATCGCGCCACTGCACTCCAGCCTGAGTGACAAGATTGAGAGCTTGTTTGAAAACCAAAAACAAATAAAAATCCTTAATTTTATGGTATTCATATATTCATATTATAATTATATTCATCCCTGATTATTTAAAAACAAATCTTCTGTGAATCTTCGAATACTATACAGTGTCATTGAATATGAGTGTGTCCGAAACTGGTGAGTTCTTGGTCTCACTGACTTCAAGAATGAAGCCATGGACCGTGGCGGTGTGTGTTACAGTTCTTAAAGGTGGTGTGTCCGTTGTTTGTTCCTTCTGATGTTCAGACCTGTTCAGAGTCTTTTTCCTTCTGTTGGGTTCTTGGTCTTGCCGTCTTCAGGAGTGAAGCTACAGACCTCTGGGGTGAGCGTTACAGCTCTTAAGTCGGTGCGTCTGCAGTTGTTCCCTCCTCCCATTCGGAGTTGTTCATTTCTCCCAGCGGGTTCATGGTCTCGCTGGCCTCAAGAGTGAAACTGCAGACCTTCTCAGTGAGTGTTACAGCTCATAAACGCAGTGTGGACCCAAGCAGTGAACAGCAGCAAGATTTATTGCAAACAGCAAAAGAACAAATCTCCCATGCTATTCAAACACACCTAAGCCGGTTGCTGCTGCTGGCTCCTGCAGTCTACTTTTATTCCCTCATCTGACCCCACCCACATCCTGCTGATTGGCCCATTTTACAGAGAGCTGATTGGTCCGTTTTACAGAGAGCTGATTGGTCCGTTTTACAGAACGCTGATTGGTCCGTTTTGACAGGGTGCTGATTGTGCAGGGATTTACAATCCCTGAGCTAGACACAGAGTGCTGATTGTGCAGGGATTTACAATCCCTGAGCTAGACACAGAGTGCTGATTGGTGTATTTATAATCCTCTAGCTAGAGGTAAAAGTTCTCCAAGTCCCCACTAGATTAGCTAGACACAGAGCACTGATTGGTGCGTTTACAAACCTTGAGCTAGACACAAGGTGCTGATTGGTGCGTTTACCAACCTTGAGCTAGACACAGGGTGCTGATTGGTGCATTTACAATCCTTTAGCTAGACATAAAAGTTCTCCAAGTCCCCACCAGATTAGCTAGATACAGAGTGCTTATTTGGTGCTTCCATGATCCCCGAGCTAGATACAGAGTGATGATTGGTGTATATACAATCCTCCGGCTAGACAGAAAAGTTCTCCAAGTGCCCACCTGACTCAGGGGCCCAGCTGGCTTTGCTTAGTGGATCCCACCCCAGGGCCACAGGCTGAGCTGCCAACCAGTCCCGCACAGTGTGCCTGCACTCATCAGCCCTTGGGCGGTGTATGGGACCAGGTCCTGCAGAGCAGGGGAGGGTGGGTGCCTGACGGGGAGGCTTAGGCCACGTGGGAGCCCACGGCTGGGCTGGGGAGTGCTCAGGCATGGCGGGCTGCAGGTCCTGAGCCCTGCCCGGCAGGGAGGCAGCTGAGGCCAGGTGAGAATTCGAGCATGGTGCAGGCAGGCTGGCAGTGCTGGGGTACCCGGCGCCCCCTCTGCAGCTGCTGGCCCAGGTGCTAAGCCCCTCACTGCCTGTGGCTGGAGGTGCCAGCCAGCCCCTCTGAGTGCAGGGCCCGCTGAGCCTGCTCCCACCTGGAACTCGCACTGGCCTGCCAGCACTGCACGCAGCCCCAGTTCCCACCCATCTCTCTCCCTCCACACCTCCCCACAAGCAGAGGGAGCCAGCTCCAGCCTCTGCCAGCCCAGAGAGGGGCTCCCACAGTGCAGCGGTGGGCTGAAGGGCTCCTCAAGCGAGGCCAAGGAGGTGCTGAGAGCCAGCAAGTGCTGCTAGCACATTATCACCTCTCATGAGTATCTACATAACAAGTGATAATAGGAAATAAGATTTAATAAACAATTTATTCTGCAACAGAAATTGTGATTAATGGTTTCCAAGTATTGCCAAATGGAATCTTTGTATAACCCTCTAAGGGAGATAATGTTATCATTTTTATAGGAAATTGAGGCTTAGAGTAGTTAATTTAACTATTTCTGATTAAAATCATCCAAGTTAAAAACATTTGTAAAGTATGACAGTCTACTTTCCATTTAATCTAGATATATAGTACTGATATTATTTTAATATTTCAATGATATATAATTTTTGAAGTATATAGAATCATTTTTCCTCATGCTAAATGGGTCCAAATTGCTTATCTTGCTTTTGCTGCACAGATTAATGTATTCCATATTTCTTCTTTTGGGGTTTCATAAAAGCCATCAAACACAATGTTCCAGCTTTGAGCTTATCGTTTAAAACTGAAGTAAAATTGAAAAAGCCAAATAGCAATTTTTTTGTGTGTGCAAAGTGTAACCCTAAATTAAACAGAATATTAAGTTAATGCCTCTGGTTTCAAATAATCTATGGATTTTTCTTTGGTAAAAATATATTTTTTCTAGCTCTCAAATTTTTATAAGTTATACCTTTGTGTACTTCACAGTATTATAGATACCATATGAACTTTGGAGTCAGATGGAATTGGGTTTTCATTCAGTCTATTGGGCATAGTTTCACGGATCACATAATTTCTCAGATACAAAAGAATCTTCTGTACTATATAATGGGAATAGTAATAATAAAATGTTTATACAATGAGATTAAGATGAATTTAAAATACAATACTATTTTCTATTTGTTTTTATCTTAACTGAGTTTCTTCTGCTTTTCCTTCACTCTGAATTTATATGATAATCAATTATATCTTGTATAACCAGACCTATTTCAATTCCAATTAATGGAAATCTAAGTAGTTAAAACAACAGAAGAAAATTATATTTCTTAATTTAAAAAATTATGCCAGCCTTAGAAATAGCCAAGGATTTTAATGAAATCAGAGACTTTATCCTCTTATCTCTTTTATTCTTTGATGACTTTATGATCTCAGTCTAGCTGGATTCATGGCTCTCTCTTCATTCAGGCTTGCAAACTTCTACTTCTATGAGCACACAGGAAGAAGCTATGTCATACTCAAAACAATTTGGAAGTTTCTACGAAAGGACACACACAGGCCTGGATCACATCCATTGTCTACACCTTGAACCAATGTCATTGTTGAAGAAGTGGCACTTTTTCACCTCTGTGACAGAGATGAGATATTATGAATGGATGGCTGATGTGTGATTGCAGGTAACTGGTGAGTCAAAAATAATATCGCAGGTTTTTCATGCCCTAGTAACAGAAATAACTGACTAGGGCATATGTCAAACAGCTGAGTTTGAAATTTCCTCTGAAAATTATGCTGTGCTTAATTTCTACGTTTTTAAATCAAGAATTAACATTTTATATACAGCATTGTTAATTGCAAATAAAATAACATATAACACCACTGAGCAATATAAATGCCATAGGCTAGCTTCATTAATGAGCCAATGACTCCAACCTTGATGTCTCTTCTAATTATGCACAATGCACTGTTTCTTTCAAAAGAAAACGTCTAATTAATTAGATACAAATGTCATCTATAGGTCATTAACAGCTAATGCGATCACTGATGATTCAGTTTTGTCCAAGGCAACTTAATACTCCTCTGGGATTTCCAGAAAATGTCACCTTTGAGTCAGAAAGTTCTTCTGCAGCTGAAGGATTACAGAAAAGAAAAATAAATCTCCAAATCCTAAACTTTTTCATATGGAGTAACTCTTGTCTTAACCAAGTGATAACTACAACTTTTTTCAGACACACATATGTGAAGATCTCCTGTTAGTCATATAAAGTAATTAGGTGTTTGAATTAAAGCATGTTCTTGAACAAGAAAATATTTGTCTTTTCCAATATTTAAAATGTCATTCTTCTTCAGGAGAAGAAATATTATCAAATTCATATTTGGACCACCACATCATCATGGCAAAATAATCCTTCACAAATTTTGGTTATGTTCACCCACAAATGTATTAAACATAAAGTAATTTATCACTTGATAACTTGGGGAATACCTGTTAAATATGTATTATTTTAAGTCAAAATCTCAAAATAATTATTTTAAGTCAAAAACTTATTTTAAGTAACAAAATAGTAGTACTTCAAGTGAATGATTGAAAGTGGAATAAAAATTGTTGTGAACAACCCACGGAATATCTAAAAACTTGTATTATTTTAAAGAACTCATGAAAATACTAAAATCAGAAATGGAATGAGTGTTTCATTTTATGCCCAACATTTATACGAATTGTACAAATTGCGTGACTTCAACTTGTAAACATAATTATTAAAATCATAGTTCACTTACAGACTATTAACAAAAGTTTTTACATTCTAGCTTTTATGGCATCTTGCTAGCTTTGAAAAGTAAATGACTCTTTAAAAGTACTCATTTCAGGCCGGGAGCGGTGGCTCATGCCTGTAATCCCAGCACTTTGGGAGGCCGAGACAGGCAGATCACGAGGTCAGGAGATTGAGACCATCCTAGCTAACACGGTGAAAACCCATCTCTACTAAAAATACAAAAAATGTAGCCAGGCATGGTGGTGGAAGCCTGTAGTCCCAGCTACTTGGGAGGCTGAGGCAGGAGAATAGCATGAACCCGGGAGGCGGAGGTTGCAGTGAGCCGAGATCGCGCCACTGCACTCCAGCCTGGGAGAGAGAGTGAGACTTCATCTCAAAAAAAAAAAAAAAAAATCCTACTAATTTCAAAAATGAAATTTAACCCAAATACATTTATTTATAAAAGTCAAACTTCACATATGATATTTGGCATAATATATTGAGTTATGGAAAAGGAAAATTTTTACTTTTTCTCAATGTTTTATAATTCTATAAGAACAAAGTCTTATGCTATTTGTAGACTTAAATTCTTAAAATTAGAAGAAGTAAATTTATACATATATATTTTTATGCTTATTTTAATAATTCTCATTTAATAAAGCTATGATAGAATTACGTATCTGTTTTACTAAAATATAACTAAATTTTGTTGTTCTGGTTATATGTTCATTCAAATGTTCATTCATGTTTCTTCTATATACCTTTATAATGGATGATTTCCAACAAAACATTCCTACAAGAAAACATTGCTACATATGTTAGCTGAGTAGATTCTTCAGGGCTTTGTGGATTCTAGCTACCATTGTCTAGCATTTATTGTTTACACGGATTTTTGTTAAGCATCTACAGGTCTGTATAAAAAAGATTAAGATGATATGTTCTTAAAAGTAATCTGGGATAAATAAGAATATTTTTTGAAAGACTATCAGAGAAGTTATAATCTAAAAGAGGTACTCTGTGATATGATTTGGCTGTGTCACTGCTCACATCTTATCTTGAATTGTGGCTCCCATAATTCCCACGTCATAGGAGGGATCTGGTCGGAAGTCATTGAATCATGGGGGCAGGTCTTTCCGATGCTGTTCTTTGATAGCAAATAAGTCTCATGAGATCCTACGGTTTTATAAAGGGGAGTTCCCCCCAACTCTCCCTTCTACCTGCTGCCATGAAAGACAAGACTTGGCTCTTCCTTTGCTGTCCACCATGATTGTGAGGCCTCACAAACCATGTGGAACTGTGACCCAATTAAACCTCTTTCCTTTACATAAATTGTCCAGTCTTGAATATGTCTTTATTAGCAGTGTGAGAAAAGACTAATACAGTCACTTGGTACCAGTAGAGTTGGGTGCTGCTGTAAAAATACTCAAAATGCGGAAGTGACTTTGGAACTGAGTCACAGGCAGAGGTTGGAACAATTTGGATGGCTCAGAAGAAGACAGGACAATCTGGGAAGATTTGGAACTTCCTAGAGATTGGAGGGCTCAGAAGACTGGAAGATGTGGGAAAGTTTGGAACTTCCTAGAGACTTATTGAATGGCTTTGACCAAAATGCTGATAGTGACATGGACGATAAAGTCTAGGCTGAGGTGGTCTCAGTTGGAGATTAGAAATTTGTTGAGAACTAGACTAAAGGCCACTCTTACTATGCAAAGAGACTGATGGTATTGTGCCCCTGCCCTAGAGACCTGTGTAACTTTGAACTAGAGAGAGATGATTTAGGGTTTCTGGCAGAAGAAATTTCTAACCATCAGCGTGTTCATGAGGAAGCAGGGTATAAAAGTTTGAAAACTTTGCACCCTGATGACGCAGTAGAAAAGAAAAACCCATTTTCTGGGGAGAAATTCAAGCCAGCTGCAGAAATTTATATAAATAACAAGAAGCTGAATGTTAATCACCAAGACAATAGGGAAAGTGTCTCCAGGGCATGTCAGAGATCTTTGCAGCAGCCCTCCCATTATAGGCCTAGAAACCTAGGAGGAAAAAATGATTTTCTGGGCTGGTCCCAGGGCCTCCTTGCTGTATGTAGCCTAGGGACTTGGTGCCCTCCTTCGCAGCTGCTCCAGAGGCCAAGGTACAGCTCGGGCCATGGCTTCAGAGGGTGCAAACCCCAAGCCTTGGCAACTTCCATGTGATGTTGAGCCTGTGGGTGCACAGAAGTCAAGAATTGAGGTTTGGGAACCTCCAACTGGGTTTCAGAGGATATATGGAAACACCTGGATGTCCAGGCAGAAGTTTGCTGTAGGGGCAGGGCTCCCATGAAGAACCTCTGCTAGGGCAGTGCAGAAGGGAAATTTGGGATGTGAGCCCCCACACAGAGTCCTCACTGGGGCATTGTCTAGTGGGCTGTGAGAAGAGGGCCATCGTGCTTCAGATGCATGAATGGTAGCGCCACTGACAGCTTGCACCGTGCACCTGTAAAGGTCGCAGACACTCAACAGCAGCCCATGAATGCAGCCAGAAAGGGGTCTGTACCCAGCAAAGCCACAGGTGCAGAGCTGCCCAAGAACATGGAATCCAACCTCTTGCATCAGCGTGATGTGGATGTGAGACATGGAGTCAAAAGAGAACATTTTGGAGCTTTAAGATTTGACTGCCCCACTGGATTTCAAGACTTACATGGAGCCTGTGGCCCCTTTCTTTTGGCCAATTTCTTACATTTGGAAAAAGGTGTATTTAACCAATGTCTGTACCCCATTGTATCTAGGAAGTAATTAACTTGCTTTTGATTTTATACGCTCTTAGGTAGAAGGGACTTGCCTTGTCTTCGATGAGACTTTGGACTGTGGACTTTTGAGTTAATGCTGAAATGAGTTAAGATTTGGGTGGAGGGGGGCTGCTGGGAAGGCATGATTGGTTTTGAAATGTGAGAATATGAGATTTGTGGGGGTCAGGGCTAGAATCATATGGTTTGGCTGTGTCCCCACCCAAATCTCATCTTGAATTGTAGCTCCCATAATTCCCATGTATTGTAGGAAGGATGTGGTGGGAGGAAACTGAGTCATGTGGCCAGGTCTTTCCAGTGCTCTTCTCTTGATAGTGAATATATCTCACAAGATCTGATGGTTTTACAAAGGGAAGTTCTCCTGCACACGCTCTCTTGCCTGCCCCCATTTAAGACGTGACTTTGCTCCTCCTTCATCATCCACCATGATTGTGAGGCCTCCCCAGCCACGTGGAACTGTGAGTCAACTAAACCTCTTTCTTTTATAAAATTGCCCAGTCTCAAGTATGTCTTTATTAGCAGTGTGAGAACAAATTAATACACTATGCATAAATCTAAATAATTAAAATGCCAGAAAGAAGTGTTTAGTTTAAAAATATTATGAATATTGCTAGCTCCTAGAATCAGGGAAGAAATGATCAAGAAATAAAGTGCAATTTTCATGAGCCTTGATGAGAGGCTATTATCATTGTTACAGCATGGAGAGAATAATTTAGTTAGAGACTTGGAACCTGAAGTAAAGTCATAAAATGCAAATGAGAAGTGACGTTTCTAGTAAATGGCAAGCATTACAGAGTTTCACTGGTATCTAGAATGCATAAATGGGATGATATAAGAGAAAATATTTCAAAATATGTGGGAGCTAAAGTAATAATAATTTAACAGCCCTATAAATGGCTGTTTAAAAGTTTGTCTTTGTTTTGGTCAAATAGTTTTCACAAAGTAAAAAACTCATCCAGAAACTTTCAGAGATTAACCTCACAGCACCTCAGAGAATAAATTAGAGTAAAAAAAACACATGTGGTAATTTTAAACTGTTTAAATGTGTGCTTCTCCATTTTAATTATTATAAACACCCATGGATTTCTTTCTATTATACCACTAAACTTTAATTTATTTGAAATAACAGGAAATGGGCAAAATTGCATATACATAAAAGCTGAACTTTTAACTAATAATTACAGAACTTACTACTCTGTAATAATTGAGATCCCTTTAAAATTCTACTCCAATCTACAAGACTTTTACTTATTTGAACAATTTAACTAGAGTTTTTATAATTTAATTTGCTATATATACTATTTAATATATATGTATATACATATACACATTCGTGTGTGTAAGTTATATCTCAGGATAACAATCTTAGGGAAGATGTTATTCAAAAGGGAGTATAAACAGTAAAATTATTAAATGATGTTCTGTTTATATTTATGCTCAAAAATGTTTAAATTACAAGTTTTGATTTTACTAAGAAATTAATGATTTTGAAATACCACAAATTAAATTCTACTTTGAATTTCATATCAAGAACTATCTAAATAAATTCTGCCCATTCAATTATTGAGCAGTATGTTAATGCATTGGTGGTAATTGATAGCCAGAATTATTGCTTTCTTTGAGATTATAAACTTGGCTGACATTTATTACATAAAAAAACCCTGAACAATATCATTAAAGAGAAAATGTTAAAGAATATTAGAAATACATATCAGAACGCTTTGATCTACTCTAAGAGGCCAGGGAAAACTTCTGTGATAAAGTCCTATTTAAGCCTAAAACTAAAGAAGTGGTTCTCAAAGTGTGGTCCTCTAGGCAGCATCTGGGAACTTGTAAGAAATGTAATTTCTAGAGTCCCTCCTTTCCCAGGCCTACTAAATCAGAAACTCTGAGTGATGAGATCCAGCAACTTGTGCCTTAAGAGGCCATCCAGGCAACTTTAATGTGCAGTTAAGTTTGAGGATGAATGACCCATTGTCCTAGAGGAAGAGAAGGAACTGAGAAGAAGAGGGACAGGAGTAGATTGTTCCAGGCAATATGCATCAAGGATAAAGAGGAGGGTCTGTGGAAGAGATGTTCTGCTCAAAGGACTTGAAGACAAGGGCAAACCCAGTAAAGGTAAATGAGGGGAAATGAGGCTAGGTATGTGGTCAGGAGCTCACTTGTATAGAACTTTATTTGTACTTCATTTTAAAAAGGATTTTATTACACATTCAGTGTATGTTATTTTATAAAATGTCACAAATTTTCATTCCTTACAATATCAATAAAATTAAATAATCTGATTAAGGAGTTTATATATCATTCTTATTATGTCACAAAAAAAGTGGTGTCTTTTTTTTCTTTTGTTAAACTCTCCTTTGGTACTTTCTCACTTTTATGTGTTACTAATAAAAGCAATGAAACCCAGTTGATAAGAGCTACAAAATCACTGGATTTTCAACTGTATTGTAACTTTAAGGAAACAAATATGTATAGAAATAAACTAGAAAATAAAATAATTCTTTCCATACTTATAATACTCTATAATATCAATCACTTTAGACTTCAGAAGGCACTTTTGCACAAATTATTGAATTAACAATTTCTATATCCTTTATAAGATCTATTTTATAACTACAAATTTTTAAACCTTTATCCAAGATTCCATACTAATTAACATCCATACTGAAGCATGAGTGCAACAAAGTTAAATATGTTTAATCTGTTGCCTTTACTGACATACCTCAAGCAAGCATCTAGAAGAGGGCATGAATCATAGTAGGTACTACGTGAATATGTTGGTTCAATGAGTATTTTAAAAAGTAATTGAGTCACTATAGCATTATCAGATATCAGTATTTATCGATTTAATATGTCAAACATTTCTTTGGTCATATAATTTTAAAATTTTCCATTAGATTTTAAATCAATTTGTGGAATGATTTGACATATGCACATTCTTCATTTAAACAGGCATGTGGAACATACATCTGTTTTTTCCATTTCTTATCAACTGACCCTCTACAAGTTTTATCTGGAAGAGATGAAATAGCATTCATTTTTTTCTTAATAGCTACTGTATATATATATAAATCTGGTTTGTTTTGCGCAGTCATGCAAAGTAGAAGAATCATCTGTCTTATGCATAAAATCAAGCAGTGAGTAGTCATTGTGACAATATATAGAAGCAGCTATTTGTTCACCCTTTCAACCATGGCAAAAAGATGGATTAAAAAGAGAAGAGCAAAGATGCACATTTTTCCATTATGTGTTTTTATATAGCCCAAAATAAGATTGTTACAGCTAGAAGTTTACAAAAATGTATTTTCCCAATATGCTTCCCTTATATTAAAATGCATGACAGACTTGGCAACCTTCTACATATTTATATCCCACTTCCACTGGGCTTACAAAATGCAGGTTAAAAGAAATCTCTGTAATGCAATGGATGAAGTTAGTGAACAGGAGTAATTTTCTAAGTTTGTACCACATCAGGTACATTTGCACAATTTATTTCTGTTTTTTTTGTCCTAAAATAAAATGTATATATGTAACTGGAAAGGATGATAAAAAATCAGTATGTAAAACTGATATATAGGAAAATTATTTGATTACTGAAAAACAAATTTATATTTGGTAACATTTTTCATAAATGCTAAACAAATTCAGCCCCTCAAATTATGTAAATACTTCTCCCACCACACACACATACACACACACACTGACACACACATGCACACACATACATACATACATACATCATCTCCACAGGATACCCAAATATTTTTTGTCATGAAATAAGCTTTCAAAAAACAAAAAAGGAAATGTATACACTTATGCAAACTACAACGTGCTTCCATTGTTTTGACTCTCCAATTTAGTACCATGGTGGAAAATGTGTATGGACCATCAGATAGCTTCCATAATAAGCAAATATTATGGAAGCACCTTTACTTATAAGATCTGATTTATTCCTTAGCAGTAGCAATTCTTAAGCCTAATGGTAGAAAGTATGGCTCTAAATCACATTTCCCTTAGTACAATGCTAAACTTTGACATGCTCCCAGCTGACTTAGAGAAAGCAAAAACTTCTTTCAATTTGGAATGTGGTACTCTGAGGAACAAATAAGATATGACATAATGTACTTCGGTCAGGTACGTGTTGAAAAACATGTGCCATCTTTGGCATTAAATATAGAATAAGAACAATATTTAAGGTATACTGTAGTTTAATTTTATTTTTAAAATCCATGAGATCCACCATTATTGTTTTTGTGATCATCTTTAAATTATATCAAATTCATTGTTATTTTTGATAATATGTGAAACATTTATCTCTAAAGTAAAAATAAATTTGTAGGATTTTTATTGTATTAGTGTAGAAAATACCATAGTGTAAATCTCTATAAATTATTTTTTTTGTCTTTTATATCTTGATTCTTCTGTTCTCATTTTACTACCCTCTGGAAAACCATATATTTCAATTATTTTGAAAAATTCAGATTCTTTATATTTTCTAATTCTAGTCCTGATCTTACAAGACTGTGGTCACTGTTGAGCACAATAAGATACAAATTATATAATGTGTTGTCATAATACTGAAAATCTATCTAAATCTTGGTTTTTAATGCTTTAAATTATTCATTTATATTTTTTATTTTTTTATAATCTGTTAGTTGTTTTCCATGTTTTTGTCTGTTTTGTTATGCACATATTTGTTGTCCAAATGAATATTTTTGTATTTATATTCTTTTGTTTCTATTCACCTTGGGGCCCTATTAATGGTAGAACCCATGGCAATTGGCTTTGTGATTCCTCCTTTCTCTGTTTACCTCTGCAGGATAGAGTAATGCCCTAAGTTTCTAAAAGAAAAGTTATTGCTTTGTAAATGTTTAAAATACATATTTCTGATGATATGAAGTAGAAATACTTACTGGAGGTATAAATGGGCTTCTGGTGATCTTTGTGACATTTGCTAAAAATTGAATCATGTTGTGAATTTTATTGATTAGGTTCAAGTGAGATCAGTGAATAAGTTGTAGAAAACTGCACTTTATATTTTGTAATCTTTGAAATGAATGCACTGACCAATTTCAAGGTTTAGAAGAAAAGAATCAGAAACGATGCTGTATTTGTTTAGAAATGTGCAGAATGTGTTAGATAAACCAATCAATATCTAATTACTAGTCTGCAGCCTTCTCTATTTTAATGCTTAGGCTTTCACAGAGATAAACCACCTGCTGTGTGACCTGATGTATTTGTTCTGACAGCACATTTAAAGGGACTGCTCAAAACCTGGCAATAACTACATTATTCCAAGAGAAATAATTTTCCAAGAGACTTATTTCCACGCATGTTCAAATAAACATAGAAAGTCAAAGAAACTCAAGAGCAAATAAATGTACAAAGCCAAAAATCTCCTGTTCTATATAAAATAAGCAAAATACTTTTTTTTAAAAAAAGCATGTCCTTTATACAATAATGAATATACAAAGTTCAAAGATATTAGTTATAATGTACATGTCTATCTGCAACTGTATGTAGGCTGGGTGTTGGAATGAAAAACAATTCTAACTGTTATGGTTTCTCAAACCTCAGTATTTGTTGACACAGCACTGAAGGCTCTTAGTGGTTCTCTCAGTGATTACACCAAAATATAATTTTTTAAAAAAACAAAAATGAAACAGTTTAAAGATCTTATTTAATGTTATTCATACATTATTATTCATCCCAAGAAAGACTCAGTGCTAAACTCTGAAAAGAATCCATGTACTTGTAATCTATGGCCCTTATAATCTATTACACAAGATAAATAGGTAGCCAGAGTATTTGATCACAAGATAGCGTCTTCCTTTGCCTTAAAATCCAAAAAAGGAGGAATCCTCAGCTAAAGAATTCTTAGGAGGAAGGTGAAGATTCATGAGAGGAATGTTTTTTTCTTTTAGAATACTTTAAACATATTTTTATTTAGTTAATGTAATTAAGATGCATTACATGAATAAATTTGAAATTAGAATATATTCCATCTAGATCTTATATCCAAATCTTGAGCTATATCTAATTTTTAAAATTACCCTGAAAATCCAGATGTATTCTTAATGGTTCATGTCACAACTATGTTAGTATTTAATACTGGTTTGTATTTTTTCTTGGTAGTTAATACAATATTTGTTATGCATTTATTTTTAAAAGGAAATGTTATCCACATGTTATATCTTAATAATGTTACCATTTCTAGAATTTTTCCCATTTATTTGTCCTTTACTTCTGAGAGAAGTTTGCATTTCTTAGCAGTAATTACAATTTTCACAATGTTAGTTTTGTCATCAATTGTTCAAATATAAAATTTAATATTAATACATCATTTTGGATTTCCACAGAAAATGTTTTTTTATGAATTCGCATAAGTTCATTTTTAATTCAGTCAATTTCAGCCTGTTTTATGCAGTAGCACCTTGCTCTAGCCCAGAAATTTCACATAGCCTAACGCCTATTAAGGATGTGAATGCTCCTTGAATGCTCATTCTGTTTAGTGGAGCCATTCTATTGAATGGTGACTTTCCTCTGTGTATCCCCTTGTTATAAAGAAATGTTCTATGAAGTCATGTTGCTTTTTTGTTTCATTTTATTTATTTTTGAATGAGGATAGATTTAACTAGACCCAGTGTTTAAAAACTTGCAGATGATGAGGAAGGGGCTTTTTGGTGCTTTTAGAGTTTATTTCTCAGAGTGTAAACCGAAGTGGAGATTGGATTCTTCAGCTTCTGGTGGTTTGCAGGACTTGCAAACTTTGATCTTATGTCAGTTTGGTGGAGCATGGTGAAATGAGCTCTGTCAGCTCCTTTTCTTTGATTAATTTTGAAATTGATATGGAATAGGTAGGTATTTTATTGGAGCAGAATTTACAACACTATTCCAGTCCTATAACCAACACACCAAGATGAATACTCCCTCCGAATTCTTCCCATCACCATCAATATTTGCAATTAATTTTTAAGACAAAAGGGGTGCTTGCCTATTCTAAGTTATCAGAACTAAAACCTACACTTTTCTACTCCACAGCTGTTTTTAAATCTGCAAGCTATAGCTATATATAATCAATAATTAGGAGACTGGTTCTATGAATACAATGTCCTTAACCACTATAGATAATATTTTAATACAGCATGCAGAAATGTTTGTGTGTCAGGTGTGTGTGTGTATGTTTCAGGATGTCATATACTTATTTAATATAACCATGTACTTTTGATAATATGTGTATGTTATTTATGAGTACTCCTATTTAGCTAATACATTTAGTTAGCACACTCATCCATATGTGTGTGCATCTATATGCATATACATGCAGGCATAGTTACATGCACTTTTGCTAAGTGATATATCTGTACATATAATCCATATTATATATGTAGACATGAATTTTGTGCAAATAGTATGTGTGTGCATATATGCGTGTGTGTAAAAATGTATGCCCTATCACAATGATAGAATGCATATTGTGGGTGTGCATACACACATATACACAAGCATATGCTCTTGTATATTATTAGACTTGCAAGATATGTGCATAGAGGTTGTGTTTCTCTGTTATTGCTGTGAATACAGCAAATACAGTTGTCTCTCATTTCTATTTTTTCTATTTTTTTCATAAAACCTATTTCTCTGAATTATAAATATGATATATACTCCATGTTGGAATAAATGTGAGGAATTGATGTTTGTTTTAAATCAAGAATAGGGGTTTCATGGACTATTTTTGTAATTGCTTTCAGTCAGTTTCATATCCCAGTAATCACAATGTAATATATTCCTAAATATACTGCTCAATCCTGATATATTAAATGCTTTGTCACTGTTATGCCTCTCTCTTAATTTAATAGTGGCCATCTCGTTGTCATTAGGATTAGGCAGGAAGGGCAAACCGTTAATCTGAACTTTGTTTCAAGGATGAGTTCTTAATGGGTTTTTGTCACCCAAAGGCTTTTTCAATCATATTTCATTTGGATTCCTGGAGAAGTTATTTGAACAACCAACATCCCATATTCCTGAATTTTCTCTATTCCTATACTTATGCTTGCAAATCACTTAATTTGTCCTTTTCCATCTCCCTTATTATAAAATCCTTCTATAAGCAGCCAATAGTGTCCAACCCATGCAATCAGCCCCATTCTGTCTCGCCACTTCACCTAGAACATCAGGCATAGTTCCACATGGGCCTCCCTTCAAGTAACTGCAGGCCAACAGTTTACAAGTGTTTTTCCATAGGAAATCACAGTTGTCCAGTCTTCCTTCTTTTTGTTTCTGTTGCCTTACTGCCTGTCACCTTAACACTATGCTAAGGACATGTGCTTAATGTATTTGTATGCCAATATTCCCACTTAATAATAAAGTTTTGTATTAAAACAGAGTACTTGAGGCATGCAACATAAAACAGAAATTTATTCCTACCTGTTATGACAATTCAATGAGTGTTCAACAGGCAGCTTCCCAACCCATAATTTGGTTAGCAATCTTCTCTCGATCTTCCAGCTCCACTATCCTCTATGACCTGGGAGTTCTCTCTTTCTCTCTGTGCAAATAGGGAAAGAGAATGTGGATACTATGTGAAAGATTTGTATGGGGCAGCCCCGGAAAGGGCATCAATCATATTGTAACTGTCTTATTGGCTAGAACTCAGTGAGGTGGTCAAGACTCACTGAAAGAGAGTCTTCATCAAAGAGTGGCCTGGTTGCATCCAAGGAGGAAAGAAAAGTATATATACATAAAATTTATCATATATTATATATAATAATATATTATAATATATGATATATTATATTATATATATTATATATAAATATATAATATATAATATAATATATAATATATAATATATAATATATAATATAATATATATTATGTTATAACATATATTATATATTTTATGTATATATATTATAACATATATTATATATTTTATGTATATATATAATATTATAACATATATTATAAATTTTATGTATGTATACTTTTCTAGATCTATATATAAATATATAATATATAATATATGATATATAATATATATCATATATTATATATTATATATTTATATGATATATAATATATTATATATTTATATGATATATAATATATTATATATTTATATGATATATAATATATTATATATTATATTTATATGATATATAATATATTATATATTATATTTATATGATATATAATGTATTTATTATTATTAAAATATGTATTAAAATATATATTAAAAATAATATATATAAATATATAAATATATATTATTATTAATATATAATAATATATTAATTATATCTAATATATATTATATTATAACATATATATTTTATGTATATATTATAAAGTATATTATATATTTTATGTATATATATATTATAACATATATTATAAATGTATTATACATATTATATATAACATATGTTATAACATATATTATAAATGTATTATATATATTATATAAAATGTTATATATAATATATTATATATTTCATCCTCATTGAAATTAGGGAGTCCATTCCATGGAATTATAGCTCTTTCTCTGCTAGCTTACAAACACAAATACAAAATGTTTTTTCAATAATGGTAATGCTCCCCTCACCAATATATACCTCAGTTCTACTATATAAAGTTTATCTATTGTACTTTATTATGAAATAAAGGTTACATTTTATACTTCTTTATAAAATAAATTTATTATGAAATATGTTTTATTATAAACTCATGTCAGAATTAAACATGATAAATCTACTCAAATTTTATATAAACCTAAATGTTTTAATTTTTAACATCAAAAGGGTTTTTTTTAAACCGTGTTTATTCCATGTTTCTATTGAATCCAGGTTTCAACCAATCAAATATATAAGTGGAATAATTTTTAGTAATGCAGCCGTAAATATTACAGTCAGAATCTCTGAAAGTTTCAATTTGGTTGATAGTTATTACTTAGTCACTGAACACAGAATGTGAGAGGAGCTTACAATAATTTGAAAATATCTAGGCCTTTGGAATTCCACAGTAATGGATTTGAATGCAGTCTCTAATACTTATTTGGTCTGTTATATGAGGTAGGTTATTGAATCTTTATTAGCATTATTATCATGAAAAGAAAAATCTTTTGAGAAGTTTGTGTCCATATCATTTGCCCATTTTTTGGTGGGGTTGTTTTTTTCTTGTAAATTTGTTCAAGTTCCTTGTAAATTCTGGTATTAAAACTTTGTCAGATGGGTAGATTGCAAAAATTTTCTCACATTCTGTAAGTTGCCTGTTCATGCTGATGATAGTTTCCTTTGCTGTGCAGAAGCTCTTTAGTTTAATTAGATCCCATTTGTCAATTTTGGCTTTTGTTGCAATTGCTTTTGGCATTTTTTGTCATGAAGTCTTTGCCCAAAGGCCTTCGATAAAATTCAACATCCCTTTATGCTAAAAACTCTCAATAAACTAGGTATTGATGGGACATATCACAAAATAATAGGGGCTATTTATGACAAACCCAAAGCCAATATCTTATTGAATGGGCAAAGCTGAAAGCATTCCCTTTGAAAACCGGTACAAGAGAAGGATGCCCTCTCTCACCACTCCTATTCAACATAGTATTGGAAGTTCTGGCCAGGGCAATCAGGAAAGAGAAAGAATTAAAGGATATTTCAAATAGAAAGAGAGGAAGTCGAATTGTCTCTGTTTGCAGATGACATGATTTTATATGTAGAAAACTCCATCATCTCAGCCCCAAAATTCCTTAAACTGATAAGTAACTTCAGCAAAGTCTCAGGATACAAAATCAATGTGCAAAAATCGCAAGCATTCCTTCACACCAACTATAGACAAGCAGAGAGCCAAATCATGAATGAACTCCCATTCACAATCGCTACAAAGAGAATAAAATACCTAGGAATACAGCTAACAAGGGATGTGAAGGACCTCTTCAAGGAGAACTACAAAACACTTCTCAAGGAAATAAGAGAGGACACAAACAAATGGAAAAATATTCTATCATCATAGATAGGTAGAATCAATATTGTGAAAATGTTCATACTGCCCAAATAAATTTATAGATTCAATGCTACTTCCATCAAACTACCATTGACATTCTTCACGGAATTAGAAAACAATATTTTAAATTTTATATGGAATCAAAGAAGACCTCATATAGCCAAGACAATCCTAAACAAAAAGAAAAAAAAGCTGGAGGCATCATACTACCTGATCCCAAACTATACTACAAGGCTACAGTAACCAAAACATTATGATACTGGTACCAAAACAGACATATAGTCCAGTGGAACAGAACAGAGACCATAGAACTAATTCTGATCTTCAATAAATCTGACAAAAACAAGCAATAGGGAAAGGATCTCCTATTCAGTAAATGGTGCTGGGAAAATTGGCTAGCCACATGCAGAAAAGTGAAACTGGACCCCTTCCTTACACATCATACAAACATTAACTCAAGATGGATTAAATACTTAAATGTAAAACCCAAAACGATAAAAACCCTAGAAAAAAACCTAGGCAATACCATTCGGGACATAGGCATGGGCAAAGACTTCATGACAAAACTCCACAAGACATTTACATGGCCAAAACACATATGAAGAAAAGCTCAACATCACTGATCATCAGAGAAATGCAAATCAAAAACACAATGAGATACCATCTCTCGCCAGTCAGAATGGCAATTATTAAAAAGTTAGGAAACAATAGATGCTAGCAAAGCTATGGAGAAATAAGAACACTTTTACACCGTTGGAGGGAATGCAAATTAGTTCAACCATTGTGGAAGACAGTATGGCAATTCCTCAAGGATCCAGAACCAGAAATAGCATTTGACCCAGCAATCCTATTACTGGGTATATACCCAAAGGAATATAAATCATTCTACTATAAAGACACATGCACACATGTGTTTATTGCAGCACTATTTACAATAGCAAAGACAAGGAGCCAACCCAAATGCCCATCAATGATAGACTGTATAAAAACAAATGTGGTACATATATGCCATGGAATACTATGCAGCCATAAAAAGGAATGAGATCATGTCCTCTGCGGGGACATGGATGAAACTGGAAGCCATTATCTTCAGCAAACTAACTCAGGAACAGAAAACCAAACACCACATGTTCTCACTCATAAGAGGGAGTTGACCAATGAGAACACATGAACACAGAGAGGAACAACACACACCAGGGCCTGTTGGGTGTGGGGAATGAGGGGACAGAACTGAGAGCACCAGTCAAGAGGTGCAGCAAATCACCAGGGCACACGTATACCTGTGTAACAAACCTGCACATTCTGCACATGTATCTTGGTTGTTTTTTTTTTTTCAGAAGAAATAAAAATAAATAAAAGAAAAATCAATATTATATTTATGATACAATTCATAAAACTTTATTTCATAGAAGGTCATTTTGAGGATTAAATGAGATGAGTTTATAATAAATTGTAATGTTACAAAGCAACCAATTGTTAAAATAGGGTAAGAATAAGTAAAATAAAATAGTTTTAGTTCAATTTAAGTTTTCACTTTTTCTACCACATGACTACACAGTGTATAACTAGATGCAATGAAACTGGGCATATGATTTTTTAAAAATTATATGATAGTAAAACTCTCCTGTCTAAACCATGCATGTGCTTTTATTGTTAGTCGTAAGTAGTGGCTTAACTGCTTCTAAAACTGGGTTTAAAAATATATATACTGAAACAGTGCAGGTACACTGGCAATAGAAACAGTACTCTTTAACTTGAATTACTGCACACAAAACCATGTTGAAGGTAACTATTATTTATGAGAAGATGATATATTACTTTTAGTTCTCCTGACAATCTTTATGTATATTTCTTTTACCCAAGACAGTTGCAATTTAACAGTGCATTAAAAGACCATATGCTATACCATTTGTCATATGCTATATTTATATAAACTATGCTATTTCCTGGTTGAATCCTAATTAATCTAGCAAACACCTCATTGCCTTTGAAAAAATCTGACTCTATTTTAAGGTTAATTAATAAACTATTGCAACATTACTGACACATTAAGTACACATATATATTTTTCTTGATATCCAGAAAACTCACAGGGTACTGGGGAAACTTTCTTTATAGTATCACTTTAGTCATGTTTAATTGTAGCCTTTCTTTATGCTTTCAGCATTACATTAAGTTAACACCGTATTTGCTTTTTTAATATAGTATCAACTAGTAATTGAAAGATAAGAATTTGTGGTGCCTAATGAAAGGGCAGCCATATAAAGAATTGTAAAAAGGCAACTGTGTGAGTGTGTGTGTGTGTGTGTGTGTGTTTTCTTTATCACACAAAAGCTCTCAGATCATCCTGACACCAATATCTCGTCGTACATTGAAAAGAGTGTACCCTCCTACCCTCAGGATGTCTTCCTAATATTTCTCACAAATGCATAGACTCTGACTAAGCACTTTCCAGGTTCAAAACACAAAATACAAATTACCCCCCCAGCATATTCCTAATTGTAAACTGCAAGACCGGGTATACCGAAAGTCATTTTCACAAGCATGCTATCTCAAAATTTCACAGAGAAAACAAACATAATCAAAAGCAATCAAATTAATCAACAAACACAACCAATGATTCGATCTAAATCATTGATTCTAACCTTTAGTTAAAAATAATTAACAAATTGTCTGAGTCCTCATTTTATGAAAATGAGACTCTGATGAGACAGTGGGGATAAAGCCCAAAAATCTACATATTCAATAATCTAAGACAGGGGTTCCTTGCATACATATTGAAAAATACAGCACGCTATTCCTTTTTTGGGGGGGGGTATCTATTATAGCAAATAAATGGAAATACTCCTTGTTTTACATATTTATAAAACATATTTGATTTTTACTTAAGAATAACATTTTGGAAACTTACTATTTTATTGCTTCCAATTAACTTTCTTACTACAATTTGGAGGAAACCCAGCACTTTTTTGCCCTTTAGAACAAGTGGATTTCTTTAAAATAAAAAAGATAAAGAATGAATCATTCATTTATCCCATGTGCACAAATGACAGCAAATGACAGTTTGGAAAGTACACACATGTACAACAATAAATAGGGCTGAAAAGAAAGCCACAAAATAGTCAAAAGTAGAATGATTGAATATGTAGTTCCTGGCAATATGAGACTTAGACATATGTTGTCATTTGGGTAATAATTGGTTTCCTGTGCATTAAGAACTAAAACCTGAAATGTCAGTAGCTCATGAATTACCAGCTAGTAGTGTCCTATGATGGGCTTTCTTACTAGAGTTCAATTTTAAGCCGTAATAGAATTTCATAAAAGCACTTCTACTTGTATTTAATTTAGACTTTCAATAAGTGTTTTATTTCAGGTAGAAAAAAAAATGTTTCTAAATGCAGAATCTTAAGGTCGTGTTAGTCCTGCTTGAGACAAAACCCTTTGCTAGCACAACTATCTAGGACACAGAAAAATATAAAGTGTTTCATTGTCAGTTAAGAAAAAAAAAAGCCTAGTGAAATTGGTTGTGTCTCGCTATATAAACAATATTACTTGGTATTTTGGGGGTCTTTACAGTTTGCTTTATTAATACATACAAAAAATATTAAACGAATTCTCATTTGTGCCCAAGAATCATGTAAATTACTAAAGTAATAGGCATAATTAAGCCCTTGATCCATCCTTGCCCTTGATAAAGCAACAGTCTGAAAAGTTATTTTTAGTGAGAATGAGTCTAAAATAATGGATTTACAAAGGTATAAATCAGAGGCTAAAATGATGAATAACAGAGATTACCTACATTTATATATTAACTAAATGAAAACAAGAAAAAAAATCTGAGCTCATTACAAGTACTATACAAATAAAAATTGTATAGATTCCATGGTTGCCACCTGGGGCCTTACATATTAACTAGAAGTAATAAATAAGAAGATAAATTTATAAACATCTCACTCAAAAATATCTCATTGAGAACTGAAAAAGGAAAATAGATTAAACCAGGATCACACGTAAGAGCTAGATTTTTTAACGAACATGTACATTGGGTTTAAAATAAAACATTAATGTATATGGTAACAGGAATAACTAAATTAAAAAAAAATACAAAACTATCTTACTCCCTGTCCATTAAGCAAGGACCATGAAAGAATAGTCAACCCAAATAGCCCTTAGGAAGCAGTAAGAACACAATGAAATCCAAGAGAAAAGTACACATCATAAGTAATCAGCATAAATTGAGATGTGAAGTAAGAATTAATAAAATGTAAGGTAGACATATTAAAAATAATCATGAGGCTAAGATAGAGTATATGATGCTTATTATCTTAAAACATCATCTTTAATACATTAATTATTATTGCATAACAGAGAAGCTCGATGTTTTTCTTCACTTGGAATGTGGTTGAGATTTCTGCCTTATTCTTTGGGAAGGTAGATAATATAATTTAATTTTAAATATAAATATTTATTTATTCATTTGAGACAGCATCTTGCTGTGTCATCCAGTAGAGTGCAGCGGTGCAAACCTAACTTGGTGAAGCCTCAAACTACTGAGTTCGTGATTCTCCCGTCCCAGCCTCCTAAAATACTAGGATTACAGGCATGAGTCACTGTGTTCAGCCTAATTTTAATTTTAGAATAACGTAAATAATTCTAGGGGTGTAGTAATTATATTTAAAAGGTAACTGAGAAGTTGCAGCAATAATGGTAGAGATAAGTTAATGATTTGCCTGTGGTAACGAAAACTTGACAATCTCCCCTACCCCGATGAAGGATTTACTAGATACATGACAAAATCAGACATTGTAGAAAATGTCAGGAGTTTTCAGTAGTTACAAGTTAAAGGAGGAAGATAAATCATTAAAGATTTCAAGATTTGGAGGACAGCCAATTATTTGAACAGCGACAGTAGAGAAGCTGGTTGAAGCTGCTGGTCACCAGGGGTAGTTAACAGAGAGCAGTACCCTGTATTGAGAACTTTTTCTTTTTGCTTTGTTCTCGTTTTCAAAGAAAATTGTGGACTACATAGAATGAAGACAGTGAACAAGTGAAGGTGGTATAACAGGATGATAAGAATGAACCAGAAGAAGCGAACCACACATCTAAAGCCACCAAAGATGAGGGTAAACTGTCTTCTTCCTAAACATTGGATACTTGAGTGTGGAAGAAAGGATATCCATTTATTGGACTACTCAGTGAAGAAGGCCTGATATTGACAAACATGAAACTTGAAGGAAAGAAAATAATGCATGCAGCACTGACGTTGGAGGTAGATGTAAGGGTTAACTGGAAAAAGGAAGATAATTATGAGGCGGGGGAATGTAGAGAAGCAAAGTAAGGAAAAAGATTAAAAGATCTGCTGGTGCCAGCAGTGGTTTGGACTGTGGCACGGGGTGGAGGAAGCAGGGGGAACTTGAGGTGGTGATCAGAGAGAAAACTACATTGGTTGATGGAACACAGCCTACAGCGAACAAGCTTTTTCTTGCTCTTTAGCATTCTAATGATCTATGAAACAACGTGAAAGCTAATTAGAATGTTCACAAGAAAATTTTTAAATCTATGCAACATGCTTTATGCTATTCAGAGGAATTCACAGAATTGGCTACAAGTTAATAGCAACAAAATTATTGGGAAAATCCCTTGAAGAAAACACATATTTACACATTACAATACATTCCAGGTACATTTCTCTCATTTCCTATTCATTCTCTAAATTCTTTTCTGTCACTCAATTTGAAATAGAAACAATAGATGAAGTAGTACAGTTTTAGTTAGCCCATCTACACTTCAAACTATAATTGCCTACTGATGGATATGAAATTTCTCTAATGTATTCTATCCAGATAGTTCAGAGACAACTGCTTTTCAAGAGTTTTAGTACATTTTCTGACACTGAGTTCTAGAATATTTTGACATTGATTTAAAATTTAAAAAAAAGATTTGCTTGGAAAATTACTATACTATGAAATATAGTTTTACAGCTTATGAAATTGGAAAAATAAAATTCTATTTTTAACTCTTTTCAAATTCCACTGGCAGTTGTCTTAATGTTTCTTTGAAATACACCTAATTTACATTAAGTCAAAAATGTTATAATTTTGATTTTCTCTTCATAGTTCCACTTCATATTTAGTTTGCAACTACCTTTTAGATCATGTACTTCAGGGTATGAAATACTTAATCAACAATATTTAAAATAAAAGTTTTCTAAAATAAAATTTACAGACTCTTTTTGTGGAGACATTTAAAGTTTCATTTCATAGTTTGCACTCTTTCTATATCATTAGCGCCCTCTTTCTTGGCTACCATTACCAACAACTAAAGATTGGAGAACTCAATGGAATGAAAAGGACTAAATCTAAAGTTACCCTTTCTTAATTACTTGTTTTGGAATTTGAAATACATTGACATTTAGTACCGTATTCATTATACCGAAAAATGAATAAACAATGAGTTTGCTTTAGTCTCTTTAATTAAAAATGAACTGAAATTTACTCCCCACTATGTGTGGGTCATTGTACTTAGGAGTTCACTATATATTAAGAAATGTGAGCCCGGAGAGGTGGCTCATGCCTGTAATCCCAGCACTCTGGGAGGCCAAGGTGGGTAGATCACCTGAGGTCAGGAGTTCGCGACCAGCCTGACCAACATGGTGAAACCCCGTCTCTACTAAAAATACAAAAATTAGCTGGGCGTGGTGGCGCCTGTAATCCCAGCTACTTGGGAGGCTGAGGCAGGAGAATCGCTTGAACCCAGGAGGCGGAGGTTGCAGTGAGCGAAGATCACGCCATTGCACTTCAGCCTGGGCAACAAAGAGCAAAACTACATCTCAAAAAAAAAAAAGAAAAGAAGAAAAGAAAGAAAGAAAAGAAAAGAAAAAAGAAAATGTATGATGGTATAGACGTACAGACACTTGCATATGAATTTTCCAGCACACTTCTATGGAGGAAATTGGCAAGTAATATAGACTGAAGCATTAGATTGAAATGTCTGGTAATGCAATGTCAAGTGCAACCAAATGGTAGGAAGGATGTGTCGTACTTCAGAATTTCCAAATCATACAAGCTTAAACACTCATATTATATAGGTATTTTATGAATTTTCAAAAATATGTCAGCAGAAAGATTGTAGAAAAGACTGAAAGTCCCACTTGTTCAACACACGAAGCCAGAGGCAATAAGATTTAAGGGTGTATATGAATACATATTACTGACTGCCTTTGGAATTACCCATTATTGAAATCAGAGGCCTTTAGCTTACTGATGTGGTTGTTAGCAGCTTGAACGAAAGGGTTCATAGAGTGAAGGTCTAGGTGAATGACTACAAGCAGGTTTTGCGTCTTAATTTATCTTTAACTGAGCCTTTTCCAAATTATTATATTTAGCCCGGGTTTCTTCATCTCCACTGCCATACACCTCTCAAAATGATCATTATCTGGAATAGGAACCTCCACAGTTTTCATGTCCATTCTTTTACTGCTTCAAGCCATTCTCCACTATACAATTCATATGGTTTTTTTTTTGTTTTTGTTTTTGTTTTTGTTTTTGAGAGGGAGTCTCTCTCGGTCACCCAGGCTGGACTGCAGTGGCACCATCTCGGCTCACGGCAAGCTCCGCCTCCCGGGTTCACGCCATTCTCTTGCCTCAGCCTCCCCAGCAGCTGGGACTACAAGCGCCCGCCACCACGCCCGGCTAATTTTTTTGTATTTTTAGTAGAGACGGGGTTTCTCCGTGTTAGCCAGGATGGTCTCGATCTCTTGACCTCGTGATCCGAGTTCATATGATTTTAAGCCACAAATCTGATCAGTTTAAAGTGTAATTAGTATCCATTGATGTCTTTTCATTTCACTTTACCATCAACTATACCAGTTAAGAATTGTGTTTGCCTGCTAGTAGCAATGACAGGAAACAGAGCAGCTTAAATGAGATTATTAGTTATAATTTTTTGTCGGACACATTGATCAAAAGTAATCAACCTAATATTTGTATTAGAATCTCATGATAGCACCAAGGACCCATGATCTTTCACTAACTGTCCCGCCAACACTAGCTTTTGACTTCCGTTCTCAACTTCACCTCATATTTCAAGACATTTTCAAGGAAGAAGAAGAAGAGAGCCCACACTAGCCACCTATTTCTCTTCTCAAGGAGATAAACTAAAAGCTCTATCCTGCATTTCCCTTCTATGTCTCCTTGTTTAATTGTGGTTAGCTGTAGGGAATGCTGGAAGATTGGGTTGTTCTTCTAGGCACCCTTAGGTTACAGATAGAAAAATTTTACCTTAGACGGCAAATATCCAGAGAAGAGAGATATCTGATGTTAGAATACGAAAACAATATGATTATCCAAATGTTTCCATGTGTAATTTATTCCCATTTTTAACACATTGTAAGCTTTAATTATAATATTATTTTAAAATATTATACGTTGAAACATAAGATTATTAATATGCATATTTTAAATTATATTCAGTTTTTCTTTGTAAATTGAAATATTAATTTTGAAAAATTAATTTGCAAGACATGAGCTGTTAAGTCACTTCACAAAAGGTTATTTGAGCCTCTACTTGATGTGCTTTTTTTTTAAAAAAGTTGAAACTGTATAATCTAAAATATGTGTGTTTCAATTAATTCAGTCTTTAAAATGCTTTCACAAGGGGAAGAGTCACAACTGTATGTTCAAAGAGAAGAGCTATCTTTATTATTATAACATTTTTTCAAAGCTTACAGTATTATTTGGTTAAAAATTACTTTCAGACACAAAATATTGACTATCAGATGTTAAAATATTTCAAACAAATGAAACAAATTCATTAGAAGAATTGGCTAGATATTTTTTCTCATTGAATAGAAGATTTGCTACATAATCTTGGAAAATGAACTTAATTCCTCTTGTTAAATAAGAATTAGCTACAAATTAAATTGGAAGGAAATTAGAGTTATCAGCTACCTGCAAACATAAATGAATATAAATGTGATTTTCCATTTTTAAGTAAGTATATTTTTCGTAGAGTAAAATCTACCCACTTTAGTTTTATCAACATATTCAGTCATGTGATCATCACGAATATCAAGGTGTTTTCAACACTGGAAAAAATTCCTCCATGTTCCTTTACAGACGGAGACTCCCCTGGCATTGTCATTAATTTGTTTTCTCTTCCTGTAGTTTTGTGATTGTAAGAAGGTCAAATAAATTGAATCAATTCTGTAGGAAGCCTGTTGATTCTGGCTTCTTTCAATTTTAGATCAATCCATATAGTTTCATATCTCATTAATCTATTCCTTTGTATTCCAGGGATGTATTCCATTGTATACATGCAATACATTTTGTTTATTCATTCCGCAGGTAAAGCACAAATGGCTGTTTTCAGTTTTTGTTGATTGCAAATAAAACTGCTATAAATATTTACATATAGGTTATTAGTGAACATTTGTTTATTTTTACAGAAACAGCTAGGCATGGGATTGATGGATCATATGGTAAATGTTCCCATAACAAGGAATTGAAATCATATTTCCCAAAGTGACTGTATGATTTTGCATTCTTAGGGAAAGCATTGTGACTTCCAGTTGCTTTATGGTTTTGCCAGTACTTGTAATTTTTTAGAAATTTAATAAACATGCAGTAGTAACATATTATTATATTCATATTTTTTTCCCCAATTATTATTGATGTTCAGCATCTCATGTTTATTTGCCATCCATATGTCTGTTTTGAAGACCTGACTGTTCAAATATTTTATTTAAAGTTAGGGATATTTGCTTTCCTTCTTATTGATTTTTGAGAGTTCTTTATATTTGTGGATGCAGATATGCGACTTTAATATATTTTCTACCAGTGTGTAGCTTGTGTTTCATCTCCTTAATGCTATCTATTTTTTTCATAGAGTACAATGTCTTTATTATGGTAAAGTCGAATTTATCAATATTTTATTTTATGAGTTTTGCCTTTGTGATGACCTAAAAAAACTTTGCCTAGTGCAAGATCACAAAGGTTTTTCCCTATGTTTTCTAGTGGAAAGATTTTGCTTGCTAGATTGTTTTATGTTGCTTAATTTTAAATTTCATTAGGTCTATGGTACATTTTGAGGATTTGTTTAAGTGGATGGGAGATACAGATTCACTTTCATTTTTAGCATACATGTGTTCAATAGTTCCAACACTGTTTATGAAAAGACTGTTCTTCCTCCAAAGAGTTCCCTTTGTAAATTTGTTAAAAATTCATTGATCTTCAATTTGAGTACATATTTCTGGAGATTATTTTTATTTCTTTGATCTATATACCCATGTCTTTTCCAATTCTGCACTACCTTGAATACTATATCTTCATAATAGGTACAGAGAATAGGTAACATGAGTAAGCCTACTTTGTTCTTTTTCAAAATTGTTTGTTAAGTCATTTTTTTCCTTTTACATAGATTTTAGAATATAAATTTGTATAAATTTAGAATTCAGCAATTCCTTTTTTTTAACATTTCCCCAACCATCCTACCTTCTCCAGCCCCTGTTAACCGCCATTCTACTCTCTACTTTAGCAGGCTAATTTTTTTAGATTCTACAAATAAATGAGATAATGCAGTATTTGTTTTTCTATGACTGGTTTATTTCACTTAACATAATGTCTTCCAGATTCATCCATGTTATATCAAATGATAGAATTGTGTGTTTTTAAAGACTGAATTGTATTCCATTTTGTATATATACCACATTTATTTTATCCATTCATCCACTAATGGACACTTAGGTTACTTCTAGATCTTCTTGTGAATAATGCTTCAGTGAACATGGGAGTGCAGCTATCTCTGCAACATACTTATTTGAATTCCTTTGAACATATCCCCATAGGAGAAATTCTGGATCATATAGTAGTTCTATTTTAGTTATTTTTCAAGGTTGGAATACATCATTTATTTTTTCAGTTGAAAATAATAATTGTACATATTCATGGGACACATAGTGATTTTTCAATAAATAAAATATACAGTAATCGGATCAGTGTAATTTTGTATCCTTTAACTGGTCCTCACCCTCTCTGTACCCATCTCAGCCTCTAATATCCTCTGTTCTGCTTTTCACTTCTATGAGATAAACTTCTTTTTCAACTTCCACATATGAGTGAGAACATGCACTTCTTAACTTTCTGTTTCTGGCTTATTTCACTTAACACAATGTCCTCCCGTCTCATCTCTGTTGCTTCAAATGGCTAGATTTCATTCTCTCTTATGGCTGAATAGTATTCCGTGTGGTGTGTGTGTGTAGACACATTTTCTTTAACCATTCATCTGTTCAACACCTATGTTGATTCCATATCTTGGCTATTGTAAATAGTGCTTTAATAAATGTGGGGGTGCAGAGGTCTGTTCAACATAATGATTTCCTTTCCTTTGGATAAATTCTGAGAACTGATAAACAAATTGAGTAAAGTTGCAGGATACACATTAATAGTTTTATTTTTTTGATGAACCACCATACTGTTTACCATAATGGCTTTACTAATTTACATTTTCACCAGCAGTATAAAAAGATTACCTTTCTGCATATCCTCATCAACACTTTTTATCTTTCCTCTTTTTGATAATGGTCATTCCAACGTATGTAGTGAAATCTCATTGTGGCTTTAATTTTGCACTAATCTGGTGGTGATTAGTGATGTTAATCTGGCGGTGATTAGTGAGGTTGATTATTTTTTATATATACCTGTTGGCCACTTTTATGTCTTTTTTGACAAATATTTATTCAGAACATTTTCCCCTTATTTAATAATGTTATTTGTATTCTTACTATTAGTAAGTTAAATAACTATTAGTTGCTAGTTCCTTGGACATGTTGGATATTTATCCCTTATCAGATGAATGGTTTGCAAATATTTTCTTCAATTTCATAGGCCATTCTTCAGTTTGTTAATTGTTTCCTTGACTGTGCACAAGTTCTTTAGTTTGATGTTATCTTATTTGTCTCTTTTTGCTTTTGTTCCCTGTGCTTTTGGGAGTCATATCCAAAAATTCATTGCCCATGCCAACGTCATGAAGTTTTCACTTATGGTTTCTTCTGGTAGTTTTTTGATTCCAAGTTGTACATTTAAGTTTTCATTGTAGTTTGAGTTGATTTTTGTATATGGCATGAGATAAGGGTTTAATTTAATCATTTTTTTGCATATTATATCTAGTTGTCCCAACTCCATTTATTGAAGAGGCTGTCCTTTCCCTGTTGTGTGTTCCTGGAAACTTTGTTGAAAATCAATTGACCATAAATATGTGGATTTATTTTTGGGCTATCCATTCTATCCCATTGGTCTATGTGTCTGTGTGGGCTTCATTCTTTCAGGCCCTCTGGTAGCTACTGGGTTTCTGCCATCCTAGATTTCTAATCAGAAAGAAAATAGGGCTTCTCTCTCCTGGATCCACTACAAACATTCCCAGAAAGGGATTCTGCATTGGCACAGCTTGAATTTTTATGCCACTACTATGCTCTTTTGATTAATATAGCTTTGTAGTATATTTTGAAGTCAAGTAGTATAATGCCTCCAGGTTTGTTTTTTTGATTTAAGATTGCTTTGACTATTTAAGGTTTTTCATGGTTTCATATAAATTTGAGGGTTTTATCTCTATTTCTGAAAAATATGTCTTTGGGATTTTGATAAAAATTGAATTGAATCTGTAGATTATTTTAGATAGTATGGACATTGAACAATATTAAAATTTCTAATCAATAAATATAGTATATATTTTCATTTATTTGTGCCTTCTACACTTTGCTTCATCAATGTTTTATTACTTCTAGTGTACAAGTCTTTCACCACCTTGGTTAAATTCATTTGTAAGAGGGCCTTTATGTAGCTATTATAAATGGTATTGTTTACTTGATTTTTGTTTCATATAATTTGTTATTAATGTATAGAAATGATACTGCCTTTTGTATGCTAATTTTGTATCCTGCAAATTTATTAAATTCAGTTATTACTTTTAACAGTTTTTTGTGGGGTCTTTAGGGTGTTCTATATATAAGATCATGTCTTCTGTAAACAGGGACACTTTAAGATAATGTATTGATTTCCAAAAGGAAAACCTTGCTGAAAATCTGATTGGAATCACACTGAATCCATAAATCAGTTTAGGAAGAATTTTTTTTTTATTATACTTTAAGTTTTAGGGTACATGTGCACAACGTGCAGGTTAGTTACATATGTATACATGTGCCATGTTGGTGTGCTGCACCCATTAACTCGTCATTTAACATTAGGTATATCTCCTAATGCTATCCCTCCCCACTCTCCCCACCCCACAACAGGCCCCAGTGTGTGATGTTCCCCTACCTGTGTCCATGTGTTCTCGTTGTTCAATTCCCACCTATGAGTGAGAACATGCAGTGTTTGGTTTTTTGTCCTTGTGATAGTTTGCTGAGAATGATGGTTTCCAGCTTCATCCATGTTCCTGCAAAGGACATGAACTCATCATTTTTTATGGCTGCATAGTATTCCATGATGTATATGTGCCACATTTTCTCAATCCAGTCTATCATTGGGAAGAACTGACATCTTTATTATATTGTGTCTTTCAGTTCACAAAAATGGAATGCCACTTGCTTTACTTAGGTATTCTTTGAAGTCTTTCATTAGTGTATTTCAGCATACAAATCATGCATATATTTGTGAGATTTTTCCATAAATATATGTTTTTGGTGCCATTATAAATAATAACCTTTAAATTTTATTTTAATGTACAATTTTTATTTCCAGTATTTGTCAATCAAAATGGCTTTTCTGTATATAAATATACGGGAGTTTGCTAAGCTCATTTACAGGTTATATTAAATTTTGGGTAGGTTCTTTAGGATTTTAAGAGAAACAGTATGGTAATTGTAAACAGAGAGTTTTAGCTCTTCATGTCCAATCTTGTATGTCTTTTTATTTATTTTAGTGCATTATTAATAAACTAAGAATTCCAAGGTCTTTCTAAATAGAAGTGATTAAAAAACATGTCTTAATTTATTCCCAGTATTATAAAAATTCCACAGACTAGGTAATTTATAAACAACAGAAATTTACATCTTACATCTCTGGAGCCTCATAAATCTGCATTCAATGGCAGATGTAGTTTCTAGGGAAGGCTCACTCTCTGCTTCCAAGATGGCTTTCAAGATGGTTATTTTCTTATTATTGAATTATTTGAGATTTTTATAGATTGTAGATATTAACCTCTTATCAAATGTATGGTTTGTAAAATTTTTCTCCCAATCCATGCCTTGTCTCTTCAGCGTGTTAATTGCTGAATTTGCTGTGCAGAAGCTCTATCATGTAATCCCATTTACATGTACGTTTTTGCTTTTGTTGCCTGTGTTTTTGGGGTCATTTCCAAGAAATCATTGCCAATATTAATGTCATGAAGTTTTCTCATATGTTTTATTTTATTGGTTTTACAGTTTGGGGTCTAATATTTAATTATTTTGAACATCTTGAGTTGATTTTTGTATATATTATAGGATAAGAATTCAATTTCATAGTTACAAATGTAGATATCCAATTCTCCCTGCACCATTTATTGAAGAGATGTCAATGGCTATTATCAAGAAGAAGAAAGATGACAAGTGTTGGTTAGGACATGCAGAAAGGGAAATATTCTTACACACTTGATGAAAATGTACACTAATACAGGAATTATGGAAAAGAGTATAAAAATTCCTCAAAAAAACTAGAGCTACTTTATAATCCACTGATCCTGCTAGTGGGTATATATCCAAGGAATTGAAATCAGTATGTCAAAGAGATATATGCACTCTCATGTTCTTCGCAACATTATTCACAATAGACAAGACATAAAATTAACATAAGTGTTCACCAGTAGATGAATGATTAAAGCAAATATAGTACCTACACAAAAGAGAAGAAGATTCAGCCTTTAAAGGAAATTCTGTCATTTGCAAGAACATGGATGAAACTAGATGATATTATGCTAAAAAAAATAAGCAAGACATAGAAAGACAAATAGCTCATGTGGATTTCACTTATAAACAGAATCTAGAAAAGGTGAATTCCTAGAAGTAGAAAGTAAAATGGTTATGACTAGAGGCTGTGGAGTGGAGACAGTGAATGGGAAGAATGGAGATGTTGGCTACAGGGTACAAAGCTTTAGTTAGACAAAAGGAATAAATGGTAGCAATCCATTTTGCAAATGTTAACAATATTTAATTATAATATGTTGTATATTTCAAAATTCCTAAAAGGGTAGATTTTAAATTTTCTCACCTCAAATAAAAAATAAAAAATATTTGACAAGATAAATGCATTAGCTTGATTTAGTCTTTCCACAATGTACACTTCTGTCTTAACATCATATTGTACCCCATAAACGTACACAGTTATTATGTGTCAATTAGAAATAAAATGAAAAATATTTTTAAAAATCAAAAAAAGAAAATCCAAAACCTGGAAAGAAACTTATTACAAGTGTATCCATCACTTTGTAGAAATTCATTGAACTACACTCATTCGTTATGTTACTTTTCTGTATGTTTATTAAATTCCAAGGAAAAGTATTTTAAAATTCTAAAAATTGGCTTTAAAAATTGTATTCATCATTTATTAGTCAGCTCCTACCTTTATATAATATTATGCCTGCTGTATATGTGGCACAATGGCTTTAAAACTGTGCACTTTTAATTCAGTTCTTCCTTTCTTTATACTCTTATTGTCATACATTTTATTTTTATACATACTATAAACACACAACATGATCCTGTTAATTTTGTTTGAAATATTCAGTAACCTTTTAGAGAAATCAAAATAGAGAAATTAAATTTTTATATATACTTGGGTGTTTTATATTTTCAGTGCTCATTATTTGGGTAGATCCAAACTTCTATCTTACATTAATTGTGGAAAAACTTGGAATATTATTTCTTTAAATATTTCTTCTGACCCATTCTCTTTCTTTTTATTCTGGGACTCTAGTTATGCATATGTTAGTCTGTCTGATAATATCCTGCAGCTCTTTACATTCTATTTTTTTCATTTTTTTTTTAAATTGTGCTGGTTGTGGTGGCTCACACCTGTAATCCAAGCACTTTTGGAGGCCAAGGCAGTGGATAGCTTGAGCTCAGCAGTTCAAGACCAGCCTTGGCAACATGGCAAAACCCCATCTCTACAAGACAAAAAAAAAAAAAGTCATGGTAGTGCACCTTTGGTCCCAACTACTCAGGAGGATCTCTTGAGCCCAAGAAGTCAAGGCTTCAATGAACCAAGATCAGGCCACAGCACTCCAGCTTGGGTGACAGAAGGAGAGCTGTCTCAATTTTTTAAAAAAATCCTTTATTTTTGGATGATTCCTGTTAACATTTACACTAATCACTAATTGTTTTCTCAACTGTGTGAAGTCAATAAATGTGTCATGTTAGTGTGCTTTTTTATTATCCACATTTTCACTTGATTCTTAGTTATTATAGCCATCTTTCTCCTGTAATCATTTATCTTACATGTAATCCACCTTTCCCATTATATACTTTAATAATACTTTAAAATGTATTTTCCAACGTATGTGTTACAGGTGAGTCTGCTTCTATTAATTACATCACTTGTTGACAATGTATTTTTATGCTCTTTTGATATCCCTTAATTTTGTATTAGTATTTAAAACTAGATGAATAAGAAAAAAAGAGGTTGAGGTAGTTTACAAATGTAGAAATGATCAACATTTTCCCTGTAGACTATCTCAACCTGTGAATTTTGGATTTGTAGTTGTTATTATTGTTACCCTCAGGTACCATAAAATTGAATAGTGTTATCTAGTGTCCCTTTTGTTTATATTGAAGGCCTAGTTGCTAAAATAAGTTTTAATGTCTATTCCACCCTTCATTATCACCAGTAACACTTGCACTATATTTTATTATTTCAAACTTTTGCTGAATTCTTCTTAAATACTGCTTGACAGAATTAGCTCCAGGTAAGCAAGTACTTGCATTTTATTTCGTCTTGCAGGTATCTAGTTTTTCTTATATCAGGTTTGTCGATTGCCCTGTCATCTTGGCTCCTCTGATCAGTTAAGAAGTTATGAATCTGCAGAATGTCTAAAGTTTGTTGCTGTTGTTGCAGTTAGGGTGGAATCACTTCCATCACTGTTCAAAGTTTCTCTGTATGTGATATGGTTAGGCTTTGTGTCCCCACCCAAATCTCCTCTGAATTGTAATCCCCATAATCCCCATGTGTCAAGGTAGAGACCAAGTAGAGGTAATTGAAACATGGGGGGCGATTTCCCCCATGCTGTTCTCATGATGTTGAGTGAGTTCCCATGAGATCTGATGGTTTATAAGGGGCGCTTCTACCTTCTCTAGGCACTTCTCCTTCCTACCTCCTTGTGAAGAAAATGCCTTGCTTCCCCTTCACTTTCCACCATGATTGTGAGTTTCCTGAGGCTCTCCCAGCCACGCTGAACTGTGGGTCAATTATATATATATATATATATATATATATATATATATATATATATATATATATACACACACACATATATAAAATAATAATATATAAATTCCTTTGTACATTACCCAGTCTCAGGCAGTTCTTTATGGCAGTATGAAAATAAACTAATACAATATCCTAAGTGGAAGTCAGAAATTAATATGTATTATTTTGATAAAACTTAAAGGGTTTTCCAAGAAGATATCTATAAAAAGAATTGCCTTTACTTTTAGCTACTTGTGCTTAATTTGAAGCAATGGAAGCTTATATTGTTTTTAAATCTTCAGTTTACATGGTAGATATAGAAAAACTAGTTTTCTTTCTTCATGTTACAATCTTCCTTTGTAAATTTTTTTATTAAATTGCTTGATACATTCCATAAAGTGGAGCAAGTACAAGGTAATCTTATTGATTACACAACAATATAAAAATAAACTTACAAACATCTTTATATAAATAATTCTGGTTTTTAAATATTCAATATATAAAGCCTGAGATCATTCAATATCCAAGCCTTCACCTCATTTTTCTTCTGAAAACATAAAACCTAAGAATTAAGGATCAGGTAATAAAATTGTAGCACAAATAATGACATGTTTTTAACATGTCATTTTTATCAGAGGCATCAGTTTTTAATCTTTGCAGATAATTTAAAATTAGATAATATAATCTCTTAAATATCTTTATAATTTGGGAAATATGTTTTCCAAGCACAGGAAAGTTAATAAATTTTATTCTTCTTCATCCACATTTTTCCTGATAAAATGCTGTCTTACAGTTAGTGTTACTAATAATAGACTGTGTGTTCTAATGTTTCTCCCCTAGAGGTAAAGAGAAAAAGAGTTAGTCTATTGTTAATATAATATCTTTGATTATATGTGTGCTATTCTTCACCATTAGTTAAAACATTATTGGTTTAACCTCAACAGAGATTTTCACTTTTTTAAGAGTAGTGATGACTTCTTCTGAAACTGCATTTTGCATGATTTACATTAATAACACTAAGCCACAGAATAAGGATATAGTGCATATGCATAGGGATATAGTGTTTTGAATTATTAATACACTATTTTCATACAAACAAGATAACCCTATGGGTGAATTACATTTTTATGTAAGCCTTAAGTTTTTCTTTTTAAAATTGTTATCAGTGCCATTCAGTATAAATAGTTAAAACATTTTCTTTTATAAACCTTTGAAGGAATAAATATTCTGCACATTTACCCTGTATCCTCTTAAAGCAAAATAGTACTCACTTTTTAAATTTAAATTCCAAAAGAAACAAATATAGTCTCATATTTTCAGTTCTATATAATAAATTATGTTAAATTTATCATATGAGAAGGGATACAAAATTATACAAATATGCTCATGGAACATTTATTGTTCAAAATTCCACTATGATGACTTCTGTAAATTACATAGAACTTTTCTGATTAGGCATAACCAACTGATTCTAATTTATGAAATTCTCTTAAACTTAACAGATACATGTTTTAAATGTACTTCACTAGACTTATCAGTCTGAAAATTGCCAAATAACACTTCATTCTTGAAATTAAACCCAGTGGTTCTTCTTTACATTAAAACAAAAAACAGTCTATAATATCTATACTTTGAAATGGTCACAGTCTTAAAAGTTAGATCACAATGAGTGGTCACAATTTGGGAATGCTGACAAAATGTTAGTTTTTAATTTTAAGGCATTAAATTCATGTATTTGAATCTATTTCAAAGAAGCAAAACAAAATAAAAACATTAACTACATATTCTAACATCTCTTCATAAATGTTGTAATTAATTCAGCTTAGCTTAAAAATTTAAACTCGCACAAACTCATAAACTACAGGAAACACAGGTATTCAATTATAAAAATTATATTAAATGAGAGAAAAGCCTATGTCCACAGCCTGAAAAATGAAGTGTCAGAAATAGCATCAAGCACAGGGCAAAAATATAAAGCTCTCAAACTCTAGAATGAGAGGCTAAAAAGTTGTCCAATAAATTCAGCAGACAAAATAGGACAAGTGTAGAATGCCAATAATTAAACAACAGAACCCATTTGTGACAGATTAAAATGTCTCAATAAATTTCAAACTGAATTTATTAGAAAATATATGTTCCTAGGAGTAAATTATAAAATTGGTGATCTCAAAGGAAAACAAAAAACAAAAAACATTAGTCTTATAAGCTTCCAGGCAGAATGTACAAGTCACAAACAATGAAAATAATATAAGCATTGAATTTCTCTTTCTTCACTCTTGATGTAAGAATATATAGGCTAAAGAAAAAATAGGACCACAACCTTTAAATGATGAAATCAGCCAAAGGGAGGATATCTTGAGGATACACAAGAGATTGGAGAGGTTATTGTCTATGAACTACATCATATCCCAATTTGGGGAAAAAAATTACACTCGAAAATAATTTTAACAATTTAAAACAACACAATAGTTACAAGTTGGAGATAGATGATGAATTGAGAAGGGTATAGTTAGCAATGAAGCTTTGATACATATTTAAAAACACATTGCATTACGTATATATAAAAGTAATTGAAATGAAATATGTATTTTAATCACATTTATATATAATGAAATACATATTTGAATACATATCTATCAATTTATTTTATATATAATTAAAATGGATTAGGAAAAACGATGAAGTTTTAATATATGTTCTAAATAAGAGCTCAAAAAAGAAGACAACTATTCCCTAAAGGAAAGTCATACAAGTACTAATGAATCTTAACAAACCCCAATTAGGATAGGAAGTTGAAAATGTAGCATGACTAACAAAACTACAAAGAAAAAAATTTAATTATAACAGTTATTATACTAAAGAGAAATTCATTAATGTCCTCCACTAAATTAGAGGCTATTGTGTTAGCTTAAAAAAATAGAATGTTGACAATATTCCAATTATAAGAAGCACACACTGGTTTAAAATAATAAGAAATGTTTAAGAATTATGATAAACAACTAGAATGTTAGTTACTACAATAAATAATAAATGAGAAGTAACCATATTAATGTAGGGTGGAATTTAACATTAATGAATGTAAAGAATTAAAAGACAATTTTACACAGTCTATACAATATCTGGCATGAACCAAATGATATGACAGTTAAATACATAAAGGAATTTATAACTTAATATGTAATTTTTGGATTGTTTTTCCTGGGAAAATTCAATAATCACAAAAATAGACAGATTCAGTATCTATCTATCTATCTATAGAAGTAAATATGAACACAAAATCATTATTGTAAGGACCTTATATTTTTGTTGGGGAAACAATAAATGATAAACAAAATCTATAAATATATTACTTAATGTACTTAATATTGTATTCCAAATGGAGATATGAAGCCTACATACTTATTAAACATGTAAATAAATAAATTATACTATGCAAAAATAAAATAAAAGTACAAGCAAGTAAGGGGGACCAAAGTACCAGAGTGGGTGGCAATTTCAAATATGGTGTTTCAGACTAGGTTTCTTTGGAAAAGTGACAAGTGACCAAAGACTTGGAGAAATACGGAAGCTAACCACAAAAATATCCAGTGGAAGAACTTCTGATGCAGAGGAAACAGCCAATGACAATTTGAATGAAGGAAGTAGGTCAGAAGGAAATAAATGAAGGATGAGATGAGAAAGGAAACTAGAGGATAATCTATAGGGCTTTACAAGGCTTGAGGGAAGCTAACTACAGAATAAATAGTAGCAGCCTGTGGGCAGTAATAAGAACTTTGCCTTTGACTGAGTAAAATGGAGAGTTATTATAAAGTTGTAAGCAAAAAAGAGAATTATGTAATATAGAATAAAAGTACTTTTTACATATTGTTTTAAACTGGTTTTGGGTATGGAATAAAATTTATAACTGAGTTCACTAGCAAATAAACAAAGGAAAAACATTTAATATTTTAATAATATATTATACATTATTAAGGCAAAGAAGGCAAAGATGAAACTTCAGTATAAATATAGAAAAACTTTATATTTATTTTTTCTTTCATAAAGACTTGTTTTATGTAAGTAGACTGTTTTCCTAGCCAACCCATCACCCCAAATCCCCCCAGAAATATTCCTTGTTATAACTGTAAGCCTAAAGATATATGCTCTATAATATTTAACTTTGTGTGCATTTAATTTAAAAAATCCTTTTAAACAATACATTTTCAGAATTAATAAAATGTATTACACTTCATTCATAGTAAATGAAAACAAATCCAAGAAATATACTTTCTCCTGCATATCAGTTTTAATTAAAATATTTACATGACTTATAATTTGTAAAATTTGTTTCAAAATGCTCTGTACAACATTAGTGTGTTATTTCATTGATTCATTAATTCTGAAAAAAGTAATATTTATTTTAATCATTCAATATATATTTTATTTTCCAATCTTAGCAATCATATTATAGGAAGATATTTTGCAGATGTGAAAACTTGAGTAACATATTGAGGCCACCTTGTTCTGAGGTAGGAGACTCCAGGTGGGGCTTGGACACTGGATTAAATTAAGAACAAACTAAAACAGGGCCAGGGTGGAAGTGGCTTTCCATTGGACATGCTCACCAATGTGCCATGTTAGTTTACCATTGCCACTCGGGTTAAAATTCAGGAGTATCCCCCTCTTTTCATGGCAATGGCTCAAGGACTCAAAAGTTACTACCCTGTCCCTAGAAATTTCTGCATAAACCGCCTCTTAATCTGCATGTTATTAAAAGTGGGTATACATGTGACTGCAAAACTGCCCTGAGCTGCTTCTCTCTGCCTACTGGGTAGCCCTGCTCTGCAGGAGCAGTCATGTACTGCCTCTTCAAGAATGCTGTTTTCTTCTATCCAACTCTAGCTTGCCCTTTAATTCTTTCCTGGGCAAACCCAAGAACCTTCCAATGCACTGTGGGACTGGCCTGCCCTGCATCAGCTCTATGTAGCAAAACTGAGATTCATAAGTTTCTTTCTCTTAAACCACACCTAAGCACAGATTACATTGTTAATGCAGTGATGAAACAGAAAAACATGATTCCCACTACCCCTAGAAGAATTTTAAGTATTTCTCCTTTTAAAGTAAATGTCAATCTTACACTATTTCCTCGTTTCCTCTTAAACTTTCTTTGAGGTGTATGAGTTCATACGGAACTCTTTAAGGTTGTCAGAATTGTTAATCCAATGCCAAATTAAACTTGAATCTGAAAGTTTCTGTTTTCTTGATTGAATTAAATGCAGAGTGCTCATGTATATGCACAAACACTGGCATTCAGCAGAGCCCTCATTACCATGCTGCGAAGTGTGGATTCAAATTAGAGCTGCATGTTAGACAATGGCTTGCATAAGCTAAGGCTTGTTAAAACAATGTTAATGAGCCCCCATTGTACTGAGCAGTTGCACTTTCAGATCTTTCATATTTGTTCACATGAGGCCTGGGAAGATGCTGAACTGATCGTTGGAAATAGGGCTAGAAACTCTCTACAGAGTCACTAAGGTAGAGGGAATTAGAAAAATCAGAAACAAAGAGCCATATATAATATAGTTTAGGTTAAAAAATAGAGTTATATTAATTCCCCCATGTGTCAGAATTTTTTTCAGGCATGTTTAGAAAATCTGGCCAAGCAAAGCATACTCAAGATCCGTAACCTCGCAGTTACTGTCGTTTGTATTTTCCAGTGTCATTTATACAGAACTTTCTAAGGCTTTTCTGATTTGTTTGCTTCTTCTACAATTATTTTCTTAACCAAGAATACTTTTTTATGAGGCCAGGTAAAATGTGTTCTTGGGAAAAAAAAATATTTTATAAAGAATGAAAATGATCTCGCTACTAGTTATTCTTAATGTTACTTTGTGATCTACAATTAGAAGGAACGACTTGAAAAGAAATTTTAAAATTAGTATAGTCTATTTCTAGCAACTGCTAAATGATACATAATGAATCTCAATTTAGGAAACATTGTACTAAATATTAAACATGGACACTTTATGTGATCACCATGCCATAGACTAGAGGTAAAAACACAGACCTAAGCTCAAAAATAAAATGCACTTTGAAATACTGTTGACGTTATTTATTACATGAGCATCAGTGTTATCAAGATGATGCATTGTTCAGGATTATAGATACTAGAAATTTAACATTAATTTTAAAATATAATAATGATCTTATTAAATTGACAGACCTCACAGAGTATATTTTCAATCATCCTACTTTGGGAACAATTGTTTGAAGAGCCCTGACCTGCTGCCTTTAAAATACATCAATGCTTGTTCCACACTCAATGGACATCCATTGTAAATTACTCTGGACTGCATCAGAGGATATACATTTTTGACAAATATGAATGAAAGCAGAACTAATATAATGATATAGGAAGTGGGAATTTCCCAGCTATTTAAGGAACAGGACAGAAATGATCTTCTGTGGATCGTGTACCTTCCATGGAACATTATCCCTCCTATCTCTATTATATAGTTGTGAGAAATAAGACAGATCTAAATATATTCCAGATATCATTAAGTGCTATAAAGTGTGAGAATGTCATACAGTCCACGGCATAAATTGATAGAGGAGGGATAGTTGAAACAGCACAAAGACAGTTGCTCATAGGAGAGGAATTATTTCTGTCATTACTGTTGCTGGCTATGAAGTCTTTGTGACCTTCATAATAAGCAGTGTCTAGGTAACATCGAATTACAGTCTGTCAATGGATCACGTTACTCTATCTCTTGCAGAATGTATTTACTCACTATAATACTGGACTGGAGAGCAACACACCATTGTGTAAAAAATAAAAAACTCTTTTGTGAGAAGTAGATGTTCAGGATTTATTAATATCACAAATTTTAATGTTTCATCAACATCAAAGTTTGAGATATTCAACTGATACCAACCTCTTCTTTTTAAAAATTTAGCTATTAGACATAATCTTTGAAGTCATAAACATCTAAAAGTGCCAAAGCTAAGGTTAATCTCAGGATTATCAATAGGAATACAATTTTATAGTGTGAGTTGATCAGAATTTCTGAAGGTAAACAACATTTTGAGTTTTACAAAGCACCTCATCTTACCCACTTTGGTGCTCTTGCCTTGTCCTCCCACTCTGCACAGAGCAGTGGTCTTTGCCCCTGTCTCAGGTGGGTAGCTTCTTTCTTCTATCAGGCCTCTACTTCTCACATAGGTCTTGGCCTTATTTGTATTCTAGTTCTCAAGCAGTCCTCCATCACATTATTCTTTCTTATATCCTACACATTTTCTTCAAGATATTTGTCAAAATTTTAATAAAACATTTACTTTATAGTTTTTCATTCACTGTTCAGTAAAACCACTAGTTGGTAATTTCCAAATCGATATGGGCATGTCTATTTTGTTCATTGTTACATAGTCGAGACCTAATCCTTTTCCTAGTACATGAGAGGAACTCGATGAATACATATGGAATAAGAAAGCCATGAGGGAAATAAAACACATGAATTATTCAATTTTGTTTAGTATATTAAAGGTTAACCTATGAAAACTATGTTGAAGTAGGAAATTCCAAAGTAAGACCCTGAAGACTGTGCAGCAGCACTTGTTACATGGAGCATCTAAAGGTCAGCAAATGCTTCATGAAAGCCTTTTGATGACAGCTGTCATTACAACTTTACTACAAAGTAAGCTGTAGTAATAAAAGCACTCATGGGGAATGGTAGGCACTTTGAAACCAAAGGTTTACTGCTGGAGCTATTTTTACATGTCAGGTCTACTTATGAATAGAACAGCAAGAGAGACAAATGAAAAGTGTGTTCAAACTTGGTGGACAATGACTGTGTGGTTTAGGGTGAAAATTTTGCAATATTTCATTTCACTTCCTGAGCTTACTCCAGACAGGTCACTGAATACTAAGAAGAAAATATAAACCCACAAAAATGGTATTACTTTTCTATTAATAAATATCTCTAACATGTAGATCAATTAAAAATGTTAACCCCTTGATGGGGTGAAGATGTGGATTGTAGCATTTGTAAGTCTCAAATACTGGGGGCATTTCTGCTGCATTTCCTATGTACCACAGAAGAAGAGTTGTGCTTAATGGAAAGTAAGATTTTGCTTTTACAGAGTTAGTCATGTTGGTTTTAATTGATTGAGAATTCCCATGGTCAAATTAAAATAAGAATGTAATAGAAACAATGTCAAAGAACAGTCACTCCATCACATTATTTTACAGAGGATGGGGCTAGCACCAGTAGGTTAAGCGATTTGTCAAAGGTTGCATAATTGTGTGTGTAAAAGGGGGATAATAATTTCTGCTGTGAGGATCAAAGGAGATGAAAGCGCTCAGCAAAGCATGAACCAGATAAACTGACTTGCTGATATAGCTTATATGAAAGTTCCTGACAGTATTTCAATGCTTTCATTATAATTTATTTTAAAAACCCTCCTATGTTGGTGTTGTGTATTATACGAAGTGTTCAATTGACAATTAGACTCCCTCTGTGGCAAATAGACTCCTGGATCTTATTTTTGTGAATTTAAAGTAAGAGGGGTCACATAAGCTGACATGATACACTTAATTAGTATAAAAGTTGGTGGCAGGGGGATATTTTATTTACAGCTCATGTCCTATGTCCCTCATGTCTAGGCCCTTCTGTAAGCACCAGTTCTGGCATAATATGTTATTCCCTTTCTGGCGTGTGTTCCCAAATTCCCCTGAACTGAAGAGGTAAGATGTTTCCTCATCTCTGAAATCCCCTAACCCCAAATAGAAATACCAGGGGTCACTCAGAAGATAACCTATCGGTCAGTAATTTAAAAAATAAATGATCATAAAATCAACAATATCTAAAACAACATACCACTCTGACACGATAAAGTCCTCAATATTATGGATACAGAATTCATTAAAGTTAACCTAAAAATATTCTGTTCCTCATTTAGGATCTGTCTTTCCCAAATTATGAAAACACAAATATACGATAAGTCCTCCATAAGTTCTTATAACCCATCCTCTGAAGGGTGCAAATTTGTCCAGATCTAGCTTCTGTAGAGATAGCAAACACATCCCAATAATGAAAATGATTCTTTTAAGTTATAATAGCTTGCCATTTCCCTCATTTGGTTTTTAATGTCTTTGTGTTTAGTCGCCTCATCACCTTCAATCACCTCTTCACCCTTAATCTCCACATCCACTTCTGGATCTATGTGATTATCTGCTAGTGATTATCCCAAAGATCTCTGATATAATGCCATGTTCTTCAGTCTGTTCTGAAATTTGTTTCATTTAACATTAGAAATTGTATGTATATTCCTTAGTGGCCTACTCTTTGCACATTTCCTGGAATTTTCTTGCATATGTGCAGAAGACTTGAGTGATAGATAATTAAGGTTTGCAAAATAGTGATTGTGAAACTGAGGATGCTGCTAGGAAAAGCAAGGCAAATCTGACCCAAGACAGAGGACTCAGGCCTTGTGGGGTGAGCTCTGTAACTAACCAGCAAACAATAACCTAAAGATAAAAATTTGTTATTTTCTTGTATTTATATATGCATGAATAAGAGCAACCCACAGGAACACAGTGTCTGACCAAGGCAGGGATGAGATTCATAAAAGCAGAGGGTGCTGGTTAATTGAGAGAAGCCCATGCCTTGTCAGCTCAGGATTGACAGGTTACAGGAGTTCCACACAGGCAGATGCTTTCTCCTCAAGTCCTAAGCTTCTAGAATTCTGCTAGTGGCTTGCAATCAGGCTGCCCAGGCCATTAGATGGAGTTGAAGCAGTATGGTGAAGTCACAGACCACAAAACATTGTAAGTTGCAAACACAGGCTGTTTTGATGCCAGTCTGATTGGCTTCTGAGAAGCTATTGCTTTGCATTCCTCTCCCTGGACTTCCGGTCACTTGTCATCTAGAAATTGTCACATCATCCACACTCAGGGTCATGCGACAGGCAAGTTCCTAAGCACATGCTCAAAGTTCGCTTAAAATTTTCCTATCATGATTTTCTTATTCACAGTTCTGGAATCCATTATGAGATATATGGTATGAGGTTTCAATTCACTTTAGAAAAAGAATTTTGGTCACCCATTGGTGTTATTAAAGTCCTTATGCAAAGAAACTGTTTTGAGACATAGTAAGACATGCTTAGTAACGTACTACTCATTATGCATTTTTAGCCTAATCATATATTACATTATTGTTATGGGTAGAACATTGTAATGCTGCGACTCTCTTCTCAATATGAATGCACACACTTAAAAACAAAACATTAATGAATGAGATAAAAATGTAATGAAAGGCTAGTGACTATATTTTAGGCAGAGATTTAATGTTCCCTTAAAGCTGCCAAACATGAGCAACAGATTTTAAGCAGAGTATTAAAGTATCAATGATAACCTATTTCCCTTAAGATGTTAGAATATTTGGATTAATTCTGTTTCATCCTTGACAATTCGTCTATTTCTCAAAGAATTGGTGAATGTCCTATTCTGCAGAAATTGAAACTTCTTGGGATTCTGGCCCAAAGTCATTCTTAAATAAAGCTTGAATAACTAAAGCTTGAAGAACTGTGAACTTAATCATTATTAGAAACCAAAATGTATAATCTCCATATAGTATAAAATCTTCTTAGTAATTTTATCACAAAATCCTCATGAATACTACTGCCTTTCCATAATCCAATATAAAAGAAATCAAATCACTACAGTAAGCGCTTTTCTGCTATAAGTTCAATAAGTTCTCAGATATGAAGAGAAAAAAAGAAAGGGTTTGGGAGGAGAAGGAATTTCTTCAGAGCTGCTCACCAGTAAGGTAGTTTCAAACAGAACAGAAAATCTTTAAATTTGTATTGCTTATGAATTCACTAATTTTTGAGCCAAAATGACTACTGATTTATATAATCATAAAATTATACAATCATATATTCTACAATCAAAATATACCATATTTTACACAAATGTGTTATGTACATATTATATAACTATATATTACATAACTATACAATTTCATGTAAAATATTTATCAATTTATACATGTAATTTCATTTTTAAGCTTTATATAATGTATTTGTTACTATATATTATTCAAAATTCTTCCTTCTGAAATAATATCCATCTTTCTTCATTTCTTATTCCATGGTTAAGAAATAAGTGTATTTAGAAGCATGATTGAAATACTCTGTGTGTTGAAGAATGGAGTCAATACTTTCACAAATTGACTTAAACTTGGAATAAATCCTCTGAAGCAAAAATCATTTTAACCTTTTAATCGTTTTAATCATTTAATCTTTTGAGAATTAGAAAAATGCCATATAGTATTCTAATAAAAATAGCCATTCGTATTTTAATATATCAACAGCAAACATTGGACATTTTGTGACAAGACAACTTCTAATTATCCTATACAGGCTTGTCCATAATCAGGGATAGAGAACCTTAAAGTTTCAGTGATGTGTCTTGCTCTTTCTAACTCAGTGCTACTATAGTTCAACATACTCTTTCAAGATAGGATTGCATAGAGAATAAAGTAGATATTGTTTGGAAGGATTTGGTGGGGAAATAAGAATATTTCTATTTCCCATGATGAGAATAATTATATGAGAGTATTAGGGAAAAAATATTATTTTTTCCAGTCACAAGGCCTAAGCAAAACTTCCATGTTACCTGATATTTTTCTTCCTTTCTTAGTCTACTCACTTCTCTGCCCCACATCTGTATTCTCTCCTTCACTCGTACCTCTGAGAGCTAGGATCTCTAGCCAACCAGCTACTGGAAGCAATGAACATCAACTTTGATGAGAGTAATTATGTGAATTATCTTAATTACCCTGTGAGATAGGTACTGCTATTGACCTCATTTTATAAACAAGGAAACTGAGTCTTACAGAGGTAAAGTAACTTGCTTAAAGACAAATAGGCAGCAACTGGATTTGAACTCAGGTTTCATTAACCCATATCCACACGATTAACCATTAAGTGATGTTGCCTGTTGGAAGTTCTACATAGACACTCACTGCTTCAGTAGGTTGCCAGCAACCTGTCATAAATGTACTGTCAGCCTATGCAAGTGTAATTCTTGTAAGTCAATCATTGCAGTTCCATTCAGACAAAAGATCACTCATCTTTCAAACAGTTGCATTATCCATCTTTACACTGTATTTTTGTCACCCCAAGTATATACCGGTATTTTCTCATATGTAAAGATGTTCTGGAAAGCTTTGATTATACGTGGACAATATACTGACAAAGAGCTGGTTTCCATGCACAATGGCAGATTGTTCCCAATTGATCTTTTCATTTATCCTAAATTTAGAATCACAGTGTCTTAAAAATACATTATGGGTAGAATGTGGTTACTAGGGGCTGCGGTAGGAGGAAGAGGGAAATTGTTCAAAGGGTATAGCATTTTAGATTTGCAAGATGAAAAACTTCTAAAGATTTGTTTCCATGTGTGAACATACTTAATACTTAACTGTACATTGTAACACGATTAAGATGGCAAAATTTGTTATATATTTGTATCAGAATAAAGAAAAAAACATATGATACCACAATGCATGCTTATTGAATATATACCACATACATTATACTACTTTAGTTTACATTTACTGAATCTTTAACATTGTTTCTTCATAAATCTACACATTTTAGCATATACCTGCCCTTTCAACCTGTAACATATGACACATTATTCTCTCATTTAACTTATCTCTTGCTACTAAGCATATGGCTTCATCTATTCTTGACTGTTGGCTATATTATGCAATACTTAGCAGCAGGGTTATAGAAACAGATTAAACAGAGTTCAAAGTATACTACATCAGGTTTTTTTTTCGTGACTTTGTGCAAGCTATTTTCTCTGTTTGACTTCAGCCTTCTCATATTTAAGTGTAAATAAAAAATATATTTATTTAGTCTGGATGTGGTGATTCACGCTTGTAACCCCAGCACTTTGAGAGGCTGAGGCAAGCAGATCACTTGAGGCCAGGAGTTCGAACCCAGCCTGGCCAACATGGTGAAATCCTATCTCTATTACGAATATAAAAAAATTAGCTAGGCATAATGGCATGCGCCTGTAATCCCAGCTACTTGTGAAGCTGAGGCATAAGAATCACTTGAATCAGGGAGGCCGAAATTGCAGTGATCCGAGATCACGCCAGTACGCTCCAGCCTGGGCAAGAAAGGGAGACTCTGTCTCAAAAACAATAATAAAATAAAATTAAATTAAATATATGTATAGTTATTTATGATGTCATGATAAATAAGTTGTGAACTTATGTATCATATCACAGCTATTGATCCATTGGAACCACCAACTGAATAAATTATAGAGAATAGTTATTAATAATTTAAAAAATTATATAATCCTGTCTTCATGTTATACTTCTCTCTGGCATTAAACCCAGCTTCCCTCTCCAAGGAAAATTATATAACATGAATAAATATGGGCAAATAGCAGATGTTCATAAAACTAATATCCCCATCTATCTAGGTGCTGACTTGGCTAAATTTCTTTGGTCGTCATGCAGTTGCATTTGGCCATATGACAACATTCTAGTCCACTAGAAATTGGAGATAATTTCTGTGTTCCCCTTCCAGGGCTGGGCCCATAAAATTCTTCCATTCACAGTCATCCATGCTGTTAATATTCTTGTAAGCTTGAGGCAAACACAGCAAAGTTGGAAGTCATGATAAGACAGAGGTAGTCTTTTTGGAGTAGAGCCACCCACCAAATAGAAACATAGGTTTTGGACTGTATGTAATCAAGAACTAACCTTCTTCGGTATTTGAATCTTCTTGATTCAGAGCTTTGTTTGTTCTAGCTACTGAACAGAGAAATTGGTACCTTGAAGTGGCACAACAAAGGAATCTTACAATGCTAGTTCCACCTGATTTCATACTCATTACAGATAATTATTGCTGTGTGTCTTGAATGCCCCCTTTTTAAGAATAAACGTCTTTGTTATAATTATCCTTGAATTTGCCTCTACTGTGAATCGGTCAAGAGACCGTAAAAATAATTAGATTACATATGGGTAATATAAGAGAACCCAGGTGCAGATACAATAGAGAGGACTACACATTAAATGGAAAGTCTGTGTTTGACCTAAAGGCAATAATTAGTTGATGACCTAAATAGTCTCCTTTGAGAAAGCAATGCGTGTATTGTTATATATGTAGGAAGAATATTAAAACAAAGATTTCATAACAGGAAGAGAAGACTGTGAGATAAATTGGCAAGCTATTCACATAAACAACTGCCTCTTCTTTCCAGATACAGCAGTTAGTCTTCTGGTTAGGTACTGCCATGTGACTGTACTCTGGATGTGTTTAATAGATATTTTTAAATGCTAGTCCTCTTGTCATGTATAGGATTAATGCGGAAATCAACAGGATGGCTCTAAAATTCATATGGAAGAAATAATAGCCCAAATTAGCCAAAACAAGACACTGCTGACACAGCAAATTCAGAAAATTAATGGGATATTAAGCAGAAAGACAAATCAATGGAATAAATAGACCAGGAAGAGACAGATACCTATATGGAAAGTACTCAGTAAAAACTAATGGGACATTTGTTTACAGAGGAGAAAAAAATGAAATTGAATCCTTACATGTACAAAATCTGAAAATATATTACAGATGAATCAAAGAAAACATTAAAACTTTTGTAGAAAATATGAAAGAATATTCCCATGGCATTAGAATGAGCAGTAATTTTTTCCACAGGATAAAAAACTGATAAGAATATAGGAAAAGATTGATCTATTTTATCACATACAAATGATAATTTCTGCAAATTAAAAGGTACGTTAATGACAGTAAAATATATGCCACACATTGAACATATTATTTGAAACATATATTGACTAACCGTTTGCATTTATAATCTACAAGGAACTTTAATAAATCAATGAAAAAGAAAAAAATTATTTTGGAAATGGGAAAATGACAGGAATTATATAAAGCATCATTTTGTCTCTGGAATTTATTCCTTCCCATGGGTTATCGGTCTCACTGACTTCAAGAATGAAGCCAAGGTTCTTCGCAGTGTTAAGCTCTTAAGGATGGTGTTTCCGGAGTTTGTTGCTTCAGATGTTTAGATGTGTCTGGAGTTTCTTCCTTCCGGTGGGTTCGTGGTCTCGCTGACTTCAGGAGAGAAGCCACAGACCTCCGCAGTGAGTGTTACAGCTCTTAAAGGTGGCACGTCCAGAGTTGTTTGTTCCTCCTGGTGAGTTCATGGTCTCCTTGACTTCAGGAATGAAGCCACAGACCCTCTCCGTGAGTGTTACAGCTCATAAAGGCAGTGTGGACCCAAAGAGTGAGCAGCAGTAAGAGTTATTGTGAAGAGTGAAAGAACAAAGCCCCCACTCCATGAAAGGGGGTCCCACCAGGTTGCTGCTGCTGGCTCCGGTGGCCACCTTTTATTCCCTTATTTGGCCCTGCCCACATCCTGCTGATTGGTCCATTTTACAGAGCACTGATTGGTCCATTTTACAGAGTGCCAATTGGTCCATTTTACAGAGTTCTGATTGGTCCATTTACAGTCCTTTAGCTAGACACAGAGAGCTGATTGGTGCTTTTTTACAGTGTGCTGATTGCTGCATTTACAATACTTTAGCTAGACAGAGCGCTGGCTGGTGTCTTTACAATCCTTTAGCTAGACAGAAAAGTTCTCCAATTCCCCACTGGACCCAGGAAGTCCAGCTGGCTTCACCTCTCAATTTCAAGTGGTCCATAACATTTGAAATGTTTCTCAGCTTCATTAATAATAAAGAAATATACTTTAGAATGAATGTGATATGTTATATAAGATATATAAAATTAGCAACAATTCAGTTTTCTCAACATAAAACATTGTCATAAATGTGTAGAAAAAGGACTCTCATTAAAAGTGATGGAAATTTAAAATGTAGTCGCAGTGATTTAGAAAAAAAATGTCTAAAATACTGTACCTGTGTGCACCCTAAAAACTACCTGTTTTCCTCTTATCAACATATCATATAAAATTATATTATATATGCACTAGGAGATATTTACAACAATAATGATTACAAGAATAGTTATATAAAAGCACTAATGACAGCAAAACTTCTAGTATAATTCAAATGTCCACTAATTGCAAAACAGAAAATGTAAAATGTGATAAATTACTATGATTAATATTATACTCTACTGCAAATTAATGGAAAAAGCTTTACACCTCTACATGGAAAACTCACAAAAACATTAATTAGTAAAAAATGCAAATCACAAAAATACATGCAATTGTATGTCATTTTTATTAATTTGAAAAGCAGGGAAAGTAAATAAAATGTTTTTGGGATTATTACAGAATTTAGAGAAATTTACGTATCAATTATGTAAGATAGGTGAGACTCAGCTAAACTCACAAAAATGAAAAAAAATCTCTGCATCTTTATAGAGTTTAGGCTAGATTTTTTTGTCCCTGTAAAATACTCAAAACAATAAAGATAGCACCAGGAAAAAAAAATGGAAATTCTGAGATACAAGATGTATAAAAACATAGCTAGATATCACTTCTAGGTCAAAGAGTATGAAGTAATCAACCTTTCCAAGAATAGGGCAGTCAGAATGTCAAAACTGATTAATGTTAAAGCTGACTGAAGAAATGGTTGTTGAAATTGTTCAAGTCAGGGAACATGTAAGCAACATAAAAAATTTGTAACTTTGCTTCTGTTAATGGTATTTGTAAAAATCAGCACATAATTTGTAAGAGGAAAAGAGTACAGGAGAAAAGGTTTTGATGTAGAACAGTTTGCATTTTTGTAAGCCAAAGAAAAATAATTTATTTTCTTCAAGCACTGAATGTGGGAAGAACAGTCTAATTATTAGAGGGAATGGAAAGATGGATCTAACTGGAAATAATTGATATATACTAAAACTTCTTTATTTCATAGCTAATGAGGAGAAAAAATGAAATTGAATCTCTACTTTGTATAAAATCTGAAAATATATTTTGTATTTTGTTTGCAACTATGCTTGTGAACACTATATAGTAAAAATATACAAAAAAATGCTGTAGTTTTGGTTAGATTTAAGTCAAAGACATTCACTGATAAAAAATCTTTGGATGTGAACATTCCCCAAATCAGAACAATTGTCTCTGAATATTACCTCCGTTTGAAAGGTACTGGCATACATTTGTATTAATCTTGATGTTTCAAAATAAGCCCTAATTTAAAAGTTATTCTACATGCAAACTAAAACAATATTAATAGAACTTCCCTTTTCAGAAACAATAAAAAAAAGACATTTTGTAAAATGTGGTCCTGAACAAGTCACAGTAAAAAATAAATATATACTTAATGTCTACCTCCTCAAAACAGAAGTTAGTTTCTATTCCTCTGTCTTGAAAACAAGGTGAAAAATCAGCCTATAAGCAACTTTGGGCAGAGGGTTGCCAAAACAAAGCTCAAGCAATTGAACTTGGACACCTCAAAAGAATTTGAGAGAATCTGACCACAGGATCCAAATTCTATTAATAACAGATACAAAGGTCAAGTGGCTCCTCCCAAGTAGCTTAGTTCATATTCCCATAGGGTCTATAGTGTAACCCATTTAAATAAAGAATTCACAAATCAAATAATTGCCTTGAATATTACAATTTGGAAAAATGTCTCTTGAAATAAGCTATGGGGAGAAAAAATGTAGCCATGTTGCATTTATACAGGTGTAAAGAGCAAAGCAAATGCTATTGCTGTTGTGTGCAGGCAGCTTTCCCTCTGACTGTACTTAGAAAATCCATAGAGATGCTGGTGTGTGGTGGGGACATTTTCCTTTATGCCTCTCAATGAAAGGAAAAAGTAATCTTCCTTTGCCCCCAGAGAATTAAAGCTCAATGTCGTTTGCTTAAATAATTACAATAGGTTAGAATTTTAGCACAATAACATATTTTTTAAATGTCAATGTTCAAAACCTTTCCTATTGAAAAAGGGATAAGCAGCAAAGACATGGCATTTAAATTACCTTTCTGGACTGTTAATATGGTTGGAATCTCTATTGTATTTATCTAAAGTAAGAACCCCAAATTAAAACACATTAAGGGGCATAATCAGGAATTTGAAATCTAATACAAATCATCTGTCAGGTGAGCCTAGAATAGAGAAGCTATACGATTCCATATGTAATACGTCAGTAAGATAGATTGGCTGCATCCTCCGCATTCCCTGTTTTTCTTCCTCAACACAAGATGATGGTAAGAATATATACCCCTGCTTTGTTAGGGAGAAACAACTACATCATCTGAAGAAATGTACAGTCCTAACATACCTTTGAAGAGGCACAGTTTCTTCTCTCTGCTTTGATCATGCAACTGGAAACAAAAGCCTTGAATAGGAGGAAGCACAAGAAGATTGAAGGCCCGTGTCATCACTTGGAGAAGAGCATCTAGGAAAATTTTGTGTTTATTTGTCTTATTTGGATTTTTAAATATATTCTTTACTTGTATAGATTTAGGAGGTACAAAATGCAGATTTGTGACATGGATATATTGTGCATTGGTGAAGTCTAGGCTTTTAGAGTAACCATCACCCACACTGCGTACACTGTACTCATTAAGCACTCATCTTTCTCCCCACTACCACTCTCCCACCATTCTGAGTCTCTAATGTCTATTAATTCAACTCTCTGTGTACATGTATACACATAATTCAACTTCCACGTATAAGTGAGAACATGTGGTATTTGACTTTCTGTTTCTGAGTAATTCATAACTGCTTCCAGTTCCATTCATGTTGCTGCAAAAGACATGATTTTATGTATATATACCATATTTTCTTTATCCAGTCATCTGTTGATGGACACTTAGATTGATTCTATATCCTTAGTATTGTGAATAGTGCTGCAATACATATATGAATGCAGGCATCTTTTTGATATAAAGATTTTGGTAGGAACAAGAGGCAGAGAAATTCTAGGCAGAAAAGGATGGGTCCCTGGCAAAGCCCCACCCTCAAGCCGAAAAGTTTGAGATCACGGCCCAAAGCGAGAACTTATATCCCTGTTTTCTCACTCGAATGTTACCTTTTCCTAAACCATCCATGGCCCCACCCCACAGCATCCTGTTACTATAAAGATCTCAGACTCAGCCAGCAGAGAGGAAGAAGCAGCTGGACATTGGGAAGACCATAGCTAGACGTTGAATAGATGCAGCTTGACCTCAGAGGGACAGCTTGACAGTGTAACTTTGGAGAATTCAGCTGGAGATAGCAGGACTTCAGGAGAAGATTACCTACGCCTGCCCCCCATTCCAGCCCATCCATTTTCAGCTCCCCTTCCTGCTGAGAGCCACTTTCACTGGAAATAAAATCCCCTGCATTTACCATCCTTCCATTCGTTTGTATGACCTCATTTTTCCCGAATGCTGGACAAGTGAATGCAGATACAAAAGGGCCCACTGAGTTCTTAACACTTAAGCTGTCCACTGATGGCAGAGCTAAAATAGCACTGCAACACTTGCACTGGGGCTTTGGGAGTAACAGGCACACCCTCTGACACTGCCACAGTACCCACATAGAGTTTGCTTCTGCCAGCACCCAAAAGTGCTCCTCCCGGCTCCTGCACCCACCACCCGCCCATTCCCTCCTGCGAGGGGTGGAATGCAGCGAGTCCGAGTGAGTTGTGGTTGTCCCTGCCAGCACCGAACCAGCCAGCTGGTTCCAGAGCTCATGTACTCTAGTTCCTGCCTCATTCTCTTGCATGTTCCCACCGACGAGGAGTTGAGAGCAGCAGGCTGAGTGAACGGTGTACCCCGGTCATGGGTCCAGCAGAGGGGTCAGGGAAATATCCTGTTTCAAATTTCTTTTCTTCTAGGTAGATATTCAGTAATGAGATTGCTGGATCAGATGATAGTTCTATTTTTATTCTTTGAGAAATCTCCATACTCTTTTCCAAAAAGGTGCTACTAATTTACATTCCCACAAACAGCTTATAGTGTTCCTTTTTTTCCACACTCACCCCAAAAATGTCTTATTTTGTACTTTTTAATAATGGCCATTCTGACAGGTGTACAATGGTATCTCTTTCTGGTTTTTGATTTGCATTTCTCTGATGATTAGTGATGTGAAGCATTTTTTTTTTCATATGTTTGTTGGCCATTTGTATGCATTCTTTTGAAAAATGCCATTTGCCCAATTTTAAATGGGGTTATGTGTTTTTTTCTTGGTGAATTGAGTTCCTTGTAGATTATGGATATTAGTCATTTGTCAGGCACATAGTTTACAAGTATTTTCTCCCATACTGAAAGCCTGTTCACTTTGTTGATTATATCTTTTGCTGTGAAGAAGCTTTTTAATTATCTCATTTGTCTTTAGGTATTGTTACATTTGCTTTTGAGGTCTTAGTCATAAATTCTTTGTCAACGTCCAGAAGAGTATTTCCTAAGTTTTCTTCTAGAATTTTTATGAGGTCCTACATTTAAGTTTTTTAATGCACATTTAAGTTTTTAAATCATATTGATTGTTCTATATAATGAGAGATGTGGGTTCAGTTGTATTCTCCTGCATATTGCTATTCAATTTTCCCAGCACTATTTATTGAATAAGATTTTATTTCCCTGGTGTATGTTTTTGTTGACTTTGTGAAAGATTAGTTGGCCCTAGGTATGTGACTTTATTTCTGGGTTCCCTATTCCGTTCCATTGAGCTATGCGTTTATTTTTGTACCAGTACCATGTTGTTTGGGTTATTGTAGCCTGATGGTATAATTTGAAGTCAGGTAAAGTGATGCCTCCAGTTTTATACTTTTTGCTTAGAATTGTTTTGGCTATTCTGGCACATTTTTTCTTCCCATTTGAATTTTAGGATCATTTTTTCTAATTGTGTGAAAAATGATATTGACATTTTGATAGGAATTACATTAAATCTGTAGATTGCTTTGGACTGTACGGTCATTTTAATGATATTGATTCTTTAAGTCCATGAGTATGGGATGTTTTTCCATTTGTTTGTTTCATCTACAATCTTTTTTATTAATCAGTATTTTGTAGGTTTTTTAGAGATCTTTCTCCTCTTTGGTTAAATGTATTCCTAGGTATTTTATTATTATTTTTGGAGCTATTATAAAAGAGATTGAGTTTTCGATGTGATTCTCTGCTCATTGTTAACAGTGTATACAAAGGCTGTTGGTTTTTGTATGTTGATTTTGTATCCTGATACCTTATTGAATTGATTTATCAACACTAGGAGTCTTTTGGAGGAGTCTTTTCTAGGGTTTTCTATAAAATCATATCATCCGCACAGATAATTCGACTTCCCCTTTTCCAATTTGGATGCCTTTTTTTTCTTTCTCTTTCCTGATTGCTCTGACTAGGACTTCCAGGACACTGTTGAATAGGAGTATTGAAAGTGAGCATTCTAGTCTTGTTCTAGTTCTTAAGGGGAATGCTTTCAACTCTTTTATCTTCAGTATGGTGTTCCCATTGTGCTTATTGTATATGGCTTCTGCTATTCTGAGGTATATTCTTTCAATGCCTGGTTTGTTGGAGGGTTTTGATCATTAAGAGGTGCTGAATTTTATCAAATGTTCATTTTTGCATCTATTGAGATGACCATATGGATTTTGTTTTTAAGTCTGTTCATGTGATGAATCACATTTATTGATTTGTGTGTGTTGAACCATCATTGCATCCCTGGAATAAACCCCACTTGACCATGAGGTATTCTCTTTAAGTGCTATTGGATTCAGTTTGCTAGTATTTTATTGAGGATTATTGCCTTTAGTTCATCGAAAATATTGACGTGTAGTTTTCATTTTTATTGTTGTGTTCTTTCCCAGCTTTGGTATAAGGGTAATACTGGCTTTGTAGAATGAGTTAGGAAGGATTCTGTCCTCAATTTTTTGAAACAGTTTCAGTAGAATTGACACCAGTTCTTATTTGTGTGTCTGGTAAAATTAGGCTGTGAATTTGTCCGTCCCTGGGATTTTTTTTTTTTTTTGGTAGGGGGAGAATTTTGTTAATGATTCATTATTATTACTCATTATTGGTCTTTTCAGGATTTCTGTTTCTTCCTGATTTAACCTTGGGAGATTTTAAGTGTTGTAAAACTCAGTATGACTCCGAGTTGCTGAATTAATATAATTACCTGAGATTGTTGTTAATAATTGAATTTTCTACATTCTACTCTATATCTCCTGAATTTGATTATCCAGAGGAGTCTGAGAATCTGTATTCTTATTTTATTTTTTGCATTGACAAATAAAATCGAATGTATTTACTGTATATAATGTGATGTTTTAAAATATATGTACATTATGGACTAAATGTCACCAATTAACATATTAATCTTACCCAGACTAAATCTGGCTAATTAACATACATATTACTTACATGGTTATCGTTTTTCTGCAGAGAACACTTACATACACTCTTGTTGTTTTTCAAGAATATATTATGAACTGTAGTCACCGTGTTGTACAATAGATCTCTTAAGCTTACTCCTCCTTTCTAACTAAAATTTTGTATCCTTTGACCAACATTTACCCCCACCCCAAACATCCCACCCGCTGGTAAACCTCATTGTGCTTTCTACTTCTGGGACATCAACTTTTTAGATTACACACATGAATGAGATCAAGCAGTGTTTGTCTTTCTGTGTCTGGCAGAACATAATGCTCTCTAGATTCATCCATGTTGATACAAATAAAAAGATTTTATTATTTCGTATGACTGAACGGTACTCCATTGTGTATCAATACCCCATTTTTTAATCCATTCATTTTTTTCTTTGTTCTTGTCCTAATCCATTCATTTTTTGATGAACACTTAGGTTGATTTCATGCCTTGGATATTATGAATAGTGCTGCAATAAACAGAGAAGGACAGATATCTCTCCCACATACTGATTTAATTCTCCTTTCCCTCAGATGTGGAATTGCTTGATTACATGGTAGTTCTATTTTTAATTTTTAAAAAAATCTTCATACTGTATATCATAATGGCTATACTAATTTTCATTCCTACATATAATGTGCAAGGGTTCTTTTTTCTCTACAATCTTGTCAATACTTCTTATCTTCCTTTAGATAACAGCCAGAGTGTCTGTATTTTAACCACAAGCAATGCAGATGATCCTCATGATGAGACACATTGGTGCACACCAACAGGGTCCACTATTGGGGAGAATTTGATGAGTGGTGACAAGTGAGTCCGTTCACTAGACCTCTCCAGGATTCCTGAACATCAGCCCTAATTTCTGTTTCCTTCCCTGCCCTATAGAAATATCTCCTTAGATGCCGATTGTGAAATTCTTGTCTTTTAAAAACCTGACTCTCTGCTCATTTAAATTTCAAACCTCACTCTGAAAGGAAGGAATTACTAAACAGGTAAGTTCTTTGTAATAAAGGGTATATCTTTTTTTTTTTTTTTTTTGATACTGAGTCTCACTCTGTTGTCCAGGTTGGAGTACAGTGGTGCAATCTTGGCTCATTGCAACCTCCACCTCTTGGGTTGAAGCAATTCTCCTGCCTCAGCCTTCCGAGTAGCTGGGACTACAGGCACATGCCACCACGCTCAGCTAATTTTTTGTATTTTTAGTAGAGACAGGGTTTCACCATGTTAGCCAGGAAGGTCTTGATCTCCTGACCGCGTGATCCGCCTGCCTCGGCCACCCAAAATCCTGGGATTACAGATGTGAACCACTGCGCCTGGCCAACAAAGGGTATATCTTGAGGCACAAAGTGACAGCTGTGTAAATAATTCACTGTTAAGGCTCATATACCTGAAGTGGTAAGTTTATTTGGCCTATTATCATGCTGTCAGTGGACATGGGATCACAAAGACAGTCATTCTCAAATTCTGTGTTTTATATCCCTTGGAGAGATTTGACCTCACTATTTTGGACTCGTTAGCTCAATGGAACATTTAGAGAGAGAGAAAGACCAAACAACAACAGAAAGTGTAATGTTTATTTCTATTTAAAATCATATGTGATGCATTTTTCCAGATAAATTTATAAGATAGTATTATTTGTTAACTAGTAAAAAAGCATACTACTTTTGAAGGTCAAAATTAAAAATCTGGAAAGACAATTCCAAAAAGCAACATTAATGCTTCTCTGGTGCTAGTTTTAGTGGGTGAGTCACTGCTGACTCTAAAGCATTCCATAGTGTCTTGTGAGGAATAATATCATGTAAAGATGCAAATTAATGTTGCCCTGCAAGTGGGACACTGCCTAATAGAACTTATAATTCTCAGTATAGTTTTCCCTTTGGAGCATTGATGCATTTTTAAAATTTGCTGTTAATAGTAAATTGTAGTTTTTTATTTGTTATTTTAGCACCAGAAAATGAAACAGTGGGTTTGGCTATGCAACCCTAGAGATTTCAAGACTAAAAACAAAACAAAAGAGAACAAACACCAAAAACAGCAAAACTGTTTTCCAACGGGATAATTTTGGTATTATATATATAGATTGTAGACAGTGATGAAAATACTCTAGTAGTTACTAAAATGAAAAGATGTAAGAGAAAGTCTAAAACATCTTTTTTTAAAAACTGAGAAATTTGTCCTTTTTTCTTCTTTAAAGGAGGTTGGGTTAACATTTATTCTAAATTGTTTATTTTTATCCTACTCAGTGACTTGAGATCAAAATTTAGTACTCTGAGGAGAAATATTACCATGACATGTTTTTAATCAGTCATCTGATTCTTATATAGCCTTTTTAGCCTCTGTTGAATGTACAGAAGTTTGTTTTATAGGTATATATTATAGTTATATTTCTATATCACATAGAATATAAATATAATAATTATATATATTATATTATGGATGGTGACAGGAGGCAGACAGACTCCTGGGCAGAAAGTTGGGGGAGCCAGTGAAGGCCTACCTTCATGCCAGGGATGACCTGAAACTTGGGAGCTGGACTGCCAGTTCTGGGTGGAGTCCGCAGCCTGAGTGAGAACTTATGGTACTTTTTCCAGGCCCACCCATGGCTGCTCATTGACCAATTAACATGCACTTCTTCCCTTCTGAGCCCATAAAAACCCCAGACTCCAACAGACATCCCCTATGACCCACCTATGGTTAGGAGCTACCCACTCCAGGTCTTCTCTCTGCTGAGGGCTGCACAGACCTCACAGGGATGATCTGCCTGTGAAAAGGAGCTACCCACTGCAGGTCTCCTCTCTTCTGAGAGTTTGACACTCACTGGGATGACCTGCCTGCAGAAAGGAGTTAGCCACCGTGAGTCTCCTCTCCACGGAGAGCTGGACAGATGTTGGATTGACCTGCCTGCAAAGAGGAGCTACCCATTTTGGGTCTCCTAGGAGCTGTTCTGTCACTCAGTGAAGCTCCTCTGCCCCTTGCTTACCCACATCCCTCATTCTTCCTGAACATGTGACAAGAACTTAGGACCTGTCAAATGGTGGGAATAAAAGAGCTGTAATATAAACAGGGCTGAAACATGGCCCCCACTTACCACGAAGCAGGTGACAAGAAGGCGAGAAGAGCTGCAGCCCTTTGAGGATCCCAGATCAGACTTAGGGATTCCCCAATCCAGAGCCATGACATCTCTTTGAGGGTCTGTGGTTCCTGGTGTCTCCTAGCTTCTGGGCAGCACCATGTTCCCCTTGTCCAGATGCAGGTGCCCACAGCGGAAGCTATGTGCAGTACATCTGGTACAGCCACAGCCTTGCACAGAGCTGCCTGTCCCACCGCAGCAGCCAGTGTGGCTGGCTGTCGGCAGTGGCTGGAACCCATGCTTGCTCACCCACACACTTTTTGACACTTTGTGCCTGGCTCACCCTTGGCAGGTTTGGAATCTGACCCAGTAGTGTGAGCTGAGCACAGTCTGCTTGGCCGAGTGGGTGTAACCATCCCAGCAGGCACAAGCAATACTCAGACAGAAGTCACTGCTGGCCACAGAGGTTTCTGGCTGGTGAAGCCACACTCTGAGGATCCTGTGACAATATTTTATTTTTCTGCTACAGCATTTACTTCAGGGATGTGACTCCAAACCCAAAGTTAAATAATTGTAACTATTGAGTTATCCACAGTCTTCTAAGAGCTATCAGATTTTAAAATGATATCAGTGCGGGCAGGGGAGATGGTGGTTGTTGTTTTGGTTTATTTTATTGTGTTTATTTTTAAGAAAGGAAGAGAGATAACTTGGGACTCTGAATCTCTGAATTATTTGAAAAGACATCTCTTACTGTTCTGGATCCCCAGGGAAAAGTGATACATGAAAGAGCAGGTAAATATATAATCCCTCGTTACCCTAAGGCCTCAATTTCAAATCTTGTTGTAGAGAACCCATGTCACGGTAAGCAAGCCTTGACCATACAGGCCTTTGTCTTCCCATCTTTGGGTCTACATATTACCATTCACTCTGGAGGTCCTTTTCCCAAGAAACTCTCTCTTTCTACTACCTCCTATCTAATCGAAATCAAGTCCTATTCAAAATCAAGTCAAATTTCAGGTATATAATATACTATTATTAACTATAGTCATCATGATGTACAATAAATCTCCAGAATTTATTCATCTTATATCTGAAATTTTGTACTCTTTGAACAGCATCTTCCCATTTCGCCACCCTAGCCAACCTCTAGTAACTACTATCATATTCCCTCTTTCTATGAATTCAACTTTTTAAGATTCCACATATAAGTAATATCATGCAAGATTTCTTTGTAGGTGTCTGGCTTCCTTTAGCATAATCTTCTCTAGGGTCATCCATGTTATCACTTTTGGGAGGATTTCTTCCAGTTGAAAGGCTGAATAATATTTCAGCACACATATAGGACATATGTAATATGTGTCATGTAGATTATGTAGAGCCATATCATGTATATCTATATGTATCTATCTATCTCACATTTTTAATTCATTCATCCCTCAATGGGCACTTAGATTATTTCTATATCTCAGCTATTGTGAATAAGCCACAATTAACATGGAATTGTCAATATTTCTTTCATATATTGATTTCATTTCCTTAACCTTTTAATTAACGGATTTTTAATCCATCAATGGCTTTTATCTGAATCAAATACTATATTGGGACTTGTAAACTGTAATTTTATAATTCCATCATTTTTCTATATTTGATAGCTGGCATTCTGGTGTGAAATACTTTCTAATTTGTTTTTCCTTTTATCTCTTTTTCTCATTTTCTTTTTGTGTATTACTATCATTGCATAGATTTCCTTTAACTCAACTTTACAGAGTAAATAGAACAGCCCTACTTTTAATTTAAAAATAAAAATGCAGTGTGGTAGAAAGATGGACTATAATTTGAATCATGTGTATATCAAAGAAAAATATAAAAATAAATTATTAGTTAGAATTGGACACTATAATTCTATGATTATGGTTAACCTGAAGGTGAAATACAATTCTTGTGCTTCAGCAGCATATAATATAAATGAGGAAAATATTATGCACAATATCACATTATTGGTGATTAAAGTAAGAATGACTAAGAATGCCCTAAAATGAAGTAACATTACTCCAAAAAAATAAGTAAAATCATAGTAAAAAAAAAAGATTTTGTGTAGGAGCTGGATAGTGCCAATAATAAAGCACAAAATATGCATCTCTTAATTCCATTACTAAATTTAGATTAAGAAATTTGCAAAAGTTAAAATGTAACTGCAATATTGGCATTTGAAGTTCTTTTTTCAAACTACTGAGGTTGAATAACACTTTGACGGACATTTTCATAGGGCTTAAAGCAAAACTACTAATAAAATTTAAATGCAGTATTGAGATCAAATGCCTACTGTCTGGCTTTCAACACCTTACTGAGAATTAGTAACCAACAAAAAAATATGTTAGGCCTAATCAAAGAATTGAGTGTATGTGCAGCCACTCGTTTAATTCCTACAACAACCCTTATGAAAATTGGAATTATTTTTATACATTTTTATATTTGACCATGAGAGAAATTTGATAGATTTGAGAGTTTACATTGCCAAAATTCACAGAAATATTTAAATTATAAAGGCAATATTCGTTATAAAGTAATGAATACTCAATCCTAGTCCAAGAAATCTTATTTCGTTACTCATGCGTCATAAGCCCTACACTATACTACTGTGTGGTTTATCAAAGCCAACCTGCCCAACCTCATTGGTCCCTTTTTGAATCAATTGTTTCATCACTCGACTAGTCACTCACACATTCTTGACAATTTTAGTACCTCAATCCCTGAAAGCAATTGATAGTCTAGCCTCTTACGTCTATCTCCAATATGTCAAAAAGGTCTATTCATATTTCTGTTCCTTACCTGCTGGAACAATTTAAGTGATCACTCTTAAAAATAAAAAACCATGTCACCACACACCTTCTTCCATTTAAAACCTTCTGAAGGTGGCACCTGAAAAATGTATATAAAAAAATGCCCCTCAGCTCTACCTAACTTTTTCCGTCAGGCACCCCAATCAAGTATCTTAGTGCTTTGCAGCCATAACACACACACTGTCATGACTCATTCCATGCTACTCTATCCATGTGGACTGTTCTTTACACCTTCAAATCCCGGTGATCTCCTATTTATCCTTTAAGATCGAATGCACATGTTGCCTTTATGAAAGCATTCCAGAGTTTTTTAGCTATATCTCTTCCCCAAGACCTCATACTCTATAGCATAATTGTTTCTTTCACATGCATATCTCTTTGCATAAGATTCTGAATTTTAAAATAAGTCAAAATGATATATTTTAGTCATAAACTGTGCTCATTTTATCTTCATAGTACTCAGTACTGAATATTTAACACAGAGAAATCACCAAGAACGTATTTGCTTTATGTTTGATTATAAATTACCTTTTGGGAAAAGGTATAAATTGCGGGGAGAGGGGGAGCCTATCATAAGTAAATTGTTAGAGTTATCATTTCATAAAAAGTGATCATATATTCTGGCAGTTATAACTTTAATTGATCCTTTTTCTTGTATTTTTTTAATGGGACTAGGACTAAGGAGAAGATTTTTTCATTTTTCTTTCCCTGTGTCTTTGCTGTTACTCTTCCAGAAATGATTTACTATTTTTTCCACTGCCCGCAATTAGCAATAGTTATAATTAAAGTAGAAAAATAGTTCTAAATACATAAAACATACTTCTCTTAATGTTTCCTTCAATCAGGAGTACTTGTTGTCCCTGGTGGTGAGTGGTAATATGCTTTTTCTTCCCCCTTTATTTTAATGAAGACATAAATGCCAAATGAATTAATACTGTACCTATTAAAGAATTCAAATAAACAGATTGGAAAATTTGAAATATTTTATAATGGTGGGTAAAAAGTTTTTAGGTTAAATATCTTTAGAACATGACCCTATTGATGATAAAACTTAGCATAAGATTCAGTTAGTTAATGAGTACTCACTGAGCCTCTGGCTGTGGCAGGCCCTTTGTGAACCATTTGTAGGAATGCAAAAATAAACGGGAATACATGCAGCATTGTCCTGATTAAAACAGTGAAGCAGGTAAAATCATAATTTTTTGTCTATGCTATTCCAATTTTGTCTTTGGCTTGTTGTATCTTACTGTGTTCATTGTCACTCCTCCACTCCCAGGTCAATGGCGTACTGTTGTGCTGGTAAATTTATTCTACAGAAAAAGGAGAAAGAAATGCTGAGTCATACTCTTTGCCTATTCCTATGATGTAAATACTCCTCAATGGCCAATTTCAAAGGACAAATGTAGGGTTGCTAGAAATGATAAAATTCAGCTTTCACAAGTCAGCACATGCTGGTTCCAACTCACCGCCACATGCCCTTCATAGGCATGCTTCTTGACACAAAGACACAGAAAGCTCTTACTCTATCTTTCGTTCTCATAAATGAATTTTACATCAATTATTAACACAGTAACATGAATTCTAGTTATTGCTTTAACTGTCCCAATCCAAGGAAACTGTCCCAAAAACCAAGGAAATTGGTTTTTAAATGTTATCACTATGTTTATCCTAATACTTTCTTTTATCCCCATATAATAATTGTAGGCTGCATAAGCAGCTTGGAATTATATGGAGTCATACATGAATGTGCTGTTTATTCTGTGCAGGTTGCATAGATATTTGCTAAAATGGTTGAATGAAGGCCTTCAACAGAAGTGGCTTACAAAGGATATGATTTTATATTGCTTAATATTAAATATTACCAGTTAAAAACGCATGCATCAATTTCTGCTTACAAGATAGTAGGTACTATAAACATTTGTACTTTTTTTATTGAGAAAGGAACACTATCATTCAAAATATAATGCTTAAATAACTTCAGTAAAATATTTTAAAAACAAAATGCACCCGAATTAAATTATTTAAACAATAATAAATATGAAATATACTACAGAACAGTACTTGTTAAATGGTAAACAACAATATGCATTAAATTAAAAAATAGAAATTGGTTATGAATTCACCCAGCTAGAATGTGAAAGTCAAGGTGTAATCCCTGAGAAAAACACATTACAATGGCTTTTACAGATTTTACAAAATGAAAATACCTTCACATAATAGTCACAGAAATAGGTAAGAAAAAAATTAAATAGCCTAGTAATTGTTGGTTTTTCAAATGAACTGCATTTGTAGAGTGTAATGCACTTAGCAGATTCCGGCCTTGGCAGATTAAATAAATAGTGTATTTTAATATAAATGCTTTCTGATTGCAATTTAACTTTCATCATTTAACATGTGCAATATTAATTTCTTCAGACTAAGAAGCTGTGAGGAAAAGTTTCCATGATATCTTTCTACATTTTAATATTCATTTTCCTTTAAATAAATTCCTGTCAATTTCCTAATAGTGTATTAAATATTTATGTGTGTGGTAGTACACAAATTATTTCACATGTTGTACATTTGTTAACTATATATGATCATACCAAAGTTGTAACAAATTTATAACTCTGAGAGGCTCCTTGCATTTCTTGAGTAACCTAAAAATATTTTACTCAATTACTTGATACAGTATAAACCTCTTGTTTCAATGGTAGCAGTAGCAGACTCAAAAAAGAAAATAGTAAACAGTATTAACCAAATATGATGTTGGAGTTGAGCTTGGATTCTGAAAATCACATGTAATTGTTCAAAGTATGTCTCCCAGGGATCAGATCCATGCATTTGTCTTACTAACATCTCCTATTTAATCTGCTTTCTTTTACTTTTTCATTACAACAGGATGCATTGAGCTTGAAGCTGCCCAGGTGTGTAACATCTTTAGCTTTAATATTCACAGAGTCCAGAATTCCGTATGTATCTGTATGTATGTATGTGTGTAAATTGTGCTAGTCAAAATCATTAGTGCTCCTTCAAGATTAACTTTAACACTAAATAGAAATCTCTTATTGATGGATATAATAGTATCCACTTTTTATTATGTTTAGTAGAAATTGCATTATCTAGTGTGTTCTGTGGTGTCTAAATTTTGTTTCTAGAATTAGATGATATGCATTTTAAAATAAATGCTATGCTTTTCACTTTTTTCTCTTGTTTGTGTTTGGAATTGGTGAATTTAAATATGGGATCCCAATATTCTCATCCTTTGGAAGTAATAGAAATATGTTTCCTTTATGTTGCAGCTCCGGAGGTCAGTGGGGGTGGAGGGGCAGTATTTTGCCTTAAGAAGTTGGAAGCAAAACTGCTTGTAAGGAATAGACTGCCTGATTTTTCAATAGTAGAAATAATTGTCAAAGGAATTGTGATTTGCATTGAATTACCATGGATTATGATTTTAATGTGCCTTCATTTCATTAAAATCCTTAGAATACAGTACTTATAATTCAATGAGAAAATACAAAGAAAAATCAAATATTTTAGAAATGACTAAAAATCATCCCATTATGCTAGATGCAAAGAGTGCAATGCAAAAAATATACATCATCTAGTCTTATAGATGTGTAACTTGAATAAGTTACACTACACAGTTGAATTGCCAACTCATAAATTCAAACATATATTTTGCATGAATTTATGGTATCTAACAACAATTATTTTTTAAATAATGAATAATGAGGCAAATCAGAGTGCTTATACGGAAAACTAGGTTTATATTTCTTCATGGTTATTTAAATATTCTTTTTCTCTCTTTTGAAATTATCCTGTCAAACAGTTAGTAGATCTCCAACACACCCAAAAAATCTTGACAGTAAACATACTGCAATACTGCATTAATTTAAAAAAAATCACTAAGAGAAATCCTTTTTGGTATTTTCTCTGTCATATGCCCATTTTTTTTTTAGCTCTTAAAGATTTCTATGCAAAAAGAGGGTCAGGACTAAATAAGTTTGGGAAATGGAGCCTACTATATTCCATCCATGGAAAATCACAACCCACAAAACAAGGGTTCTGAACAATCTTTCAGTGAATAAGTGTTCAGCTTTGTTTATCCTACTTTTTACAAGTATGCTTTACCAGAGAACAGTTTTTAAAGTAACCTCTCTCTTTACATCCTGTAGATATAGAATTCCACAGAAAACCCTCTGAAATGCTGTTCTGTGCTAAACAAGAACTCCACTGCATATAACCTAAGTTACTTTGTAACCTTCTTGCCTATTCAAGCACAGACAGTCAAGGTAAATCTGAATCCACTCTCTAGAGTGTTTGTATGTATGAATTATCTCTCTAAAGCACCATCTGGCCACAATACTTTATCATTATCAACACACAAGAGCTGTCTGCATCCAGGAAAGTATTTCACACCTTATTTAAATGTGCTACCCAATATGCATGCGTGTGAACTATACATCCAGAGTCAGATATGCACTTCTCACATCTAACATCAACATATCAGGTTTGCCCAGTTCTCTCTCTCTCTCTGTGTGTGTGTGTCTCACACACACACATACACACACATTTTGAAGTTGAAGCTCTTGACTTCATAAGGATGACTCATCTCCTTTACTTGAATAGCTCGTGTGTGTGTGTATGTGTGTGTACGTGTGTGTAATATTCAAACATGGGCAGAGATAGAACTAGCTTGTGCACTAATCATATCTAAGACTAACATATCAGAGTTCACTAAAGATGAAAATGTTAAGCTTTCCTAGTTTGATGATGACTGTTTTCCCAACATAGGAGTATGCAATTCTTGTCCTCCAGCCAACATTACAAGTCTGAATATCTAGGCAAAGACTCTAATAAACTTGCACCATATCCAGTTTACAGTGATGCCTACACAAAGCCACTATAGAGAAAGAACATTCATACCTCTAAGAAGATAAATTCAGTGCAAAAATCATCTAAAGGTTAAAGTACTATGGCCTATTGTCCCCACCACAAAAAAATCTGAGTTTATGTGATATGTATAACTGTAAGGTTTAATTTAGATATATTAGATTACCTATATTGAAGTTTTTTAGTGGTGAGCACTTCCATATGAAAATAGGTAGTTTTGAAAGTTTAGGTCTTGCAGTTTTCCACATTACCATGTCAAAGTCGATAGTAAGAACATAAAGTTTTCTCTGCAGGTATTAGACAACCACACATTGACACACCTCTCTGAAAATTTCTTCTTTAAATTTCTGTTTAGATCACAATGAAAACAGCTGACTCCATATGAAAATGGTTACAAAAAAAATCATGTCAAGTGCAAATATATCTGAGCAGACAAGAAGATGAGCTATTCTAATAAAAGAGATAACTCATCCTTGTTATGTGAAGTCAAGAGCCTCAACTTCAAAAGGCAACATTTTAGGAAGATAAAGTGAATCCTTCTCATTCTAATTTTGTTGTTTCATACTTTATAAAACACAAAAGCAATGAATAAATTTTTAAAAATAACTTAGTGTACCTTCGGGTTTCTTTCCCAAGGAGCCTCCAGGTATTCTCTGAGATATGCCTAGAAATACAACAATACTGTTGTTGTTGTTGTTGTTGTCGTTTTGAAACAGAGTCTTGCTCTGTCGCCCAGACTGGAGTGCAATGCCGCAGTCTCCACTCACTGCAATTTCCACCTCCCGGGTCCAAGTGATTCTCCTGACTCAGCCTCTCGAGTAACTGGGATTACAGGCACCAGCCACCATGCCCAGCTAATCTTTGTATTTTTGTAGAGATGGAGTTTCACCATGTTGGCCAGGCTGGTCTCAAACTCCTGACTTCAAGTAATCCGCCCACTTTGGCCTCCCAAAGTGCTGTGATTACAGGTGTGAGCCACCGCGCCCAGTCAACAACACTGTTTTAATGTGTGAGGAAAAGGAAACACAGGGAAAGGGGAAAGCATGGTCTCTGAAGACATTTCATCTTTTCAGTTCCTAGTGTAGACAGTGAAATCCATGTACATTCGTTAATATAAAATGTTTAGATTACACCATTAGTAGATGGAGAGGGAAGTTTCTATAACACTACAGAAAATTCTAACTCATTACCATAATATCTTTTCACTCTTCACCTTCAATGCGAGGGCAACTGCAGCAGTCATTGGCAATCAATTTTCAGACTCCCAAGGGATGTGTCTGGGGATCTCTCAAGGTGAATAAACAATCAAAGACATATTTCAGCCAGGTGTAGGGACTCCTGTGGCTGTGGAAGCTTTTTGAGAATTTCATCTTACTGATATGGGAGAGCTGAGGAGAGAAGAGTGTGGTCCCTTCAAATGATCCGGAAGTGGGGAAGGGAAGTGCTGGGTAGAGGAGAAAGTGGTCCTTGCCTAGGGCTCCACCCCAACAGACCTAGGTGAGGACAAGCATTTTTGTTGCATTTCCCAAGACCACCCTGGCCTGCGGTGCCCCCATCCTGTGCCTATAAAAACCCCCGAGGCCCTAGTAGGCAGACACACAAGCAGCTGGACTTCGAGATGAGTGGATTGAAGGAAGAAGACACCAGAAGCTGGACGTGGAGGCGGAAGAGCACACCAACAGATGCTGGCAGGCAGGCCATCAAGCAGCAGAACAACACAGAGTTTTGCTGGGGCAGTCAGAGGACAGCCTAGGCCGCTGAACAGCCCAACTCCAGGGGAAATCCTTCCCACTCCATCCTGCTTTTGGTTTCCCCCATCTGCTGAGAGCTGCCTCCACTCAATAAAACCTTGCACTCATTCTCCAAGCCCAGGTGTGATCTGATTCTCCAGGTACATCAAGGCAAGGACCCGGGATACAGAAAGCCCTCTGTCCTTGTGACAAGGTAGAGGGTCTAATTGAGCTGGTTAACATAAGCCGCCTATAGATGGCAAAACTAAACGCGCAAAACTAAAAGAGCATCCTGTAACACACGCCCAGTGGGGCTTCAGGAGCTGTAAACATTCACCCCTTAGACACTGCCATGGGGTCGGAGCCCCACAGCCTGCCCATCTGTATGTTCCCATACAGGTTTGAACAGCAGGGCACTGAAGAAGTGAGCCACACCACATCACATGCCTTGTGAGGTGGACAAGGGAACTTTTCCCGTTTCAATAGGTTAATCATTTCTAGGTTAGTTTCTTGAATGTGTCCTCCCTGTACACTAAGACACAGTTTTGGAGTACAGTCTTTTCTCATCCAATATCTAGTATTGTAATTGAGTAGGTTAGCTTCAAAATGCATTTTAAACGTTTTTTTTCCTCCTTCCTTCCCAGTCTCAAGATGTAACCTCAAAGCAAAAGGTAGAAAACTTGTTTTTCTTCATCTTAAAATATAGCCTTGAAACCTACTATGAAATTCCCCTCCCTTCTCTTTCCCACCATGTTCCCCCTTACCCCATGCAAGGTTACCTAACTATATGCTTATTAAGAAATTCCAGGGCCTAACTGAAAACAAACCAGGCATGAAGGCCCAGCTGCAGAATTCACCTCCACTTAATGATTGCCTCAAAACCAATAATCTACAGCCTGGTTACTGTCAAGATGACACCATCCCACACTCCCAGTGGATCATAACTCAATACAGGCATTAGAACAAGATTCACAGTTTCTGCACCTTGTACAACTCCTGCAGACCTCCCATATCAAGCTTCCCCTTTTTAAACCCTTTTCTTCAGCCCAAACTATTGAAGTTGGTTCTAGTGGGATGTAGCATGCCTGCTTCCCCACTGCTAGTTCTAGATATAAAATCACTTTCCTTTCACTGCACTTAGTCCTGTTTTTGACCTTGCAAGTCAGGCCTGCACTCAATTATAGTATGAGAGGGAAAAACTTTAACGATGGTGGGCCGGGCCTGGTGGCTGATGCCTGTAATCCCAGAACTTTGGGAGACTAAGGTGGGTGGGTCACTTGAGGACAGGAGTTGGAGACCAGCCTGGCCAACATGGTGAAACCCCCACCTCTACTAAAAACACAAAAATTAGCCAGGCATGGTGGTGTGTGCCTGTAATCCCACTTACTTGGGAGGTTGAGGCAGGAGAATCGTTTGAACCCAGGAGGCGGAGGTTGCAGTGAGCCAAGATCTTGCCACTGCACTCCAGCCTGGGCAACAAGATAGACTCCATCGCAAGAAAATTAAAACAGTTAAGGATGGAGGACATTGTTCAGAAAATAAAATTCAAGAGAAAGTTATGTTATTGCTGGTTCTTTACCATCAGATTTCATTAAAAATGTCATCTACTCGCATTTCAGAAAGATGAAAATAAGTAAAAAAATCATTACAGGACAATCTTATTTTATCTTGCATATATATATATATCTTTCATATATATATCTTGCATATATATATGCATATACATATATCTCATGTAAAAAAGCTCTGGCTTTGATAAATGTATGAGAGTTTGACTTCAGAAGCCCCATAATGTGTATAGGTTAGTTTATGTTTACTGTGAATTTGTTTTTACTTTAATGCTAAAGCAAGGGAAATCAATATCTACTTCAATTTTTTAAGATTCTAAAGAGGCATTTATCACATAGGCATGTTTTTTTTTATTTTCAGGAAGATTATATAAGAATATATTCTTAAAATTTATTGTATTTAATTCTTCCTAAAGAGAAAACAAGAAAAACATATCCAAGTTACATTAATGATTTTGAAACCTTTATTCGAATTGATAGCTCTGCACAAATTTGCTGTCAAAACATGCAAATAATCAGGTTTTTGCCTTTTCTTCCCCACCCTTTAGAGAGGGTGTCAAGCTGAAGTAAAATTAGTAACTGAGGAAAGAGTTAAAGTTCTTTTTTAAAATCTATTTTTTAATTTTTACAATTTTTAATTGAAAAAGTATAAATTGTATATATTCATGGAGTACAATGTGGTGTTTTGACAAGTGTATACATTGTAGGATGATTGAATAAGGTTGATTAGCATATCCATCCTCTCAACTATTTATCATGTCTTTTTGTGACTATATTTAAAATTACACATTGCATAAAACTCACCCTTCATGTTTACAAATGTAATTATGGTAATTAATTTTAGATTTGTTAAGTCACTACCTATAAAACAACCTTCATAGACAACAGAAAATATAGTATGTAAAAAGAAAATTTTAAAAAAACATTGCTTATCTGTTTTCAATGAAAAGCTAAAAAAATTGTCATTTATTCAGACTAAAACCTCAAACCAAAGAAAGATAGAGCAAACATTGTTAAAATGTTAGCTCACAAGCATTTAGAAAAATACTCATCAAGGATATATATGCACACACACACACACACATATACACACACACACACACAAACATATGTATTACTATTATTTTTTTTTTGGAGATCGAGTCTCACTCTGTTGCCCAGGCTGGAGTGCAGTTGTGCAATCTCTGCTCAATCCAACCTCTTGCCTCCTGGGTTCAAGAGAGTCTCCTGCCTCAGCCTTCTGAGTAGCTGGGATTACAGGCACACGCCATCCCACCTGGTTTTCTTTAGTATTTTTAGTAGAGACGGGGGTTTCATCATCTTGGCCAGGCTGTTCTCAAACTCCTGACCTCAAGTGATCGGCTTGCCTCGGCCTCCCAAAGTGCTGGAATTACAGGCATGAGCCATCACACTGAGCTGATATTTTTATTTTCTAAACTTTTTTGGCTAAAGATATACAACAGTTGTTCTCTGATTACAGTATCATTTAATTATTTTCCACTTCCCTTGTAACAATGCAAAAAGAATACCCTTCTTTCTCTACTGCTGCACTATACGTAGCTAATTTATGGAACTGAATGATTTTTGCTTTCAAATGACATTACTGACACTATTTCTTTTCCTGCTTTGTTTTTTACTCATCCTGGTTTTAATCATAAATCTCAGGAGAGCTCTATTTTCTTCATCTTGTTCAATAGGCATTGTCTCAGTCTAAGCTCTTAGGCTTTTCTCTCTTAACTGATTATGATGACTTCTATTACAAAAATAGCATTTATTAAAACAAATCTATTAATGAGTGTGTCTACCTAGAAATAAAAAAGAAGTAGGAGTTTTTTGGTGTTTTTTTTTTCCTTTTTCATCCTCTCCTTTAAAAACTAGAGCATGCAGGATATATGATGCTGAATTATACTGAGATTTAATTAGTCTTTAAAAAGATGCAAATGAAGAAGGACACTCTATTTGGAATTTAGGCAATTTTTAGAATTCAAAAATAGTTTTGTTTTTTCTCCTGGCACCAGTCTTTTTCTCCTAAGGATATGTGCCTTCTCTTGTATCTTTCTCCATGTACCTTTCTAAATATTTTAAATATTTACTTGTCTTGTTACCAACTCTGTTTCACTAAAATTTTCTTTTCATGAATTGCTACAGAATTGATTTAAAATTAGAATATATTTTTAGGCAAAAGAAACTGGTTAACGAGTTGTCATAAGTAACACATATGTTTAGTGTAACTTCTTTACGTTTATGAACTTAGGAGGACAGAAAGTGGGGATGCTACTTCAGACTTTGCAATGAGGTATGTATGTTTGAAACTCCCATTGAGTATGTGTCTGAATATATCACTATGTAAATAGAAAATTCACATCAATGGATCTTAATTTACCTTCCAAAATTTTTTTGACTGCAGATGCATACTAAACAGTGGAAACTAAAAATAATGGTTTTGTCCTTTTAAAATTAAATTTATAATCATTTATGATTTTAGATGAAAAGATACAGAATATTATTCAAGGAAAAATGTACACTGATGCATATGCATACATACATATTTTATTGCGCTATTTAAAACTAGATATTTTTAATAGGATGTTGAATAAATTCCAGCTACTCTGAGATACAAGGCCATCGAAATGCTGAAAAGAATATCGGATTGAAATAAACAAATCAATTTTTGGAGATAGAATATGATTCCCAAATAAGGAAGCAAGATCTTTCAGGATATAAATGATTAAAGACTTAATCTGGAACCTTGTGGATAAAGAAAGAAAAATCTCTGATATTAGGTTTGTAATTTATACAATACCTGAAACTGAACACTGGGTGGCAATGTTTATCTACTTTTATTTTTATTACAGCTTTTTCAGCAATTCCAAAGATGTAATAGAACTAAAGTTTCTTGTCTTCAAGGTTATTTGTGGGTCTTAAGACACTGAAAAAATCTTTTATTTTTTTTTTAAGTATTTTGGTTCCTTGGTTTTGTGCACAGAATAGTGTCCGTTTTCTGTCCCTCAAGTGCTGTTCTCAATCCATTCATTGACTCTAGCAAAATCAGGCATGCTGTAGAGAATTATCAGTGGAAGAGAAAAATAAGAATCACTAAAGATCTAGACAAACCATAATATAGTAGCAACATGAAAACATCTTGGAATATTTATTTTTGGGAATTAAATGTTGAGGGGTGACAACAAAACGTTCATCATTGAATCAAAATTAGTATGATAAGCTTTTCTTTCTGATTTTGGTTGATGTTCAGAACTATTTAATAGAGCAAGTCAGACGAAAAATTAAAAACACATTGATCAAGCAGTTAAAACCAAATAAGGCCTTCAATTGTATTGTAGCTAAATTTCCTCTTCCAATTCTTACATTCAGATCTAGAGCTGGCATGGGACCAAAGTGTTGAGGCAAGTTAGAATTCAGCACCTTCCCTTCTTCCTTTTCAGGACTCACTTACAACCTTAGATAGATAAGAATCAGAAAGAGCCTCTGGTGCTATGCTAGACTGCTAGGCAGCTTCAAGAGACCAGTTATTTTGGTTTTCTGGAGAATACTTCCTGACATTGACATCAAAAGGATTAAACGGCAATGATTTAGGAGTTCCCCGGAAAAATCAGAACTGACTAAAGCTCTCCAGTGGGAATCTTAACTCAAAAATCACTGCTCTATGAGAAATTCTAGTTATAAAGGATTCCAACCTGCTTGTCACATATTGGATTTGTGCTTCACAATATTAATAATTTTACTTTAGACAAAGTTAGGCTGAATATTGTGTCATTTTTGCCCTAGAAATAGGCTTTGAATAATTTATTTGGTTTCAATGTGTTTTCTGTATTTATTTTTTATGGTGGTAATATTTACTATTATATTGTAGCTCTCTTATGAATGGGGAGCAAAGATAACAGCAAGAAAAGAAAGGAGCTTCTAAACCTCACTGTTAGAAATACAGCAAAGTATTCATGGGAAAAAGTAGGGAAAACATTTTCATCTTGACTGGTTGAAGGCAATTGATGAGTGCAATCAATATATACGTGCAATAATTCATTGTACACAAGATAAAAGGAAATCTGTATTGAGTGACAATTGCTCTTCTATGAGTATAGTGCATTTCTGCAGAAAGAAAAAAGAGAGAGAGAGAAAGAAAAGGAGAAAGAGAGAAGGAAGGAAGGGAGGAAAGAAAGCAGGCAGCAAGCTCGGCCAAGTCACGGCTTAATAACTGTATAGCTAATATAGATATAATTTTTTTAAATGACAAAGATGTTAACAATAGAAAGAACTAGATACACTTCTTGAAAAGAGTAACTTTCCTAGTTATAGCCTTTAGAAAATGTCATTGATATACTGGGCGGGCGCAGTGGCTCACGCCTATAATCCCAGCACTTTGGGAGGCCGAGGTGAGCGGATCACGAGGTCAGGAAAGCGAGACCATCCTGGTTAACATGGTGAAACCCCGTCTCTACTAAAAACACAAAAAATTAGCCGGGCGTGGTGACAGGCGCCTGTAGTCCCAGCTACTCGAGAGGCTGAGGCAGGAGAATGGCGTGAACCTGAGAGGCAGAGCTTTCAGTGAGCTGAAATCATGCCACCCCAGCCTGGGCAACAGAGTGAGACTTCGTCTCAAAAAAAGAAAAATAAAAAAGAAAAAGAAAAAGAAAAAGAAATTATCATCGATAAACTATAGATGTGTAATAATTTGAAAAAAAAAGAGATTTTCATTTTTCAGCCATTGGTGAAACGGTTCCTCCATATACAGGTAGGAAATAGACAACACATGTGAAACAAATTTTTAAAAATTGGACAATAGGCAGTACAAATCCATCCTTGGGAGAAAGGAAACAAAAGAGATGAAATTGCTACCTGAGCTTTCTGTTGGGAAGCAATTTCCAAACTATGGACAGAGAAAAGGGGAAACCCAGAGTATGGGGGCTTCACTGAGTTGAAAAGGCAGAAATCAAGAGTTTTTGGAGTCTGAGGTAGCTCAAAGTTGTAAAGCAGAGTTCTAGAAAAATGGGAAACTATGCCAAAAAGACTTCACAAATTTGCACAGTTGTCCTATCTAGGTCATTCTACATGTTCGGCCTGGCCCCTCTTGTATTAAGTAAAAGTACGTGAAACAGTGAAGAAAAAACTGGGAGGTGTAAGATGAACAACTTCTGCAGCTCACACAGAGTAAGAAAATTTTTGAGCCCTTGAACAGCCAAGACAAAGCCTCCTTGGTTGTCACTAGCACATTGAACGGTGAAGTCAGAGTGAACTGTCGGCAGATTAAAGCTCTTCATAGACTAGTCATATAAAACTTTTAAAGTGGGCTAAAAAGGAATAGGCCCTACTGTAACTAGTTTAACTATCAAAAGCAAAACTAAACATTCTTAAAGAAAGGAAGATTAATAGACTCTAGACACTCAACAAAATAAATTTAACCATATGGAATATCTAATTTTTAAATGAAAGGAAAAAAGTGACCTATAATTGTAAAAGTCAGTTAATATATAAAGACTCGAAAAAGATAGAAGTCATGAAATTATTAGACCACTGAGTTTAAAGAATTATTAAATCTAGGTACAAATATTCAAAGAAACACATAATCAATGAGAAGAGAAATTACATTTTTTTAACAACTATATGAAACGTGATGAAAATAAAATATGTGAAATACAAATTTATCTGGGTGTGATCAATAGCAGATTAGACATTCTAGAAGAAAATATCAGTGATCAGGAAGATATAGCAATAGGTTCTACTTAAAAAAAGCAAAGAGAAGCAAAAAGGTAGTGTAAAAGGATTACAGAGAAAGGGTAAATTGTGAAATAATAGGAAGTTTTTTACATATTAATAAGGACAGTCTTACAAATATATGTACACTTCACAACTAATTTAGCTATTTCTGTTTTTGAAAAATAGCAAAATACAAAAACAATAAAAATTGATTTCTGTGATGGCATAAATAGTGTATTGCAAGACTTAGATATTTTGTTCAGAGAAAGCACAGTTACATAATTCACTGATTTGTTTTTTGAAGGAAGATTTTTTTTTGTGAAGACCATTCATGAATTTAGGGTGCATTTCATTAGTATTGACCTCTTAAACAAGGTCAAGTTCTTATACTATAGTATCCTTTTATCTCAAGAACACTTGACTATACATATAGATGCCTTTAGTATATTTATATGTGTGTTTTTGTTTATGGAGGTATTCTCTGAATAGGAAAAGGCAATGAACATGGACATAAGAGATTTATATCCTCATACCAGAAACATTGTGATCTCAGCCTTGATCCACAGAACTTTTCCCTTTTCCTTTTTTGTGGTGGAATATAGTAAAGGAAACATATAATCATGGAGAGAAATTATGATAACGAGAGGAACATTCTATCTGCAAACTAATAATATATATATTCTATCTGCAAACTAATAATAATGACAGGAACATTCTATCTGCAAACTAATCTATGCTATTCTTGGCTATGTTCCATAACAATGTCTCTCTTCTTTGACCATACAGGGAAACATGATCCATGACCAGTCCCATAAGGCTAGCTCAGCTGTTAGGAAAATAAAACAGTCAATTATTAGTCTTAAAATGGGCACAAAAATACAGTTCAATAAAATAAATAAGATCTAGTATTCAATAGCCCAATAGGGTCACTATAGTTAATAATAATTTATTGTATATTTTCAAAAGTAACTAAAAACGTAGAATTAGAATATCCTAACACAAAGAAGCGGTAATGTTTGAGGTGATGATTACCCCAATTACCCTGATTTGTTCATTACACTTTGCATGTCTGTCTGTATCAAAAAATCACATGTACCCCATGAATAAGCTATTATGTACCCAAAATAATTAAAAATAATTTTTTAAATGAAAATCAATTTAAAATGAAATATAATCTAATCACACCAACAGAATTTTATCATCATTTAATTGATTTTTATATTGTCTAATTCTGAAATATCAGGGTCTGAAAGTATTTCTTGTCCTTTAGACAATAAGAGTATTTAAAATTTTTAGCCAGTTTTATTGAAATATAACTTTGATAGAATGTTTTCCCAATTTCGAGTCAACCATTTGAATTTTGGCAAACATATACAATAATGTGAACAGCAGAGAAATCATGAGATACATTTCTCTTATCCTACATGCCCGTTGCAGTCCACCCCTTCTTCCTACCCCTGCTCTCTGATATCCACTGATCTGCTTTTAGTCTTCCTAATTTTACCCTTTTAGAATTTTATATAATTCAATCATAAAATATGGAGTTTTTATGTTTGGCATTTCTTATGAAACATAAGCATTTTGATATTCATCTGTGTTGTAATGTGTATCCCTATTTCCTTCTTTTTTTTTAGTGCTGAGTACTATTTCATCATATGAACTGTAGTTAATTCACTGACCACTTATGAAACGTTTTCAGGCTAATATGAATATTGTTTTCAACATTGAAATGCAAGTCTATTTATATAGTACGTTTTATTTTTTATTTAGTGTATTCCTAAAAATGAGATTGTTCAATCATAAGGTAATTGCATATTTATCTATACAAAAACAACTTCTAAACTCTTTTTTTTTTCTAAATGGCTGTACCATTTCACATTGTATCCAGACAATTTCACATTGTCTATATATAGTTATATTTCTGAATTTTATGTCCAGTTCCATTTATCAACTCTCCTTATGGCAAAAACTCTCTCCTTATGGCAAAACCATATTATTTTGATTTCAGTAGTTTTGCAGAAAGTACTGATGTAAAGTAATGATAGTCATTCACCTTTGTTCTTCCTTTGGAAAATTGTTTTGACTATTTAATTCTTTTGAATCTCTAGTAAAAAATTATTTTGTTGATATCTACAAAATACAATTGCCTGAATCTTGAGTGAAATTGCAGAACTGACATCTTAATCATATTGAGTTTCCAGTCTACAAACATGGTACCTTTATTTAGTTGTCATCTTTACTATTTCTCTATAATGTTTTATAGCCCCTTTTCTACAGATTTTTATATGTTAAAATTTTTCTAGACATTTTTGATGTATCTGTATGTGCTAACTTCAGTCTCAATTTTTAATTGTTATTATAACAAAGAAATGGTTTAATAACCGTGGGTTTTGTGGCATTACTCACAAATGTGTTCTAGTAGTTGTTTTACATTTCTTGTAACTTTCTACATGGAAAATAATATTGTCTGTGCATAATAACTATTTTATTTGACCATTTTCTAAATCTACACCTTTTATTTCCTTTTTGTTGCCTTATTCTGGTAAGAATTTCAGGAAAATAGAATTAGTAAGAGTAAATAGAATTAGTAAATAAATAGAAGTAATAGGAGTGGATATCCTGATCTGAAGATTAAAAAAACAAAACAAAAAAAAACCTTTATCAGAATGAGAAAATATCTTTTAACCCTGGTTTGCTGAGAATAACCATAACAAACATGATTTTAAGGTTTATGAATTTTTTTTTCTGCGTGTACTGAAGTGATCACTTTTTTGTTTTATAGCCTGTCATTATAGTGAGTATTGATAGGTCTTTAAAGGTTACATAAACTTTGCATTCCTAGGATAAAGCCCACTTGATCCTCAAGTGTAGTCCTTTAACTATGTATATGTGAATTTGATTACTGAAGTTTTGTTAAGGACTTTTGCATTTATAATAACATTTATTTTCTTGTAGTACCTTTGTCTCATTTTGCTATTAGGTAATTCTGGTCCTACAAAATGAGGTGAAAAATATTCCCTTTTCTATATTTTGAAAGAACTTTGTAGAATTCTTAGGATTTCTCCAAGTTGGTGAGATTCTCCACTGAAGCCATTGCGGTCTGGGTTTTTTTAGTGGGAATGGTTCTAATAATGAATTTAGTTTATATATAAATATATATATATATTATATATATGGTACTCTGTGTAAATTACCTTTTATTCAGTGTTGGTAGTTTGTATTTATCACAGGATTTATTCCTTTCATCTAGTTTACCAAATGTATCGGAAAAAAGTAACAACATAAATAATTAATTAAAATTTTGAAAAACATTTATAATATTTATAATATTCCTTATTATCCTTTTAATATTTGCAGAGTTTACAGTTTTTCACTTCGTACATTCCTGATATTGTCACTTTGTGTCTTCCTACACTTCTTTTTTCACTGATCAGTCTGGCTAGACTTATCACTTCCAAAAAAAATCTACTGAAACAACTAGTATTAAAAAACTAGAAACAGCTTAGATAACTGATTTGAGACATTTCTTTTTTTCTCTTTTTACATTTTTTTGTGGTTTTATAGAAAGTTTTATAGTTTTAGAGTCTTTATTTTAACTTTATCTTACAAATTGCATTTGGGAAATAATATACACAATGAAATATATATCGATTCCTTGTGATTGCTTCCCCAAAGCATGTGTTCTTTAAAAATGTGTTGCCTATTTTCTGAATATTTGGATATTTTCCAATTATGTGTCTGTTGTTGATCTGTAGTTTAATTTCTTTTGGTCATAGAACATAATCTGTATGATTCTAATAACCTTATGTTTCTTGAGATGTGTTTTATCTCCCAGAATATCTATTTATTTATTTATATATTTAAGTTGTATAGCAAGATGTTTTCTATATACAAATGAAAATGACTTTTAGTTTTTAGAATTTATTATGTACATTTTAGTATGTTATAATCTACCTTCATATAATACTATATGAAGATAATACTACTATAAACTTTCATTTCCCTCTCTATTCATTTTGTTATAATTATTGCATACATTACTTCTACCTGTAATATAAATCACATAGGCTGGGCGCAGTAGCTCACGCCTGTAATCCCAGCACTTTGGGAGGCCAAGGCAGGCAGATCACCTGAGGTCGGGAGTTTAAGACCAGCCTGACCAACATGGAGAAACCCTGTCTCTACTAAAAATACAAAATTAGCCAGATGTGGTGGCAGGCGCCTGTAATCCCAGCTACTTGGGAGGCCGAGGCAGGAGAATCACTTGAACCTGGGAGGCAGAGGTGCTGTGAGCTGAGATTACGCCATTGCACTCCAGCGTGGGCAACCAGAGCAAAACTCAGTCTCAAAAAAATAAATAAATAAAAACAAAAAGGCTGGGAGTGGTGGCTCACGCCTGTAATCCCAATATTTTGGGAGGCCAAGGTGGGCATATCATGAGGTCAGGACATCAAGACCATCCTGGCTAACACTGTGAACCCCATCTCTACTAAAAATACAAAAAATTAGCAGGGCTTGGTGGCGGGTGCCTGTAGTCCCAGCTACTCAGGAGGCTGAGGCACAAGAATGGCGTGAACCCAGGAGGCGGAGCTTGCAGTGAGCCAAGATGGCTCCACTGCATTCCAGTCTGGGCAACAGAACAAGACTCCATCTCAAAAAAAAAAAAAAAAAAATATATATATATATATATATATATAAAACATAATATATTTATTTAAAATATACTATTGTTTAAAATAATCTATTATCTTTTAAATTAAGATGTGAGAAAAATGTCTATTATTTTTTATCAATAGTGTTTGCCTTTCCAGAGTTTTTTATTATTTTGTGGATTCATATTTCCTTCTGATATCATCTGTCTTCTGCCTAAAACACATGTTCCTAAAACACATCATTAATTTGTTGTTATTGTGGTGATGGTTGTGGTTATCGTTGTTGTTTGGTTAGTGCAAGTTCTCCTGGAGATAAACTTTCACAGTTTTTGTTTCTGAAACACATTTTACTGACTGTAAAATCCTAAATTGATTTTCTTTTTGACTACTTTTAATATGACTTTCCATTGTCTTTTGATCTGCATATTTTCAGATGACCAAAGTTTATATTCCTTTATTCTTATATTTATTCCTTGGCATGTAATGTGGTATCTCTTCCACATTTAACAATCCTTCTAAAATTTTGTCACTTTTTTTTAGCAATGTTACTGTGATGTGTCTTGTGGTTAACTTCTATTTTAGTCTTCATTGATCTTCTTGGATTTGTAAGACTACGGTTTTCATATATACATTTATATAATAGTTGGCTATTGTTGGCTGGGCATGGTGGCTCACGCCTGTAATCCCAGCACTTTGGGAGGCTGAGGCGGGTGGATCATGAGGTCAGGAGATCGAGACCATCCTGGCTAACATGGTGAAAACCCGTCTGTACTAAAAATATGAAAAATTAGCCAGACATGGTGGCGGGCACCTGTAGTCCCAGCTACTCAGGAAGCTGAAGCAGGAGAATGGCGTGAACCGGGAGGCAGAGCTTGCAGTGAGCCAAGATTGCGCCACTTCACTCCAGCCAGGACAACAGGGCAAGACTCTGTCTCAAAAAAAAAAAAAAAAAGTTGGCTATTGTTTTATTAATTTGTTTCTTCTTTTTCCTCCTCTTTTCTTTCCTATTAGGATGCAATAGGACATATATTAGACAACTTAACGTTTTTTCCGCAGGTCACTGATGCATTGTTGACTTTTTATCAAGTTAGGATTTTTTCTTTCTTTTCCTCTCTGTGATTTTGTTTGTTTGTTTTATTTTTTTATAGATGTAGGGGGTACAAGTGCAGTTTCGTTACGTGAATATATTGTGTAGTGGTGAAGTCTAGGTTGTTAGTGTAACCATCACCCAAATAGTGTACATTGTACCCATTAGATAATTTCTCATCCTCTATTCCCCTTACAACTTCTCACATTTCCAAGTCTCCAGTGTCCATTATTCCACTTTCTATGTCCATGTGTGCACATTGTTTAACTCCAACTTATAACTTAGAACATGCAGTATTTGACTTTCTGATTTTAACAGTTGCTGTTTGCTGTGTTTTTACATTTACTGAGGTTTCTTCACCAGAATCTCATCTGCTTTTAATCTCATCCAAGGCATATTTTATATCACATATTGACTTTTTTGTCTACTAGTTTTATTTCTTTCTTTTTTATTAGTTTTTATATTCTCTTACTATGTCTTTTTTCCTTTTCTCTATTTTCTCAGTCATATAGAACATTGATATATTTTTTGTTTTAATATACTTGTGGTTATAAGCCATGAAGGGAATGAGATTACATACCAATTGCAAGCTGACAAATTTCCCTGACAGTTTTATGGATGATTGTACATGGCATGATACTTGTGGGACCTAAACATTTGACAGTTTGGTACTCACAGTAATATTACAGCCAGAGTATCAGCATTTTCACCTTGGTTATTTGATCCCCAATGTGCATAGGCCAATGCAAAGAGGACTGCATGATCCCTGCACACAAAATGTGTTGCATTACAGGAGACGAACGCTGAGTTAGGACACTTGAGTCTCTTATCATGCACAATAAGCATCCCTGCTCTTTGCCCCAGAGTGAGACATTGCCTTTACTATTATGGTCATTAAAGGTACCTGCATTTTTCTCTAATGGGAAACACTATCTGTCTCTTTCAAAGCTATAAGCACACCAACCATTTGCTATGAAGGGAGAAAACATCTCTATCACAAAGGCTGCTCACTATACAAACATTCTTGAAAACATAGAAACAAAGAGCAGTCAGTGTGTCTTGTTTACAAGGCATGCAGAAGTATAAGGGCCTGAAGGAGAACAGAATTATCACTTAGTATTTTCTGCTAATTCCATTTTCTCTGTAATTTCTGGAACTATTTATTGATTTCTTCTCCTCCCTGTGGGTCATATTTTGTTTTCATTTCTTGAATGCCAGGCAATTTTTGATTAGATGTCAGATGTTAATTTAATTGCAGGATGCTTTATTTCTATTTTTGAGAAGCGTTGGGCTTTGTTTAGACAGGCAATTAAGTTTTAAGTTGCTTAGAATCAATTTGACACTTTAGAGGTTCACTTCAAGTCCACCTCCAGAGCAGGCATTAGTCTAGTGTAGCCCAACTACTGAGGTTACTGAAGTAATGCTCATCTAAGAATTCTTCATATTGTCTTATCTATTTAGAGACCTTTCCATTTGGACTGATAGGATCATGAGCTATTCCCTGCTCTGCTTGAACTCAGGAATTGTTTAGACTACTGCTTTCCAGTGGTTATTATTTTCTGGGCTTGGATAAATTTCCTCTCATGCATAAACAGATTAGAACTCGGCCAAAGGCTCAAGGGGCACTCTCTGGAGATTTCGGAAGCTATTTTTGTTTAGCTCCTTCCTCTCCAGTATTCTGCTCCACAAATTTGAGCTGCTTTCACCTCCCTGAACTCTGATTTCTGCCTTCTTAATTGGGCAAGAAGGCAGATTCTATTTGGTCTCTTTTTACTCTGTGCGGTGACCTGGAAACTGCCTGTGGGCAGAAAGCTGATGTGATTTTAGAGCTCACCTCATTTGTTTTCCTCCACTTCATGATCATAGTCCTTTTCGGTGTGTTTTCAATATGTGAGAACTTTTGTTTTAAATATTTTGTTTGCTTTTCTGTTTGTTTAAGGTAGGAAGGTAAATCTGGTCCCTGCTTCTAGATCATGGTTTGAGGCAAAAGTAATTGGAAAGGTTGTACTTGCCTCTTACCTTTTAGTTAACATCTGTGAAAGGAAAATAAATCTTGGGACCCTAGAATCACTAAGCTAAAGAGAAAAGTCAAACTAGGAACTGCTTAGGGCAAACCTGCCTCCCATTCTATTCAAAGTCATCCCTGTGGTGAGGCTCACCTGAGACAAATGGATATCTGATTGCTTCTCTCCCCTATCGTTTATGTAAAAATGCAGATTCACTGAGCCAGACAAAATTGTGTATTCAGTGGAAAGCTGATCAAGGGCTCAAAAAAGTGCAACCTGTGTGTTTTATCTACTCCTAACCTGGAAGTGCCCACTTCAAGTTGTCTTGCCTTACCAAGAGTTTTCCTGCCTTTCTGGAGTGTATTAGCTTGCTCTCATGCTTCTATGAAGAACTGCCCCAGACTGAGTAATTTATAAAGGAAAGAGGTTTAATTGACTCACGATTCTACCAGGCTGGGGAGACCACAGGAAACTTACAATCATGATGGAAAGGGAGGCAAACATGTCATTCTTCACATGGGGGCAGGAGAGAGAAGAATGAGAGCCCAGTGGAGGGGGAAGCCCCTTATAAAATCATCAGATCTTGTGAGACCTAACTCACTATCATGAGAATAGCATGGGGGAAACCATCTTCATGATTCGATTATCTCCCACCAGGTCCTTCCCACCATACGTGGGGATTACAGGAACTACAATTCAAGATGAGATTTGGTTGGGCACACAGCTCAATAATATCACAGACTGAATGAACCAATGTATAATTTACACATATTGATTGATGTCTCATGTCTCCCTAAAATGTATAAGAGCAAACTGTACTTCTAACTGCCTTGGGCGCATGTCTCAATACTTCCTGAGGCTGTGTCACAAGAGTGTCCTTAACTTTGGCAAAATAAACTTTCTAAATTGACTGAGTCCTGTCTCAGTTATTTGGGGTTCACATTTTGGTAATCACAAAGGGATTCTGAGCGGAGGTACCACTGACCTTTGGCAAATCTCCTATTGGTGTTTGGTACCAGCTTGAGCTTCTTTATGGCACAAACCAATAGGAAAATTTGCTGAGACCTGGAAGCTCCCCTTCCAGATAATCCCTTGTCTCCTGAAATTTCACTGGGATCTAAAGTTTAATTTGCTGTACAACTCCCTTTGTTGGAGTTTTACTTGTTCCCCACAAGGAAGGTGTCAGGCCTCTACGTCCAAGCCTGCACATGTACATCCAGATGGCCTGAAGCAATTGAAGAACCACAAAAAAAGTGAAAATAGCCAGTTCCTGCCTTAACTGATGACATTCCACCATTGTGATTTGTTCCTGCTCCACCCTAACTGATCAATTGACCTTGTGACATTCCTTCTCCTGGACAATGAGTCTCAGAATCTCCCCACTGAGCACTTTGTGACCCTTGCCCCTGCCCACAAGAAAAAGAAACCCTTTAACTGTAATTTTCCATTACCTACCCAAATCCTATAAAACTGCCCCACCCCATCTCCCTTTGCTGACCTCTTTTTCAGACTCAGTCCGCCTGCACCCAGGTTATTAAAAAGCTTTATTGCTCACGCAAAGCCTGTTTGGTGGTCTCTTCACATAGACACATGTGACAGAAGGCAAGTTTTCCTGTTTCCTTAATGATGGAGTGCAGGTAACTCCTTTCTGGAGTTTCAGCTTCCAAAAGGGAAGGCAAGTTTGAATTGTTTCCTGCTTCTAGGATGGTAAAGAGCAGACTTCTGCCTGAGACCCACCCATAGGTAAGTAGCTGAATTGGGGAATTTTGTCTTGGCTAAAGTTGATTAACAACCAGCTGGTCTTAATTTCTCCTTAACATTAGATCACTCAATATTCAAATGAATTGTGCAATCATTTGTTTGTTTTGCTCATCTGTTTTTTTTTGTTGTTGTTTGTTTATTTTTGTTTTTGTTGTTGTTTCAGTCTTTTTCCCATTGGGTATGACCAACTCTATCTGACTTGATCAAATCCAAAGGAAAGCTCCAACTTATGGGTAACAAGGCACCTGAAGTGGCTAAATTCTCACAAAAAAAGGGAGAGAAGATTTTTTATTTTGACTTCTAAAGGGGTTTTATTTACATAAAAGGGCCACCTTTTTGCTAGCCAAGTCAACCTGAAAAGCAATGGCTGTCACCCATTATGCAGTTCCATAGCTAAGGTCCTGCCTTCTTTTTCTTTCACAATGACAGCCTGAGTTTGCTTCCTAAATCAAGCCCTTTTTTGGTTTGATACTTGTTACTTTTGAAATATCATTAATTTGGCCTAGCTAAAATATAGTCATGAGATTTTAAAATATTTTTTTAAAGGAGCTCAATGGGTAAAGGTCAGCTTAATTAGAAGCTAACATTCATGATATGTGTGTGTGTGTGTGTGTGTGTGTGTGTGTGTGTGTGTGTGTATTAAAAGGCCTTTCTATTTTTTTTTTTCTCTCCTAGGATCTTGTCTTTTTTGAGCAAATTTTTTTTCTTCTCAGTTGACTGAATTCTGTTTTATTCATTTACTTCTCTTGTCTCTCCTTTCTTTTCCTACCCTTTGTTGCATGAAGGGTCTAAAATAGTTTCTAATAGACTGGGGTTCCTTAAATAAATTGGAGAAGGTGCCACTCTCCCTTTTAGGAAGAAACCTCTTTTCCTTATGGAACCCCAAGAGTGTAAACAGACAAGTCCGTCTCAGATCATAAACTACTTGGTTTTGTATTATGTTACCTGATTTTTTGACAAGTAAAACATAAATTAGTTATTACAACAGAGGCTACTCTTGGATCTTTAAGGAATAGTATAGCTTAGACACATAGAAATGTCTTTGTTAAAAAGATTTCCTTGATGTACTGTAAAACAATCACCTGGCCTAGCCACATAAGAATTCTCCTTTTTTGGAGAACCAGGATTGAACATGGGCTCTGCCCAAAGCTCAGATACCCAGTTAGGAGATAGGTGGTCTCTAGCAAAATAAAATTGGTCTTATTACATAATTCTATGATAGATTTCTATAATTTTATGTTTGATTTGGCATTCATTTTTAATCTCCCTCAAGCACCATCAGATTCTCTCTGTACTTTGAGATGTAAATTTCATTATCTGATTTTTCACCTAAGAGTTCCTTTAATATGCAGATTTAGGGCTCTCTGACAATTGCCTAGGGTAATAAAATAGTTATCAAGAAATTGGATGTCTAAAATAGGCGGAAAAATAGAAGTCTTATTAATCTATAAGATCTACTAGCTATGTGTCTAATATATCTCTGTATTTATGTGTCATGTATATGACGTTTCACTACTAAAATATATTAAAAAACTCTAATGGGCTTTAAAAAGCACTTAAATCAAATACTTTATCAGAAAAATACTTTAAGCCAAATGATTTTTCAAGTTCACATAACTTAAGAAAATTTTAATAAATCAGCTGGTTTAAAAAATTTTGGTGAAATAGATTTAGAAATGGCTTTAGAACTGTCAACATACATTATTTATCTCTGCTAGATGTCAAAATTTGGCATGACGGGTATAAAGCTATGAATGCAGCCCAAAAGAGAAGTATCTTTGTTTAAGTAAAAATTAACAAATACAGCATTTAATATTGTTCTGTTAATGAAAATAGCTAAATTCTGAGCAATTGGCAAACAACAACAACAAACCCATCTATGTAACCTTAAGGTTCTTACTTAGGAAAGCCTGAAATTCACAGGGTATAAAAGTGGTTAACAAAGAACCTTAAGTGATAGCTATCACAGTTTTCATAATTAATCTCAGTAAAGTATTTAAAAATTAATTAAGTAAATGTAATGGAATAGATGCTTGTAGATAATCTTGTCATATAATTTAAAGTCTAAAGTTATATAAATCTAAATAATAAATATTTACTAAATGTCTGGGTCATTTCCAATCTCTTCTAGAATTATAGGAAAACATCTTTCTGAAAAAAAGAAATGTGTTCTTATTTAACAGAAAACAATTTTTGTCTAATTCAAAGGATATTGAAAATTTATGAAATTAGGTACAGGTAATCAGTGAATAAGAACAATGTAAACAAAGTTATAAAGTAGTTTTTTTGGCAAGAAAGTTTAAAAAGAAAATAATTTTATATGAGAAAGAATCTTGCAAGGCAATTAATTTTTTTGAGACAGAGTCTTGCTCTGTCACCCAGGCTGGAGTGTAATGGTGCAATCTCGGCTCACTGCACCCCCAGCCTCCCGGGTTCACGCCATTCTCCTACCTCAGCCTCCCGAGTAGCTGGGACTACAGGCGCCTGCCACCACATCCAGCTAATTTTTTTGTATTTTTAGTAGAGCTGGAGTTTCACCGTGTTAGCCAGAACAGTCTCGATCTGCTGACCTCGTGATCCACCCGCCTAGGGCTTCCAAAGTGCTGGGATTACAGGTCTGAGGCATCACTCACAGCCTTTTATTTTATTTTATTTTATTTTATTTTTTGAGACAGAGTCTTGCTCTGTCACCCAGGCTGGAGAGCAGTGGTGTGACTTGGCTCACTGCAACTTCCACCTCTCAACTTCAAGCAATTCTCCTGCCTTAGCCTCCCCAGTAGCTAGAATTACAGGTACCCACCACAATGCCCAGCTAATTTGTGTATTTTTAGTAGAGACAGGGTTTTGCCATGTTGGCCAGTTTAGTCTTGACCTCCTGACCTCAGAAGATCCACCCACCTTGACCTCCAAAATTGCTGGGATTACAGGCATGAGCCATCACACCCGGCTGGTAAATTTTTATCCTAAAATAAAATAATGGTTGACTAAGAAAGAAGAATGTCTAAGTTAAAACTGGAAGTCCAAGCATGTTATGAGTTATTTGTATCAAGTTGTCCATAATGGAAGGGAAATTATTTATACTAGTCTTTCTAGAGATTGAGTTTTGATGTTAAAAACAAAACAAAACAAAACACTTATACACTTAGGAATTGGTTAGAACAGTGAAGTTTTCTTAAGGGATTGATTTACTCTTAATAAATTATAAGAGGTTTTGATCTTTTTTTAACCCTAAGTACAACTTCTATTGCATCTCACAGTGCTCACTTTTCTCTTCCCTTTTAAAAGTCACAAAATATTAACTCTCTCCTTCAATTCATTTTCAGCTCATTTAAGTTTTTTTTCCTTGGGTTCTAACTGTTTGTTGTGGCCTAATGTTAAAAATGTTTCCTTAAAGGTCTAAAGGAAATGTTTTCTTCCAACATAATATTCTGTGCACTGCAGAAGGTCTTTTATTTTGCCTGTTGGTAACTGGCCTAACAGATTGTATCTTTTATCAAAATAATTCCTATGTCATTATTATTGAGTTTTGGTTTACTTAGAAAAAAAGTTTAAAAATTTTATTTAATTAAAGATATTACATCTGTGTACCTTCCTATATGTTCTTTTAAATTTCTTGTGACATTGCATTGCAGGGCTTTGACTCCAGGGTCTAAAAGGGACACCAAGTCCTGCTAAATCTTAAACACAGAGAGCTTAAATTAAACCCTCATCTTCGGGCCCAGTAGCTTACGCAAATCAAAATAAACTGTGTTCCTGAGACATAGGGCCAGAGATAAAAAACTATTCAGCTCCTCGAGGCCCAGTGACTATCGCAGAAGAGATGGGCACATGAGATCATAAGGGCCGATTTTAAGAGATAAAATTGGTTCACTTTCCCTAGAAATTAACCATTAATATCAAAGGCACACAGATGCAAAACCAGCATCTGGACCCCTGTGTCGCATTAACAAGATTTTCCTGGAGAATTAACTCACTCCTTAATAAAAATTATAAAGGATACAAGAAGGTTTAAGGAAATTATATCTTATGATCAAAATGATTAAAATTTTAAAGATTGTTTATAAGATTTTGAAAGACAGATTTAATTGGCCTTGTGCTGTAGTTAAGGCTTATTGTTTGGAAAATTAAGTCTCCTCTCTCAATGAATAAAGATTTTCACTTTTTTTAAGTCTTCCAGTTATCACTTTGATTAAATGAATGACTAATTTTACAATGACAATTTTTCATGATATCAAGCATTTTAAATTTTTGTATTTGACAAACTTTCCAAAGTCAAATTATAACTTGGGTCCTCATTGATTTTTTTTTATATTCATCCCCTGAAGTCCAAAAGAGACATATTCAGCTTATTTGGTACAAAAATCATACACAAAACATGGTCAAATATAAAATGGTGTTTGATTTTCTTTAGGCTGTATTTGTATAAATGTTATTTGTATGTATTCTAAAATTATGCAAAATTCCTATAATTCTGATACTACAATGTATATTGTTAATAATTATAATTGTTATGTAAAATTGTTGTATGTCACGAAAGCAACAAATTTCCAGTCAATTGTGGTTTTAATAATGTCCGTCCCAAGACTTTTTGTCATTCACAGACAGCCCTCTTGTTTTGATCCTCTTCAAAAGGTGGTTTACAATCAGCTATAGAATTTGATAGGTGCTCTTGAATGCAGAGTTAACTGCATGGACTGAACTGCTAGAAGACTGAACTAATCTTTTTGACCTTTTGCTTAAAATGTTGCTGATCCTTTGTTTTGTTTTTCAGTGAAGAAAATTTTTAAGCTATTTACAGCTTTTAACAATTGAGTAAAGTATACTCCTGTGAACAAAATTTGGAGCACATTTCTCTCCATCTAATTTCTCCAGAATTTGGAAAATATTTGTGAGTGTTCTTAACTTATGGCAATGTAATTATTTGCATAAGTGCAATAAGAATGTTTTCTTTTGCAACAGGACACAATTGGAGAAACTGATTGTTTTACCAAGGCTTTGACTTAAATGGCATGCTCTCCTTTAAGGAATCAAGCTTGACTTAGCCAATAAGAGCTCCTTGGGAAAACTGGCCTTATAGCTTGTCTGCACAGTCCCTGTATAGGGCTTCTGACCTATAATAAGTAAAGAATATTGATAGTGACTGGAGGCAGTCAAATGACTAGGCAGATGATGCGGTCCCTGGTGAAACCCCACTTTCAAGCCAAAAACACCCTGGAGTGCTTGTTCTGGACGAAACCCATGACCCACAGTGAGAACGTCTATTGCTGTTTGCCCAACCTTTCCTGATTGGTTCTTTCTGAATAATGCTTTTAACCAATCAAATGTTGCCTTATCCAGTACTATGTATGGCCTGCCCCTCCCCCATCCCATGCCTATAAAAACTCCAGACTCAGCAACAATGGGGGGGATGATGTGACTTCAGGTGAGAGACCACCTCCCCATTCCCTCTCTGCTGAAAGCTGTTTTGTCACTTAGTAAAATTATCCACCGTCATCACCCTCCAATTGTCAGCATGACCTCATTCTTCTTGGGCACATGATATGAGCTCAGGACCCACTGAAAACAGGTACCTAGAAAGGCTGTAACACTGTGGCCCTCTGCCCTTGCTAGTGGAGGCAGCTGCCCCATACAACAGAAGCAGCAGTGGGGCTGAGCCAGTCCTGGAGTCATGGGCCAGAGCAAGGCAAGGGGCTGAATGATTTGCTAACATGCTGCCATGTGTCAGACTCTGGACAGCAGAACTAAAAGAGCTAATTAACACACTGTAGCACCTGCTCTTGTGTTTTATGGTCAAGGGAACCCCTGCATGGGTGCCACCACATTCCCCTTGGGGCAACATGCCTGGTCAGGCTGCAGGGCCCACATGGAACCTTCTCCTGCGTTGGCACTCATAGCAGCCAGCTGGACCCCACACTCATTCATTCACATGCTCCCTCCCACTAGGGCCTGAGTGCACAGTTGTGGCAGCTGCCAAATCCACAAGGGAGGCTTGCCCTCAGGCACAGCCCACTGGACTGAATAGACAGAGTGTCTCCTTCTGTGAGGCCCACAAAGGGGCCAAGAAAAATCCTCTATGAATGTCACTTTCTAACATGCCCCAAGTTTTCTCAAGACCTCAAAAGGAGAGAAATTTACTCATAGGTATTTGAGGATACAAACCTATGGCTGTGTTTGGATTAAAAAAAAAAAAGTCTTATCTGAGATTCCTTATGGAACAAAGTTCCATCAAAGCCAATTTTAAAAGACTATGTAAAAAATAATTACTCTTGCTGCACTTTACACAAATAATCAGGCCACATATAAGACAAAAGCTATTTTTGCAAACAAATCAGTCCTATTATGATTTGTTTTTAATAAAAATGGGAGACTGGAGAGAGAAAAATTGCATTTCAAAATAAGCTATAGTACATCTGTTATTAGTTTCTAGTCTTGCCTAATGTTTTTCAATTTTTATTATTCTCTACAAATTGGACTGAATTCTAACATTTTTCTTGGCTACAAGTCTCCAAAATAATGTTTGAATTTTTTTCCTTCTTTCTTTTCCCTTTTTCATTCATTTTTCCTAATTTGAAATCACTGAAAACTAATCTGTGCTTTCTTAAAGCCTTGCAAACTGAAGCTAGACATCTTAAACTTCGGAAGGAAATAACAGCAACCTATTTACATACATAAGCCACATCGATACCTGCCTACTGTTGTGTGTGTGGACTTCAGCATAATACAGCCTACATTGATTTTCCAGGATTGTTCTTTTTTTTCATTTGTTGTTGTTTTCTTCTTTCCTGCCCCTATTTTCTCTTCATAGAACATGAGACTTCACAATCAGCTGAAAATGAGCTTTCCTCATAATGTGGGACCTACCCATCTAGGAATAAATCACCCTAGCCATGAGAGATTAGATGAAACCTGAGACTAATTTGTGACTAATTTTCTTCTATAAGGTGACTAATTTTCTTCTACAAGGTGACTAATTTTCTTCTACAATGCTTTGTCTGAAAGATTTTAAAAAGAAAAGGGGGGAAATGTGAAAGGAAAATAAAACTTAGTACCCCCAAATCACTACGCTAATGGGAAAAGTCAAGCTGGGGACTGAATATAATAGTACCTCCCATTCTATTCAAAGACATTCCTCTGAGTCTCTCCTGAGACAAAATAATATCGTATTGCTTCCACTCCCCTATTGTTTATGTAAAAATGCAGATTCATTGAGCCAGACTAAATTGTATATTCAGTGGGAGGCTGATCAAAGACTTAAAAGAATGCAACATTTTGTCTCTTCTTCTAACCCAGAAGCCATTGCTTTTGAATTGTCATGCCTTACCAGATTGAACCTATGTTTATTTTACACATATTGATTGATGTCTCATGTTTCATGTCTCCCTAAAATGTATAAGAGCAAACTGTACCCCACCCACTTTAGGCATATATCTCAGAACTTCCTGAGGCTGTGTCATGAGCACATTCTTAACCTTGGCAAAATGAACTTTCTAAATTGACTGAAACTTCTCTCAGATATTTGGGGTTCACATATACATATTTTGGACCAGGGTGATTTACTTTCATTCCAGTATCTAATTGTAACCCTTTAAATTTATTGTTTTAGTATGGCTGACTCTGACTTTAGAAGTAAATTCCTGAGCATAGCAATCTGTAAAACATGGAATACAGCTATTTCCAGACAGAGGTGATATTCAAAATATACAATAACACAGAAACAATATTATTAATACACATACATGTATGAGCATATTTTCCATGGCTGAATTATTTTCTACCTTAGAAATGCAACATCTATTATATTTCTTCTAAGTGCATGTTAACATACTATAAGCAATTTAACTTGTTTTTACTTGTATATTAAACACAATACTGACTTTGCAAAACTATCAATTCACTTTTTCATTGCTTAAAAAGTCAATTTTCTTCTTTAATCACTAAAAGATGGTTTTACTTCTACTTTCTGGTATTGTGTTTTTAAGTTATAAGATCTGACATTATCAGAGATTCCACAATTCTTAATTTCCACAATTTAAGAGTAATTATGAATCTCAAGGTAAAACAAATGTGAATCAAACAATTAACACATAGTTTGTTTTCTCTTGACAAATTTAAAGATTTATGTGAAATAAAATCAAGTCTAGAAAATTGTTTCTCAGCTGGGCATGGTGGTTCATGCCTGTAACTCCAGCGCTTTGGGAGCCCAAGGCGGGCAGATCGCTTGATGTCAGGAGTTTGCCACAAGCCTGGCCAACATGGTGAAACCCCATCTCTCCTAAAAATATAAAAAATTAGCCAGGCATGGTCGTGCACACCTCTATTACCAGCTACTAGAGGCTGAGACAGGAGAATCACTTGAACCTGGAAGGCAGAAGTTTCAGTGAGCCAAGATTGTGCCACTCAAAAAAAATAATGTTTCTTTGATAAGTAACATTCATAATTCTCAATAGCCTCCAAAAGAAGGAAGGATTGACTGTATGATTAAATTGATAGATGTATAGTGAATGATTTTCAGTCTTGGCTCAAATTTGTGGAGAAAAAATGATTTTCAATGCATAAAAATGGCTAACAAATTCATTTAACATAGTGTTTTATTTTTCTCTATAACTTTGACTCAAAAACAGTAAGATCTTGAAAAAAAATTAACTGTAATGATTAAATCCTTAATGCTCTGCCTCAACAGAAAAAGATAAAACCCCAGAATATAGCCAATGAACACTTCTTCAAAGAAGCACTGAAATGCTGTCATACTGCATTTCTTCCAACAGAAATATCAACAGCCATAGTATCATGTACTGCAATGGAGATCTAATGTTGCAACAGGCTCGTTTGATAACATATGGTTGAAAAATAACCTACTAAGATTATTTTTATCAGGTAATATTATATTTGCCAATATGGATGGGGCTAAAATTAACAGAAGCACTGGAATGATAAGTGCTAAGGGTATTTTTATTTTAAGGTGAAATAAAAATTAGTTATTTTAGTAAACTTAATTTCCCTACATGTTTTCCTCTATTTCTGTGCCCATTTCTTTTCACTTTTAGATTATGAAGTTTACCTTAGTGCCAACAGTTTATACACATTGTTCATGACTTAAAATTAATATGATATTTATACCAATGTTAAGTAAAACTGTGATTTCATGATACCTAAATCTGTAAAAAATTTCTTCTCAGTAAGATAATAAAATATACTGGCCAATATAAAGAAATATGACATATTTATGAAATGATATTTATTATTTCCTTTGAAAAGCATACAATCCCCATGAGTTCAAATGTGTTTGCATGTTTGTGCTAGGATTTATGGGATAACAAAGATGTACATCACCAGATTAAATCCCATTGGCTGGCTTCCAGAAGGTTGACAGGGTATTAGTTTCTTGATAATTTTACCACAGTCAAGAAAGTACATCTAAAACTAGCAGACTCAAAACATAATTTAATTAGAATACATGGAATGTATCCACTTCTCCAAACTTGTCTTAATTTAATTGCACTAAGAAAACTGATGCATACAATCAGAATTGCTTTTTGGCAATAAACTCATTTCAGCCATAATCCAATACAAGCATTTCTAAAAAATTTTCATAGCACTAACAAGAACATTAGTTTGTACCATAGGTGCTAACTTGAGCTGTCTGAGCTGGCAATTCAGCTTGGGCAGAGATTGTCATAATGAATATTTAAATTGAACAAAAACAATAGAATGAAAATGTTTACATAGCTGTCATTACTACAGTGCTGGTAGATATTGAGACCACACAGATGGAATAAAAAGTATTCGTCTGTGAGTGTGCCATTAGGATGGAGAGAGTTGTAAGCCAGGATGTGAGAGACTGATAATCTAATCCGGGTAGGGAGTTGCAAGATCTGATGCTTGGTTTTCATTTTCCTAAACACAGTTGTAAGAACTCCTACTGTCAGTGCCAGCAGCCAAGCTTAGGTTTGTGTTTTTCCCCTTGTCCCACCATCCTGACTTACCCAGTATAGGAAGTAAAATCACATACAAAGTAACACAAGTGCATTATATACCGATATCTTTCTTTATTTATGATTTATATATACTGCATTATGTGCACACATTGTGGCAGAACAGATTAAATAAAAATGAATATAACCTCAGGCTCATAGGGTCTTTCTCATTGGGAGGACATATGTATAATTCAATTGTTTCATAGCATCAAGCTAAAAAACATGCTTTGTTCTCTATAGTAGATATTTCTTATCGGTGAAGAATTACACACAATTTCATTGGTTAAAATTATTTTGAAGTCTTAAATGGGCATTTTACAAGCTTTTTCTTATGACATTTATAAGATTCCAGGGATCAAGAGCATCAGATCATCTTGATGCCTTATTTCCTATATCATTGCTGTAGTGTGGATATTTGTCATCTAAATTCTATGTTAAAATTTGATCTCCAATGTTGGATGTGGGGCCTAATGGAAGGTGTTTGGGTTTTGGGGGCAGATTCCTCATGAATAGAGTGATGCCTTCCATGAGGAAGGGGGTGGTGAGTGAGCCCTCATTCTGTTAGTTCCCTTGAGAGGTGGTTGTCAAAAAGAGCCTGACACCTCCCTCTCATATCCCTTGTTTCCTCTCCTACCATGTGATCTCTGCACATGCTGGCTCCACTTCACTTTCTGCCTTGAGTGGAAGCAGATTGAAGGCCTCACCAGATGCAGATGCTGATGTCATGCTTCTTGAACAGCACGCTGAATCATGAGCTAAATAAACCTCTATTCTATAAATATTACCTGGCCTCATGTATTACCATGTGGCAACACGTATAATCTAAGATAATCCTAATACCACTACCCTAGTTACAATCAAGATTGTAACTAATCTGACCATAAATATGTAATTGTAGTTGAATTCGAGCATATTGTCTTTTATGCGTTATGTTGATTGAAATTTTAACTGTAGATCAATGTTTCTCAACATTGACATTTTGGGCTGGATAATTCTTTGTCATAAGAACTGTTCTGCAAATTATAGGATTTTTAGCCATATCTCTATCCTCTTCCCACTAGATAATGTATGGAAGATTACCAGCAGCTCCCCCTCTCCAGTTGTAACAAACAATAAAAAACCTCACCAGACATTGCAAAAATCCCCTGGGGGTCAAAAACCCCACAATCTGAGACATTGCTCTTGACGAAAATATTCCTAATAAATTAAGGACTGATTTTTAAATCCTGTTTTTCCTTGTAAGATATTAGATCCTCCATATATTCTATAGCCTTCAAGAATTGGAAAGAGTAGAGAGCAGAGACTTTATCCCTTCCACTATCACATCTTTTAAATAAAGGAAGAAATTTGAAAAATAATTAATACAAGTATGGGTTGGGTTAGTACATTTTTTAAAATCCCTATCATTGCTTCCTTAAAATGTCTGTTAACATTTCAGCAGTCAAGGTTTAATTATAGTGATGTGCCTATTTTTATGGGTTTTCTGTTCCTCTTCTAGAATATGTTTTGCTAGTGTTTACCTCCAATAATACCATCAAAGAGAATTATCTTGCAAGATTAAAAATATGAATATAGTGGAGATAAATCAGACATTCACAAAGGTCTACTTTTACAAAATGTCATTAATAATATATTATTTTTCTGCTAGATGTAATACAGCACTCACAAGAAAGTAAAATAGTTCTGCTAACATATTGCATCTTATAGACTCTCAATACATCTTAACATAATAAATGTTATGTACTTACATGAAGAATACTGTTTAACAGTGCTTAAATCCCTATATTTCAATATCATTTGAAATATAAAATCATCTGTAGGTAACATTATTCAAAACCCATCATAAATTTATTTATTTATTTATTTTGAGATGGAGTTTTGCTCTTGTTGCCCAGGCTGGAATGCAGTCAGGCTGGAGTTCAGTGGTGAGATCTCAGCTCACTTCAACCTCCGCCTCCTGGGTTCAAGTGAGTCTCCTGCCTCAGCCTCCCAAGTAGTTGGGATTATAGGTGCATGCCACCATGCCCCGCTAATTTTTGTATTTTTAGTAGAGACAGGGTTTCACCATGTTGGCCAGGCTGGTCTCAAACTCCTGACCTCAGGTGATTCGCCCACCTTGGCCCCCCAAAGTGCTGGGATTACAGGTGTTAGCCACTGCCCCCGGCCTGTTTAATATTTTTATATTTCAAACTGAATGCCTTATTTTTTTCTATTTTGTGTAACTGTGGACAATGTGGGTGCTTGAAGCAAAACAGGCATTAAGGTGAATCTTTGTAGAATGTAGTTTATTTACAAACTGGATATTTTTTTCTCATTTTCTATTTTTATTTTTAATGTTTATGGATATATAGTTATTGAACATATTTATGGGGTACATATGATATTTTGATACAAGCATAAAATGTATAATGATCAAATCTGGGTTATTGTGATATTCATCACCTCAAAAATGTATTATTTCTTTCTGTTAGTAACATTCTAAATCTCTTTTACCTATTTTGTAATATATAATACATTATTGTTAACTATAGTCACCTGTTTTGGGCCCTTCTTGCATTGCTATAAAGAAATATCTGAGATTGAGTAATTTATAAAGAAAAGAGTTTTATTTGGCTCATGGTACCACAGGCTGCACACAAAGCATAATGCTGGCTTCTGCTGCTGCTGAGGGCCTCAGGAAGCTACTAATCATGGCAGAATGCGAAGATGGAGCAAGTGCATCACATAAGAATGGGAGCAAAAGAGAGAGGGGAGAAGTGCCACACTCTTAAATAATCAGATCTCACGTTAACTCGGAGCGAGACTCACTGATTACCACAAGGACAGCACCAAGCTATTCATGAGGGATCTGCCCCCAAGACCCAGCCCCCATCTGCAACAGTGGGAGTTATATTTTAACATGAGATTTGGAGGAAACAAACATTCAAACCCTATCATTCTGCCCCTGGCCCCTGAAATCTCACGCCCTTTTCATATTGCAAAATACAATCATCCCTTCCCAATAGTCCCCAAAAATCTCAACTCGTTTCAGCATCCACTCAAGTTCCCCAAAGTCCAGAGTCTTATCTGAGTTGCAAGTCACATTCCTTCCACCTCTGAGCCTGAAAGATGAAAAACAAGTTATTTATTCCCAACATTCAATGATGGTACATGCCTCGGGTATACATTCCCAATCCAAAAGGAAGAAATAAGCCAAAAGAAAGGCGCAACAGACCACATACAAGTCTGAAATTCAGCAGGGAAGTCATTAAATCTTAAAGCTCCAAAACAAATTCATTTGACTCCATGTCCTATATTCAGGTCACACTGGTCCAATGGGTGGGGCTCCCAAGGCCTTGGAAACCTGCCCCTGTGGCATTGCAGGGTACAGCCCTTATAGCTGCTCTCACAAGTAGGAGTTGAGTGCTTGTGGTTTTTCCAGGCAAAGGGTGCAATCTGCCACGTGGAAATACCATTCTGTGGTCTGGAGGGCAGTGGTCTCCATCCCATAGCTCCATTAGGTATTGCTCTCATGGAGACTCTATGTGGGGTCTCCAACTCCACATTTCCCCTTGTCATTGCCCTAGGAAAGTTCCTCTCTGGGGCCTTCATTTCCATGGTAGGCTTCTGCCTAGGCATCCAGGCTTTTCTACATGTCGTCTGAAGTCTAAGTGGAAGCCACCACACTTCCTTCATGCTTCTATTCTGAGCATCTGTAGACTCAATATCACATGGAAGCCACCAAGGCTTATGGTTTGCACCCTGTGGTGCAGCATCCAAACTGCAAATGGAGCCTTTTGAGTCATGGCTAGAGGTGGAGCAGTGGTAGACACAGGGAGCAGTGTCTTAAAGCTTAGCTGGGCAACAGGGCCCAGGCCTGGCCCCTGGACCCATTATTTTGTCCTAGGCATCTGGACCTGAGATGGGGGAGGCTTCCTCGAAGAACTCTGAAATGCCTTTGAGGACTTTTCCCCATTGTTTAAATGGGACAATATTTATTAACACTTGGCTCCCTTTTAGTCATGAAAATCTCTTTAGCAAGTTGTTGCTGGACAGCCCACTTTATTCTCTCCTGAAAATGCTTTACCTTTCTTTGCCACATGACTAGGCTGCAAAATTTTTAAACTCTTATGGTCTAATTCTCTTTTAAATATAAGTTCCAATTTGAAGTCATTTCTTTGCTCCTATATCTGATTGTAGGGTGTTAGAAGCAGTAACAGCACTTCTTGAAAGTTTTGCTTCCAAGCAATTTATTCTGCCTGATATTGTAAGTCATTACTCTTTAGTTCAACCTTCCACAGATCTCTAGGACATGTGTAAAATGTAGCCAAGCTCCTTGCTAGGGTGTAACAAGAATGAACTTTAATCCAGTTCCCAACAAGTTGCTCATTTTCATTTGAGACATCATCAGCCTGGCCTTTACTAGCCATATTTCTATCAACATTTTGGCCACAACTATTTAACCAGTCGCCAAAACGTTCACGTTCCAAACTTTCCCCGACTATTGAGTCTTCTTCCAAGCCTTCCAAACTTTTCTAACCTCTGGCCTGTTACTCAGTTCCAAAGCCACTTTCACACTTTCAGCTTTTTATAGTGAGGCCCTACTCCTCAGAACCAATTTTCTGTGATAGGTCATTTTTGTATTGTTATAAAGAAATACCTGAGTGATTTATAAAGAAAAGGTATTTAATTGACTCACTATTCCGTAGGCTGTATGGGACACATGATGCCAGTATCTGCTGCTGTTGAGGGCCTCAGGAAGCTTCCTTTTATGGTGGAGGGCAAAAGGGGAGCAGGCACATTATATGGCAAGAACAGGAGCAAGGGGTGGGGAGGTGCCACATTCTTTTTAAAAAACAGATCTCACATGACTTCAGAGCCAGAACTCATTCATTATCATGAAGATAGTGCCAAGCTATTCACCAGGGATCTGCTCCCATGACCCAAACACCTCCTTCCAGGACCCATCTCCCACACTAAGGATTAGATTTCGACATGAGATTTGGAGGTGACATACATCCAAAATATATCAATGCCCTGTAGTGCTATTGAATACCAGGACTTATTTCTTCTATATAAATTTTTTTTTATTGATTAACAAACTCCTCTGCAATTCTCCACCCCACCACCTTTTCCATCTTTGGTAACCACCATTATATTTACTATATCCATGGGATCATGTTTTTAGCTCTCACATGTGCATGGGACCATGCAATATTTGTCCTTCTGTGCTGGCTTATTTCAATTAACATAATGTTTTCCAATTCCATACATGATGAGACAAAAGAAAGGATTTCATTCTTCTTTATGCCTAAATGATACTCCTTTGTATATATTTACCACATTTTCTTTAGACATTCATGTCTTGATGGACACTGAGGTTGATTGCATATCTTGGCTTTTTCAATAGTTATACAATAAATATGGGAGGGCAGATATGTCTTTAATATACTTGTTTCATCTCTTTTTGACATTTACCCAGTGGTGGGATTGCTAGATCATATGGTAATTCTACTTTCAGTTTATTAAGGAAACACTATACTGTTTTCCATAGTTCCTACACTAATTATACTCTCAGGGACCATATGTAAGTGTTCCCCTAGGGTTTGCCTTTCCCCAAGTCCTTATCAGAATTTGTTATTTTCTGTCTTTTTGATAATATTTATTTTACCTGGGGTAAGATGAGAACTCATTGTGGTTTTTATTTACATTTCCCTGACAATTAATGCTGTTGAGTATTTTTTCATATATCTCTTGGCCATTTGTATCTTTTAAAACAAATGTCTATTCAAATCACTTCCTCGTTTTTAACGGATTATTTGCTTTTTTGCTATTGAGTTGAGTTCTTTATATATTCTGTTTATTAATCCCTTGTTAAGTTGATAGCTTTCAAATATTTTTGCCCATTCAGATTTCTTTTCAATATATTGATTTTTCTTTGCTGTGTAGAAGTGTTTTGGCTTGACATTATCTCATTTTAAAATTTTTACTTTGGTTTTTTATTAGTCTGTTTTCACACTGCTATAAAGAATAACTGAGACGAGGTAATTTATAAAGGAAAGAATTTTAAATGACTTATAGTTTTGCATGGCTATGGAGACTTCTGGAAGCTTACAATCATGGCAGAAGGTGAATGGGAAGCCAGGCATGTCCTACATTGTAATATTTTTCAACATCAATTTTGAGACTTCTTAAAAATTTCACAGATCTGTCAGGACTTGGTCAAGATGTTTATTTGCTTTGATTCTGAAAATAAATAAACAAACTCAAATAAAATAACAACAACAAACATGAAAATAGGCCATCAAAATAAGACTGAGGCCTTGAAAGAGTTTTATAACTTTAAGAGAGTTGCATTTCAAGCTATTGGTGTAAGAATAATCACAGCCCGGCCGATATCCATTGTCTTTAATACATATTGTTGAAGGGCATATTTTGGCATATTTATGTCAGTAGTCCAAGAAAAATAAGCTTTGATTCTAAAGTGCTCATACTTTTAATTTGCATCTCACTCGTACTTTTGGAGGGGTCCTCAGAAAGTTTACTGGCATGGTCAATTCTTATATACCAACCCAAAGTTTTCAACTCCTTTGACAAAAAGTTAAGCTATATTTTCCACACTTTATTATCTATTTGTTGACTTTTCAGTGCTCACAATTTTAGAGGAAATGATTTTGAGAGGTGAAGCCAACTGGACTTCCTGGGTCGAGTGGGGACTTTGGGAACTTTCCTGTCTTACAAGAGGCTTGCAAAATTCACCAATCAGGATCTTTCCTGTCTTACAAGAGGTTTGTAAAACGCACCAATCAGCGCTCTGTAAAATGCACCAATCAGTGCTCTGTAAAATGCACCTATCAGCAGGATTTTAAAAGTAGCCAATCATGGGGAGGATTGAGAAAAGGGCATTCTGATAGGACAGAAACAGAACATGGGAGGGGACAAATAAGGGAATAAAAACTGGCCACCCCAGCCAGCAGCAGCAACCCACTTGGGTTCCCTTCCATGCTGTGGAAGCTTTGTTCTTTTGCTCTTCACAGTAAACGTTGCTGCTGCTCACTCTTTGGGTCCGTGCCACCCTTAAGAGCTGTAACACTCACCACAAAGGTCTGCAGCTTCATTCTTGAAGTCAGCAAGATCACGAACCCACAGGCAGGAACCAACTCCGGACACAACTTGGGGGTTTATCTGGGATAGCACCACATGATGAGTATCACTGGACCCCTTTCACTTGCTATTCTGTCCTATTTTTCCTTAGAATTTGGGGGCTAAACACTGGTCACCTGTTGGCAAGTTAAAAGTGGCTAGCATGGCCGCTGGAATAAAGACATGGGTGTCAGGCTTTCTGGGAAATGGCTCTCTAACAATTGCTGACTCTTCAGAGTCAGGAGCGTTGGTTTGCCTGGAACCAGCTTCTGCTTTTCCTGCACTTCCGGGCTGAGCCGAGGGTCGACAGAAGAAAGTCATTCAGCTCTGGGGTCCCAGTAAAAATTTGGTTGACCCCGCAGCCATGAGCAGAACTCTCAAAGTTATGTCATCCATGAGAGACTCGCCCATCTATCCTATCTATCCTGACCCTTGCTTCCTGGTTCCTAATGCTGTCAGACAAACCCTCCCACCTCTCTTCTCCAAGGCTAGTCCCACTTCTAAAAACCACTCCTTGTCCCTGGTGGTCTTCTAGTTTCTCCTATAAGGAAGATTTCTAATATAAATTTTGGGACTCTGTTCCCTTCTTTAGGCACCTGGGCTCACCAATCAGAAAGACATAATTTTTGCCTGAACTCCCATTTGGGGGGGCATTATCAGGAATTTTAGGATCCATCCTCAGACTAGCAGGCCTAACAAAGGCTATTCCCGAAGCTAGGATATGGGGAGCCTCAGAAATTATATCCTTCCTATTCATATGATGAGAAGTGAGGACAAAAGTTGTCACTCTTCCAACCCTGGAGATCCCTTCCCTCCCTCAGGGTATGGCCCTCGACTCCATTTTGAGGCATAACTTTATAGGACAAGGGTAAGGTCCCAATACCCACAGGAGAAAATGCTTAGGACTCTAACTAACAGGTTTCAAGAATGCTTCAGTAAGGGCCACTAAATCCAACCTTCCTTGGTCCCGTTTGTGGTCTAGGAGGAAAACTAGTGTTTCCGCTGCTGCTTCAGTGAGTGCAACTATTCTGAACACAGGGTCCAGGGACTGTTGTAGGTTCTTGGCAGGTGGGAAAAAATGGGCAGTTTTTTCTTTCAGGTGGGAAACACTCAGGCATCAGCAGGCTCACCCTTGAAATGCATCCTAAGCCATTGGGACCAATTTGACCCACAAACCCTGCAAAAGAAGTGGCTCATTTTTTTCTGCATTATAGCCTGGCCCCAATATTCTCTCTCTGAAGGGGAAAAATGGCCACCTGAGGGAAGTATAAATTACAATACTATCCTGCATCTTGACTTTTCCGTAAGAGGGAAGGCAAATGGAATGAAATACCTTATGTCCAAGCTTTCTTTTCATTGGAGGATAATCCACAAGTATGCAAAGCTTGCAATTTACATTCCACAGGAGGACCTCTCAGCTTACACTCCAGATCCTAGCCTTCCTACAGCTCCCCTTCCTATTAATGATAAGACTCCTCTAATCTCCCCAACCCAGAAGGAAACAAGCAAAGAAATATCCAAGGGACCATAAAAACCCCCAGGCTATTGGTTATGTCCCCTTTAAGCTGTAGGTGGAGGGTATTTTGGCCCAACCTGCATATATGTCCCCTTCTCCTTCTCTGATTTAAAACAGATCAAGGTAGACCTGGAGAAGTTTTCAGATGATTCTGATAGGTATATAGATGTCCTACAGGGTCTAGGGCAAACCTTGGACCTCACCTGGATAGATGTCATGCTACTCTTAGATCAAACCCTGGCCTTTACTGAAATGTTGTAGGAAGTCAGGGATCCTGAATGGAGGGACCAGCTGAAGCCATGGCAAAAGAACATGGATTGTGAAGATTTCTTGGACTTTTATTATTTACCCAAATTAATACTTTTATAATTTCTTACACCTGTCTTTACTGCAATCTCTGAACATAAATTGTGAAGATTTCATGGACACTTATCACTTCCCAAATCAATACCCTTGCAATTTCCTATGCCTGTCGTTACTTTAATCTCTTAAATCTGTCATCTTCGTAAGCTGAGGAGGATGTATGTCGCCTCAGGACCCTGTGATGATTGCATTAACTGCACAAATTGTTTGTAGAGCAAGTGTATTTGAACAATATGAAAACTGGGCACCTTGAAAAAAGAACAGGATAACAGCACATTCAGGGAACACGAGAGATAACTTTAAACTCTGACTGCCAGTGAGCTGGGTGGAACAGAGACATATTTCTCTTCTTTCAAAAGCAAATGGGAGAAATATCGCTGAATTCTTTTTCTCAGCAAGGAACATTGCTGAGAAAGAGAATGTGTCCCTGAGGGTAGGCCTCTGAAATGGCAGCTTCAGGGGTGGCCGTCTTTTATGGTCACAGCTGTAGAGATGAAATAAGCCCCAGTCTCCTGTAGCACTCCCAGGCTTATTAGGATGAGGAAATTCCCACCTAATAAATTTGGTCAGACCGGTTGTCTGCTCTCAAACCCTGTCTCCTGATAAGATGTTTTCAATGACAATGTGTGCCTGAAACTTCATTAGCAATTTTAATTTTGCCCCAGTCCTGTGGTCCTGTGATCTTACCCTGCCTCCATTTGCCTTGTGATATTCTATTACCTTGTGAAGCATGTGATCTCTGTGACCCACACCCTATTCATACACTCCCTCCCCTTTATAAAATCACTAATAAGAACTTGCTAGTTTTGTGGCTTGTGGTGTATTATGGAACCTGTCGACATGTGATGTCTCCCCTGGACACCCGGCTTTAAAATTTTTCTCTTTTGTACTCTGTCCCTTTATTTCTCAGACCAGCCAACCCTCAGGGAAAATAGAAAAGAACCTACATGAAATATCAGGGCTGAATTTTGCCCAATACTGAAAGAATGCGGCTTTAGCTGCAGCCGAAGAGTTTGGAGATACCTGGTATGTTAGTGAAGTAAATGATAGAATGACAGCCAAAGAAAGGGACAAATTCCCAACTGGTCAGCAAGCCATCCCCAGTGTGGATCCCAACTGGGACCTCAACTCAGATCATGGGGACTGGAGTGGCAAACATCTTTTGATCTGTGTTCTAGAAGGACTAAGAAGAATTAGGAAAAAGCCCATGAATTATTCAATGATATCCACCATAAGTCAGGGAAAGGGAGAAAATCCTTTCGCCTTCCTTGAGCGGTTATGGGAGGCCTTAAGAAAGTGTATTCCCCTGTCACCTGACTCCCTCCAGGGTCAATTGATCCTCAAAGATAAGTTTATTACCCAATCAGCTGCAAATATTAGGAGAAAGCTCCAAAAGCGAGCCCTGGGCCCTGAACAAAATCTGTAGGCATTATTAAATCTGGCAACCTCAGTGTTCTGTAATAGGGACCAAGAGGAACAGGTCCAAAAGGAAAAGTGAGATCAGAGAAAGGCCACAGCCTTAGTCATGGCCCTCAGAAAAACAAACCTTGGTGGTTCAGAGACAACAGAAAATGGAGCAGACCAATCTCCCAGTAGGGCTTGTTATCAGTGTGGTTTGCAAGGACACTTTAAAAAAGATTGTCCAACAAGAAACAAGCCGCCCCCTCGTTCAAGTCCACTATGCTAAGGCAATCACTGGAAGATGCACTGCTCCAGAGGACAAAGGTTCTCTGGGCCAGAAGCCTCCAATCAGATGATCCAACAACAGGACTGAGGGTGTCTGTGGCAAGTGCCAACTCATGTTCTCACCCTCACTGAGCCCCAGGTAAGTTTAACCATTGAGCGCCAGGAAATTGACTTCCTCCTGAACACTGGCGCGACCTTCTCTGTGTTAATCTCCTGCCCCAGACAGCTGTCCTCAATGTCCGTTACCATCTAAGGAATCCTGGGACAGCCTGTAACCAGGTATTTCTCCCACCTGCTCAGTTGTAATTGGGAGACTTTGCTCTTTTCACATGCCTTTCTTGTTATGTCTGAAAGTCCCACACCCTTATTAGGGAGGGACATATTAGCCAAAGCTGGAGCTATTATCTACATGAATACCGGGGACAAGTTACACATTTTTTGTCCCCCACTTGAGGAGAGAATCAACCCTGAAGTCTTGGCATTGGAAGGACAATTCGGAAGGGCAAAAAATGCCTACCCAGTTTAAATCAGGCTAAAAGACCCCACCACTTTTCCTTATCAAAGGCAATATTGTTTAAGGCCTGAAGCTCATAAAAGATTACAGAATATTGTTAGACATTTAAAAGCTCAGCTCGGCGTGGTGGCTCACACCTGTAATCCCAGCACTTTGGCAGGCCAAGGTGGGTGGATCACGAGGTCAGGAGATCGAGACCATCCTGGTTAACACAGTGAAACCCTGTCTCTACTAAAAATACAAAAAATTAGCCAGGTGCGGTGGCAGGCGCCTGTAATCCCAGCTACTCAGAAGGCTGAGGCAGGAGAATGGTGTGAACCTGGGAGGCGGAGTTTGCAGCGAGCAGAGATTGCACCATTGCACTCTGGCCTGGGCAACAGCGTGAAACTCTGTCTCAAAAAAAAAAAACAACAAACCAAAAACCAAAAAAAAAAAAAAAACACACACAAAAAAAAACAAAAAACAAGACATTTAAAAGCTCAAGGCTTAGTAAGAAAATGCAACAGTCCCTGCAACACCCCAGTTCTAGAAGTACAAAAACCGAATGGTCAGTGGAGACTAGTGCAAGATCTTAGACTCATCGATGAGGCAGTAATTCCTCTATATCCAGCTGTACCCAACCCCTATACCCTGCTCTCTGAAATACCAGAGGAAGCAGAATGGTTCACTGTTCTGGACCTCAAGGATGCTTCCTTCTGCATTCCCCTGCACTCTGACTCCCAGTTTCTCTTCGCTTTTGAGGATCCCACAGACCACATGTCCCAACTTACATGGATGGTCTTGCCTCAAGCGTTTAGGGATAGTCCTCATCTGTTTGGTGAGGCACTGGCCCAAGATCTAGGCCACTTCTCAAGTCCAGGCACTCTGGTCCTTCAGGATGTGGATGATTTGCTTTTGGCTACCAGTTCGGAAGCCTCATGCCAGCAGGCTACTCTAGATCTCTTGAACTTTCTAGCTAATCAAGGATACAAGACATCTAAATTGAAGGCCTACCTCTGCCTACAACAAGTCAAATATCTAGACCTAATCTTAGCCAGAGGAACTAGAGCCCTCAGCAAAGAACAAATTCAGCCTATACTGGTTTATCCTCCCCCTAAGACATTAAAACAATTGTGGGCATTGCTTGGGATCACCGGCTTTTCCAAACTATGGATCCCCAGATAGAGCGAGATGGCCAGGCCACTCTATACGCTAATCGAGGAGACCAGAGGGCAAATACTCATCTAGTAGAATGGGAACCAGAGGCAGAAACAGCCTTCAAAACCTTAAAGCAGTCCCTAGTACAAGCTCCAGCCTTCAGCCTTCCCACAGGACAAAACTCCTCTTTATAAGTCACAGAGAGAGGAAGAATAGCTCTTGGAGTCCTTACTCAGACTCGTGGGACAACCCCACAACCAGTGGCATACCTAAGTAAGGAAATTGATGTAGTAGCAAAAGGTTGGCCTCACTGTTTATGGGTAGTTGCAGCAGTGGCCATCTTAGTTTCAGAAGCTATCAAAAAACACAAGGAAAAGATCTCACTGTCTGGACTACTCATGATGTAAATGGCATAGTAGGTGCCAAAGGAAGTTTATGGCTATCAGACAACCACCTGCTTAGATACCAAGCGCTACTCCTTGAGGGACTGGTGCTTCAAATATGCATGGGTGTGGATCTCAACCTTGCCACTTTTCTCCCAGAGGATGGCGAACCAATTGAGCATGACTGCCAACAAATTATAGCCCAGACTTATGCTGCCTGAGAGGATCTCTTAGAAGTCCTCTTAGCTAATCCTGACCTTAACCTATGTACCAGTGGAAGTTCATTTGTGGAGAATGGGATACAAAGAGCAGGTTATGGCATAGTTAGTGATGTAACAGCACTTCAAAGTAAGTCTCTTCCCCCAGGGGCCAGTGCCCAGTTAGTAGATCTAGTGGCGCTTACCCGAGCCTTAGAACTTGGAATGGAAAAAAGAATAAATTTGTATACAGATAGCAAGTATGCTTATCTAATCCTACATGTCCATGCTGTAATATGGAAAGAAAGGGAGTTTCTAACCTCCAGGGGAACCCCCATTAAATACCACAAGGAAATAATTGAGTTATTGTATACAGTGCGAAAACCCAAGGAGGTAGCAGTCTTACACTGCCAAAGCCATCACAAAGGTGAAGGAGAAAAGGTAGAAGGAAACCATCGGGCAGATGCTGAGGTAAAAATTGCTGCCAGGAGGAACTTCCCATTAGAAATACCTATGGAAGGATTCTTGGTATGGAACAACCCTCTCCAAGAGATTAAGCCTCAGTATTCCCCAGCTGAAACAGAATGGAGACTTTCACAGGGGCATAGTTTTCTTCCCTTGGGGTAGTTAACAACAGAAGAGGGAAAGGTACTCATACATGAAGCCAACCAGTGGAAAATACTTAAGACCCTCCACCAAACTTTTCATATGGGTATTGAGAACACTCAACAAATGGCCAAAGCCCTATTTACAGGGCCACATCTCCTTTGGACCATCCGGCAAGTAGTCAAAGCCTGTGAGGTATGCCAAAGGAATAATGCTTTGATCCATCATAAGTTCCCTCTGGGAGAACAAAGAATAGGGCACTATCCCAGAGAGGACTGGCAGTTAGACTTCACCCATACGCCTAAGTCAAGGGGATTTCTTTGCTAACTTAACCTACCACTCCCATTATGAAGGAAAAGACCCTTTCCAACTTCTAAATATGCAATCATTAGCTGACTTCCCCATCTCTGATAGAACCAAAAATACCTTAACAGGATGAGCAATCCAGCTTTTACGCTCTTACATTTCTAACCTCACCTATTATATGAGCAATGAAAAGCGCATACATAGCCTGTAACCACGAATACCATCTTAACTTTCCAAGCCCTGTTATGCATCCAATGCAACCTGTTATCAGGCCTTCCTCTTGGACACCTACTATCCCATCAGTGTAATTACTCCCTACAATTTCAATCCCCATTGATCATAGTAACTTCTGAGTCACCCAAACAGCTCCATTCAGACTGCTTGTCCACTTCTCAGGGCCCCCAAAAATCATCAGCTCTTCCCTGCTTAACAAACAGTCCCAGGCTTTGTAATGGCAAACATAAGCCCTGCATGACCATTCACCCCTGGAACCCCTGCAGCAGCACCCCCACCACTAGTGAATGCCTTTCCATCCCCTCTTTCAATTACTCTCTTGAATGGTTCTTAGTAGATACAAAACAGTTTTTTCTCCAGTGGGAAAATAGAACACAGGGAGCCACTCAGTTTACTCCCAACACCCATTTCCAGCCACTCACCGGAGCTACATTGGCAAGTACTCTAGGAGTATGGGAAAATGAAAACAACAAACTCACACATGTTTTTAACATACACAACCAGTTCTGTCTACCCAGCCAAGGCATATTCTTCTTATATGGAACTTCATCCTGTATCTGCCTCCCTAGCAAATGGACAGGCACCTGCACCTTAGTCTTCCTAAGTCCCAACATTGACATTGCCCCAGGAAATCAGACTCTATCAGTGCCCCTCAAAGCTCAAGTCTGTCAGCACAGGGCCATAAAACTAATACCCCTACTTACAGGGTTAGGAATGGCCACTGCTGCAAGAACTGGAATAGCCAGTTTATCTACTTCATTATCCTACTACCACACATTCTCAAAGGATTTCTCAGACAGGTTGCAAGAAATAATAAAATCTATCCTTACTCCACAATCCCAAATAGACTCTTTGGCAGCAGTGACTCTCCAAAACTGCTGAGGCCTAGACCTCCTCACTGCTGAGAAAGGAGGACTTTGCACCTTCTTAGGGAAAGAGTGTTGTTTTTACACTAACCAGTCAGGGATAATACGAAATGCCACCCAGCATTTACAGGAAAAGCCTTCTGAAACTAGACAACAGCTCTCAAAGTCATATATCAACCTCTGGAGCTCAGTGACATGGCTTCTCCCCTTTCTAGGTCCTGTGACAGCCATCTTGCTATTACTCACCTTCAGGCCCTGTATTTTTAACCTCCTTGTCAAATTTGTTTCCTCCAGGAACGAGGCCATCAAGCTACACATGGTTTTACAAATGGAACCCCAAATGAGCTCAACTCACAACTGCTACCGAGGACCCCTGGATGGACCCACTGGCCCTTCAAGTAGCCTAGAGAATTCCCCTCTGGAGGACACTATAACTGCAGGGCCCCTTCTTTGCACCTATCCAGCAGGAAGTAGCTAGAGTGGTCATTGCCCAATTCCCAGCAGCTGTTGGAGTGTCCTGTTTAGAGGGGGGATTGAGAGGTGAAGCCAGCTGGACTTCCTGGGTCGAGTGGGGACTTGGGGAGCTTTCCTGTCTTACAAGAGTTTGTAAAACGCACCAATCAGCACTCTGTAAAATGCACCAATCAGTGCTCTGTAAAATGCACCAAACAGCACTCTCAAAAGTGCACCAATCAGTAAGATTCTAAAAGTAGCCAATCTCGGGGAGGATTGAGAAAAGGGTATTCTGATAGGATAGAAATGGAACATGGGAGGGGACAAATAAGGAAATAAAAGCTGGCCACCCCAGCCAGCAGCGGCAACCCACTTGGGTCCCCTTCCATGCTGTGGAAGCTTTGTTCTTTCACTCTTCACAATAAACCTTGCTGTTGCTCCACCTTTGGGTCTGTCCCACCTTTAAGAGCTGTAACATTCATTGCAAAGGTACGCAGCTTCATTCTTGAAGTCAGTGAGACCCCAAACCCACTGGCAGGAACCAACTCTGGACACAGTTTGAATGTTAACAATAAAGTCTTTCTTAGCAATCCAAATTTTGGGTCATGCAATCTTTTAAAATAATCATGCAGATATGGTATATGCTACGTTTGACATTTTAAATATAAAGGTCAACTAAAGGAATAAAACAAACACTGTAAACTCAAAAATTTTCAGGGATTTTAACAGTTAGAGCTTTTAAAAAACTAGACTGTGTTTTCTTTCATCCTCAAAATTTATGAGAAAAATACACCAGACATGTAAAAATGATAGACCCATAAAAAGAAAATTTTAGGGTTTATATGAAGTTAGTGCAGATCTAATCCAACTCTTTCACCTACATGTGTAGTTTCATATAGTCATTGATTTTCTCCAAGGCATGTCCTATAGTTTATTGCCTTCATTTATTTACACTATTTTTTTCTGCAATAGCTAAACCCTGTCATTTCTACCTATTGAAATCCTATTTATCTGTCAAGCTTCAGCTAACATGTTACCTGCAACGAAGCACTGTACATTATCCATCCCCCAGTAGTTAGCGTGGATTGCTTCCTTCTCTGAATTCATGTAGTATTGTTATGACACTAATGAACAGGTTACCATGCATTTTAATCATTAAGAACCCATAAAAATTGTGTGTTATTTGAGGATATATATTACTGATTGTCGGCCAAAACACATTGAAGAGCTTTAGGTAACCTGCAAATAGTTGATAAATAAGTATGGGTAAAACTATGAAAAATTTCACATCTCCCATGCAATTCAAGAAAAAAATAAATTGTACTCAGTGTACTAATTTAATGATAAAGATATTATTACTTGCTCTACCTGTAATAAATTACTTGGTTTTCTTTGTGATAGACTGATTGCATTAATGCTTCGTCCATTCCTGCACCCTCATCTTTTATCACCCACATGGCTTTGCATCTTCCACCATCAATAGGATGATTGAGTGCCTTGGCTATATTCCATATGTCTAGCATCACCCATTACATAGTCTGAAATGTCTTAGCCTAGGCAAGCCTAGAGAAGCTAATAGTCAACCTATCCATATTCTGGCATATAAGGAGTTCAGTCAAGATTAGTGCATTTATTGACAAACATTCTCAGATGTGTTTAGCAATAAATAATTCTTAATGTATGCTACTATTTACCTCTGATTCTTCCCTAAAGGCCCTTGCATTCAACTACTGGCCTGAGTGTTTTGTTTTTAAAAGAAGTAAGGACTATCTTGGAACCCCCCAAAACAGGACTGTGCCATATACTTTTGGGTGCAGTCTTCTATGAATAATCTGTAAGTTGACTTCACTTATACAACCTTGAGACCATTCTGGTAAACTTATAATTTCCAGAAAAATAAACGAGTTGTTTCTCTTTTCCCTTAAACTACCTATAAATTATAAAAATTTAGCAATTTATGTTATTATAAACAGAAATTAAACATTTGCAAATTCTATATTTTTCTCCCTGCCTGAGCCCTCTAGAACTTGGTGACTTTTAAGTTTTATTACATAGGTTCAGTAAGAATCTGTCCTCCTTGTTACCAGTATTTGATTATAAATATTAGACATGTAACCAAGGTCTCACCTGAAATATCATACCTGAGAATAATGCTTATTTAATAAGGTATAAATAGACATTTTTATGCAATCAATCTTTGCTTAATGGAGCCAATTTTCACAAGGTCCTTTTGGGAAACCTGGTCAGATATTTGGTTTACAGTGTTCCTAGACCTATGTGTTTAAAACCATACAAGTTACTAAAAAAGTCATTCCCCAGTCTGGTGAGTTACCATTATTGCTACACCTATGTAAATAATCAAGCCAAAATCTGATAAGACTAGCATCATTTTGTAATCAGAATTACACCTAGGGTAATAGACATAGAAAAAAATACCACATGATATCAATTATACGTGGTTTTGTTTAAAAAGTAGAACATATAATGGAGAGTACAACATAGGTTACCAGGTGCAGGGATGGGGAGGTAATATAGGGAAGTCGGTCAAAGGGTACAAACTTGCAGTTATGTAGGACGAATAAGTCCATATATCAAATATACAGTGTGGCTACTACAGTTAATAGCAAAGTATAGTATATTAAAAATTTGCTAAGAGAGTAGATTTTAGGTTTTGTTAGCACAAAAATAGTAACTATGGAAGGTGATAGATATGTTCATTTACTTAGCTGTAGTAATCATTTTACTATTTATATATATATGATACATCCTGTTGCACACCATGTATACAATTTTTAAATGTAATTTCTTTTAGATTATTTTCATTTAAATGTGGAATTGTGACTGTAGAGAGAAACTTCATGTTTCAATATGAAACTATGCATCATTTACTACACTCCATTCTGGAGGGGAGGAAGCTTTGGTACGAAGTTACATATTAGACTAGATCTTGTTACCTTTCCCCCAGTTGTCAATCCGTACCAAATTTTCAATTTTGTCTGGTTTCTTCAATATGTAACTACATCCCTCGAAACTAATATTTTTAGTTTTTTCTCCTCCTTCCTGATTGTCCTGAATAAGAACTAAAATCCAACTGCCCAGATTCCTATTGGGCCTGGAGGTTAACTTGCAGGTCGCCTTTTTCATTAGTATTTGACAAAGCCCTGGCTAAAGCCCACCTATTTTTTTTCTTTTTTTTTTTTTTAGATTGAGTCTCGCTCTGTCGCCCAATGCAGTGGTGCTATCTCGACTCACTGCAAGCTCCGCCTCCCGGGTTCACGCCATTCTCCTGCCTCAGCCTCCCGAGTAGCTGGGACTACAGGTGCCCGCCACAAAACCCGGCTAACTTTTTGTATTTTTAGTAAACACGGGGTTTCACCATGTTAGCCAGGATGGTCTCGATCTCCTGACCTCGTGATCCACCCACCTTGGCCTCCCAAAGTGCTAGGATTACAGGCGTGAGCCACAGCGCCCAGCCAAGCCCAACTATTTGATATGAACACTGAAGAACACACCACTCAGCAGATCAAGCATGGGCTGGATTTCTTTCTGGATAAATCATAACCTAGAACGTCAAAGAAGTCTTGTAAAATATTTGAGTCATAAATGCCCTTATATAAGAGATTACTACTAGATTTCTTATATAAAAGAAATTCTGAGAAAAAGAAATACTTTCAAAATATTTCTATAATAATATCTTTTTAAAACTATAAGGGTCTTTTTTTTTAAAGTACCTTCTGCTGACTTTTAATAAGCAATAGATTTTTTTAAAAAATTTGAATAATCTTCAAATATATCCTCACATTACAATCTCATTATCTTCCCCATAATTTCTAAGAAACTTGTGGCTCAAAATGAGTGAGAACTCAAAATAAAAAATGGTTTCAGGATGTAACCCAAAGTGTTCATGAGCAGATTGCCTCACAGGCTGAGGTAATACACTTTTGGTATACTATGCTAGCTTTTAGATTGCAGTTTTTCAGTTACTTCAATTATTACTATGATTTGGCAGTTATCTTAAATTGGAGTTTGATTTCCAGACTTCAGGTGCAGAATTTGCTTATTGCCAAAATAAGCTGATTAGAAATTTGCTCAAGCGAAAGATGGTAAATGAGCCCCAGTTTGGCCACTAACTCCAGTCAAGAGAGGAATAAATCCAGACTCCCCAATGGGAAAGGTAAATGATTACTTCAATGTAGTAGGAATTGAGTTTGGCCACTAACTCCAGTCAAGAGAGGATTTATTAATCCAGACTCCCCAATGGGAAATGTAAATAAATACTTCAATGTAGTAGGAATTGAGGATATAGAGCCATGTATCTATATCTGTATATGTATATATCTATGTATACCTATATTTATATACAAAGACAATTAGTTGTTGGAATATAGATCAGCCTAGGCCATGTTAATAAAGACTAATTGTGATTCAGAGTAGGCCTGTAAGATTATCATAACTAAAAAATGACAGATGACTAAAGTTAGGAAAAATTACCATGTAAATATCTTAATATCAGCTGTTTCTGATAGACAAACCTTGGGAACTACTCTTGTTATCAAAGACATTTCTAAAACAGCTTTTAATTTCCACAGCCCAACATGAAAAAGTTACATTCTGAAACACTTTAAAAGGTTTTTTTGCTGTATAGTACCCAGTATACTTTAAAGATTCTTAACTACTTTTTATACATCTGAGATTAGTGTGCATGGTATGTTCTTATATAGCTACATATTTATATGTTTATATAGAAATGAGCCACATCCTCCAAAGATGCTTGGAATTGTTCTTAGGGGTTCATATAACCAAACACATTTATTTGATCTGCTTTCAGACAAAATCCACATTTATTTGTCAGAGGATTACTTCATTTACAATATTTTTTTACAAAGAAATCTGAATTGAAAATCCTATGCAAATATACGAGATTCATTAAATTGTAATAACTTTTTCAAATAGAGCAATCAAGTAGTTAAACCCAAATATTCTTCATATTAACTTTATTGATTCAAAATATTCCAATAAATGCATGTCATTTGGAAATGTGTATGACTATTACAAGTAAAGGAATTACTATACATTAAGTATTAATTCTGCCAGCATGGAAAACATATGTCAGCAAAAGATTATTCAAAGTAAGTCAATTCAAAGGCCTCTCCCATTTAAGACTACATTATAGACAATGATTATAATGGTTAGTTTGAATAACAAAAGTTTATTCATGCACATTATAATATTTATTTTTCCATAACAAATTACCCTAAAACTTTGTTGCTCAAAGCAACACACATCTATTATTTCAGTTTCTGTTGGTTTCTTATGTGGGTTTTTTGCTTCAGGGTGTCGCACAAGGCTTCAATTAAAATACCAACTGGTGCTTCAGTCTCATCTGAAGAACTGACTGGGGAAGGATCCAGATCCAAGCCCACGTAGGTGTTGTTTGCAGGATTCATTTCTTCAAGGATTGTTGATGTAAAAGGCTTAATTCCTTGCTGTCTGTTGACTGGAGGACATCTTCAGTTCCTTGCCAGATGGGACTCTCTAACATAGCAACTTGTTTCATCAAAGCCAACAAAAGAGCGATTCTGTAAGCAAGATAGAAGTCACCATCTTATGTAACCTAATCATAAAAGTGATATCCCATTACATTTTTGATATTTATTTGATTTTAAGCCAAGTCCAACCCACAAATTTAAGTATAGGGAATTACACAAGCACTTAAATACCAGAAAGTAAAGAATGTTGGGGTCATCTTAGAAGTTACCTATCATAATAATCAAATTCTTCAAACTTGGTGTTTAAAAGTAAAAAAATAGAGCAGTCAGAGATAGAAGTACATTAAATGTAGAGGAACAAAGGCAGGAATAATAGGACACTTCTTATTAAAAACAATGCAGAAAAAGAAGCCATCTTTAAAATACAGAAAGGAAAAAAGGGTGTTAACCAAGAAATCTATATTTATTAATAATATCTTTCAAAATGTTAATGAAGTTTTTTTATAAATATAAAAACAGAAAATATTCATCACCAGCACAACTGCACTACAAGAAATATTAAAGGAATTTCCTCAGGTAGATGATGTATTGCATGTCTATTCATGTATAAATCATTACCCCAAAACATAGCATCTTAAAACCATAAGGATTTATTATCTTACAAACTTTCTGAGATTTTAGAGTCCAAGAATGGGTTAGCTGGGGCCTCTGGGACAAAGACTTACACAGATATTTAGTCGTGCTGGGGTTTTGGTTATTATTTTATTTTATTTTATTTTTTATTTTTATTTTTTATTTTTTTGTGACGGAGTTTCACTCTGTTGCCCAGACTGGAGTGCAGTGGCACGCTCTTGGCTCACTGCAAGCTCCGCCTCCTGGGTTCACTCCATTCTCCTGCCTCAGCCTCCCGAGTACCTGGGACTACAGGCTCCTGCCACCACACCTGGCTATTTTTTTCTATTTTTTATTAGAGACGGGATTTCACCGTGTTATCCAGGATGGTCTCCATCCCCTGACCTTGTGATCCACCTGCCTCGGCCTCCCAAAGTGCTGAGATTACAGGAATGAGCCACCGTGCATGGCCGGTTTTGGTTATTTTAACACTCAGTTGGGGCTTGAGAATCTGCTAACATGGTCATGCGATTGATTGCTAGCAAACTTCAATCCCTAGTGGCTACTGGCCAGAGGTTTCCATTCCTTGTCATAATGGGTTTCTCTAAAGGGTGTATCAGTGTCCTAATGATATGTTGACTGAGTTACCACAGAACAAGTGATCAGAAACAGAGAGAGAGATCCAGTGGTCATTATGAAGTCTATAATCTTTTATAACCTCACCTTGGAAGTGTCGTCCATCATTTAGACTGTATGTTAGTCTCACATACAAACCCTGGTATAGTGCAGTAGGATACTACGCACTATAGTGCATAGTATACCACCTTAAGGTTAACTACCACAGTCCGCCCTTTGGCCCCCAAGGATTAATGTAACTCCAACACACAAAATATATGCATACTTTCTCAAGGCCTACAAAATCTCATCTCATTAAAACATCACCTCAAAATACAGAATCTTGTCTTCTGAATTATGTCTAAGTCTGGATTTTGCTCCTTGGGTTTGTTTTATTTAGTACAGCTCCTCAGCTATACGTTTCTCATAACCTATGACATTTAACAATTTATTCAACCCTCACCCACACAAAATATAATCATGGGATATGCATAGAAAATCCACTATAGATCCTCACATTCAAAAAGGGATAAAATAAAAGGCAAAAGCAAGCCCTCATTCATGTCAATTCTGAAATCCTGCCAGGTAAATGTTGGAAGTTCCTTGATTAGCTCTCAATGCCTGAGAAAATTCTCCATGGCAGGATGGTCACATTGGCTCATGCCTATAATCCCAGCACTTTGGGAGGCCGAGGCTGGCAGATCACGAGATCAGGAATTTGAGACCAGCCTGACCAACATGGTGAAACCCCGTCTCTACTAAAAATACAAAAATTAGCCAGGAGTGGTGGGTGCACTCCTGTAATTCCAGCTACTCAGGAGGCTGAGGCAGGAGAATTACTTGAACCTGGGAGGCAGAGGTTGCAGTAAGTCAAGATTGCACCACTGCACTCCAGACTGGTCAACGGAGTGAGATTCCATCTCAAAAAAAAAAAAAAAAAATTCTCCATGACTCTCAGCTCTACCATCTGGGCTCCAGGTTCTACCTTCTCATTCTTCTTTTCCTTGAAAGTTAGGACACGTTTGCAGCAGAATAATTTTCTCAGCCTGCTTCTCAAAAGCAGAACAGGTTGGGAGAGGAATGCAAAGGCTTCTTTCTATTGTGTCTGGTCTGTGCCCCTTTCAGTTCACATTGGCAATATTTCTTCATATATGATTATTTTAAAATATTTGTAAATCTTCTGTGAATCTTACTGTGTTCACTCAGTTCAACAAAATTCACACCAACAGGCCAGGTGTGGTGGCTAATGTCTGTAATCCTAGCAGTTTGGGAGGCCTAGGCAGGAGTATTACTATTAAACTCCTAGGCAGGAGTTTAAGACCAGCCTGGCCAACATGGCAAAATCCCATCTCTACTAAAAGTACAAAAATTAGCCAGGTGTGGTGGCACATGCCTGTAATCCCAGCTACTCAGTAGGCTGAGGCAGGAGAATCACTTCAATCCGGGAGGCGGAGGTTACAATGAGGCGAGATCACACCACTGCACTCCAGCCTAGGCAGCATAGGAAGACTTCATCTCAAAAAATAATAATAAAAAACAAAAGTCACACCAACAAGTCTTTTCAAAGTAAGACATTCTTAACTTTAAATGGGCCTCTGCCTGGGAACAACACTGTCATCTTCCTAGAAGCCATAATAATGGATTGAGAGAATATGTGAAACACACCCTTAATATTTTTGTAGAGCCTTTTCTAACCGTATAGCATTATGAGGTACCAATGTGGATGTTTATGAGATTTGAACAAAAGATTTTTACAATCACACCTTAGGTGCCACTATTTTCTAACTGCAGTGCCCTGGATTTGATCTTTGATCAGAAGCCATTCATTAATTTTGCACCTTTTGACACCTAAAAAAGGCTAAGGATTTTTAAAACTGTCAAATATGTGGGGGGATTTGAAAAATTATTTCTTCAGCTTGTTTGTTTCTCATATCTCACAATAAGAAATAGGAAGTAATTAACTAGCTTTTTTGATAATCTGTTTGGAATTCTCCCTAGCTTATAAATCCAGTTTATCAAGGCAATTCTAACTTCCACGTAACTGCTAATGACAGTCTTGCTTAATTTTCTGCCACTACATCACAGGAACCCCCCCAGTATTTATTTAACATATGTACATATTTTGGGCTACATGGGATAATTTGACATGTTTATATTAAGTGTAATGATCAAATCAGGGTAATTACAATATCTATCACCTTGAACTATTATCTTTTCTTTATGCTAGGTGGTAACCACCAATGTACTTTCTACTTTCATGTATTCACTTTCTTAGCTCCTAAATATGAGTGAGAATATACGATATTTGTCTTTCTGTGACTGGATTAACTCACTTAGTATATAGTGCCTTCCAGTTCCCTCTATGTTGCTACAAATGATAGAATTTCATTCTTTTCCATGGCTGAATAATATTCCACTGTGCATATATATCACATTTTCTTTCTTCATTCATCCATTGATGGGCACTTTAGGTTGATTCTATATTTTGACTACTGTGAATAATGCTGCAGTAAACATGGGATTCCATAAAACTCTTCAATATACTGATTTCTATTCCTGTATATATATACACAGTAGTGGGATTGCTGGAGCATGTTGTAGTTCTAGGTTTAGTTTTTTGAGGACCTCCATAGTGGCTGTACTAATTTACATTGGCACGGACAGTGTACAAGGGTTCCCCCTTCTCCACATCCCTTTCAGCATCAGTTATTCCCTTTTTTACTAGTCATTTCACCTTCAGTGAGATGATATTCCATTGTGGTTTTGATTTGCATTTCTCTGATGATTAGTGATGTTTAACTTTTTTTTTTTTTTTTTTTTTGAGATGGAGTTGCCAACTCTTGTTGCCCACGCTGGAGTGCAATGGCGCGATCTTGGCTCACTGAAACCTCCGCCTCCTGGGTTAAAGTGATTCTCCTGCCTCAGTCTCGCGAGAAGCTGGGATTACAGGCACCCGCCACCACGTCTGACTAATTTTTTTGTATTTTTAGTAGAGACGGGTTTTCACCACATTGGCCAGGCTGGTCTCAAACTTCAGGCCTCAGGTGATCCACCCTCCTCGGCCTCCCAAAGTGCTGGGATTACAGGTGTGCGCCACTGTGCCCCGGCCTGTTGAATATTTTTTCATATGCTTAGTTGTGTGTCTTCTTTTGAAAAATGTCTATTCAGATACTTTGCCTATTTTTAATCAGATTATTTGGGTTTATTGCTGATGGCAGCAGAGGCCCAATTAGAGCAGCTGCTGCCACCACGCTGGCTGCAGCAGGGAGGCACGACTGGGGCTGCACACTGCTGCACATCCGTGGAGCCAGGAGCTGGGGACAAATGAGAGTCCCACTTCTCCTGTGTTGGTGGGGCAGGAAGTCTCCGGGTGCTGCAACAACTGCCCAAATCATGGCTATGAACCCAGGCTTCCTGCTCCATGGAGCTGGCAGGAGCCCCACCCTCCTGGACCTCCCTGTACACTTGAGGGGACCAGGAGAAGGCGGGAGCCCTGCTCTCCAGGGCCAGTTGCCGCTGCCTAACCTGCAGACCTGGGCCTCCTACGCCAAGGAGCAGGAAGGAGCTCTGATGTCCGCGCCCCGCCCCCACCACAGCTGGAGCCACCCAAACTGCAGCTGTGGACCCAGGCATCCCCGCACTCTTGGGGGTCTAGCAAAGTCCCCCCGACTCTTGAAGGCCTGGAAATGTTTGCTCCCACTGCCTGGCTTCTCCCTGCTGTCAGTGCCCACTCTGATCTCAGAACAAAGTTGGGGCCAAGCCTGGGTGCTGTCACAGCCTGGACAGGTGTGCACATGCTTGGGGCAGTGCTGACATTCCAGCCCCCTGCCACCGCAGCTCCCTCCAGACTTTGGGTGCCACTGAGCACAGGATGGAAGCTAATGGGGGGCTGAGGGCAGCTCTCCACTGGCCTGCAGGTGCCCCTTGGCACCTACAGCCTGGACACCATGAGTGGCAGCAGGAGGCAGACAGGGTTTTGGGTGGAAGGGGACGGGTCCCTGGTGAGGCTCTACCTTCAGACCAGGGAGGGCCTGAATGCTGGGGGCCAGGCTGCCAGTCCCACAAACAGGAGTGGGGACTTGTGGTGCCTTTTTGGGGCCCACCCATGGCCACTCATGGACGAATCAGTGTGCACTTCCTGCCCTCTGAGACTTATAAAAGCCTGGGCTCAGCCAAAGCTGAGCAGACGTTGGGATGATCAGCTGCACGGAGGAGATACCAGGCTCCAGGGCCTCCTGTCTGCTGAGAACTGAACACTCCATGTGAAGACCTGCCTACAGAAAGGAGCTATTCTGTCACTTAATAAAGCTCCTCTTCACCTTGCTTGCCCTCCACCTGTCCACATACCTCATTCTTCCTGCATGCAGGACAAGGACTTGGGACTGGCTGAATGGCATGGCTATAAGAGCTGTGACACAAACAGGGCTAAACACACCCTTTATTGTCACATTGTGGGTGAAGAGAAGGAGAGAAGAGCTGTAATCCTTTGGGGACCCCCAGACCTGGGAGCTCCCCAAGCCAGGGATGTGACTCCTTCTTTGGGGCCTTGCAGTTCCTGGAATCTCTAAGCTTCCGGGCACCACTGCGTTTCCCGGTGGCAGCTGTGGAAGCTGTTTGCAGTGCGCCAGGTCCAGCCGCAGCCTCACAGAGAACTGGTGCCCATGCCGGTACTTGGAGCTGCCCTCCCCGCTGTGGCAGCCAGCATGTCTGACTGTGCTCAGTGGGCAGACCCCACACTCGCTGGCTCACATATCCCTCGCCACTCCACACCTGGCTTGCCCTTGGCAGGCATGGAATCCAGGCCTGTATCGTGATCCGAGCGCAGCCTGCCAGGCTGAGTGGGCTGAACAAGCCCAGTGGGCCTGAGCGAAACTCAGGCAAAGGCACTGCTGGCCACAGAGGTTTCTGGCCAGAAAAGCAACACCCCAAGGATCCTACAATATTGCTATTGAGTTGTTTGAGTTTCTTGTCTATTCTGGTTATTAATCCCTTGTCAGATGCATAAATTGCAAATGTTTTCTCCAGTTCTGTGCGTTGTCTCTTCACTTTGTTGATTGTTTCCTTTGGTCTGTAAAATCCTTTCAGCTTGATGTGATCTCATTTGTCTATTTTTGCTTTTGTTGCCTATGCTTTTGATATCTTACTCAAAAGATCGTTGCCCAGACCAATGTCCTTGAGCATTTTCCCAATGTTTTCTTCTACTAGTTTTATAGTTTCAGGTCTTAGATTTAAATCTTTGGTTAATTCTGATTTGCTTTTTGTATATGATGTGAGATAGAAGTGTAGTTTTACTTTTCTGCGTATGGTTATCTATTTTTCCCAACACTGATGAAAAAAATTAGAAAGGACACAAAAAATGGAAAGATATTCCATGCTCATTGATCGGAAGAATTAATATTGTGAAAATGCCAAAACTACCCTAAACAATCTACAGATTCAATGAAATCCATCTCCAAATACCAATGATGTTCTTCACAGTAATAGATAAAACAATCCTGAAATTTATATGGAACCACAAAAGATTCTGAATAGACAAAGGAATCCTGAGCAAAAAGAATAAAGCTGGAGGCATCACGTTACCTGACTTCAAAATATAGTACAAAGCTATTCTAACCAAAACAGATAATATTAGAATAAAAACAGACACATAAACAATAAGACAGAATAGAGAACCAAAACATGCATTCTTTTTTTTTAATAAACCAACTAATTTCACCAACAGCACCAAGAACATACATTGGGAAAAGGACAGTCTCTTCAGTAAATGGTACTGGGAAAACTGGTTAACCATATGCAGAAAAATGAAACTAGATGCCTATCTCTGCCCAGATTTTTAAAATAACATTTATGTCACTCTCTTCAAGTCATTTTAGACCCTCACTAATACCTACTGTCATTTCAAAGCCACTCCTAGATCACAACACTTTACTTCCAGTTATCAAAATCTTTATTATCTATATACTGTGGCATAACAATCCATACAGTGCTTAGCAATTTAAAGCAATAAATATTTATTAATTCACAAAGCTTCATATTGTGAAGAATTTATGAGTAGGTTCTCTGCATTGCACTGGCTCAGGATTCATCATATAGCTGGAGTACTATGTAAGAGGAAAATATGTATGTTGTAGATACCAAGAATTGGGGATCATGGGACAATCTTGAGGACTGCCTGCCACAGAAGCAAAATGATACCAGCTGGGTATTCAGATATACCTAATGGAAGGAAGAATATCAGAAATGGTAAAAACATAATTAAATATATAAGACTTTTCTTATTATTAAATACCTTTAGAGGACAATTGACTTTAATTAAACATAGTAACAATATAGTGTCCTTAATATGACATATTATTTGATGCTTATGTAGGCCCATTTCTTACATTGAGTCTAATTACTCTATTTAAAATGTTAACTAAACACTCCAAGATGTAAATAAAGGTAATATATTTAAATATTATATGACAAAAATAATGCAAGGGCTAGGAGTAGAGTAACTGAATAAAATTTTGAAGTTTTATTTTAGGAATGTAGTAGATCATCACAGTAAGAAGGAAAAGATTAATAAATTAAAGATGTGCACTATGAACACTAAAACAAACACTAACATAAAAAACCAGAGTTATAGCTAATGAGCATTCTGGAAGACAGAAGTTAATTAAAAGCATCACTCAATCAAAAAATGGCAGAGGCAGAGGAAAAGGATGAGACAAGAACAGATGGAACAAACAGAAAATAATAGCAAGTTGATAAATTTTAAGCTAACTTATAAGTAATCACATTACAAATAACCTAAATAATATAAGTAATCACATTACAAATAACCTAAATATTACTAAAATAAATTAAAGATTTAAGTTCTGCACAGCAAAATAAACTGTATCAACAGAATAAACAGACAATCTATGCCTGGCACAGTGGCTCACGCCTGTAATCCCAGCACTTTGGAAGGCCGAGGTGGGCAGATCACTCAAGGTCAGGAGTTCAAGACCAGCCTGACCAACATGGTAAAACCACATCTCTACTAAAAATACAAAAATTAGCAGGGCATAATGGCAGGCACCTGTAACCCCAGCTACTCAGGGGGCTGAGGCAGGAGAATTGCTTGAACCCGGCAGGTGGAGGTTACAGTGACCCGAGATTGTGCCACTACTCTTCGGACTGTGCGACAGAGTGAGTGACACTTAGTCTCAAAAAAAAAAAAAAAAAAAAGAACCAGACAACCTACAGAATGGGAGAAAGTATTAATGAACTATGCATCCAACAAAGGTCTAATATCCAAAATCTATAAGGAACTTTAACAAATCAAAAAGCCAAAACCAAATAACTCCATTAAAAAATGTACAAAGAGCATGAACAGGCACATTTCAAAAGAAGACATACAAGCAGCTAACAAATATTTGAAAAATGTACATCATCACTAATCATCCCAGAAATGCAGATTGAAACCACAAAGAGATAACATCTCACACCAGTCAGAATGTTTATTATCAAAAAGTTACAAAACAACCGATGCTGCTGGTGAGGCTGCAAAGAAAAGAGAACACATACACATTTGGTGACAATGTAAATTAGTTCCAGCACTGTGGAAAGCAGTTTGGAGATTTCTCAATGACCTTAAAACAAACTACCATTCAACCCAGCAATCCCAGTACTGGGATTACTGGTATACGCCCAAAATAAAATAGATCATTATACCAAAAAGACACATGAACTCAGGTGTTGATCACTGCACTATTAACAATAGTGAAGACAGAATCATCCTAGGTGTCCCTCAGTGGTGGATTGGATAATCTGCAGAGTATATGTAGTGCATACACACCATGGAATATTATGCAGCCATGACAAGAATGAAATCGGCCTGGCGCAGTGGCTCACGCCTGTAATCCCAGCACTTTGGGAGGCCGAGACGGGCGGATCAAGAGGTCAGGAGATCGAGATCATCCTAGCTAACACAGGTGAAACCCCGTCTCTACTAAAAATATAAAAAATTAGCTGGTGTAGTGGCGGGCGCCTGTAGTACCAACTACTCGGGAGGCTGAGGCAGGAGAATGGTGTGAACCCGGGAGGCAGAGCTTGCAGTGAACCGAGACGGCGCCACTGCACTCCAGCCTGGACAACAGAGCGAGACTCCGTCTCAAGAAAAAAAAAGAATGAAATCATGTTATTTGCAGCAACTGGAGCTGGGGGTCATAATCTTAAGAGAGTTACTGCAGGAAGAGGAACCCAAATACAACATGTTCTTACTTGTAAGTGGGAGCTAAACCTTGAGTACACACAGACATAAACATGAGAACAGTAGACACTGTGGACTGCTAGTGGGGGATGGAGGGGGTGGGGCATGGATTTAAAAACTACCTATAGTGTACTATGTTCACCAACTGGGGCAATATAGCCATGTACCCTTTGTAGCTGAAATAAAAGTTACAATTTAAAAAAATAAATCAATAAAAATACAAAATAATGTAGTTATAAAAGAAAAAATTGAGAAATACGTATTATTGTTAGTTTGCAAAACTTGATATTGTTAATACATCAGTCTTTCTCAAACTTATCTATATATTCATGCATCCCTATCAAAATCCCAGTAGAATTTTTTGAAGAACTTCAAAAACTGATTCAAAAATTCGTATCCACTTGCAAAGATTCTATAACAGCCAAACCGTATTTGGAAATAAGAACCAAGTTGCATGACTAATACCACAACAAAAGTCTAAACGTTAAAAGTGTTCTATTTTTAACACATGGATGCTTAGAATATGCTTCTTAATTAACTTTCTAAATGCCTATTTTGATCGTTTTCAGTGATAAAAAACTGATTTCTTAAATGCCTAAAGTTTATTTTCTTCCTTAAAGTAAAAACACTGTATCTCAGCCTTTTAATGTAGACATGTTTTTTTTTTCTCTTTGCCTTTTTTAACATTCAATTAGACTCAAACGGGTACATTACTCTAAAATGTTTAAAACACTCTAAAAATACAGTTAGCAAGATTCAGTACAGAATAGATGTGCCATTTGGTGGAATGTGATGTCTATCTGTAGTTAATGTACCTTCCCTAAGTGCACTATCACTTATTTTTCTGTAACGTATACAGATCTATATAAAATATTAACTTCCATAGCTTGAATTTGGGGAAAATATAACCATAAAACATAATACATTCCGAGGGCATATTGATTACTATTACACTGAGTGTGAAAGGAAAAAAAAGCCTTATGAAGAAGCAGTGACAGGAAATAACAATAAAGAACTTTTGTCAACTTATTTTAATGTGGTGGTAAATGAAACATTTATTTTTATCACCTGTCAAATGAGAAATCATTTGTTTTAAAGAGAGAAATACCAAACATTGTAGAATGAGACACCAAAGAAAAAAAGTTCATGTCAGTGAAGATGCTTATATAGTCATAGAAATTTAAAGCCTTAGTGCACGAAGACATTATTTACAGATAGGAGAGGTGCTCAACAGTTTGGATTGAGGTTTGAACTAACCTATGCCTCACAAAGCATTAACCGACAGACATACGGGTTTCATTGTGTCTGTGTCAGTTTTAAACAACAAAAAAAATTGGAGAATGGTTTATATAGTTTGCCATCTGTTGCAAATATTTTTAACACTATATAATTTGCATATGACAATAAAAGAATGTGGACAGCTTATTTCCTGATTGCCTTAAATTATCCATCTCTCTGTGCCTTCCTGGATGTCCTGGAGGCTGAGCCTGTGGGTTACATCATCTGGGCTCCATTGCTCTCTGGCTTTCTGTTATATGTACAATGCAAGTTACTGACAGATCAGAGAGAGAGGAAGGTCAGCCATTCCTTCCCATTCTCTTCATGTTTTAGCACTGCCTGTCAGAGAATAGTTGTTCCCTTCCTGGACTACAGCATTTCTGAGTACACTTCTCAGATTTTTCTAACACCATTTTCTACCCTTAATGATACAGACATAGGTGATATAATAGCTCCTTGTAGTTGCTTTTCTCTGAATAGCTCTTCATCTCTTCTATATTCTGCTAAACCTGCTCATAAATCTGTAAATATTCCCTTCATTTGAACGATTAGGAGAATCCTGTTTACTGTAGCAAACCTGTCTGATAAAGTGTATTACTAAATAAGCGTGATTTTATGGCAGGACTGTTGTAATTTTAAAAAATAAATATCGACTTTTTTTATTAAGTTGCACATATACTAGCCAGGAGTGGTGACTCACTCCTGTAATCTCAGCACTTTGGGAGGTAGAGAATAGTTTGAGACTAAGAGTTCAAGACAACCCTGGGCAATAAAACAAGACCTTGTCTCAACCAAAAATTTAAAAATAAAAAATAGAAGTAGCACATGTTTAATATTAGTATGAAATAATATCTGAAATTTATTGAATTTTAGAATATAATAGGTAATATTTTAAGCAACATATATGTATTATCTCTCAATTCTCACAACAGTCCTAAAAACTAATGTTGCAAACTAATCAAAGTCAATCTAGTAGTGGTTCTTAATTGTAAAATTCTTTTGGTAAATATTAATTAACTTGAGTGGTGGACTATCCAGAGGTATTTTCTAACTTCACTAATATGTAGAATATAATTATGAAAACAAATGTTAGAGTAAATTCGGCCAAAAATGCACTAGTCCTATTTTTAATAGGTTCACTGAAAGGCTGGCACTTTATCTATCCAGAAGCAGAAATTATGTGAGGAGACAGTGTCTTCTATGAAGTAGGGGAAAAACAGGACTAATGGGAATTAGAGTCTGAGCACTGCTCAGCAGGTATTCAAAGATCAGCTTTCTAGTTTCTTGTAACTCATTCTCACAACAAAAGTGAGTTCCATAAAACTGTGAGACCCATAAAAACAAAGACAGTGTGTCCCAAGCATTTTTCTTGAACACCATTCATTTCGTGAATAAAACTGATTTTTAATATTTCTCTGGTTAATTGGAATGCCCTCTGGTACAGGTTTCAATAATGATATTTAATAGGTACAGGAAAGCACATCTGTTACATTGATTCTGTTAATGTATTTCAAATGTTAATTAATCACCTCAAGGTGTAGATTAAAGTTAATACAATCATAGAGTATAATGCTTAGACATAAGCATTTTTAATCATTTTTTCCATCAGAAAAAAAAATCAAGTCCTAAATAGAGACAAAGATTTTCTTATAATTAAGGGATGAAGAGGACCATGCCCCCAGAATCACTATAACAGATGTGGTAATATGTTGTATATACTATTTCATAAGGCCATGTCCATTCATTCCATTTCACCATCTGATTATTCACCAGTATCTCTCTTCTCTCTCTCTCTCACTCTCATTCTCACTTTGCTCTCACTGTTGGTCAATTACTTATGCATGTATGCATATGCACATGCACACAGAGTGTGTGTGTGTGTGTGTGTGTGTGTGAGAGAGAGAGATTTTGCTAAAACATTGGATAGTTATTATTTGATGCTTCACCCCTAAACACTTAAGTATGTCTTAATAACATGGACATTGCCCTACATATCATAATACAATTACCAAACTCAGAAAAGTTAACATTAATACTGCCAAAGGAAAAATTTCACCAGTCTAAAGTAAATAGTTAAGAAAAACTCTACTCAATTTCTATTGCAATCCTGGAGAGAGATCAGAACATAGACTGAATTCCCCTCCACCGAAGCAATGGCAGGGTTTTTAAAAGCTGGGGTCAACCTTCTGTGTTTGCTGATTATTCTTAACCAAAGTAAAAGTCAACTTTCTTTTATCTTCATGACAGAAGGTGGTTTTACCGCTTGGAGCAAAACACATAAAAATTAGGTGTCTACTCTCCTACAAAGACTCAGAGATAGGAACACTATATTCCTTGATGATTACATTGCAAAGGAATGGCTCCCAGGTCCTTAAAAAAATTGTGGTTTCATGAAAAAGCTAGAAAAATCTCAAACCTACATCCTAATTTGGCAAACCGAATCATACACAAAAGAACTAGAGAACCAAGAGCAAACAAACCCCAAAGCTAGCAGAAGACAAGAAATAACCAAGATCAGAGTGGAGCTGAAGGAGATAGAGATGAAAAAAAATAAAAAACCCTTCAAACAAATAAATGAATCCAGGAGCTGTTTTTTTGAAAAAAATAATAAAATAGATATACCACTAGCTAGACTTATAAAGAAGAAAAGAGAGAGAAATAAAATAGACACAATGAAAATGATAAAGGGGTATCACTGCTGACCTTATAGGAACACAAACAACCATCAGAGAATACTATAAAAACCTCTATGCAAATAAACTAGAAAATTTAGAAGAAGAAATAGATAAATTCTTGGAAACATACACCCTCCCAAGACTGAACCAGGAAAAAGTTGAATCTCTAAATAGACAAAAAAGAAGTTCTGAAATTAAGACATTAATAAGTAGCCTACCAACCAAAAAGAGCCCAGGACAAGATGAATTTTCAGCTGAATTCTATCAGAGATAAAAAGAGGAGCTGATACCATTTCTTCTGAAAGTATTCAAAACCATTAAAAAGGAGGGACTCTTCCATAACTCGTTGTATGAGGCCAGCATCATCCTGATACCCAAACCTGGCCGAGATACAACAAAAAAAGAAAACTTCAGGCCAATGTCCCTGAACATCAATGCAAAAATTCTCAGTGAAATATTGGTAAATCAAATCCAGTAGCACATCAAAATCAAGTTGGCTTTATCCCTGAGATGTAAGTACACAAATCAATAAATGCAATTCATCACATAAACAAAACTAAACACAAAAACCACATGGTTATCTCAATAGACACACACAAAAAAGCCTTCAATAAAATTCCTTCATGTTAAAAACTTTCAATAAACTACGTATTGATGGAACACAACTCAAAATAATAAGAGCCATATATGACAAACCCACAGCCAATATCTTATTGAATGGGCAAAAGCTGGAAGCCTTCCTTTTGAAAACTGGCACAAGACAAGGATGCCCTCTCTCAACACTCCTATTCAGCATAGTATTGGAAGTTCTGGCCAAAACAATAAGGCAAGAGAAAGAATTAAAGGGTATTCAAATAGAAAGTGAGGAAGTCAAACTGTCTCTGTTTTCAGATGACATGATTCTATATCTAGAAAAGCTTATGGTCTCAGCCCAAAAGCTTCTTAAGCTGATAAGCAACCTCAGCAGAGTCTCAGGATACAAAATCAATGTGCAAAAATCACAAGCATTCCTATTCACCAACAATAGATAAGCAGAGAGCCAAATCAGGAATGAACTTCCATTCACAACTGCTACTAAGATAACAGAATACCAATGAATATAGCTAACAAGGGAAGTGAAGGACTTCTTCTAGGAGTACTATAAACCACTGCTCAGGGAAATCAGAAAGGACACAAACAAATGGAAAAACATTACATACTCATGGATAGGAAGAATCAATATCATGAAAATGGCCATACTGCCCAGAGTAATTTACAGATTCAATGATATTCCCATAAAATTACCATTGACATTTTTAACAACAACAGAATAAAACTACTTTAAATTTTATATGGAACAAAAAAGAGCTCCTATATCCAAGACAATCCTAAGCAAAAACAACAAAGCTGGAGGCATCATGCTACCTGACTTCAAACTATATTACAAGGCTATTGTAACCAAAATAGCATGGCACTGGTACAAGAACAGACACATAGATCAATGCAACAGAATAAAAACTCAGAAATAAGACTGCAGAGCTACAAACATCGAATCTTCGACAAACCTGACAGAAACAAGCAATAGGGAAAGGATTTCCTATTTAATAAATGGTGCTGGGAAAACTGGCTAGCCATTTGCAGAAAATTAAAACTGGACCCCTTCCTTATACATTATACAAAAATTAAACTCAAAATTGTTAAATTCTTAAATGTAAAACCCAACACTATAAAACCCTAGAATAAAATCTAGGCAATACCATTCAGGACATAGTCATGGGCAAAGGTTTAATGACAAAAACATCAAAGGAATTGAAACAAAAGAAAAAATTGACAAATGGGATCTAATTAAACTAAAGAGCTTCTGCACAGCAAAGGAAACTATTATCAAAGTGAAGAGACAACCTATAGAATGAGAGAAAAATTATGTAACCTATCTATCTGGCAAAGATCTAATATCCAGAATCTACATAGAACTTGGACAAATTTACAAGGTAAAAGCAAACAATCCCATTAAAAACTGGGCAAAGGAATGAACAGACAATTCTCAGAAGACATTTATGTGCCCAACAAATATATGAAAAAAAGCTCAACATCACTGATCATTAGAGAAATGCAAATCAAAAACACCAGGAGATACCATCACATGCCAGTTAGAATGGCAATTATTAAAAAGTCAAGAAACAACTGATGCTGGCAAAGCTGTGGAGAAATAGGAATGCTTTTACACTGACGGCAGAAATGTAAATTAGTTTAACTATTGTAGAAGACAGTGTGGCAATTTTTCAAAGTCCTGGGAGCAGAAATACCATTTGATCCATGATATGGTTTGGCTGTGTCCCCACCCAAATCTCATCTTGAATTGCTGCTCCCATAATTCCCACATGTCGTGGCAGGGACCCAGTGGGAGATAATTGAATTCTTCAGGCTGTTTCCCTCATACTGTTCTCATGGTAGTGAAGAAGTCTCATTAGATCTTATGGTTTTATAAGGGGAAATACCTTTCACTTAGTTCCCATTTCTTTCTTGCCTGCCACCATATAAGATGTGACTTTTGCCTTCTGCCATGATTGTGAGGCCTCCCCAGCCACGTGGGACTGAGTCCATTAAACCTCTTTTCCTTTATACATTACTCAGTCTGTGTATGTCTTTATCAGCAGCATGAAAATGAACTAATACAACCCAGCAATCCCATTACTGCATATATACCCAAAGGAATATAAATCATTCTTTTATAAAGATACATGCATGTGTATGTTCATTGCAGCACTATTCACAATAGCAATAACATGGAGTCAACCCAAATGCCCATCAATGCTAGCCTGGATAAAGAAAATGTGGTACATATACACCATGGAATACTATGAAGCCATGAAAAAGAATGGGATCATGTGTTTTGCAGGGACATGGTTGGAGCTGGAAGCCACTATGCTCTGCAAACTAACGCAGGAACAGAAAACCAAACACTACATGTTCTCCCTTATAATTGGGAGCTGAACAATGAGAACACATGGACATAGGGAGGGGAACAACACACACTGGAGTTCACCTGCTGGGGGTGGGGGAGGGAGAGCTTCAGGAAAAATAGCTAATGCATGCTGGACTTAAACCTGGGGGATAGGTTAATAGGTGCAGCAAACCACCATGGCATATGTTTATCTATGTAATGAAGCTGCACATCCTGCACATGTATCCCAGAACTTACATACCATAAAATAAAATTAAAACGTTGTGGTTTGCAAAGACTGACTAGAGGCTTTTAAAAGCTTTACATCTTAAAGAGGCAGAAGAATATTTTTAAATTATAAGTTACCTAAAGTAAATACTCTAAAAAAGAGAGGAGAGGAAGATCTTTGCTTATGCCAACCTGATTTTCTAAGGACTAAAGGTAAAAGGGAGGTTAGAGGAGGCAGGCAGAAGCCTGTCTGAAGTTTGGTTAAACTAAAGGAAATGTTAAGGTGGCAGTTGTGGTGAATACAATATTAATAATTAAACAATTATTAGCTAATATAAAAAATTCAAGTGTACCCAAGTTGTACTTTATAGCTATCAAAAAAATCTGGCACTCAAGGAGTGAACATGAATTGCATTTTGTTTTCATGTATCTTTAGTCTCCTTAAATAGAGAAAAATGCTTCAGCTTTATTTTTATGTGATTTGAAGGTATTGAAGAATACAGGCCCGTTGGTTTAGAAAGGTCCATTTATACTGAGATGTTTTATAATGTTAGTATACATATAATACAACAATACGCATTATCCTTATCTCTTTTTTATAAATGGAGAAACTAAAATGAAAATTAATGCTATTGATCCTAATCACATAGTTTCTAAATAACTAGCAGAGCTAGGAACTGATCCAAATAGTAAGATCTATCACTCTTAATTATTGTAAAACCATGCTTTAATAATTTATAAAATACCCAAAATATGTACCTTTCTTGTTCTATGTTTATTCATCAACAACTTGGCGGCCACTATTTATGTTATTAATACACATGTCGTGCAGTTCCACCTGCCTAGCTCTGCTCTCAGACCTCAGTACACAGAGATATATAAAATTAAATCACTGTTCTAAAGGAATATTAAAATGAGTGATAAAAAATAGACTACCCTACATGAACATAAATATGGAAGACACAGATACTGGGGAGTATTAGAGGAAGGAAAGAGTGAAAGGAACAAGGGCTGAAAAACCTATTGGGTGCTCTGCTTACAACCTGGGTGATGGGATCATTTGTACCCCTGTCCTCAGCATTACACAATATATCTATGTAACCAACCTGCATATATACCCCTGAATCTAAAATAAAGGTTAACAGTACTTAAGAATTTAAAAATTAAAAAATCAGAAAGCTGAATAAAATAGGATAGATATATGTAAAAATAAATGAATAAGGGATAATCCAAATCCAAGATTAGAGACATATAACTGAGCTAAATATGACGTTCGATTGGAGCAGCTTGTTTCAGAATTTAAAACCCGGTATAATTTTTTACAGGAGAAGAAACTGTCATTCATTTCATTTTGCCTGATACTTCAACTTCAATAACTTTGATTACTTTTAATTGAATGTTATCCTAAAACTTTGTTGTTATTATATCAGTAATGAATTTTAACTTTAGCAAAGTATAAATGTTTATACAAATAAAAATAATAAGTCAAAAGTTCAAACGCAGTCTTTCTGTTGATAAAATGAGAAATTAGCACCAACTGTTGGCTTTTTCCCTCAATAGCAGCCCTAGAAACTACAGAAAAGAGAGGGAAGAATATATATCAATAACAAATAAAACACTGATAAATTGCCAGGTAGATCTAAGGATATTCTGGACTTACATGGAGTGATGGCCAGCTTGTGACAAGCAGTGAGGATATGATTTTTTAAGTTCTGTTTTTATTTCTCTGCTATAGGCACAAACCATCCAATGTCAGTGTTGGCATAAAAATTTCAGAGCAGAATAAAAGCATTTGGTGTAGAGAACCTGATGAAACCTCATTTAAGCATCTCTCCAACCTCTATCCCTGAATAATTTATAACCACTTTAATACGAATAATAAATATGCAATTTGTGGACCATTGAGTAGACAACACAGAGAGGTATGGCCTCAGGGGTGAAAAAAAAATAGCCCAAATAGAGAGCCAAGAAATAAATGCAACTAAATTTTGACAAGACAACCAAAAAGACACGATGGGGAAAGGATAGTCTTTACTAGGAAGACTGAATTTCTTCATGAAATGAGTGAAATCGGAGTCATGTCATACACTGCAATCAACTCAAAATGGATAAAAGACCTAAATATAAAAAATGAAACCACATAAGTCTTCAAGTAAAACATAGGAGAAAAGCACCTCAACATTAGGTCTTGGCAATTACTTTTTAAATATCAAAGAAAAAGCTCAGGCTACAATAGCAAAAATAAATAAATAAGACTATATCAAAATAAAAGCTTCTGCACACCCAAACAAAAATAAACAAAACAAGGCAAACTGCAGACTGTGAAAAAATATTTGCAAGCCATGTATCTGATAAGGGGTTAGCATCAAAATTTATAAAGAATCATTACAACTCAATAGTAGAAAAACAAATAGCCTAATTTAAAAAGGGGTAAAGGTCCTGAACAGACATTTCTCTAAAGAAGATACAAAAATGGCCGGGCGCGGTGGCTCACACCTGTAATCCTAGCACTTTGGGAGGCCAAGGAGGGCAGATCACCTGAGGTTGGGAGTTCGAGACCAGCCTGGCCAACATGGCGAAACCATGTTTCTACTAACAATAGTATGAAAAGGTGCTCAACATCACTAATCATCAGGGAAATGCCAATTAAAACCACTACAAAGAGTCACTTCATACCTGTAAGGATGTTTATTATGAAAAATAAAAGAGACAATAAATGTTGGCTAGAGTGTGGAGTTAAGGGAACCCCAATACACTGTTGGTGGGAATGTAGACCGGTACAGCCATATGGAAAGCAATGTGGCAGATCCTAAAGTAATTACAAATAGAACTAACGTATGACCCAGCAATCCATCTTTTAGATACATGCCAAATAGAGATGAAATCACCACCTCAAAGAGATATCTGTACTCCTATGTTCATTGCAGCATTATTTATGATAGCTAAGATATGAAAACAAAACGTCACTGATTAATGAATAAAGAGAATACAGTATAGATATACAAGGGAATATTATTCAGCCTTAATAAAGAAGGAGATTTGGTCTTTTGCCACAACATGCATGAACCTAGAGGACATTATGCCAAGTAAAATAAGCCAGACACAGAAAGGAAAATATTCTATGATCTCACGAATGTGTGGAATAGAAAAAAAAAAGTTCAAATCCATAGAGGTAAAGAATTAAACGGTGGTTATGACGGGTCAGAAAGAATAGGGGGAAAGAAAATGGTGAGATGTAGGTCAAAGGATACATGTTTGGACATTTGATGTACAAGATGAGGACTAAAATTAATACAGTTGCATTAGGATTTTTTTGCTAAATAAGTAAATTTTAGCTGCTCTTGTCACAAAGAAAAAGTATATGAGATATTTTAATCTGCTTCACTATACTAATCATTTTATAACTTACAAGTATCACATAACATCATGCTGTAAACGTCAAACATACGTAATACAATTTATTTTTAAAAATTAGTCCTGGATACATACTGTTCTGGCACTACCTGCCATCAAACCTGCCATCAAACTATTTTCAGGCAAGCTGATTGTATTTTAAAACAAAACTCAAGAGTATTTATAGCATGTAAAAATATCCAGTGCTCAATAAGGTAAAATTATTGTGTCTGGCCTTCAATCAAAAATTAACAGGAAAGAAAAGAGGGATAAAAATATGACCCATCATGATGAGAAAAATAAACCAAAAGAAAGTCGAGAAATGACAGCAATAAGCCATATGCTGGCTAATATCCCTTGTATATATAGAGCTATGCTTTGGAGCCAAACAGTATCTATGATGCTGTTGCATTTAGTTTTCTACATAAATTATTGCCATAGCAACATTTAGAATATTTAGAATATGTAGTTTTCAGTAATCAAGTTTCAGATTTTCAATCTCGACTTAAAATCTCTCATGTAATATAGTGTTTATTGTAACATGTTTTGGAAATTCTCATAGGTTTATTTGTTATTAAAACTTTCTTTTTGTAACTATTTCTTACACATATTATTTTCGGTCCTTTTTCTTTTATATATGTGCCTTTGTTAACTGTACACTTAAGGAAACAACAGTGATGACTGAGGTTTTATTTTGGATAAATTGTCTTTCTATAATCCATTTGGGAAGTGGTAAGTTACTGTTTGTAATTTCATCATCTAATATTTTTCTTCTGCTGCATGCTAATAAATGACTCCATTAAACTATTGATTGTTACTATCTGTAAACTGAATTTATCACAGCCACATCACTGTTTTCTATTATGTAGTAATTTGCTCTTCATTTATTTCATTTTGTTACATACATCTAAACACCCTGTATTAGAGACCATATAGGTTGCACATTTATCATGATGTTGCTTTTCATGATTATTTTATTCAAAATATAAGTGGATTTACAATATAGATATTATTAACAGAGGAACATAATTTTTAAAAATATGATCTAATTACTTCAAATTCAATGTTCCAAGGTGTTACCACTGTAATAAAAAGTAAACTAACAATATCTCTCTATTTTAAAATAATTTCTAAATGTAAACTAGTAATATCTCTATTTGAAAATAATTTCTAAAAGTAAACTAATAATATCTGTCTATTTGAAAATAATTTCTAATATACTCATATATATTTAGGTTTAAAGCATGACCCTAAATCCGCTTATATCTTAGTCCTTACTATGTAGCCTTTCCTTTGGATTATTGAACTATCCGCATCCTTCCAATTTTGCTATAGTTAACCAGGGTTAGGTCCTGTTGATTGCAACCAAATAAACTTTGACACAACCTAAGTGTCCATCTATCAACAAATGGATAAAGAAACTTTGGTATATATACATACAATGAAATATTATTCAGCCCTAAAAAAGGAGGACTTTCTACCATTTAGATGAAGCTGGAGGACATTATGCTAAATGAAATAAGTCAGATACAGAAAGAAAAATATTGCATGATCTCATTTGTGGAATCTTTAAAAGAGGTTAATATATGGAGATAAAGAATAAAACAGTGGTTACCAGGGTTGGGGTTGTCAAGGGGGGATGAAATGGGAAAATATACTTAAAAAAATACAAAGCAGCAGATCTGTAGGATAAACAAGTCAAAAGATCTAATGTACAACATGAGGACTATCACTGATAATAGTATACTCAAAATTTTTGCTAAATGAGTAGATTATAGCTGCTCTTGCCACAGGGGTAAAATGGGTAACTATGTGAATTGATCTATGTATTAAATGTGTTCCACTATAATAAGCACTTTATTTAAATAAATTTTATTTTGTATCCAACATGATGTTATATATCTTGTAACTTCAATACAATATAAAATTTATTTTTAAAAAATAGTAGGCAAAAGAGACATAACCTAATGGAACTTACACTTCAGTGGGATATTTAGGCATTAAATCCACAAGTGCATACTGATAAAATGACAGACTGTATAAAATGTTACAAGATAAAATTATAGGATGGTAAAAGTAAATTTTAATTCACTTCTCAAGCAACTCCTCTGTTATCTCTTCATTCATTGGTCTTTAACTCTTGCTATATTGCACATACTCAGTGCCCACCAACGCCCAACACACACAAGCACAATGTTAACCAAACCTTTCTTCTCTACTCACTTAGCAACATATTTCACATCTGTGATTTCTTTCATTACAGTATACTAGCTGATTTACTTTTACTAATTTCCATTGAGGACAAGGATTATATTTGGTTTAACTTTGAACCTTATGCCTAGCGCATACCTCAAAGTCAGTATAATGAGGATACTGTTATCCAATATTTAATGTGCTGGGGATTCAAGTATCAGATAATCCAGGAGACTCTAATGATGTCTGTGATTCTTTTTGGAATGTCACCTTCTACTGTAAAAAAATCTTTGTCTTGTCCTTGTTTAATATTCACAATGCCTTTATCTTAACTCACTGTTTTACATTTCACAAGTGTTTTTTTTTCATAGATAAGAAATTGTATGCCAGTCTTTCAACTGTTTTATACATTTACTGTGGTCAGAGATAACAATAACTACCTTTTACAGAATGTCTATTCTGAGAAAACAAAGACCCAAAAGTTAATTAAATACTAAAATCTCAAAGTCAATGGGAGGCAGAGCCATTATGCAAATCTAAGAAAATACTTCAGAAAATCTTTTCTTAGATTTGTTAAGTATTTACTATACTGCCCTGCCTTATGTTTGAGCTGCAAAATGACTAAAAATTAAGGTATAACAATTACTTGTAGATCCATTGTTCACTTGGTTGTAACCCTCAGAATGACTCAGAGTACTCATTGTAATGAAAGGAGCAGGGGAACAGCAGGCAAGTGTCTCTGGAGGCCAGATGCTGTCCCTAGGTGGCCATGCATCTTTGGCCAAATCAAAAGCTCTTTGGGTGCTTAAGCTGTCAGACGATTTCAAGCTAAATAAATGATAAAACTCTCTAAAAAAGTGAACATTTATTATATGGAAGGTTTATATTTTATGATATATCTGTCATATTTTATTGTTCAGTTTAATCAATAAAACTTTTCATTTTCAAGGACTCATTTTAGTATAAATATGCAAAATTGATATTTTAATACAAAATTTACTTACTAGTGATTTATATTATGGTCTGTGTTCATTTTATTATAGATTACTTATGACTTTAAAATGTCTTTTCACACCAATAATTGAAAAAGGAAATTTTGAAAGAAGTCAATTAAGTATATTTTAAGACATTTTGAGCATCAGGGTCTTTTTCAAAGAAAAAGAATTTTTCAAAAATGTTTTTCTCTCTAAAAAGAAGTGAAAATTATTTCCAAACTACAAACTTCCTTGTAAAATGAATTTGAAGGAAGCTGCTTTCACCATGGTGACAAAAATCTAGATGCAGATTACTTCATCAGAAAAAGGCAATTTTCCATAATCAGTTGAGCTCAGCACACTGAGTATGTTACACTGAATTTCTGATACAAAGCTACTTTTGCAGATATTTGGAAGTGTTTGTGTTCCTACTCAAGGATTCAGAGATATAGGAACTAACTAAACTGATGAATAATGCAAAGCAAATGTAACTTTCATAACAAGGAAGTTATCATTTTTTAGGACTTTGTGAGCTAAAACTAATAAAATAAGTTGTAGTGGCTTAAACAAAGAGGTACTAAAATTAACATTAAAAATAACAAAATGCAGATGAGAAGTTCCTTTCCTTAATCAGTGTGGCCCTGTTTCACTGCTGCTTCTTGGTGACACCATACAGCACAGCAAAGTGTGACCTACAAGTTTCTGTGTGCACAGTCTCAACACATTTTCTGTTTGTGTTAAATATCACAGAGGTTATTACAAACGGATTCTGACAAGAGTGTCACTAGAATTCTAAGGTTCCCAAATAAAATGCAGAAATCAGACTGTGTATTTCGTGTATTTTCAGCATTTTCTTTTGTACATGATCGGTTTCTCTGACTGGTTTTTCAAACTGAGGGAGATAAAGCAGAGAAGGAATTGCCTAGATTTGTTCATGCTAACATCTACCTTTTAGTGATTCTTTTTCCTATCTCTAATTATTGGAAAAATAATACAAGTCTTATCAACATACCCACATCAAAGGATGGCCATCAAATTCACACTCAAACTTTCCTGAAATTGAATATGATATGATCAATGTATATTGTGTCTTTTTATGTAACAGGAACCAATTTTTTAGAGTTACATAGTTTAAATAGCTGGAAAGACAGGGCATGGGGGCTCACGCCTGTAATCACAGCACTTTGGGAGGCCAAGGCGGGTGGATCATCTGAGGTCAGGAGTTAGAGACCAGCCTTGCCAACATGGTGAAACCCCGTCTTACTAAAAATACAAAAATTAGCGGGACATCTTGGCAGATGTGTGTAATCCCAGCTATTCGGGAGGCTGAGGCAGGAGAATCACTTGAACCTGGAAGGCGGAGGTTGCAGTGAGCCGAGATTTTGCCACTGCACTCCAGCATGGGTGAAAAGAGTGAAACTCCGTCTCAAAAAAAAAAAAAAAAAAAGATATGCAATGTAATTTTAAGATAAACTAAAGACGAGCAAAGGATTAGATAACTACAGAGGTTTTTTTTTTTTTTTTTCCTTCTAATAGGCTGTTTAGAGATGATTTACATAAGGAGGAAATATCTGGGGAGAGACCTAATAAAAATAAGAGACTAAAAAATGCTGGTGGAAAAGCCCTCCAGGTATAGAAAAGAGCCAGTGCAAAATCCCCTGAATTTATAACAGGTTTGGCGTGTTTAAGAAACTGAAAAAAGCTGAAATCTTGATAATAGGTCCATATTTGGTTTCTCTAATTTTATATAATCAGTATTCCCTAATATTTATGTCTACATATAAACTTATCTAAAACTAGTAGATTAATTAAAAATTATGTAAAAACTTAAGCCATAATTTCTCTCTATTTCTAGCTTCACATTCCTATTCTTTGTTAAAAGATATAGAAAATATGAGTAGAAAAATTTCTTTGAGAAATAATGATAAATAAGTCCTTTATCAAGATGTTATAATATAAAACTATATGCACCTTTCATTGAAGTAACTAAATATACAAAACAAATATTAAAGGATCTAAAGAGATAAATAGACTACAATATAATAATAGTAAGGAACTTCAAAACCTCACTTTCAACAACAGAAAAATTAACTCGACAGAAAATTAATTTAAAAATATTAGACTGAACAACACTTTAAGCCAAATGGATCTTACATACATATACAGAACATTCCACCAAATAGCAACAAAACAAACATTTTTCTCAAGCACCTACAAAACATTCTTCAGGATAGATCAAAGGTTAGGACACAAAATAATCCTCAGCAAATTTAAGAAGGTTGAATTTATATCAAATATCTTTTTGATCACAATGGTATAAAACTAGAAATTTTGAAAACTCATGAATATATAGAAATTAAACAACATGCTCCTGAACAACCAATGAATCCCTGAAGAGAATAAGATGAAAATTAAAGAATTTCTCCAGACAAACAATAGCAGAAACACAAAATACCAAAAATTATTGTATATATCAAAAACACTTATAGGAGAAAATTTTATAGCAATATATGCCTACCTGGAAAAAGAAGAAACAGCTCAAATAATTAAACCAACATTCCCTCAAGGAACCAGAAAGTAAAAGAACAAGCTAAACTCAAAGTTAGAAGAAGGAAGAAAATAATAAAGGCAAGAGTAGAAACAAATGAATTAGAGACTAGGAAAACAATACAAAGGATCAAGAAAACTGAGAGTTGGTTTTTAAAAAGATAAATAAAATAGACAAACTTTAGCTTGACTGAAAAAAGGAGAGATGATACAGATAAATAAAATAAAAAATGAAAGAGGAGACATTACAGCTGATACCAGAGAAACACGAAGGATCATAAGAGACTACTGTGTACCATTATATGTTATCAAATTAGACAACCTAGAAGAAATGGATAAATTCCTAGACTAATACAACCACTCAAGACAGACTCATGAAGAAATAGAAAATCTGAAGACACTGATAATGAGTAAGGGGATTGAATCAGTAATAAAAAATATTCCATCAATGGAAAGCCTAGGATCTCCCGGCTTCACAGCTGAGTTCTACCAAACATTTAAAGAAAAACTAATAAAACACTTCTCACACTTTTCCAAAAAAAAAAAAAAAAAAAAAAAAACAAAGAGGAGGAATTACTTTCACCTCTTCTTTTCATGAAGCTATCATTACCTTAATATATAACCAGACAAGGAAATTACAAGGAAATATCCTTGAACATAGATTCAAAAATCTTTCACAAAAATACTAGCCAACTGAATTCAACAACACATTAAAGGATCATCCACCATGTTCAAGTAAGATTTATCATTGTGATGCAAGGATGGCTTAATATATACAAATAAATAAATGTGACTTATCATCTTAACAGAATAGTTTTTTTAAATCTGATCATTTCGTACAATGCAGAAAAACATTTGATAAAACTGAATATATTATTTTATGATAAAAACTTTTACCAAACTAGGTACAGAAAAAATAAACTTCAACATAATAAAGGCAATATATGAGAAGCCCGTAAGTAATATTATACTCAATGGTGACATTTGAAAGCCTTTTCTCTAAGATCTGGAACAAGACAAGGATATGCATTATTAGTACTTCTATTCAACATAGTATTGGAGGTCCTCTCTAGAACAATGGGTCAAGAGAAAGAAATAAAAGGCACCTAAATGAGAAAAGAAGAATCGCCACTGCTTATTGATGGCATGATTTTATATATAGAATGCCCTCACACTCCACCAAAAAAATTGTTAGAATAAATAAATAAATATAGTAAAGTTGCAGGATGCAAAATTGACAGATATAAATCAGTAGTGTTTCTATTCACCAACAACAAACTACCTAAAAATATATTCAAGAAAACAATACTATTTACAATAGCTGCAAAATAGAATAAATACTTACGAATAAATTTATCCAACTAGGTGAAAGGCTTGTACATTGACAACTATAAAATATTAATAGAAGAAATTGAAGAAGACATAAATAAATGGAATGTTCGTGGATTGGAAGAATTAATATTACTGAAATGTACATACTACCCAAAGTGATCTACAGATTCAATGCAATACCTAATCAAAATTCCAATGTTTCATAAAAATAAAACGTATATGGAACCACAAAAAACCCCTACTGGTTACAGTTATTATGAATAGAAAGAACAAAGCTGGAGGTATCACACTACCTAATATACTGCAAAATAATTAAAACAGCATAGTATTGGCAAAAAGAAATAGACTCATCAATCAATGAAACATAATAAAGAGTCCAGAAATGAACCCAGTGATTCATCAGCATTGGTCAACTGATTTTGACAAAGGTGCCAAAAATATGCAATAGGAAAGGGATAGACGCATCAATAAAAGTGCTGGGAAAACTGGCTTTCCACATGCAGAATTGGAACCTAATTTTATACCATACACAAAAATCAACTGAAAATGGATTACAGATTTAAACATAGACTGGAAACTCTAAAATTACTAGAAGAAAACATAGGGGAAAAATTACATTACATTGGATGGGACAATGTTTTTTTGTATTTGACCCCAAAAGTGCAGGCAACAAAAGCAAAACTAGACAAGTGGGATTGCATCAACCTAAAAATCTTCTATACAGCAAATGAAACAGCTAACAGTGTATAAAGACAATCTATTCTGAAATGGGGGAAAATATTTGCTGGCCATACATCTGATAAGAGGTTAATACCCAAACAACTTAATAGCAAGCAAAAAAAAAAAAAACAAAAACAAAAACAAAAAATCCTAATTAAAATGGCCAAAGAACCTGAATAGACATTTCTGAGAAGACATACAAATTGCCAATAAATATAAGAAAAAGTGCTCAACATCACTAATCATTAGGGAAATGCAAATAAAAACCACAATGAGATATCATCTCACACCTGTCAGAATGGCTTTATCAAAAACATGAAAGATACGTGTTGGCAAGAATGTGGAGAAAAGGGAACTCTCATACACTGTTGGAGGGAATGTAAATTAGTACATTCATCATGGAAATAGTACAGAGGGTCCTTAAAAAACTAAAAATATAATTGTTATATTACCTAGCAATTCAACTTCTGGGTATTTCTGCCACTCCCATATTCATCACAGCAATATTTAAAATAGCCAAGTTATGGAATCAACTTGAGTGTCCATCAGCAGAGAAATCAATGAAGAAAAGGTTTATATATATATATGTACACAACATACATTGTGTGTGTGTGTGCATCTATATATATACACTATATATATACACACAATATACACACACACACACACACACAATGCACACAATGCAATACTATTTAACCTGTAAAAAATAAGGTAATTTAACCTGTAAAAAATAAGGTAACCTGCAAAAAATAAGGTAATTCTGTCATTTGCAATAACATGGATAGAACTGAGACCATTATGCTAAGTGAAACAAGCCAGACACAGAAAGAAAAATACTACATGCTTTCACTTGCAGGTGGAATCTAAGACAATCAAGCTCATAGAAGCAGAGAGCAGAATGGTGGTTAGAGAAATGGGGGTGGGGGAAAGGGAGATGATGGTCAAAATGTATAAAATCTCAGACAAGAGAATTTTTGTCTTTTAAGTTCTATTGCATTGCATGGTGAATATAATTAGTAACAGAGTATTGCACATTTCAAAATAGCTAAATGTGTACATTTTAAATGTTCTCACCACAAAAAAATGTGAAGTATTTGAGGTGATGAATAGGTTATCTAACTTGATATAGTTATTTCATATTGTGTTCATAAATTATAATATCACTTAGTAACCTGTGCATTTAGATAATTATAAATGGTCATTTACATTTCAAAAGTTGATCAATCCACACACATACATACACACACACCAAAATTTAAACTTTTGGTGAAATAATTGTAGACATAAAAATCAAAACTTTAAAATTTTAGAAATATAAGAACATGTTTTAATATCTTTGATTTTTGGATGTATTTCTGAGTGTATTTAGTAGATTTAAGTAATGTGTATCATGGTGTAATTTCAACTGTTAATTACGCAAACCTCAATAATCTCTTATGTACAATGTGTAAATATTAACATCTAACAAATAAGATAAATCTGTATACGACTGGAAATCTTGGATCTTAAAATTTGATGTGAATTGGAAGCTTTATTAACCATCATTTTAGTAGTGATAATTTTATACATTTAAACTTGTCTTTGCATTTTTTAAATTGATGCATAATATTTGTACATATGTGTAGGGCAAATGTGATATTTACTTACATGCATAGAATATGCAGTGATCAAATCAGGGTATTCGGGGTAATCAACACCTCAAGTATTTGTCATTTCTGTATGTTGGGAACATTTCAAGTCCTCTCTCCTAACTATCTTGAAATATACAATACATTGTTGTTAAAAAGTCACGTTACTTTGCTATCATACATCATAACCTTTTCCTTTTATCTAACTGTATGCTTGTACCCATTAATTAACCTTTTTTCACCCTCTGCCCCACATCCTTTCCAGCCTCTGGTATCTATTATTCTACCCTCCGCCTCTGTGAAATCGACTATTTTAACTCCCATATATGAGTGAAAATATGCAATATTTGTCTTTCTGCACCTGGCTTCTTTTACTTCTTGTCCATTTGCAGAAATATTTTTGCAGACTTTATAGCCAATTACTTTTCTTTGTTGCCTATCTTCATGAATAATTCCACTGACCAATTTGTTGACTAAGTTAAAACTTGAAATCATATTCATATTCCAAGTTAGTAATCATGTATTGGAGTTTTTCTTGCTCAATATATTCTTTTTACATTTCTTAATTTTTCTTCCCAACAACTCATTAAAGACACATTAGCTTGTTTCCTGGATTATTGCAAAACTCCCCTCCACTTTTTTCCCTTACATCAATACAGCATCATTTTCTAAAATCACACATATTACAAACAAATCGTTTTTGCCTAAAATACTCAAATAGCATGGCATAGTTTTTAATGTAATGATTCTAATCATTAGAATCTTGCCTAATCTTTGATCTTAGTTTTAAGCTTAAATAGGTTAAATAGACCCTCCTCTAATTGCACCTACATGGTGAAGGGTGTTTCAGGCAAAGAGAACTTCAAATGCAAAGACTTGAATCATATCTGGTGTTCCTGCAAAAAAACAGAGAGCCCAGTATGACTAGAGTAGATTGAGTATAGAAGAGATTGAAGTGTGATGAGAAGTCATTAAAAGAGTCTGACCTTGGCTGAGCGTGGTGGCTCATGCCTGTAATCCCAGCCGAGGAGATTACAGGCGTGAGCCACCTGGGGGGCCGAGGTGGGCGGTTCACGAGGTCACGAGATCGAGACCATCCTGGATAACACGGTGAAACCCCGTCTCTACTAAAAATACAAACAATTAGCTGGGCGTGGTGGTGGGCGCCTGTAGTCCCAGCTACTCGGGAGGCAGGAGAGTGGTGTGAACCTGGGAGGCGGAGCTTGCAGCGAGCCGAGATCGCGCCACTGCACAACAGCCAGGGCGACAGAGCGAGACTCCATCTCAAAAAAAAAAAAAAAGAGTGTGACCTTATCTATGAAAAGTATCTCTTTCCTTTAAAAGAAGATTTGTTCAGGTTGGGCACAGTGGCTCACTCCTGTAATCCCAGGAATTTGGGATACCAAGGCAAGAGTATTGCTTGAAGGCAGGAGTTTGAGACCAGCCTGGGTAACACAGTCCATCTCTTCAAAAAATTAGCTAGGCATGGTGGCATACACCAGTAGTCCCCACTACTTCGGAGCCTGAGGCAGGAAGATAGCTTGAACCCTGGAGGTAGAGTCTGCAGTGAGTCATGATTACACCACTGCATTCCAGCTTGTGACAGAGCAAGACCTTGCCTAAGGAAAAAAAAAAAAATTTGTTCATACCTGGTGTATGTAAAGACTGTGTGAGCAGAGAGACTAATTAGAATGGGGCTACAGTGGTCCAGGCAACAGATCATATTGCTTTGCGCTAATAGGGTAGTTGTGAGAATTATCAGACTCTGTCTACATTTAGAAGGGGGTGTTAACAGGTTGACTGATGGATCGAATGTGGGGTGTGAAAACAAGAGAGGAGTCAAAATGCTTCCAGGGTTTGAAGCCTCCGTGAATGGGTGATGCTGACAATGTTTATCAAGAGGAAAATCATTATATGAGGAACTGATTTAAAGGTGAGGAAAATGAGAGTTCAACACTTGATGAGAAACTCCATCCTCTATGTCCTTCTCACTGGACAGACACACACCCATGTGCACCTAGACACCACAACATGACGTCACCTCATTGCTCCAGGTGATCTCTTGACCTTCTCTGGCCTACTCAGAGCTATATACTCTGGCCCAGCACTCATTCATTCTTTTCCACTTATTTCTTTCTGGCTTTTCTGGGAAGTCACCAAAATGGCCAATATATCAAGCAGCTGATCTATATTGTTTTTTAAAACCTACACGTTGTTTAGTCTTATAATTATTAATTTTCAAATATGTTTTTCTTATTTAATGATTTCTAATTTGATATTATTGCAGTTAGAAGATTTGGTTTGCATGACACCATTTCATTGAAATGTGAAACTTTTTTAATGTCTTAAAATGCTGTTTACTCTTGTAAAAAAAAGTGAAATTAATAAGAATGTGTATTTTCTAAAGCAGTTTAATATTTTTGCAGTTTATTCATAATTTTGAATAGTGTATTTAAATATTCCACATTAATGGTGAATTTAACAATTTCTTCTTGTAGTTCCATGAGATCTAGTTTTATATATTTTGAGATTATTTTATCAGGTACATGCAAATTAGGTATTATTTTTCTTGTATTGAAACTTTTGATGTTTTGAAGGATGTGATTTTTCTTAAAATGTCTTTTATTTTGCAATCATCTTTTTAAAATCTTTTTTGGAAATCATCTTACTAGTGTATAGATTATCATTTTTTTTACTTTTGAATAAGTCTGGCTGTGCCCTTTTGCTTTATGTCTTTTTAAATTGTAAAATCTGGAGTTTTTTTGTTTGTTTCTGTTTATAAAGAGTTTTTTTATTCCTTTTACATGTGATATAATCATTAATAAATTTTCTATTCCTATTTTCTTAATTTATGCTTTTTATTTGTATTATTATTTCTATTATTTCTATTGTATTTTTCTTTATTTTAAATATTCAACTGTTTTGTTCTACTGATTTCACAATTATTCCTCCCTTTTCTTTTTAATAATTTACTTTTTAGTTTAACTTTTTATGTTTCACAAAGTATGAAATCAATATTTTAATGCTTTCCTGAAAATACAAGAAGGGAGAATATCTCCATCCCAATTTACATGTCTATTGTGAGACTTGCTCATTTTTCACTCCCTGAAAGTAGGGAATATTAAGAAATATATGTCTGTAAAATACTTTTAAAAAAGAATGAAAGTGACTTCAATGTAAAAGGCATTCTTCGGAAAAAGCATGTCCTTCCATTTACATGTTAATTTACATATTGTTTTGTCCAGTTTATACATCATTTCTTGTTTTAACCTAATAAACTGATAATATTTTATTTGTTCTATAGAGGCATACTGTTCAGAATTGCTTAGTTTATTGTTCAGAGTTTTTCCTTTACATCAAAATTATTTCCAGGTTCATTTTGATTTTTCATGCAGCACGAATTTTAGAAATTTACTTAAAAATTGTCTCTTAATAATCATTTCCTTTTCTCTCATTGCACATAAATATCTTTATTTTACATTCAAGCATGAAATAGATTTTCTAGATAGCTAATACTGGATTGACTATTTTTTCTTTTTAGTAATATAAGAGTATCATTCTCTTTTTTAACTTCCTTTATCAGTTTTGACAACTTGGTTATAGATCAAATTGTTATTACTTTGTAGATTTTTTCAATCTTTTATTTCTGTTAAGAACTTTTCTTTGTTGCTAAAGCACTAAAGCTTTACTATAATTATCTATTTGCAATTTTCTTTATATTTCACTTTTGATATATTGTGCCTTCTATATTTATTAATTCATTTTATCAATTCTGGAAATTTCTCAGTCATTTTCCAGCAAATACTACATTTTTCATTTTTTATAGTTCTAAGTCTCGAAAGCTTACTAGATCTAAGCTACATATTCTTAGTCTAACCTTCACAATTTGAACTTTTATACCATATTTTTCTTAAGACAATTTTCTTAAATATACTTTCCAGTTTACTAGTATCCTTTTATCAGTTTTTAGTCTGCTGTTTAGGTGATCAATCAAGTATAATTTCAACAAATTTATTCTTCATTTATAAAATTTCTATTTAGAGCTTTTACCACATCAGTTTGGCATCTTTGGTAAATCTCTTTTTCCTTTCACAATTTTTTTCACATTTAATTTCTTTAATTTTTCAAACAATTGTTTTTTAAATCTATTTCCAATTGAATATATTTTTAAGATTGATTTTGTTATTTCTAATTCATTGTGGCTTATTTCCACTTTTTATAATTTTTGGAGATATCATATTTTGATAAGAGTTCATCCTTATATATTTAAAAGGTTTCATTGGAAAAACTTTGTTCAGGATGAATTTCCATTTGATTCTGCCCATTACCAAGAGCTGTTGCTGACCTGGGACTATGTTAGATCCATTCTAACATCTAAGATTTAAATTGAGTACTCAGATCCATATCCTTCTACTTTGTAGAAGATTGAATTTTACACTTGAGATCCCAATCCTTATATTATCATTTGCCTTTTAGGCCACCCTGTTTTGCATTTATATACTGTTTATTGTTCTATGTTCTGGTTTCAGGTCATTGTACTTTTCTTTGACTCACTCTCAGAGATTTCCCTTAGTTTTGGAGAAACAAAAGATGAAGGATCAAACTGTAGTTTAAAACCTCTACTAGGTTTCCTGTCTAACACATGGCTAAAGTATGGGACCTCGCTAATGTTTTCTTTACAATGTGTCACATCTTTCAGCTGGTATGTTTAGACTATTTTCTTATCCTGTGATGTGTGTGATGTGTGTGTGTGTGTTAAACTTTTTTTTAGAAAAAGCCCTGGACAAGACAGAAAGCTTTGTTTTTGTCTCCCTGTCTTAGTCCCTTTGTGCTGCTATAAAAAATATCTGATACTGAGACTGAGTAGCTAATAAATAATATAAATGTATTGTTTATGGTTCTTGAGGCTGGAAAGTCTAAGATCAAAGTGCTGCCAGGTTCAGAGTCTGGTGAGAGCTACATTCTCCTTCCAACAGGACGCTTCATTGCTGCATCCTTCAGAGGGGATGAATGCTGTCTTCACATGGCAGAAGTGATGGAAGGAGTGAACTTAGCCTCTCAGGCCCTTTTATAAGGCACTAATCCGTGAATGACAGTGAAGCCCTAATGGCCTAATTATGTCTTATAGGCCTCACTTCTTCAAACTCTCTTACTGGGAATTAAGTTTCAACATGAATTTGGAGGGGACACAGTCACACCCTCTGTCATTTATTGACATTTTTTCTTCTATAAAATTTTCTGAAGTTTAAAAGAGCTTCAGGGCCAGGCACACTAGCTCATGCCTGTAATCTCTCCCCACTTTGGGAGGCCGAGGCAGGTGGATCACGAGGTCAGGAGTTCAAGACCAGCCTGGACAATATGGTGAAACCCCATCTCTACTAATAATACAACAACAACAACAAAAATTAGCTGGGCATGGTGGTGTGTGCCTGTAGTCCTGGCTACTTGGGAGGCTGAGGCAGGAGAATTGCTTGAACCCGGGAGGCAGAGGTTGCAGTGAGCCAAGATTGCAGATTGCACCTCTGCACTCCAGCATGGCGACAGGGAGACTCCGACTCAAAAAAAAAAGGAAGAGCCTTCAGGTCTAATATTTTGCCTTTCACCCAAGACCTCATTTTCTGTTTGTCCCATCTTCACTATAAAATGCCAGCCTTTTGGTTTTTGAAATCAACAAACACTTCCAGAAGGGCCATACAGTCAGCCTTATCTAACCCTCTTGTTATTCTCTCTCTTTCACCCTGAAACTATTAAAAAATCCTTTCAATTTTACTGTGCATTTTTAACTTAGTTTTATTCAATTATTAGTATGACTTCTGATAATTTTTTCAACATAGTATATGCACAATATTACTAAAGATAAAAGATTTTATTTCTTCTTTAAATTATTAAAGTTTCGTTTTTGTTATCTATTTAATGTAATCTTGGCCTTGAGGCTCTATCTACTGAAAAGCTTCCTTTACATAAGCATGAATGGTAACTGAATTTACTAACAATATAATTGTTAGTAGAAGTTCAATTTGTTAGAATGTTTGTTGTAGGCAATTCAGTTAATGACCAGATTATCAATAAACAAACATAGGGATAATTAAGTTACTACTTAAGACCTCATTGTTTATTGTGTAATCAAATTTCATATTAATTAAATATAAATATTCTAAGCAGAAACATTTAGAAAGTTAATCCTAACGTTTCCTCTACATATTTATGTGAGAAATAAAATTTGTAATTCATTTCTAACCCAAGGAAAAGTATGTTTCTTTAACAAATGTATAAAAGATGCAGCTGTTGTTCTTTAACAAGCTCTGATACTTTTTTTTTTTTTTTGTGAGACAGTGTCTTGCTCTGTCACCCAGGCTGGAGTACAGTGGCACAATCTCGGCACACTGCAACCTCTGCCTCCCGGGTTCAAGAGATTCTCCTGCCTCAGCCTCCCGAGTAGCTGGGGTTACAGGCACCCGCCACCATGCCCGGCTAATTTTTGTATTTTTTTTAGCAGAGACAGGGTTTCACGTGTTGGTCAGGCTGGTCTCGAACTCCTGACCTTAGGTGGTCCACCTGCCTCTGCCTCTGCCTCCCATAGTGCTGGGATTACAGGCGTGAGCCACCGCGCCTGGCCCGATAATTTTGTTTTCTTTTTTGCATTATGCTGAAGTGGTCATTGTAGGCGGTGTGGGTTCAATATCTTCTTTTTTTAAAAAAAACACAATAAAAATAATACAAATAAAAACAATATAATATAACAATGATTTCTGTAGCGTTTACATTGTATTAGGTATTGTAAGTACTTCGGAGATGATTTAAAGTATACTGGAAGATATGCATAAGTACTGTGCAATACTATGCCGTTTTATAAAAGGAGGTTGAACTTCTACAGATTTTTGTATTTGCAGAGGCCGTGGAATCAATTCCCATGGATATTGAAGTTGGACTTTACACCTCCAATGTCCAACAGCCTACACAATTTGATCTTTGGGCCTCTGATCTTTAATAGTAATTCTTTCGTAAGTTAATTTGTAAAGTGCTGTAGCTACGAAATAACATTTATGCAGATTTTCAAACGTCATTTTTGTTTGTTTTTGAGACGAAGTCTTGCTCTTGTCCCCCAGGCTGGAGTGCAATGGCGCGATCTCGGCTCACTGCAACCTCTGCCTCCTGGGTTCATGCAATTCTCCTGTCTCGGCCTCCCGAATAGCTGGGATTACAGGCATGTGCCACCACACTCAGCTAATTTTGTATTTTTAGTAGAGACGAGGTTTCACCATATTGGCCAGGCTCATCTCAAACTCTGGACCTCAGGTGATCCGCCCGCCTCGGCCTCCCAAAGTGCTGGGATTACAGGCGTGAGCCACTGCGCCCGGCCTCAAACATCATTTTTAAGAGTGCCCTTGCCTGGGGTGATCTCTAGGGTCTGGTTAAAACCCCATACTTAACATTTAACACCCCTAGTTATGATAGTCTATGTGAATGAATGGGAAAACCATTAAGAAAATATTTCAAACCAAAGATCTAGGTTTCTTTTCTTTCACTATCCCATCACTTGCAGTCCAAAAGTAATCACTGTTGATTCTATGTTTGAATTATATTTATAATCTGTTTGCCTCGCTCCCCCAACTGTGCTCTCATTTGAATTCAAACCACCATTATTTCTCACTTGGAAAACTGTAATAGTTTCGGACTGCCCTTTCTACATACAGCCTTGCCTTGCTACAATCCATCCTCTTTTTTGTTCTTGTTATTTGTTGGATTTAGCTTTTAATTTCCTGATAGATTAATCTTTACAAAAATCTTGGGCCGGGCGCAGTGGCTCACGCCTGTAATCCTGGCACTTTGAGAGGTCAAGGTGGGCGGACCACCTGAGGTCAGGCGTTCAATACCAGCCTGGCCAACATGGTGAAACCCCGTCTCTACTAAAATACAAAAATCAGCCAGGCACGATGGCGGGTGCCTATAATCCCAGCTACTTGGGAGGCTGAGGCGGGAGAATCACTTGAACCAGGGACATGGTGGTTGCAGTGTGAGCTGAGATCGCGCCACTGCACTCCAGCCTGGGCGGCAGAGCCAGATTCCATCTCAAAAAAAAAAAAAAAAAAAGTGCTGGGCGTGGATTGATGTGTGCCTGTAGTCCCAGGTACTTGGGAAGCTGAGGCAGGAGAATCCTTGAACTTGGGAGGTGGAAGTTGCAGTGTGCCGAGATCATGCCACTGCACTCCAGCCTGGGCAACAGAGCAAGACTCCATCTAAAAAGACAAAACAAAACAAAACATAGGTAAAATTAGGCCATTCTGCTTCTTAAAGCTCTCCAATGACTTTTCTTTATTCTTAGAGTACAACTAGGCTCTTTACCATGCACTACAAGCCACTACATCTGACAGCGTCTATATGCTTCTCTGACTTCATTCCAAATAGCATTCCCCCAACTCCTAATACTTAGCCACAGTAAATTTCCATTTATTGCATAGAAAGTAAAATTTGAACTTGACATGAGACTTAAACCCATCCTTTGCACTTGAAAACTTTTCTTTCAGATCTTCATTGGGAAACTTCTTGAAATCATTAAAAAATTCCAACATCTAATTCTGAAAGGATATTTCATAACACAATCAAAAATACCCCTCAACCAATCTCTCCCACATGTAATTGTTTATCATATCACCAATTGAGTTAGTTTTCTTCCTGGAAGTCATCATTATCTGAAATTATCTTGCCTGTGTGTTTGTGTATTAACTGAATATCCCATTACATTATAAATTCCATGATAGCAAGAACTTTATCTATATATATTAATCCAGTTAGAGATTAAAAATAAGCATACTAGGTTTATGGAATCTCGTTACATGATTGATAATAGTTGAAGTGATGAGTTCAAGTATGATATTACATATAGACAGTAAGCTGATTATGAGTTTTCTGAAAAATTAGATAAGATAATTTAGATTAAATTTTATAGACAATAGAAAAGTGGTTTACATTTTGCTTTAAATTCACAATAAAAACCTTTTTTTAATAATTTACACAACTTTACTTTCTATGGCCTGAGAATCTAATTATTGAGTCTTAAACATGACAAGTAAGCCTATTTCAAAAGATATGTAGGACAAGAAGTATTTGTGTATCTATAAATGTACTATATTTTAATCTCATGTAAACAATGAAAAAATATTTTAAAAAGTAAAAATATTTTCTTCATGCCACTATGAGGTATCAGTTTAAAAATCGCTTTCACATTTTTTTCTATTGAGAGTTTCTATTGTGTTTTTGCCTCAGAGTGATAAAAGGCAATTTGGCCTTTACTCTAGGGATTTATAAAAGATATTTGCAATAAATCAATTCAACCATAAAATATACCTGCCAAAAAAGATGGGTAAATGACTGTGGTATAAGCTCCTTGAATTTTTTTGTAAGTTATCGTAACATTTTCAACTTTACCAATATAATCACAATTATGCAATTACTTGGTCTCCTTTTTGTGGCTCTTTTTAAGAAAGACAAAATTATTCTGCTTGGCAATCAGAAGGAAGCTATTCCACATATGATTAGAGTAGACATTTAAAGCAATAATGTTCAAGAAGAAAAAGTGGCAATAGAATGACTTAGAACAATTTGAATAGAAAACGAAGAATGAACCAATAACTTAACATATTTTCCAACTGAAGATTTTTGTCCTTATATCCAGCTATAGGCAGCAAGATTAATTCTTCCTAAGATGTATTTACCAATGATAGATGACAAATAGATAAGCAGATAGATAGGTATTATGGCTAAATGAAACAGTCACATCTACTATTTGTTGAATTCGCACTTTACATTAAAATTTATCATTCAATTTTGAACACAAATCATATAGACACATGAAGGACAAATTTTTAAAAATCAATACAGCATGACATTAACGAAGGTGTCAAAGACAAACAAAATGTAAACTTGTGTAACATATATCCTTATCACAAAATAATTGTATTCCAGAACTAAAGGTCACATGGTGATGCTCCAGCTCAACCACCTAATTTTACAGCTAAACTTAACAGAGACACAAAGATACTTACATGTTGAACTTAACAGGCAGGTGGAAGCTAAAATAAAAACCATGCAATTTATAGAAAAGCACTAATAAAATAAGAGATTTTCAATGTAATTGTAAACTGTTAACATTTACTCTACAATAAGAGTATAGCTAGTTAAGGTATCTTGTGTGCTTATTTTTCTTTTTTAGCAATGGAACACACGTTTGTATGTCTCTATATTTCTGGAAATGTTTTATATAATATTTAAATCTTTACTTACATTAGCTACTGGCTTAACTTTATGAATATCAAGATAGATTGGTAGAAGACACAGCATTTGGGTAAACCACAAAACCTGGTGGTGGTTTTATGGTGTGCTTTCAATTCTGATGCACTAAATATAAAGAAAATACAAGCATGTGTAAGTAGTACTTAAAGTGGCTGTTAACAACACTAATTGTTTGCTCTCAATAAAACTATATTACTATCGTACTCGTAAGAACCCCCTTGGGAAGATAGAAGTGTGCGTGTGTGCGTGTGTGTGTGTGTGTGATTGGTATTTTCAATTATTAGAAATTCTTACAGGTTATTGCTGTAGGTTATTAGAGAATAATCACTGAAAGTCTAAAGAGAAAGAAGTTTGAGGGTAGTAGAGAGTTGGGGATTTATATTATCCACTGTCCATCTCTGCCGCCCCTGCAAACCAACAGAGTCGTTTGGTGATGTATTGAAAGAGTGAGTGTGGAGTGCAGATGATAGAAATAGAATAAATCGAACATTTTTTTAAAATTATTCTTTCAATTTTTTTGTTGACTATAATTTATATCTCAGCAAGTGGGATTTTGATAAGTGGTACTCTGCTTGAAATGATGTAATTAAAATGGCTATTTTAATCCAGAAATAAAATCCAAATGTAGCAACAATCTGATGTTTCTTATAATATCGGTTATGAATATTACTGGAAGTCTTTTTAATAAAAAATAATACATTATTTTAAATAACACACACTTCAACAATAACAGAGACCAAAGCCCATAATAATTAAGACTTCATTGTGTAAACAAAACTAAAGGTGAGAAAATTACATTTATTTACCAAGAAAACAGATAAAAATAAATTATGATAACTAGATACTATAATGCATGCCAAAAATTTCCATAAAAATAGATACTATGAATATCTTCTCTTGTTTTCCTTTATGGTGTGCAGGTGAATAATTGATTCTACTGAATAAAACTATATTCAGTAACATATTTTATGTTGTTGTTTGGGGTAGAAATAAATAAACAACATATTTACGTTGTTGTTTTGGGTAGAAATCCAATAATAAGCACGTATACATGCTTATTATTGGATTTCTACCCAAAACAACAATGTAAATATGTTATTGTGACTGAATCTGTTGGGAAATAAGAGCACAAATGTTAAGAGTAGAAATGTTCTTGTATTGGTTCAGAGAACTTAGAAAGCCCATCTTTTTAGAAAAGGATAATATGAGAAGTATATCTCAATATGTTTTCAGAAATTTGTATTCATAGGTGAGTCATAAGAAAAACGAATTCTTTTATTGTCAGTAAAAGAAATTTCAAATGAAGGAGCTAAACCTTACCTCAGTACTCATTTTGCTAAATAGTACTGTACTATTTACATACGGTCTATTTATGTATATAGTACTGTGATGAAGAAACCAGAGGAAGCTGGTGGATAATAAAAATAATTCTTTATATTATCTTTTATGCAAACTTTGAGAATGTTTCCGAAATTGGTAAATGGATTGCAAGAAGGGGAGGGAAGAATAAAAAGAAACAGATTCTTTGAAAGAAATAATTTCAACAAGATCTTGAGAGAGAAGATGAAAAAGAAAGAAAAGAAAGAACATGCTCTTATTGAATAAAAGACCAATTACAGAAAAGATGAAAATGTTTTTCAATCCAGAATAGATTCTTGAAGTCAATAACATTTGAGATTATTTTACAAACTATATTTATTTCTTTTCCAACTTCTTATTTCTGTATTTTCTCCTTTCCCATACTTCCAAAGTCTCAAAATTTTTCTCATGATGGTTTCTCTATCTTGCAGCACATAGGAAAAAAACAAAAGCTGACTTGAAGGACAAATAGTGTTCATGCTATTTAAAATTAGATGAAGCCTTATTAATTTCCTCAATTCCATCATGTCTTGAGAAGATACATAATCTCATTAAATCAAGAATTCATTGTTTACATTATAATCTAATATTATTTGTTGTACTTAATAGTGCATGCCTTATATATTTGATCTATATTAAATCCAAATATATTGTTTAAAGATCCACTTTACTTATCATTTTGAATAAAAAATACAAGAAAAGTGAGTATAAATACATATATGTGTGTGTATTTATTCCAGAAGGAATGTGAGTATAAAGAGTATTAAATAAATCCATACATATATACCTGCATATTCCAAAATATACTATTTTCCCTTACTTACTCAGGAAAAATTTTACATGTCAATAGAATCTAAATTATAAGCACACAATGTAATTGATATGTTACTGAAATACCAGGAGTTTGATCTAGGTCCCGTTGCTCACCACAAAGAAAGTCAGTCACTGAGACAATGAGTATTACCAAGGAAAAAGGCTCTATTTGGATGCTGCAGCTGAAGAGATGGGAGTTAAATCTTTCTCCCCAACTGATTAAAACTGGGGCCTTTTCTAGTGCGGAATGTAGCTACCTGAGGGAAAACAGGAATTGGAGAGGAGTAAGGAAGAAGAGTTTGTCAACAGGAAGCAAGCAGTCAGTTAGGAAAACAGGAATTAGGGAGGGTAAGTAATTTCAGTTACTGGATACTATCTAGGAGGCTTGAGGGTCCGTTTCCTGAGAAAGGAACTCAGATAAGACAAATGTAAGTTTCAAGCTTTAAGACCAGGAGGGTCGATTTCTATGTTTGTCCAAAAAAACCATCTATGGTATAATTGGTCTGGTTTCAGATACAGATCAGAGAGTAGACAAAAATACGTTATTATGCATTATGTTGCATTTAGAGATAGTGCCTATGTTAAGGTTTGAAAGTGGATTTGGTCTCTTTTTGCTCAGTGACCATTCAACCAAGAAACATGCTGGCAAGTTTCAAAAATAAGAACTAAAATTGAAAAAGTATTGTAAGAACAGAACAGAGTGGTGCTTAAAAAATGTGAATTTAAATCTCAGATAATTTTACTGTGGATATTTGTGGAATATTGGAATATTAGCATCTATTTGTCAAGTATGTACTTCAGAGCAGGGCCTTTGATTTAATGATTTAATGACTTGTGATTTAATTGATTTTTATGTGGCACACTGCCTTTATAAAAAGGGAGACTCAAGTTGGGGCTCAAGCGTTTTTCTTTCTTGGATGAAGTTATTTCAACATTTCACTTTTTGAATGGGAAAATTGATTGATCTAAAGGTACCCTAGGTGATATCGGGAACTATCTTGAAGACAAGCATCACTTTTATAATGTAAGAAAACTCTGTTCTGTTTTTGTGTTGTAACTGATACACTTTTATGCATTTAATTTCCATCTTGAAGGCCACCCAGGGCCCATGCTTACACCTGAGTATTTTAAAACTGCTATCATGGATTCTGCTGAAGATAATGCTTCTAAGGCTAGTTAAGTTAGAAATAAATCATACACCTTTGTAGTAAAGGTGAAATATGCCAGTAATTCTGTTGGAGTCATTTTTGTAATTACCTCCAAAGGGAATTATGCAAACCACAAAAGGAAATAAATATGTGCAAACTCAATAATCAGATGTATTGTAGTCACAGGCTGTAGTGTGGATTAATCATAGCTATATATTGTTGCATTCCATGAATTATTCTGAACAAATTTCACAATGAGTCAATATTGAGATAGCCCTAGCACATTAAAATGTATGATTCTGAAATAATATAGTGGGTGGAATTTTATTTTTATTAGTTAAAGTTTCCTAGGAAAGTGTGAGAGACAAGAAGAAAAAAATTGGGGAAAAGGAGATGGAAGAAATTAGAAGAAGCCACATACTCAAACACAAATATTACTATATATGGACTTACTATTATAGGAGGTTAATTATGAATTTCCTTATCAATTAGGAAGGAAAATTTATGTTTATATATATTCAATAATTCAGCATATACAGAAAATTTAATCAAGAACCAAATTCTTTTAAGAGTATATGATTAAAATAGTCATTCTTATCAATGCTCAAATGTGGAAAGAAAGAAAGGATGTCTCTTATGCTAAACAAATTAACCCCTCTTTTACATAGATAAGACACAGGATTTCCCTGTGAATGATTCTTTTTATTGTTGTTGTTCTAAGGTAACTCTCAAATGAACAATCTTCTAGGTGTCAAAAATTTTCTAAGTAACCACTGCAATTTGAAATGGTCAAGTCAGTGTTAGGCCATTTAAAAAGATAAATACAACAATAATAATAATAACAGCAACAATAATAAAAGAACCCAGCATTCTTCCAGAGGTAGCACAAGCTTATTAGTGGACGAGCCAAAGCAATACTACCCAATGGGCTTATTTTGGGTCAGATAGCAGTCCCTTAGCCAGCAAATGTGTGGCCAGGAGATTGATCTCAAAGCAAATTTCACAGATCCAAAACTGAAGAAATTCCTATTAAATTTTGAAAAACAAAGCAAAGGAAGCAGCTGTGATAGAACTTCTGAACACATTAGGGTTTGGTACTGGCTTAGAATACAGGCTCATACAACCCATATATATATATATATATATGTATATATATATATATATATGTATATATATATATATATTCTACTCTTTATAAACCTACCCTTATATACAGACAATTGTTCAGATAATAACTAGACAAACAGAAAGACTGGGAACAAATTCATGCTTTGTCAAACTGAAACTGTCCCAGTTGTCCCATAGAATTGATGTTTGTGGTTTCTTTTGAATAAACATCGAAGTTGACCTTCCCAGTCTTAAAACTTGAAAAAGTTACATCTGTCTTACCTGAGTTCCTTTCTCGGAAAACAAACCATCAGGATAGTGTAAAGGAACTGAAACTTACCAAATCACCACATGTGGACAATGAATACCAGATCCCTCATTCACATGTCTGTATAACCAACCACCTACTTCCTATTGACCAGCTCTCTTCCTTACCCCTCCCTTATTCCTGTTTTCCCACACATGGTTATATTTCTTTCTTGCTATATAAACCTCTGATTTTAGTCAGTTGAGGAGATGGAGTTGAAACTAATTGCCCATCTCCTGGGCTACATCACCTGAATAAAGCCTCCATCCCTGGCAATACTCATTGTCTCAGTGATTGGCTTTCTGTGTGGCAAGCTAACAGGACATAGACTAAAGCCCTAGAATTTCAGTAACAAAATTGTCATTAAAAAAAATAAGCACAAATTTGACAATATAACCAAAAATTCCTTAAAGATTTTATTCTTATGACAAATAAAATAGCACTAATACCAAAGGACTCAAGAAAGTATTCAGAGTTCAGATTCAGTGCAAGAATTGCCTCACCATTTTAAGCACGGTGGTCTTGAGCAAGTAGACTCAATGAATCTCATTCTGTAACTGAGTCCTAGTCTGCGTCAGCAAGGATATCAATCAAGTCATAATGAAATTCTCACTAATAAACACCAACATGCCAGATCTACCAGGAGCGTACTTGTATTCAAACAGAATAGCTTAATGCAGCAAAGAAGAATGCACACTAGAGCAACCATGGTATATTTCAGAAAGGCTGAGTGGGGAGGTATTCTCACAGAGTTTGGACTTGTGGCGAGTGATTCCAATCAAGGATCAGAGAAGCAAAGTCCATTTTATTTTTGTACCCAAAAATAATTTTTTGCAGCTTTTTAATTGCAAAAATTGCAATTACTTTTGCTCCAACCTAATACACTTGATGTTGTTCCAAAAGAAGGGCAGTTTAGGAGTTTAGTATTTCAGTAATCTTAGTTCAAGATATAGAAGGGAAGAAGTAAGGCTGGGGATACTACCTGTAGGACATCAACACTGTTCTCAAAAATGGTTTCTTTGTTATTTTCAGCTTTAGTGTGGGTTTTGCCATGTTCTATTCGAGACATTATTTTATGTTGCCCTGCTTATTTCTCTTTGAAAAATGCTGTTAATGCTCTTTAGGAACATCTCATTCTGATTTTCAGGAGGACGGGATTTCAAACTCAGGCCAGACCACTTCTGCAGCAAAGGTGGCAATGACTGTGAATTTGAGAAATACAAACCTGACCTGATGGCTCTCTTTCCCTCTAAGCTTTAGAATGGGTTTGTTGGGGTATTAAATGCATTTTTTATTTACAATATATTTTATCTATAATGGCTTTATTGTATATAATCTCATCTTAACTCAAGGATTATCTGTATATTGAGAAGTTTGATTCTCCTAAATGACAAAGATTAAAGTTATTTATTTGCCACCTATGAGATTTGTATGAATTATGGTAATTCAAAAATGTAGAACTGACTATTCCACTTACCAAATTCCACAGGGGGTTCCTGATCTTCTTCCCAACTTGTAAAGCTTTTTCTACTACTCTTCAAGCCAAGCATTAAAACCACCATGAGGTAAAAACAGACCCAGTTTATTTTCTATAATATAGTGAATTTAAAAAATCATTAAAAGCATTTTAGCAACCACATCTCTATCCTGAGTCTGTAAAATTATTTCCTTCAGAAAACTGACATCTCATTCACGTTTCAGTGATGCTTGAATCCTTGCAGGATGTTGGAGATATTTTTTTTCCATGTCTAAAACACTTGAGTTTTAAGCTTCCTCTGACCTGTTTACAAATAACGAAAACTAGGGCCCTGCAGTCTGCTCTCTTTTTTCTTTATCAACATTTAATGGAAAGGGGGTAGGGAAAGGAGAATGCTTGCTGTTAGCTATTATCTTTACAAATGACTTGTTAGCCTTTTATTTGTCTGCTCATGCTTCAAACACTCAAAGGACATTTTCAGAATCTCAGTAGATGAAGGTTCAATCTTTAAATGACGTGACAGGCTGTATCTTCCTTAAGAGATTTTGACACGATATTAAGCCATAGTTACAAGCCAATACTTGAATGGGAAGCCCTGGGGAAATCTTTTAGAGCTGGAACACGGCGTTTACAGCAGGAGGCAGGTGTCTGCACCAGTGAAGCAAATAACGATATGATATATTTAGTATCGAAAATGGAAGCGAAACTACTGATTCTTTACACTGGGGACAACGGAAGAAGTTGAATGAGGGAAAAAAATCATCTTTTGGGGCCCTAGGAAATGTTAATTTACAGACAGTATGAAATATACTCTCATCACGACAGGTGCACTCAGAACCAGGTGCTGCTCTCAATATCGTCTTTGAATTTATGTGTTTCTTTTCAGTGATAGGATGTGAAGCAGCTGTACTGGCCATGTGGAGAGAAAGCAAAGAGCTTTTAATTAGCAATTAGGGGGCTGTTAATTTCTTTGGGGATCTCTCTCTATCTTCTCTTTGTACTTTTACTATATTCTTAGGAGTTTCTATATGTCTCCTAAAATACAAAGAAAATCAAGGAAACAACATGGTAGATTCAGAGCATGGGTTGTGTAAAGTTGAGGAGTAAATTTAGAAGCCTAAGTAAAATTTTTATGGAAATCAAATTCACATCCAAGTTATTTGCTACCTTGAATATTCTTTTACTGATAATATTGCATCATTAAATTAAGAAATAAAATGTATTCATTGACATTGGGACATTTTTTCTCATGATGTAATTTTAGCATATATTTCTTTGTTTTTCATGTAAATGATCTACACGGATCAGTTCTTAATTAGTAGTCATTAATCATTATACCTAAGTGATAGTAATATATATTATAAATATATTTATGTCACTATAGTACAGCTATGTACATATAAATACGTGTGTAATCTAATAATACCTTTATTTTATAGATACAGGGAAATAAAATTAAAACTGCCATCTGGAAATTAGGCAGATTTTTCATTTTCCTCTAACCACTAATAATATATTTATCTTCCAATTTCCATTTCTAGAATTCTATGATTGTTAAGAACTTGTAAAATATATTCTAATATAGTTAATGCTTTATATTTTTATATTTAAAGCATACAACTCCTCTTTATTTTGATGTCTTTCCCAGATCAGCTTTCTCTTTCTTGCAATACTTAGCCAATCCAAACTTATACTACAAAATAGCAATCAACAAAAACAATTTATGTCTCACTGGTAAATAAATTGTTTCAAATGAGTGTAATGGTGTGGTCATGTTTCAACAATGTTTAAAATTTTCTTTTACTTTTCTTTCAAAGCCTAGCTTGTTAATACTATAGCTACATTACGTGGAAAAGAACAAGTCATGTTAAGCTCTTTTGTATTGGGAAACCCAGCTTGAGCTGAATCTTAAAATTGTATACCTTCAAAATAGGCAGACAAGAAGTGACAAATTGCTATTAAAGAAAGAACCAGCCCAGGCAAACTTAAAAACAGGAATACGGAAGGTATATCATGGGGTAGTCAGAAGTCTGGCCTTGCTGAAAAGTATATATAAACGTTAGAAACTACTTTGAAGTGCATTTTAGCTAACACGACTTGACACTAATGAAAGATCTGGAAAACTTATCTGAGCTTGCACTTGATATGGTAAAAACTAAATAAAATTAAAATGATGAGCTATAAAATTCTTAAAGGAACCATAGAATGCCTAGTAAAATATAGCAAAGGCTTTAAAGACTTAACAAACAAGTTTTAAGTCTTGGTAAACCCCCTACAGTTTTTTATGATTTGAAAATGAAGACACTCATACCTCTCACCACATATATAATGAGCTATATCTGATAAACTAATCAGAAAACAGTATTTTCTCCCACTACTACAATCAACACAGTGTTGTAACAATATCAGTAATCTTTAACTGTCTTTGCACCTTCATGACATCACAATCAATTTATTTATTTTTTTGAGACGGAGTTTCTCTCATTTCCCAGGCTGGAGTGCAATGGCACGATCTCGGCTCACTGCCACCTCTGCCTCCTAGGTTCAAGCGATTCTCCTCCATCAGCCTCCAGAGTAGCTGGATTACAGGCATGTGCCACCACACTCAGCTAATTTTGTATTTTTAGTAGAGACGGGGTTTCTCCATGTTGATCAGGTTGGTCTCAAAACTCCCGATCTCAGGTGTTCTGCCTGCCTCGGTCTCCCAATGTGCTGGTGTGTCCGGAATTGGTGGGTTCTTGGTTTCACTGACTTCAAGAATGAAGCCACGCACCTTTGCAGTTAGGATTACAGTTCTTAAAGATGGTGTGTCCAGAATTTGTTCTTTCAGATGTTCAGATGGGTCTGGAGTTTCTTCCTTAAGGTGGGTTCCTGGTCTCACTGGCTTCAGCAGTAAAACTGCAGACCTTTGCAGTAAGTGTTATAGCTCATAAACGCAGTGCAGACCCAAACACTGAGCAGTCTTAAAATTCACTGTGATGAGCAAAATAAAAAACACTGAACACCCCCAAGGCAGACCTGAATTGGTTGCGGCTCCTGGCTCCGGTGGCCTGCTTTTATTCCCTTATCTGGCCCCACCCACATCCTGCTGATTGGTCCATTTTACAGAGAGCTGATTGGTCCATTTTGGAGAGAGCAGATTGGTCCGTTTTGACAGAGAGCTGATTGGTGCATTTACAAACATTTAGCTAGACACAGACTGCTGATTGGTGCATTTACAATCCTTTAACTAGACACAAAAGTTATGCAAGTCCCCACTCCACCCCTCCCAGAAGTCCAGCCAGCTTCACCTCCCATTGGCATTTGCCCCTGGACTTTGCACCTAGCCAGGGCAGTCCCACCGCCAGGGGCTTGGCAAGTCCGTGCCCACCAGGAACCCTCGCCGGCCCAGGAGCGCCCGTGCCTCCCTGTCCACACCTCACAGCCAGCAGAGGGAGCTGGTTCCGGCCTCGGCCGGCCCCAGAGAGGGGCCCCACAGCGCTGTGGCGGGCAGAAGAGCTATTTGAGCAGGGCCAGAGAGGACGCTGAGGCCAAGGAGGCACTGAGAGGGAGCCAGGGCTGCTAACACATTGTCACCTCTCACTGGGATTACAGTGGTAAGCCACCGTGCCCAGCCCATCTCAAGCAAATCTTAAAGGTTCTTATTAACATATAGCTATCAGAATAGATTCTTTCTTTTCTTTATTTTTCCTTTCTTTTTCCCTTCCCTTCCCCTCCCCTCCCCTCCCCTCCTCTCCTCTTCCCTTCCGTTCCCTTCCCTTCCCTTTCCTGTGTCTCGCTCTGTCCCCCAGGCTGGAATAAGTTGGTGTGATCTTAGCTCACTGCAACCTCCACTTCCCGGGTTCAAGTGATTCTCTTGCCTCAGCTTCCGGAGTACCTGGGATTACAGACATCTGCCACCACACCTCACTGATTTTTGTATTTGCAGTAGAGATGAGGTTTCACCATGTTGGCCAGGCTGGTCTCAAACTCCTGGCCCCAAGTGATCCACCTGCCTTGGCCTCCCAAGTTAGAATAGACTTATTTAAGAACAGACTACATCAAAACTTAAAACTCATGTTCACTTTGAGTTTCCTTTCATTCTCTCAGTAGAGGCCTGACCAGTGGCCTAGAGACTAGCAGTTGCAGAGGTGGATGTGGGGAGTTGCAGAAATGTGGATTCTTTCAAATTTTGTTCTCTCTCTCCCCCACAGTGGACATTTGTGGTTACTCCAGGTTTAAAGAAGACAGAAGGGGCATAAGTAAAAGTGCAATTTTCCTTTTACTTGGCTGATGTGATAGGAGATACAGTCTCTTAAACCCTTTGCTCAATTCCTGCTTCTAGGACTTCAATCATAGCTTCTTTTGGTAGAAATTTCCTCACTCTAGCTGGCTGCCAACTTAGGTAGATTTCTTTCATCACAACTTCAGTTTCCTCATCTTCCTCTGTCCGTCTTTTCCTCAATAAAATAAAATGTACCCTCGACGTTAGTAAATAGTAAAAACGCAGCTTGGCTAATGGCTCCCCTCTCATAGTGCCTTGTTATCATCGAGTCACCTACTGTCTTCAGACTTTCCCATTTGAGAAATAAATACCAGATCTTGCCTCCTCACCCAATGAATGTGTATATAGGTATCAACAGTGTTGCACATATATGGGAAGAGTGTGAGATAAAATGTCCTCTTATATGACAACCCCAATGTCTATGGGAGGCTTCCCAGGAATGCCCACCTTAGATTGGGGAAAAGAATGGGCAGAAATATCCAGTCTTTTCCTAATAAAATGCCAGATCTCTTTGCATCTATAATTTCCTTAAAGAATCTCCTCAGAAATCTAATCTACCCTTATTTGAACAGTAGATGTGTGATAGAGCTAATAGAGGAATGGCAATGGCAATCTTTTACATTTTTTGACTCACCAAATTTTGTTTAGCACCATTACTTAAAACCTGATCGCAGTAGTGTGCTTTATCCTCCGTTTTGAAGTTCTAGTAAAATTTTGAAGCAACAAGAAAAGTTCCCAAGTATATTCTCATATACATATAAAACACCTATGAATGTTTTACTCAATGAACCACCAAAGTCTTTATTCTATATGTAGAATTAAGGGTCTCAAATTGTAATGAGACAGCAACTTATGTTTTTGCTATTCATACCAATAAGGGATGTAAACAATCAAAATTCACTTTATACTCATATGTTATAATTTCTTTTGTATCATAACGTATGGTGAAGTAAAATAAAATATACAGAGACAAATCTCTGAAGTTAAACATTTTATTTAAGAAGAAAGAATTGCAACTTGGGACACACACCTGGATCGGGTTGTCTTTGGTGGGTCCAAAGAACAAAGGGAAGGTTAGAGGTTTTATGCAAAAAAAGAAACATGTATTACTCTTTGAGAAAGTTAATTGGCATAGTAAGGTTGTGGAGAGCTGGTAAGTTTTGATTAATAAAAGAAGACAATAAGTAAAACTATTACAGTTACAGCAGATCCATTAGATACAACTGGTTTTAGGTTACAGCAGACAGTTCTAGCAACCAGGCTCACCCAAAATTACATTCTTAGAGCAATGTTAGGTGCTTAGTACTTCATTGCCTCAAGCATCTTGACTGTGTTTTAGTTGAGTAGGACAAGAATGAACCAACTCATGATCAACTCTCATAAGTACAGCAGAATACAAATTTATAGTGATATTATTTTTAAAAATTTTAAAGGAAATTAATAAAACTGAAAAACTGAAATAAATGTGTTATTGGATTTTGCAAATATGTTATTCCAGATTTGGAATTTATTATCTTGCTATGTTGTCTTTTTTTAAAACAGATTTTTTTGGTTTTGTTTTGGGTTAGGAGGAATGCAAAATATTATCCCTTTCTATTATTATATTATTCTATTTATATGTTATAATATTTATGGGGATAGTTTTCTAAAAATGAGGTTAATAACACTGTTTAAATATAACAAAATTTAAATATTTTTAAATATTTTATTTAAATATAACAATAATTTGCATATATCTCATGAACTTGTTTCTTTTTGGAGCAAAAAGAAATTATAAATGTCAAATAGTTCAATTGTGTGTTTTTTACAAGGAATTTGAGGTATAGAGAGAAAATATCAATATCTAGGGTCTTATATTTAATAAACAGTAAATGAGATATCAGAAATAAAACTTACAATTCTGGTACTCCAACAGTTCTGCTAAGCCATGAGGCTCCCAGAGTAAGTGCTTCTCTAGGAAGCCTTATGGTTTCTTTTAATAAATTAAATTTTGTGACAGTATGCTGTGTCCCTGTGTGATTATTGGTAGCTATTTAAATAAAAATCATTGGCTAAATTATTAATTCAAAAACTTTTAATAAACACCTGATTTCCTAAAGTAGAACAAGAAGCTTCAACTTTTTTCTAACACAACATCCAATATTTGCCATGAAGTGTTTCCATCTTTTCAATGAATTTTTTATTCTAAGTTATCATAGAAAACATAATAGAAGCATGAACAGATCAACTGGTATTTAATTAACTAGAATTCCTAGGTGAATTGTAATGGTGTTTTGGTGTTTGTCAACATGAATGAATTTAGAAATTCAACATTAACATTTTAACAGACATATTTTATGAAATATAATAGCTAACTTTGAAAAACCTGCAGTTTGAGAACAAAACTGAGTTGATTCATTTTACAGCAGGCTCTAACTTTTATGTTTTCAAAGCAGCAGTGATTCATGAGTAATTTGGTCCTGTGGGTAAATATTAATTATATCAGATAAAACAAAATGTATCATAATTTTATAAACAGCATCCAAGTTTGCCTTTATCATACAAATATATGAAACATTTATTGCAAGAAAAATAGTAAAATATACATTAAAACAGAAAAGCTTAAAAATTTTAAACTATCACCAAGTTTGCATATACATTTATAACTATATATTACACCCACTATTTATAGAAATGTGTATTTTAGAAAGGTCTTTCATAACAATATCTTATTTGACCACTGCAATAACCAGTATATTTAGGCATGGTGGAAAGCTTTTTTTTCTAATTTTATACACGGAGTAAATCTCTATTAATAAAATAACTACTTTTTTTTGTCTTGGTAACATTTTATTCCTTTTTTTAAATTTTTTTAAATTATACTTTAAGTTCTGGGATACATGAGCAGAACATGCAGGTTTGTTACACAGGTATATATGTGCCATGGTGGTTTGCTGCACCCATCAACCCGTCATTTACATTAGGTATTTTTCCTAATGCTATCCCTCTGCTAGCCCTCCCACCCCCCGACAGGCCCCAGTGAGTGATGTTCCCCTCCATGTGTCTGTGTATTCTCATTGTTCAACTCCCACTTATGAGTGAGAACATGTGGTGTTTGGTTTTCTGCTCCTGGGTTAGTTTGCTGAGAATGATGGTTTCCAGTTTCATCCATGTCCATGCAAAAGACATGAACTCATCTTTTTATGGCTGCATAGTATTCCCTGGTGTATATGTGCCATATTTTCTTTATCCAGTCTATCATTGATGGGCATTTGGGTTGGTTCCAAGTCTTTGCTATTGTGAATAGTGCTGCAATAAATACACATGTGCATGTGTCTTTATAGTAGAATGCTTTATAATCCTTTGGGTAAATACCCAGTAATGAGATTGCTGGGTCAACTGGTATTTCTGGTTCCAGATCCTTGAGGTCCTTGAGGAATCGCCACACTGTCTTCCACAATGGTTGAACTAATTTACACTCCCACCAACAGCATAAAAGCATTCCTATTTTTCCACATCCTCTCCAGCATCTGTTGTTTCCTGACTTTTTAACGGTCACCATTCTAACTGGCGTGAGATGGTATCATTGTGGTTTTGATTTGCATTTCTCTAATGACCAGTGATGATGAGCTTTTTTCATATGTTTATTGGCCACATAAATGCCTTCTTTTGAGAAGTGTCTGTTCATATCCTTTGCCCACTTTTTGATGGGCTTGTTTGTTTTTTTCTTCTACATTTGTTTAAGTTCCTTGTAGATTCTGGATATTAGCTCTCTGTTAGATGGATAGATTGCAATTTTTTTTTTTTTTTGAGATGGAGTCTTGCTCTGTCGCCCAGGCTGGAGTGCAGTGGCACGATCTTGGCTCACCACAATCTCCGTCCCCCAGGTTCAAGAGATTCTCCTGCCTCTTAAACTACACACAATTTGCTAATATTTTAAAAGGTACTTTTCACAGTGGGAAAAGTGTTTTTAATACTAAAAAATCAAGAGCCACCTTTCAGATGAGGAAACTAAGGTTCAGATAGCATCAAATACTTATGTTCTACAATATAATGTTACTTCTAACATAAATTAAGGTTTAGCTTTAACCGTAGCTATTCTTTCTTGTCCTTCAAAATACAATTTAATAATTACTTTTTACATGAAGTCTTTTCTCAATTTTATTTCTTCTCATTCTATCTTTTCATGATGGAATACTAAATGATAATAGAAATGTTTATATTTTAAATTCTAATCATATTGCACGCATTCTGATAAGCACTTACCTTCTATTATGGCAGTTAGCCTTAGTAACGTTAAATTTGATTGCTTTCATGTCATATATTGATTAAAAGATTAAATCAATGAATTGATTGCTAATTATTTGTTATCCCAAATTTATATAAAACCTAATACATCTTTTTACATGAGTTGATGGTGGCTAACCATTCTTACAAACACAAAGAGATGGGAAAGTATATTAGAATCCCAAAGAATCCTTCTTTGAACTCATTATAGAGACCACATTGTTTGCCAGCTGGGCCAATATTTGTGAACTGTGATTCAGAAGGGAAAAGAAGGATCGAGGAGGCCCTTTCTGAATTTAATTTGCAAGATTTAATATGCCTGAAATAGCCTGTCATATGATTCTAGTCATGTGGTGAAAGATGACTTGAGACAACAAAAGAGCAAAAAGAAGCAGAATAGTCAAAAACAGAAAAAAAAAATTGCTGTCAGGAATCAGGGTTGGGACTGAGGTGTTTTGGGGTCTTAGCTACACTGTCCTTCCTGTGGTTTAGTTACGTGAGCCAATAAATTATTCTTACTGCCTTTTTACATAAGCCAACATATCTTCAATTTTGCACTGGCAAAGAGTTTGAGATACGTTATCACTCTGTCTCCCAGGCTGGAGTTCAGTGGCGTGATCATGGCTCACTGAAACCTCCCCCTCCCAGGCTCAAGCCATCCTCCCGCCTTAGTCTCCTGAGTAGCTGAAGTACAGGTGTGCACCACCATGCCTGGCTAATTTTTGTATTTTTTGTAGAGATGGGGTTTTGCCGTGTTGCCCAGGCTGCTCTCAAACTCCTGAGCCCAAGCAATCCACCCATCTCGGCCTCCCAAAGTGCTGGGATTAGAGGTGTGTGCCATCGCACCTGGCTGAGTTGTGCTTCTTTTTATTATCAAAAAGAGAAAAAAAGAGAGCTGATAAAGATGTCTCCAGTTCTTATGAGAGTACTTTTCTAACATTTTTAAATACTGTATTTGTCTTTTATAATTAAAGTCCACAAATTGTATTGTCTTGTCCCAATCAACATTTTTTAGGGTGCCATGTAACACAATTCACTGATAGTTAATAATTGCTGATGTTGCCGCCCACTATAGTTTTTTCCAAATAATAAAAACTAACATTTTAAAATAGAATTGTGTTTTTTGTAATAAAAACCAACAGCTAGTCATCTTACCCCACCACCAAGTTGATAATTAAATATTTGTGTCAATTTGCAAGGTATTTCATAATTGACTTATTTTTTTACTCACCCATGTATAAATTTTAACCATGTAAAACTATAAGAAAGATTTTCATTAGATACATATTAACTTTATAATTCATGTAGAAAATTGGTGACAGGAAGCAATATGCTTATTTTAATAGTAGAGGAATTGAAAGTCAAACAATAAATGTGAACTTCATTTACAGTTAAGGCAGAAATATCAGTAGAAAATTACAATTTGTATTTTGTTACCTGTTAATTATATATCAGTAAAAGAGATGTGGTATATTTTAGGATATTTGGGTCTTGAAGATAATGTTACAGACAATTTCCAGGACTTTCCAATAAAATTTCAGTCAATAATTTAAATACAGATACACATCTTTCTGTACAGGTAATGTGATCTGACAAAATTGCTTAAATTTCAGTTCCTGTATGTTTTTGTAAATTCTTATATTTGACATAGCAAATGGAAAATTTTTGGTAACAGATAATTGCATGTCTTTTTGGATATGCATATTCTACTTGCCATATTTTACTACTAAAGTTTAAATATTATTAGTTTACCCATCAATGAGAAAAAGAGAACAATTAATTGAAATCGCCATTTACTTATTTTTCTCTAACATTCTACAAGAATTTACTGAGTAGATTTTTTGCTGGATCTGAGGGATAAATGGTTGAAAAAGACACATTTCTCTCCTTTATGGTGTGTTAAAAAAGCTAGAAGAAAAATTACAATGTAGTGTGATAAATGTAATAAATGAGAGCAGAGAGAGAGAGACAAAGAAGTAAAGCTTAAAAGGACACTGTTAAACCTGGTGTAGGCAGCGCTAGCTTCACAGAGAAGGTGACACTTCAATTGTCTTGAAATCAAGCAAGTTTCCTTGGGAACTTTGGGGGAAAGAGAAGACAAATGGGAAGGATCCAGAGAATGTTGTTTGAAATTGCTTTAATTAGATGGATATTTTATTCGCTAGTACTAGAAGGAAGAAAGAATGAGTGTGGCATTGATGCATTTTTAGGTGAGGAGGGATGAGTGAAGATCCTTTGGTTTGCACTGTATATATCAGTTTTTTGGAAAAAAATGCAAGGAAGTGACCCAGAAGACTGCATATAACAATATGAAATAATAGTTACATAATAATGATAAGGTCAGATAGCCTAAGCCCCAAAGTAGAATGAATTAATGAATTAATTAATTTGCAAGAAGCTAAAACAAGAACAAGAAATTGCATTGGCGTGTATCAAAGAACATAACCCCTGAGCCCCTGCCTCCCAGCCTGACCCAGCACATCCAGCCTTAGGACTGTACTAGCAATAGAAGGATCAAATGTCCTCAGGGAAAAGCCAGTTTAAGTCCTGGCCATTTTATTGAAAAGATATGCAGATGTTCAGCACGACTCAAAGGGAGAAGTTAGATTGAAATACTATATTTATCACAAGAAGAGGCTTTGATGGATTGAAATAAGCAATGCCAGCAATAGTTTCAGAAGCTAATGGTTATTTGCTCAATGTCTGAAGCAATCAAATGCTACCTTTGGAATTGCAATCTAAAAGGAAAGTAACTTCAACATGCTTAACTAATGGTGTCACTAATGACTAGTCAGAAATTTACTCTCATACTAAAGATCTTCAGGGTTTCTTGATAGTTTTTCCTAAAAATGTCAAATACTGTTTTTAATCTCTAGAGATCTATCCACCTGCTAAGAAATAAAAACGGAAAAGCTTCTTCCAATAAATCTCAAATATAATGAAAATCATAGTAGTGTAGGAGAAATTATTTACTTTTTATTTGGACTTGTAGAAAGTAGTTTTCTGTTGTTTGGTTTATTTTTGCCTGAAAGAGGTTCAAATACAACCCCTAGAGCCACATTTTAAAAGACTGCCATCAAAGGGAATCTGCAGGACAGTTCATATTTCTTTTAAATTCTTTTAAATTGAACCCATATTCAAACACTTTATTGCTCCATAAATATCCAATGCTCTTTCTCTATTCTTGAACACCCAATCTGGGTATCTAAAAATATGCCTCATTCTGGTCTGTCAAATATGTGTAGCTGGCCGGGTGCGGTGGCTCACGCCTGTAATCCCAGCACTTTGGGAGGCCGAGGCAGGCAGATCACCAGAGGTTGGGAGCTTGAGAACAGCCTGGCCAACATGGTGAAACCCCATGTCTACCAAAAAATACAAGCTTAGCCGGACATGGTGGCGTGCACCTGTAATCCCAGATACTCAGGAGGCCCAGGTCGGAGAATCGCTTGAACCCGGGAGGCAGAGGTTGCAGTGAGCCGAGATCTCGCCACTGCACTCCAGCCTGGGCGACCGTGAGACCCAGTCTCAAGAAAACCAACCTGCCAACCAAACAACCATAAACAACCATGTTATCTAATTACACCTCTTTGTATATTTGAATAAGTATGAGGAAAAATTAGTGCCAGACATTTCCAATTGATTCAGTCTTCAGTGACGCATCAATTCTAAGTCTATATAGGGTAATTAAGATTTTGCTTTTTTTTGTAGTCTGCACATATTTTTAAAGGCAATTTTAGAGCAGTTGAGCACTTCAGCACTAATAGTACTCTTTTTCTTGACAATGCTTACCTTGACATTTCTAACGAGTGAATGAATTATTTCTGCTAATATTCAAGTAATATCTCAGCATGATGAAAAAGATTCATGTTTAAGAACTTCCATGGAAATCTTTTAGATACCAGGTGGCTACAGTGATCACAGGTCTCTGCAGAAACAAAATGTTCACAGGTTAAATATGTAGGTAGGGCTCTCACCCATCCTTGATCTCTGCACTAGACTATTGATTTCATTAAGGATGCAGTATAGCCCAGAGTCTTTAAGCAAACACATTTTCCCCTTAAAAATCAAATAGAGGAATAGGCAAAGAATTCTCTTTCATCTATAAATTATGAAGCCAAGTTCAAGAAATTCAAACTACTTGAAAAGGAGTGTTTGATTTCTTATGTAATGAAATTGTAAAAAATAAAAATAAAAACTCAATGCAGACTTGCTCAAATGATGAGAACTTTAATATTTTTAATACAAACCCAGGACTCTACATGCAACTGTTATCTGGAAATGAATTGTAAGATGAACACATTATACAAGCAATCAGCAGCAAAGCTTAATCTCAGAATAAATGTTCATTGACTACACTTTCTTTTCAGGAAAAACAAAATTACCATTATGCACACATACACACATACACACACACAAACTTCTTTAAGCCAACATCTTTCTCACTGTCTTTTATCTGGCTGAGGGAAGAGATTGCTCTAAAAATGAGGAAACAAAAAAAAAATTTAAGTACGTGCTAAATTTCTTTCTTTTATTCTGTTTAATTTGAGAAATAGCAAATCTGTAGTCATTACTTACCTTTAAATGATTAAATGACAGTGCTGACAAAAATGACTACTTTAATATATTAATAGACTAGTTTAATATAAAATAGTTTTATATCCTGAAAATATCCCCTTAGAAGACAGTATAAATTTGTTACTTTAAAGCCATTCACAATCTTTTTCACTCCTTTTTTCCCTACCTTTTAGGTGGCAAAATTAATATATCTACCTTCTCACGTGTGCACATATGATGGTCATATAAAAGAAATCTAGTCAAAAAAGAAAAGGTAAAAGTGCTTTAGTAGGACATTGTTCAAAATGCTTCTACCAAAAATAATAAAGATACATTTTTATTAAGAGAAAATGCTCTTTTTCTTTCCTGGAACTCAGACCCAAATGAAGAGTTACAGCACATCTCCTGTTTGTGATTGGAAAGTCACAGATGAATGACAAAAGAGCAGAAATGAAAAATAAAAGAATATGTGCCCTTTGTGATCCATTTGAGCCTTGGGCAGCATATCTGTGAGCCTACTGCTTTAGCACCTAAACCTTACCTAAAGTTTAGATTTTAAAAATTTATAATTATTTGTGCTATTATAGAGTGTTCTCTGTTTGCTGTAAAAATGCAATTAACATTAAATGATATACTCCATAAATAGGAGGACCTTTCCTAAATTGAGCTATTACTTACTGCTTTCATTCAATTCTGCAGTAATGTTGGAAAAATCAGGATATAATTTTTTTGGCTTTTTAAAAACATTTTATAATTTGACACAAGCCTGCCACAATATTATGATCCCTTTCAGAGTTTCTTTTACGATAGGTGAGTCACTTAGACTTGTCAATTTTCTAGGAATAATTTCTCTACTATTTTTACTGGGCTTGTACCTTCTTTCAAACACTCGCAATCTTTCACAAACCACACTCAAAACACTCTACGTGGGAGACAGGGAAGGAGAAAAATTAAACAACATAACAATTTAGTCATTTATACATTATTATCATTATTATTATTGTTATTGAGGAAAAGATTTTTAGAAAAATAATTTGAGTAATAAAAGCTCTTTTTTAGAAATGTGATCTAGACTTGCAGAAAAGAATAGTTGATTTATTTAAAACATGCCAGTTGCTACATATATTTGATATACCTGCCTGTTTAGATGGACATAATCTCTTATTTATATGATATCCATGTAATGGTATGTTTTAAATTATTTTACTATCATATTAACAAGTTACTTATGAATAAAAACTCATTTACTTGCTTTGCTTTAATATGTTTATATCTCATTAAGTACATATGAAACCTGTTGGTTCTGTGGACTGAATGTAACATATATTACATAAAATTATCATTCAAATTTTGAATATTTAAAAGGTTTAGTTGATACACAAAATATGATATATATAACATATACTCATTTGGATTATTGGTGGATGGTTGATCTTTGTGATCTTTAAGTCACTTTCAAGCCTTGTTCTCATTAGTTTAAAGCAATTTTTTTTTTTCTTTTTGAGACAGAGTTTCACTCTGTTACCCAGGCTGGAGTGCAGTGGCACGATCTCGGCTAATTGAAACCTCTGCCTCCCAGGTCCAAGCGATTCTCCTGTCTCAGCTTCCAGAGTAGCTGAGACTACAGGCACACAACCACGCCCAACTACTTTTTTTGTATTATTAGTAGAGATGGGGTTTCACCATATTGGTCAGGCTGGTCTCAAACTCCTGACCTCAGATGTGATCCACCCACCTCGACCTCCCAAAGTGCTGGGATTACAGACATTAGCCACCGAGCCTGGCCTAAAAGCATTTTTTTTTTTACTCTAAAAGCATCCATGTATCTCTGTTTTATTTTTTTATTAAACAGAGTATTTTATTCCTATCTATTCCTAATATTCGATAATAATTCCATCTAGATTATCATATAAAAACATGCAGTATTTAATTTTTTAACATTTACTTTTTTGAATAAAACACCAACTTTGTTTCTTCTAGAAGTTCTGCAACAACAGAAAATGTGTGACAAAAATGCCAGAATTATTATAGTCTCCCTTTAGTTCCTGAATATCATTAAGAAAAGAAAATTAATCTGGTAAGTTTTTCCACAATGTTTGAATTTATATGAATTCAGCTTCTCTGCAGTGACTAGATAGCGATGTTAATTTGAACATGGATGCAAAGTGTGTGCAGGCTAAAGGACATTTCGGCTATAAAAAGTCCCATCTCAGTAATGCTAAGTATTTCTGGCTTCTCATTTCTTGTAATTTAAAGAAGAAGCCTGCAGACTTTCTTATTATGCCTGACACATCTGCCGTTATATCTCCATACCTCCGAAATGTCAGTAGCAATGCCTCTCAGGCCCCAGTTGCATCTGGTAGGTGATGATGTAGACCTAGTCATCCAGGATCCAATGATACAGCAACCCTTGTTCTTTCCTATTCATAAAGCAGTTTAAAATGACTAATAAGAAGTTTTAAAAAGCATATTTTAAACAAAAAGGCAATTTGTTCTTGCAAGTAAAAAAATAGATATAATAAAATGTAATATTTCCTTGTTACCACCAAAGAAAAAAGGAAAAATTAGAATTACAATCCTTCCAATACCAAATTTGTGTATTCCCGTTTTGCAATTCAACATCAGTGTTACTACATAAAGTACATGTGTAGTTTTTGCATAATCCATTCTATTGCCCCTATATTTTACAACCTTTAATATATATTCACTTAAAGTTTTTTAAATGAAAACATTTACTTACTTTTAAAAAGAAACTCCATTTGGGATGACTTGGAAGTTTGTTTTTTCCATTAAGTTAGTGAAAAGATGAATTGGTTATTTTTCTTAAGGCTTCTAAACACATAGTCACATGTCTATTCCTGCCAAGGATTTGCTAACAAAACACCATTATGTGCTAACCTGACTCTTACAAATTCAATATTGAAAGAAAAAAATCTCAAAAAATAAAACCAAAATGAAACTAATTCTCTAAATAAAATACAGTTTACTCAGTTATATTTGAAAAAATTTTTATATTATGAAATACACAGTAAAGAGGAGGTACATAGTAGTGACTAAGCTTTGATAGTGGTAGAAGTCTGTCATAAACAGCTGGTGTTTTAAACCTCAGCTCCACCACTTATAAACTCTGCAGTCTTGAAGCCTCAAGTACCTAAAGTTCCCCATTGGAAAGCAAGAATTATAACAATTGTCATGTAGAGTTAATGAAAAAATTCAAGGATAGTTTCTCTCTTGAGTAAGTACTGAATAAATATTAGCTGTTGATATTATTTTCCTTTTTTTAAATTAATCTCAGTTCAAATTTTCTTTACAACTGAAGAGACTTAACAGAGTTTAGCGTTGTTTACAAGCTAGATGTCTTCCAGAACTTCCCCATCAAATATTAGAAAAAAAAAAAAACAGGTCTCTGGGGAAAGCTACACCTCTTTATCTGATATTCACAAATAGGGTTGACAGATGAAATATGCCCAGTTAAATTTGAACATTTACAATTAAATTTCCCAGATAAAATACATCCAATTAAACTTCAATGTCAGAAAAACAAGAAATAATATTTTAGTATGACCCAAATATTGCAAAGAACATACTTACTATAGGTCATATAATTATTCACTGTTTATCTAAAATTTAAATGTAACAGACACTTCTGTATTTTATTTGTTAAATCAGGCAACGCTTATCCACAATGCAATTAGCATTTAAGAAAACATTATAAGGAAATATGTTGAACTTGGTTTAAGGTAATTATCACAAAATTTATTTGACCATAGAATGTTATTTGAAATTAACATCTATTAGTACATTGATGATCACAAATCTAGAAAAGCTTTTTAATTTCATATTTTAATTTTACAGGTGAGAAAACTAAAAGAACATACTTTACTGAATTTTTCCTTACAGTAGAGGTCAGATGCTAGTCACCTTATCATCTAGGCTGTATTTTCTCAGTTCTTTTCAAGACAATTTTCTGTTCTTTTAATTTTATCTTTTTTCACATAAGAACTCTGAAATAATAAATTCTCCTTATTATAATATACTGATTTGTACATAATTTAGACATCAGTAACTTTTAGCACGTATTATCTTATTCACTTGATTCATATCTACTTTTAAATGATCAACTTTTTAATAGAAATGTATTGATTATATAAACTATGAAATTAGTAAATTTTAAAATTAACTGTACTTGTTCATATTCATAAATAGATTGGCTATAGCTATACCTTATAAATTCTATACCTTATACACAGGAAACACTTAAAAAACAATGAAGTTTGTTATGGAAGCTTGGACAAAGTTGCATCAGAAATCCAACACTATAGGTTCATTTCTATCCACAACCCCTAATATGACAGTGCAAACAAACCAATGAATACACAAGAAAATATACTTTTGCTGGGCGTGGTGGCTCACGCCTGTAATCCCAGCACTTTGGGAGGCCGAGGCAGGCGGATCACGAGGTCAGGAGACTGAGACCATCCTGGCTAACATGGTGAAACCCCGTCTCTACTAAAAATACAAAAAATTAGCCGGGCGTGATGGCGGGCGCCTGTGGTCCCAGTTACTCAGGAGGCTGAGGCAGGAGAATGGCGGGAACCCGGGAGGCGGAGCTTGCAGCGAGTCCAGATTGCGCCACTGCACTCCAGCCTGGGTGACAGAGCGAGACTCCGTCTCAAAAAAAAAAAAAAAAAAAAAAGAAAATATACTTTTATCTCAATAGAATTTTTGAAATACAGGCATGTAAAGGTATGAAATGTGATTGAGAGTGGAGAACACATACTTTCAGGAAAGCTTGCTTTCTTGTTTTTCTATTTTAGTAAAAGCTAAATATTTAACATGTAACAAGTGTTATACAATATTTTGATGAGACTGTTTTCAGACTTGAGGCCATATTTACTTTGCTTTCAGAATTGTTATGCTATTTAAAAAATATATTATTTGGTTTTAAAGTTTTAAAAAATTGGTTAGATAAAAGTTTCCATCTCAGAATAGATTTTTAAAACTGTTTTATAAGGAAAAAAAAAAAACGGTGTAAGTTTCTTCTTGAGGCACTGCTTAAGAATCCCCAAGCTAATCCAGTTTTTATAATAATTTTGGCGGAGTCAAATGACCTATCCATGCAAAGTTTATGCAATGTTAAAAAACAAACTTCTATTTAAAGCCAGGAGTATATGAGAATAGCAGACTTTTTTTAGTATTTACTTTCACTGTATGGGTGTTCATATAACTTAAGAAAACCACTCCTGGGTAGTTCAGGCAGCGTGATGCATTTTTGAAGTTCATGTTTTCCCTTGAAAATGTTTCAAATCCTATAGTGAAGATTAAATCCTTGATCCCTCTTGCATGAGATAAACTCTAGCTTCTCTAGAAGTTCAAAGCCAAAGGCTTACTTAAAATAAAAGGAGTATGACTCTTGAAATAAGCAGTTTTCCAGCCTCACTGTTTACTACAATTGCATAGAATGCCTAGAGTTATTTAAGCATGGTAATATTTGTATATGCTTTTCTTTCTAATAGCTACTCTTAGAAGAGTTCCAGGGCTATGAATAACTATTCTATGAAAAAATAATATCACAGTGAATTTACTTCATTTCCCTAAAACATCTAAGTATATAGGTAAGTTGGAAATTAATTTATAATGTTTTGGGAAATAGTATACAGATCTTTAGATGGAAATATGTCTTGTAGCAATAATTTACCATGTAAACATATATATTATCAATTTTATGTTAGTCTAAATTTTTGTTATTCATTAATTTAAAAAGAAGGAAATAATTTTCTCTTTGTCATAAATCTTTGTTTTCTGTATTTTAAGAAATTTATTTTTGGTCATTAGCACATCTTTGTCTTTGAAAAGTTATTTTGAAGTAATTGGAATTTCTGTGACTAAATTCTGTCACTAAATTCCAAAGCTGGCCAGTTATGGACCAGCTTTGAAATATCTGTTATGAATGCAATGAAAGATCTGTTATATATATATATAACAATGAAATATCTGTTATGAAAGCAAAATAGAATAAACTAACAATGAAATTCTAATGAATCAAATTGCTATTTGGACTAATTCACTTAAATATATTGATTACCTATTATCATCTGAATTTAAAGATCACATGGTGCCTACTTTTATATCATATTATCTATTTATTATTTGTAGTTGTCAAAGTAAGCCCAGTTGTTAAACATTGAAATCTTTTTCAAAATAAGCAAATTATTCATGATATTATAAGACCCAATTATTTAGAGGAAAAATATTGTATGTTTTAAAAATGATAGATTGTAGAATGTCTAATTACTGCAATATATTGCTAAGTACCATTTTAGATATGACTTGATCATAAAAAGAAGGCCTTAAAATCAACAGTGACATATAGAGTTGCAAGACTGGGATAATAACTTTGCAACAAGATTGTGATAAATAACTCAAGTAAAACTGCACTATTTGTAGCAATAACTAGGACATATTAATTTATGAAGTAATCTTTTCTAAATACAAAAAATCTGTCAAATTCTGATGTTGATAATTTTCATAAGAAATGACACCAACGGGTAAATATTTCAACAACCATACAACTACAGAAACTGGCTGTTGATTCCCACAACACTTTGATTTAAATAAAACTGTGTTCAATTTAGTGTTGTTGATTCCAGAAATGAAAGTTAAACCATATGTTGACAATAATGATTTATATGTATAACAAAAATATTGATGTCTCTGAATATAAATCCATGTTTATACTAAAAGTAAGCATGTGTCAGTCAATTCATTCTTTCATATACAATTTTGCATAGTATCCATGTTTCATAATGATATGATATCCATACGTAAATTTTTTAAATTAAAAAAACGCTTTTTATGCAGCTAACCATTTACCTAGTGGTGTTCATACAGCTTCTTTATATTAAAATACCAACCAATGTATTAAGTGTTAACCGTAATAAATAGTCCCAGAAACCTTGTCGTATTGGCCAGGTATCATCACATAACACTGACCTGTTTAGCAAATAATTGAAAGAGAATAGTCTGGGTTGTTTTAGAGACATGATGTGTTTGACAAAGAGAGGAGGTAATTTATCCAATTATCCAATGTGTTGTGGTGATTTATAGAAATAATTTCATACAAGGAAAGATAGCTGGATTAAGAAGAAATATTTTCTCTAATAAGCCTTTTAAGAGAAATAATTCATACATTTATATCAAGAAAGATGAAAAATCATAATGAGAAAAAAGATGAAAATTATAAGGAAATAAAACAGGAAGTTCGAGGAAAGAAGTGAAAAATTGAATTATTTTTTATTTTTATTTATTTATTTTTTTTGAGACAGGGTCTCGCTCTGTCACCCAGGCTAGAGTGCAGTGGCACAATCACCGCTTACTGTAGCCTTGACCTCCCTGGCTCAAGCAATTCTCCCACCTTAGCCTCCGGAATAGCTGGGATTACAGGCACAGGTCACCACGCCTGGCTAATTGTTTTGTATTTTTTGCAGAGACGGGTTTCGGCATGTGGCCCAGGCGGATCTTTCTTTCTTTTTCTTTTCTTTTCTTTCTTTTTTTTTTTGAGACACCGTCTGGCTCTGTTGCCCAGGCTGGAGTGTAGTGGCGCGATCTCAGCTCACTGCAAGCTCCGCCTCCCGGGTTCACGCCATTCTCCTGCCTCAGCCTCCCCAGTAGCTGGAACTACAGGCACCCTCCACCACACCCGGCTAATTTTTTGCATTTTTAATAGAGACGCGGTTTCACCGTGTTAACCAGGATGGTCTCAATCTCCTGACCTCATGATCCACCTGCCTCGGCCTCCCAAAGCGTTGGGATTACAGGCGTGAGCCACTGCACCCAGCCTTGCCGAGGCTGGTCTAAAATCCCTGAGCTCAAGTGATCTTCCTGCCTCGGACTTCTGAAGTGTTGGGATTACAGGCGTGAGCCACAGTGCCCGGCTAGAGAAGTTTTAAATGAAATGATGAGTCTATATTTAATATGGAATAAAGAAGTAAAGAAGTAGTCTTAAGCAGATTGACATTTGTGGTGGACATTCCATAGGATGAACTCCAGTGAATCATTGTATAATCCTCTCCCCTTGATTGTGGTGGGACCTGAGATTAGATTCTAGCTAATAGATGACAATGATAATGGGAATGCCAGTTCCAGGGTTAGGTTATGTCACATTTTGTAATTAGAAGATTTCATTTTAGAATACTGGAGAGAGCTATTCTCTTTTTAGCCTTTAAGAAGCAAGCTGTCATGTTTTGAGAGGTTTGGGTGAGACTCACCCATGAGAGGAAACTGTTCATGGCTTCTGGGACATGAGGGTGCTTCCTGAAGAAGCCAGCAAGAGGTCAGGTCCTGAGTTGTAGAACAAGGAAATAAATTTTGCCAGTAGTCTAAATGAGCTTGGAGGGATATTTGTCTCAGTTAAACCTCGAAGTGAAAATGTAGCTTCTCTGACTCCTTAATTTCAACCTTGTGAGACCCTCTACAACAGACCTAGCAAAACCATGCCTAGACTCCTTACCCACAGAAACTGACATAATAATTGTGTATTCCTAAATCATTAAGTTTATGGTAATTACACAGCAATTGAAAAATAATATGGTATTTTCGCGTAGATGGTTAGTTTGTGGGGACATTTAAGTCATTCGTCCACATAGCCTATTTTCCTCTGTGCACATTTACTGTTCAAATTAGAAAGCTCAAAGTTATTTTCTTCCTTCTGACTATTTAGAAGACAACAACCTCCCTGGTGAGTAAACCTTAAGTACAGCAACAGGATATTAAACATATTTGAAGTATATGCACAGCTTGCTATTGTACTCATTTCATTTTTAGTGTAGTATAGCAAGTTTAACTGCCTGATGCCAATTAACCATAATGAGAATTATGGAACTAAACCACAGTGCACTACACTGAAAATTGAATCACTTGGGTTCTTACTGACTTCATGCTTTTTGTTGAAGGACATATAACTTATATTAAAGACTTCTCTTTTTTCCTACCTAAGAAACATTGATTATCATTAATTGAAACTATATTAAAACTCTGATTAACATATACAAAATTTAATTAATAAAATTACTTTCTAAAGAAAAGACAGAAAAAAGTATATGTACATACCATGTACAACATAATATTTTCAAGTATATGTACATTGGGGAATGACTAAATCTAGCTAATTAGCTTTCCCTAACATAATTATCATTTTTTGAGGTAAAAACATTTTATATCCAGTCTCTACATTTTTCAAGAATTTATTAGTTTATATATAGTTAATATATTATTAACTGTACATTAAAGAAATCTATCGTACAACATGTGACTACAGTTAACAAAGTTAGTGTTCACATCTCTTCTCCAAAGAAAAGCTAAAGTTCATTTATATTATAATGTCTGTATTTAGTTTAACATAAAATACATAAAACATGCTAAATATATTTCCCTGTGTTTCTTCTTAATTATTATACTGGTAATTAATTCAAATTTTAAAACAATTCAAAGTACATTATAAATCCTTTAAATAGCTATAGCAGGGTTTTAAATATAGAATTCTATTAATTTAAAATAATAGCATATAAAACTTTATCACAGATGCTAATTGTGACATTGAACTCAGTAATTTCAGAAACATGAATGTATTCTCTGACGTATTGTTTTAAATAATGAGACTTTGGTATGAAACTAAAAAATTATTTAGAAAAATTAAATCTAAAGAAACAAAACACACACACACACACACACACACACACACACCCCCCACATACACAGCTACTCTCATAGAAAACTCACAGTTACAAACTGAAACCTCAGGAGCATCTTCTTCTCGAAGCCATGGGAGATGAACTTAATAGTTGCCTCTGACTTTTCAGATGAACAATTCAAACTTCTCATCATGATTGTATTCATTCAACAAACACATAGCCCAACACTGTGCCAGAATGGTTCCAAGCACCTCAACAAGTTGGCTCATTAGTTCCTTATAACAACCTTATAGAATTAGTTTAGAGTGATTTTTAAGAAAATGCAGTTCTTGTTTCATTTTTAAACATCCACCCATTTGCTTGATGATTGTAGTACAGAGTGAAGCTGGCTTGAGGAACTTTGTCTCTTTAGCTTTTCCTGATTGGAGAGTTTCATGTACTTAGTTTACTGGCAGAATGGAAGGATGTGGTTTTCTGCATAAGTGAAATCCAAATAAAGGAATCTTACTCTATACAAAGATAATTTTCTGAAAATAACTAGTGGGTTGAGGCTATAAAATTCCCATATTTGTAATAGAAATCTTGTGCTCAAAGTTAGAGGTACAACAGTACATGTCATTCTCTGGGTTCCCAGTCTGTGATACTGCTCCCACCCTTCTTCACTATTGCAAACATTTACTAACCCAGTTTTGAACATGAACTTTATTTTCTCAAAATATGTTAGTATCTGACTAGGATTTCCTTTGAAGAATAACCAAGTTCAGGCAAGACCTATTGTTCCACCACAGAAATCAGTGTTTGTTTCACTACAAGGTCAAGATACAGAGTCTAAACCTCTGTGCCACTGTCTAAGTCATGTTTAAGAGCATAATTTCTTAAAAACATTCAGTTTGCTACAATTGATTTTTAGCAACTTTATGATGGGTTTTTGTTGAAAATTTGAATACAGCTTATTTGATTCTATATCATACCTTGGACACTTTCAAAAGCCATCAATATTTAAACACCCCTAAGATTATTCCACCTTAGAGTCTTACGTCTGCACACTTCTGTGTTACATCTATCTTTATCTATTTTTTCAACCATTTCAAAACATTTCATACTGATCTTCAGAGTTCCTGTTCCTTAGTTACATTCTTGTATATTGCTGACTTCATATTACGGGTTTCTCCCATCTCCTATAGGTCATAAATAAAACTTAGTATTCCGCTGTTGTATTATTAAGTTTTAAGTTCTACTTTATGATTATTATTGTGATTGCACATATAAGGTTTCTGTATCAGATATATTAATTATTGATTCTTACATAAAACTTATGCCATCTCTTTTTGCCTTCAGTTCTTATTACTTGGGCAAGGTGCTGATAACCGTGGCATCCTACACATGTCAGAGTCTGTACCACAGATGAAGAACATGAAAATATGAAATATTTTTGCTTAGATGAGTGCTGCTCCCCTTCACCCTAAAGAAAGGGAGAAAAATCTTCCCTCCAAAAGAAGAATCTTGAGTTCTTACTTTAATTTAGAGTGTAAATAAGTATATCCATAGGAAAGGTAAATCCCAGGACTCATACCTCTCCTTGAAATTTAAAATATAGCTCTGAAGAGGTGAATCTACATGGAGTTCTCTCTGTTTAATCAGTCATAAATTCCATTCCAAGGCTCATTCTTCTAATTCTGATTTCAAGTTTCATTAAATATTATTAAGAAAGCACTAATAATGCAATGCAGGAACACAAACACACATATGCACACCCACCGGCATACACACACACTTCACAATTCCATTGTTACTTTATATTGAGGCTTGGAAGTTGCCATTTTTATTAGGTCACCATGCCGTGATTTCCTACTATAATTTCTAGATCATCATTAAACCACCTAAAGATAAACAATTTCTTCCTTGGAGGGTCATACCAAGCATCTCTTTCTTCATAGCCATTTCACCTCATTCAAAATAGTTACCTATATCCTTACCTTTTCTACTTCTATTAAAATTGAAACTATATGTAACAAAACTCTTCACACGTCTTGGAATAATTTTGAATTCTCTCTCTCTCTCTCTCTCTCTCTCTCTCTATATATATATATATATATATAACTATAAAACAACTAAGCTTACACTTTTGTAATGTCTTCATGTATATGATCCTTCTCTATACTCCACTTCAGTCCAATTCAGGCACCTGTAGATACAGATACTTGCAAGACCTGGTCATCCACTATACTTTTATACCTCTAAAATAATTAATTGTGCCTTCAAATATGTCTCTCTTTTATTTGTTATCACTTAACTTATCTCATTTGTATTAGTCTGTGTTACTAATCGCTGTGTCCCTTGTCTCTATTATCTTTTCTGAAAGGTCATATTATAATAGGCATGACCTGTCAACTTTCTAGCTAATAAAATTCTCTCATCTGTTCCTTAAATATCCCCATATCTTTTTCCAAAACCTCAATTCAATTTCCATGGCAGATCCTTATTTCTTCTCAAATTGTTTGTGACAAAGTAGAATATTTATTAAGTGAGAACTATTCATATCAGTGCCATTGCAAAATCTATAATAACACAAAAGCCTCCAAAGTCATTTCTCATTCATTCTAATAAGGATTTATTTCAAATTAATAATAATTTCCTTAAGATTCCTACTTTAGTATTTGCACCATCATATTTTGCAAACACTCTTGCTTCCTGTAGATATGAAAAAGAATGTAGTATAATTCTTTGTGTTTCTATCCTATTGGAGGATGCTGGTGTTTCTTTGCTTCTTCAGGCATACTGCTAGACTAAATAGCTGAACTTCTTAGTAGTTGTATGTGGCCTTGTACAATTTCTGGTCAATAAATTTGGGAAGAAGAGCTATATGTTACATTAAAGTATGGTTCCTAAAATAAATACCTTACAATATTATATTTCTCTATTTTCTCATCTCCCACCTGGCTTTAGAGGATCCACCAAAAGTTACCATGTTTCTAGAAGATAGCAGAGAAACCAAAGAAGGGGTTCTGGTTTTTGAAATAACACATTTTGCTTCCTTGTTGTTGTTATGCACTACCATGTAATAAAATATTCATTTTAAATAGTGGCTCCAAACAGCAACAGTTTATTTTATCTCATATTTCTGAGTTGACTTGGCAATGCTTTTGCTGTATGTGGTGTTAGCTAAAGGGATGGGATGGCTAAGCTCTCCAAAATGTCCTAAATTCCAGGGCTGGCATTTGCAGCCAGACATCAGCTAGGAACTCAGTTGGGCCTATAGACCAAAGAACTCAGTTTTCCTCCACATGGGCCTTTACATGTTCAAGCTTGGACTTCCTCACAGCATCCATGTCTGAGTTCTCAAAACAAGAACTTGATGGCAGGGACAGAAGCTGTGCACTCTTAAGTCCCTGCCTCACATTGTAAACATTACTACTGCTCATTTTATTAGTTAAAACAAGTCACTGAGCAAGGCCAGGTTCAAGAGGAGGAAAAAGACCCCGTATGTCAGTGGGAATGTGTCAAAGAAATTCTAGTCATCTTTATTTCAACACAGTTCACTCTCGGCTTAAAATTTATTTATAGTCTTCACACATGTAAAATACATTCATTCTTATCCAAACTCTAATAATCTCTTCTCATTACAATATGAAAGTTCAGTCTAGATCCAAGTCTAGATTCTTGTTATTTAAATGTAATTAGGCATGGAGGAGGCTCTGCAAGGTCATTCCATGTGTGTGCACATGAATTAAAGTAATATATTATCTTCATCCTAAACAGCAAATTTACTAGCAGATAGTTTTTACTATTAAAATAAATATAGGATTTGGAGTTTTGTACTTCCTTCTTTGTTGGCAGACATTCAACAGCTATTTCATCCTCTGCCTGTTGATATTAGTTAATGCTGCAGAGAATAATAAATGCAGATAAATGTGATAGAATGTGATGTATATGTATATGTATTTGTGTTTGTCTGTGTGTGTGTGTGTGTGTGTGTGTGTGTGTGTGTGTGCCTGGTATGGAGCAGCTGGATGAATTTTCTAAACAAAGTTAAATGAAAAGTTTGACCATCAGGGTAAATTTTGAGTATAGAGCCAAAGGAAGTGAGATAGCAAGCCATGCAGAAATTGGAAAGTGACAGAAGTAGGAACATTTGTAAGGCCTTTCAATGATCTAGATGAGAAACATTCGTGGCTTAGACCAGAGGATAAACTTGGCAGAGTAAGAAGAGATGAAATTCTGAACATTTTTGAAAATACTGTCCACAGATTTTCTGATAGATAGCATGGGACAAGGGAGAGGAAGAAGTCAAGGAAGAATAACACCAATAATTTTTCCATGATGAATTTGAAGAATGGGTTGTCATTAGCTGACTTGGGAGAAAATCTGCAGGGTAAACAAGTTTTGGTTAAAAGATTAAAGTATAAGTTTTTGATATGTTAAGCTTCTAATTCTTACTAGATTTCTAATAGAAATTGCCAACAATACTAGGCTTTTGGACATTTGACGCTGAAATTCTGGTCAAATATGGGTGACTACTCAAATAAAATGAGGATTAAGGATGGACCATTGGCTAAAGCAATGTCAAAGTTACCCGCATTCTTGAGAGAGCCATTTGAGTGGAGTGCTGGAGGTAGAAATCTGGCTCCAGTTCATTCACTCAGAATTAAAAGACAAAAACTGGAAATGCTGTATTTTGACCACTCTTCCATCTACAGCGTTAAGAAAGAACTTCGCAGTTTCTGCTGATGCCCTGAAGCAGATTTGTAAATTTTTAATAGCATACCATCACAAAGAAAGTTTTCCATTGTCTAGTTCATTATAGAACATTTAGATGTGATAATCTAGAGGTATTATCCACATGTGGAGAAACTAAACAAGTTTACAAAGAAGTTAGAATTATATCCTGATATAGGAAGTGGTAATACATTATGAAATATTCAATCAAAAGACTTGTTCAGAGTAATTCTGATATTTTAAGAAGAATTATCTGAAAATAAAGCTGCCTGATTGAAGGTTAAAAGGCCGAATCCATTATAGGACTTTTCTTTTTAAAACTCTCACTAGCCAAGAATAGTTTACAGATCTGGACATAGAAACACAAAGTTCTGAATTAAAATGTTAAGAAAAGAAAAAGTCATTTCTTTTCTTTATTTCCTTTGACAGAGAATTATATTTCAACTAATTAGTCCATTGTATGAGTAGACATACTAGATACAAGTTAAGTGCTTCTGAAGCTGGAGTAGATGATTCAACATTTTTTGAATTGTTAGAGCTTAGATCCAGAGGTGCTTTTTTTTTTTTAGAGGAATCTTTGCTGTGTCACCCAGGCTGGAGTGCAGTGGCGTGATCTCCACTCACTGCAACCTCCACCCTCTGGGTTCAAGTGATTCTCCTGCCTCAACCTCCCAAGTAGCTGGGACTACAGGCATGTGCCACCACACCCGGCTAATTTTTTTATTTTTAGTAGAGATGGGTTTTTGCCATGTTGGCCAGGCTGGTCTGGAATTCCTGACCTCAGGTGATCCAACCATCTCGGCCTCCCAAAGTGCTGGGATTGCAGGCATGAGCCACCGCCCCCAGCCCCAAGGTTATTTTTAATGTGGTCTTTTAATTGGTGAATTCATGCTCTGATATTCAGTGGTTTTCATATAGTAGGGATTGAAAATGATCAGGGAGGACTGAGTTTATACAACCTTTTAAAATTTTCGAGGTAGGAGCCTGACATCATGCTGCCTTCCTAGGCTTCTCAAAGTTTCCAAGTCCGGAGTTCCTTAGGTCATCCTCCTACTATAATATTATATGCCTGAAAATGTTCATTGATCATCTTTTCCTGCCTATATGCGTTCTTGCTCATCAAAATTGCATTGCAGCTGATTTCAATTAATTGCTAGAAGTTTGGTGATAATTATTATTATTGCTGTTATTATTTTGTGTCTTGTGGAGATGGCAGGGTCTTGCTGTGTTGCTCAGGCTGGTCTTGAACTCCTGGCTTCAAGTGATACTCCAGCCTGGGCTTTCCAAACTGCTGGTATTATAGGTGTGAGCCACTGCACCCAGCCTATGTTTTAATAAGTGTTAATTTAGGGTAAATAAATATGTTTCAAGTTAAGTCATTATTTGACAAATGTCAATTTTATAAAATTAGTTTTATTTTGTTCCAAGAAAAAAAAATCGATATCTATACACATTTTATAAATTGGGACAAATATCCCAATGAAAAAATTTGTATAACTTTATTAACATGAAATATTTAATATCTTTAACATATTTGAATCTCAATAACATAAAGATAGCTTTCTAATATTTCCTTTTGAATTGTTATAGATTTCAGTTTATATCATAACACTGAGCAGTCTTAAACTTTCTAATCCCTTTATTATAAGAAAAGCAACAGAACAAGCAATTGAAAACAGGCAGTGAATAAATACTAAGCCTAATCATTCTATGGGAATTTGAATGTTGAAAGATAATACTATTTCCTTCTAAATGAATTACTAATAGATTTTTTACTCATAGAAACTTAGGCCATAGAAAAATGAAAGAATTTCAGCCTGTGGGAAGAAAAAAAGGCATTGGTTAGAAAGAGAAATAGGTATTTTTCTAAATTATATGTCTATTTTCTTTAGCAGTATGCCTGGAATGTACTACTGAATTTGCTTGTCTTGGTTCTCTACATGATTTTACTCAATAAATTTTGAAGCCATTTATTCATCTAATTTTTCTTTTAATATTCATTTTCTGCTTGCTGGATGATGTGGGATACAACCATAAAGGAAAGAGTTTTGTCCCCCAAAATATATTGGGAATGAAAATATTTTTAAGTAAAAAGTAGATTTACAACACAGTACATGAAGTAGTATAATAGCAATATGCATAAAGGTTGGGTATGTAATTCAGATTATGGGTGAGGAGTCATGGGGAGATACATCATGAAAAGTCTTCCCATGTAAAGGGATGACTTGGCCGAGACCTCGAGAACAAGAAACTAGAAGTCCAAGACAAGTATATGTTTGAATGTTTAGGACAGAGATAGAGCATGGCCCATTAAGGGAATGGAGTGTAACTAAATATTGCTGTAGCCTGTCATTTGAAAGAACCTAGTAGTAAGTATTAAGGTGGGAATAGTAAGCAGGATGAAGATGATTAAAGGTATCCTTGTTAAATCAGTTTAAAAAAAATTTTTTTGAGACAGGTTCCAGCTCTGCTGCTCAGGGTGGAGTGCAATAGCACAATCACAACTCACTGTAGCCTCAACTTTCAGGTTTAAGCAATCCTCCCACCTCAGCCTCCCAAGTAGTTGGGAGAACAGGCACATGGCATCATGCCTGGCTAATTGTTTTACTTTTTGTGGAGATGGAAACTGATTATGTTGCTCAGACTGGCCTCAAGCTTCTGAGTTTAAGCAATCCTCCTGCCTCAGCCTCCCAGAGTGCTGGGATTACAGACATGAGCCACCACACATGGCCAAAAGCTTTCATCTTTATCCTAAAAGCAGCACAGCAGAAATATTTTAAGCAGAAGTGTCATGTTAAGCTTACTTATTCTGGATGGCTAAATGGTGACATTTCCATAGGAATGATCAAATGAAAAAGCACAATTTGTTGTCTGGCCTGTGTTGACTAATCTCACCTCACTGACTTAAGTAATATGACATAGTATATGATTTGAGTGATAGTGTGTACATCTATCTATCTATTGATCGATCGATCGATTGATCTATCAACTGTCTAACCACCATATTAGGTGTCTAAAATAATACCATTAATACTGTGCACTGCTCATCTTGGATATTTTTTTAAAAGCCAAGAAACAGTTAAAGATTGCTTAGCACAGAAATTGCAGGTTTATTGCTTCCACATCAAAGTTATACTAAGGGATTCTCATTTTACCTGTCCTTGCAGGGAGAGGAAAGGGAGAGAGTGAGGGATTGAACAAAAGAAGTATTCACATGGATCACTCTTACATTTAAGAGGTAGATCTGTACCACAGTTTCATGAAAGAGAACTATCAAGCTTGGGACAAAAAAAAAAAATCTCTGTTCTTACTTTATTCTATTATGTGTTGAGATATGGATGATGGATGGACCCTCTATAAAAGACATTTTTAAACCTTCGTCTCAACCTCATATGTGTTTAGACTGGGGGAGACTGGTAGGACAAAAAAGCAAACGAGGAAGAAATGGAAACTCTTTTAGCATCCAGTTATATTTCAGAAGGTACAGTTGAAAAGAGACTAGTGTACAACAATCCCTTTCAGTAAATTACAAAGTACAGTCACCAATAGCAAGGGACGCCTAGATGATCAGCCCCTGAAATGACCTCCAGATGCCTTCCATTTTGCTACCTCATTACATGTTAGAAAGGATCACATTTCAAGATACATTAATTTATTTATGCTCTGTCATGTTTCTTAAAATATGTGGAATGGCATATTATATGTCCATCTATTATAGATAGACATATGGCAAAATGATAAAATATAAATTTAAAGGAAAAGGATCAGAAAATAACATGAATTAAAGAATAATTTCTTGGCCCAGCACGGTGGCTTGCACCTACTCCCAGCTACTCCACAGGTTTAGGTGGGGGGATCACTTGATGCCAGGAGTTTGAGATCAGTCTGAGCAACATAGCAAGTCCATGTCCCTAAAACAAAACATTTTTCATTAAAAAAAAAAAAAGAATAAGTTTTAAACTTAGAGATAAACTTGATCACAATTATAGAAAAAACAATTTTGAATTCAATTGCTATAAAATGCAGCTTAAAATAGGCTTTGGTTATTTTGGTAGTCAAAATGAAAATAATAAACAGTCTTTTTAGATAGTTCTTATTGTTAATAAAGAGGTGTTGCATCAGCTCTCAAGAAAAAAAAAAAAAAGTCTTGCCATGTAGTTATAACAACAAATACTGTTCTCTGGTATCTCTTATCTGAAAAAAAAAAAAAAGGAAAAAAAGAAAAGGATAATCAAGATAATTATCTTCTGAATTCTTTCCTTTTCATTTCAGTGCAAATTGTCTTGGGTTGTCTAAGAACAACGCTTTCTCAGGCCCCCTTCACTCCCTCCAGTTGGGCTTTCATCCTATCATTTATGTCAAGTTAATTTCGCCAGAGTCACAGGCTTAACATTAAGATGCCCTTTGTTTTTAGGTTTTGACAATGTCAAAATCATCCTAACTTTTATTTAATCTTATTTAAAATTTCTGAAAAATGGATAGTTCATTATAGTAGTCATGATAAATAAAACCAGCTTCAGGATTTTATAGCACTTTTAAGGAAAAAAGAAAGGGAAAATAAAAAATACATATACTAGGAATATCACTAAAATGATACAAATTTACATCTTTCATGAACACAAAATATTTCCTGCATAGTAGAAACAAACACAGTTGATCCTGTAGAATTTTCTCAAATAATATTTTTAAAAAATAAATAGAATGATGTATTGCTTAATGATGTAACTATGTTCTAGGAATGTGTTGTGTGACCATCATAGGAGGTACTTACAGAAACCTAGATGGTATAGCCTACTACACACCTAGACTATATGATATAGCCTATTGCTCCTAGGCTACAAGCTTGTACAACATGTTACTGTACTAAATACTGTAGGCAAATGTGACACACAATAAGTATTTGTATGTCTAAACATATCAAAAGATAAACATTTTACAGTAGAAATAAGGTATAATGGATTAAAAAATAGTATACCTAAAAAGGACATTTATAATGAATGGAGCTTGCAGTACTGGAAGTTGCTGTGGGTGTCAGTGAGTGAGTGGTGAGTGAATGCAAAGGCCAAGAACATTACGGTAAACTACTGTGGACTCTGTAAACACTGCACAATTAGACTATACTAAATGTATTTTAAAATTTTTATTTAATAATAAATTAAACTTAGTTTATAAGCTTTTTCACTTTATAAACTTTAAAAATTTTCTAAAATTTTTTACTCTTTTGTAATAACATTTGGCTTAAAACACAAACACATTGCACAGCAGTACAAAATTTTTCTTTCTTTATATTCTTATTCTATAAGCTTTTTTCTTTTTCTTTCTTTCTTTTTTTTCTTTTTTTTTTTGAGATGGAGCTTCGCTCTTGTTGCCCAGGCTGGAGTGCAATGGTGCAATCTCAGCTCAGTGCAACCTCTACTTCCCGGGTTCAAGAGATTCTCTTGCCTTAGCCTCTCGAGTAGCTAGGATTACAGGCACACACCACCACGTCCAGCTAATTTTTGTATTTTTAGTAGAGATGAGGTCTCACCATGTTGGCCAGCTGGTCTCAAACTCTTGACCTCAGGTGATCCACTCGTTTGCTCTCCCAAAGTGCTGGGATTACAAGCGGGAGCCACCACTCCTGGCCTATAAGCTTTTTTTCTATTTTTAGTTTTTTTAATAAACTTTTTTGTTAAAAACTAAGGCACAAAAGCACACATTAACCTAGGCCTGTATAGGGTCAGGATCATCAATATCACTCCTTTTCACCTCCACAGCTTGTCCTGCTGAAAGGTTTTTAGGGGCAATAACATGCATGGAACTGTCATCTCCTATGATAACCATGCCTTATTCTGGAATACCTCCTGAAGGACCTGCCTGAGGCTGTTTTACAGTTAACTTCTTTTTAATAAGTAGAAGGAGTACACTGTAAATTAATTATAAAAATTTTAGTATGGTAAATACACAAACCAGTAGAATAGTTGCTTGCGATCATTACCGAGTATTATGTACTGTATATAACTGTATGTGCTACACTTTTATTTGAGTCCCAATTTAGTGGGTCCATTGACACCAGAATCATCACATACACTTGAGTAACATATTTCACTATGATTTTACAATGGCTATATCATCACTAAGTGATGTAAGTTTTTCAGCTCCATTATAATCTAAGGACCATCATTCTATATATGCTCTATCATCAACTGAAACGTCATTATGCTGTGCATGACTCCCAGTAACCTCCTTGGCATTTACTCAAGTAAATTGAAAACTTACAAAGGCAGAAACCTGCACTTGGGTGATTGTAGCATCTTTATTCATAACTACTCAAACTTAGAAATAATATGTTGATTATATTATTTCTAATATATATAGATGAATAAGTAGATGAATAAGATGGATACACTGTAGTACATCCAGGCAATGGAATATTATCCAGTGCTAACCACAAATGAGCCATCACAGTTTCTCTCTTATTTTTGCTTGTATAAAATCTGTTATTCACAGAGAAACCAATGAGTTCTATTAAAATTGGAAATCAGATCTTGTCATGTCTCTTGCTGAAAATTCCACACTGGTTTCCCATCCCATTTAGAATAATTTCGCAACTGTTTACCAAGGTGTATAATGTCAAACCTGACCTTCTCTCAGCTGATCTCTGAGATCTGATCTTCTGCCACGCTTCCTTTCTCCCACTTAGAGGCACACATTCTGGTCTTCTAACTTACCATGAGTTATGCCAAACTCTTTTCCATTTTAGTGACCTTGCACTAATAACTCCATCTGTCAATAATGAGTTTTATGTAACCTTTGTATGTCTGCCTCCTTCATGACATTTAGGCCTCAGTTTAAATATAATCTACTTAGAGATATCATCTTTAATACCCAATATAAAGTATTACTCAGTGGTTATCTCTTCTCACTGTAAATATTTACATATTTTCCCCTTACATATTATTAGTTCATATATTTGTTCCCTTCTCTATAATTTTGTCTTCAAAGAGTAGAAACTATCTAATTTATCAATGTATTTGAGATGTAAAACAAAGTGCCAAGTCTGCAGGAAACAATAAATATTTGCCAAATTGATGAAAGTGGATGTGCATAAATCATTCTTTATAGGGAAACTTAATAGAGCACTGTGTTGTAATGGGCAGTGTTTTCATCAAAACTCCCTCAGGAAAAAAAGCTTTCAAAAGGCTTTGCAGTTGCTATTTTGTCTTATTGTGTTTGTTTGCTTTTAAGACAGCAATCCTCAATAGAAGTGGAGGAATAAATACCAAAATACTCCAGAAAGACTCAAGATAATATGATTTATGTTATTGGTTACTATTAGCCTGGATTAATGTAAAATATAAGACTTAAAATATATAATCAAGCTTTTTAAAAGTTTGTAATCAATAAACATGACGACTAGATAAAAAGTCCTTCAGCAAAAATACATACTCAAATGCAATGTGTGCTCAAATTTTCATACAATTTCAGCAGGTTCACATTCTATGTAACATATATTTATTATCTTCTTTCACTGAATGATAAAATCTAACAGAATAAAATCCATATTAGTTTATGTTATCACTGGTAAAGGTCATATGCTCTCAAAGTAAAATGTAAAGAAAGTTTTTAAGCAGTCACCTTGGGGTTGTATTATCTGTTAGGAGTTGTATGTAATCTGTGACATTAGCAATTAAACATACACTGTAAAAGTGAGCCCAAAATTTCTTTAACAAATAGTAAATGCTTTTACTGTAAATACTGTATTAAACTCTGGGGACTAATGGGTACTATAAAATGAATTTAAAATAATAGATTCCTTAAGAATTGTATAATCCATAAGTCAAAATAGACATAGAAACATATAACTCTAATTATTAAATATATATAATAACTGATTTATACACAGGATATTTTAGTACCATGGTGACTATATTGACTCAACTAGGACCATTGCAGAGAGTGATATTAAGTTTTTCTGACATAATTCTTCAATAAACTTAATTTAAAAAAAATATAAAGGAGAACAATGTACAGAGAGTTTAGAATAATTAGTATAAAAATTTTTATAAACATGCTTATCACACACATATGCAAACAGTTGAGAATGAATTTTAAAATCAAGATAGCAATATATGGACTGGAAGATAGGTCACTCAAATAATTTAAGTAGGAATGATATAGCAGTTGTGGTTGTATTTTCGGTAGATCATTCTGACTGTATTTTGGAGACTGAATTCAAATTATCCTTGGGACTAGGGGTAGAATACAGAGTCAAATACAATCATCCTGGTTGAAATGGTTAAGGCCTGATTTAGGTAAATAGTAGTTGAGAAATATGATGTATTAGTTTTCTAGGGTTGCCATAACAAAGTACTAGAGATTGGGTAGCTTAAACAACAGAAATTAATTTTCTCACAGTTCTGGAGGTTAGAAGTCCAGTATCATGGTGTTGACTGTAGTGGTTTAATTCTCTCTGCTTGGCTTGAAGATAGCCACCTTCTTCCCTTGTCTTCACATGGTGCTTACTTGTGCATGTAAGTGTCCTAAATCCCTTCTTTTCATAAGGACACTAGTCATAGTAGAATCTGGCTCATCTCAAGGACCCAAGTTAACCTACTTACTTCTTTAAAAACTGTGTCTCCAAATATGGTCACATTCCAAGAAAATGGGGAAGGAAGTCGCCATAGGAACTTTGGAGGGACACAACTAAGTCCCTAATATATGAAAAAGAATTACTTTAGTAAATACTTAAAGGAATTAAGGGAAGATGGAGTAATGGTTTGAGTCTGGACATATAAAAATGTCATTATTGCAACCACATTTCTCTCTCTCTTGATTGGTAGGTAGGTAGATAGATAGATAGATAGATAGATAGATAGATAGATAGATAGAAAGATAGATAGATGTATAACATATAATATTTCTACCAATCTTTACTTTTTGAGAAATACAACATCAGGGCGAATTTTTTTTTGCTAAAAGCAAGTGATTCTTACTATGAAGCAGGAGAGCAAATGCCAAATCAGAATAAAACCAAGAATCAGGAAGAATGACCAAGGTAGTAGTTCTCACCTTGGATGCACATTGGAATCACATGAAGAGTTTCTAAAAACATATTTATGCCAGGGTTCCACCTCAGCACAATTAACTACCAACCTATTGGGTGAAAACTGAGCCACAACAGTTTCCAAAATCTCCCGATGATCCCAGAGTGTAGTGAGGATTAAGAGCCACTGGACTGGAAGAACAATGTGAAGAGAAGAAGTAGAATGACAAAGCAACTGGAATAAAATTGGAACTTGTAAGGCCTCATCAGATTTCATGGTGCAACTAGGAATCAACATAGACTGAGCAAGTTCAATGTAAGGGGCAGGATTACAGAAAACAGCTTATGCAACAGAGGGCCTAGCCAGGAAGAACTTCAAAAAATATGCCATTGTTTCCATGACTGTAAACACCATGAGCCTATAACCTTAAAACAAATTATATGTTATTGGATGAATCAACCCAAGTGCTTTTATTAATGACATGTTTGTGTGCACGTGTGTGCATGTGTGTAACAACATGTTAATGTTTGTGATTTTAACATTGAAGTCTCTTCAAGCATCAAGATAATATTTGCGGCCAGGAGCGGTGGCTCACGCCTGTAATCCCAGCACTTTGGGAGGCCGAGGTGGGTGGATCACAAGTTCAGGAGTTCGAGACCAGCCTGACCAAAATGGTGAAACACCATCTCTACTAAAAATACAAAAATTAGCCGGGCATGGTGGTGCAAGCCTGTAGTCCCAGCTACTCAGGAGGCTGAGGCAGGAGAATTGCTTGAACCCGGGAGGCAGAGGTCACAGTGAACCAAGATTGCCCCACTGCACTCTTGCCTGGGTGACGGAGCGAGACTCCATCACAAAAAAAAAAAAAGGTAATATTTGTATATTTGCTCCTGCACAATGCACCACAGCAGAAAAGTCTGTGTGGAAATAAACATTGGAAATCTAGGAATTGAAGGGGATCAGCCATCCGAAGCATGGGCTGAGTTTTCAACAAGGGATGTGCATAAAATCAACTCCCTCCAAAAAAAAGTCAATATCAAGCCTAACCCAGAGAGCCAGTCAGGTACATACTTCCCCAACAATGTTATTTCTCTTCTTTCTCTGCCCTCCATTTCACCTGGAAGAGTCACAGTTAAGAGTCACCAAGTAATGGAAGAAGTGAGCAAAAATGGGAAAGCAATCCCACAGCTTCCGCAAAGTCTGACTCCCATGAGCCACAGGCCTGGCTAAGGGAAAGAAGAAAACTTCTTGTTCACTGAAGCATAGAGGGCTAATTAAAGATATTGGAACAGAGTTGTAATTCCTGAATTGAGTATGTGTTTTGTAATTTGTGGTGACCATAGGAATTTTGGTTAAACTAAAAGAATCCATAAAAGTTATAGGATCTACTTAAGTTTCATACAGAGAAACAGGAAGAATTATTTTTATTTTGTATTTTATAAGTTAAAAGAGACACTCTAGGAACAAATTCTTTTTAATTACACCCTGTTATAATAAGCAAGGAAAACAAGCACAAGAAGAGATGTGGCCCAACAAAATCTCTTATCCAAAACACTGGCAGATCAGAGTTGGTTTCTAGTGAACAGATGATACAAATTATATAAGGTGACAAGAATTCCCCTGCAGAAAATAAAACAATACTGTAACTTCCTTTTTGATGGCCAATATCATTAAATGCATTAGAATAGTCCCAGTTGAGAATCATTGTTATGAAGCCTTCATAGAGTAACTCAATATAAAGGAAGCTGCATTCTGGAAGATAACCTGGGCTCAGAAAATAAAAAGAAAAATCTTGTTTTATTTTAGTTTGGCATCTGGTTAAGGTGGGAGACTCTGGCTGAAGTCAAAAAGTGATGCCGTTTATAGATTGTGTGTGGACCACAGTAACTGGCCACATGTGAACTAATGTAGCTCTAATCTTAAAATCAAACTAGAAAACACCAGTGAAGGCTCTAAGTCCTGGCCCAGAGAAAGTTCAAAAGACTATTGAATAAGCTTCTATGAGTGATGTGATTAATTTTTAATGTCAATGTTACATGGCAAAGTAACAGTATTGATAGTGTTGGCTTTATCAGCTCCCATCTTCCTCACTTTGGAAGGAGATCTTAACCTCTTTGGACTAAATAACCCTGAATTTCTAGATTATCATGGCTTCATAAAAAGCTTCATAAAAAATGATAAAAAATTAAAAAGAAAAAAGTAAAAATGTAGATTTTCTGACAACTTTTGTAAATGCAGACTACAGCTATTAGTTGAGTTAAAAAGGAAGCAAAATACAAATGTGATTATTTCACAAAATACTGAAGCCTACCATAATAGCTACATAGAGAAGCTTGTACCTCTTTAAGTGTCCATTACTTTTTTCCTAGTGTACTTCTAAAACTCTGTGTGTATATATATGTTTGTTTTGCTCTTCTAAAATTCTGTGTGTATATACATGTTCACACTATATACTATACTATATACTATATAGACTAGATACTATATATACTGTACAGTTAATACATTTATTTTAAAAACAAATACTTATTTTCTTTATCCAGTCTAATATTGATGGGCATTTGGGTTGGTTCCAAGTCTTTGCTATTGTGAATAGTGCTGCAATAAACATAAGTGTGCATGTGTCTTTATAGGAGAATAATTTATAATCCTTTGCGTATAGATCCAGTAAGGGGATTGCTTGGTCAAATGGTATTTCTAGTTCTAGATCCTGGAGGAATCGCCACACTGTCTTCCATAATGGTTGAACTAATTTACACTCCCACCAACAGTGTGAAAGCGTTCCTGTTTCTCCACATCCTCTCCAGCATTTGTTGCTTCCTGACTTTTTTTTTTTTTTTTTTTTTTTGAGACAGAGTCTCGCTGTGTTGCCCAGACTTGAGTGCAGTGGCACGATCTCGGCTCACTGCAAGCTCCGCCTCCTGGGTTCACACCATTCTCCTGCCTCAGCCTCCCCAGCAGCTGGGACTACAGGTGCCACCACCACGCCTGGTTAATTTTTTTGTATTTTTAGTAGAGATGGGGTTTCACTGTGTTAGCCAGGATGGTCTCCATCTCCTGAGCTCGTGATCTGCCCGCCTGGGCATCCCAAAGTGCTGAGATTACAGGCATGAGCCACCATGCCTGACTTGTTTCCTGACTTTTTAATGATCGCCATTCTAACTGGCATGAGATGGTATCTCAGTGTGGTTTTGATTTGCATTTCTCTAATGACCAGTGATGATGAGCTTTTTAATATGTTTGTTGGCTGCATAAGTGTCTTATTTTGAAAAGTATCTGTTCATATCCTTCACCCACTTTTTGATTTTTTTTTTTTCTTGTAAGTTTGTTTAAGTTTCTTGTACATTCTGGATATTAGCCCTTTGTCAGATAAATAGATTGCAAAAATTTTCTCCCATTCTGTAGGTTGCCTGTTCACTCGATGATAGTTTCTTTTGCTGTGCAGAAGCTCTGTAGTTTACTTAGATCCCATTTGTCAATTTTGGCTTCTGTTGCAATTGTTTTTGGTGTTTTAGTCATGAAGTCTTTGCCCAGGCCTATGTCCTGAATGGTATTGCCTAGGTTTTCTTTTAGGGTTTTTATGGATTTAGGTCTTACATTTAAATCTTTACTCCATCTTGAGTTAATTTTTGTATAAGTTATAAAGAAGGTGTCCAGTTTCAGTTGTCTGCATATGGCTAGCCAGTTTTCCCAACACCATTTATTAAATAGGGAATCCTTTCCCCATTGCTTGTTTTTGTCAGGTTTATCAAGGATCAGATGGCTGTAGGTGTGTGGTGTTATTTTCGAGGCCTCTGTTCTGTTCCATTGGTCTATATATCTGTTTTGATACCAGTATCATGCTGTTTTGGTTACTACCATGGAATACTATGTAGCCATAAAAAGGAATGAGTGCATGTCCTTTGCAGGGACGTGGATGAAGCTGGAAATCATAATTTTTCAGCAAACTAAGATGGCAACAGAAAACTAAACAACCTATGTTCTCGCTCATAAGTGGGAGTTGAACAATGAGAACACATGGACACAGGGAGGGGAACATCACACATCAGGGCCTGTCGGGGGTTGGGGGGCTAGGGGAGGGATAGCATTAGGAGAATACAAATGTAGATGACGGGTTGATGGGTGCAGCAAACTGCCATGGCACATGTATACCTATGTAACAAACCTGCATGTTCTGCACATGTATCCCAGCACTTAAAGTATAATAAAAAATAATAATAAAGAAATACTTATTATTTATTTACTTTTAATAATGTTCTCCTTTTCTATTTTTTTCAGTAAAAAGAGAGAGTATTCCCTCCAGACAAAGGCTTTCAAGCAACCACAGGAGAAAATGCCCTGTGTAGGGATAATGAATATTAATCTAAAATAATTTTTTCTAATATATGGTTTAATTCCATCGCATTTCAGTTTCTCTGTTTAGAGGCACACTTTGGTCTGAATGTAGTCTATTAGAGTGTTACCCTAATGACTTATCATTAACAATTATACACTTTAAGGGACTGAACCCTTCTGAAAAGAAGCTTATTTGGTCATTCTCTGTAAGTATGTTCACATGTGAGTATCACAATACTCATAGTACACATATGAGGTCATAGTATCATGTGTTCCCCAACTTCCTTTATCCCCCCTTCTTTCCTCCAAATTCTACTTATTTTGTTCATACATTTCCTTCAAACCTGTGGTTTTGTATCTCCTACAAGTCTGTGTAATAACAGGGAGGCACAGGAGCACATTAGGAAACAGAATAAAGTGGGGAAGACCTAAATGTGTTCCATCAGAAAAGGGATCTGAATTTATATATCTGAGCCTAAACTTGAAAAAAAAAGTTTTTACTTAAAAATATCATCTCAGCCTTGGAGTTTCCTCTCATTAAAAGGCAGAAAATCTTTAGCAAGAACAGGAAAAGAACAATAAAAAGATTATGCAGCTCTGGAAACAAGCATGTATACTGAAAAGATAATATTTGTTTGTTTTAAAAGGCTAACAGATTTAATCTAACGACATAACCACACGTGCAAAGTGAGTGCATTCCACAGCATGACTGAAGTGTAGTTTAAGCTCTCTTAACAACTGATGATTGCATCCAGACTGATCCAGTCCCGATACGTATGAATAACGAAGATAACCAAAAGAATTATTGCATTTGCTGCAACTGTTAGCAGCAGTGAATCAGTTTGGATGAATGGCAACCTCAATTTTTGCCTCCTCAGGAGAAATAATTCAACCAGAGGGCATAAGGCAGATGGAGAGACTGAGGCAAGCTTTAGAGCAGGATTGAAAGTTTGTTAAAAAGTTTTAGAGCAGGAACCAAAGGAAGTACACTTGGAAGAGAGCCAAGAGGGCAACTTGAGTGATGCAAGTACTTGATTTGACCTTTGACTTGAGGTTTTATACATTAGCATTTCGCATGCTCAGTGGCCTGCCAGCACTTGAGAGGGGCCATATGTGAACTTCAGTATGTTCACTGAAGTTGTATGCACGCTCACTTGAAGCATTCTTTCCTTACCAGTCAAATGTTCCTAGGGGAAGGTCATATACCAGCGAAACCCTGGCAGAGGGAGTCTAATTGAGCTGATTAACACAAGCCGCCTGCGGATTGCAAAACTGAAAGAGCACATTGTAACACATGCCCACTGGGGCTTCTGGAGCTATAAACACTCAATCCTAGACTCTGCAGTGGGGTCCGGACCCCCAAAATACCCCCCATGACCTGCCCATCTGCATGCTCCCCCTAGGCGTTTGAGCATTGGGGCACCTAAGAAGCTAGCCTCACCCCTGTCGCATACCCTGGAGGGGGATAAGGGAACTCCTCCCATTTCAACATTTCATAACAGACAAAGAAATTCACTTATCACTTAAACCTGTTTCTCATTTTTGCCCCACCTTAAGATAGGTCTAGGAAGGCTTTTGTAGCAGAGGCCTTATAGTACTTTTACCACATTTCAACCTTGCTCTGATTTGAACCAAATCTGTAGGAGGTGATTCCATAAAATGTTAGATTCCTCTCATAGCTGGCAGGTTTTTTATCTTAAACCAGAGTACTTTATCGTTTCTCATTCTCTTCCAGGGCTTTCTCCAAGCCCATAGAAGTTTAGTTTGCTCAATTTCTCCTCAATTTCCAGAGCTCAGCCGGTTCTTAAACCTAGATCTCATTGATTAAGAGGGAGACTAAGATCTTTTAAGAAAAAATTGTAAAATATCACTGTAAATGTAACTATAAATTTATGTAAATACGTAAATACAAATCCTGTCTTCATCCAAGCTAGTCAGTTCTCCAAATAGTAAATTCATACCCCAACCGCTTTCCTTATCAGGTTCTCAAATCCAAGGTCACTATGCACCCATCTTAATCATCCTGAGACCAGATGCCAGACAACTCTTCCCTAGAGCTTATTAAATTATTCAAATTAGCCAGTCCAAAGGGAAGTCTGGAAGCCTAGATAAACTCCTGTCACTTACTCATAAGCTGTCTCCTACAATTACAACTTGTTGTTACATTGCATTCAGGTGCAACTCTGTGTGGCTTTGCCTGGTGGCCTTCTCTTTTGATTCTGTGTCAGAATCCTGCCTTCTTCTATCCAAGTGTCAATGTGTTGGCTTCCACCATTAAAAATGATCTCTACATCTTAAAAAAAAATGCATACTGTAAATGTTTCCTATTTCCCAAAGGAACTTGTAGCTTTCAACCAGAGTTAAAGAAAGGGAATCAAAGAAAGGGAATGTCCAGACCTTTCAAAGGCTGTGGGAGACAGGTTCTGTAACCACATTAATATTGGGGAACCCACAATGCATATGGTTCCCAGTTAGACTGGTGTTTCTAAAAGCCAGATGGTGTTTAGAGTTCTGGTTGAAGTTCACCTCACTTAGGGTTCACATAGTTTCTTAGTCCATTCATGGGACAAATAATCTTTTTTTTTTTTTCTTAATTTCAACTTATTTTAGATACAGAAGGTATGTGTGCAGGTCTGGTACATGGGAATATTGTGTGATACTGAGGTTTGGGGTACAGATCCCGTCACCCATGTAGTGAGCATAGTACCCAATAGGTAGTTTTTCAACCCGTGCCCTCCTTCTTTCTCTGCCTAGTAGTCTGCAGTGACTTTTATTTCCATATTTATGTCCATGTATGTTTGACATTTAGCTCCCACTTAGAAATGAGAACATGCAGTATTTGGTTTTCTGTTCTTGTGTTAATTTGCTTAGTATTATGGCCTCCAATTGCTTCCATGTTGCTGCTGCAAAGGACATGATTTCATTATTTTTTATTGCTGCATAGTATTCCGGGATGTATATGTACCACATTTTTTTTTTTTTTGAGATGGAGTCTTGCTCTGTAGCCCAGGCTGGAGTGCAGTAGAGTGATGTCAGCTCCCTGCAAGCTCTACTTCCCAGGTTCACGCCATTCTCCTGCCTCAGCCTCCCGAGTAGCTGGGACTACAGGCACCTGCCACCATGCTCAGCTAATTTTTTGTATTTTTAGTAGAGACGGGGCTTCACCAGGTTAGCCAAGATGGTCTCGATCTCCTGACCTCGTGATCCGCCCGCCTGAGCCTCCCAAAGTGCTGGGATTACAGGTGTGAGCCACAGCGCCCGGCCATGTACCACATTTTTAAAATTCAGTCTACCACTCATGGGCACTTAGGTTGATTCCATGTCTTTGCTATTGTAAATAATGCAGGGATGAAGAGTACATGTGTCTTTTTGATAGAATAATTTATTTTCTTTTAGGTATATACCCAGTAATGGGATTCCTAGGTAGAATGGTAGCTCTGTTTCAAATTCTTTGAGAAACGTTTAAAACGCTTTCCGCAGTGGCTGGACTAATTTACATTCACACCAAAAGTGTAAAAGCATTCCCTTTTCTCCACAGTCTAGCCAACATCTGTTGTTTTTGGCTCTTTAATAACAGCCATTTTGACTAGTATGAAATGGTACCTCATTGTGGTTCTGATTTGCATTTCTCTGATGATTAGTGATACTGAGCATTTTTTCATATGTTTGTTGGCCACTTGCATGTCTTCTTTTCAGCAGTATCTGTTCATATCCTATGCCCATTTTAATGAGTTTATTTGTTTTTTGTTTATTGATTTAAGTTCCGTAAAGATTGTGGATGTTAGGGCTTGGGACAGGTAATCTTAATAGCTTATGGTACTCACATAATTGTATCTCTCTCTTTTTTTAGTTAAAACAATTATGGTAGGAAACACCAACAGGAAGTCCCTAGAAAATACTCCCCACCATGCTCAACATCATAAAGCTGAAGCAATACCACAACCTAGGTAGAATTGCAGAAATTAGCTCCAGCATAAAAAAATTTGAAGACCACATTAGTGGCTTACCTATATTCAATTTACTTTTCTCTGCAAAAATGGATGGCTTATACAAGATGGCAATGGACTACTATCCATGGAATCTGAGGTCAACCTCAATGGTAGCTATTTAAGCTGAACTTGGTATCTTTACTGAAACAGACCAATATAACCACTGTTGAAAAAAAAAATTCAATCACCATCAATGAAGAGGATCAAAGATGCTTGCAATTATATGAGAAGGACTATAGTGTGGGTTTACATTTCTGACAGGTGCCTAGTCTAACTCTTTTGTTCCATGTCACTGTATAATCCCTAGAAACTGATTATTTTCATGTTTTACAGGACATCCTTTAGCCAGCTAAATAAATTCCATTGTTTTAAATAGCGCTGTAATTAATTATAATTGCACTATATTAATAAATTATGGCAACGGGCAAGTAGCAAATTTGTATGCCAGAGAATGGAAGATAAAAATTATGGGCAACTGGATTAAACTTTATGAATATAATAGTCTTGGTCATATAGGATTATAGGTTAAGGAAAATTATTAAGCCTTTTTTTACCTGAAATTTTTAAAAAGTATAGCATTTGTCGGGGCTTTGTGGATTTTTGAGGCATCATATCCTGCCTATGGCAATGCTTTTCTGTTCCATTTGTTTTGTGATTTAGAAGGATGCCCATTTTTACTATGGCTCAGAGAAAGAGGGGTTCAGTTGCATTCTAAGCTTCTTATGCAATTGTGCCTCTGAACTGGCGAATTCAATGATATTCATTGTGACAGGAAGGATATGTGAAATCTGGGTCAAATCCTGATAGGACAGGTACAGAGCAGAACCTTAGGATTTTTGAGAAGGTTTTGCCTTTTAAAAGCAGCAGTTGGCCTGTATTGGGCCTTAATATAGTACCCCACCATGAGACATAATTAAACTACAAGACTAGAACTAGAAGGTCGTGAGGATGCAAGTAGGTTAGATGAACAGGTTTCCCCAGAGTTCCACACCAGGTTGCATCTCTACTTTTCCATCAACCACTCCTCATGTAGTATTTCCCATGGTCAGCTGATAGAGGAGAAAGACTTACTGCTAAGACATTCCTTGAAAGTAGAAAACTGTTTTATTTCACTTTAATTTCTATGAACTAAGGTTAACACAATATTTGATGAATTTACAATCCACTAGTGGCAATTGTGATTTTTTTCAAAATTTGTAGATACAAGTTTTTTTTCTCATTGGAAAGCAATAAAAATATTTTAGACTTAATTTTGTAAAAGGCATTATTAAATATAACACCAAAGTTTACTTGTTACTACATACATGGATTCTATTTGGACATAAATAACTTCTAAATAACAGGAAGTTATGAATGATTTATTCTTGTCAAATTTTTTCCAATAGAATTCTTTCCATTTCCTTGATGATAGTCTTTCCTGGGGCTTCAGTGCTGTATTTCCATCCTTGTGTATACCCCATGAAACCTTCTGGAATACATGAATTGGGTCTTAAATTTCTGGATGTGATCTCGTTAGTTATTGCGTATGCTTCCTCTTAACTGAAATAATTCCAGAATTTAAGTATACATGACAACTCCTTTAGTTCAAGTCATTTTATTTATTTATTCATTTACTCAACCTTAAAAATCTGAATTGAATCCTAAAAATATGTCAGATATCCTACCAGTAATTGGAGAAAGGAAGATAGATAATTCATATTTCTTCCCTTAAATCCTTCTAGTCTAGTTATAGAGAGGAGAACATAAAACAATGATGGTATGTTTTTATAAGATTATATTTATAAGGAATACTTTGACAGTGCTGATGAGGTGATGGTAAATCAGGATAGGGAGGTGTGATATTTGAGCAGAATTTTTAAGAAATGTTAGATGGTAAAAACAAAGTAAGGAAACTATTTTTAATGGATGATATAAATTTAACTCTAATAGTTATTTCCATATATCTAATGGCATTTAAACTACACTATAATGCTTTGCAATTATTCTTTTTTATTTTTAATACATGAGAAAACTGAGATTCTCTATGTTTTGCTAACTGACTTGATTTTACTCAGCTTATATGTTATGAAGTTTTCAAGAGAAACTACAGCTGGATAGTAGTTAAAGCAGTTGAAGCAGATATTTTTCAGAGCTATTGCAAGAAGGGAAAACACACCTCAGTATAGAAGTAGATATAATTCTGAATACAGCATGCACAAGTGGGAATTCATAGCAAGGAGAGGCTTGATGGATAGAAAATTTCTAAGAGGAAGTGTCAGATGTAAGGGAGGATTCTAGCTAAACCGTTAATAAGATTCTGATTGAAGACAGGCCAGGGTGATTAGATATCACCTGGGTGATGGTGGAGGATGAGGAGCCCATCAGATGTCAGGATGATCAGATAAATAGGATAGGAGATTCTTGGTAAGTTTGGATTTTACGAGGATGTGCAAGATGGGCCCAGGAGAAGTTTCAGGAGCTTAACTAAAGTTTGATCAACAAAGCATCTTTGTCAGAAGAGAGTATTTAAATTCTGGCTATAAGCCAAAAAACAGATCATGTACAAAAACGTGGACACTGGAGATATTGAAAAAATGGTGAGAATAATAAATTTTTTGAAAATGAATCATTCCTAATATTTCAATCCAACAATCTTATCAGTTACTACTTTGTACAGTTCTTATTAGATGAATAAATTCTACAGGAAGGAATTTGAAAATGCAACCTAATTATTTGATTACATTTCATTAAATACAGACTTAAAAGATCTACACAACTTCTTCACAACTTATTTTTCCCTGGCCATTATACATTAGGAAAAGTAAATTATATACAGCCCTGAGTTGTTATAGGAAAGAAGGAAGATGTGCTGGTAGGGGGAGGTCATTAATTCTTAGTGCGCCAAACCCAGAATTGGTTTGAGAATGGAAATCATATGTGCTATGTAAAAGACAAGGTGATTCCGATACACTTCCACTTATATTTTACATATTATAAAACTATCTTAATTGTGAAACCACCAGACAACATGGCTATTTTAGGTTCTATTTAAATACTATTTTGCAAAATAACTGTTATGAGGTTCTCCAGAGCAACCATCATAATTGTATTTAAAAATAAATATAAGCTTCATGTATTGAGAAAAGACAATATAAATCTGTGGCATTTGTAGAATTGCCTTAGAATATTCCATAGAATGGAAAATATAGGAAAAATAGATGGAATCCCTATCTCATAAGTCACTTAAAGCTAACCCACAGAATCTACTTTCCAATATGCTTGGGGAATAAGTCCGTATTGAATTTGTCAATTTCATTTTGCATTTATGTTGCTTGACTAATGCATTCACCAAATTTGTTTGAGGTTACTTTGCACCCAGACAATTTCTCTTGGAGCTCTTCATTCAAATCACTGTGAGAGTTATATTTAGCCTGCCAAAATATTATTTCAGCCCTCTAAATTACATTTGCACTTTTCAATTAGTTTTTTTGTCTTCTGAATTCATTTTTTAGTGAATTAAGCCACTGTAAAAAGAATACAAAAGTAACTTCAAGCTGAAATAAAATATCCCTATATAATTGTGTAAGAAAATGCTGTAATCATATTTAAACAATCACCTTTTAGTAGTCCCTGAAGTTAGCCATATGATTGGATCGTTTCTATGTGATCTACCAACTATCCAACTATTCCATTTCCCCTCTTATCCCAGTAGAATTGATGCTGCCATAATCAGAGTAATTTCCACAACTGTTAAAAGCCTAATATAAGCAGAAATAGATAGTATTTATTGAAAATAGACTACCATTTTCACATGTTCTTTTAAGAGACGTGTTCATGTGTTTTTTGTTTCATTGGTTACTCTTTATTTTATTTTATTTTTTTGTTTTCTTTTGCTTACGATGCTTTCTGCTGACTGACCTCACCAGGGAAATTTAAAATACTGCAAATTCCTTAAAATTCTTTGTTTTCTGCTGAGTATCAGGGCAACTATAATTCCAGCCTATTATTGAAAACACTGCAAACTTTCAGGACATCATCATCATCATAATGGCAGCATGAGAAAATTAAAGTTATTCAAAATGTGGTGAGTTCTGCTCATTCTTAAAGTGTTTCTAGCAAACTATTGCAAGATACAAATTACATAAAGTGGCATACCCTACAATTAAATAATTTTATGATATTCTTGACTTTAAAGAACCCCAATTAATACTAATAGAGATAAGAAGAGAACCGGATATTTATGTGAGATCTATGTATCCCAATGTTTTGAATATTTGAATGTATCCAATTCATGTCCCCCTAAGTATTATTGAAATTTCTACAAACACTATGCTTTCTCTTACTCAATATTGTATCTTCCTCATGTAAAGTAAATAATTCAGAGTGACATTCACAAGATGGCAGAATAGGAGATGCACGTACTCAACAAAAATAAGCTAGAAACTATTCAAATACAAGAATACCACCCTAAGTTAATCAGAACTCAGGGGAGACCTCCTGGGCCCACAGCATCAAGAGAAATCATAACCAGTAAAACAAAAGATGATTTAATTTTGTGCTGACCCTCCTCCAAGCCAGCATATTACCGCTCATAATTTCCCTAATCCCATGGTTTCAAAGGTGAGAAAAGGGAATTTGATATAAACACTTGATCTCTGCCTTAGTCTGGAAATCTTCACGGGGAGCCCACACCAGCCCTATCTCACAGGAGCCATTCGGAGTATCAGGAGAGCTGAACCTCTGGCACTATATGAAGGACAAAGAACAGGGCACTGAGTGCAGCAACTGGTGCAAAGATATTGGTAACTACTCTGAATTCTGATCAGCAGGGGCACCACATTGAAGGGACTGGCTGATGCCATAGTCCTGCAGGGGGCACAATCTGTGGAAAGGCCTGAATCCCTGGCATAATTTTTCACACAGCCAAGATGCTTGCGTGGAGCCTTGCCCTGGGCTGGAAACAACTAAAAGGTTTGAATTAAGTTTGGGTGGCTGCTTAAGTGTTCTCCAAACTGGAAAAAAATATCAGGGCAGCAATTTAGTTCCAGAGCAGTGTTCAAGTTCCGTTGCTTACCATAAGTCTTCCCAGACCAGAAAACAGTAGCAGGGCAATGAGTTGCTCTAGTGCAATGTTTTAGTTCTAATCTTCACTATAAGTCCTCCCTAGAACAAGGAGAGACAGCAGGCTACTGTTTAAGTTCCAATATTAAGTAAATAAGGTCTACCACCACCAATGAACACCTGCAAAACCTGGAAGAGGTCGCAGTCTCCTTATATTGCAGGTATCAGTGTAAAAAAACAAAGAATGTGTAAACTCACAGAGCTCCAGCAAGGGACCCAGAAGAATTGAAGATCTGTCAAACACTGGAAAGAGAATTCAGAATTATCCTCTTAAAGAAGTTCAGGACATCACAAGAAAATGCAGAGAAGAAATTAAATAAAATTTAGAAAACAATCTAGGAACAAAATGATAAATTTGAAAAATAAACAGGAACAAATATATATAAATCCTATAAATAAATAATACAATAATTGAATAGAAAAACTTATTAGAAAGCCTCAACAGCAGAATTGATCAAACACAGGAAATAATTCATGAACTTAAAACATATGACATTATCCAATCAGAGAAGCAAAAAGAAAAAAGAACAAGAGAATAAAGAAGGCCTGTGAGAATCATGGACACCATCAGGCAAACTAATCTCCACATAATAATTCCCAAAGGAGACAAGAGAGAAAAGAGCCTAGAATGCATATTTAAAGAAATAATGCCTGAAAAATCCCCAAATATGGAGACAGACTTCACCATGCAGGTACAGTAAGCATAAAGGCCACCAATAAAATTCAACCCAAAGAGGAAATCCCCAAGGCATATCATAATCAAATTAGCAAAATTCAAAAACAAAGAAAGAGTACTCAAATTCGCAAGAGAAAAGAAACATATTACATTCAATGAAACTCCAATATGGCTTTCAGCAATTTCTCAGCAAAAGCCTGGCAGGTCAGGAGAAAATAGAATGCTATACTCAAAGTATTGAAGGCAAAAACTGCCAACCAAAAATATAATGTTTAGCAGAGTTATCCTTCAAACACGAAGGCAAGATAAAAACTTTATCAGACAAGCAAAACTGAGGGAATTCGACAACACCAGATTTCTCTTACAAGAAATACTAACAGGAGTTCATCAGTCGGGAAGAAATGGATGCTAATATGTACTAAAAAAAAACTGAAGGTATTAAACTCACTAGTAAAAGAAATAAAACAGACTAATTTAGCATATTCTAATACTTTAATTGGAGGAATTGAACCACTTATATCTTAAATGTAAAGATTAAACAATTAAAATTAATAATAACTTCAATTGGCTATAAGATAAGAAATATAAAATTTAAATTGAAACAATAAGTCAAAATGTGCAGGAGGGGCTGTGTTAAATGTAGATTTTTTTGTTACTTTTCTTTATGATCAAAGTTATGTCGATCAGTTTAAAATAACCTGTTATAACTAAAAGATGTTTTGTAAGTTTCATTGTAACCACAAAGCTAAAACTTATAATAGATACACTAAAAATAAATAGCACTAGCATAGAATCAAAATGTACTAGTAGAGAAAAATCACTTAACCTCAGAGGAAAAAAGAAATGAAAGAGCTACAAGACAGCCAGAAAACAAAAGCCAAAATGGCAATATTGTGCCATTACCCATTAATAATAATCATGCATGCAAATAGATTAAAATAATCAATTAAAAGATATAGAGTGACTGAATAAATAAATAGAAACAAGGCACAAATACATACTGTCTACAGGAAACTCACTTCACCTATATAGACATGCACAGACTGAAGGTGAAGAGTCAAAAAAGGTATTTCATGCAAATGAAAACATAAAAGAGCAGGAGCAGCTAAACCTATATCAGATAAAATAGATTTTAAGTCAAGAAGAGTAAAATATACAAAGAATCCCCTTATATAATGATAAAGTTGTCAATTCAGCCAGAGGATTAACAATTGTTCATTTATATATACCCAACACCAGAGCACTCAAATATATAAAACAAATATTAATAGACCTAAAGAAAAATGTTGACTGAAATATAATAATAGTAGGAAACATCAATACTCAACTTTCAGTAGTGGGCATACCATCCAGACATAAAATCAACAGTAACCAAAAAAACTAGAGTTAAACTGCACTATAGACAAAATGGACCTAACAGGCATTTACAGAAGATTCCATCCACCAGCTGTACAATACACCTTTTTTCTCAACATCATGTGAAATATTCCCTAATATAGGCCATATGCTAGGTAAAGAACAACACCTACAAATTTTTTAAAAATCAAAATTATATCAAGTATGTTCTCTGACCTTGATGGAATAAAACTAGAAATCTATAACCAAAGGGACATTGAAAAAATATAAAAATTTGTGAAAATAAAACTTGTTCCCAAACAATAAATAGATCATGAAAGAAATTTAAAAGAAGATTTAAAAATCCCACAAAACAAATTAAAATGAGAACATGACATACCAAACGAGATATAGCAAAAGCAGGTCTAAGAGGGAAGTTCATAGCAATAAACACCTACACCAAAAAGTAGAAAGACTTCAAATAAATAACCAATGACGCACTTCAAGAAAATAGGAAAGCTTGAAAAAAAACCCAAAATTAATAGAAGAAAAGAAATAATAAAGATCAAAGTAGAAATAAATGAAATTGAGACTGCAAAATACAAAAGAATAATAAAATAAGTTCTGTTTTTTTGAAAAGATTTAAAAAATGGACGTCTTTATTACATTAGGAAAATAAGAGAAGACATAAATTCAGAGGCATAAAAGAAAACATTACAAATTATATCAAAAAGATAAAAATGATCATTACAGACTATTATAAACAACTATATTGAAAATCTTAGAAGAAATGGACAAGTTCCTAGACACATTACAATCTATGAAGATTGAATCATGAAAAAAAATAGAAAACATGAAAAGACCATTAATGAGTAATGAGATGAAGCAATATTAAAAAGTCTCCCATCAAAGGAAAAACCAAGGATCTAATGGATTCACTGCTGAATTCTACCAAACATTTAAACAACAAATAACACTAATATTACTCAAACTCTTCAAACAAATTACACAGGAGGGAAAACCAAAACTCATTCTATGAGGCCAGCATTACTCTGATACCAAAATAAAACAAGGACAAGCACACACAAAAACAATCTACAGGCCAATATCACTGACGACTAGATGTGAAACTCCTCAACCAAAAATACCAAAACAAATTCAACAACATAATAAAAGAATCATTCAGCATAATCAAGTAGGATTCATCCCAGTAATGTAAGGATGGCTCAACATGTGCAATTCAATAACCAAAATACATCACATTAACAGAATTTTTAAAAATACAACTAATTCAATACATGCTGAAAAAAGCTTTGAATAAAATTCAATATCCCTTTATGATAAAAACTCTCAACAAAGTGGTTATAGAAGAAACGTACCTCAAAACAACCAAGGCCAACTATGACAAACCCAAAGCTAATATGGAGAAAAAAATGAAGAGCCCCTAACTTCTAGAAGGAGACAAAGATGACCACTTTCACTACTTTTATTCAATATGGTACTAGAAGTCCTAACCAGAACAATAAAACAATAAAAGAAAAGGATATCCAAATTGGATAGGAAAAAGTCAAGGTCAAGTTATCCTTGTTCAAAGTTGACATGATCCTATATTTAGGAAAACCTAAAGTCTCCATCAAAAACATGTCAGAACTGTTAAATAATTCAGTAAATTTGCAGGATATAAAATCAGCATGCAAAATCAATAACATTTCTATACACCAACAATGAACAATCTGAAAAAGAAATCAATAATGAAATCACAGTTATAATAACAACAAAAAATAAAACACTTAGGAATAAATTTAATCAAAGATGTGAAGGATCCCTACAATGAGAACTAAACATTTCTGATGAAAGAAATTAAAAAGAACACACTATGGAAATAGATAGATATCCCATGCTACTGGATTAGAATATTTAATATTGTTAAAATATCCATACTACACAATCTACAGATGCAGTGTAATTCCTATCAAAATGCCAATGATATTCCTCATAGAAATAGGAAAAACAATCCTAAAATTCACATGGAATCACAAAAGACCCCAAATAGAAAAAGCAATCCTGAGGAAAAGAACAAAGCTGGAGACATCACAATCACACTACCAGACTTCAAAATATAGTATAAAATTTTAGTAATTAAAATAGCATGGTATTTTCATAAAAACAGATACATAGACTGATGGATCAGAATAGAGAACCATAAATAAATTCATGACTTTACAGCTAACTCATTTTTGACAAAGGTGCCAAGAACACACACCTGGGAAAGGATAGTCTAATTAGGGGTTGCAAGGAAAACTGAATATCCGTATGCGGAAGAATGAAACTGGACCCCTATCTCTCATCATATGCAAAAATCAACTCAAAATGGGTTAAATACTTAAATGTAAGGCCTGATGCTTCTAGGAGAAAACAATGAGAAAACGGTATAGGAAAATGGTCTGGGCAATAATTTTGCAGTAAGACCTCAAAATCACAGGCAACAAAAGCAAAAATAGAGAAATGGAAGAACATCAAGCTAAAAAGCTTCTACATAGCGAATGAAACAATCAATAAAGAGACAACCTATAAAATGGGAGAAAATGTTTATACACTGTCCATCTGAGAAGGGATCAGTGTCCAGAATGTGTAAGGAATTCAAAAACTCAATAGCAAATAATCAAATAATCTGATTAGACAATGGGCACATGATCTAAATAGACATTTCCCAAGAGAAGACATAGAATTGTCCAACAAGTGTACAAAAAATGCTCAACATAAATAATCATCAGGAAAATGCAAATCAAAACCAAAATGAGATATAATCTTATCCCAGTAAAAATGGCTATTGTCAAAAAGTTTTTAAAAATCAAGGCTGGCGTGGTGGCTCACGGCTGTAATCCCAGCACTTTGGGAGGCCAAGGCGGGCAGATCACCTGATGTCAGGAGTTTGAGAGCAGCCTGGCCAACATGGTGAAACCCTGTCTCTACTAAAAATACAAAAATTAGCCAGATGTGGTGGTGTGCACTTGTAATCCCAGCTACATGGGAGGCTGAGACAGGAGAACTGCTTGAACCTGGGAGGCGGAGGCTGCAGTGAGCCGAGATTGTGCCACTGCACTCCAGCCTGGGTGACAGAGCAAGACTCCATCTCAGAAAAAAATAAAATAAAATAAAATAAATTAAAATAAAATAAAATAAAATAAATCTCAAATTCTGGCAAGAATGCAAAGAAAGGGAAATGCTAGTACATTGTTGGTGGGACTGTAAGTTAGAGTAGCCACAATTGAAAACAGTATGGGGTTTCTCAGAACACTAAAAATAGGTCTATGATGTGATCCAACAATCACGTTGCTAGGAATATATCCAAAAGTAATGAAATCATTATATCAAAGAAGTATATGTACTGTCATGTTGATTGTAGCACTATTCACAATAGCCGAGAGATGGAAACAACCTAAGTGTTCATCAGTGGAAGGATGGATGAAGAAAATGAGGGATACCTCTAGACACACACACACACACACACACACACACACACACACACGCATTGGAATATTGTTCAGCCATAAAAAGAATGAATATTATTTGCAACAACATAGACAGAACTGGAGGGCATTATGTTAAATGAAACAAGCTAGGTACAGAAACACAAATATCACATGTTCTAGCTTATGGTGTGAGATCCAGCCCACCAAAAAAAAAAAACTTATTTTTGTGAAGGTAGAGAGTAAAGAAAGATGAGAAGGGTGGAGGAGAGACAGCAATGAAGAGAGTTTGGTAAATAGATACAAAAATACAATTAGATAGAATGAAAATTCTATTGTTCAATACTACAGTGAGGTTATGATAATTAATAATCATTTATGTATATTTGAAAATAGCTAGAATAAATATTTAGGAATGTCATCAATACAAAATAATGATAGTAAGAGGTGATGTACGTCCTAATTACCCTGCTTTGATCATTGTACATTGTATAAATTTGTCAAAATATCACATGTACTCCATAAATATGTACAATTAGGATGTATTAATAAAAAAATTCAAAGCTGATTGATTGCTTCCTTTGAAATTTATCTTTGAGCTAATATTTCAAGTGATTTTACTCAAGAAATGGATTATGCCTAGCTTATTTGCCACTCTGTTCTCAACAATTCATATAATATTATGTCCAGATCAGAAATGTTTTAATTGATTATTTAATGAAATATTAGTGAATGAGAGAGAGAATTTGGAGCATTTTTGAAGGAGTCAATTGGTCAAGTTATGATAACATTCTTGATTTAATAACAGTACATTTGAGGATCACTTCAAAGACAAATTAAAGTGGAAGATATGTCATTTAAAAAACACTTGAAAGAAAAGTTTTTTCTAAGATGTCATCTTTGAAATGTCAATAAACTCATCTGAAAAAAATATATTTTAATTTTTTCCCTCAAAGCACAAATCAAATGTGTTTCAAGTCTTTATTAAAAAGTGATCATACTGAGAGAAGCTGTGAATGTCACATCTGAGGTTTCAAACACCATAAATAATACACAAATCAAATGTAATATTGCCAATAGTTTTCAACTCATACTTAGAACTTCTGTAGAGTTGAAAAGTTGAAGTGAATGTTTCAAATAATAGAAAATCAAAATCCGTTAGGCATGTTCTTGAGGAAAAAAAGCAGTTATCTGTTAATTATTATCGATTAAGATAGCAATAGAAAATGCCACGATAAAGTTTTCACATGTGATTTACATACATGTTGCAAGGACAAATATATTGTTACATGTTGTAGCATTTAACACAAATTTTGAAACATCAGTATAAAAAGATGAAAATGGGATTAAAGAATTTAGAAACAAAAGAAAGCAAAAACTTTGTTTATAACACGAATATTTTTCTCTCCTAAAAAGGTTCACTGAATGTGTTTATCAATAACATCCTGTTCAGAGTCAATAACTCTCATTATTTCATTATTTAAAAATACGGAACTGCTTGTACACAAATTAAAATGTTTCTATATAATATTTGTTTCATCAGGATTTTCTGTATATCTTTTTAATGTATACACTAAGACATTATTCTGGATCAGTATCTACCAATTCTCTAGATGGATAATGGATTTTATTCATTCCCAGGTATTTTATTTCTTAAACTACTAGCAAATTTGCCTCTTTCGTTATTGTTGTTGGTTGGTTGGATGAATGGGTGGTTGTATGCTTTGAAACATTTATTAAAGGTTAACATTTTTAGAGATTAAGAAAAAGTAATATCCTCAGGAAGCTAAAGTAACTGAAACCCTAGGTACCAATAGTGTTATTACTTACTAAATTTATCTCAAACATTATAGTTTGTCTGTGTTAAATGACTCATCAGTATGTCTTGAACAATATTGTGGTAAATAGAATAATATTTAATTTGAAAGTGCTAGTAAATTAACATAGATTTTGACTTTATATATTTTCTATAATGAAAAGTCCAAAATACTATTTTTATGAAGCATGGGAGACTGGGGTCACAGAGAGCTTTAGGAATCCAGGGGATAGTTTAGTTGACTAGCGGTAGCATTTTCAAAGGGGTAATATGATTTGGAGAGAAAGGAAAGTAAAAATTTACAAATGTTTATTGAATAGTGTGATACAGCTTGTCTGTGTCCTCACCCAAATCTCATCTTGAATTCCCACATGTTATGGGAGGGTCCCAGTAGGAGGTAATTGAATTATGGGGTCAAGTCTTTCCTGCGCTGTTCTCCTGAAAGTAAATAAGTCTCAAGAGATCTGACGATTTAAAAAGGGGAATTTCCCTGCACAAGCTCTTTTTGCCTGCTGCCATCCACGTAAGACGTGACTTGCTCTTTGCCTTCCACCATGATTTTGAGGCCTCTCCAGCCATGTGGAACTGTAAGTCCATTACATTTCTTTTTCTTCCCAGCCTTGGATATGTCTATATCAGCAGCATGAAAATGGACTAATACAACTGAGTAATGATTGGGGCTGACTTCACATGGTAGAACTGGTAGGACCTTGAATGTTGTAACTGCAGGTTTTTCTCCCCACTTGGCCTCTGCAGATAAGGTCCCATGACCAAACCACACTTTTTTTCAAACAGACCAGATGAAGTTCCTACTTAGTCCTGAGTATCGTATTTCTGTTTCCCACCAGGATGCAGAACTCCTGAAACAAACCAATCACATTCTCCCATAGGACCAAGGAAAATTCAACCACTCAATACCATAATGTCTGCCCCATATATCTCCTCTTGTTTGCTCTGTTCTCAAATGCAATCCACCTGGTGTTCAGTGTCCTCTGCCTCTGGGCTGTGAGTATATATGACAAATTAATTTCTGTCAATTTCATTTTTTTCCAGTTTGGGTGTTGTGTGTTCAAACTTACACATCCCTCACTGATAGGTTAAAGAGGGGTGATAATTATGTGAGGTAATGCATGTTAATTAGGTAGATTTAGCCATTCTACAACTTCCATATACCTCAAAACATCATGTTGCATGTGATAAATCCAATTTTATTTGTCAACTTAAAAATAAAATTTTATAAATGTATTTGGGGAAAGTATGTAGGTTTTCATTGCAGAGAACTTATAAAAAATAAAAAAGGGAATGGAATAAAAAAGTAATTTTAGACAAATGATAAACCCCAGAACAGTATGGGAAAAATTTGTTTTGACAGAAGAATATTATTTTAGAATATTCTACAGGCTAAGTTCTGAATGTTGCATCTCCCTAAAACTCATATCTTGAATGCCAATGTGATGGTTTTAGAAGATAGGATGTTTGGGAGGTAATTAGGTCCTGAGGGTGAAGTCTTCATAAATGGGATTAGTGCCCTTATTAAAAAGTCCTCAGATAGCTGCCTTGACCCTTCTACCATGAGAGGACACAGCTAGAAAACACCATCTAAGAACCAAAAACCAGGCTCTCATCAGCCACTGAATCTGCTGGCAACATGATCTTCGATTTCCCAACCTCCAGAATTCTGAGAAATAAACTTTTCTTGTTTATAAGCTACCCAGTATACGGCATTTTGTTGTAGAGGCCCAAATGAACTAAGACACAATGTGAGAAAAATACTATATGAGAAATCTATATGAGAAAATGCAAAAGAGAAAAACATGACAGATTCTAGAAACAAAAAGACATTCAATGTTTATTGCAGTATCCACCAAGGTGGAAAATAGATCTGAAGCAATTCAGAAATATTCTAGATCCTGAAATATCTTGTATGATTTATTAAGGAATTTGAACGTGATTCTAAATGCACTGAATCCCATTAAAAGAATGCAATATTGTCAAATAATATTTTGTTCTGATACATTACGCTTCCTGAATTTTGGAGAATTGAAAGAAATGAGAAAACTGAAGGAAGGCACACAGTATCCATATTACCCTTGTTGGTGATATTTAGACCACATGGTCTAGGTGTTATCCCAGGTATACACTGGGTAGTAAAAGCGGTGTTTGAGGAGACATTTTAATGTTATCCAATTATCTTCAACATCCCTCCCATGGATTTAGCAATTACTGATGATTCTTGTCTATACCAGTCTTTACAGTAATGCTTACAAAATAATGATCTTCCAATTACAGCATTGCTATCACATTTAGTAGTCAGCAACTAGCATTATATAACCTCATTTTAAAAAAATTTTGTCGTCTATTATCTATCTATCTATATCTATCTTGATATGTCCACATGAATTCTTATTTTTGAAACATTTATAGCTTCTTACTGTCCACATCATTATGATGTTAAATGTTCCCCAGGTTTGGATAGTGGAAGCATCTTCTAGCTGGTTCACATGCATTCCCCAACATGTTTTTTTTAACTCCCTTATTTCTGGCGTAAAATGATGTTCCAAAGTCTTCCTGTATCTCCCCCATCCTAGCATCAAGGATCCTTTCTTAGAAAGAGCTAAGAAATATATATGTATATACTATACATAAATTTTAATAGATATGTGTACAGATATAATTGTACAAATATATGTGTGTACACCCACACATATGCATACAAACACACACACGCACACACTCCATGCTCGCAATTCCATAGTTGCCTTTCTTCCACTGTGTGAACTCTTCTTTCAAACATCAACCCATTTTATCATCTGTTCAATTCAATATAACACACCTAAAATAACATCCGAATTGCTTTACCCATACAACCATAAAAAATTTTTTTTAATGTTTTAGAGTTTGATTGCAGTGGCCACCCCCTCAAGAAATAACCAATATCAAAAACAAAAACTGAGGTTAAACATTAAATTAATGTGTTTAAAAGCTATTGGATTGTTTCCCTGACCACCACCCTGTTAGTGTGGTTGTGCTATTCATTTGTAAAACTATTGGGTTCAGGTTGACTCGCTTGGTTTTAATTCTCTTTTTTTCTGTTTTCCATTCTTGTTGATGTACACATTAGCATGCTTCAAAAAGTCAAAACAACGTAAAAACCTCTACTTAGAAATCATTCATCCTTCCCTTTTTCCCTTCCACTATATCCCCATGTCTCACGTTAGTATCCAATTTATTGTTTTATCTTTCCTGTGTTTCTTTCCATAAAGATGTGATGATATATTTATAATTTATTTTCCATTTTAACAACAGTTTTCATAATAAATCTATTATTTGCATTTTGCTATTTCCACTAAGCAATATATGTTTGAAATCATCTATTTCAATTAAAGTTTGTAATTGTAAGTTTTTTTTTTAATATTTGTTTTCCTACTTACTTTTCACATAATTTCACAGTGTGGTGTAGGAAAGCATCATTTTCCAAAATTATTTAGTATTCCTCACTCAAATGTTAAAAGATTTTGTGTTTTCCTGACCTATTTTTACTCTCAGATGAAGAACAGTTAGGATTATAAGAGTCAATTAAAGATACAAAAAAATTCTCATTTTCCTTAGAGAATAGAGTGATCTATTGTGTTGGTTAAAGATGCTAGTTGTTAAGTTAATGGATTCTATAACAAATGTCATTTGCTATATATTTAATCACAGTTTATTCAAGATTTATTGAATACATAAGCTATATATTTCTATTTGCAGGTGATAGTAATGATTATATTCATTGCATTTTCAAGGTATGAAAGCAAATTATATAAAAGAAAAGATACCTGGAGTTAAATAGAAATATTAATAGTTTAAACCAATCATACAAAGGGCTATATTTACATAATTATCTCAAATAAATTCTGCTTATTTTTGGCTTTATTTGAGCTATTGGAATTATCTTGAATCATATTATATCCTATTTATTCTGTAGGACCTTCTATACTTATTTTGCCAGTTTGCTAATTTATTTGCCTATCCGAGGTTAGTAATCTAAAATATTTTAACAGTTATATTCTTCTCTAGTTTTATAATTGCCATTTCAAGAATATTACATAAATGGAATCATGCATTATGTAATCCTCAGGGACTGACTTTTTAATTTTGCATAATTCCCTGGAGATTCATGAAAGTTTTTGTGTATGTCAATAGATTGTTCCTTTTTATTTCTGAGCAATAGTCCGTGATACGAATGTACCATGGTTTGTTGAAGGACACGTTTTTTGTTTTGTTTTGTTTTCCAGTTTTAGACTACTATAAATAAAGCTCCTATGAACAATTGTGTCCGAGTTTTTGTGTAAAAAATGAGTTTTCATTTTTCTGAGATAAATGTTCAGGACTGCAATTTCTAAGTTACATAGTAATTGCATATTTAGTTTTATGCAGACAGACTGTTTTCCTGAGAGACAATACCATTTTACATTTCCACCAACGATGTATCAATGATCCAATTTCTCTGTATTCTCACAAGCATATGGTGGTGTCATTATTTTTTTTTTTTTTGCTTTTATACTTTAGTGACTCTGATAGGTGTGATATTTAATAGGGTCCTCATTTTGGTTTTAATTTGCATTTGTTGATTTATAAAATAATTGAACATTTTTCATATGCTTATTTGACATCCATATACCATCCTCAGTGAAATGTCTGTTCTATCTTTTGAGTATTTCTTGTTGAACTTTTTAAAATTGTTTTACTGTTGAGTTTTGATACTTCTCAATATATATTCTAGAACTAGTTCTTTATTAGATAAGTAGTTTGCAAATACTTTATCTAACTTTGTAGATTGTTTTTTCATGCTCTTCACATGAGCTTTCACAGAGCAAAATTTTCATTTTTGATGAGGTCCACCTTATGAAATGTCTGTCGTCCACGTTATCAAATGCCTGTTGTTTATGAATCGTGCTTTTGATATCAAGTAAGAATACTTCGCTTAGCGCTATAACATAAAGGTATTCTCCACTTTTTCTAAAATTTCAAAGTTTTACATTTTACATTTAGTTCTGTGACTAATTTTCAATTAACATTTTGTATAAGATGTAAAGTTTAGGTCACGTTTTATTTTCCTCCCTTATTGATATCAAATTGCTCCAGCATTATTTGTTGAAAGACCATTCTTTATCCATTGAGTTCTTTCTGCACCTTTATCAAAAATCAATTCAGCATATTTGTGTGGATCTCTTTCCAGGATCTCTGTTCGGTTCTACCAATCTGTGTGTCTATTCCTCTACCAATACTACACTCTTTTGATTAGTGTAGCTATATAACAAGCCCCAGTATCAGGTACAGTGATTATTCCTACTCTATTTTTCTCTGCCAAGAGTTTTTGAGCAAGGACCCTTGCCTTTTCAAACAGATTTTAGAAAAAACTTGTAAATGTCTACGAAAACTTTGATGAAATTTTTACAAGAATTGCATTCAACCTATAGATTAGTTTAAGGAAATTGACTTTTACTTTGTTGAGCTTTCCAATCCATACACATGATCTGTATCTCCATTTATTTAAATATTCTTTGATTTGTTTCATGAACATTTTGTAATTGTAAGCTTGACAACTCTGGACTCAGAAAATCTGAGACAGGTCTCAGTTAATTTAGAAAAGTTTATTTTGGCCCAGGCGCAGTGGCTGACGCCTGTAATCCCAGCACTTTGGGAGGCTGAAGTGGGTGGATCACGAAGTCAGCAGATCGAGACCATCCTGGCTAACGCGGTGAAACTCCGTCTCTACTAAAAATACAAAAAATTAGCCTGACGTGGTGGTGGGTGCCTGTAGTCCCAGCTACTCGGGAGGCTGAGGCAGGAGAATGGCGTGAACCTGGGAGGCGGAGCTTGCATTGAGCCCAGATCCCACCACTGCACTCCAGCCTGGACGACAGAGCAAGACTCCGTCTCAAAAAAACAACAAAAAAATAAAAGTTTATTTTGCCATGTTTGAAGATGTATGTCCATGACACAGCCTTAGGAAGTCCTGATGACATGTGCCCCAGGTCGTCAGGGCACAGCCTGGTTGTATATATTTTAAGGAGACATGAGACATCAATCAATATATGTAAGAAGTACATTGGTTTGGTATGGAAAGGCTGGGCAACTCAAAGCAAAGGCAGGAAGACTCAAAGCAAGGAGGAGGCTTCCAGGTCACAGACAGGTGAGAGATAAATGGTTGCATTCTTCTGTGTTTCTAATTAGCCTTTCCAAAGGAGACAATCAAATATGCATTTATCTCAGTGAGCAGAGGGATAACTTAGAATAAAATGGGAGGCCAGTCTGCCTTAAGCAGTTTCCAGCTTTGAATTTTCCCTTTAGCTTGGTGATTTTGGGGGGCCAACATATTTTCCTTTCACACAATCCTATATATGTATTGCTAAATGCATACCTAAGTATTTAATTTTATTTGGAATGACTGTAGAAGCATTGTGTTTTTAATTTCATTCTTGGCAAGCTGTTTGATTTGGGGGTGTGGTCTCATGTCCTGCAACACAGCTAAAATCACTTATTCTCTGAGTTTTTGAAAATTTATTGGGATTATTTATGTAGACAATCATGTCATCTGCAAACACACAGAACTTTATTTCTTCCTTTTAAATCTGTATCTTTCCCTACACCTTGATTAGAATGTTTTGCAATAAGTTGAGAAAGAGTGATGATGAGCATTATCATCCTTGCCTTGTTCTCATTCTTAGAGGAAAAACATTCAGTCTTTCATTATTGTGTGGTATTCTCTGAAGGTGACACATTTTATTAAATGGAGGTAATCTCCCTTTATTCCTAACCTGCTTACAATTTACATAATGAATGGGTGTTGGATTTTGTCAAATTATTTCCTGAATATATTAATATAATCATACAACTTTTCTTTTTACTATGCCAATATAATGGAGTCCATTGGTTAATTTTTATTTTTTTTTGAGACGGAGTTTTGCTCTGGTCGCCCAGGCTGGAGTGCAATGGTGTGATCTCGGCTTACTGCAACCTCCGCCTCCTGGGTTCAAGCAATTCTTCTGTCTCAGCCTCCCAAGTAGCTGGGATTACAGGCACGTGCCAGCAAGCCCAGCTAATTCTTTATATTTTTAGTAGAGATGGGGTTTCACCATGTTGGTCAGGCTGGTCTTGAATTCCTGACCTCAGGTGATCCACCTACCTCAGCCTCCCGAAGTGCTGGGATTACAGGCATGGGCCACTGCGTCTGGCCGATTGGTTAATTTTAATATGCTAGATCAGTCTTGAAAATCTGGGATAAACTGTCCTTTGTCATGGTGTATAATTCTTTTTATATATTGTCAAATTGAGTCTGGTAGTATGTTGTTGAGGGTTTTCATGTTGAAATTTATGAGAGATATTGGTTTTTAATTTCTATTTTGTACTCTCTCCCCCTACTTTTGATATGAGGATAATACTGTCTTCAAAAAAATGGTGAAGTGTTCTACTTTGTTGTTGATGAAAAGAGTCAATCTCTAAAATATTTGAAGAGATTTATTCTGAGCCATTTTATATTTTGTATGAATGACACCACCTCAGAACGAACATCCTAAGAATGTTCCCAAGGTGGTTGGCCTACAGCTTGGTTTTATATGTTTTAAGGAGATATGAGGTATCAATCAATACCTGTAAGATATACATTGGTTAGGTCTGGAAAAGTGAAATAACTAACAGTGGGATTGTGCAGGGTGGGAAGAAACTGCTTCCAAGGTCATAAGTGTATTCAAAGATTTTCTCAATGACAGTTGAAAGTGTTTATCTAAAGTCCTGCAATCAGTGCAAGGGAATGCCTAGGTTAAGATAAGGGGTTGTGGAGACCAAGGTTCTTATTGTGTCCGGAATTTACTCCTTCGGATGGGTTTTTGGTCTCGCTGATTTCAAGACCTTCGCAGTGAGTGTTACAGCTCTTAAAAATGGTATGTCTGGAGTTTCTTCCTTCAGATGTTCAGACACGTCCAGAGTTTCTTCCTTCCGGTGGGTTTGTGGTCTTGCTGACTTCAAGAATAAAGCCGCGGACTTCACACAAGTGTTACAGCTCTTAAAGGTGGTGCGGACCCAAAGAGTGAGGAACAGCAAGATTTATTGTGAAAAGCGAAAGAACAAAACTTCCACAGCATGGATGGTGACCTGAGCAGGTTGCCGCTGCTGGCTGGGGTGGCCAGCTTTTATCCCCTTATTTGGCCCTGCCCATGTTCTGCTGATTGGTCCATTTTACAGAGTGCTGATTGGTCCATTTTACAGAGTGCTGACTGGTGCTTTTACAATCATTTAGCTAGACACAGAGCACTGATTGGTGCATTTTTACAGAGTGCTGATTGGTGCGGTTACAGTCCTTTAGCTAGACACACAGCACTGAGTGGTGCATTTTTACAGAGTGCATATTGGTGCATTTACAATCCTTTAGCTAGACAGAAAAGTTCTTCAAGTCCTCACTCCATCCAGGAAGTCCAGCTGGCTTCACCTCTCATTATTATGCAGATGAAACCTCCAGGTAGCAGGCTTCGTAGGGAATAGATGGTAAGTATTTCTTATCAGACTTAAAAAGGTTCCAGATTCTTAGTTAATTCTCTCCTAGATCAGGGAAAATACCTGTAAGGGGAAGGGGATTACCCACAGAATGTACACTTTGTGCACAAGAGATAGCTTTTCAGGACCATTTCAAAACATGTCAAAGAAATATAATTTGGGGTAAAATCATTTGATTTCTTTTAGGACCTTCTGTCATTTTGGTATCTTATTGTTACAAAGAGACTTCTCTGTCAGAGGTCTCTGTTTTAGTGTTAATGCTGGTCAGTTGTGCTGGTCAGAATTCCAGAGGCAGAAGGATATAATGAGGCATGTCCAACTACCCATTCCCATCATGGCCTGAACTGTTGTTTCAGGTTTACTTTGTAACACCTTTGGCCCAGAGGAGGGGTCCATTCAGTTGGTTGGGGGCTTAGAATTTTATTTTTGGTTTACAGTAATATTTTTTGAAAAAATTATGTAAAATTGCTGTCAGTTTTCCTTTAAATGTGTGGTAGAATTGTCCTGTGAACTCATTCAGCCTGTAGATCTCTTTTTTTGAGATCTTTTAAATAACAAATTCTTTTTTATTTTAAGGTGGAGTCTAGCTATGTTGTGCAGGCTGGTCTTGATCTCCCAGGCTCAAGGAATCCTTCTGCCTCAGCCTCCTGAGTAGTTGGGACTACAGGCATGTGCCAGCACACCAGGCTACAAATACATTTTTAAATGGTTACAACTCTAGTCATATGATGTATTTCATCGTGGTTGAATTTTGTTGCTTATAGTTTTCAAGAAATTGGTACAATTTATTTAGTTATCAAATTTGTGAGTGTAAAATTATTCAGATATCCACTTATTTTTCTTTTAATAGCTGTAGAACCTGTAGTAATATGGTTGTTTTATTCCTAATGTAGATATTTGTGTTTACTCACTGTATGCTTGTTATTCTTGTTGGAAGTTTATCAGTTTTATTGATTTGTTTTGTATATTTGTGCTTTTGCTTATTTACTTTTCTTGATTGTTTTCTATTTTCAATTTCTTTGAATTCTGCTTTTGTGAACTCCAAACATTTGAGACAGATCTCAGTTAATTTAGAAAGTTTGTTTTGCCAAGGTTGAGGACGCATGCCCATGACACATCCTCAGGAAGTCCTGACAACATGTATCCAGGGTGGTCAGAGCACAGTTTGGTTTTATACATTTTAGGGAGACATGAGATATCAATACATATATGTAAGATGAACATTGGTTCTGTCTGGAAAAGCAGAACAACTAGAAGCAAAGACAGGATAACTCAAAGCGGGGAGGGGGCTTCCAGGTCATAGGTAGATAAGAGACAAAGATTGCATTCTTTTGAGTTTCTGACTAGCTTCTCCAAAGGAGGCAATCAGATATGCATTTATCTCAGTGAGCAGAGGGTGACTTTAAATAGAATGGGAAACAGGTTGTCCTAAGCAGTTCCCAACTTGACTTTTCCCTTTAGCTTCCTGATTTTGGGGCCACAAGGTTTATTTTTCTTTCACACTCTTATCTTTGTTGTTCTCTTCTGCTTACTTGGGTTTATTACGATTTTCTTTTTGTAGTTTATTGAAGTAAGAACTTAAGTTACTGAAGGTATTAATTTGAGAATTCACTTCTTTTTTGTGTGTGTGACAAGGTCTCATTCCGCAATTTTTGTCTGGGGTATAGTGGCATGATCATAGCTCACTGTAACCTCAAACTGCAGGGTTCAAGGGATACTCCTGCCTCAGTCTCCCAAATGTCACATTTCTAATGTAAGTCTTTGGTGCTATAAAGTTCCCTCTTAACACTCCTTTATGTAAATCTCACGTATTTTATGTCTTGTTTTGACTTTCGTTCTGATACTTTCTTTTAGTGAAGACTTTTCCTATGACCCATATATTATTTAAAAGTGTGTTTCTGAAACTCCTATGAGGTTAAACATTTCCTATTTTTTTCTGGTATCAATTTATAATTTAATTTCATTATTATCAGTGAACACACTATATAATTTCAATTCTTTTAAATTTCTTTATAATGTTTGTTTTAAGACCTAAGATATGCTTAATACTGTTTAATGTTTCAAGGTACATTCATTTCCTAACAATAAGTATTTTATAATTACCACAGAACTGAGTGTCTTAAAACATCAGAAATCTATTAACTGAAAGTGCTGAACGCTGGAAGTCTAAAATTAGAATTAGCAGTACAATGCTCCCACCGAAATCTCTAAGAGAATCTTTTCTTGGCTCTTCCTAGCTTCTGATGGTTGATCAGCAATCTTTGGCCTTCCTTGGTTTGTGGATGTATCACTCATACTCTGCCTTCACATGGCATTCTCCCTATGTTCCTGTCTATGTCACTTCTCTCATAAAGATATCAATCATATTGGATTAGGGACCCAGCCTACTCCATTATGGCTTAATTTTAGCTACTTTTATCTGCACAATGGTCCGATTTTCAAATAAAGTCACATTTGAAGGTTCAGAGGTACTGGGGAAAAAGATTTCAACTCTTTTTTTTTTTTTTGGTGGGGTAGAGGGGAGTGTTACTTTTCAACCCATAATACGTGGGCTCTTAAAAACAAATCTGCTGTTATTGGATGGGTTATTTTATATAGGACAATTAGATCCTGTTGGTAGATTGTGTGATTTAACTCTTCTCTATCTGTAGAATTTCCATCTAATAGTTCTTTTAATTGCTGACAGGGGGTCTTTGAAGTCCTCCAGCTATAACTGTGAATTCCTCTGTTTCTGCTATCAGTTCTATCAGCTTTTGCTTTATATATTCTGTGGATCTGTTTTATTCATAGGTACACATTTGGGATTGTTTTGCCTAACGATTTGCCTCATTTGTTAATGCATTAACATTAATGCATTGACCATTTTATCATTATGTAATGTCCTTCTTGGTGTATATGTTTTTTGTTTTGAAGTTTACTTCATATTACATATTGATTTAGCCACTTTTGCTTTTTATATGTAATATTTGCATGCTGTATATTTTTCCATTATTTCACTTGTATGGTACCTTTGCCATTGAATTTGAAGTAAAATTCTTGTAAGCAACATATAGTTTGGTCATTCTTTAATATTGATTTTGCTAATCTCTGTCTCTTGATTAATGTATTTAGACCACTTACATTTAAAGTAACTATTGATATATTAGCACCTAAATGTGCCACTTTCTTATTATATATTTGTTTACTCTGGATCACAATATATAATAAAAAAGTGGCACATTTAGATGTTACTATATCAATACTACTTGAGGTCACTTGAACTTATCTTTTGTTCATGATTCCATCTTCATTTATTTATGGTGTTTTTGAGTACAGTCAGCCCTCATATGTGTGGGTTGCACATTCCTGGATTCAACCAAACATTAATGGAAAATATTTTTTAAAAATTGCACTTGTGCTGAACACCTATAGACATTTTTCTTTTGTCATTATTCTCTAAACAATATAGTGTAACAACTATTTACACGACATTTTCACTTTATTAGGTATGATAAGTAATCTAGAGATGATTTAAAGTATATAGGAGAATGTGTGTAAGTTATATGCAAATACTATGTCATTTTGTATTAAGGACTTGAGGATCCCTAGATTCTGATATTCAAAAGAGGGTCTGAAATCAATCTCTCATAAATACCAAGGACCATTGTGTATCTCTTTGTACAGTTTTCACAGTGGTGGCTCTGGGTATTACAATATACATATGCATTTTACCACTCTAAGTAATGTGCAGGAAGCTCACTTCCATTTAGTTTTTATCTTCCTCATATTTAAATATCATTGTCTTGAGTATCAGATAGTACTATACATTTTGTTTCAATTAATAAATATGATATATAAACTCATGAGAAAAAAGATACTATATTATATATTGATATACTCATATTCCTGACTCTTTATATATAGTTTCTTCTTCCTGGTGTTCCATGACTCCCCCTTTTGTCATTTTTTTCTGGATTTTGGGTTCAGTCATCTGATCATAGTAATTCCCTTCCATCCTCATTGCTATTTCAATAATATAAATCTCATACTATGTTTCATAGAATGCTCTGAGTTTAAAAATAAATAACTGAAAATAACTCTTAAAATATGTGTTATTCTAAATTCATAAATTATATACTTTTTTCTTCAAGGTAGCCATCCCAGATATGTCAGAAACCATATGATATTTTAGTTATCCTTATGTATATGTGAGAATGCACACCTTCAGTTACATATCAATGTGAAAAGAATCGTATTCGGCAGGTACGCCATCAGTTAAGCATGAGAAAAATGACTTTACAGATAAAATCAAACAGAAGAAGAAAGTGTGGAGAAAAAACAATGTAGCATAAAAGACTTTGAAAGTCAAATACTCTGTGTGATGTGTGATGAAAAGGTAAAAAAACAGCATTGAAATTAGGGAATCGATGCTTTAGTTTTAAAAAACATTGATTTACCTAGGAAAGCTATGGCAACAATTCAAATAATGAGGAGAACAAACAAAACATAAATAAAAACAGTACTACTGAACTTAAGTTCTATGTGCTTGCATGCCTGTGTTTGTTTATACTGAATAAGCTATAGTAAAATATTAGCCCCCTCAAACCTTACAGTTAATTCAACCTATTTTATCAGTTACCCATTTATAATCAGTTGATGACATTGCAACATTTTAAAATTATAGAGAAATAATTTATAAAAATTGAAGTGATACTTTTGCAGCAGAAAGTTTAAAGTTGAAAGGTTTTGATGTATTGACTACACACCTGATATTTTGTATAGGCCCTAATTTTAATTTTAACCAGAATAGAATAGCTATATTTTTAAATGTTTATTTTATATACACAAAAGCAAAGTCAGGAGGTAACTATGTAGAGAATGCGCACTCGTAGGCCAAGCATGGTGCCTCATGTTTGTAATCACAGCACATTGGGAGGCCAAGGTGGGCAGATCATCTGAGGTCAGGAGGTCAAGACCACACTGGGTAACATGGCAAAACCCTGTCTCTACCAAAAATAGAAAAATTAGCCAGGTGTGGTGGTGCGTGCCTGTAAACCCAGCTACTTGGGAGGCTGAGGTGGGAGAATCCCTTGAACACAGGAGGTGGAGGTTGTAGTGAGCCGATATCAAGCCAATGCACTCCAGCCTGGGCAACAGAAACAGAGTGAAACTCCATCTCAATTAAAAAAAAACAAAAAACAAACTAACAAAAACCAAGAATGTGCACTTGTAGATGCAATGTCATTTTAAGAACAGTTTTCAATATACAAACCCTTTTATAACTACATGCCAATTTTTTCACTAAGTAAGGTTGGCACAGCTTCAAATAGCATTTTATGGAATTAAACTAACACACATTTTACCTGAGGAGGTTTTGTTGAATTTTATAAATTTGTTTTATTCCATTTTCTTTATATAAATTTATAAAATAAATATATAAAAATATGTGGTGTTAATATACATTTAGGAAAATGATATTTATAATATTTTATTCTTAATTACTTATTCAAATAGTCACACCAACATTCGTGCATAAATGTATGAATTCCTGAAATCCTCAATTTGACATTTTATTTTCAAAGATGTTTTATTTTGGGGGGGTTAAACACTTTAGGTACTAGGTTGTGAATCATGACTATTGAATAAAACTAAATTTCCCAAGCATCATTTTTTATTATATTCAATTAAGAAAACTTGCAAATTAGATATATCTATTAGCATACTCATTAGCGTTGATGTATAATTTAATTATAAATATTCGTTAAATAAATCCTAAAAACAAATAAATAATTGACACAGCTCAGAGTCGACTGGGTGCAGTTGAGGACTTTTATTTCCAGAATCCATAGTTTATTTGTTCTTGGTTTGTTGTATTAATAATATATTGCTATTCTTGCATTCTAAGCTTGTAGTATTAAACACATACATATTTTTTACATTCTAAGTTCTTTTAAGACTCAGTGACTTGGGCCACACTGTCCCTTGGACTGTAATGACTTCCTCTTTTTTACTTAGTTGTTATTTCAACCACAATGCAGCATTAGAGTCTCCAAAAAAGATCTCTGATGCCCAGTGTCTGAAGCATGTATCCTTTCATATGAGATTACAGGTATCTGACACTTACTTACCTGTATCATTCCATGCATAGTGTTAATGAAGAGATTGGGCTCTGGAGTTGTGAACTACTTATCTGGAGTTTAAATTTTCATTTTATTATGTTTTTTTCTGTGTGATCTTGGGCAAGTTATCTAAAGTGTGTGTTACTCAGTTTATATCTTAAAATAAAAACACTATGAGTACCTATCCCCTAAATTTATTTTGAGAAACAATTGAGTACATTTTTGTAAGATATTTAAATTGTCTATCACTTCCTAAGCACACTGTAAAATTTTAATCCTTTTATTTAAATATCATAGCATTGTCCATTTCCTTTTATAATATTTTTGATACAAGACTGAAATTTTCAAAGGTAAAACCTGTTTTTTTGTTAATCTAGATATCCACAGTGCCAAATCAAATAAGACACGTAGTAAGTATTTAATCAAATTTTTGAATAAATGATCACATACGAACTTTCTTAAAGTAATCTAAATTGCAGGACTTCAATAAGCATCTCAAAGAGGTAGTTTTTTTAATTGAAGATTTCTATGCATCAATATGGGATTATGGAACTACAGAGTCAAGGATTGGAGGATTTAGCAGTTCCTCAATATTTAAAAAGTTTTTATGTATATTGATCAATTTTTGTGCAGACATTAATTTTCTTGTTTTTTACATACCTAAAGATATTAAATAGTCCCAGAATAATAAATAAATAAATTGAGTGCATTTATTAAATGGTTTTCACTTTCTAGTTCTTCATAATACATGTTTTTTTTCTCACTTTTAATTTACAATCTGAACCTTCATCAATTTGGGGTGAATAATCACTTCTGACTTGCAGCTAAAATGATCACAGATTACCATGGAGTAATTTTGGCACTGAAACCCATCCTCAGATGAAAACTATACATAATATACAAATTTCTACTATTAGTGCATATATATGTTTATATCACATATAATTTATTATTTTGTGATATTTTTGTTTTAAATTACAATTACAGATAAGTTATATACATTAATCTATCATTTGTCTTTTGAGGTCGATATTAATTTTTTTTAAAATAAAGTGACTGTGGAAGCAATAATTTAAGTAATTTTCAATGTCACAGCTAATAAAGGGCAAAGATTAGTATTTGAAAATAAAATAGCCTGAGTCCTAAGTCCAAGCTGATAAATACTATATTATTCTGCATAGATATTAAAAATCTTCTATGAACAAAGTTTGGACTCTTAGTACGTTTTCTTAACTGTACTCTCCACTTGTAAAATTATTATTTTTTCTTTTTCTCCTACATCCATGGAGAAAGAGGAAAGATATGATGTCAATATATGCTAAAGTTTAAAATAGATTTAAATAGTAGAAGAATCAATATAAATTTTGAGAAAACTAGAGAGAAAAATGTGTGCTCTATACTAGGATCCATTTTTAATGATTAGAAATATTTCATAATTTAAAAAAACCTTTTCTGATAGCCCTCTTAGCTATAGCTGATCAGACATGAGGTAAATTTATCTCAAGAATTCTATGAACAAGTTATCTATGCTGGGATGGGTTTTTATTATATGAATTCTAATTTCCTTCTAAGCACTCTCTAACTCTCACATAATGCAAAGTATGAATTTGTTGCAAGCTACATAAATTTTTTAATAAATTAATACCAGTTACACCAGGTGCTCTTGAAAACCAGTGGGGAACATGTTTCTGATACTGCATGAGTCCATTCTTGCATTGCTATATAGAAACACCTGAGGCTGGATAATTTATAAGAAAATAAGGTTTATTTTGACTTACGGTTCTTCAGTCTCTACAAGAATTTGGTGCCGACATCTGCTTCTTGTGATGGCCTCAGGAAGCTTACAATCATGGAGGAAGGCAAAGGGGAACCAGCATGTCACATGGCAAAAGAGGGAGCAATAGAGAGAAGGGGGCAGTCCTAGACTCCTTTAAACAACCAGATCTTGCACGAGCAATAAGTGAATAAGAATTCACTTATTACCAAAAGGATGGTGTTAAGCCATTCATGAGGGATCTGTTTCTATGAGCCAATCACCTCCCACCAGGTCCCACCTCCAGTATTGGCAATCGCATTTCAACATGACACACTGGGGCCTGTTGGGGGGTGGGGGAGGGATAGCATTAGGAGAAATACCTAATATAAATGAGTTGATAGGTGTAGCAAATCAACATGGTACATATATACCTATGTAAAAACCTGCATGTTGTGCACATGTACCCCAGAACTTAAAGTATAATAATAATAATAAAAAGAAATTTGGAGGAAACATCCAAACATCATCATTCTACCCATAGCCCCTCAAATTTTATGTCCTTCTCACATATCAAAATACAATAATGCCTTTGCAATATGTCCCCAAATCTTAACTCATTCCAGCATTAACTTAGAAGTCCCAAGTCCAGCCTCATCTGAAGATGAGTTCTTCCTACCAATTTGCCTGTGAGACCAAAATCAAATTATGCATTCCTAAGATACAATGATGGTACCAGCACTGGGTACATATTTTGATTCAAAAATGGAGAAACTGGCCAAAAGAAAGGGGCAATAGGCACCACACAAGTCTGAAACCCAATAGGACAGTCATTAAGTTTTAAAGCTCCACAGTAATTTCCTTTGACTCCATGTTCTACATGCAGGGTATAGTGGTGTGATGGGTGAGCTTCCAATGCCTTGGGCAGCTCTGCCCCTGTGGCTTTGACTGATGCACCTCATGGGCCTTCTCTAATGGGTTAGAGTCCAGTGCTTGTGGCTTTTCTAGGCTAAGGATGCAAGCTGCAGCTGGCTTTATATTCATGGGTGGAAGATGGCAACCCCCTTCCCACAGCTCTACTAGGCAATGCCCTGTTTAAGATTCTGTATGGGGGCTTCAACCCCACATTTCCCGTTGGTTCTGCCCTAGTAGAGGCTCTCTGTGAGGACTCTGTCCCTGTGGCAGTCTTCTGATCAGGCACCCAAGCTTTCCCATAACCCCCCTGAAATCTATGTGGAAGCTGCCAAGTCTCCTTTACTTTTATATTTTGTGTGCCTGCAGGCTTAACACTATGTGGAAGTCACCAAGGCTTACAGTTTGCACCATCTGAAGCAGTGGCCTGAGACCCTTTGAGTCTGAGCTCCTTTCAGCTGAGGCTGGAGCCAGAGTGACAAGAATGTGGAGAGCCATGCCTTGAAGCTGTGCAGAGCAGTGGGGCACTGGGCCTGGCCCCTGAAACCATTCTTTTCTCTTAGGCTTCTGGGCCTATGAAGAGAGGGTTTGTTCTAAAGACCTCTTGAAATGGCTTTGAGGACATTTTCCCATTGTTAGTCATGCTAATCTCTCTAGCAAGTCCTTCCTCCACAGCCTTTTTGGATTCTTTCTCTACCACAGGGCCAGGCTGCAAAGTTTCAAGCTTTTATGCTCTTCCTCCTCATTAAATATGAGTTCCAAATTTAGTTGTTATTATTATTATTTTTTACTCCTGTATCATATCATAGGCTGTTAAGGGCAGTCAGGCCACATCTTGAATGTTTTGCTGCTTAGAAATTTCTGCCACCAGATACCCTAGGTCATTACTCTTAAGTTTAAACTTCCACAGATCCCTAGGGAATGAACACAATGCAGCCAGGTTATTTGCTAAGGTGTAATATGGCTGACTTTACTCCAGTTCCCAATAATATCTTCATTTCCATCTGAGATCTCATTTGCCTAGATTGCACTGTCCATATCTCTATCAGAATTTTGGTCACAACAATTGAACCCGTCTCTAAGAAGTTCCAAAATTTCCTCATCTTTCTGTCTTCCTCTGAGCCCTCCAAATGCTTCCAACTTCTGCCTGTACCTAGTTCCAAAGAAACTTCCACATTTTCTCATACTTTTATAGCAACACTCTGCTCTAGCTACCAATTTTCTGTGCTAAGCTGTATTGTGTTGCTATAAAGAGATACCTGAGGCTTGGTAATTTATAAAGGGAAGAGGTTTATTTGATTTATGGTTCTGCAGGCTGTACAGAAAGCATGACACCAACATTTACTCAGATTCTGAGAAGGGCCTTAGGAAGCTTACAATCATGGCAGAAGGTAAAGTGAAAAGCCATATTGTCAAATAATGAGAGTGGGAATGAGAGAGATGATGGCCCTAGACTTTCAAACCAGAGGATCTCACATGAACTGAGGGAGAATGCACTTATCACCAAGGAGATAGGGCTAACCAATTCACGAGGGAGCCACCTACATGATCCAATCACCTCTCACCAGGCCCCACCTTCAACACTGGTAATTACATTTCGACATGAGATTTGGAGGGCCTATTATATCATGTACGATGGCCTAAAGTTACACCATGTTTGAGACAGCACACTAACTTCATGTTTATCAACAGCCCTCACTGGATCTACTTGTAACATACTGGCCCTAGAACTCAAACTTAAATCACAAGAACTTTCTTTTCCAAGATTACAATTCAGATTGAGAGCATAGATAAAGCTGGCCACAGAGTGGGGGATACTATGCTAATATCTTATTACAACCTTTAATCATCCTAATTACAAATAATACCAAACAGAAGTAAACAGAACAAAGATTTCAAGTGCCATCTTAGAGCAGTTGCCCCGATTTAAGATTTTGAAACCACAACTTTGTCAATATAGTGATTCTCCTTCCATGACTTTTTCCCTACACTTGTTTCCTTTTTTTTTTTTTTTTTTTTTTTTGAGATGGAGTTTTGCTCCTGTTGCCCAGGCTGAAGGGCAGTGCCACAATCTCTGCTCACTGTAACCTCCTCCTCCCGGGTTCAAGCAATTCTCCTGCCTCAGCCTCCCCAGTAGCTGGGATTACACGTGCCCACCACCACACCTGGCTAATTTTTATATTTTTAGTAGAGATGGGATTTCAACACATTGCCCAAGCTGGTTTTGAACTCATGACCTCAGGTGATCCACCCGCCTTGGCCTCCCAAAGTGCTGGGATTACAGGCATGAGGCACCGCGCCTGGCCCACCTGTTTCCTTTTTAACATTCTATAATATTAACAGGAAAAGAGTCAAACTAAAGTTACCTGCTGGATAAGTCAGATGGTGAATTACTGCTAATGGACTTTGTCATTAGTATAATGGATCTGGATGATTGTTATGATACTAATAAGTAAGGCATCTTTTGCCCAGGCTTTGTTTGTCTTTTAAATATCCATTCACTGAGCATGGGTAACAAAAGTCTCACCCATCCAGACACCACCACTAAGTAAATACCCCTAAGTAAAATACCACTAAGTAAACTTATGAATAACCTTCATTATGTGTGAAATCACCTGTGTGTGTGTCTATATTGGAAGGAAAAGTGGGAGTCTTCCTTGCACAGGAATGTTGTCTTCCATATTTAGTGCATGTTGAGTTCCCGACCGCCCCAATAAAGTGAATATTGCAATAAAGCAAGTCACATTAAAAAAAAGTTTAAAAACTGAATGTTCAGTAGAGTTCTGATTACTCTATAGAAATGGAAAAGAAAATAGTCTTGTAATTCCTTTTCTTGTTATTTCAAATCATAAGTGATGATTTTGGTAACACTTTTGAAAGTTAAACGTATAGCAACAAAAAAAGACACCTGAATAAAATTATAACAATGTTGTTTTGCTGTAATTCATCTGAAAATATGATGAACCATATGTTGCTATCTAACCTATCCAGAGATTTTTACATTTTTATTCATACATTTTTTGAAATGCCCCCACAGATTTCTCACATAATGAAAAATTCTTCAACATGTTATCCAATAAAGGATATTGATAAGTGTGAAGAACAGAGTTCTGCCAGATCAGGTGTCAATTTAATCTGTTTTTCTTTATTGCATCTTGTCATGGATCCTAGCTAATAGAAATATATATATATATATATATAATATATATATATTATATATAATATATATATAATATATATATATATAAAATATATATATATAATATATATATATATGAAAATGTAACCTTTACCTTACTAATGAAAAAGTGTTCAGATATACAAGTAATTTAGACTCAGAAAATTACACATAAATTCCTCCTCTGGTGCTAGTTAAATATACAGATTTGGTCAAGGCTCTGCTCTACCTTAATTTAAAAAAAATTGAAAACAGGTTGTTCAGATGACAAAATGTACATGAAAGGCTGAATGTGTCACATAGATTAGGTTTTCGAATTGATTTATGTTTACAACAAAACATAAAAAAACTAACTAAAAATTATAAGGACATCCTAATATTAGTATTTAGGGGCAAAGGTGTTGAAAAATGTGAAAAATTACATTATATGACAGAAATTCAGACTCTCCAGGCTACTAAAGTATCTCTCCATTTTTCAATGCATCTATTTTTCAGCCTGTTGAGTTTAAACCTCCCATTATCTTTAATTTACGACTTATATTACAGAGAAAATAGTCTTCAGGTATTTTTCTTTCTTTTTAGCTTACAAATCCATTCACAGATCTTTATTTTGATGCCTGTTTAGTTTAGGCAACCACTGAAATTCATAAAACAGTCTGCTGATTGGGGCTCCTGCCTCCAGTCTGAAGGAGCACAGGAAATTTCACCCTAAAATAAGGCTCCTTGGCATATTGAGTATTTTGAATTAAAAACTCTTAGAGATCCACAGGGCTTGAAAAAGACTTTTCCCCTATCTACATAAAGACCAGACGAATCTACAAAGGCACAGGCATTTGGATGCCACTGGGATATTGGGTGATCACTCTGTAATTTTCCCTGTGTACATGATTAAATAAGTTTGTATGCTTTTTCTCTTATGAATTTGCCTTATTGGACTTGATTTTTTCAGTGAACCCACCAAAGGTAAAAAGGAAGTTTTCCCTTTGCCCCAACAAGTCTGTTGTCTCTAAATCCCACCTCCCTAAAATCCAATCTTTGCTCTTTGACCAGAGTGGTAGTTTAAAATGAAAACCTAATACTATAATTCCCCTTCATAAAACCTTTAATAGTCCTCCACGGCCCTACAAATACAATCTAATCCCTTAGCATAAAGTACAATCTCCCATTATAAATTGTCCCTTACTCTTCATCTATCACCACCTTCTCTTTTCTTATGCAATATATTCAACTAATGTGTATTAGCTAGAATGATTTATTTCTTTTTTCTCCTTCTCATTCCAGTGTCTATTTATCCCTTTCACTCCATTTCATCCTCTTAACTCATACTTCTTCCTGGAGTGTTGGCCTAAACATTTCTTCATTTTCAATTCTGGGTTCAGTGTCCTTCTTGTGTATTATCACAGCATCGCCTATCCCACTAGAACATGTACTATATTTCCATGGCTTATCTCCCTTTTTCTATCCTCCAAAAGACAATAGAGGTTTTGAAGGAAGACACGGAATTTGATTCACATTTGGAGCTCAATTAATATTTGTTTAATTGATAATGAATTTGGGTTACACAGAAATTTGTGCTCAGGAAGTATTGTCCTTTCAGTCCTTATGGAAAATCTACTAGTACAGAATCTTATTCCAAATAAGTTTAAGATGGTTTCTATTTGTTTTTTTCACAAAATAGGAAAGACTTACTGATGATTTTTTCAAGATATGTTTAAGTTTAAGATGGTTTCATTTGTTTTTTCACAAAATAGGAAAGACTTACTGATGACTTTTTCAAGATATGTTTCTTGCAGAAATATCAAATGCCTTACCGTTTGTATGACAACTCAATTTAGCGCTGAAATTGCTGTTGAGCAGAGCCAAACTTTAAATCCAATAAAAGTATAAAAATGTTGACATATCAATTCCTTATGCACTCACACATAGAACAAGGAAAATGGACTGCTTGGAAAAATAACAATTGCCTGAGATAGTCCAGTAGATCCAATTTTAATGAGTTAATGTCAATAAGCACATTACAGGAAAACTGGCTCATTGTAACTACTTCATACCACTGGGATAACTTTACAAAAGTTTGAACTAGCTGTTGCAAAGCAAATTTTATTAGATTCTTTACCTCTTTAAGAGTATAATTAATTTGGTTTTGTAATTTCTCTTTGAATAAAAGGCTCTAAAATTCTTTAACGATTTGCTTTTTGATAAATTTCAGAATAAAACTTATACATGTTTCAATATATGTAAATGTATATGCATGTGTATATATGTTAAAATATGGGTATGCAGTGTATATGCATACATCAGAAAAATTAATTTTTAAAATTAATATGAAAGTTATTAGGTGATATCTTAATAATCTGACAGTAAACTAAGTTTCTCAAAAAAAGAAGCTGACAAACAGGTAAAATATAAATTGTTGAGAACAGACATTAAACTTTTCACCTATTTGACAGGTGACACAAAAAGTACAAAATTTAAAACTTATAATTGCATCAATTAGGATAAAATGTCAGAGCAAGAAGTGGAAAACATAACCAATAGTGACTTAAATATATAGGAGTAGTTTACCACCAACCTGCCAAAAAGAAATTCAAAGGAAGATGATTCCTTAAATTAGTTCTCCAGTTTAACAAAGTCAGAATCAGTGATTTCCTTTCCTTCATAATAACATGATCTTATCAAGCATCAGATTACACATTCATCTTAAGCATCAGAATAAAATGGTGAGAATTTAGCCAAGGCTAAACATTTTAATTGAGAAAGTGAAATCTGTCAGAGAGCAACCAGACGTCCTCACACATCTCATTAATGCGAGTTGTTTCTCAGGTCACAACTAGCTGAAAAGGAGACAAAGAAAGTAAGCATTTCCATTTCCGAGCTTGTATAAAAAAGATAGGCAAGGGAAAAGGTAGAGCAAATAGATGATGCTTTATCCATCATTGTATGATTGAATGGTTGCAAATTTTATACTCCACTTAGTAATATCTCACTTCCATAAAAGGGAACTTATCTGGTTCACAAAAGCAAGGAAGGAAATGTGAACACCATTTAAGTCTTTCTCAACATTGCCTATTGTGTACTCTTCACGAAGGAACATGTGTTTCATGCTATTTTTCTGAAATACTGCACTAAAACCTTGGTAAGGATTATGTTCTCTACTAAAGTCATGCTTGACCTTATCAGTGTGAAAGTTTTTTTTTTTGACCCAGAAAACTTACTTTTTTTACTTTTTCAAGACAATGTCTTTAAACTTTCAGCACAATTGCAATAGTTTAACCCTCATTATTCTCACTCATATTTTACATGATGGAATATGTTAAAATATCTTGGTGAGAAGAACTGCAAAACACTGCTGGAAAAAATCATAGATGACAGAAACAAATGGAATAGAATGAATCAATATTGTTAAAATGGCCATACTGCCTAAAGTAATCTACAGATTCAATGATATTCCTATGCAACTACCAATATCGCTCTTCAAAGAATTAGAAAAACCTATTCTAAAATTCATATGGAACCAAAAAAGAACCCAAATAACCAAAGAAATCCTAAGCAAAAAGAACAAAGCCAGAGGCATTGCACTATTCGACTTCAAACTATGCTCTAAGGCTACAGTAACCAAGACAACAGAGTACTTGTAGAAAAAAAGACAAATAGACCATTGGAACAGAATAGAGAATATAGAAATAAAGCCACACACGTACAGCCATCTGATCTTCAATGAAGTTGACAAAATAAGCAGTACAGAAAGGACTCCCTTTTCAATAAATGGTGTTTGAATAGCTGGCTAGCCATACACAGAGGAATAAAAGTGGACCCCTATCTTTCACCATATACAAAAAATTTACTCAAGATGGATTAAAAATTTAAATGTAAGACTTCAAACTATCAAAATCCTAGAAGAAAACCTAAAAAATACCATTCTGAACATTGGCCTTGGGAAGGACTTTATCCCTAAGTCCTCAAAAGCAATTGCAAAAATAAATAAATAAATAAATAAATAAATAAATAAATAAAACAAACTAGGAAAAGTAGAACCCAATTAAACTAAAGAGCTTCTGCACAGCAAAAGAAACTATCAACTGAGTAAACAGACAAACTACAGAATGAGAGAAAATATTTGCAAACTATGCATCTGTCAGAGGTCAAACATCCAGAATCTATAAGAAACTTTAACAATGCAATGAGCAAAAGCACATGAACAGACATGTCTCAAAAGAGGACATACTAATAAGGTTTGGCTGTGTCCCCACCCAGATGTCATCCTGAACTCCCACATATTGTGAGAGGGACCCAATGGGAGGTAATTGAATCATGGGGGGAAATCTTTCCTGTGCTGTTCTCATGATAAATCTCACAAGATCTGATGGTTTTAAAAAAAGAAGTTCCCCTGCACAAACCCTCTCTCTTTGCCTGCTGCCATCCTTGTAAGATGTGACTTGCTCCTCCTTGCCTTCCACCATAATTGTGAGGCTTCCCCAGCCACATGGAGCTGTAAGTCCAATTAAACCTCTTTCTTTTGTAAATTGCCCAGTCTCAGGTATGCCTTTATCATCAGTGTGAAAACGGATTAATACACATGCAAAGAACCAAAAACTTGAAAAAATGTTCAACATTGTTAATAATCAGAGAAATGCAGATCAAAACCACAACACCATATCATCCCACACCCATAACACCATATCATCTCACACCCATAACACCATATCATCTCACACCCATAACACCATATCATCTCACACCCATAACACCATATCATCTCACACCCATCAGAATGGTTATTATTTAAAAAGTCAAATAATAACAGATGTTGGCAAGGCTGCAGAGAAAAGGGAATGGTTAAACACTGTTGGTTGGAATGTAAATTAGTTCAGCTACTATGAAAAGCAGTGTGGAGATTTCCCAAAAAAAATTGAAACAGAATTGCCATTTGGCCCAGCAATCCTGTTACTGGGTATATACCTAAAGGAAAATAAATCGTTCTACCAAAAAGACACATGTACTCATATGTTCATAGCAGTACTATTCACAATAGCATTGACATAGAATCAACCCAAGTGCCTATAAACAGTGGACCAGACAAGGAAAAAGTGGCACATATACACCATGGAACACCACACAGCCATAAAAAAAGAATGAAATTATGCCTTTTGAAGCAACAAAAATATATATAACCAGGGAAGCCCTTGCTCCTACCTTGTTATGATTGTAAACTGTTAGGCCAAACTGTCATTCACTGCTAGCGTAGTTTTTCTGTTTAGGGGTCGACCCTGTAGCCCTTCTTTAGCATGATGGAGAAATTGAAATGCAAACACTTTGGCACAGATGTAGGATATAGTAAGTCAGAGGAAAATTAACTACATCAACAATCATTGCTGGGAAAGCAATAGCACATCCATGATATATCAAGGACCTCAGATTCAAACCTTGCAGTTGCCCAGGATTGATTGTTTAAATGGCTGGGCAAGAATTTGTTGCAGCAGAATATTGCAGAAGGCAAATCTTATTTTGAAAGATCAGGCTGCAGGGGATAAGCTAATATGGGAGAAAATAATAAAACAATGTAAATGTAATATCTTACAATGTCAGTTTTTTTTAAAAAAAATACTTATAACAGGTTTTAATTATATATGCTAATTCTGAATCCTGGTAAGAATGAGTTCATGTGTTAGAGTTGCTCAAAATTTCATACTCTCTGACAAAGATTTTTAAGATATATTGCAAAAATGTATAAAAATTGTATTGCTGGATCTTGTGAAAGTTGGAAGCTTGTATAATGTAGAGATGAAATAGCTCTTATGCTATACTGAGAAAGTTTAAATGAGAAAAGAAAATTAACATTTTCTTATATGACATTAGTTTAGAATTAATTCGTCTCTCCTGAAAAATATATTTTGAACTATGCTATAATATTTATATCACAATTATTAAGATTTGTTATAATGTTATAAAACAATTGTTGTTCTGTAATTTAACTAGGTCCTAATAATGTTTTTGTCATTCTTAATTTTAATCTCCAATTATACCTTTAACTTTTAACAAAATATATATAATTAAGTCTCTTTTTACATACACTTTTCAAGCAGCAGTATATTTCAGTGACATTCCCTGAAGGAACATAATTTTTAGTATCACAGCATAAATCAAAACTGCCATGAAAGAGGCACTGGTCATTACCTCATGTATTTAATAACTGCAGGAGGAAAGAAGATATGTGATTACAATTTTTCGTTCAAGGGAAAATAGCTTTTATTTTTTTCACAAATAGCTACTTTCTTTTTGAAACACTGAAAACCTTATTGTGGTGTCTTATTAACTCTTATGTCCTTGGAAATTTCTTCCCATGAACAACTGGGTATAATTAGGAATGAAAGGATGAAAGCATTGTTTATGAAAATGAAAACATTTACCTCTACAGAAAATATCTAAACAAATCATAAGACAGCAATCTCCTTGTTTACCACCCTGAGTAAAGGAGAGCAGAGATTTCACAGGCTACCCTGATGTCATACCAGGATGAGTAAGCCTTGTCCTCAAGCCATTAGGCTTGATGCCCACTGTCGTGAAAGAATTGAGGAAGGGAATCCACCATGCTCCCTTCCTTGCTGTTATGAAAGAGGAATTCACCCTTTCACTACCTAAAGTCATGCCCTCCATCTGCTCTTTGGATTCTGTTGTTTACCTGCTGCCTAGAGAACTTGTCAATCATATTTTTCTTTCCTATACATTCTATCAGTCTTGCTATAATGTTATCTGTCACATTAACTTCCACATAGGCTCATGTTTCTTCCATTTGATGATAAAAATAAAAGTAAAACCACACCTTCAAACACAAGGTTTTTTAAGTTTCCACTCCTAAGTCATCCTATTTCTCATTTCTGCTTCATGACTCTACTTTTTTAAAGAGTTGTCTAAAAGCTCTTTTTCTTTTTATTTATTTATTTATTTATTTTTAATTTTATTTTCTTATTATACTTTAAGTTTCAGGGTACATGTGCACAATGTGCAGGTTTGTTGCATATGTATAGATGTGCCATGTTGGTGTGCTGCACCCATTAACTCGTCATTTAGCATTAGGTATATCTCCCAATGCTATCCCTCCCCCGTCCCCCATCCCACAACAGTCCCCAGTGTGTGATGTTCCCCTTCCTGTGTCCATGTGTTCTCATCGTTCAATTCCCACCTATGAGTGAGAACATGCGGTGTTTGGTTTTTTGTCCTTGCAACAGTTTGCTGAGAATGATGGTTTCCAGCTTCATCCATGTCCCTACAAAGGACATGAACTCATCATTTTTTATGGCATAAAAGCTCTTTTTCCATATCCTCTCCTCCAAGGCTACATAGGCTTTCCAGTCAGTAGCTGCAGTGTGCCATGCTTCCTCACACCACAGGATTTATTGTCTTCACTAATTATTTCCTCTGTAATACTTTCCATTGCACATTTACTATTGATGCTTCACCTAGTTAGGTGCTGCTCATATTATTTTTATTATTATTATTTTATCAGAGATGGGGTCTTGCTATGTTGCCCAGACTAGACTCAAATTCCTGTGTTCGGGTGATCATCACGCCTCAGCCTTCTAAGTAGCTTTGACTACAGATATGTGCCACCCTGCCCAGCTTGTTCATCCCTTAGCTATCAGCTCAAGCATCACTTCCTCAGAAACTTTGTTTTTAATTTCACAATAGTTACTCATCAAATTGTATTGCTTTTCTTATATCACTTTTCTGTCTGTGATCACTGATTCATCAGTGTGCTATTTTGATTACTGTGCTATTTTGATTTCTGGCCCTAATAGCAGTAATATCGGTAAGAATAGGGGAGTGTATTTGTTGCCTACTCGTCTGGAATCTCCAACATTAGGCATCATTGGCACATAGTAGGCACTCAACAGATAGTACTTAACATATAGTTTCAAGTCAGAGTCAATGAGTAAGAAATGATTAATTTGGTTCATTTATGTAGATAAAGTAATCTGGTGATGAATCAACAAAATATGAAGATTTCACACTTATGATTTTTAAAGCAGTCTTGAAAATGCAAGGGGTATTATTAATCTCAAACCAAACATCTTCACTGCACTTTGGGGAATGATAAAACACACCAAAAAAGAAAAACCTCTTAAAATTTCAGTGGAATAGCATGCATTTTTAATGCATAGGTTTTGTTCATCCTTGAAAGTAGAAATACACTATGTATTAGATTTCTGGAAACTTTAATTTGCACACTACTATAATATGCAGGATTTCATGTAAAATAACCTGCAAGAGCTAATGGAATATAAATCTTAAATAGGTGTACTATGAGTCACTAAAATTATGTATAACTTTTCAATGAAAAGATTTTTATGCAATCTATGGTACTCTCATAATTGTTATTGAGATTTTTATATTTTTTCTAATTAATATTGCACAGGATTCTGTAATAATCTGAAACATTCTAAAAATGACTCAGAGAGTTATACTCTTACCCATAGAATTTTTCATAAAATAGCATACTCTATAAAATGGCTATATTTTTATTCTGCAAACTCTGATACAAAATTTAAATGGAAAATATCTAAAATGATTTACTGTTGTTTATTGTAATTCAAACTGTAAAATAAAAATATATAATCACATCCATAAAACCAAATGATACATTTTATGTTAAGAGACTCTCAGTAATTCTGAAAATAATGATACATTCAAATGGTAGAGTTTAGATTAACGTAAGCCTTGAGAATGGAAACTAAAACAAAAAATACAAGGTACCCAATACTTTGATGGCAAATGCTTAACAGACTCTAAAATGTCATGGCATTAATGGCTATTATATTTTCATTCTGTATTTGGGCAGTTTCTCTCAATTTTACTTGCTACCCTGCTTCTTTTTGTTAATAATCATAATATCTTTCTGTGAAACATACTTTATTTGGGGAGTAATCCAAACACTAAGTCAGGGTGCCAGAGACTGATAAGGGCCTGGTGCTTAGTATTCATTGTTACCCCTGGAGAAATACACAATATAAAGGAGGCAAATGAGAGTGATCATACTGAACCTTAAATGAGCTATATCAAGCTATTGTTTTCCAACAGACTCTTCAAAGCACATCTTTTTATAATTTTCCTGATGAAATATTCCAGCTTATTAGACAGCCAACTGTTACAGCGGTAATGTGTCCTCATTTAACAATATTAAACCCAAATGGCTATCAATGTTCAGTGCTCCTCTTTGTCACAGTAATAACCTTTATTTCACATTTTAATATTTTCTCAGTGGCAATGTCCTAAAGAATTGATTTATTTAGACTTTCTCTGGTAACATACAACATTGAATACCTCACTTTCACCCATTGAGATACAGAGGAGAAGCAATAAGTATTGTTAGGATAGAGAATGAGTCAAAGCTCATATTCGATTCAAAGCTGAATTATAATTCAATATAAAATTATTTGTTTACAATTCTGGAGTATTGTAATCAAATTAATGTTGATATTGAGTTTTAAAAATATCATTTACTGCAAATAATATGAAACTTTTTCTTTCAACTAGATTACCTTAATCAATACCTGGATTAAATTAATTCATAACCTAACATATAGGTAGCAGTCAAAAATGCCAAAATATAGAGCAAAACTGGCTTTTTTGGTAAAGAAAAAAATCACAAACCCTAAATGTATCTATTTTGAGTACATTATAATTCAAGATAATTTTACTTAAAGTCATCTTTGGATATTATAAGCAGTGAGGTATCACATTGTTGCCACCAGTATTCGACGATTAAAATTTTCATTAAGCAACTCTTAATGTGTGGTAATATTTGGCATATACATGGAGATACAATTATAAATGCTCCTTATGGATGACATATAATATTCACAAAATATTAAAGCATACTGTAACCAAAAGACTGACATTGATGATGTACGGTAAACAAATACATAATTGGGAAACTTTTATACTGAGCTGCAAAATGCAAGTCATCTTGGGTTAGATTTGCAGATTTTTTTCTTGGACAGAGATGACACAGGTGCTTGCCTGTATGATGTGATGATGATGGTGGTGGCAGGGGTGGTTGTGACAATGGTGGTGAAATGTCAGGTCCCATTCTGGATAATTTTTGTCTTTTTTCTCATGTAAGCCTCACTTAGATTTCTTAAGAAAATTATAAATATCTACATTACAGAATTATAGAAAAATAGGCTATGAAACATTAAATAGCTTTCTCAAGTTCACAAATGCAGATTGCTTAGTTCCAAACCACAGCATTGCTTTCAAGAACAGAAGTTTCAGAATTACCCTGTGTAGCCAAAATCACACTGTGACTCTGATTTCAATCCCTAAACCTATGCTTAGCTCAAATTGTTTTATTAATCAAAAAGGTCTATAAATTAATTTTTTCAAAAAGACTTCAAAGATAATGATATCAAGACAGACATATTAACCTGCTCAAAATGAATCAAGCAACACTCTACTCCTTAGCAGCTCTCTTTTTTAGATAGAAAGCACTTTTGAGGAAACTTCAACTAGACCCAGATACACGTAGGAAGCAGTATTTTTTTTATACAATGTAATGAACGAAGTGAATGTTGGCATTGAAATATCTTCACAGGTGTTGTGTAGATCCCACATGAGTCATTCCGTCTATACAATTCCAAGATAGAGGCATTACTATCCCCACCTACATGAGAGCACAGACTTCATGCTTTGTAGGAATACTTTATCACATTGGTGCCAATTTTTAATAAAATATATTATAATTGCATGTTTCTCTCTGGTCAAAATAGTAATAGTAACAATAAAAACAAAATAAATGTACACAGGAAAATATCTGGAGAAATTTAACATTGATAAGATATTTCAAAGTTAGATAGCCTTTTAATTGGAAGGAAATTAGGAGAATAAATAGCACAAGGATTAATAAAGCTGGTTGGAAATCAGAACACTGAGGCATCATTAAAAATTGTATAGTCCTTGATTAACTTTAGTATATTCAGTACTAGGTGAAATGCAGGAAGTGTACTTTTAAAGCTTTCCCAAATTTTTCGATATAGCTGATTCTAGCATTTGGAAGCCACTTGGAGTTTCAACTTCTCCCATTTTACATGTAAGAAAAATATTTTTCCCTTGCATACAAAGAGGCAAATGTATTTACTACACTTAAACCATTTTTAAATTATACAGAATATTTCTAGACTTTAACATTGATTGTATAGAATCAATTCAATCTGGTATCTTTAATAAGATTTGGCATATAGTATCTAATGCAGTATCTATCCCTAAGTAAATCATAGAGAAAATAATGAAAGGAAAACTCATGAATTAACTTGATGAACAAAACAACCTAGTTCTATAATTACAAAATTTCAGAGAGATTAAGAAGTAGCAAATAATTTTATATTTTCATGAAAGGATATGGCTATATTTAACTTACAAGGATGCTATTTGCATGACTAAGTTAGATATATGAAACAATAATCATTATAAACAAGAATCAAAACCAATAATGGAAAATCCTGCCATAATTATGTATCTAAAAGTTTAAAGAGCATATTTTCATCAAAACATGATTAAAGCAATAATAAGAAGGTGAAGTTTAAAAAAGCATAGATTAATGTGATTACTTGTAGTCAAGGAAAATGCTAGGGGTGATGTACTCTTACTTTTTTAAATAAAACATTCTTGGAATAGTAATTAGAAGATTTGTTAATGACTTCTTTTTGCCAAATGTACATATTTTGTGTTAATCTCATTTTGGAATTGAACAGAATTATAAATTATAGAAGAAATCTTATCCAAGTGATAGATGATTCCATATGCAATCAATAATTAATCATCTTTTTATATTTTATTTATTTTAATGTTCCCATGTAGGCCTCTAATGACTAATTTTTTTAAAGAAACCACTACAAATTCAATTTTCCCCCATCTCTTATTATATATTAGCTTTTTATCAGGCGTTGATATTGTACAGTATGCCATCATTTAAAAAATAGCATACTTATTAAATTTGAGAGTATGAAATTCTATTGTACAATATCTGAATTAAACAATTAAACAAATAAACATTAATAATATATTATGTGCCCTTTTATGTGATACATAATGTAGAAACTGGTGAATAAAACAACCTTCAGAGACACACAGTCCAGTACATTGGGTCTCAATACATACATTAGAAGAAATTCAAAGAATTGTTTTTAAGTAACTGCTTCTCACTAGTTATCACTGATTTTAATGCCAAGAGTTACAATAAATTATACTCACACAAAACTCTCTTCTAAGTTAACATAGCGCTATTAATCCCTAGAGTAGCGACAATGCCTTAAGCCTTAATATGATTAATTATGTTATAATTAGTTTAGAGACAGGCCACTCTCACCTTTACAATTTTTTTTCTCAAGTACATTCTCCAATTTTCACTGCTATAAGCATAATAGAATGCATTGCCTGTCTTGAATAAAGCAACTATGAAACAATCATTTGAACCAGAAAGCTTTCTATTGACCCGGAGATATAAAATTATTCACCCCACAGAATAATGTACTTATAGCTGACCAGAATACAGTAGTGTCAAAAAGAAGAGTAAAGGACATCAATACAGAGCAAACTTGATTTTCTTTTAGCTCATGAATTTATATATATAAAAGGCAGAGACAAGACAATATTTTTTCATGGAATATGTTTATATTTTCATCATATTATATTTGTATGAAATATTAGGAACAAACAGTGCTGCTTTACAGTGTCACTGGCTAATTACATGTCTCATATAAAGAGTATTATTTTATAACAATATTTAAAATGAATATCACACTTGTTTGATAATTTGACCTTCACAAATATTTGCATAAGATAAAAAATAAGAAGAAATCTTAAGCCAGTTTCCAGCTTAATAAAAAGAAGCTCTTTATGTTTCCTCTGCTATTTAATTCCTTTAGTATATAATTGGTTCCACATAATAATATTCAGCCCTACATTCATTAAATAAAAAGACATGCATTATTGCCCCAATAACTCAGAATGGAGACCTGTGTAGCAATTTTTGACTATGAAGGAATTTGAAAGCACATATGACTCCCTTTATGCCCACATAGAACAGCTCATAACATCTCACTGATAGGTTTAATTGTTCATGCTCATTAATTTTTTCATTCAATGTCCTTTCATTTTTGTATCTAAAGGACTTAGTGTTCCAAGCTAAAGTTGAAAAGTGAAAAAAATACAACAAAATGTTGTTATTCTCTACAAGAATTAAAGGAACATTTTTCTCCCTGAAATAAATGTAACTATGTGTATTTCTCCATGCAGCTGTCGAACTGAACTGTGACATGGCCAATTCGTTCTTTTCAGCTGTCCTTATGATGGATCCACAAGCTCTGTCCTTTCCAAGCTGATTTATTATTTTTTTTGTTTTGCTACTAAAGTTGGATGATTTGGGTAGCTCACAAAAAAGATGTTTGTTTGCTGACCTAGTTAAATGACATGGTTACCTTTGTATAAACAAATGATAATCCCTCTTCCACACACGGAGATGCATATCTTAAATCTGTCAGTAACTAGAGCTAAAGGATTCTGTATTGTTCTTTATACTTAACTAGAGAAAAGCAATAACACAAATAAGGAAATGGCATTTTGTTCAGACATTGGACATCTTGTCAATTCAAGTGTCATCAAGAATTAAATAGGTAAGTCACCTAATTTAAAAGGATAAATACAAATCAAAAACATAAGGGGCAAAAAACATTGGTCAGACATTTTAATAAATATAGACTGTCTGGGTAGCAGTTATATATCCAATCTGAGTCAAACATTCTGTTTCATATATTTTTAAGAGGAAATGTACTTTTAACAACTTTATTCTACAATTTCATCCTCTTTTAGAAAAGCTAACAGCAATGTTCTCATTCAGATGTTGAGTGCTTTAAAAGGCCAGACCTCATCACTTCCAATAAGTGCTCTGTGGCTTAAACCTGCATACTGAACACAAGCCATAATTATACTTGAAGTACTCCCTTGCATTTCTTCAAAATGATCTATTTCTTTCCACTTATCCATAAATAGTCAATTACATTTTCTATTTTTCTACAATCACTTCATTTTCACAAACTATTTCAGAAATTTTCCTTCTCTATTTATCTCCTTATAGTTTAGTTGGTTTCCATAAATTTAAAACATTCAAAACTAGCATTATAAAACATTAGGAAATATTCTTTACATTATGAGGAAAAACAAGTACCATGGATTACTGTCGTATATCTAAAGTTTAGAGTACACTATTCACTAAGACTTGAGTAAATATAATATAAATGTTTGTTTAGTCTGACTATAAATTATAAAATTTATTGAATAAAATAGTTGAGTTCCACCAGCCATACTTTATATTAAGTTGTAACACAGTATTTCAAATGATGAGTTTCTACAATCTAGGCCCATGTAGACAGCAGCAGCAATAACTGCTATATTGTTTCATATAATAACAAAATTTATCTGAATGAGAAAAAGCAGTAAAGAATGGCTTAGGGATATTTCAGTTGTTGCCAAAGTCTGGAACCAGGTTAGTGAATGGTCTGGAGATATTTTACCTGGTTTATTACATTACACTTGTTGAACATTCCATCATATGTGAATACCAGTTCCTTGGTGGTAATACTGTATTCTACTTGTGAATTTTCTATGCTGTATTTGGTAAGTTTATTTTGCATCCATAGTACAAAGATTATAGATATGCATCTGATATGAAAAGGCTAGAAACCTTGATAGCAGTATGGCAGACTGACTAATTTGAAAATTATTTGTTCATAATATATTATTTAATTACCTTTCAATGTAAACCAAAAAGAAATAGGACATACAATACAGACTAATTATATTTAGAGTTTGAACACGTGCTAACATATTAAAATTCCTTAAGAAAAGCTTGTCATATCTAGGTAGAGGTGAATCCATGTGTTTTGATCATTTTAATTAAACCAAATTGACTTGATCTAAAACTCTCTATCTGCAAATAATGCAGTTCTCTAAAGTGGACTTTTCACATATATTCCATAAAATATAGTAACTCTGAATAATACAACTGTGAATTTAAAACCAAAATTAGATTACATCTGTAAAAAATTGTATTATTGTTAAGTTGAAAAAATTAAAACTATACAAATTAAAAGATGCTAAAAATAGGGTGAATTTTTATTTATATTAATATTCTATATTAGGACACCATAAGTACAATTGTCTTTTATAAGATATTTTGTTTTCTCACAAAATGTTTTGTCATGAGTGAACATATGGCTATTCAGAGATTTAACAGAATCAGGCCTACTAGAATTATTCAGCAATGTTGCTCTCCTGACAAGCCCAAAGAGTTTTTAGATATTTTCTGCACAAAAGATCCAAAATTGACATGTACTTGCATGAATATTTCAAATCAAAGTAGAAAATCAAATCAAATCAAATAAAATGACACAACACTTTACTGAGTCTTAAAGTTAACTTCTTCTACGGAAATATTATAACTAGATATGGTAAGGTTTAGGTGTTTCATTTTCTTTTCTAGTTTTATTGTTTAAATTTTGATTAATGGTCATTAATCACTCATCAATTAGGCCCTGGCACTTCAGAGCCTATCTTCACTTGCATAAATTGTTTTCACTGTTCATATCTTGGAAGCACAAAAGCTGGCATAAGAACTTCAAATTTGAATTAATCGACCCCAAGCATACTTACACAGAGATGGTGGTTGTTGGAATAAATGCATCTAGATAGCTCATCAGTTTCTATATTTGTTTACGTTTAATAGTCACAGTGTTCCCTCATTAACTGAATCAGAAGTTTGGAATGGAGTTTAGTAATCTGATATGTTAACAAGTTCTCTTCTTTATTCTTATGGGTAATGAAGTTTGAGAACTACACTTTTAAAAGTGAGGCTGAATAAAGGCATGGCACAATGGCTCATGCCTGTAATCCCAGCACTTTGGGAGGCTGAGGAGGGTGGATGGCTTGTGCTCAGGAGTTTGAGACCAGCCTGAGCAACATGGTGAAATCCTGTCTCTCCAAAAAATTACAAAATTTAGCAGTACTGGTGGCCCACCTGTAATCCCAGTTACTTTGGTCTATGTGTCTGTTTTTGTACCAGTACCATGCTGTTTTGGTTATTGTAGCCCTGTACTATAGTTTGAAGTTGAGCAGAGTGATGCCTCCAGCTTTGTTCTTTCTGATTAGGATTACCCTGGCTATTCAGGCTCTTTTTTGGTTCCATATAAATTTTAAAATAGTATTTTCTTGTTCTGTGAAGAATCTCAATGGTAGTTTAACAGGAATAGAATTGAATCTATAAATTGCTTTGGGCAGTATGGCCATTTAATGATATTGATTCTTCTTATCCATGAGCATGGAATGTTTTTCTATTTGTTTGTGTCATTTCTGATTTCTTTGAGCAGTATTTTGTGGTATTCCTTGTAGAGCTCTTTTACTTCCCTAGATAGCTGTATTCCTCAGTATTTTATTATTTTTGTGGCAACTGTGAAAGGGAATATGTTTTGATTTGGCTCTCAGCTTGACTCTTGTTGATGTACAGAAATGCTAGTAATTTTTGCACGTTGATTTTGAATCTTGAGACTTGCTGAAGTTGTTTATCAGCTTAAAAAGCCTTTGGGTGGAGACTATGGATCTCTCTAGGTATATAATCATGTCATCTGCAAACAGGGATAGTTTGACTTTCTGTCTTTGTATTTGGGTGCCCTTTATTTCTTTCTCTTGCCTGATTGCTCTGGCAAGGACTCCCAATATTATATTGAATAGATATAGTGAGAGAGGGTATCCTTGTCTTGTGATCGTTTTCAAGGGGAATGCTTCCAGCATTTGCCTATTCCGTATGATGTTCGCTGTGAGTTTGTTATAGATAACTTACTATTTTGAGGCATGTTCCTTCAAAACCTAGTTTACTGAATTTTTAACATGAAGGAGTGTTGAATTATATCAAAAGCCTTTTCTTCATCTACTGAAATAATCATGTGTTTTTTTGTCATTATTTCTGTTTACGTGGTGAATGACATTTATTGATTTGTGTATGTTGAACCAACCTTGCCTCTTAGGGATACAGCCTACTTGACTGTGGAGGATAAGCTTTCTGATTTGCCACTGGTTCAGTTTGCCAGTATTTTGTTGAGGATTTTTGCATCGAAGTTCATCAAAGAAATTGGCCTGAAGATTTCTCTCTCTCTTTTTTTTTTTTTTTGTTTCTCTGCCAGGTTTTGGTATCAGGATGATGCTGGCCTTATAGAATGAGTTAGGGAGGAGTCCCTCCTCCTCAGTTTTTTGGAATAGTTTCAGCAGGAATGGCATGAGCTCTTCTTTGTACATCTGGTAGAAAAAACTATATACCATGATCTTTGAAGAGACAGAAAGCATTCTCACTGATTTATTTTAACATTAGTAAACAGTATATACATGGAATTGTAGAATTATACTTCTAAATACCTTTACAGTTTAGAAATCTCATTAAGCAGTTAAACCTTAGTGTAGCGCCTTTTATAGTGTAGTATTCAGTTATTCTTTTTGAGGAAGAGGTGGAGGACCAGCTGAAGAACACCGAAGAATCATATCCACAATCAGACATGTTGGTAAACACTAATCTGCTGGCTGCTTGTTTGAAGTTTTGAGTTCATCTTTATTGATGCATGCTTTATATCTCGCTCCTACTCTACCCTATATCCTTGCACTACTAAGCCTGCATCTCCTATTCTGAGATGAGAACACTTCTTTGTCCTAACCCAATATTTCTCAAACTGTTTGATGAAAGAAATATTTGGAGATAACTGGCAAACGCACAGAATTCAAAGCCCTACCTAAGTCTACATTTTCAGAGCCTCCTGGAATAGTGTCTAGAAACTGCAAAATAATAATCTACAAGTACCTCTGATGATTTTTATTATGCTGCAGTCAAGGTTATTGCTCTTTACCTTATTATCTGATTCACAATATTCCTTCTCCTTCAACACTTCTAATTGATCTCAGTAAGCATAATATATCACATGGATAAGTCTGCGTTTCTCTGTTCTTTGATCATCAGCGTACATTTCCTCCCTTTTACTTTTGCCACAAACTCTTTAAAAACTATCATCACCAGTATGAAAAGGAAAACTGAGGCAGGTAAAATTTTTAAAGAGTTTATTTGCTGAAACAGTGATTCATGTATTGGTCCTCTCCAAAACAGAAGTGGTTTGGGGGCTCCATTGAGGGAACACAAAGCGAATGCTTTTATAGAGTAAACACAGAAGTAAAACAAACAGACAAAAAAATTGATTGGTTATGGTTATTCAGTTGCCTTCTTTGACCTATTCTGCTGAAAAGTCTGCAGTTATATAACTTTAAGTTAGTTAGCAGCTTCTATTGGCTAGCCTTAAGTTTCATTTTTCTTTCTATAGACATTTATAAAACATAGCTTAAGTTTTGCTTCTGTTTGCAGATCTAGCAAGGTTATTGTTACTTATGAGGCCTAACTGGCTTTGTCTGTTTAGAGTTTCTTCTGACCTGGTGTCCATCTTAACTTGCTTTAACACCAGAAACAGTAGAACTTCTAAAAATCACAAATTCATGCATTCAGTTCAAACCATTATTTTTCATCTATTCACGTTTCCTCCTAAAGTGGCCTCATAGAAACAACTTTTCACTCTCATGGGAAAAAAGAATACACGCACTCCAACCCTACATTTTTATGTGGACAGTCCAATGTTTGCTTTCTTCTTTATCCAGTGTAGATTCTATGGTTCATTATCACAATCCCTCTCTTGAAAATGTCCTTAATTACCTTGTCCATTTGGCCTTCAGATATATTTGTCTGGTACTCTAATCACTGGTAAACCCAAACATTTATTTTCTGTATGTTTTACTAATGGAATTACTTATTCCTGAAGAAAATTCCACATCCTGCAATGAGAATGTTAATGTAAATTTATGAATACTAACATCATGTGGGCACTTAGCAAAGATCATCTGCTCACTCTCTACACATATCGTATTCTACCTTTTCCTCTTTCCTCAAACCTGCCATACTTTTCTCTCTGCTGATGACTTTAACTCTTATGTGATTGAGAAAATAAAAGCTGTGAGACACAGATCCCTTCATCTTTTTTTTAGCTGAAATGCTCAACAGATTTGCCTCTGAGTCTATTTTTATTTTCTCTTCTTCTGTGAAAGTGAAAGTGTTTCGTGTTTCACCCTCAGTCAAAGACTGTTTCTCCACAGATGCTATGGATCACATTTAAATGACTTGCACTGCACTTATTTCTAAAGCATTATTTACATCTTCTTCTCAAATGAACCATTCACTTGAGCCCAGGAGTTTGAGGTTGCAGCGAACAATGATCACACCACTGCATTTCAGCCTGGGTGACAGAGCAAGAACTCGTTAAAAAAAAAAAGAAAGAAAGAAAGAAAGAGAAGGAAGAAAAAAAGCTCTCTCTTTCACTTCTAAATCCCCAAAAAGCTTCTAAAAATTTAGTTTTCTTCAAAAATCCATCTTTTGGTTGTTTATATTTTTTATTATGCCATCCATATGTGGTTCCATTCATACCCATCATTTAAATGCCATCTATTTGACAACTGCTTCCAACATAGTATGTATGATATAAAACACTTATCTGAGTCTCCAAATTATATATTTAAATACCTGATTTGATTCTGTCTATAAATATTTAGTAAATATCTGAAATATAACAAAAATTTAACTGTTGTTTTTCCCCATATTCCATCACTTGCTTCCCCTCTCAAATAAACTGTGAGACTCCCTTAATTAATTTCTTTCCATTTTGCTCCCTATTTGTCAGTCAAGAATATAGATTCAATCTCTAGTGTTATCATAAGATGATATTATCAATCTGGTTTCCTTCGTCTGCTCTGACATCACTGATATCATGTCTAGACATCTTTAGTTGCCTTTCCTAAGTGGTTCACCTCTATCAGTCTGGTCCAGCAAAGTCCATTCCCCATCTGACTACCTTAATGAGCTTTTGAAAATGTAAAGTGGCTCATGTTATTCTTCTCAATGTTCAACGATGGATTTCCATTAAACTTAATATAAAGGGGCTTTTGTGTATAAGCTCTTTTACAATCTGGCTCTTGCCTATCTCAAGAAACATTATTTTAATTGAGTCTCCTTTCTCACTCATTATGCTTTAGTGCAGAAGTGGATATTTTGAGGCCTATAGATGTTGAGAGACAATTTTCAATGTCTCTTATGTTTCCAGACATCTTGCAAACAGAGACAACAACTGTCCATTCTAGTTAATTTTCTTAAGTATAAGTTTATATAGTGAGTAACTTTGGAAGACAGAGTTAGTATCCCTTCAGAGCTAAGGGTCTGCTTAAAGCCTTGGAAGACAAAGATGACATCTATACCTAGACCAAAATGGCAGATGTGTTTTGCCATCATAAAAATAATTATAAAATTATTCTAAAATAATAGGTTCTTCCTTTTCTATAATGCAATCCACACATATGCAGGTGTCAGCTGGCTCTGCCTTGGTCAGTGGGGAATGAGACTGGAAGAACCAACACAAATGCTGATAACCTGGCCACCACTGTTATGTGAGTAATAAACTGTCCATTTTCTCTGACACAGGAATCTCACATCTTTTTCCAGAATTGATGAAACTGTTGAAGAATAACTTGTTAGATTGCAAGTAGGGTAAAATCTTAGGCCCTCCACAGTTCTTGACAATGGAAAGGAGTATTATATAGTCTTGATAGTAATCCCTGTGTGTTTGTTTTTTGCAAAACTATTTGCCAATATTGAAAAATGTGGAGATTATGTGTAAATATTTAGATCTAAGTTCTTCTTTAAAAATCATAATTTCAACCTAACCTGGACCTTCTTTCCATCACTTGAGTTGGGTAGAGACTCTAATCTTTATATGAAATGTGCATTCTCAATTCACCAGAGACATGTCACCATCTTGTTACCTTAATACTGAGATCCACTGTCATTTGACATTTATCATTGAGCTTGCCCTGCTGTTTTTGGTATTGCCAAGTTGAAGGAGAAAACAAAAGATAGACCCAAAGGACCAGTGTGTATCACAAAAATTAGGACAGAGCATATTTCTTTCTGATAGTAAAACATATTCCTATGTGTTTTATATGCAATCACAGAGTGTCCCTGTGGGAATAATACAATTAAGATTCCATTAATATGCAAATGAAGTGTATATGGTTGAAAAAAATACAACTAAAGACACTGACATTGTTCTATTTAACTCATGTACCTAACTTGACTGGCTCTAATAAGCATTCGAGTTACAGACTTTGCTGCAGCCCAAATGGCCTGCTCAGAGTTCCTAAAACAAGCCAAGGACAGTCCTACTTAGTGCCCTTTCATGCTTGTCCATCTGCCAGGGGTGCATTTTCTGTGGATCTTCACAAGGCCTGCTTCATTTTATCCTCCAAATCTCAGTTTAAATATCATCTCAGAGAGGTTGTCTCCAAACATCTTTTCTAATTAGATTTGCCTTAGTTATTTTCTACTATGGCACATTTTCATGATCTTAATATAAATTTTCTAAATTTCTAGTTTCATATTGATTTATTTATGTATTTAATCTCTATTTTATGACTAGACTATAAGCTTCTTGAGGAAAGAGACCCTAGGTTTTTATATCTAGTGTATAGCAAAGCATATGACTATAGTGAATTTAATATTAGAGGAGTAAACAAAAAAAATTCCTAAAATATATTCTGATAGGGTAGTTTGACATGCTGACTCTGTATGTGGTGTACTTCGCCCTGAGAAATTTTATTGACAAGGTACCATTTTGGGTAGTCCTGACCTCTTAAGAATTTTGCTCTTTTGTGAAGTTTGCCCTAACATAAAGTGAAAAGAACTCCCTAGAGTAAAAATACGATGCAGAGTTGGAAAGAGATACACACAATCCACTCTCATGAGTTGGGGAAAATTTGCTGGGGCACACTACTTTTTATAATGTCTCCCAAATATATCATCACACATATCAAGTTAGCAAATGAATAGGATGACTCATGCTATTTGGTTTTATAAGCTTGTGCCTCCATTTTTATTATTTATTTAGTAAATAATTTGATCTTCCATAACTCACTTTGGAAAGCTCCCTTGCTTTATTTTCTTTTAAAGCTTATTTATTTATTTATGTATTTATTTATTGAGACTGAGTCTTGCCCTATTGCCCAGGCTGGAGTGCAGTGGAGCAATCTCGGCCCATTGCAACCTCTGCCTCCTGGGTTCAAGCAATTCTCCCTCCTCAGCCTCCCGAGTAGCTGGGATTACAGGCACATGCCACCATGCCCAGCTAATTTTTGTATTTTTTTAGTAGAGATGGGGTTTCACCATGTTGGCCAGGCTGGTCTCAAACTCCTGAGCTTGTGATCCGCCCGCCTCGGACTCCCAAAGTGCTGGGATTACAGGCGTGAGCCACCACGCCCGGCCTTTTAAAGCTTATTTAACATTAACATGGCTCTATTAAATTTTAGATGCGCATATTCTTAGTAAATTTCTTTATCATATTATTATTCTTTCTAAAAGACACATGAATCATGTTTTAAAGAGATGAAGGGGTGGATGTATCATCAAACAATGTAATACATTCACTAACACCTTTTAATGAATGTATACATTATGATATATATTACACAATTTTTTCACTGTATTTTTCACATTAGTTTCACACATTAGAAATGCGATTAAGCTATTATAAGAAAAATCTAGAATTTGATTATACATATACATATATTCGTACATTTATATAATATGAATTTTATAAAAACGCAGGCATGTAATGTAGAAAAACATGGGCAAGATTACTGCACACATTTTTGAATTTCTTCATTCTTTTTTTGAAAATGGCTCTTTCCCCCATCCAATGTGGTTTTAGATGTGAGTTCCATGAAACAATATTATTATAATAAAAACTAGTTAATTTTTTGCTTTTTTGCAGTTGCTCTGTTTTTTATAATTATCTATTTTCTTTAATGAAAATTTATTTTTACCTTTATTTTTTACTAGAGAAAATGATAAAAGAAAGATGAAATAACTAGACCAATTTTATGTAACATGAAAGGAACTGGGATTTGAAAATATATAGTTTGACTTTAGAAACTTTAGATATTATGTTTTCCTGTTTTATTCTCACAGCATTATTCTACTATGTCAGGGATTCTGGAAACAGTTACTGAGATAAACATTTGTGTGCAAAAGTTTAATGGAGAATGTTCTGATAAGCAATGCCTTGTGTGAGGAAATGGAAAAAGTAATATGGGACAGAGGGAGAAGTGAAGCTGCAAAGCTGTTTCAAACAGTTGTTCTCAGCAGCAGTTGATATCCCAGGGAGCTCTTCAGATACAATGAAGGCAAGAGGGACACCTGTTGTACTTCTTTAGATAAACCAACCCTTGGTAGGAAGCTGCCCAACAAAGGGCCCATGACACTGAACACGGCAGCTTCTTGGACCAAGAACAATTCCTGTGAGGGATTCAATTGTGATCCAACAGCAAGTTATATTCCTGACAGCTGAGGAATTAGTGCTTTAGTTCTAAAATACGAAGATCTAGACGGTGCACCCAGAACATCCGCTACAGTTCATCCCTTGCACCATTTGATTTTTAACATAATTTTATTTCATCAGAAAATAGCTTTAGGATTTTTGTTGTAACTTTTGTCTATGCAAACTTTTACGACAGAAAAGCTAATGGGAAAAACTCTAACTCCTGCTACTGCAGCAGCTGGTCTCAGTGCCATTGATCCTCATCATCTCAGTCCTTGGCCATCCATGTTTTATTGCCCTTACCCTTACTTATCACCTTTGCTGGTTTACGTGGCTGATCTTGTAGGTGACAAAGATGTCCATCCCTGTGACACCTGAACCTCTGATCATAATGGCCTGCTTTTATTGTGATTGCTGCATTTGTTTCCAAATTTGGGCAAGAAAGTGCTAAGACATGTCCCAGTGATTTCTTGAGTGCTGGATGCATTTTTCCTTGCTGACATTACATAACAACAACCCCATTTTGATTGCTCCTTCCAGATGGTGAATCATTTCTTGTCTGTTGGTCTCTTAATACAAAGAGCACAAAGTAACTGCATGGCAGCTACAGCTTGCAGTTTAATGAGGGCAATTTGCTTCTGGGATCCATGAGATTAAAATCCACAAAGCCTAAAGTTGCAGTGACAGAAAGCCACTGAGTATTTTAGTTCAAAGGACGGATGTTCGAGACAGACTGGAACACTCACTATAAATAATCTGGCTAAGACTGGTCTTTCCAGAGGTGGGACTACATCCCATGCTGGCCCCACCAGTTTCTTCTTCAGGAAGTTAGGATTTGCTTAGCTCCTTTTTGGGAGGAATTATGAAACTGAACACTATCAGAAGCTGTTTCCCACCATGTGGAACTGAGAGGAACAGACCAGTTTGCAAAAATAGAAAAACATAAATAAATAAACAGATGCACCAAGAAGCCCAGAAGAAAGTAAAAAAAAAAAAAAAAAATTGAATCCGGCTGGGCGCGGTGGCTCACGCTTGTAATCCCAGCACTTTGGGAGGCCGATCACCTGAGTTCAGGAGTTTGAAACCAGCCTAGCCAATATGGCGAAACCCAGTATCTGCTAAAAATACAAAAGTTAGCTGGGCATGGAGGTGGGGACCTGTAGTTCCAGCCACCCAGAAGGCTGAGGCAGGAGAATCGCTTGCACTCGGGAGGTGGAGGCTGCAGTGAGCCGAGATCGTGCCACTGCACTCCAGCTTGGGCAACAGAGCAAGACACTTGTCTCAAAAAAAAAAAAAAAAAAAAAAAAAAAAAGCCATGAGTTCCGTGTCCCACTGTCTTCTGAGGTCAATCCTGATGCAAATCCATTGACCATGAATTTCATTATCCCGCTCCTTATGTGAATTTCCCCTGTGCTTGAACATACTCAAGTGGTGTTTTCTAACAAGCTTTAATGGCTTTTCCAAAGCAACCTGCCCTTTCACCTTTAAGTAATTGTGAAATGAGACTTAACATCCGAGACACTTTGAAAAATTCAAACGAATATTGGAGTTGGCATTTGGTATAACTGGTGAGCTATATTTAAAGTTCACATTAATAGTAACTCACCTGTTACTAATGTGATGGCCTAGTGGGGAAAAAAAACAAAACAAAACAAAACAGCACTTGACCCCCCCCAAAAAAAGAAAGAAAGAACAATAAGAAAAGATAATGAAAAAAAAAGAAAATTTTCACTTAGATATTTACTACAAATATAAATATTAATCCAGGAAAAAGAAGCATACTTTTGTTCATTTAATTTTAATTTTACTTCTGATTCTACTTGGCTATTTAAAAAAAGTAGAAAAATGATGCAGTAAAACTGTAGTCTTAGGCTCTAATAAGATAATTTCTTGAAGATTTTAAAAATCTCTTTGCTTAAAGAACAAGAGTGCTGGGAAAAACAGTCCATTTCACATTCTGCATTTTTGTTTTGAAAATTATTACTTTAAAAACCTATAATTGGTATAAAACCTTATCATTACCTACTATTTTGCCAGGAGTTTGGCTATATTTACAACAACTTGATGCCCTCAGAATACCAGGTTCTGGTGTAGGTGGCAAGATTGCTGTAAAACATGAAACTATTTTTACACTTTTAGTTTTGTTCTTCTCTTTAAATATATGATTTCATTACTATATAATTTCTTTGAATAATGTTTTAAGTAGAAAAGACTCAGTAATAACGTTGTAGTTTTACCCGGGAGCCTGCCCTGAAACAAAGTGGCACATATTTGTTCCTACATTCCTCGGCAGTGTGATGGATGATGGCAATTACTGGAAAGAACAATATTAGTTTTACAGTTATTGTTATTAACTTAAAGTGCTAAGAATAAAATCCCATATTTCACTAGATACTCCAATCACCACCAAAATACGTGACAGAGGAACATTTTATAATCTTTGTATTTTACACTGGCTGCACAACTAGAAATTGGCAGAGTCAAATCATTTATATCTGCTTATTACCAGCTTGCAGAAGCCATTGAGAATATGGAATTAGTGATGGGTATTTTTGTGGCAGATGTTTTATTCTCTTCCATTGTATTAAATTTAACATACATTGGTCCCACTGCAGTTTATTAAAGTTTCACAAAGAGATTAGCAGAATAACAAGTTATATACAACTTGCTTACTCTTGTTCCCCATTGACAAAAAACACATTTATTTATTCATAAATTATGAATATCATAAATATGGGATATATATAGCCAGTAAATATTTAAGGAGACAATAGGAGTAAAACGTTTTCCTAAATTTCAGACATTTAGATGAACTGTTGCAAAATCTTTCTTCTATAAATACGATATGCATCTGCTATGCTCTGAATGTTTGTGTCCTCCCAAAATCCATATGTTGAAATCCTAATTCCCAAGGTGATGGTATTGAGGTGAGACCTTTAGGAGGTGCTTATGTCATAAAGGTGGGGTCCTCATGAATGAGATTAATGCCCTTACAAAAGAGGCCTGAGGAAGGTCGTTCAGTCCTTCTACCATGTGAGGTTAAAGTGAGAAGACAGCCATCCATGAAAAGATAAATTTGTGATTCCTTAATCTAGGGCCTCACAGTTGCCAAAACTGTGAGACATAAATTTATGTTGTTAGCCGGGTGTGGTGGCTCATGCCTGTAATCTCAGCACTTTAGGAGGCCGAGGCAGGTTCATCACCTGAGGTCAGGAGTTCAAGACCTGACCTGACCAACGTGGTGAAACCCCATCTCTAACAAAAATACAAAAATTAGCCAGGCATGGTGGCAGATGCCTGTAATCCCAGCTACTCAGGAGGCTGAGGCAGGAGAATTGCTCAAAACCAGGAGGCGGAGGTTGCAGTGAGCCGAGATCGTGCCATTGCACTCCAGTCTGGGCGACAGAGCGAGACTCCATCTCAAAAAAAAAAAAAAAAAAAAAAAAAAATTCTGTTGTTATTAAGCTACCTAGTGTATGGTATTTTGTTGTAGCCGCCCAAATAGACTAAGACAATATCTAAATAAAACTGTTATTCATACCTCTCAGATAAAAGCAATTAATGAGTCATTAACAATAATATTTTGTTTTATAAAAAATATTGGATTTAATGTTACTAATAGGCAGACATGAAGAGTGTCTAACAGCATTAATTCTGGGGGCATACTTCTTCAGTTTAAGTCAGTCTACCAATTACTATATGGTTTTAGGAAATTTACTTAAACTTCCTTGTACTTTATTTTCCTTACCTACAAAATGGAAAAAATAAAGGTTACTCCTTCAGAGACTTGTTATAAGGATTAAGTGAGTGTATATCAGTAAAGCATATAAAACAATGTCTGCCATAAAATTTGTACAAGTTAAATGTTATCTGTAATTTGGATTTGTTTCTGTAGTCCTCTCCATATTACAACGATTTTACTCATCCATTTTCAGTAAATACCACATACAAGCATCAAAGCATTATAAATAAAAATTGTAACCAAAAAAACTCAAATGATTTTAAAGCTATTATGACTTGTGTTGAGATTTCCATCTGAAAATGAGCATGAAAAAGCAATCAGACAATAAATACAAAGTAATGATGATTAGGAAATAAACATGTGAGAAGAAGTTACATATGCTAGCACAAATACCTTTTTAACATGGTAGCTTTTTACATGATATATTGAAAAGCTTTATAAATGTTTTGAAAAAAATAAAAGCCATATTGTTCTTCAATTCACTTTGAGCATATTCATTGTGAAATACACTCTAATTTGGCTCATTTGTCACTCAACTGAGTGACTTCTACCTTCTTTTCTTCTACTGTGGAGTGTGAAAAGTTAAATACCTTTCTCCTGTCCATTTTCCATCTAGATGTAACTTGCAAAAATAGTTCTGGCCATTGAATTGTAAGCACACATTTATGCTTTTAAATAAAAAGTCAAAGGCTTGCAATAAAAAGGCTTGTAGCCCTTCCTTTCTTCTTGCAGTCTGGAATGGAGACATGAGGCAGGAGGTGAGATGGCCATCCTGCAGCCATGAGTGTATAAGCGTTAGGATGAAAGCTGGGAAAATAGAAGTTTGTTCCATTATGATATCCTTTTGCAATCCTATAATACTATAAAGAAATATCTGAGACTGGGTAATTCACAAAGAAAGAAGGTGTAACTGGCTCACAGTTTGGCAGGATTTACAGGAAGCACAGTGCTGGCATCTGCTCAGCTTCTGGGGAGGCCTCAGGAAACCTACAATTATGGAAGAAGGTGAAGGGGAGCAGGCACACCACATGGCCAGAGGAAGAGCAAGAGAGAGAGTGGGAGGCTGAGGTGTCACAGACTTCTTCTTCTTCTTCTTCTTTTTTTTTTTGAGATGGAGTCTCACTCTGTCACCCAGGCTGGAGTGCAGTGGCACAGTCTCAGCTCACTGCAACCTCTGCCTCCCAGGTTCAAGCAATTCTCCCTTCTCAGCCTCCTGAGTAGCTGGGATTACAGGTGCACGCCACTACGCCTGGCTAATTTTTGTATTTTTAGTAGAAATGGGGTTTCACCACATTGGCCAGGCTAGTCTCGAACTCCTGACCTCAAGTGATCCACCAGCCTTGGCCTCTCAAAGTGTTGGGATTACAGGCATGAGCCATCGCGCCTGGCCCCGGAGGTGTCACAGACTTTTAAATGACATGATCCTGTGACAACTCACTATTGTGAAGACAACACCAAACCATGAGGATTCTGCCTCAATGACCCAAACACCTCCCACCAGGCCCCACCTCCAGCATTGAAGACTACCATTCAACATGAGATTTGGGCAGGGGCAAATATCCAAACTATATCAGCTACTGTTTGTTAGTGTCTGCATTGTATCTTTGGCTTTCAGAACTAGTTATAAGTACTTTCCTATATCTTATCTATATATTCATATTTACTAAAACACTAGATAAAGGGAAATAATCATTCCAGTCAAAGCCCTCAGTTCTACTGAAAAACAAAATTAAAATAGAATAATAAGGCATCTGGCTGTTTTTAATTTTCATCAGCTTTAAATATTTATTGCATATTCTAAGAGTTGAAAAAAGATCATTAGAATAAAGTTTGAGGTTTTAATGCTTTTTGAACATGTAGCACACAGCTTTTCATCATGGATGTTCTATTTCTGCTTCTTCTTGAGAATATAGAAAATGATTATGTTTCATTGTAGAATCACTCATGCTTTACCTCTGCAACTAAATTGTGGCCTACTTAAAAGCTGATAATTTTTCCCTCATTTTCTGGTATGGAATTGCAAACAAAGTACACATTCAATAAATTATTAATGAATGAATACATTAAGTGAATATGCTTAGTTGATCAATATATTAACTATATAAAAACAAATAATAAAATGCTCACAATGCAGACTTGTAATAAATATATTTTGAGCCACAAATTTCTGTACTGCACTCTCATGGCATATGTTATAATTATAATGCTACCACATAAAACCAATGGTATTCTTTACCATTTGCTTATAAGCATTCAACTGCAATATGTCAAATTAGGTTATTAAAATGGCAGAAAGAAGTGGGATGATATTTTCATAGAAGTATATATTATTCAATAATCAACGGTGGCAGATCATCAAGCCTTGAAAAAAGAATAAAAATCCTTGAAAAAAGAATAAAGATTTTGTGGCTGGGCGTGGTGGTTCATGCCTGTAAGCCCAGCACTTTGGGAGGCTGAGGTGGGTGGATCACCTGAGGTCAGGAGTTCGAGACCAGCCTGGCCAACATGGTGAAATCTCGTCTCTACTGAAAATACAAAAATTAACTGGGCATGGTGGCACATGTCTGTAATCCCAGCTACTGGGGAGGCTGAGGCAGGAGAATTGCTTGAACCCAGGAGGCAGAGGTTGTGGTGAGCCGAGATCACACCATTGCACTCCAGCCTGGGTGACAAAAGTGAAACTCCATCTCAAAAGAAAAGAAAGAATAAAGATTTTGTTTACAATTATCAATTTTTGTGCTGTACAATTTTATGAGCAGTGCAACTATACTCTTTAAGATATTTTAAGAGATTTAGTCATATAATTTACATACATGTTTCTTTAAACCTATTTGAAATCCAGGAATCTATGATTTTATCTGAAAAGAAAAAATATTAGTGGTTCAACAAGATTTTTTGTCTACATTTTACCCAGAAGTAGATTTTGGTTTGTGAGTCTTGAAGCTTATATAATTTTGAGAGTGAAGACAATTTAAGCAAAATAATACAAAAGTTATATTTATGTGTACATTTTACAAAATCATATGACTCCTGTGAATGTATTATCAAATTTCCATCCAGTAATCTGTCCTGCAGTTAAAAATTTATTAGCTTCACCTTAAATCTATAACACTACTACTAATGGTGCTTTTCATATTAGCCACTTTTCTCTGAGATACCAAAGTTGCTGCGTACTTTTTTTTTTTTTTTTGAGTTGGAGTTTCACTCTTGTTGCCCAGGCTGGAGTGCAATGGGGCAATCTCGGCTCACTGCAACCTCCGCTCCTGGGTTAAAGCAATTCTCCAGCCTTAGCTTCCCAAGTAGCTGGGATTACTTGCAAAGCAGGCACCACTATGCCTGGCTAATTTTGTATTTATTTATTTATTTTTTTAGTACACACATACTCACACACACACACACATTTTATTTATTTTTTTTTTTTTGAGATAGAGTCTCACTCTGTCGCCCAGGCTGGAGTGCAGTTGTGCAATCTCGGCTCAATCCAACCTCTGCCTCCTGGATTCAAGAGTGTCTCCTGCCTCAGCCTCCCGAGCAGCTGGGATTACAAGCATGCACCACTACACCTGGCTAATTTTTTTTTTTTTTTTTTTTTTAGTAGAGACGGAGTTTCTCCATGTTGGTCAGGCTGGTCTCAAACTCCCAACCTCAGGTGATCTGCCCGCCTCGGCCTCCCAAAGTGCTGGGATTACGGGAGTGAGCCACCATGCCCGGGTGCATACTTTTATATTGGATTAAAAAAAGGTAATTGACTCCTAGAATTACAACCCTTGAAGCTTAAGGAAAAGCTGTTAATATTATTGAGTGGGAATACATTTATTGAGCACCATGCTAAGGGCATTATATACATTACCTGCATAATCATCATTAGAGTAATATCATTATCACCAAATAAAGTGTAAGTTTAAGGAATGTACACCACAGTCAATTCTGACTTCTGTTGTAATTGACACCAAATTTGCACAAAATTCATTCTTGCATGTGCTAAACATGTGTATTTAAAATATCCATGAAAGTTTTCTTGTCCACGAAGTTATCAATTTTCTATTCTCCAAAGTAGCTTTGAAAATGTGATTATTTTCCCTTATGTTTGTTCAGTACCTCTGACTTTTAAAAAGCATTGCCTTTTTAGACTAGCAGGAAAAATAGGCTGTGGAAATAGAGTACTTCTCACTCCTGATTTGAATTTACTTGGTAGAAAGCTAGGACTCATTTAGTTGCTATGGAATTGACATTTGACTAGTATTATTTGTTATTGTAACTCGATTTAAAATAAAACTATAGCTCTTCAGTCCAGCATGTTTCAGCAACAAACATATTCTTTGTCTTTTCAGTTGGTATAATCAGTTAAACTTGTCAGTTCACCCATTTCTGTTTCTGATCTGTATCTTATGGCATATTATATACTACATATCTCTATCACAGGGCATTTGGTGAACTTAGAGAACATTAGGTCCTATTTTGTCTTAGGTGTTTTCCTAAATGTATTATCATTAAGAGTTTCCAACTCTTAAGCTGAAAAGCAATCAAGTTATCTGTTTGCAGTGGAATCTTTTAACTTATATTTCATACTTAGTCCCTAAAGAATGCTCTTAAGAATCATAATAGCAAGTATCCATTTATCACTACTCTAAATCAATTGCTAATTAACTCCACAAGGTATAGACAGATTTATCTTTAGCCTTATGTTTATTATGAAAGTTTTACGACTTACAAACTGCCATGGTATTTACAGCAATCTTTTTCTCTTATTAGTCTATTTCCTTTTTGTTCTCCTAGTAATGCATTCTATGTAAGGTAACTGAGTCATAGGAGCTTTGAAAATAAGAAATTAACAATATTGTTAAGGATAAAAAAAAGTTTCTGATTTTTCCTGTTTCAAATATTGGTAATCTATTTTTTGTTATATTGGGTGAATATCATGAAATATTTATATGTATTGACATTACTCATTTGCAATGCTAATTAAAAATATGTTATTATATGAAACTATGAACACACAAAATGATCATATGTAGACTAAAAAATGACTTTTTTTATTATACATAAAGACTGCATTTATACTTCTTATATAATTAGGGTCCTGAGAGCTAGTTAATAAATGCTGCAAATCTTTTAATTTTCTATTTTAAATAATGGCCCAATTCCCACTCATTTATTATCAACATGAAAAGATGATTAAAAATTAAAACTCTTGACATTCTCCAATTTTTATCACCTAGGACTGTCTTGAAGTATTTAAACAACAGAGAATGACCAAGATATTATTAGAGGTTGACATTTTGTAGATTTTGTATTTTGGGCTTGTTTGATCAATTTAGAATTTATCTTAAATTTTTAATGAAATTTTTTTTCTGTACCACTTGCTGTTTGCATTCATATGTACTTCTAAAGATATATTATCAATTTAGATTGTCATTTAAAAAACAAAACTAAAACTAAAACCCTCAAAGTCATGTGCCTATAACTGTTTATCATAATTCCATTTCAAATAAAAATGCTTGATGATAAAAATGAAAATTTAAATATCGAATAAAATATAACTATGTACTGAATTTGATGACACAAGGGGAAGTAAAGTAGAACATGGTTGACCATATGACTTTTATTTTATTTTAAAATATTTTTATTCCTAAACAAGGCCTTAATATAAGAATGTCCCCATCCTTCTTCTATCCTAATGATAGCCACCAATTTTTTATCTATCAGAATATTATTTTCTGTGCATGTTTAAATATACAGAAATGAATATTGACTTAGACATAAATGGTACGTCTTTTCTAATTTTTAAAGTGATATCAAAAATATTTTATACAGCCTCATAACATGCACGTCTTGTGATTTTTCAATAAATTTTACCTTCATTCTTTGTAAAAGGAAAGCTTTATTATTGTAAATGCTAGTAATTACATATGTTTTGTCCAGTGTGCAACATTTTCTTATCTAGTTTTTCATCACTGAGTAAGCATTGGATTTATACAAACTTAAAATTTTATAATCTCTATTACTACTTTTTAACATGGCAGGTTATGATATAGTTAAGAAACTTCAAATTATTTATTTTCATTAGAGGTCATCTTTTCTCAAGAATGATTCAATGCAGTGCTAATGATTAGAAAAATTGATTATATTAGTATCTGAATGTGTTATATTGTCTTTAAATAATTATTTACTAGGATACTAATCTACTTCTGAGACTTGTGCTAAGGTGTTTTTATCATTATGAACTGAAAACTGGTCAAATATAGAATATTACTTTATCCTACTTTAAATTTAAATATTAATTGTGAAGTGTTTCATCCATTTCTTGTGACTAAGTAGGTTTCTATTTCCTGTGTAGTCAGTAGATGGCAGGCTTGTATCACATACAGTCTGAATTTAGTGTGGCATACTTATTTGTTATGGTAACATGAATACTCACTGATAAGTGTTTTCGTTGTCTTTGTGATAATGAAATACAAGAAAATAGCTCATATTTTATTTCTAAAACCAAATAAAATTATTTGTTGAATGAGCTTAAGAGCTATATAACTTGAAATCATACCTGTTATTGTCCTAATGATTTTTTGGTTTACATTTTTTAAAAATCACAGTCAGACAAACACTAACATTGGCAATTACAATAGGATTTTACTGCAATTCTAAAACTTGAAACATAAATATTAAACAATTTTAGAAAAAAGTACATCATAAAAATGAATCCACACAGAGTATATATATTTTTCAAATTTAACATAAAATACATAAGAAACAGCTTCCTTGTGAAAAATACATAATATGAATGCTCAAAATTTTTGAAAGTCTGTGTGAAACCTGTATGTTGCTATTGTTAATTCATTCAACCTGACAGTGCATACACAAAGGGTTGGTTTGAGGGAAGGTGTTATTTGATGTCTATGTCATTCAATAACATCACTTGATATGATATAGTACATCACATGGCATGTTTCTTATCAGCATGACAAAAGTAATCTCTTCCGCCAACTGTAGCATGTCTGAAAGACAGCAAATTATATCTGCCAAGATTAAATGCCTCTATACTAACGCTTATTTAAAATAAAATTACTTCTCAAAAAATCTCATTGCATAGGTTATGTTACTGTGAAAGACGGTAAATTTAGTAACAACATCATGTCCTAAATGTAACTCAGGAAGTGGCAATATTCTGTATTTATTTTTTCTTTTCCAAACGAAATGAGCTACAAAGCTAGGTGGATGCCAGAGGACATGAGCACAGATAGACAGATTTTCTGTGGACAATATTACTGTGCTCTAATACATTCTTTTTGTAATTATTCCAGGTCAAGATAGTGGCCAAAGAGGAAGTTATAAAGCAGACTAGGAAATTCTCCTAAATATATCTCCAACAGAGTAAACAAGAGATTAGGAAACTTGTCCTTCATTCAATTACACCTGGTAAACTTTTTACATTTCCCATTCTATTTTTTGCCTGTGATGTCTAAGTTGAATTACCTTTGCACAGACTTTGAGGAAAAATTTCCCTGTGTATTGCAAACTGACCTAACAATTATTAGTACAGAGAAAAGCTGAAATGATTTCCACAAGGCTGTTGGATCTTTTTATTACCTCTTTTGCTTGTTTGTTTGCTTATTTTGTGTGCTCTCCTGAAATTCAAAGTACTTGCTGGAAAAGACTACATATATCCACTCTCAGCAGACAGGGACTCAGAATTCAGCAATCCTGGTGTAGTAATCATCTTTGCCCTCTATTCACACAATACACATGTATTATTACTATTGCTGTTACTGTTTTTTATGATGTTTGGCTCAAAATTCATTTTATGTTCACTTTTCTGAAAGCTAGAAAAGTTAATATTCTTCTTTTCCAGTGAAAATCTTTAGTGGCTTTTTCCTGCCTAGAATCTAAAATAACTACAAATTTTGCCAAGCTGGTTTACTCTTTCAATAACTAACGCTATTTTTCTGTGTCCCCAGGCAGGTGAATGGGAGTGGAGCAGTAAGAGATGCTGCTTCCAGTAGTTTTCTACCTCTCAATCCTTGCTATTCAAAGTATGGTCCACAGTCCAGCAGCTTTGGCATCACCTGGGAACTTGATGGAAATGCAGATAAGTTCAAATTCCCACTACTGATATACTGAATTAGAAACATCTGCCCTTCAAGAAGATCCACTGGTGATAATATGCATATTAAAGTTTGAGTAGCACCGCCATTCTATATCAGCTTGCAAAATGAAAGCAAGAAGAAACAAAACAAAGCATTAGCCAGTTTGGATTTTCTGAAGTGCACTAAATGTCAAACTCAAGAAAAGGTAGTAGAAAATAAATTTCTCTTCAACCAAGTCATTAGTATGGAATCATCTACTCTGTTTTGAGGCGACACCAGCCAATACCAGCCACATTTTCGGAATCATCATTTTCTGGTGAAATAAACTGACTTGCATAATTTAATAAATTTTGGTGAATAACAAGACTTACTCTCAGATACCAACATTTCCTAGCTTGCAAGACAGTAGTTATAGAAGGAAACTAATAGACATGGTTTAAAACACCTTCTAATGCAAAGTAGAAGATTTACAATGCTGCTTCATTGTCAGGTTCCAGTGTCCTCCTTTTATCCAACAAAATCTAAAGAGTTATCTCATTGGAATTTTCAGCTTCAGTGAAAATTCTGTGATGATCTCAAATGTTGCTGCATAAAATGTATAATTAATGGAGTGAAGTGGTTTGTAAAGAAACATTTTATTAGAACAAGTGAGGGTAAATGAACTAATAGAGTTCAATTCTATGCTTCAATTTCCAATATAATATGCAAATATCTACTCTGCAAAACCGTATAAAACGACTTTCTGAACTATTATTCTAGGTTTAATACAGTGATTAGACTGGGTCATCATTTCTGCATTGTCAGAAACTGTGCTATTTTGCAGTATCTAATTGTTGTTTTATTTCCTTTTTAATTATTTTATTCACTGTGTTATTATTTTGGCTTTAACATCAGACACATTCTTTGATATTAAAATTGCATTTGATTAGCTTTTAACTGTCTCAGACATATTAATACATGATGATGGGTTTTAAGTCAATGAATGTATTCTTCTATGTTATGGCCTATTTCATTGTTCTAATTCGAGTGTCAAAATTGCTATTTATTTGAGGACTGTCATTATCAAATATTTCAGAATGTGAGTTGCCATTATTCAAAGGAATAAGTCAACAGACATTTACATAACATGTAATAGTAAAACGAAATTATTCATATTATAACGTTTTATAATGTTTGGCTTAGAAGACTTGCTACAGATGTTATAGACAAACAAAAATTGTATGGTTAATGCAACAGGAACCTGGTTTCAGATAGGTGACATGACATTTTCAAAGTCTCACAGCAATTTTGATTGAGCTAAGCCTCAACCATTGGTCAATTTCTTTAGTCTTTTTTTTTTAACACTGAAATCAACCATGCTATTTCTAGCCCCCATTTTTTAAACTTGGATAATCAAAATGAGTTTAATAAAACATCGTCAACCAAATATCACATTATGCATAATAACACGTATCTTGAAGGTTATAGTAAATGGAAAGATGAATCTGGAAAGCTAAGAGAATTAGAGGTCATGGCTGGATGTAAAATCACCATGGAAACAGCTTTCATGGCCAATTTGTGGGGATATGTCAAAAGGCAGTAACCTGTGACTTATTTTTTTCCAAAGCCCTTTCTATGAAGGTTACAGGCTCTATATCTGCTTTCATGATGACATTTGTCTATGTTTTTGTAGGATTCTATTCTGACAAGCACAAAACCCTGCACCAAGTTGAACCTGTCCTTTGTGATGAGGCTGTTGAACAGAAGAGCAGCGTAGCAGTCTGTCTATTCTTGCTCCACATTCAGCTAAATGCCAACTCCGATCCCTTTGAGATGGTGAACAGGCTGAACCCAGGGATCGTGTCATCCCTCAGTATCCAGACTTCTTCAGAGAACCATGTGGTGAAACTTCTTGATTAAGGTCATGTTCTTAGTCTATAGTATCATTTTTTTTTTGTAAGCTAAAAGATATCTATGTGTTTCAGTATCTAAAAATCTATTTAAAAATAAATATGTAGATTTGAATAATCATTCCAGCTTATGTTTCCAAATTACAAAAATAAAAGAAATTATACAATTCAGATGTTTGTTTTGTATCATTATCTTATAGAGAGTAATTTTACATTGCAGACTTTGTGACAAACTTGGATCCTTTTTTGGCTTTATACAAATAAATATATCAAAGAAATTCTTATTTTTATTAGTGTAACATTACATTTTACTATAAAATAACTATTTTTATCCATATTTCATTTACTGAATAGAATAGTGAATTATGTTTAAAAACTTTAATCATTGCAAGCCATCATCTTTGGATGTTTTATGATCTTATAAGGAAACAAGCATGTATTAGTTCGTTCTCATCTGGCTATGAAGAAATACCCAAGACTGGGTAGTTTATAAAGGAAAGATGTTGAACTGACTCACAATTCCACATGGCTGGGGAGACCTCAGGAAACTTACAATCATGGCAGAAGGGGATGTAAGCACGTCCTTCTTCACAAGGCGGCAGAAGAGAAAAGTGCCAAGCCAAGGGGGAAAAGCCCATTATAAAACCATCGGATCTCATAAAACTCACTATCATGAGAACAGCATGGGGGGACTGCTCCCATGATCTAATCACCTCCCATGAGGTCCCTCCCCCAACACATTGGGATTACAATTCAAGATGAGATTTGAGTGAGGACAAAATCCAGGCCATATCAAAGCAAAAGTTTTATTTCTATATATTATTTATACATATAATATTTATTTATTTGGAAAATAATTCATATTATGTGAATTTTTCCTAAAGACTCTGGCATTCAGCTTTATAGATTTGGATAGAAAAACGTGTGTCCTTGGATGAGGACTCACATACCAAGACTTGATAGAATTTGCTTTTATGCAAACATACTGATAATGAATGATACACAATAAAGTAATATTGTGATGTGTTCCATGGGGTTGTTTCTTATTATTTAATAATAAGATTTAATTTAATAATTTAATAATAATAAATAATAAATAATTTAATAATAAATACTTAATAATTGATTTAATTAATAATTTAACAATATTATTACAAGTACTACTATCTAACTTTTTGGTTCTTAATTTAAGTCTTCATCTCCAGTTTGCCAATAGATTGACTTAGTCTAGAAGAAAATTTTAAATCATGTTGACTAGACAATCCAGAGATTTTCTAGATTTTTGGAAATTCTGGACTTTCTGTCCCACCATGACAGTTATTTTTCTATTAAATCTAACAAGTAATTGTCTAGTGAGATGTTAAATTATTTCTATTCTTGATTTCAATCTATCTTTGCCTAAATGTGGAAGGTGGTACAAAATACTCAATACTTTTCACCCACAATTTATAGTTTAAAATATTTTCAGTCTTTAGTGCTGCTTATATTTCAATTAACATTATGGCTAAGTATTACAGTGTAGTACAAGGATGAAAATTGGGAAACTCTGGAGAAAGGGAAGCTCTGTCCCAGTACTGCACATGCATTTTTTAATATTCCCCCCAAACACTAGCTTCAACTTTAACAGTTTCCAATTTCAAAAAAAATTGAAACCACTTAGAATTTGAAAACATTGATCTTTTTTTAAAAAAAAATTAAATGATAATCCAGTTCATAAGTTAAGTCTAATCTACTTTTCAGACTGAAAATTATTTTATAGATATCAAGATAAATTAGTATTATTTTTCCAGGATGCATATCCCCAAGAAATCCAAAGCAAATATTCTTTTTAAAAAAGGACAACTTTTAAAAACTTTAGGTTCAAGGCTGCATGTGCAGGTTTGTTATACAGGTAAATGGGGGTTTGGCGTAGAGATTATTATGCCACCCAGGTATGCCACCCATCGCATAGTAGATTTTCCATCCTTCTCCTCCTTCCCTCCACCATCATATAGGCCTCAGTGTCTGTTGTTCCCTTCTTTGTGTCCATATATACTCAAGAGAACATTCTATTTTTTACTGGAAAAAAGAATTATACTTTGGCTTAAAATAGTCTAGTATTCATAAGGGAGAAGTAGCAAACACAAAGTTCTAATATATCAATGGAAAATTCTGTTGCATTTGAAATAGATATTTAAACCTTGATATAATCAAATAAAGAGGAGATATTAGCCAGCAGCTAATAATGAAATTGCCTGATAAAGCATAAAGTTGCCTCACTGAATTATTGTGGGTTTGAAAGGTTTGTGACAATAACTGCTTCACACATTTAATAAGACCCATTAAAGAACATTATATGTTTTTTAAAAGGGTCATCAATGAGGTCATAGTAGTTTATTGTTGCAGTTTATTTAATATTTATTAACTACACAGCCATCTGAATATTCATTTTGAAAATTTTAATGTGCATATACAAAGTCTTTACCATAATTTAAAGTTTTTGAATGTGCTATATTTTATAAATTTGTCTTTAAAACCATACACTATTTTTCCAAAGATTTTCTTTTAATTAAATTTTATAAAAGTAACTAAGTAGCTGCTTTTTTTTTCTTTTCTTTTCTTTTCTTTTTTGAGATGGAGTCTCACTCTGTCACCCAGGCTGGAGTGCAGTGGTGCAGTCTTGGCTCATTGCAACCTCTGCCTCCTGGGTCCAAGCAGTTCTCGAGCCCAGCCTCTGAGTAGCTGGGATTACAGGTGCGTGCCCCCATGTCTGGCTAATTTTTGTATTTTTAGTAGAGATGGGGTTTTGCTATGTTGACCAGTCTGGTCTTGAACACCTGACATAAAGTGATCCACCTGCCTGAGCTTCCCAAAGTGCTGGGATGACAGGTGTGAGCCACTGTGCCCAGCCCAAAAGTAACCTCTTTATAAATGAAAAGTTACACAAATATATTGAGTTGACAGAATAGTCCCAAATAAGGAAACTACTTCAAGTAACTTTAAAATACAATAATTTTACTTGGAACTTTGGTGTGATTACCCAAAAAATGGGAGCAGGACTGTCTAAACTAATCTCAGTATCACATTGTTAGTAGTGTTGTGGAATTACTTTTCTGAGCTAGCAAATAAGTAATAATGTTGGAGTCTATTTAGTGTGAAAAAAAAATACTGATTACACATATGGTTCTGAATTTAAATTTTATTTTACACTTGAACTCTTAACATATTTTAAAACATAATACATATTTCTAGCATTAAAGAGTTCTAGAAACATTGACCAACCCAAAAGCAATAAGTACTACTACAGTCCATATTGTAGTATTTAAATATCATTACTCACTAAAGAAACCAAGAATTTTTAGATTTTAGATATGAGCATGAAGTGTACAAAACTGTCCTAGAACGTCCTTTCAAATCAAAAATAAGATGTATAGTAGTTTACAAGGGTCATGTCAAAAGGATGTAGGAGCCAAATTGAATAGCTTATCACAGGCCAAAGTTGAAAACGTTTAAACATAAATTTGGAGAAAAAGTAATGGTTTCAAACACATAAAATGTTTAAATCCATGAAGTCATACTAGCACTCCAAAACACACATATAAGGATAAAGAAAATGTGGTACATGTACAACATGGAATATTATGCAGCCATGAAAAATAGCAAGATCATGTCCTCTGCAAGGACATGGATGGAGCTGGAGGCCTTATCCTTAGCACACTAAGAAAAGAACAGAAAACCAAATACTGCACGTTGTCACGTATAAGTGGGAGCTAATGATGAGAGCATATGGACAAAGGGAGGGGAACAACACACACTGGGGCACATAGGAGGGTGGAGAGCAGGAGGAGAGACAGGATAAGGAAAAATAACTAATGGGTACTAGGCTTAATACCTGGGTGATGAAATAATCTTTACAACAAACCCCCACGATTCAAGTCTACCTATGTATCAAACCTCCACATGTACCCCTGAGCTTCAAATAAATGTTAAAAAAAAAAAAAAGAAAAGAAAAAAGAAAATCTCAGCACTGCCTAGAGAGGAGCAGCCATCTCCTAATTGGCACCATGGCTGCACTCAGACCCTGCATGAAGCACAAAATCGTCAAAAAGAGAGGACCAAGAAGTCCATCTGGCGCCAGTTAGACGATATGTCAAAAATAAGCATAACTGGTGAAAACCCAGAAGTATTGACAACAGGGTTTGTAGAAGGTTCAAGGGCTGGATCTAGATGCCCTACATATGGGAGCAACAAAAAACAAAACACATGCTGCCCAGTAGCTTCCAGAATTTCCTGGTCCACAAAGTCAAGGAGCTGGAAATGCAGCTGATGTGCAACAAATCTTACTCTGCTGAGATTGCTTACAATGTTTCCTCCAAGAACCACAAAGCCATCACAGAAAGAGCAGCCCAGAGCACAGCTGGCCATCAGAGCCACCAATCCCAATGCCAGGCTGTGCAGAGAAAAAAATCAATAGACACCTCATGTGCACATTTTATTTTCATTTAAATAAAACCATCAAAACAGCAAAAAAAAAAAAAAAAAATACCCACAACAAACAAAAAACACCTCGTAGGGTAATTTCATGAAACCAATTCTCACTGTTTTGGAAAATAGTATATAAAATTAAAATTACTATTCCTTTAGAGTTACCAACTAATGATTAACAACATTTCTTCATTAATAATATGAATTATATTATTAATGAATTAATGAATTATTAATGAATTAATATCAATTAAAAAATGAAGAAGGAATAATAAAATATTACCATTATTCAAGCTTTTAAAAATAATGGGAATAAGCTGGAATCAACTTTTGTTTTTCTTTCTCTAGGTCGCAAAAGAAGAGACAACTATACATTTTGTGATGCTGAAGGGAAATGTACAAGAGCACTACTGAAGAAGTCCAGCCAAAAAAAAAAAAAAAAAGCCCAGTAGTATTCTTATCAAGCCTGTATATCCAGTTTATAGGAAATATAAGAGACAGAGACACATGTTAAATGGCAACAGTAGAATGTAATACACAAAATCCAGACTTGAAAATGTTATAAAATATGCAAAAAAGATTTCTTAAGAATAATATTAGAAGAAAAATGAGTTTGTGGGAGAACTTATAGAGTCTTTAAAAAATATATTAATTACAGTGTATGAATTCACTTTGTTTCATGATTCAAACAACAAGCTGGTTAAAAGTTTAAGAGAAAATTCCATCATGATATTGACGTGAGAATTAAAGTGTTTGTTAAAAAATGAAATATACTTGGGAGGCTGAGTCCAAGAATCCCTTTAACCTGGGAGGTGGAGGTTGCAGTGGGCCGAAATTGCACCATTGTATTCCAGCCAAGGCAACAGTGTGAGACTCTGTCAAAAAAAAAAAAAGAAAGAAATATGTGGATTTTTATAAAAAGGCATCTTTTGATAAAATGAAAACATTAGAGTGTGAATTGGGTGTTTGATGATGGATGTTTTATATTATGAGATTATTGTTAAATTTATGTGTTATAACAGCATGATTATATTAAAAACATTGCATTTATCAGAAATGGATACTTAAGTATTTATACGTGGAATGAAAATATATTTACTGTTTAATTTAAAATAACCCAGTAAAACAGAAAGGGTTAGTTAAAATTATCCAATTTTAAATTGAATTATTTAAAATAACCCAAAAAAGTTAAAAAGGAATACAGAGAAAATAAAGGAAAAAATAAGATAGTGTAGATGATATAAATAAAACAAAGACAAAATATTAGTTGCTTTTGAAGCTGGGTGAAGTGCATATGGGAAGTTCTTTTTATTATACTGTTATATTTGAGATGATCTATACTAAAAAGTAAAACACCAACAAAACAACCTGTTCAAGACACAGTTTCACAGATCACGATTTAATTGATCTGAGATGGAACCCAGCCAACTATTAGGGTTTTTTTTTGTATTGTATTGTTTTGTTTTGTTTTGTTTTGTTTGGACGGAGTCTCGCTCTGTCGCGCAGGCTGGAGTGCAGTGACGCCATCTGGGCTCACTGCAAGCTCCGCCTCCCGGGTTCACGCCACTCTCCTGCCTCAGCCTCCCGAGTAGCTGAGACTACCGGCGCCCGCCACGATGCCCGGCTAATTTTTTGTATTTTTAGTAGAGACGGGGTTTCACCTTGTTAGCCAGGATGGTGTCCCTGTCCTGACCTCGTGATCTGCCCGCCTTGGCCTCCCAAAGTGCTGGGATTACGGGCTTGAGCCACTGCGCCCGGCCAACTATTAGTATTTTTTATACTTTGGGCTTCTAATCTGTATCCAGTGTCGAGAATAACTCAGGATAAAATAGATACAAGCAAGGCTCTAGTTATGTTTCATTTTTTTTAATTAAAAAATTTAATTCAAGCTATGCAGTTGTAAGGCTAGTACAGAGACATCTCATGTACCCTTTACTCCGTTTACCTCAGTTGTAATATGTTGCAAAACTATAGTATAATGTCACAACCAGGATATTAACATTGATACAGTCAAGACAATTTTTTTCATTTTTTTATTTTTAATTTTTGTGTGTACATAGTAGGTGTATATATTTCTGGGGTACATGAGATTTTTTGATACAGGCATGCAATGCGAAATACCATATTGTGGAGAATGCGGTATCTATCTATTCAAGTATTTATCCTTTGTGTTACAAAAATTCCAATTACACTTCTTTATTCTTAGTTATTTTAAAATGTACAGTTAAGTTATTATTCACTATAGTTAACTCTGTTGTGCAATCAAATAGTAGGTCTCATTCATTCTCCTTTTTTTTTCTTGTACCCATTTAACACACAACATTTTTATCACCCTAAGTATTCCTCATGCTGCATATTTATAACCACCCACTCATCTTTATCCTTAAGCCCTGGCAACCACTAATCTGTTCTCAGTTTCTATAATGTAGTCATTTAAAAATATTATATAAATTGAATAATATACACCACGGTAAGTTTTTCAGAATGAGGCTTTTACTTAGCACAACACTCTGAATAATTGTCCAGGTGGATTGGTCTTTTTTCTCTTTCAGCACTTGAAAACATGTTGTGCTACTTCCTTCTAGCCTTTACGGTTTCTAATGAGAAATCTGCTGCTATTCAAATTGTTCTTTTTTCCCATAGTAAGGTATCTTTTCTGTCCTGTGCACCCCCACCCACCTCCCTGGCCTGATTTCAAGATTTCTTTCTTGGTCCTTAGTTTTCAAAAGTTTGACTATAATGTGACTTTCTTTGAGTTACTCTTTGGCATTTGCACAAGTTTTTAAATCTATAGGTTTAGGTGTTTTAGAAAAGTTTATCCATTATTTCCTTGAGCATTTTTTAAACGTTATCCTCTTTCTGCTCTCCTAGACCTCCAATGACATGAATGATCAATTTTTTGTTTTGGTCCTAGAGACCCTTAAAGCTCTGTTCATTTATTCTGGTCTATTTTTCTCTCTTTTGTTCAGATTCAGTAATTTTAAATATTTTGTCTTCTAGTTATCTGATCTTTCCATTCTCTTCATTCTGTTCTTGAGCCCATTTGTTCAGTTTTAAATTTTAGTTATTATTTCAGTTCTAAAATTTCCCCTTAGCTCTACATTATTTCCTCTATTTCTGAGACTTTCTATTGTTATTTCTATTGTTACTTTTACAGACGTTTCTCTTGTTACTTTCTACATTTTTATTGTTACTTTCTATTATCATTTTTATTATTACTTTCTATTGTTACTTTCTCTATATAATAAAGAGTCTGACTGCGTGTTATGATGTTTGACTGCTGACAACTTTGAAAGCCTCAATTTTTTAAAGTCTCACTTCTTCTTTCCCTTCCTCCTCACATTTGGGCAATTTAATTTAATTCAATTTAATAGGAAGGCTGTATGTTCCCTTCTTGGGGACTAGCAAGATACTTAAAGCACAAAAGCTCTGCCCTCATGTGGGAACTTTCACCTTGATTCCACCTTTGAGTTAATAAAAACCCAAGCCAGTCACCTTGGAGGCAGTGAGGGGGAAAGTTTCCAGGATGCTTGAGTTAAAGGAAAGGCTATAGGTAAGGTAAGTAAAATTATGGCATCTTATATGATATGTTCAGGAAGCATATTTGGCATTCTATAGTTGGAATTACAGATGGGAAGAGAATAGGAAAGTTGGAAGTTTTTGGCCAAGTTTCATCTATTATGGGCAGATTCTGCAGTAATTTTGTGTTGGCTTTCTGGACTGGTTGCTGTAGAGGTTGTAGGACAAAGTGTTATATATGGTTTGGCCACTGTCCCTTTGTGTATCCAGACTCTCAAATCTAGTTTAATATAACTTAGACAAGTATGGTACTCAGGTATCTTTCCTTGAAAATGTACTTAAATATACCCTCTGACTATTAAAAAGGTATTCAAATAATGAATTTAAGAAAAGATAGGCCAGGCGCAGTGGCTCACGCCTGTAATCCCAGCACTTTGGGAGGCCAAGGCAGGCGGATCACGAGGTCAGGAGCTAGAGACCATCCTGGCTAACACGGTGAAATCCCGTCTCTACTAAAAATACAAAAAATTAGCTGGGCATGGTGGCGGGCGCCTGTAATCCCAGCTACTTGGGAGGCTGAGGCAGGAGAATGGCATGAACCCGGGAGGCAGAGCTTGCAGTGAGCCGAGATCGTGCCACTGCACTCCAGCCTGGGCAACAGAGCAAGACTCCGTCTCAAAAAAAAAAAAAAAAAAAAAAAAGAAAAGCTAAGCTATGATATAATAGGAATGGTAATATACATTGAAACTAGTCAAATATGGAATTGTATAAATTATTCTCCAAACTTGGATAGAAAAAATAAAGTGAAATTAACATTGAAAGAGACTGTGCATTATAAAATGTTAAGAATAACTATGTCTAAAATTTTATATTTCATATATATATATATACAGAAACCAGGAAATGTGGGAAAAGAAGAGAAAGTAAATATATGCTAAATATTTCATTTTATTTTGGAGAAGTTAAAATATATTTGTTCATTTCTAATGTTGAAAATTAAAGAAATATTCTGCAATTAAAAACTTTACGCGAGTAGATTAAAAACTCAATACATCAATAAATTGGGGGAAAAATAAGACCATATTTCCACACAACACACCCACAAACCAAAAACAACTTATCTTTCAAAAATATTTAAAGATAGGAATAAAAAGAAACATTGATTTAAAAAAGGTCAATTACATCAGTTAATATAAGAAAACACTTCTAATTAAAAATTAAGACTTTATTTGCTTTATTTGATATCTAAGAGTATGTTTTTTAAAGTAAACTTCTGTTAAAGGAAAATTTCAAAGAAATTAAAATCATTTCTCTCATACAAATATGAAGCGTATATGTGTTAAAATTTTTATTTAACTCATTATTAATGAGAGAATCAGTAAGATGTCACGACCTGTTCAAAAGAAAATCTTAAAACAGACATTTATAGATAAGGAATATTTTTATGCATTTAATTTCAAAAAACTCCTGCTGCTTCCACAGTGAGTGAAGGGAGTCAACTGAATCTTCAACAGAATTTATTTGCACATTTATAGAAAATAATTATTTTTCAATTCTATCAGTTATTTACAATTTAAGGCGTTGTAAAATATTTCAATGGCAATGAAAAAGCGTAATCTCCACAGGATCAGATTGGATAACTCCTAGAGGGATTTGTTCTTAAAAATGCATACGTGCTCGGGCGCGGTGGTTCATGCCTGTAATCCCATCACTTTCTACTCAGGAGGCTGAGGCAGGAGAATCGCGTGAGTCCCGGGGGCGGAGTTTGCCGTGAGCGGAAATCCAGTGAGACTCCGTCCGGGATGGGGAAGCGTATGTTTCCCTAGAAGCAGAATTAGTTTTCTACACTGCTGAGAAACTCATAAAAAATAAAAATAATAGTATTTATTTAACATTACTCTGTGCAGCTACTCAAGATGATGATTATGTATTAGTACACTGATCCTCAGAGTAACTATTTTTGGGTGGAGGGCGGTGGGAGAGAGGAGCTAACATTTTAGTATATTTCTAAGCATATTGAGCCTAATATCTAAAAAGTATAAGTTAATGGTAAGAAATTCAGAACTAGAGCTTTAGAGTGAGATGTGATCTACTGATATAAATTTTGGAGTAAACTAGTTTTTAGTGATTTCTTTATTTCGGAAATTTTGCTTAGAACATGTTTCTTTGGTTTCACTATGTGGGCTGTCTCAATGACTGGCCGCAGCGCTAGGGCCTTGGGAAGCCTCCCACTGGAAATCATGTTGCTGAGGTTTATACTATACATCTAAGTATTGACTATCTTATCTTCCTTATGCACTTGACGTACAAAAAAGAGCACTTAGGCAGGGAACTAAATATGCTATCCTCTGTTCTCATAACCACCTACACATTTTGATGGTTGTTTTTCTTACTTGCCATTTTCAGAAATTCCTTTTTGTCAACTATGGTCAAGAGTGACTAAACTCATCTTGTTCTATGGCAGTACTTAATATTCTTAGATCCTATTTGGCTTAACACACAAAGATTACACTTGACAATGATGAACTTTACCTGAGTTCAGTGTCCCCAGTAAACAGTGAAGGTTAATCCCACCCCCAAACTTTTATTTTCTAAAGTTTGTCCCCAACTTTTTGTGCTGTGGGGAAATGATTTGCTGCAAGGAATCACCCTTGGCCTTACATCTCACATAAGATTCACAGGTGACTTCCTTGACATAGATCCTCAAAATTCCCATTTTTGATCTCATAAATTATGAACTCAGCTGTTCTGTCTCCACCCTGAAACTAGGTAGACATTGAGAAAATGAATAACAAATAGACCATGGTCAGACTCCATACAAAATGGAATATCTGATCAACAATCTGTATACAACTAGCCTAGAAAGCCAATATACCACTTATAGTAACTAGTCCAGGAAGACAATTTTAATCTATAAATCAGGTTTGCAGGAAGTCAGACTCTCTCTAGCACCCAGTCAAGAATCTAAACAAAAACCCTCATAACAATTAGTCCCACATAGCCAGGACTTCATTAGTAATTGACAGATTCCCTAACTATTGCCCCCACTTCCAACTTGGGACCAAACAAGGGATAGTCAAATATATACCCCTAACCAATCACATAGGATGCCCCACTTCTAATTAGCCTTTCTGCACCTTCCCCATGCCAACAGCCTCCAGTCATGTCCTACCTGAAGCCCTCCCTCTTTTCCATCATAAAGCTTTCCCACTACCCTATCTGCCTTTGAGTCTCTGCCAAAGGCAAATGATGGTTGGTAGCTCACTCACTTGCTAAAGCAATTTTTGAATAAATATCTTTCCTTTATTCTTATTTAAGTGGTCTTTGTTTATGGCCACAACAAAGAGATAAACATTTATTGATTCAGATTCTTCCAATTTACAAAAACCGTCTCAACTGTAAAATCACCCCATCTATAACTTGCTACTCCTTTCTCTAAAAGTAAAGCAAAACCACCATACTGATACACGCTGATATTTTGGGCAGCTGAGCATCTGGGGTGCTCTTCTTATTGCAATAGCTTGAATAAAATAATTTTCTACTTTCTCATGAACAGTATATTCTTTCTGTAACCTAAATTCATATTTGCATAATGAATTGGAAAACATCGCTACTTAAAAAAAATCATGCCAACTTTATTTAAATGTTTAAACTCACAAAGGAGGGGAGGAAAGAATAAAGAAAGGAAAGTAAGTAGGAAGGAGAAAAAGGAGCCAGGAGGGAGGGAAGAAACTGGGAGAAAATGGCAGGGAAATGATATTCAATTCTCTAAAACAAGGAGTTCATACGTGTCTAAACCAAAGATAGAAAAGAACATTGAATGTATAATACCAGTGATATACTCTGTGAGAATTCTGCCTTGCTCCAAGTAGAATTTTCTCTGTATTTAAAGAACGTACGAGCAATAGCTTCTGTTTTCATTTTATTTTGGGGGCACAAATTAAAGTTGAGTATTTTCTTCATGAAGGTATCAATTCAGGTTAGAATTCAGAATAGGTGGGTAGTTAATTCTAAGATTTTTGTACCAATGTATTAGTCATTTCCCAAGTGTAGAAGAAAAAATAATTGAGGCTGTCATTGCCTACATTTACTACTGATTTATTCAATTTACTCAATAAACCATTTCTTAAGCAACCACTATGTGTCAGGCAATGTACTTGGAGCTAGAAATTCAAGATGAATAAGGTATAGTTATGTCTGTTCCCAAGAAACTCACACTTCAGTTCTGGAGATAGACTTGGAAAAAGGTAACTAAAAATACAGTGTACATTTCATTGTTTCTTATTTTAGAGTATTTTATGCCTTTTGACATTACTTTCTTTTTCTGTTGAAAACACCTCTTTATTTTATCATTTTTATGAAGTTAAAATTAGTACTTATCTCTACATATAGAACTACCAACTCATATTTCAAAAGGATCACCAAAAGGGAAACATTTTATACTAAAGAGAAAATTCCTTTTATAAAGTTGGAGATTGTGGTTCAAGTATTTATAAATTAATTAGGATTACCATTCAGACACAAAATTATCTTTTCAAAATTTGTAATATTCTCTCAACAATAACACTGGCATACAATTCTCAAGTACATTAGTATTTCTTGTGTTTATAACACTAACCTCCCTGCTAATAGTCTTGACTTTTAGAGATTTGTTTTGTTTAGGGTTGATGCAATTATTGTTTTTTTTTAAAGATGCTGTTTTTATCTGTCTGAGTTCATATTAAATTTTCAACTACATTTTTCAAGACTCTGTTATCACCAATAGTAGCTTCTTTTACTGCTGAATGATTATAATCAGCTGATCACTTAAACTCTGTGTCACTTGCTCTGCAATGTTTCATCTCTTTAACAAAATGCATCGTTTTAAGCAAGATTTATAAATAAATAACATGTGCTAGTTATCAACAACAATGAAATTCTTAAGTAGTGTGTTTGATAAATAGGCCTTGATTATGAGAAACACAATCTAATTTTCTGCAGCCTACTGAGAAAATGATTATTAGATGTGGTGAAAATCTCTACTAAGCACTCAGAGAAATGAAAATCTATATTCCAGCAGTGAATACATTCCATTTAATATTTCCTTCCCCCTTCCTCCCCTCTATTTTCCTTAATCAAAAGGAAAAACACTTTTAAAAGTCATCAACAGTTTCTGTGAAACTTTCTAAGAAAAGTTTATTGCATTCCTTTTTGTTCAACTGCTCTCAGAAAGTAACCATTGGCACCTACTTCCAGTTACAGTAACATCATAATAACATTCTTATCCCTGCTAACCTCTAGGTTTATGTGTCTCTGTCTAGTAGGGGGAAAAAAAGGAAAAAGAAAACCACTCAATCTGGATCCATAGATAATTGGCAAATGGCAAAAGGGAGATTCAATTAACTCAGATTATTAACAGAGACATGCTACATCTGGTCATGGCTGAGTCTGTCCAGAAACATCTATCAAATAAATGATTAAAATCAAGACCTGGCAGATGTGCATCTCTTCATACACGGCCCTGTTTCTCTAATGTAAGAAAATATACTTAATCTGAGAATATTTTTTCTTAATTGTAGAACTCAAAGTCAGGATTTGGAAAATGGAAAATAACCTGGAAAAAGACATCTGTACATGTTTATTTAAGTTTTCCCCCTTGCCTTTTGCCTTTGCTGCACTAAAATGGTGTAGAATGAGAAACAATGTGTATTCTTGCCTTTTGCTTACAGCCCTGAAGGAAAACCTGCTGGGATTGGCTGCAGATGGTTTCATTGCGAGAGAAGAATGTGCCTCCTTTTGGCTGCCTGTTCTGTATGCATGATCAAGCCCCAGTCAATGCTTCATGTGCCTCATTAACTGCAGGACAGGAAGAAGTATGATGCTCCCAAAATACATGCCCTTTTCTCCAGCTAAGGCCAATATTATGAAAAGGAAACAATTCAGAAATTAGAAGATTATATGCTGTTAAAAAATTTTTGTATAGCCAAACTCAGTCTCCCTTTATTAACAGTGAATAGCTGTTATTAAAGTGGCACATTAGCTCACACTGACTTGTTTACTTCAAAGTGGACAATACTGGAAAGGGAAATGAACCATCATCTCTCAGCACCCTGAGCCTGAAATACATAAGGTACTCAGACTGCATGATGTAAAGTCAAAAAGAGCAATTGTTTTGAGAAAACCAGAGTGTTAAATTATCTTAAAGACTCTATTTGCACTGGGAAGTTGTGCATTAAAATATTTACTAAGTATGATTTTTCCACTTTGAGAGTCCTAAAGCAAAGCAAATTTGCTTAGAGTTTCTGAACTTAAAGCATATTTTAAAATTATTTACATGAAGATAATTAACACTTATTGAACTCTTATCATAAACAGGTGCTTTACATTTATATATAACTTTATATCTCCAATAATATAGCAAAGTCATTATGATGAATCCATCCTATAGTTAGAGCTTAAAAAAAATGTTAAGTACCTTGTTCAAGATTCCTTCAAAACAGTCAGGGATAACTAAGCCCAGGCTTTCTCCTTTAGGCTGATGAAAATCACCTTCTCTGCTGCATCACAAGTTCATGGAGGGTGGAGATAAAAGCAAGCTAAAGAAGAGTTTGGGACAGATAGTTTCCAAGCACTCTTCCTCTTCATAGTAAAATTTTAATTTGAATATTTAGAATAATCAGTTTGTTTAAGTGGTAGGCCAAGGGCAAAGATAAATAGTTATCCTTCCCATTTGGGATTAGAAGCTTTGTTGTTAGATAAAATAATGTTCATATTTTTATTATTTTTATTGATTTTTAATCAAAATCATATAATATACCTCAGATAGAAAGTAAAACACAAGAGCTAATGATTGAATGAAGTGGTCTACATCCCAGTTCTCGTCCCCAGAGGAAAATACTGTTTTGTTTTGTTTTTTTCTCTGTCACCCAGGCTGGAGTGCAGTGGCATGATCTTGGCTCACTGCAACCTCCGCCTCCCGGGTTCAAGCAATTCTCCTGCCTCAGCCTCCTGAGTAGCTGAGATTACAGGCGCATGCCACCACACCAGGCTAATTTTTGTATTTTTAGTATAAATCGGGTTTCACCATGTTGATCATGCTGGTCTCAAACTCTTGACCTCGTGATACGCCCTCCTCGACTTCCCAAAGTGCTAGGATTACAGGCATGAGCCACCATGCCTAGCTTGATCCTCATGGTTTAGTTCCCTCGATCTATTAAATAATGTTTATTAATTTTATGTATTGATTTACTATTTTAGATAATATCTATTTTCTTACTGCTGAAATACATGAAAAATTATGTAACATATAACACCCCAAATCTCCTTCTACCTCCTCCCAAAATGTTGATAGTTATTATAATCTCTTCCACTGAAAAAGGCTTTTCTGTAATATCAATTGGTTCACATGATATAGGTAAATAGGGAAATCATGTTAGTAAAAATGTGGAACTTGTTGATATTTTTTTCCTAGGAAAGGGGAAACAGAGCAGAAGTAGAACTATAGTTTCAAGGAAAAAAGCACTCTGCTGTCTTCTACACAATCAAGTAGCCCTTTAAGCTCTATTTTAAGAAAATTATTTTTGAATATCTGTATGTAGATATTTTCTTGGTTCCTCAAATCATGGCAGGTTGCTCTTCTTGTATCCCAAACTCCCCTTCTGTCTTCATGCCTTTTGACCATAAGACAAGTATTTCCAATCTATTGCTTTTGTGCATTTTTAAACAACCCCTGAGGAAGCCTCCAGCCTGGGCTCTGTTATTTCTCAAGATACTGATTATTGTTTTTTTTTAGTGCTCAGGGTAGTTGTATGATTTTGACTTGCCACGGTCCTATTTTTTACCTCTCTTACCTTGTCATTTTTAAAGAGTGCAGTTTGGCAGAACAAAAGCTTATTTACAAGAACACAGATATTATGATAGGGCAGAAAGTCTTACATTTTTAGTTGTGTTTTGCTTAACTTTTCTTGTGCTTAAATTTTCTTGTGCTTAACAATTTGAAAATTTGGTGTTATACTTAAATCTCTCATTTTTTGTCCTAACAAATGTCACCGGCATTCCCTCATTCTCTCTCCCTTTGATTATTGGGTATTTGGCTCCCTTCCACTTTCCTCAAACTTACCTACCTTTTTTTTCCCCCTTATGTTGCCTCTGACCTACCTTTCTTTCAGTATAGGTAAATTTTATTCACTTCTCTATGTTTTGTTTATATGCAGATTCTAAGCTTTGTAAAAATTAATTGATTTGTATTATCATACAGCCACAGTCCGCTGAAAGACTAAAATAATCACTTAGGCTATGATTACATTATTTTATTTGTGGTTCCAAAGTTATGACCAGTTTGCACAAAAATGGGAATATTTCTGGTGTAAAGTTCATATGTATTCTCCTTTGTATATTTAATAAATTCTTCAAGTCAGGATTGTTTATAGCTTGTGTCATATTTTAAACAATGCTTTTCAGTTTTTTGTTTTCATTTCTTTTCCTTTTCTGTTTGTTTCTGTTTGAATATTCATTCCTTACTAATTTCCAAATACTGCTTTCTTTTTTTTCCTGGGGGTAGTTTGAATTTTTATTAGATTTTTCTTGAAATCTTTTTCACTACTTTTTATTTTCTCACCTTTATTCGGGTATAATTGACAAAATTGTATGTAAGTTGTACAACATGATGATTTGATATGTGTACACATTGTAAAATAATTACCACAGTCAAATTTTTTAACATATTCCTTATCCCTCATAGTTACCATTTGTGTGTGTGTGTGTGTGTGTGTGTGTGTGGTAAGAACGCTTAATACTACTGTCTTAGCAAATGTTAAAGTACACAAGACAGTATTATTAGCTATAGTTACCAGGTTGTATATTAGAGCTACAGAACTTATTCATCTTATGACGGAATGTTTGTGCATTTTGATCCACATCTCCTCATTTTCCCCACTCACTCCCCAGGCTCTGACAACCACTGTTTTCCTCTCTATTTCTATGAATTCAATTTTTTTAGATTCCACATATAGGTGAGATCATTCAGTATTTGTCTTCCTCTATCTTGTTTTTCATTTAGCATAATGTCCCCAAGTTCATCCATGTTGTCGCAAATGGCCAGATCTTCTTTTTTTAAGGCTTAATATTATTGAATTATGTGTGCATATACACAGATACACACACACACACATAAGCACACTTGAAGATTGTGAATAATGGTATAGTGAACATGAGACATAGGAGTGCAGATATCTCTTTGAGATATTGATTTCATTTCCTTTGGATGTATATTCAGAAGTGGAATTGCTAGATCATATTGTAGTTCTATTTTTTAATTTTTTGAGGAAACACAATACTGGTTATCATGATGGTTGTGCCAATTTACAAATTCCTACCAACAGTGTACAAATGTTGCCTTTTCTCCACAACCCATCAGTTTTTTCCCCTCTCCCTCTCTCTGTGAGACTCCGTGATCAATCTTAGCATTTTGCCTACTATACATTTTGTTCTTTTGATACAGTACATTCTGATTTGATACATTACATTCTCTGAAAGACTACTTTGAAAACAAATCTCCTGAGTCTTTACATAAGATTTTTTTCCATGTACCTCATTATTTTTACACTTCATTTGGCATCTAGTTCTCACATTTCACAATTATTTTTTCTTAAAATGGTGATGACTTGCTTCATGCTTTCTAGCATCCATTGTTGAGTAAAGCCAGATGATATTACATACACTGATAACACTCCACTGAAACATTTTCCCTATATTCAACCCTGATTAGAATGATACAAAACCTAACATGTTTCAATCTTCACCTGATTTGTATACCTATCAAAGTCTGACACTGCTTACCAAACTTTTCTTATTAAAACACCACCTTCTGCCAGTGTCTGTGGCAATATTCTCTCCTAGCTTTCCTCATAGCTATCTACCAGTTCCATCTATGTCCGCTTTATGAGTGGTTCTCCATAATGAATAAGGCAATTCCTTGCACATACAGAGTTATCACTGTGTGTGTGAGTGTGTGAGTGTGTGTGTATATATATATATAGTGTATATACACACAATAGGTATTATATATGTATTCTATATGGTATATATTCACTGCATATATATCCACTATATATACTATATATACAATCTATATATCATGTATACTCTCACATATTATATTGTACATAATATATAGTATATATATGATATATAATATCCTATATATCTTATATATACTATATATCATATCCCATATATACTATATATACTATCACATGTATAACATATATATCACAAACATATATATACTACATATATATATATCTCACACACATATATATATCTAAATACTGCCAAATTTATGGCTCCAACTCTCCAGATTCATATATTTCTTTGCCCATTCTACATCTTCCCTTGGACATGTCAAAATAACCTCATATTCATCATATCTAAAAGTTGAAGTCATTTTCTACACACACACACACACACGCACGCACACACACACAAGCATGCACTATATTACACATAATCTGTTGTGCATTTAGGGTATTCTATCTGAAAGAATGATACTAAAATCCATCCAATTTCTTACACTAGGCACTTAGAAAATATTGTTGACTCCTTTCACTTTCTTACTTCCCTATCCAATCTATGACAAAATTCCGTTGATTTTACTTCATAAATCTCATTTGAATATTTCACACATCATCTACAGCTTTACCTTCTGGCTTAAGCTAACACCGTGTCTCACTGGATCATTACAATGGCCCCAACCTATCTGATTCTCTCCAATCTATTCTTCATTTGATAACCAGAATTTACTATTAAAAACCAGCAAATGTGGCTGGGCGCAGTGGCTCATGCCTGTAATTCCAGCACTTTGGAAGGCCGAGGTGTGCATATTACTAGTTCAGGAGTTCGAGACCAGCCTAGTCAACATGGTGAAACCCTATCTCTACTAAAAATACAAAAGTTACATGAGCATGGTAGCGTGCACCTGTAATCACAGTTACTTGGAAGGCTGAGGCAAAATAATTGCTTGAACCTAGAAGGCGAAGGTTGCAGTGAGCCAAGATTGTGCCACTGCACTCTAGCCTGGTCAACAGAGCAAGACTCTGTCAAAAAAAAAAAAAACGCAAATTTAATCATGTCACACCATCAGCTTAATATCTAACAGTCTTCTTAGTACATAAGCAAAGTAACTGTGCCCTCCTAGGTGCCACTGCAGTCACTCAAGCTGTACCTCTGTACCTGCGGACCCAGGCATCTCTGCACTCTCAGGGTCCAAAGAAGCCTCTCCTGCCCCAGCAGGCTGAGAAGTGCTTGCGTCCCTTGCCTGGCTTCTTCTTGCTTCCAGTGCCCACTCTAAACTCAGAGTAAAGTTGAGGCCAAACCTGGATGCTCTTGCAATCTGGTCAGGTGTGCATGCTCAGGGCATGGCTGATACGTCAGCTCCTGTGCTGCTTCAGTTCCTTCTGGACTTTGGGTGCTGACGGCATCGGAAGGAAGCCAAGTAGGGTTGAGGGCAGTTTGGCACGGGCCTGCAGGTGCCCTTTAGTACAAACAGCCTGGGCAATGATGGCAGGAGGCAGGCAGGCTCCTAAGAGAAAAAGGGCAGGCCCCTAATGAAGTTCCACCTTCAAATCAGGGATGGCCTGAAGCCTGGGGCCAGGCTAACAGACCAGAATGGAAATTTATGGTGCTTTTTTGATCCCCACCCATGGCCACCCATGAACCAATCAGCATGCAGTTCCTCCCCTCTGAAGCCCATAAAAACCCCGGATTCCGCCAGACTTGGAGAAATGAGGGATAACCTGCTTACAGAGAAGAGCTACCCACTCCAGGTTCCCCTCTCTACTGAGAGCTGAACACTCATCAGGATGACCTGCCTATGGAGAGAAACTACCCACTGTGGGTCTCCTCTGAGCTATTCTATCCCTCAGTAAAGCTCCTCTTCACCTTACTCACTCTCCGTTTGTCCACATACCTCATTCTTTCTGGATGTGGGACAAGAACCTGGGACCCACTGAATGGCGGGGCTGAAAGAGCTGTAACACAAACAGGACCAAGATATGCCCCTTGCTTGCCAGGTTATGGTTGAGAAGAAGAGAAGAGAGAAGGAGAGAAAAGCTGCAGCCCTTCAGGGAGCTCAGACCTAGGAGCTCCCTGAGCCAGGGCTGTGAGGCCCTTTTTGAGGCACTGAAATTTCTTGTGTCTCCAAACTTTCAGGTGTTACCGAATTCCCCAGTGCCAGTGTGGAACCTGCTTGAAGGATGCCTGGTCCAACTGCAGCCTCACAGGGAGCTGGCACTCATGCCTGCACCTGGAGTTGCCTGCCCCACTGTAGCCAGTGTGCCTGGCTATGTGCAGTAGCTGGTCTCCATGCTTGTCCACACAGCTCTCACTGTTTCACCTGCCCTTGGCAGGCATGGGATCCAGGCCAGTAGCATGAGCCAAGCACAGCCTGCTAGGCGGAATAGGCCCAGTGGGCCCAAGAAAAACTTGGGCAAAGGCACCACTGGCCATAGAGGTTTCCAGCTGTTGAAGCCACACCCCAAGGATCTCGTAACATTCCCACGAGTCCTACTTAACTCTACATCCTCATCTCTCATCAGTTTCCTCATTTTGGTTATCATCACCTTGGCTTTCTTCTGTTCCTAATGTGTATCTCATTCTTTCTTAATGAGATAACCTTTTAACCTACTTGTCCATTTGCATGAAATAATCTTTGCTTATATTCTATCTTTCATGAGATTGTGTGGTTCACCTATTCAGAGTGAAATTACCTTCTCTATTCCTGTTTCCCAGGCTGGGTCCATTTTTGTTTGTTTGTTTGTTTTTGTTATTGTTTTAGCTCACAGAATCTTTTTCTTTTTTAGGTCACTTAATTCAATTTTAATTGTGAATGTATGTGTATGATTATTTAACTAATGCCTGTTTTCTCTACTAAAATCTAAGATCTGTGAGAGCAAGCACTCTTCTATTTTCGTTCTTGGTCTATGCTTACTACAGAACCTGGAAAGCAATAGACACCTAACTAAAGTCTGTACAATTATTTAGCCAAAGCATAAGTCATGAATGGGAGACCAAGTCCAGAAATGATGAGGGATAAGGGGATTTGAAGCTGTTTTTTACATTGATGCAAAACATAAAAAAATACAGAGTTATCTGAATAGTGTTTCCTGTCCTTGAAAAAGCAAGCATAATGATCTCTATTAGTCTATTTTATCCCACAAGCCCCAAGAAAAAGCAAATAATTGAATTTATCTCTTATAGTTTTAAGTCATTTTTCTATAGTGAACATTCACCAACTTTCACTTTTCTCTTGCTTAATTTCATTAATTTGTTTTTAAGACCTTCCCTTTCAGGATATTATTTATGATGCTACCTAAAATAAACGATCTATAAATAATAATTCAGATAACTTTTATCTGTTTAGATAAAAATAAACAAGTTTAGCATTTCATTGTTTACAATGATAATTCCCAGTGAAACTGGCATAGCCTAAGAAAGGTAGAATGGTGATTCATTGGACCAAAGTAAAGAATTATTCGAGCTTTTATTTATATCTGTTATAAATCTAAAGTATGAAATAAATTAAGTTGTAATAATATCTAATATATAAATTGATACATATCAGAAAGTGATGTATTTGATTAGATTGAAAAGAGAAATAAGAAAACTGCATGAATTAGCCAAATTTATTTAGTGATGTGTGTGTGTGTGTGTGTGTGTGTGTGTGTGTGTGTGCCTTACAAACTCCACTTAATAATCTCCACTACCTGATTAGGAATCCATTGTACTCTGATATCCAGATATTATTGAGTTAACAGAAAAGCACTAATATATTTCTTCTTCCTTAGACAATAATGAAAGAGCTTATAGAGTTAAAATACACGTAAGACAGAAAGACGCTTTGCATATGTAATGTCAACCTACGTCCACTGTAGGGAAAGTAAAATTTCTTGTTAGTGTTGCTTACATATCTTATGATTCTGAGTAGTTAGTAAAGGTTTCTGAAAATAATGATTTTGAGTTTGAACAAGCATATTTTGTTCAAGTAATTAAAGTTTTGGTGAAACTAAAGACAGCATCACCTTCATTGCTAGCTCTAACTTTTAATTTTATACCTTTGTAAGTAGCATTGATTTGTCATAGTTATAAATTATGTATCCAATAAAAGGAAAATAAAAGAATAAAACAGCTTAACGGTTTAGGCCAAAAGTTTGGCCTTACATTGACTTCATTTTTAAAATGTTTGCTTTATGTAAATCATTATTCCAGTCAAATTTAATCAAAATTCATACACAAGATACATTGTGAATATGCCACAATATGTTAATATTAGGATTATTGTTTTAAAATATGCGGAGACTTGTCCAACTAGCCAAAATAATTGCTTTACTTTCACTATAAACTAATGTGCTAAGTTGTTGAACAAGTTTTAGAATATTACCCTCATCCTTAACTGAACTGGCCAAATTTTATTTTATAGACTGTATAATGTAGGATAATGGAATAAATTTTTTGGTTTTACTTTTTACTTTTTTTTTTTTTGAGACAGAGCCTCACTCTGTCACCAGGCTAGAGTACAGTGGCACCATCTTGGCTCACTGCAACCTTCGTCTCCCGTGTTCAAGTGATTCTCCTGCCTCAGCCTCCCGAGTAGCTGGGACTACAGGTGCTTGTCACCATGCCTGGCTAATTTTTGTGTGTTCAGTAGAGACACGGGTTCACCATGTTGGCCAGGATGGTCTCGATCTCCTGACCTCATGATCCGCCCACCTCAGCCTCCCAAAGTGCTGGGATTACAGGTGGGAGCCACTGTGCCTGGCCTGGCTTTACTTTTAACTAGTCTAATTGAAATGAAATTGAAATGCACCTAATATTATTCCAATTTCTGGCTACATTATTTTAAACCATGTGTACCCTGGAATAGCACTAATTAATAAAGTGTTACTATACCCTTATTTTATTCTTCATCAGTATATATATTTTTAAAAACATGCATTTTTATTTAAATACTTACACTTGGCTCCTATTTCTTAGTGCAATCATTTAAACTCTACCAATTAACTATAAAATATTAATAAGAAGTTAGCTGTTTAAAACAAATTGGGTTATCTCATTCATTCAGTGTTTAGAAATCAATACTTATTAAATTTCACAAGCAATACAATTCAAAAACTATAAAAATGATTTTGAAAAACTGGGTAGAATTTTGAGTAATTTTTCATGAGTAGAGCTCTCAGAACAGCTTTTTTAGAAAAATAGTATTTTTAAGTATTTAGATATATTGTTTTTATTTTTATTACCACAATTACTTGGTCATTAAATTTATTGTGTAAATAAAGAGTTTCCAGAAGAAATAGAATTATATCATGCACACTGATATTTGATCTGAATTCTCTATTACTTGAGCCTTTAGGCAAAAATTGACACAGAGCATCTTCTTGTGCAATTTTAGGAATCTCTAAAATGTCCAAATCAAACACTTGCCTGATTTTATTGTCCTGCTTTAGTCTATTGTAAGCCAATGAGTCAACAATACTTATTGTGACTTCATTCTGCACAGAAGATAATTGGATTACAAAAAACTGGAAAACATTGAATTTTCCTGAAAGAAGAATGTAGCAGATATCAAAGGACATAACTGGTGTGGTCAGAGTTATAGCATAAAGATATCATATACTCTTCACATGTTAAAAATCTCAAAAGGGTCTACTTTCTGGTATTTTCTTTTAACAAATGAGGTTAAAATGAGACGTAACTTTATGATTGGATATGTGCTCACCTCATAAATGTCAGTTTAAATTCATTTTAGGCAAAACAGTGAGCTATTGTTTGTAGATAGTTTGCTGAGTTGCTTAAGTCATGTTATTTATGTTTTAATTAGAAGATCAACCCTTGTGTAAAAAAGTTGAGCTTCACGTTGTCCAGATTTCAAGATTAAGTCTGCACTGCGGCTGTCTTGTCCATTTTTATTTTAGAGCTGTAAGCAACAAAGTTCCAAATAACGGGTAATACAATTTATTGAATATCTGTGAAGCTAAAAAAACCTACATGCATTATCATACTTAATCCTCATAATAAACTTTAAAGGTGGGTATTATTATTATTATCACTGGCATGTGGGTTATACAATTACATATTATTAATTTTCTTAATATAATTCTGACATGTGAACATTATAGAAGTTGTATAAATCAAATTGAACAAAATTAAAATAAATAGAAACACCTATTGCCCAAACACCCATAGGTATTCATTTTTAATATTTCATTCTCTATCATGCATATATTTTTATAAAAGATAATAATACAGTTAAAATTTTAGGAATTGCTTGTTTCCTAAATATCAATGTATTCTCATGATATTGAATACTTTTAGACAGCTATAATTTACATTATTATATGTATACTATATCTATATTTATTAAATCAAATGTAATTATTTAACCACACCATATTTTATGACTGGCACATTATTTATACTATTTGTTATTTTAAGAGTACTACTAGCTTTAAAACAATTACACATGTAATCATTACCATTTTAGAGATAAGGTAACTGAGACACAGACTAAGCAAAACCTATTCAGGATACTGCCATCTCTAAAGCTTGTATTCTTGTTTAAATATTTAAATAACACTATTTTCTTATTACAGTTCCTGTACATGCTGATAATAACTTAATTACAATACAAATTTTATTCTCAACCCTACCTGCCTGAGCCAAATTACTATAAGATTTTAGTATTAGTTTTGTACACTTGTATTTTCCGTTGATACTTTTCTTAGGCTATATTAGCAAAGGTAACATCAGTGAGATAGATAGTATGAACTTCTTCTAACTCTTGCTAAATGTCACATTGCCAGGCCTTAACACTCTATCAAATTTAACCTAGAGTGCAGAAAAATATTGCCCTTACAAGAAGCTGATACAATAGTGCTATTTTAAAACTTACATATTTCTTGACACATCTAATAAATAAAAATAACATTTTACTGATATTTAATCTTAATATTCTTTATTTTTAATTCAGGCCATTGCTCCTGACAGTTAGTAAGTTTTGCCTATTTTAAAATGAATTGGAGATTGGCCCAAGATGGCCGATTAGAAGCAGCTGCAGTGCACGGCACCCACAGACAGGAATGAAAAGGGATGAATGAACTCAGCATCTTCAACTGAAATATCCAGGTTTTCACTTGTGACTGACTAGGCAAACAACACAACACACAGAGAATGAAAAAAAAAAGCCAGCGTTGGAGGGGTGATGGCCCACCCTGGAGTGGCATGGAGCCAAAGGAAGCCCCACCCCCAGCCGAGGGAACTGGTGAGTGATTGTCCAACCCTGCCTGGAAAACCATGCTTCTTCCATGCATCTCTGAAACTCATGGATCAGGAGATCCCCTTGTGAGCCCACACCATCTGGGCCTTGAGTCTGATATGTGAAGCAATGTGGAGTATAAGCAGAGCAGCCACTCAGGCACACAGAGACCCAGGAGCTTCACACACTCTGATCCTGGGATGCCTGGCAAGATGGGGAATCTGTCTATACATATTTCTAGGAATGGGGCCGAATCCAGGAAGCCAAGCAGCATTGTTCTGTGGGCCCCACTTCCACAGTGCCTCACAATTTAAGACCCACTGGCTTGGAATTCAGCTAGCCAATGGCAGCAGGTTGAAGTCCACCTTTGATGGATCCAATTTCCCAGGGGCAACCACCAAGTCTGTGGTTTGGTCAACTCAGCCACTCCAGCCTGCTGGCTTTGGAGAATACAGGTAGTCCAGATGAGAAAGGGTCCCCACCAATGCAGCACACCTGCTCTACCAAAAAGCAGCCAGACTGCTTCTTTAGGACAGTTTCTGATCCTGTTCCTTCTAACTGAGTGAGACCTCCCAACAGAGGTCTCCAGCCATCTCCTACATGTGCATGTGGGCCAGCAACAGGTCAGTCCCCTTCTGGGACAAAGCTTCCAGAGGAAGGAGCTGGTTGACATCTTTGCTGTTCTGAAACCTTCATTCGTGGTACCTCCAGGTATGGGAGAAACTGAGGCAACTGGAGTCTGGAGCAAATCCCCAGAGAACTGCAGCAGCCCTATGGTAAAGTGGCCTGACTGTGAAAAAACAAACAAATGGAAAACAACAACAACTGAGAAAAAAAGACCCCACAGAAACCTCGTTCAAAGGTCAGCAACCTCAAAAATTGAAGGTAGATAAGACTACAAAGATAAGAAAGAATCAACACAAAAATGCTGAAAACTCAAAAAGCCAGAGTGCCTCTGCTCCTTAAATGATAGCAACACCTCCCCAGCAAGGGCACTAAACTGAGCTGAGGCTGAGATGGCTGACTAACAGAAGTAGGCTTCAGAAGGTGGGTAATAATGAACTTCACTGAAGAAAAGGGCATGTTGTAACCCAATTAAAAGAAGCTAAGAATCATAATAAAAAAAATACAGAAGATGATAGCCAGAATAAAATAAAATCAGTGTTTATCAAGGATATTGGCCTGAAGTTTTCTTATTTATTTATTTATTGTATCTCTGCCAGGTTTTGGTATCAGGATGATGCTGATCTCATAGAATGAGTTAGGAAGGAGTCCCTCCTTTTCAATTGTTTTGAATATTTTCAGTAGAAATGGTGTCAGCTCTTTTTCCTACCTCTAGTAGAATTCAGCTGTGAATCTGTCTGGCATTGGGCATTTTTTCGTTGGTAGGATATTACTGCCTAACTTTCAACATTCTTTATTGGTTTATTCTGGGATTCACTTTCTTCCTGTTTCAGGCTTGGGGGGATGTTTGTGTCTAGGAATTTGCCCATTTTTTTTAGATTTTTCTAGTTTATCTGCATAGAGGTGTTTATAGTATTCTCTGATGGTTGTTTTTATTTCTGTGAGGACAGTGGTGATATCCCCTTTATCATTTTTTATTGTGCTTATTTGATTATTCTTTATTTTCATCTTTATTAGTCTAACAGTCTATTTTATTAATTTTTTTCAAAAAACAGCCCCCGAATTCATTGATTTTATGATTTCTTCTCAACTTAAAAGCTCGTAATAGTTATAAGAAAATATGGCCACCCCAATTTTTACTTTCCCACAGTTTTCTCATACTTTCAGTGATTTATGTTTTATGAAAATCCTCAGTTAAAATGCAATATCCCATTTTTAGTGTCCTCCTCAAATCCTTACCCCATCCTCTGTCCTCCTTAAGCTTTTCCCACCTTGCTTATAAGCAATTTCTGGCTCAATATAGAAATAGCAGCTTTACAGTGTGACAATAAGACCTTAGCTATGCCACCTCATAGTTAGAATGGTTAGCCTATATCAATAGTGTGTGTATATGTATTTATTTTTGAATTGGGAAACATATAGTTTAGAATGGTAAAGTAGTTTATTCTCAATTTCTACATTGAGTGGTTTTGCTCTATTTACCATAGCACAATTAGGCCACCTAATAGTTTGATTGGTTTTGCATTACTTTGAATTTTTTCACAGATTATTGCCATTGATCATTATCATGTATTCTTGGGTATTGGGAGACCATAATAATTTGAATATGGGTGGTTTTATAAATATGTTAATGAGAATATGGGAGATTAGAAATCAAGGCTGCTATAAGATAATTGCTTAAATAAGCCTATCCTCACCTTAATACTTTTTACTTCATACTTACATACATTATACTTCTGCGTACTTTATACTGCCCCCCTAAGCCACATCATTAATGAAGAGAAGAGTTGGTTATATACTTCATGCCTGCATACTCTAAGCCTGGTGTTCTTGCCCATGGCAACCATTTACCTCCCAAGAAATTATTAATGGAGATAGGTTAATAATAAAACTGAAAACCATCAAATTCAATTAATGTATTTATCGGAACCTCACAGAAAAAAGTAATGGAAACCAACATACTTATATACTACTTTAATTTTATTATTATAAGTTCCCATGATAAATAAGATTAATTCATCACTGTTACTATATCACACCAAATTTAAAGTTAATTATCATGGTACGGAGCCATATTTTTTCAAAAACTGTCAGAATTCAATATGCACAAGATATGCACTTAAATTGAATGAATAACATAAAGAAAAGTTTGTTCAATATATTATCTTAACAGGCAAGTTTATTAGAAGACAAAGAATAAAGTCACTTAAATAATTGTATCTTTCTTGGCAAAGAATGCAGGTATTGTTCCTGAAATAAGTGTTTGTTCTCGTCTTTTTTTTTTTCTATAGAGATTGATGAAAGAAAGCTCCCAGTTGTGTGAATTCTGCTTTGGAAAATATGTTCTATATATACTGGAGGCACATAATTGCAAATATTGAATGGCATAGCCACAATTAACTAAATAAACGTATTTCAGAAGGGGAAAAGACATTGAATACAAAGATAGACAATGAGTTAATGAACTCCCTCTGCTTCGTTCATACACAATAAGGAGTAAATGTAACAAATTGGAAAGACATTAAAATGAGGAACAATAGTAATCATATAAATTATAGCCAACAGCAGCTGCATTTTCCCATCACCCATACCCTTTCTCTAGGTGTTTTTCATGGCTTTTTTCCTCTCAGTTACATTTACAGACCTTAAAAATCTCAGAAGAGCAATAAGTATAAAAACAATAAAAATGCTACAGATACCTTCCCTTACCAGGTAAAATTCACAACACTATTTGGAAATACAGCATGTATTTTTTTCTGAATATTTTTTGAGCATTGAATGAAATGAAAAATTATAAATTAAGCATTTTGGATTGGAAAGAAGAAACATAAAACGAATTTTAATAGTATTATTAAAAGAAAAAAGGCAGACAAACTGAAAGTTCCTTTTTTTTTTTTTTTTTTGAGACAGAGTCTGGCTCTGTTGCCCAAGCTGGAGGACAGTGGCGTGATCTCAGATCACTGCAACCTCCGCCTCCCGGGTTTAACCGATTCTCCTGCCTCAGCCTCCCGAGTAGCTGGGACTACAGGCGCAGGCCACCATGCCCAGCTAATTTTTGTATTTTTAGTAGAGACGGAGTTTTGCCATGTTGGCCAGGGTGGTCTCCATCTCGTGACTTCGTGATTAGCCCGCCTCGGCCTTCTAAAGTGCTGGGATTACAGGCGTGAGCCACCGCGCCCAGCAGAAAGTTCCTATCTTTCTTTGGGTACATCAGAGAGCTGAGTTTACAGGGCAATCAACTATCCCACAATTTAAAGAAAGGGAAGCACCTCCAAAGCAACAGGACTGCAAGCGCTTAATTACCTAGGGCGGTTTTAGCTGGACAACAAGAAGATGATTTAGATAGATTAAGTGAGAGAAATTGTATGGAGGCCCTGGGGGCAAGTTTGCACTTTCTTGTAAGGTTTAACGGGCAAGAACACCTGGAGTTCACAAAAAAAATACTGGGAAGAGTCATGAGAAAGCATTTTTCCTGGTGCAAGACCGGTGAAGCAGAATATCAGCCCCTATGAGAGGAGCAGGAAACCACCTGGACTTCTTTCACCTATATCCACTACAGAAAAAGAGGAAAAATGAAAGATAATAAGAAACTAATAAAAAACAGTTAGCAAGTAGGTAGATTTTAATTCACCACATCAATAATTACAGTAAATGTGAAATTTACAAAAAACTAATTAAAAAAGGAGTTTATTAAATTGAATAAAAACGCAAGACCCAACTGTGTATGTAAACAAGAATCACACTTTAAGTATAATTCAATGACTTTTGTTTAAGACTTTAATCCATTTTGAGCAGATTCTTATATTAGGGTGACATAAAAGTTCTTTTTAATTCTGCATGTGGATTTCCAGTTTCCCAACATTATTTACTGAAGACACTGTCTCTTTTCCACTATCAGTTCTTGCCATCTTTGTCAAAAATAAATTGATTACAGGTGTGTGGGTGAATTTCTAAGCTCTTTTTCTTATCCCAATGGTCAACCTGTTTATTTTGATGTCAGCATAATGCTGTTTTGATTATTATGGCTTTGTAATATATTTTGAAATCTATTAGTGTGGTACCTTCAGCTTTGTTCTCTTTGCTCAAGATTTCTTTGGCTATTCAGGGTCCTTTGTGGTTCCATATAAATTTTAGGGTTTTTAAAAAATTTATTTGAAGAATGACATTGGAATTTTAATAATGATTACATTGATTCTGTGATTTAATTTTGGTAGTATGGGACATTTGAACAATATTAATTTTATCAATTCATAGATACAATGTATATTTCCATTTATTTGTGTAATCTTCAATTTCTTTTATTCATGTTTTATAGTTTCCTGTTTATAGATTTTTCACCTTCATTAAATGTATTCCTAAGTGGTGTTTGACACTATCGTAAGTAGTATCAAAATGGGGTTATTTTCTTAATTTCTTTTTCAGATAGTTTGTTGTTAATGTATAGAAATGCTACGGATTTTTGTAAGTTGATATTGTATCCTGAAACTTTACTGAATTAGTTTATCAGTTCTAATAGTTGTTTGGTGATGAATTTTGGTTTTCTGTGTATAAAATGATATCATCAGCAAACAAGTAATTTCACATCTTCCTTTCTTATTTGGATGATTTTTATTTTATTTTTTCTTGTCTAATTGTTCTGTCTAGGTCTTCTTGAACTATGCTGAAAAAAAGTGTTGAAAGTAGGCATCCTTGTGTTGTCCTTGAACTTAGGGGAAAAGTCTTCAACTTTTTACTGTTTAATATAATGTTCGCTGGAAGCTTGTCATATATGGCCTTTATTGTGTTCAGAACTAGACCTTCTATACTTAATTTATGGGAAGCTGTTATCATGAAAGGATTTGGGTGTTTTTAATCAAATTTTTTTTCTGCATCTGTTGAGATGATCATATACGCTTACTGCACTTTTTTTCTGTTAATATGGTGGATCAAATTTAAAAACTTACCTGTAACTGTTAGATTTACTATTATCAAAAGGATGAAAGATAACAAAAGTTGGTGAGGATGTGGAAAAAGGTAGCCCATGCTGACTGTTGGTGATATTGTAAATTAGTACACTCATTTTAGAAAATAGTATGGAGGGTCCTCAAAAAATTAAGAAGAGAATTACTATATGATCTAGCCATTCCACTTCTGGATATATATCTAAAGGAATTAAAATACATATATCAAAGAGATATCTGTGTCCCATGGTCATTGCAGCACTCTTTACAATAGCCAAAATATGGAAACAATTGAATTGCCCATCAAGGGATAAGTAGATTTTTGAAATGTGGTGTTTATACACAATGGAATCCTATTCAGGCTTGAAAATCCAGTCTATCACTTGTGACCTGGATAAATCTAGAGGACATTATGCTAAGTGAGGTAAGCCAGGCACAAAATAAAAAATACTACATGATTTCACTTATATCTGGAACCTCAAAAGAATTTAACTCAAGAAGTTGAGAGTAGAATGAAAATTACCAGAAGCTGAGGGAGGGAATGGATGGAGAAAGGGGAGATTTTGGTGAAACAGTAGAATTTTCAGTTAGACAGGAGTAATCAATTCTGTTGATGTCTTGCACAGCATGGTGACTATATTTAGTAATAAGGAATTATATATTTTAAAACAGCTAAAAGAAAGAATTTGAATGTCCTTGCCACAAAAAATGATAAGTATTTCAGATGATAAATATGTTAATTAGCCTAATTTGATCATTCCACAATATATACCTATATCAAAACATCACATTGTATCTCATAAATATATACAATTATTATTTGCTAATTAAAATTAATATTAAATTTAAGAAGTATCATAGCTAGTAAATACTGCAGCTAGGGAGAAACTAAAGTGACTATATACAGATGTATCTATCTATATCTATACAAATAGAAACATGTCAAAAAGATGGTTATCCAAAATGAAAGAATAAAATATACCATGCAAGGTTTAATCAAAACCAAGCTAGAGTAGTTTTATTAATGTTAGTCACAGTACACTTGACAATAAGAAATACAGTCACAGTGAAGGACATTTCATAATAATAAAAAGGTCAATTTTTGAAGAAATCATATCAATCCTAAATATTCATGCACCTAATATAAAGCAAACACTGAAAGAACTACAGTGAGAAATAAACAAATCACATTCATAGTTTACATTTCAATTATTTTCCCCACATAATTAAAAGAACAAATAGGCACTAATAGAACAAATAATCAATAAAAATAGAGCAACTAGAAAATCAGAAATGATATAAAACACCTACGTAACCCTATCAACCAACTGGACCTAACTGATTTTTTTTAAAACACTACACCTGATAAATGTAGAACATATTGCTTTCAAAGACACAGGAACAATGCATATACAGAACATAGAACACCTTCTGAGCTGCAAAACAGACCTTGAAAATGTAACAGAATGGAAATTATATAAAATATATTCCTAGAATATGATAAAATTAAGGTAGATATTGATGAGAGAAAAATATTTAGAAAATTCACACAATTTGAGGAAATAACATATTTTAAAATAACATTTCAAAGAGGAAGTCTTATACAGGAAATTAAGCATATCTTGTAGAAAACAAAAACAAAGAACACATCAAAATTTGTGGCATTCAGGTAAAGAATCAATTAAATATAAATTTATGGCACTAAATTAGGTTATTAGAAATATATAAAGTTCTTAAATTAGATAAGTTTCCAACATAAAAAACTAGACTAGGAAGAGCAAATTGTGACAAAAACAAGAAGATAATGAGGGTGGAGCAAAATGGCCAAAGAGTGCTGCAGTAATTGTCCCCTATAGGAACATCAGATAAAAGAGAGCACCTTCATAAGAACCAAAATATCAGGGAAGCAATCACAGTATCTTTGTTACTGGAAAAGGACTCTTGTCTCAGGCTCCAAGTGTGGGTTCTTGGATCTCACGTGAGAAATAATTCAGGGCAAGTCTCGGAATATAGTAAAGTTAATACAGTTTATTAGAAACTACTCTGTCACAGAATACAGCATCTTCATAAAGCAAAAAGAGAAACACCCCTACCTTAAACATAATGCTTGCTTATATAGGATATCATGGCTATGAATAGTGTACTTTATTATAAAAGCTTGTGATCAGCTTGTGACAGGCTATTAGTACTGTTATTTTCCTATGTAACTATTGATTTCAGCAATAATGATGACTGTACTATTTAAAGCAAAACTTATTCAACTAAAAATCTCTTTGTTCTTGAAATATTGGAACATTTCCACAAGTTCTGGGTCTTTAGTTGGTTAGCATTACTAACTAATTTGCTCAACCATAAACATATTATGACCAACAATGCCTAACCCTCTTGGAATGTAATCCAGTAGATTTGGCATTATCCAGCCTCTATTCAAGATGGAATCACTCTGGTTAGCATGCATCTGACACGTTGTTTTAACATAACAACAAGGAAAGACACACTGAAGAGGGTAGGGAAGACAATTTGGCATTGCCTACACCACATCTCTCCTAATCCCAGGCAGTGCAGGGCAGAAAGAGAATCTGTGTGCTTTGCAGGGAGAGCAAAGTGAGTGTGAGACTTTGTATTGGAATTCAGTGCTGCCCCGTGGCAGCAAAATAAAACACAGGACAGAATTTTGCCAGTGTCTACAGACATTTAGATCAGTGCTGGGGTGGAGGGGAATCCTCCGTCAGTCCAGGCTGGAATCACAGCCAGCTGATTAAAGTTACCTAGGTCCCCAAATCACAGCCAGCTGATTAAAGTTACCTAGGTCCCCAAATAAATTTGAGTGGTGGTCAGGCCACAAGGATTGCAGTCACTGGGCAAGCCCTGGTGCTGTGCTGGTCTCCGAAGCAATGGATTTGGGATGTGAATCAGTGCAACACCAGCTGTAAAGGCCACGAGAGTGCTTGTGTCACCCCCCCCCCCGCCCCCGCAAATCCATGCAATGCAACTTGGGGAGACACTCCTTCCACTTGGTAGAAGGACAGGGAAGAATACAGAGGACTTTGTCTTATAATTTGGGTCCAAGTTCAGTCACAGAAAAATAAAGCTTCAGACAGATTATTAAAGCCATTGATTCTAGGCCTTTGCTCCTGATAGCATTTCTAGATATACCCTTGGCCAGAAGGGAATCTGCTGCTCTGATGAGATGGACCCAGTCTCAGCAAGATTCACCATCTGATGGTGGTGGTTTTGGACCTTGAATAAACATCAGCAGCAACCAGGCAGTAGCAACCATGAGCCTTGGGTGAGCCCCATTACTGTGCTTTTCTGGAAAGCCATAGTCTTCAGGTAAGACCAAGCATGATGACAGTTGTGGTGGCCATGGGAGTTGCCTGCATCAACCCTTCTTTAATTCCAGGCAGCCTAGAGCAGAGAAAGCCTTCTTCTGAGGGAAAAAGACGAAAGAGAATGAGAGACTTTGCCTAGCAAAGGGAATTCTCTTCCTTAACTCCACCAGGGCTGTGTATCTAGGCGTCTGCAAGAGTCACAGCATTCCTGAGCTTACAGTGCACCCTAGTGCTGAAATGAATGCAGTGACTGCAGGCTTAGGTCACAACAGTCAATCCCCCTTGAATTTCTTGGAATGCCCTCTCAAGAAGAATGGGGACAAACAAGCCAGGACTGTGAAGACTGGAATGAATATCTGACTTATCAGCAGAAACATTACAGGCTGGGAGCTAGTAGAATGACATATTCAGAGTGCTGAAGGGAAGGAAGAAAAAAACTTTCCTCCTAGAATTTTATATCCAGCAAAATTCTCCTTCTAACATGAGAGAAATAAAGACTTTCACAGAGGTACAAGAGCTGAAGAATTTTGTCACCACCAGAGTTATCTTACAATAAATGCTAAAGAAATTTCTTTAAACTGAAAGAAACAGAAATTAACAAACAACAAGTAATTATCTGAATGTATAAAATTCATGGGTAATAGTAAGTCCAGACAAATATGGAATATTCTAACATCTAATTGCAATATCTAAACCACTCACATGTTTTAGAAGGAATATAAAAAGTCAAATCTGTCAAAATAATAACTAAAACAATTGTATTGAAGATTCTTGCCAATGTCATCAAGCAAAAAATAAATGAACTACATCCACATTAGAAAGAAAGAAGTAAAACTGTCTGTATCCACTTATGACTCTCTGTGCGGAATATCACATGGAATCTAAAGACATGTATAAATAAGGTTAGACATGTTGAATATAGAATCTATATAAAAATCTGTTGTATTTCTATGTGCTAGCAATAAACAATTGGCATGAAAAAATTAGGTACTGTTTACAACAGTGTCAAAACTGTGAAATAATATTGAATATGTTTAAAAATCTTTTTCTTTGCTCACCAAATATTTATTTTATTTTTGAGATTTACTATAAAATTATTAACTTCAGAAAATAGAATGTCAAGTTTGAAAAAACCCCTTAAAATTTACCTGTTCAAGTTGTTCTTGGCCTGTTTACTTTTACTAAATACTTTATCAAAGAAAGTGAACTCTGCCACTACTGAAAAAGAAAATCACTTCTTCCAAGAATGACATTGGTTAGTTAGTTGGAATTCTGTTGTATTTATCACTTACAGTAAGTTTCAAAACAAAATAACATTTCCAGTGGTAGTTCTTGGAGTAAGTTTTATTTGTTTCACTTCCTGTGTTGAGTTGCATGGATCTAGAATTTATAAAAAATAGATTAAAACCAGGATAGGAAATTCAAGAGAATAATGAAAAACCCAGTTTTTGAAAGTCTGAAGTAGTCAAGACATTAGAAGTTTGTGCCATCTTTTAGTAAAAGGTAAACTCATTGAATGAAAACGACCTGGATGAACAGTAGCTGACAAAGCAGACCAACAGCACAGTTTATTTCAAACAGCACCACAAAAATAAATAGCAGCATTGTTAAAGGAGAGTGCGCAATTCAAAGATAATGCTAAAGTAAAATAATAATATGTGAGCAAGGAAATATAGTAAAAGGTGAAAACCAAGCACATTACATTTTGAAAACAAATTGTATACAGCAGGTGTGATAGGTATTTCTAAAGTGAAAAGATCAGGCATGAGAATATCATACACCAAAGGCCACAGTATAGAGCAATAGAAATAGTTTAAAATATATCCTCTTAGTACATTTAGTACATAGCAGGAAACAGATGACTTTTAGAGTTAAAACTTTATTACAGACAACCCATTATGTGCATAAAACATGATGTTTTAGACCATTAGTGCTTAAGAAATTCACAGGACAGTAGATAAGTTTCTACTGAAAGCCTCTTATTAAAGTTTGCTTATGAGCAGTACATTAAATAATCATAAGAAAGGATGAATGTAAATTTTCAAGGCCAGTGCACACTTCTTCAGTATTTGTTATGATAATCTGTGAAAGAAAATTACTTCCTGGAAAGAAGCTTAATATTTTTGGGCGTGTATTTTCATTTTTAAAACGATAACAGATTTTGATGCATGATACAATTATCTGTTTAAGAGCTTTTTGTCATTGATCAGAAACTGTATTATGTTTCTTTTTTTTGTTCTTGTGGGTTTTGTAAAACATGCTGCAAAGGCAGTCTATTGTAAAGGTTTCATGTTTTATTTTCATCATTTATGTAAGCTTCACTATACTCATTTTCTAGTATGATTAGATGGTTGTAAATAAAATGCATTGAAGCAGATACAATCTAATACTAACAATGCTAAGCAACTGGAAAGATGCTATAATAAGAGCAAAAAGGTTCATTTGAAAAGGGAAAGATAGAAACACATTTCATTTGAATTATCAATACCAACGAAAGCAATACCAAAATCCTCTGAAATATCATAAAGAGCAGCCTGTGTGCAGAGATCCCTTTTCTAATTTCATAAATTGGTCTCCATGTGCTCCTCCAAGCAAGCAGGGATAAACTTTTAGAAAAGTAATGCAACACTTAATTCATTTTGACAGAATCTTTAACAGTGCATGCTGGTGACACAAGTGTTCAAATGGCTTTAGTACCCAGTGAAACAGAGCCTAATTATCTTATTAAACCATTGTAGATGGTTGTGTTTATTTATCAGTGGGAGGCATGAAAGAGAGGGAAAAGAACACTTATCTGGATGAAGGTTATAAAATGTGCAGTTTAACTGTCAAAAGAAAAATAAAATATGCATGGGAGACAGGTTTAGAATAAAATGTGTTGCTCTCTTTTCCTTAAAAAAATGTAGCTGAGGTTAGGCTACATTTTAGCCTGTGATCTTAAATACTTTTAATAAAATTTCTGAGCAAGCAAGTAGAAAAGCCATCATTTGAATTTCCATTTAAATGTTATTTTAAGTCATATTTTCAGCGAAAACTTTATGAAGACCCTTTTTTCAAGGTGATAACTGAGTTCACCACCCACAAAATGCCATACTTAATAAAAATTATACTAACATATTTTCTGTGGTTATCATCTTTTGCAGTTTTTTCTTTCATATATTATGTAATGTGCCTAAGGATAGATCCCTGGGGAATCACAAAAATAATGCTAACGGGTTGCACGCTGGATCTAAGGAATTCCTGGAAGAAACAATGATTTTCAGGTGATTAAATTGTTAAATTTTTAGTTTGTAAATAGTGAGTGAATAAGGAATATATGTTTCAAGTTGATATTGTATCAACTGTATTATATTTTATCCCCTGACTAGCTATATAAATGATATTTGTTCTTTATTTCCTTATTCTTTAAAGTATTGCATAAACTTTCTTCATTATAATTGTTTGTAGTTGCTCTACCATGCTTGTTTCGAGCCTATAGTTTTTCTTTAGCTTATTTTCAAAAACGTTGGAAAGCCATTGGCTAGCCATTTGTTATCCTAGAAAGCCTATCATCATTACAAAACACAAGGTGGGCATTTCTGTTCTGGGAAATAGTTCTATGACTCACCTCTCTTCCCTGAAAATTCACATAGAAACGTATATCCACAAACACTATCAGTTGCAATTAATGAATCCATCTTTTTTCTTACATGTTTATTTTGATCAGGTTCCTAGTACTTAACACGGTGAATTTAAATTTTGTATTGTTTTGTGTTTTTGCTGTTGTTATTATAGGCATTACTATTTGCTTTCCCTATTTGACTGTCAGTTACTTGAAGCCAAAATGGGTTAAACTAGTTTTTCAACCCAACTAAGTCAGTAATAAACAATTAGTATGCATACACTAAATATTTGTAAAATAAATGAATGCATAAAAGGAAGAAGTATATTACTGCATTTTTAGTATGACATTATAATTTTAGTTTTGCCTCCAAATTTTTGGTACCTTTTTGGTCCGAGAATGTTTATTAATTTATAGACCACAAACTTCTAGTAATTTCCTCTTCTACTTCTTGTAAGCGAAGCTGATCTGTCTTTTTAAAAAGGGAATTAAAGAAGACATCTTAAGTGTAAAATACCTACATTTCCATGGTGAATATATTTTAAAAGTCAATATATTTCATTAAAAAAAACAAGTTAGCCTATGTTTAGAGATGTGATATGTTAGTTTTAGCATGAGGTGAAAATTCATAATTTATATTTTCTTGACAATAATGGCTTACGATAGAAAGGTAGGTCTTTAACATCCCAGTAAACTATTGAAATTTGATGTTTGATCAGAAGCTGTTGAGGTAATTAATTTTGTTTTATGATTCTAAGTCATGTTTCCCTTCTGTTTATTACATTCCCAGTCATCAAATACTTACAGAAAATAAGAGTAAGAGTAAGCATTCTTTCTATTTTTCTTTTGAGACAGAGTGTTGCTGCTCTCCCAGGCTGGAATGCAGTGGCACGATCTCAGCTCCTGCCACTGCAACCTCTGCCTCCTGGGTTCAAGTGAATCTCCTGTCTCAGCCTCCCAAGTAGCTAGGATTACAGGCACGCACCACTACACCCAGCTAATTTTTGTATTTTTATTAGAGACAGGGTTTCACCATGTTGGCGAGGCTGGTCTTGAACTCCTGACCTCAAGAGATCCACCCGCCTCAGCCTCCCAAAGTGCTGGTATTACAGGCATGAGTCACAGCACCCAGCCAGCATTCTTTTTTAAAATAAAAACAGATATAGAGTAATTTAGAATAGTTCAGCTGTGTTTTCAAAAAATGTTAATAACTGTTTATAAATATTTCACTCAAATAAGCTTTCTGTATCTACTTGATTTTTTATTTCTATATTCTACAAAATTAAGAAAAATATATGGGTATAATTTAGATGTTCTTTGGAGGCTGACTTCCTCCAAATGAAATTGACTTCCATTTCATTTATTCTACTCATTATTTAGGTGATTTCAGGCAAGCTACTAATCTTCCTAAGCCTCATTTTCCTCATGTTCATTAAGGAGTTAAAAAATGGTAACTAATTCATAGAATTCTGAAATTTTTTTTAAAAGGTAATGAATGTAAAGAAAATATACAGTACCTGAATCAATTAATAAAAAATTTATTTCTGTAGTTGATGTTATTAATATTTCTAAATCTGATTCATAGATATATCCAAGCTTTATGATGAAACATTGCTGGAAAAGGCGGAGGAAAAAAAGATAATATTGAAACAGAATTGAACATAGAAATTTTGCCACATAAAGTTGCAAATTATTATTCACCAACTTTTGAAAAAATGTTTTTTTAACTTATAATAAGAATATGAGCACCTGAGCTTATTCATATAATGAATACATAATATATATGATTAATACATTGCTGCTTTATATAGGAATTATTTTTATGTTTATGAAAATGTTTTAAACATAAATTCAGTTTCAATATTTCATTATGTGGGTACTAACAAAGGTGTAATTTGTAGCATAGACAACTACATAATTATAAATAAAAACAAACATTAATATGCAAGGATCAACAAATACTCAATGCAAATAGGCATGTTCATGCACAAATATGCTATTAATGTAGGCTATTTATTCTCATTCATAATAGTATAATCTTTTGCAAAAGAACAAGAGCAAAAATTTGCTCACTGGGATCTTTTTTCTCATTTAAATTTGTGATTTGTCAAATTTACATTAAAATTTTATAAATTTTTCTCCCATGAAAGGTGGGAGAGTAAATCCATGTAATTGTTTTTCTTATGTGTACAGTGACTCAGTTTGGTTTTATTCCCATATACACTAACAAGCATAGTTCGATTGATTGTGGAATTTATATAAAGTAATTCATCACACTAGCCCATTCTCTCTTTTTCTTTTCTAGAAAATTCTAAAGAAAGACCACTTTCAAGATATTTTATATTTCTATGGTGTTATGAAATATTGATCTCCTGAATTTAACCTAAATAATTAATAGTAATAATTTTGCTTAATCACTGCATTACGTGTAACATGAGTATCTGGGGCAACATTCTTTCTAGCTTTGCAGTAGATTTCTATGTATCATAAAATTCAGAATGATTAACACGGGTCTATATATTAATATAGATTTGTATATTTGCAATGTAACCAGAATACAAGATGCACCTGTATACAGATGTTGCTTTTTTAAAAAAATAATTGCCTCCTTTTCGCTTTTAATTTGTTATTATAACTGATGTTTACTAAACTTTGTTTTTAGTAGACAAAAAAAATTGTATGATTGCTTTTAGGTAGACAAAAAATTTTAGTCTATATTTTATGGTAGACAGACCAAAGTGTGAAGCCACATCAAATTTGAGATGAAAGCAAAAATACCACATTTTTAAATGTACCCTCTCCCAGAATCTGACACAGGGAGAATGCTTTTCGACCTGTTAGCCACTTCTAAAGTGAGGACTGGCATTTTCTTTCCCCAGAGCATGTAAGAACTATGTGGATACCTGAAAAAAAAATTGAAACTGTTCCTCAGAGAAGACGGCTTAGGAGAAAATAACCATGTGTACTTTATACTATAAGAGCAAAAGAGGTAAGGTAGATATTATAATGGGAAAACATATGAACAATTCAATCTTATGCCATAAATTATTTATAAATAATAAATGAAAACTAAAGATTTTTAGAAAGCTAAAGTACAGAGTGCTTACTATATGTCAGATATTATGCTAAATACATTATATGGAAGACCTTCTGAATCACAACAACATAAGGAATTAAATGACTTCTGAGAGTCATGCCATGCTTAAAAAGGCCAATGTTTGGCCAGGCGCGGTGGCTCACACCAGTAATCCCAACACTTTGGTAGGCTGAGGTGGGTGGATCACCTGAGGTCAGTAGTTTGAGACCAGCCTGTCCAACATGGTGAAATCTCGTCTTTACTAAACATACAAAAACTAGCTGGCCGTGGTGGCAGGCACCTGTAATGCCAGCTACTCAGAAAGAAGGCTGAAGCAGGAGAATTGCTTGAATCCGGGAGGTGGAGGTTGCAGTGAGCTGAGATTGCGCCATTGCACTCCAGTCTGGGCGATGGAGTGAGACTCCATCTCCAAAAAAATAAAAATAAATAACAATTAAAAGGCAATTTTTATACATTTGATGTTAAGATACCAACAAAAGACTCACTGTGTAGATGTGCACTCACATAAAACCACCTGTTGCTCCCAGCTCAGGCAACAAAATTTAATAACAAAGGTTAGCAGAATCATTCATTCCTGCCAGTTGTCAACAATGTCAATTGTGCATCAGTTAATCTGAGCTATTCATGATAGATAAAGAGAAAACCTGTAAATCCCACAATTGGTATCCTAGTTTTATATTTTTTCTTTAACTGCTCTGCACCTAAGTAAAAGATAAAGCAAGTTGAGTGTCCTGCAACAGTTAGCTATTAAAACATAATTATCTAATTAGACAAATTTAGTCAAACAAAATAAAGTTGAAAATTTAGTGTAAACTAGTCGTTTTTTCATACTAACATTTAAGATTTTATAAAATCTTAATTTTATAAACTCACTTGATCTGGAGCAAATGTATATTGAAGATTTTGCTCATTCATGATTATAGCATGAAAACAACTTAATATGGTAATATTATAAGTTTAAAATAACCAATTTATAAGAAGGTCTTAATGAAGAATGAAGAAAAAACAGGTCAAATTTATGTAATGATTTCAAAATTTATTTGAGTATTCGAGTTTTTGAACATTAATTTAAAATATTGATCCTTAAATGTCTTTCAGTGTGGATTTTTACTTTGGCAGAGTCCCCACATCACAAAAGTTTGTAACAAAATATGTATCTGAACAAATCTAGAAGAAAATTGTTAAAAATAACTTCATAGTAGCGTATATTAAGTAGTTTCAGTTTGGCAATGTGATACAGGAGGATAATTCTTGCAAATATTTCTTTTCTGAGGTACGTATGAAAAAAGTACACTCACAGCATGTGTATTCCAGTTTTGATAATAAATTTTACATATGCACAGCATGTAGTCTTCATGAACATCCAAATATATGCCACCAAGCATGTGCCAAGTAAATTTGAGTAGTTTCAAATATTTCATTTAAGGTGATATTTCTTGACTTGTAGACACTTATTAATGCTATCTGATGCTAAAGATTGATTGAGAGCAATTAAAAAATATTCATTAGCATGAAGGATATTGATACAAGTAGCAGACAAGAAATGATCAATTCAGAGACAGTATAATTAGAGATTGCATACTCTTTTGGGGTATTGAGATTTATTGAGGGGCTAGATCTTACTTGATTTAGATGCATGAAATGAATGCAAGAAAATAGAATCTCCAGAAGGTTGTTATTTTATTTTTTGTGTAAATAATCTGAATCCAACTCTATAAGATCTAGAAATTGCTGGAAAGACCAAGTCAAGAAATTGTTGAAAAATATAGGACAAAAATAAATACAATGGGAATAACTAGGACAGAAAGAAGAAAAGGTAAGGCAACTTTATGTCCCAGTGAAAAGATGAATATGACGATTTATGATGGAGATAGATTTAGACTCTAACCTAGAAAAAATATACCTCACAATGAATATCCAGCATTTCTTCATGCTGTGGGATTAGAAGATTAAAGAATGTACATTGGGCACCTGATTTTCAGCTTTACCTTCCTCCTCATCACTCTAAAATCAATTTTAAAGCTAAAATCCAACATAAAACCAATTGACTTTGTATTATTTCTCTAAACAAATTAAATTGACTGAAGATTTAGAAAACATATTGTGAAGCATTGCATATCCCTTGGAGTTGTGTCATGTAGATTCTTTTAGAGGTATGTTCAACCTTGTTTAATCAAATGGTAATGCAGTGTTTATACTTAGGAGAATAAATAACTTTAATAAATGAGTAATCTTAATAGAAAGATTTCAATTTCATAAATAAATGACTCTAAGCATGTTTGTGGGTTTATGTTTCCATTCATAACTACAAAGTTATTCAGATAAGGTTGAATAATAGTCCAAGACTTTCAGATTTTTGTCAAAAACATTTCAATGTTGTTATATATAAAAATTTATAAAGTAATGTTCGCATTTTTACATATTTTTGATAGAAATTGTCTAAGTGAGAGTCTAACAATAGGAAAATATAACCCCTTTCATCTTGATGGCCAGAAGGATACTCTACTGCCTGTCATGCCACTTGGATAGAATTTAAGTGTCTCTTTCCATCTAAATACCCCTATACCACCATTACCTTCTTCTCTCATACAAATAGTGCTATAAAAATTATACAAAATTTCCAATACATAATGTATCACTGATGATATATTTCTTCATAGTCTCCAGGAGCACCTTTCTGTAAAATACCCCAACAGTTGCATAGCTTCACGACAAATTCTCTAGTACTTCACACCAAATTTTTGCCACTAAGTCACCTCTACCGGTCTTTCCAATATTTTCTTTTATATCATGGTACACCCAGAAAATCATGTTATTAATATAAGCATGGCTTCTCTGGCCAGAGTCATCCATCCGTCCCTTACTTAAGTCCTACTTAGCTGCCCAAGATGTGAGGGGAATCATACTTTCAGTACATATTACCTATTGTGCAGACACCACTATGATTAGGAACCCTGCTACCCATATGTAGTAAATTCAACATAATTCAGTCAAAACCTGGCTACTTTTATTCTCACCAAATATATTCCCGCTTTGGCAGTTCTATATATTTAAATACAATTTTTTTCTTTCTCCCATTATTCATTATAAAATACACCACCACCAGTCAATAACACTATATTCAAGATTTGAAGTATTGTACAGTGATATGGTTTGGCTGTGTCCCCACCCAAATCTCATCTTGAATTGTAGCTCCCACAATTCCCATGTGTTGTGGGAGAGACCTGGTGGGAGGTAATTGAATCATGGGGGTGGGTCTTTCCCGTGCTATTCTCCTGATAGTGAATAAGTCTCATGAGATCTGATGGTTTTATAAAGGGGAGTTTCCCTGCACAAGCTCTCTTCTCTTGTCTGTCACCATGTGAGATGTGCCTTTCACCTTCCACCATGATTGTGAGGCCTGCCCAGCCACATGGAACCGTGAGTCAATTAAACCTCTTTCTGTTGTAAATTGCCCAATCTCAGGTATGTCTTTATCGGCAGCATGAAAATGAACTAATACATACAGTTATAATTTTTATAATTACCCTTATGTGGGGTAAGTTGCTATCTTCAGTTCTTAGGTCAGGATACTTTGGCTTAGGGTAGAAAAATACTTTCAGAAACACAGCAAGTAAGTTGCAGGACAGGGCTCAACCTCATGGCCCTCTGAAGCCAGAACAATTTGTCTTTTTCCCTTGTGCTAAGAAGTCTCTAAATGGTGTAAAAATCCTACTCTTCCTTTAAATGTTTTTATTTGTAGATGGTCTAGGTGTGAGAAGGCATTTTTAATATTTCTAATTCCTTCACTAAACAGTATATTGTGGTACATTATTCTTTAAGGTATCAAAAAAGACAGTTAATTATTTTAAAACCTTTAAGAACAATGGCTATGGACATAAAAAAAAATCCTCAGTAGAAACTGATTACAAACTGATTACAAGCAAGGCTAGAATTTTGTAATCACTGTAATTATTACTGTAATTATTATTGGTTTTATACAAACAAAATGAAGTTCATTAACACCTTTTTCATTAAAATGAAAAGTATAGTATTTCAAGTCTCTATTACTGAAGTCATCATTGCCAGTTTTCTGTTGTGGAAATTGGTTTCATTTTGGTTACTGTAATTTTTGTTGTTAAGGTCTCTTTCCCCCAATAAACACAACACAAAAACCTACAGGGCTCAGAGCAAAACTTAACTCGCTGCTTCATACCAAACAACACAGAAAGAAAATTAACAGCATAAAATAAAATAAAATAAAATACTATTCCAGTGTTGAATTTCAGAATAAATTATTTAAATACATTTTGGTAATATTATGCTTATTTTAAAAAAGAACAATGATTACAAAATTAGGATCCAATATTTTATTTCTTACTGTTTTTACTTAACATCAAAATAAAATAATATTTTCATATTATTTGTAATTTTCTCATAATTATCAGCTTTAGTATGAGTATAAAATTTTATTTTTTATTTATATGTTTATATGCATCTTATAATTGACTTAGCCATATACTGTTCTTGAGTTAGCTCAATATAATATTCTTGAGTTAGCGCAATATAAGAACATTATGATCCTTTTTGTGGCTTTATTTTTGAATTATTTATTTTGTTACATTCCAATAAGTAAAATTATTAAACAAAAATTTTGGTTACTGCGAAGGTTCTTGCTATGAACTAGGAGAAATAACAGATAATAATCTTTCATTCATTCATTTGTTCATTTACTTTTGAGCCCTTACTGTTTTGCTGGTGCTTTGTTCAGTGCTGGGAAAACAAGGACAGATAAGACCTTATCCCTAAATTCACAGGGTTCCATCTAACAAGTACAGAAAAATCCATAAGAAGGTATGTAAGAAATATTGTCCTGAAAATCTTGGATTATGATTCAGGAGTAATATTTCCCATAAGGATACATGTAAAGTAGGGAGGATGTATTTGTTGTGTCTGGTAACGTGATTTTGCTTTTGCAAATAGTTTTTAAGCACAATAAAACCTGATATAGAACATTTTGTTTTATTGTCACCTCCTCTTAAATTGTCAAGTATACACTCTACCTTAGAACATAGGTCTCCTTGACTTAGTGATACATTATAGCAGCTTTGATCTTACAACCATGTGGCAAATATCATTTCCTTTCTCTTGCCCTTCAATACAGTATTTGCAGGCTGAATTTTGTAAGAGTTTTCAGTTTACTTTTTATTTTTCAGTTTTCCACCAATATATCTGAGTCCCTACTCCAAACTTAGCAGCACAAGATGGAACGTTTAAGGCTTTTACATAGCATATAATCATGCTATTCTGTATTAAAGTTAGAGATTGTAAAGTACTAACACTAACATGCCCACGTTTGAAAATTGGAAATCAATTTAATACCATCTTAAATTAGTTTAAATTATAAAATTATAATGCATGTAAAATATTAGCACCATGTAAATAACAGCTTGTTGCACCTATTGCTGTTGAAGAGTGACTGGTTTTCTTTACAAGCTTTTCTTTAAAGTGGGTCTGTCATGCATGTGTCAGTAGTTTAAATGTAGTTTATAAGTCATTTCAACCACAGCTTTGAAAGTATGTGATCTTGAGACCTTAAAAACATCTTAAAGACTTGCATTACTTCACATTTTGTGCACAAGGCAATATTTATATTAATATCTTACATCAAAATATTTTAAAAGTGAACAACTTAAAACTACCTGAAATGTAATTGCACACCAATCAATCAACTTTAGCATTTGCAGAGTAATACTGGAGTTATCACAGATAAAGAAAGGATCAGAATTCAGGCCAAGCTGTGAAGAATAACTTATCAGGGAAGATAAATTTTAAATGTAAAGGTTGTTTTTTTTTTTGTTTTTTGTTTTTTGTTTTTTTTGCTTTATTTTTTGTTAAATAATGACAGGGTTTCACTCTGTCACTCAGGCTGGAGTGTAGTGGAATGATCATAGCTCACTGCAGCCTTGAACTCCTGAGCTCAAGGGATCCTCCCGCCTCAGCCTCTTGAGTAGCTGAGACTATGGGCGCATGCCACCATGCCTAGCTTTTTTTTTTTTTAATTTTTTACATCTATTTTTGCAAAGGCAGGGTCTCACTATGTTGCCCCGGTTGGTCTTAAACTCCTGGGCTCAAGCAATCCTCCTGCCTTTGCCTGACACAGTGTTAGGATTATAGGCATGAGCCGCCACCTGGCCTAAAGTTTAAGGAACCTGAGAAATAAATGAGATTAAAGAGAATCATTATCAGCTGCAAGAGCACATCTTTGTTAGAAGTGATAATTTAATGCAGTAAAATTGTAGTTTATTTTTAACTTAACTTACATTATAAAAATTAAAGTTACACCACTGTGAAAATCTATAATATGATTAAAGAAACTTTTGGACATTTAAAGTTCTGGTACAGCCTGGTTTTCCTTCTAAATTGGCAAGTGACTTATACCAGGAGAAATGTGGCCATGCTTTTAAATAGCCTCCTAATGTTGAGCTGACCCCTGATATTGAATGTTCCATGTTTCCTTTCAATGAGAAGGAAGGTTTGTGCATTTTCAAAAACTGACAATTGTCAAAAAAAGAGCCAAAGAATAGTTATTCTCTGAACCTTGAAAGTGACTTTTGTGTGGCATGCAGCAAAATAGGGTGAGCATTTACCTCATGGAACATTTCAGTTTTCCAGGACAAAGCTGTATTATAAAGTAGCTAAAAATTTATAGAAATTCAGGAAAGTTAAAATCCATATGCACTCTTAGAAGAGACATTTTATTATAACAAGAAAAATGTGTTGATCTAGAGTGGAGTGATTAGGCCATTTGTCAAATAGAGTTACTGTTTCTGATAACATTTACAGGTCACATATACTTTTCAAATCTCAATAGAAGTAAGCTTGCTCAAATGGAACTTACCCACCTGAATTTATGAGATTGATTGTTAGGAGTAAAGGTTGAAGCATACTATAAAACATTTTAAAGCCTTACATTTTTTAAGAAAAAAAAAGCGTGAAATTACAAAGTTAGAGAAATACTTTCATTAAACAGCTTTAAATATAAAGATAGTAATTTATTGAGTTTTCATTATTAGGTTTTAATTATTGAGTGTTAATTGTTAATTATTAACTTACTGAGTGTTCACAGCCAGGCACTGTGTTATGGGTTCATGTGTGGCTTATCTCACTGTGAAAATAATACTGTAGCATAAGAACTAATATTATTCCTAGACAGATGAGGTAAATAAGTCAAATAGGGCTATCCGAATTGCTCAAACTCTTGCCACCCTTTAAAACATGTGGATTTTAAATTTTCATAATTTTGAAGGAGCAATTTGTGTTCTATAAAATTATTAAATCTAAAATAAGCAAACAAACTGCTCTTTATTAACTTTTGTAGTGTTTTTGCAAACCTCTCACTGTTCACAATAGGACATTCTCTTTCAATGTCATTAAAACCAAAAATTTAAATTTTATTATTTCTTAGAGAATTTTTAATGTTTATGTGTCTAACCTGGCTGTGCACTTTTAATGTTATTGGATGTCTCTTTCCTCTACCACACACATGCAATTTTAAAAATAAAACATCTCTATGTATTTCCCTACTTAATACTAATCAATAGTAACCTTATTGGAGAGTTATTTTTCTATGAAAAAAATAAAAGTGATTAAATGGTAAAAATAATGAATATAATAGCTAAATCTATATGGCATTCACTCATTTGCAGATACTGTGTTAAGATATATTCACACATTATCTAATTTAATTTTCTATCAACCTTCAAATATTTGTATCGTTACTCAAAGTTCATTGGTGAGGGTATTTAAAGACCGAGTAGCTTAATATTTAACCACAAGAAACGCACTCCAATAAATGGCCAAACTAATTCTGTAAACCTGGTCTTTGTTATAACAACTGTTTGTTCTTAATCACTGTGTGTTAATTCTCTAAGGAAGGGTGTCCAGTAAGAGCAACCCCTTATTTATGGAAACATATTACTGTTCCCTCTTCATGTAAGCAAGTTATGATGGTGATTGTGACTCTAAATAATAAATTTAGAAATCTTTTTTGAGAGACCAAAGTTTATTTACTTGCTAAGAATTTGGTTACCCAAAATAGTTTTATTCTTTTCCTGTTACATGAATTTAGACTAACATTGTTTTAAATAATATACTTGCAAAATAAGATAATTTAACATAATTTTAGTTCTGAATATCTGCTTGAAGGTTTGAATACATCTGCAATATTTTATACATTTTGAGTTGTTTGTTTCTTGTAATTCATGCACCATTTTTTCCCAGATAAATATAAAATAGGTTCTAAAGAAAAATAAAATTTTATATAATTTTTTTAAAATTTAAAGGTCATAATGCACCTTTGTGACTCTAGTTATCTAGAATATATTGTAGTAATTTTTCTTTGCTAAGTATTTTAAATTTCTATTTCTTCTCGGTGACTTATAATTTGGTGTCAGTAGAAAAATTCACTCACTGATATTAAATTCCAAATATTTTTTGTAGGTGTCTTTTTAAAAAACAGAATTTAATTAACAATTGATAATTATTAATAATTTAAAAATTAATTAAAAATGAATTACTTTCATATATAATTCTGAAGAGAATAGTCAAGTGTTCAATTGAGTATTTGTTTTCTATTAATGATAGAGAAAAGCCTTAGTATTCTGTAGAAATCTTGTCTGTAAGAAAAGGGTAAAAATTAGATGAGTTTGATTATTTCACTTAGTGTGGTATAGTGTTGGGAAAATTAGAAGAATAAATGGATTGACGTTCTTTTGAATCTACAAACTATTGCTTGGAAAATGTTATACCATTATTTATTCCAAATTATTTTTTCTTAAAATTGTCTCAGGTGCTAGTAATGAAAATCAGCAAGCCATTTCAACATTAATATCATGACAATTTGGGGCTGAAACAAGGACTTTAAATTGGCTCATTTTCAAAGAATGTGTAATTTGGCACCTTTTAACTTGTTTGAGAGAGAATTAGCTTGAAAACTTCTATGACCAGATTTAAAACATAGACTATTCTAATAAGAAAGATCAATTTTGTAAAGATTGACAATGCAAGAATGTACTATAAATATGTTATAAGTCATAAAAATTTTTCTAAAAATCTTTATTATAACTTTATGTTGAAAAATAAAAAAAGATTGTATTAAATATGTTAGAATTTAGAATGTATTACTTTTTACTAAATAAACTTCAACCAAATTAGCACTAATTTAACTGATTGGAACTGGCTGAAATATTATGTTGATTCTTATGTCTGGTTAAAGCTTGCCTTACTAAATATGACAAAATGTTAAGCAATATACAATGACAACTATATTTCTTATTATCTCCTCTTAATAGTGTTACATCTTTTGAAAAATAATTAGATGATTTACATTATGTGTTTAGACAGTTGACTAAACACTTCTTGTTTTAGGTACTTAGTATTGTACCTAAAACATGGATTCATCTCCTAGAAAATCTTAGTTTATTAACTACTAATTTGCAGAAACATAGCAGACATGCTATAACATAGCATGCTATGACATGCTATAACATAGCAGACATGCAATAATGATTTAAATGAATGTATTTGACAGAGACAAATGTGTTACCAAGAAGCATTTTTACAACTGTGGTTTTCAATCAGGAATGTACCTTAGAATCATGAGGTGACCTTACAAAAACTACAAACATTCAAGCTCTATCCCAAGAGTGTTAGGTTTAAATGCTCTGGCATGGGACTATGACATTAGAATGACATGGAATGACTTACCTCAAAGCATTAATCATGTAATTGGATACATTCTCAATTTATTTCAAGTATCTTACTTCCCATACTTTTGGATTACAATTATGAAATCAATCAGTGCTGTTCATCAAATATTTCTAGATCTTACCTCAGAGGTGTATGGTGCATTGTACTACAATGGCCACCTGTAGAAGTTATTTTTGGTAATGTGATTTTCGTTGGCCAAGAAAATATTAATGGGAGCAAAATATCTAACTTGGGGACAGAAATGTTAAGAATCAGAACACAGCTTATCACATTCTGTTATTTCCTACTTTGTTTATTTAAGGATTGCATTTTGACACAGAGCCCTCTTTAATCTAGGCCTTTTAAGTAAGGAGATTAACCTGCTGTCATTTTCTCACTTGTAGTGTGAAAAGAAATAATTATACTGAGACACCTCGTTACTGCAATATAACCTAGAATACTCTGACTGATAACATTTATACAAACTCATAAAGATAAGCAATAAATAATTTTGTAAAAAAGAATATTATATTTGGTAAGTTTTATGGAGAAAAATATCATGGGGCTGATCCTCGAGTAGACCAGAGTCATAAACACAGTTTACAGTACCTCCCTACTGAATAATTAAAATACACAGTTAGTACATGGGTGGTGATGAATTAAATTATAATTGCTATAATAATTACAGCTGAAAAAATAAAGCATGTACCCTCTGCCTACAGACCATAATAATTTCAACCCGTATTATTTTCTTATTACTTAACTGTTCCATAATGTTTTCTAATTATTCCTTAATCCAAGTGCTTACTTTGACGTATAACAGCATAAATTTTCACATGCACTTTTACAGTGTATTGTGGCCTCCTTAATACTTGTTGTCTGAAAGGCCCCTTCCCCTTAGCAGAAATATTGATGTTTAAAAACAGACACAGAATCATCTTTCTTCTATAGTACAAAATTCGTGCCATAATTTACTTGACAATCTTATAAAAACCTCAATTTCTTATTAATGCATTTTTAGATTAAGTACTATTTTTTCCTACATTCGTCCAACTGATTCACCTATTATTAAGCTCCTTAATATCTTAAAAGCTTTATTTATAAGGGGTGCTAAATAGACAGTCTGCAGAAAAAAAAGGATAAATTTAAAATTGAGGAACATAATGTGAAGGAAAAAACAAAATGAAATCATTAGAATCACTGTACTCAGGAGATAACTGGTGAAACATATATTTCAACTTAGCATAGCCTCCTAAAACCATAGTGCTTACATTCAGTGATAGGTGTCTGTATGTGCGACACAAGGGAATGGCATTCACAGGAGTGACAACTAGATGAGCTTCTGCAGATTATAGGCTGTGTCATAGATGTTACAGAAAACATGTAATTTATTCCATTCTTTTCCCACTAAGCAATGCCACCAGATGGCAAGTGTATGTTAAGTGCCTTATTACCAGAATAACTCTAAATTTACTTTAATTGATTTGAAAACGAAGCTAATCACTTAGTAACCTAATATGAACATACTTGTATCTATTAGTTATAACTTGTGCCACACCTCTCAAATTATTGCAACCCACCATCAATAAACAGGTAATTAAAAAGGCAAACAGTAGAACAATAAAATAAAGCAATCAAAAAAGAACAACGACAGGCATTCAGGACTTCTTTCTTTTAAGCTGCTTTAGTACTGTGAAGGCTTCCATACTTTCATTTACTCAGTTTTCTTTGCATTCCTAAAACAAACTAAATTCCCATTTGCCAACTTTCTGCTTTATTTTCTAAACTCAGGTTATTTTGATGATGTAAATATTCTGGAATATATAGAGAGTACTCTTTGAGTAACATCTCTCTCTTTTATGATATTACTTTTCTTGGTAATACAAAGCAACTTGATTGGGAAAAATGCTATCCTTATTTAGAGGTAGCATGTGTAAACCAGCTCTGCTGGAAATTCGTTTTGTATTACTCTTTTAAAACATAATCAGTAAAAAGACATAGAAAAGGAAACAAACATAAAAAGGCAATTGGACAGTGTGCAATTTGCACTATCTGCAAAAATGTATAGTATCTGTGTTCTTACAGGCTTTCTCTATATTTTAAATGTTTAGGGATAAGAAATACTCTATATTAAATACAAATATTTCCACTGATTCTATTTTCCCATCCTTCTTACTCAATTTTTTTAGTGGCAGCTTAGTTTAAGTAATAAAAAAATCATAAGTAGACATTAATAATTGATGTTCAAATGATTTTTCTCTTTATTGATGTTAACAGCCGCTAGTAAAGAAAACGCAGATTTTTTAAAACATCTGAACTTGATTTTAAAACGCTGTCTACATGAATTCATAAATTAAAGAAATTAATTCTGAGACCACATAGTATTGGTACCTTGATGTTTAATTTAAAGAAATATTTACTCAAGTAAAATATAGTAAAAAACGTTTATTCATTCTCTAAAACAGACCTTAAAGATGCTGACTAAAGAATAATATACACTTATGCCAATTCAGAATTCAGTACTTCTTATTTGGAGAAGAAAATACAATGGGAATTTAATTCTGTCATTTTTCATACTCTTACTAGCGACTTAAATTAGCGACCTAATTTTTAAATTTATTTATTTACTTTTTTTGTGTGACAGGATCTCACTCTGTCCCCTAGGCTGGACTACAGTGGAATGATCCTAACTCACTGCAGCCTCAATCTCCTGGGGCTCAAGGAATCCTCCCTGCTCAGCCTCCTGAGCAGCTGGGACTACAGGCCCCCAACACTGTGCCTGGCTAATTTTTTGTATTTTTGTAGAGAAGGAGTCTTGCCATGTTGGCCAGGCTGGTCTCAAACTCCTGGGCTCAAGTAATCCTCCCACCTTGGTCTCCCAAAGTGTTGGGATTATATGTGTGAGCCACCATGCCTGGCCTATTTCTGATATTTAAATAAATATTATTTCTAATCTATAATATATTAACTTGAGAGCATCCACTTTTCAATAAATGGTAATAGAAAAGAGTAACATCATCTTGCAAATTAAAGATTAAATGTAGAGAGAGATAATATGTGTTTCTCTCCCTTGTCCAAATTTTAGGTGGTGAAGTTTTTTATTTGAAGATTAAAACTGAGATAAGACTTGATTTTATAGTTTCCATAATATAAAAATTTTATTTTTCAAGTATCTACTTTTTCACAAGTAATGAACCTTTTAAGATTATGATCAGAAAGTATTACTAAAGTATTACTAAAATAATTTAATGGCACAGAAATACATTAATCCATAGTAAGTTTAAAATAACCACTTTCTCATGTAAGATAACATATATCAATGTGGTGGATTTAATATAAATACACAGAATAATATAATCATAATAATGAATTCCAATCCACTATCATTTAGCATGAAAGTGCTTGCCAGGTAGCTCTATTTTCCCCTCAGTATAAATTCATGCATCACAACGTCATGATATTTATAGTGCAATTTTGCCTACACTTTGTGCAAAGCAAGGTTTTACATGATATCAATCCATCAAGATTCAATATCATTATGGAATGTCAGCTTAAAGTCCCTGAACATAATTTTAAAACTATGCACTCCCTCTGAGCAGTAGTACAAAACAGAAAAAAATCTCAAATGGCATGTAAGCTATTGATTGATATTACAGAAAGAAAACAAGGCTTTCCTTATTGGTATATAAAATATCAATGAATAGAATTGCGGAGCTGAATTGTGTCAAAGTAACAGGTAGCTATACATTTGCTAAAAGTAATACATTTGGGGAAAACATAATACTGTTTTTTAAACGGTCATAAGATTTATCTCACCATTACTGCAACAAGCACCCATGACAAAAATTGTCTTACTCTCCAGACAGAAGAGAAAGACCAATTCCAGACCACAGGGCTTTCATGTTATAAGCAAAAGGAAATTAAATTTGTTACAAAAGGAAAATATTTTAAATAAAATTATGATTAAAATAATGAAAATAAAACACTCTGCTTTTATATAGTAACTATATTTCCCCAAATAATTACATTGAAAAACACTTCTGAAAGCTATTTACCTGGTTTTAAAGACTGTACAGGTAAAACAATGACAGATCATCACAGGATTGCAGAATCAGGCAAAATGTGTCCAAATCCTTTGCTATTTCTAATGATTTGATGATTTCCAGGACTTGGAAATAGGCGTTAGCTGGTAAACTTAAGGGTTTGTGTATAATAATACAAATATTAAATTAAAAAATAAACTAAAAAATTCTATCTATATTATTAAGAATAAGCTATAATTACAAAAAAACTTTAACAATATATTTTGGCATAAAACAAATGATCTATTTTGCAGAAGAAACAACAAACTTAAGGGAGAAATTTTTTTATTCTTACTTTTATTTCATTATTATGTTGTTAAAGTTTTTCCTTAGACTTTGTTTTACAGTAATCTAATGAATGATTTTAGTAATCTTCTCAACTAGCACAAACATGGGCTGGGCATGATGGTTCATGCCTGCAATCCTGAGAGGTGACAGCATGCTGGCAGTCCTCAGAGCCCTCGCTTGCTCTTGGCACCTCCCCTGCCTGGGCTCCCACTTTGGTGGCATTTGAGAAGCCCTTCAGCCCCCCACTGCACTGTGGGAGCCCCTTTCTGGGCTGGCCAAGGCTGGAGCCCACTCCCTCAGCTTGCAGGGAAGTGTGGAGTGAGAGGCACGAGCGGGAACCGGGGCTGCGTGTGGCGCTTGTGGGCCAGCTGGAGTTCCAGGTGGGCGTGGGCTTGGTGGGCCCCGCACTCGGAGCAGCCAGCCAGCCCTGCTGGCCCCGGGGCAATGGGGGACTTAGCACCCGGGCCAGTGGCTGCGGAGGATGTACTGAGTCCCCCAGCAGTGCCGGCCCACCGGCGCTGGGCTCGATTTCTCACTGAGCCTTAGCTGCCTTCCTGCGGGGCAGGGCTCGGGACCTGCAGCCCGCCATGCCTGAGACTCCCACCCACTCCATGGGCTCCTGTGCGGCCTGAGCCTCCCCAGACGAGCACCACCCCCTACTCCACGGCACCCAGTCCCATAGACCACCCAAGGGCTGAGGAATGCGAGTGCAGGGCGCAGGACTGGCAGGCAGCTCCACCTGCAGCCCCGGTGCGGGATCCACTAGGTGAAGCCAGCTGGGCTCCTGAGCCTGGTGGGGACGTGGAGAGTCTTTATATCTAGCTCAGGGATTGTAAATACACCAATCAGCACCCTGTGTTTAGCTCAAGGTTTGTGAATGCACCAATTGACACTCTGTATCTAGCTGCTCTGGTGGGGCCTTGGAGAACCTGTGTGTCAAAACTCTGTATCTAACTAATCTGATGGGGACGTGGAGAACCTTTGTATCTAGCTCAGGGGTTGTAAACGCACCAATCAGTGCCCTGACAAAACAGGCCACTCGGCTCTACCAATCAGCAGGATGTGGGTGGGGCCAGATAAGAGAATAAAAGCAGGCTGCCCCAGCCAGCATTGGCAACCCGCTCAGGTCCCCTTCCAGACTGTGGAAGTTTGGTTCTTTTGCTCTTTGCAATAAATCTTACTACTGCTCACTGTTTGGGTCCACACTGCTTTTATGAGCTGTAACACTCACCGCGAAGATCTGCAGCTTCACTCCTGAGCCCAGCGAGACCACGAGCCCACCGGGAGGAACAAACAACTCTAGATGCGCTGCCTTAAGAGCTGTAACACTCACTGGGAAGGTCGGCAGCTTCACTCCTGAGGCAGCTTCACTCCTGAGGCAGCGAGACCACGAACCCACCAGAAAGAAGAAACTCCGAACATATCTGAACATCAGAAGGGACAGACTCCAGATGCGCCACCTTAAGAGCTGTAACACTCACCACGAGGGTCCGCGGCTTCATTTTTGAAGTCAGTGAGACGAAGAACCCACCAATTCCAGACACAATCCCAGCAATTTTTCAGGCTGAGGCAGGAGAATCACTTGAGCCCAGGAGCCCAGCAGTTCAAGACCAACCTGGACAACACAGCAAGAACGTTTCTCTTAAACAAACGGAAAAAGACGTGAAGCCAAGTCACTTTGCAGTTAAATACTGTATTATGTGAACCATTATTTTTAAACAAAACTTCACTTTGAAACAACTGAGATTGTTCTGTGGTCGTAGTCTACTCAGAGGCAGATAGGTGGGCTACTGACTAATATCGCTTAACGCTCTTTATACAAATAGAATACCCTTCATTGCTTTCCCTGAGAAATAAAAATAAACAATTCAGTTAGACAATGACCGTCATTAACATAAGTATATCTGTATCACATGTGGAAATTTATGATGCGACCTTGAAGATGTTGCAGGTTAAATGGTGGATCTAATGACTCAAAAATAAAATGAAATGATGTCACACTGCCCTGAATCTGATCCACTGCATTGGGCTCAAATGTTTCTTCACAGTACTTACCTGAGATTTAGATCAATTGACAATTTCTAGGGGAAACAGCCATCTGATTGTCTTTGGTTTTTAATGCTTATTTTAGTGTCTATAGTTGCACTTGATTGTTTCCGACAGTGGTGCAGCCAGTGTAGCCAAATTCATACAAAAAAGGGGCAGAAGAAACAAGAAGCAGACGATGTGTGAGAAGAAATGGTTTTAGACAGCCTGAATTCAATTCTGAATTCAGAAACTCTGAATATACTAAAAATATTGCTGTCTAGATCTGGATATGGCACTCAGAAAGATTGGCAAGCAAGGGATTAGAATGGAAGAGATAATGAGAAGAATTATGGCAATGCTATTTTGACTATAAATTCTCATTAATTGACACAGTTACCAGTTACCAACATTCCACTACTGTGTCCTATGTGATATGTTTTAAAGGATGTTTTCCAGTAGTTAGTTCTGACTCTGGGAAAATCAAATAGACAGTAAAATGTTGCTTCTGTGCTCTCCCTTTCTGCTTCCCGAGTGAGAATATAATTTTGAATGATTTTGAACTGATCCTCATCCTGCAGGCGAGTCTGCTGGAGTGATTATAAATTCCATTTATGTAATATTCAAACTGCTAGAGGAGTTTTATAGATTATAGCTGTGGATAGAGTTTACCGTCCAGAGAATGTTACCTTAATTTAGTGACCAAACTGGCCTCTAGTTTATTTCTTGAAGCCTCTACCAGAATAAAATCTTCTTTTTTTTCTTAAACAAAAGAAATTTTGGGTGTTTTTTTCTTATTGTATTTAAAATATTTGATTCAAAGGTCAGTGTTTTTATAGATATGGTATTACAGTAGAATTATTTAGCTTGTCATAAAGTGCATTTAAAGCAAATGATTAACAGAAATCATTATACACTTATAGGTCTTTGCTGACGTACCATTAATTGTATGCTGAACTTAATTTATTCTTCATGCTATTTTTCAAGACTGTCAATATCAAACCTCAAGTATGTCTTTTTCACTAAGAAAATATTAGAGGTCATTTGTTTTGTGGACTCTGTGTATCACTGAGAGATATATTTTACTGCCTTCCAAGTTCTTCCTTAAAGAAAAGGGACTTAAGTACAACTTAGAGATTCTCACAATAACCTGGCACTCTGTCAGCCTATAAACCAACCATCAACCACCTTGAGGCACAGAAATGGACTTAAACTAAACCCAGTCAGGAGGCACTTATGTTGACATATCTTTGTCCATAGACTGGAATAACAATTTGGAGAATAAATAAATGGAATATAGGCTTAGTTTCTATACCCCAGTGGGAAGAATTTTAGATAAATTCAGACCTTTCCTTATAAAAAGTTCTGCTCCGTATGCCTTTTTGGAAACTTTAGTGGTCTTGAGGTGTTTTCCACTGAAGAAGTGAAATGGTGCTGAGAATAGTATTGGTTAGTTGAAATTAACCCCTGCGTTTGATCCAACTGAGAATCTGAAAGACATAAGAATTTTAGGTTTTCAATACTTCAGCGTAAAGTATCAGAATCATAGTAACTCTGACTTACTTTGAATTATTTATCATAAACTCTTACTGATCAGGATTTGATCAGATTAATCCCTTAAGCACTTACAAAGTCCAAAAGCTTTCCTACCTCAATTATACCACTTAATATTAAGGTGTAGTCAACTAGGACATTAATTTTTTCAAATTGTAATTTTTAAAATTTAGGAGCAATCAGAGCAAAGAGAATATTACCCAGTGGCAATACTAAAGATTTCTATCCTAATTTTTTAAGTCTCTGAGTTACAACAAAAGTGAAAGAGGTTTTACCATCTAATATTAACACAGCTACAAATTAATGTATTGGTCAAAATGAAATTGACACTAGGCATTTTCTAAATTACGACATTTAACAAATACTGTTTTCAGATTTAAAGTCATCTTTTCACCTTAAGAATTATAGTTTTTCTGATAAATCAGTCAATGACTGAGATATTGATATTTTAAATTCCTATTTAAAAGGTAGTTGGATTGTTCTCTGAAACTGGGCCTTACTTTCAAAGGGGTATTCAAAAATTCTCTCTCTCCCATGATGGTTTTAGGAAGTTCTAAGCCTTATCTATTAAACATTGTTGTCTATTGCACCATAGTTTCTATCTCTGAATATTTTTAAAGCCATACATCTTAGGTTAATGACTTACTCTAGTTCACTTCCTAGGAGACTAGAAAAAGAGTTTTATTTTGTTTGATATATAAGAAGGAAACCCAACTTTTTGGAGTCCTTTTTGTAGCTTCAAAGTCTTTCTGCAGATACTATTTTCTTTAGTTTTTGGTATGAGACTTTAAAAATAAATACTTTTTATACAAGACATCATTGTGGATATTAAGAAATCAAAGGCATGAATTCTGTTATCAAGAGGGAGTGTACAATGTACACACAAAGAAACCCTAGAAATACAACTTACTGGCCGGGCGAGGTGGCTCATGCCTGTAATCCCAGCACTTTGGGAGGCCAAGGCAGGCGGATCACAAAGTCAGGAGTTCGAGACAGCCTGGCCAACATGGTGAAACGGCATCTCTACCAAAAATACAAAAAGTTAGCTGAGTGTGGTGGTGCGTGCCTGTAATCCCAGCTACTCGAGAGGCTGAGGCAGGAGAATTGTTTGAACTCAGGAGGCAGAGGTTGCAGTGAGCCGAGATCGGAACATTGCACTCCAGCCTGGGCGACAGAGCAAGACTCAGTCTCAGGGGGGAAAAAAAACAAAGAAAGAAAGAAATACAATTTACTATTCTAGGCACTTAGAAAGCACTTTATATTTTTGTAAATGTAAAATGTAAGTGTTTTCTAAACACTTAGGAAACATTTTACATAATACAACTTCAGAAAGATAAGCATGGCAACTTCAGAATAATTGAAATATTTTGAAGTTCACTTCATTTATTCTGTCACTGGAAGAAGTCAGTTACACTGTAAGAAGTGTTGTTACCTAATAAGTTATTATATTATCACCATTATTTAATAGGTGAGATATTCTAAAACTCCCCAGTAGAGTACAAAAGTATAGTTAGATAGAATGAATAAAATCTAGAATTTGATTGCACAAGCCCAGAGTGGGGCTCACACCTATAATCCCAGCACTTTGGAAGGCCAAGGTGGGAGGATTACTTGAGCCTATGAGTTTGAGACCAGCCTGGGCAATATGGTGAGACCTTGTCTCTACAAAAAATAAACACAAATAGCTGGGCATAGTGGTGGATGCCTATAGCCCCAACTACTTGGGAGACTGAGGTGGGAGGATTGCTTGAGCTCGGAAGTAGATGCTGCAGTGAATTGAGATCACATCAATGCACTCCAGCCTTGGCAACAGAGTGAGACCCTGTCTCAAACAAACAGCAAAAAAAGATAGCACAAAAGGGTGATTACAGTCAACAACAATTTATTTTACATTTAAAAAATACTGGAAGAATATAACTGGAATGTTTGTAACACAAAACAAATGATAAATGCTTGAGGTGATGGACACCCCATTTACCCTGATGTGCTTACTACACATTGTATGTATATATCAACATATCTCACGTGCCCCATAAATATATACGTGTATATACTCATAAAATTTTGAAAGAAAGAAATATTTGTAAATTATGTTTTCATCAACTGTATCTAATGAACACAATTAAAAAACAAACTCCCTAAGCCTATGAACCCCAATGAACCCCAATCCTCCTACAAATGTAAGTCTGCCTTCAAAGTGTTACTGAATCATTATGAAAGATTTATTCCCAGTATATATCCCAAAGTAAATTCAATGTCTATTGACTCGTATGTTTCCTCTTGTTGTTACTAATCTTAAGACTCAACACTGTCGTCTAATATGTGGCTCAAGCTGCAAACCTGACAGATAAATCCTGGGCTTCATTTTTTTCTTCCCTCCAGTCTCATAAAATCAGTCACATTATCATGTTTCCACTTCTTGGCCACTTCATCTCCATGCTCACTGTCATTTTTTATTCAGCTCTTCATGATTTTTCATCATAATTATGAAACGGTATGTAACATGTCTTTCTGATTCTGAGCATGCCCTTGTCTAATCTACTTCCAAAAGTGTTTTCTGAGAACAGGCATTTCATTATGTTATTCCCAGAGTTTGATAGTTTTTGAGGCTTTCAGGAACACATAGCTTTCAGGAAAGAGTTCATTCGACAAGTATTTGTTGGTACTTGCTATATTTTGTAAAATATATTTAGTAAAATAGAAAATCCATGCATATACATACCTGTGATAAAGAAGTAAGTAGATGTATCTCATAGTAAAAAGTCAGGAATTCCAAAAATTTAAAGAAAAGAGAAATTACTTTCTGCAAGAATTATTGTTATGCAGGAAAATCAATCTGGTTTCAGCATTGAAAATATATGAAAAATAAGTTCATTCTGGAGAAAAATGTAGCAAGAATAAAGTTTTTTGAAAAAGACATTTTGTGTTATTTATAAACAGTTCCTCAACCTTGGTTCACATTTTGAGGTTTTGGGTTCTTAAGTAGGTTTTTATAGTTAATTGCATGGTTAGGTGGGAGCCATGACAGATTTTGAACATTAAATGGTCATTGTCAGGGCTATGCTTAAAGAAATAATTTATACTTATTAACAGTACCAAGAGTGTTGAGAACTCTCAAAGGTCATTTAGAATAGTTATGACATATGACATACTTCATATGTCTCATAGTTATACAACACATGAAAATCTGGTGGTGAGAAACTAAATAGAGGAAGGGAATACATAGTGTATAAATCTTCTGAAGATGGGGCTGGCCCTGGTGGTTCACACCTGTAATCCCAGCACTTTGGGAGGCCGAGGTGGCCAGATCACTTGAGGCCAGGAGTTCGAGACCAGCCTGGCCAACATGGTGAAACCAGCCTGGCCAACATGGTGAAACCAGGTCTCCACTAAAAATACAAAAATTAGCTGGGCATGATGGCGTATGCCTGTAATCCCAGCAACTTGAAAGCCTGAGGCATGAGAATTGCTTGAACCTAGAAGCAGAGGTTGTGGTGATCCAGGATCACGCCACTGCACTCCAGCCTGGGCAACAGAGTGAAACTATCTCAAAAAAAAGAAAAAAATTCTGAAGATGTTTGTGAAAAAGAAGAATAGTGAAGATGTGTACTTGAGGACTGAGACAGAAGTCAACTTGCATTCATAATAACAGGATGTTATATTTATAAAATAAATATTGTATTAATCATGTTTCTACTACCCACATTGTGGTGTCACTGCAAAAAAAGTATTACTTTCATCCCTTACTAGAGGAAACAGAAGTTGGGAGAAATTAAGTAATTTTTCCCAGGGTCGTGTAGAAGATAAAGGGGTAAAATATGAGTTTTAATTAATATATTTCCAATACAAATTTAGTGTTTTATTCATAAAAAGGTATGCAGAGATACATATTAGAAAATGTAGAGTCTAAACATAACCAAGGCTCATTGCCTTTCCCAACAAAGCAAATCTTACTATCTAGTATCAATTATGAGACGATGTAATGAAGATTCAAAGTACTATAAGTAAATAGAAATGACAAGTGGAATCAACTTTAACTGGTTTGACTACACAGGCAGAATACTATATGGAGGAATGGGTTTCCCCTGGCAATTAGAGAACAGTTGATTTAAGACATAGGAAACAGTAATACAAAGGAAGGTGAGAAAAGGGAAATGTGAAAACATGTCCAGGGAAAGTGAGCATGCCTTATGATGAAAGCATACATATTTACAGACTAATGAAATACAGAGAAAAACTAAGCAGTACTTGCTTAGTTTACACTCTTTAGTGGCACGATAGTTACAATTTCATTATATTGTAATTATGAAGACTTTCAATATTTTTGTATTAGTGTTTGGCATGATCAGAAATGTGGATCAACATGGTGATTGTGTATAGGCAGTAGAAATTGATTATTGGGGGTATTCTTGTGAGTGTATTTGAGTGTGAAAGATTTAGGACTTTACTGTATTTATTTCCTAGGAAACAAGGATGGGTTTAAAAACACAGACTATAGAGGTTATACTTAGAACAGCGAATACACATACATGTTGCCTTAGGTGATAGTTGGAAATTAGAAGATAGCAGGTGAAAATAGAGACTGAGTAAATGACAGATGTTGGGATGGTAGACATTAGAGGTCTTCAAACTTCTAATTTCCAATAAAACGTTTTCTGAAAACAGTGATCATAAGGAAACACTGTAAGGAAGTATAAATATTTAATTGAAGGTTACCCAGCTATAATAACCATAGAATACTGCTAATTCTGCTGTTTGAAGTACCACTAATGCTTACTTCTATGCCACCATTCAGCAAATGCTTTTCAAGTTGGTCTCCTAAGCAGATAGCATGCTACTCCATATCTCCTCCTTCTAAACTACTCTCTTCCATTACAGCAACATTTTTTCTAGGCCATAAAGGCTTACTCCTAGTTATACTTTTCATCCTTCTCTAGCATTTGCTTCTCTAGACTTAAGAACATTAGTCTTAATTCTGCGCGTCATGTAAATTTCTATATAATTTTTCACATATCATTAGTGAAAGTCTAGGTCTTAAAATACCTTTGCCATTGTCCATATTTCCTCCAAGTGTCAAATTAGCATTTTGAGACAAGGACTAAACTTCTGAAATCAAAGTATATATTAGGGGTAAAATAAATACATGATTTAAAAAAATATTCTATGAAATATGGAATATTTTTGGAGGAAGTACTGAGAATATTGTAAAAATGTCATCAAGCTTGTGATGTATTAGGTTTTGTTTTTTTCAAATTAGGTGGGATTATAAATCTAATATGAAAGTGTGAAATACAAATCTAAAATGTGTACAAAAGTTGGTGGTGTTTCTTAAAACTTAATTTGCCTTAGGATGGCAGTATTGTTCTTCCTAAGATTTAGGAAAGTTTTAGAAAAGGCTTCATGAGGAAAGCATCGGCTTTCTAAACATTTTCTCACTCTCACATCGACACAAAAACCCATGCTTATCAAAGAATTGGGTGGATGTAATATACATACAGATTAAACTAAAACTCTATACAAACAGTGATAATGGGTAAAAACACAAGCGGTACAAATCTGATTGACATGTTAGTTAATTAAAAGAAACAAGGAAAAAAGGTTTGGGATCACAGAGGGGATTACACAGTGACAAGTCTTCCAAATTATTTTGTTTCAGTGAGGAAAAAAAAATCAATAAGTAAAATTAAAAACAAACAAGCAAACAAACAAAATCCTCCAGGAAGATATTGCGTGTTAATAAATTGAGTAAAAGCCCCAGCTTATAAAGAAAATATTTCAGGCAGAAGCAAGATTATGATATTAAAAACAGGATGTAAAATTGTGCAAAAGGGTAAAGATTCTTGATTATCAGTCACTGGGGAGTACTTTCCACATAAGTTTCATTAACATTCAGCATGGTTGACCTATGTTTGGTCAAAATCCTTACAAATCTTTACAGCCTGATTAATTTGAAATGGAAAATATAGCAACCTTTATGTTCCTCAGTTTCTGAGTTATTCAACAGAACCTAAAAGCATTTTCAACATGCAAGTCAAAGTCCTAAACACCATAGGGGCTAAATATGATGATGACCTTACGGTCTCACCATAGGTCACATTCATAAAATAATTAAAGCAGGTAAAAAAAAAAATGTTAAGAGAGTCATACAAAAAAAGTGTTTTCAGGACTACATGCCAGGTTAATAGAGTTATACATTGTGTATAATGTATTGCATCAGTATAATTGTTTATTTTATCAAGCAATTGTAATCTTATCTGCAGCCTAAGTCACCAGAATATCTTGTGGTCTGTATTAGCACTTTCGTATTTTATTGCCTTATGAATCAAATGTAATTTCCTCAGCTTAATGCTGTTTGTCCTACAAATCTCAGACCTTTCCACTTCACTCACCTGCCTTTTTAATTAAGCATAGACAAAAACCAAAATATATAGCTTGCATTTTAACAAAAAATTATAAGCCCCAAATACATTTATCTATCATATTCATTTAAGGACATTTTCTTCTTAAGATTTACTTTTATGTAATTTTTAAATCAGATTGTATAGCATTGCTAAAATATAATTTACAAAATAATCCCTTGTGCCTTGGGACAATTATCCAGGCACCAAATTATCATGATTAATGTACATACTCACTTAACATAAAAAAGCAACAGTATGCGGAACAAATGAATATAATCTTAACAAGGAAAGAAAATTAACCAAATAATTATAATCATTAATTCAAATACAAGAAGCCAAACTTGAGGTAATAAAAATTACATTGAGATCCAAATTAAAATAATTTATTTTTTGTTTAAAATTTGATAAAATGGGGACACATTCACAGAATATGAGAGTTTACCTAGAAATTAGATTTTTTTTGGTCAAAATTTCAACTTGTATAACTTTTATGTACTCTCTGAGAATTTGTTTTGGTATCTCCAGCCACAGTGATTACACTGCTTTGACAGGGAATGGGTTCCCACATCATAGGCTGCCTCTAATTCTAAGCATGTTTGCTTTAATTTCAAATTATGAAATGATTCAGTGAAATTTTTATACCTGTCTTTGTGCTCAGCTCCTCAGAGGTTTTTGAATGCAAACCCATTATGGCTGACAATGACTGCCTGTGTCTTTTCTCATGTCATCCACAACATAAGATATTTTTCATTTTGTTTTGTTCTGGGAACATTTCATGTTTCCCTTCCATGAATGATAGCATAATTCCATAGTTTTCCATTCTCTTAAAAATGTTATTGAAACTTGGAAATAAGTCCAAAGGTGGGTGATGTATCCCATTTTTCATTATCATATCAGGGCAAAGACCCACATATGTATTTTCAACAGAAAGGTAATTAGTTTATCTTGTTGTTTTCTACTAAATGTCTCAGAGTTAGTTATGTCACTTGTTAACTGTTGTTTTCAGCCTGACAAAGATGCATATAATGTTTGTCCAGTTGAACCAATAATACTGATGCTTTATGGTATGTGGGACATTATCCAGTTTGAAATCTGACCCAGCAATTTTAGTCCTGAGTTCTCTCATTGAATAATGTGTTAAAATCTTTAGCATATGTTCATTTTATATTTGTCTAGGAATAATGATTTTACCATTTTGAAAATTATGTGTTGTCATTTTATGTACCTGTCTCTATAACCAACTTGGCAACTGTCCTTTCCTGGTTGCATCAGTGTTCTATAGTTTATAGCAGGTTGTTTTGAATCAATTGATGGGAGACATCAGTTTCCAATGCAATTACAAATAGAAAATGTACTCTTGTTCATAGAACACAATTTGTTGAACACTATCAAACTTTCTGATATCCATAAAAAGCTTGATGTACTACTTTTTATTGCTGCATTACTATTTATTCAATGGCCAATAACATATGAATTACACAGGGTCATAAATGTTCTTAAATTATAATTTGAGGGCAGTTTATATTATCCTATTTCCAATAAAATATATTGATGTATTTTATAAAGCATAATCCTATACTTGGAAGATAATATAAATACATACCTTAGCAAACAATCATTTGCCATCATATGTTTTACCAATTATGTCAGATCCAAATTAATTAACATAACTTTTCAGAGACCTCCAACATCAATGTAAATCTCATCCTGTTTTGCCTTTTTTAAATGAATGCATTCCTTGTTCATTTGATAATTGCATATTTGAAACCTCTTATCTACATGGAAATACCATCAGCACTAGTACTTTATACAGTTACATAGCAACATTTTCCTAATTTATATAAACTTAGTTCCCTAAAGCATTTCTGAGAGATAATGTTAAAACTTAATTGAAAGTCAAAATTAAGTGAACTCTACTTACAAAACAAATATAGAATTTGGTTACTGATATGCATCAGTTTGCTGATGATTTCATAATTCAAGAAGAATTAATCTATCAAATGTGCAGCAAATCAAATATACTAAAAAAGTTTGTGGGTGTGTGTGTGTGTGTGCATGTGTGTGTGTCTTGGCTGCAGTACCACACAACTGAGTTCCAAAAAACTATAGTCATGGCATTTGCTGTTATATAGAACATACTTTGAATGTTGCTGAAATATAGATTATCATCATGACTGGCTCAACACTATGTTATTTCCCCATCCACATGTCTATACTGCCTTATAGGCCAAGTCGTTTTTCTTCATTTTCAAACTATATTTCTACATTTATTAATGATAATATTTTGTCCTTCTTTATTCTATATAAATATTATCACTGCTTTATTAGTTCTATTGTCATATCCATAATCCTGTAATATTTAACCTAATACTAATAATATATATGATAATTTATGATAACCTATGTCCAATGATACAATTTCTTAAATACATATACATTGAGTGCTAAAATAAACTGGTGTTCTCCATTGATTTATTCAGTGCTGTTTCCCTTTAATTGGGAATAAAATTATTGCTGTTAAATATCAGTATGAAAGTTGTACAGAAGTCATTATTGAGTCATTTGTGTTTTCTCCAAATTTCTCTCCATTGTCACAAATTTATATTACATCAGGACTATTAAAGAAAAGTCCTATTACCAAGTGCCTTTATTCTGGTAACACTTGAAACAAAAAACAAAAAATGTTGCTTATTTTTCTTTTTTCCCCAGATATATATTTTTTGTATCAGGCATTCATCAAACATGATGAAGAACATTATGAAAATAAAGAACATCACATTTGGTCAAGGAGCACTTATTGGTACAATGCAGATAAAGTGATGAGAGAGACAAGTGCCCTTCATTCATGGAGCAAAAAGTTTAACAATAAACATTAAATAGCTTACTATAAGTGTGATGCAATTTATGAATGAGAGGTGACAGATAATTACGGAGGTTTACGGTAAAAAGAATTCACCCACTCTTGGGGTCTCATGACACTTAAATTTAAACTTTAGGGTATATGTTTTCACTACTGTTTTAATGCACTAAAGGACTAGACATTCTTTCTAGTCCTTCCAGAGATGCCAGAAATGTATTCTTTCTAGTCTATTCCAGATATACTGGAAACAAATAATTTACCTTATATGTTTCATCAGAACCCCAATGAAACATATAACTTGAAATTTGTTTTAGTTGTAGTTTTGAAAAACCCATTTTTAATTGGAGATCTCTTGAATTTAAATCAGTTTATAATGTATAGTACTGTATAGAAGTGCACCTGGAGAAGAATTCCACTATTTTGCCAATAAAATTAGTTTATCATACTTGAATTTTTGTTTTTTAATGTTTGGCAAAATTTCTTCATGGTCTTGTATTTTTCTATGAAGAAGTACACAACATCTTTTTTACTCCATTTTTGCAGCTATTTACAAACGTTGATTAACAACATTATTTCATTGGGATTGAAATATAATATTATAATTCTATCATTTCTTCATTTATATTTAGAACAGTTTTTATAAAAAGAGAATCAGACCACAAATATTTAAACACACTGATAGAAAGTTCATCAAAATTCATGAAAGAAAGCCAGGATATATACTTAAGACTTTTTCTTTCAAGTCTTTCAAATTATTCTGTTACCCAGTTAACCATTTAATAAAAACAATCACTGTATTAAAGTATTGTAGTTACTATTCTAACCAATACTCAAATTATCTTACCTTTGGATATTAGGAGTCTCTCAAAGTTGATAGAGGCCAAGTTTTTAAACTCCATTATTGGCCAGTTTTTATCATATTTGTTTGTTTGTTTGTTTTGTTTTTTCAGACAGAGTCTCACTCTGTTGCCCAGGCTGGAGTGCAGTGGTACGATCTCAGCTCACTGCAACATCTGCCTCCCAGGTCCAAATTATTCTCCTGCCTCAGCCTCCTGAGTAGCTGGAATTACAGGAGTGCACCATCATTCCCCGTTAATTTTTTGTATTTTTAGTAGAGAGAAGGTCTCACCATGTTGGCCAGCCTGGTCTTGAACTCCTGACCTCAGGTGATCTGCCCACCTTGGCCTCCCAAAATGCTGGGATTACAGGCATGAGCCACTGTGCCCAGCCCAGTTTTTATCAAATTTTTATACACCAACATGCCATTATTACACTGTATCCAGTTAGCTCATTACAGAGACTTTATGTTGATCCCACCTGCAATTAATATGTTTAAAGTGTGTTTAACACGTTTTGGTTTCCTCTTCATTGATGTTCTGGGCCCAAGCTTCTAAGAGTGTGGCCTCTCTGGTTTACCTACCTATTAGTGTATTTCTTAGTTAATTTGTGCTGCTATGACAAAATAGCTGAGACTAGGTAATTTATAATAAACAGAATTTTTTCCTCAGATTTCTGGAGGCTGAGAAGACAAGATCAAATGCCAGCATTTGATCTGGTGAGGGCCTTCTTACTGTGCACAGAAGGCTGAAGGGAAAGCTAGCTGAAGGCTGCATGAAACCTCTTTTATAAGGCCCTTAATTCCATTAATGAGGAAGGAGCCCTCATGAATTAATCACCCCAAGGCCCCACGTCTTAATACCATCAAACTGGCAACACCTGAATTTTAGAGGGATTTAAATTGGAGCATGAAGTTTGAAGGGGACAAACACATTCAAACCGTACCAAGAGCTTTCAGAATCAGCATAGCATAGTGCTTTAAAATGGGCACTGAAGCCAGTCTGCCTAGATACATGTGCAATTTACAAACTTGAGAATCTGATGAAATTATTTAAACTCTGTGCCTGGACTAACTCATTTAGAAAACAAACAAGATCATGGTACCAGTCCAAAGGAATTTTGCTGAAGATTAAATAAATTAATATATGCAACATACTCTGAAGAGTGCACATTACATATATTACATTGACTAGTTTTCTTTCGTCTTCTATTCCATCAAATTTTCCTGCCCATGTCCTCAGAGAAGTTCCCTGATATATAAGGGAAACTATACCATCCTTTAAATCATGGCACTTAGGTCACACCTCTATATTTAGTGATAGCTGCAGGAGACAAATTTCTAGGCAGACAGGGGTGGGTCCCTGGTGAAACCTGACCTTCAAGCCAAAGACAGCCTGAAGCCTGAACACTGGGCTGCTGGTTCCGGATAAATCCCTCCAGCAGAGTGAGAACTTCTATTCCTGTTTGCCCACTTTTTCTTGATTGGTTCTGTCTTTTTTTTTTTTTTTTTTTTTTTTTTTGAGACGGCGTCTGGCTCTGTCGCCCAGGCTGGAGTGCAGTGGCGCAATCTCGGCTCACTGCAAGCTCCGCCTCCCGGGTTCACGCCATTCTCCTGCCTCAGCCTCCCGAGTAGCTGGGACTACAGGCACCCGCCACTACGCCCTGCTAATTTTTTGTATTTTTAGTGGAGACGGGGTTTCACTGTGTTAGTCAGGATGGTCTTGATCTCTTGACCTCATGATCTGCCCGCCTCGGCCTCCTAAAGTGTTGGGATTACAGGCGTGAGCCACCGTGCCCAGCCAATTGGTTCTTTCTGAATAATGCTTTTATATAAATCTAATGTTGCCTTTTCCAAGGCTACCTACAGCCTACAGCTCCTCATTTCAAACCTATAAAAGCCCCAGACTCAGCCACACAGGAGGCTACCCACTTTCAGGCCCCCTCTCAAACGAAGAGCTACATGCTCTCTCAGGTCCCCCCTCTGCTGAGGACTTTTCCTTCTGTCCCTCAATAAAACACTTATCCAGCTTGCTTAATCTCCAGTGTCCACGTATCTCATTCCTCTTGGATGTGGGACAAGAATCTGGAACCAGCTGAGCAGGTGCGAAAGGAGCCGTAACACTGTAACCCTCCCTCCCGATCACTGAGCAATGCAGGAGAAAAAGCCACTGGGCACCTCATGCCCCTGTTCGTCCAGCTGTGGTCAGCAGGAACAAGCTGTAACATGAACAAGCAGTAACACTCCCCCATGTTCGCCATGCTGCCGGCAGCGGGAAGGAACATGAGCTGTAACATGAATGAGCTGTAACACATTCCCTAATTCAACACTGTGGGTGGTGGGAAGGAGGGAGAGCTGTAATAGTCCTTGAGGGCTCAGACCTTGGGACTCCCCAGGCAACAGCTACAACACCACTTGGAGCTCCACGGTTACGGGCATCTCCAAGTTTTCAGATGCCACCACGTTCCCCTTGTCTAGATGCCAGCACCCAAGGCAGAAGCAGGTCACAGAATGCCTGGCCCAGGTATAGGCTGAGTTCAGAGCCATAATGGGTGCAGAATCCAGGGTTGTAGCACCAGCCGAGTGCTGCCCACTGGGCTGAGTGGGCAGAACGTGTCCAGCAGCAAGCCCAGAGCCAAGCAAAGCCCAAGCACAGACACCGCTGGCCTCGAAGATTTCTGACTAGCAAAGAGGCACCAAAAGAATCCTGTGTCATTGTTATTTGTTAAAAAAAAAAAAATCATTATTTTGCAGGGAACTAAAATATAGTGATGCCGACCTTAGCAAAATTAGGCCATGATAAAGAATTTTGGAAAACCAGGAGATAGTCACACATTTTTTTTTGTCTGAGAAATAATGTGCTATATTCATTAAGCATTTGCTCAACTAAAATAATTCAGAAAATGTAGTGGTTAGCAAAGCAGCACATGCTATATGTATTGTGAGAATGTCTTACTAATGCATCCATAAGTTTAAATTGTTCAGCTGAACAGGAATTGAATAGTTCCTATGGATCTTTAGTGATATATAATTCGAATCCATGTGACATATGTAAGATATGCTTTCACATGGTTTGTAATCACAATTTTTTTGAATGTTACATTATATTCCATGATCCCTCTCTGTTCAATTATACTGTATTATTTAACATCCTTCTGTAAAGTTTTTCCAAACATTAGTATTAAAAATGAATACATTAATGAATGGTTTTTTAATTAAATAAACTTGAATTTAAATGGACATTTTCCTTTTACTGAACCGTGTCATTTTGTGTGTATTTTAGTACTGTAATTTAAATCAAACCATAGCTTCCAAGCATTGTTTCACCTGGAAATTTAACAAGTTGTAGTATAAAACTACTAGCAACCCATTTCATTTTTATGGTAAGAGCTGGATACACTACTACATAGTTTTCAAATGATATGCCATACTTTTAAATGCTTTTCAATCTTGGCAATTATATTTTCTTGCCTCTACAATTTAAACTGGTCATGTGACTGATAACTGTCTTTCTTTTGATTATCTGGATTTAATTCTCAGTTAAATGTCTTAACTTTATGCATATCATTGGAAACATCTATGATTTTTACAATTTATTATAGCATAACCCCTCCTAATATGTCATTATCTTCTCCACCATCAAATAATCTTAACTGCCTCATCATATAGATGGTATAGGTTTGTATACTGCTTTCCTATAGGCAGTGAGTATAGCAATTTTTCAGGAAATCCTGTTTGTTTGTGTGTGTGTGTGTGTGTGTGTGTGTGTGTGTATTTTAAAAATCTAGTTGAAGCTGAAATATGAAAAAGCAACGTAGAGCCACATATTGGGTAGCTTAAAAAAATGACAGTGACTGTTATCCAAAGATTACCCAGTTTCTACCAATTTCACCCTAAACTCTAGTCACTAAAAAATACTCATTAAAAAATAATCACTATCACTTGGGTCAAAACTGCTTCTCAGAGCAATGTCCCACCTTTCAAATATTGAGTCCCTGCCTCTTTGTTAAAAAGTGGTATGAACCGTCTTTCCCAAATATAACTTGATCTCAGTGTTCTACACTTTCCTGACAGAACACAAAGTTTGAGTATTATAAATGAGAAGTGTCTTAAATACTGACCTCTTATTTAGAGTAGTTAAAGAGGTGGCTTATATACAATGTACGTAACAGCAGAATGATTTCTTACATATACTGCTCAGTACTAAATTATAGAAAAGTTGGTAAAATTTAATTTAAAGTGTGTCTTTGAAATTCACCATTTCTATAGCAGGAAGTTTGGAAAAATGATATGAACTGACACCATTATCTTGATATCTGTCAGGGATTTGGCTATTGACATGAAAAAAAGACTGCTCTGTCTTTCCAAATAATAGAAAGCTCTTTACATTTTAAAATGAAAGCCATTTACTAGAAAGCTTTTGAAAAGCATGTTTCTATGAGTTTTAAATACAAATCAGAAAGTAATCATTCCAACTGGTAATAGAAACAGGAAGACATTTGTGCAACTCCAGTTACTATTCTAGGGATCTTGCCACTGGGCCACCATTAAAATTGAGTTGACTTTGATTATAAATGACAATTTTCTAGTATAAGCTTTGCAATTATTTTAATTGCACTGGATTTCAAAAAATTATAAAATGTTTCTGTATTGAATTCTTACATTTTAGATTTTATTACTCTAAATGTTTAAAGATCAAAGCATATGAAAATGAGAAAAATTCCTAACAATATTCCTCATTTTAATGTTATGTTTCGATCTTCTAGAGAAAACAGTTTATTTTTCTGTTTAAAAGTTCAAAATGTATGGGGGAATGTGGAAAACCCAAGAATACATTAAACAACTCTAACTGTAAAGGTTACAGCAATTACTTTATTTTTAAAATTTTTTTAAATTTTTTATTGCTAAGAGCTCCTCTGGGCTCCTGCTCCTTAACCACAGACAATAACTTTACATACCACGCAGCCCCATCTTCCAGATGACCAAGTTGTGGTGTATGAGATCTACTGTATCAGTTTGTACTCCAGCACTGAGACCAAGGAGGAAGCCCAGGCTGTGGCTGGCCTGGGCCAAGACAGCAGCTGCTGAACCTGGTGGCTGCCCTGCTCCTGTGGCTGCAGCCAGTCAGGAAGCTTCCAGGCACAGTACTTCAATGAGGATGGAGACTTGCTTGTCTTTAGTGATAAGTAACTGACTATGACTATGTCCAATGTGAAGGATGACATCTTCCATATCTACATTAAAGAAAAGGAGTGCAGAAGGAAACACTGCCTCCTATGTGTTCAGGGGGTAACCTGAAACACAGTGCACCCCAACTGTGATCTGCGATGGTTGTTTAAACCAAAAATAAAATTATAAGTCCCCAACCCCACTATCTGAATGGAGCCCTCCTCTCAACCAAGGAATTCCAAAAAGTTAACCTGAAAAACTGGTTCAGGCTATGATGGGAACAGAGGGTTGGAAGTGCCCCATTATACCCTCCTTCCTTTGGGAATTCAGGAAAAGCCCACCAACATTTAACATCAACACAGACCTTAAGTCTCATAAGAAACATTTACAGTCTATTTTCTCTGAAGCCTGCTATCTGGAGGTCTCATCTGCATGATAAAACTTTGGTTTCTATAACCCCTTATCATAACCCAGACGTTCCTTTCTATTGATAACAACTCAACGAATTGCCAATCAGAACATTTCAAAGTCTACCTATAACCTGGCAGTCCCGTTTTGAGTTGTCCTGTCAGTGGTGTTTGAACCAAAGCGAGTCCATTTTGAGTGAGGGCTAGGAAAATGAGGCTGAGATTTGCTGGGCTGCATTCTCAGAAAGTTAGGCATTCCTAGCTTCTAGGTACTTACGGTTAAGGAACAAATTAATATGTTTACCAAACAGACCCAGACTTGGGAGTGTCTAGATATCCCAATATCTGTAGAACAAAGGCATTCCTAATTTTGTTTTAAAGATAATAATATCCATTCTTGCAAAAGGTAGTAATTAAAAAAATTAGCCCTTTATCACAAACCCTTGTAGTAGAGCACATTTCCCCATATATGCAAAGATTGCACCTAGGGTGGATGTGTTCCTCCTCTTAGTTTCAGGAACATCCTACTTTGTCTGTGGAGTAGCTGTCCTTTCACCACTTTACTTTCTTAATAAACTTGCTTGTACTTTGCACTGTGGACTCACCCTGAATTCTTTCTTGCGTGAGATCCAAGAACCCTCTTTGGGGTCTGAATTGGGAGCCCTCTCCTGTAGCATATTTCTGGCAGCCACGAAGGGACTATAGTACAGAAACCTTGACCCAACGTTTATGTTTGGTTAAGTGTTGGGGTCCTATAATTTATTTCTGGTGGGCCATGGAAGGGATGCTACTGAAGAAACACCCCCAGTCCAAAGGGAATAGACTGCAACACTGATTGGATGACTTTGGGAAAGTGGTGAGGTACCTGGGCAAAGCATGGGATTGGGTTAGAGGCCCAACTTAGGGGAGTTAGAGTCTCTCCTAAGACAGAGTGGATTAGAGGACCCTCTTAATAAAAGGCAAGGACGCTTCACCGACTTTGAGTTAGAGGCCCGGCTTAGGAAGGTTAGAGTCCCGTCTAAGATTTAGGGGGCTAGAGGCCCCTCTCAGTAAAGTCCCTCTCAGCTAAGAATGGGTTAACACCACAGGCTATGCTCTTTGTATTAATCAGCCTTGTTCTCTTTGCTGCATGAATCAATTTCTTGGTTGCTGTCTCTGTTTCACGGTCATTTTCAGGAGACTTTACTGAACTGGTCTTAGTGATTTTAACTTAAACTCTTTTCCTATGTGCCCCCATATTTCCATCCGTTTGCTTGTGAAACATAGGGAACAAAAAGGATTGAAGGTTCCAGCTCTAAAATTGCTGATGGAGACTTAGTATTTAACAGCTATGAGCAATAAGATTAAAGGGATGTAGTTACGTTTTGTTGCTGCCGTGCCGACTAGGTGTGATCGAGAAGAACGGGGATGGAAATCAGAGGACTCTTCTTGCTGTTTTGTTTCATTTTGCACACTAAAAACCACTTCTTTCCTTTCTTGGTTTGGGTAAGCCGGCTTTGCTTGTGCAATCCACACTACCACTATTACCCAGAGCCTGCTTGCACTGGTCATTCTCTTCTAAATCCTCTTCATTTCCTTTGCCTTATTCAACATTTTTGTAGAAGTTCGTGTTGTGGTTTATCTAAGATTCATGGCTTGGCTCACTTATATTATTTGGATAATGTGAATAAGAGAATTCAATTTCAGCAGGGATCCCTTCATTAATGCAGCCAGCCTTAAAAACCTCTCTTATCCTTTTTAGTGGAACTCAGCCAGTGGCAATACAGTCTCTCAGGTTTGGAACTTTTATTTCAATATCGCCTGACTCCTTCATGGGTACCACAGCATCGATTCCAAAGAACTCACCACTAAGATGTATTCTTGAACATTGGGACCAGCTTAAACTGAATAGGCTTAAGAGAAAACTGGTGTTTTTATGTAATACTGTTTGTTCTTGGCATTATTTGGAAAAGCAAGAGAAATCGCCTCCTACTGGAACTATGACTTTTAGTACTATATTTCAACTTGATTTGTTTTGTAAGTGGGAGGGAAAATGGGATGAAATAGCATATGTTCAAGCATTTTTGCTGCTCAGTCAAGTTAAAACCCTGCAGCAGGCATGTGCATGTTTGATGAGAGGAAAAGAAGAAAAGAGCTAGACATACTAGATGATCCTTTAATGCAAGCTCCACCCCCAGTTCAGTGGGCCGTTTTGGGTGGAGCAGACCCTCCTCTGTCAGCTCTGAAGGTTTAGATGTGTTGGTTCTTTCTCCCTCTAGTCCACCTGAAAGTTCCATTGAGAACCCTTTGTCCCCTCCTCCTTATCCCTCTAGTCCCACTCTACACCAACCACTCCCTGAGGAACTTAGCCCAGTGAGTACTATTCTTGTAGTGGAGCCTCCTATCAATCTCCAATGGGAAATCTTTCTGCACTTAGAGAGGTGGCAAGGCAAGTGAGGAAGAGGCACTGTGAAAGTACATGTTCCTTTTTCTATGTCTGATTTGGCTCTATATAAAGACAAATTTGGTCATTTCTCTGAAGATCCAGGAAAATTCATAGATGATTTGATAAATTAACTGACCTATAGTTTAACTCGGCAGGATCTGCATTTGTTGTCTCTGTGTTGTACAGTGACAGAGAAACAATGCCTTTTGGGGACAGCTGGATCCATGCAGATGAAGTATTGGCTTGCAATCCAAACCATAATATATCAGGCCGGAGGTATACGAGCTCCAAATCAAGATCCAAAGTGGAACTATCAGTGGGGCAGTGAGGACTTGGGGAGGAGAGATCATATGGTCACTTGTTTGTCGGAAGGGATGAAGAAATGTATGAAAAAGTCTGTGAACTATAAAAAGGTTAAGGAAGTTTCTCAGGGTAAAGATGAGAATCCAGCTTTGTTTCAAGAGCGTTTAGATGAGGCAATCAGGAAATGTACTAACACTGATCCTGCCTCAAGGAAGGATAGCCCTTTTGGGAGTACATTTTATAACCCTGTCTGCTCCTGATATCCATAGGAAACTATGAAAAGCAGCTATGGGTTCCCAAAGTCCTGTGGAACAGCTTGTGGATGTCACATTTATAGATTTTTATAACAAGGACAAAGCAGAGGAAGTAGAAAGAGCAAGAAGGACCTCCCACAAGGTGCAGCTCTTGGCTGCAGCCTTAGGCTCACCTCCCACATGGAGTTGCCCTCCTGCCTGTTGACCTGAACAAGGGAAGCTGAAAGGTGGAAGCCCAAAGCTGGATATCCGAGTCAGTGTGCCCTGGGCATGAATCAGTGTGCACAGTATAAGAAAACTGGCCATTGGAAGAGGGATTGCCCAGCGTTCCAAAGGAAGCCTTTGACACTCAAACCAATGATGGCTGAAACAGCCAGGCAAGCCCAAGAGTGACGGGGCAGAGACCTTCCACCACAGCTCCCACTGGACAACTAGTCGTGTCTCTGGAGAAGCCTCAGGTAACCTTTGACATGACAGGTAAGAATATTAACTTCCTTCTGGACTGCTTACTTTGTTTTGACCCATTATAGTGGGCCTCTGTCACTGCAAAACTTTATGGTCGAGGGGATAGATGGACATAGATGACACTTTACCTATCCTTTAAGCCGCTCTTCAGGGACTTTGGTTTTCTCCTGGATGCTCCACCCTTTGTTGGGAAGGGATTTGTTAACTCAGCTACAAACAGTAGTATCTTGGAAATTGCAAGGCAGACAGAAATTGCTCCTTCTCCTTTCCTGTGAATAAATATCATGCTTTGTTGCTAGATGCTCCTGATATAACACTTAACGTATGCCAAATTTTGAATCCAGCTACCTATTTGCCTGAACTCACAGGTACCCTACCTAGATCATTCTTGTATAAAAGTTATGGAGCAAGTTTACTCCAGCTGTCTGGATTTAAAGGATGAGCCTCTAGATAACCCTGAGGTAGAATGGTTTACAAATGGAAGTAGCTTTGTGCACCAGGGAAACAGGACAACAAGCTGTTAATACCAGGTGCTAATCATTGGAAAATAGTTAAGCATTTCCATGACTCTATTCATTAGGGAAGAGATTCCCTGTTTCGAATAATGTCCTGGCTTTTCATAGGAAAAGGCTTACTTAAAACAGTAAAGCAGGTAACTAGGACCTGTGAACTATGTGCCTGGAATAACCTAAATAACCAACCTTTAACTTGTCCTCTTATTTCTTTTGATATATATTTCTTTTGATATAAATCCCAGAAGTGGGATTGCTAGATCATATGGGAGTTGTATTTTTAATTTTTTGAGGAATATCCATGCCATTTTCCATAATGGCTATCCAAATTTACCTACCCACCATGGGTATAAAAGTGTTCCTTTTACTGCATATCCTTGCCAACACTTGCTATGTTTTGTCTTTTTGATAATAGCCATTCTAACAGGTGTGAGGTGATCTCTCTCATTGTGGCTTCAATTTGCAATTCTTGGATGATAGTGATTTTGAGCATTTTTTTCATATACCTGTTAGCTATTTATATGTCTTCATTTTAGAAATTTCTATTCATGTCCTTTGCCCATTTATTCGTTTGTTTTTTCACTTGAGTTATTTGAGTTCCGTTTATATTTTGGATATGAATCCCTTATCAGATGTATGGTTTTGCAAATCTTCTTTCCAATTTCATAGGTTGTCTCTTTACCTGGTTGACTGTTTCCTTTGTTGTGAAGAGGCTTTTTAAGCTTGATACAATCCCATTTGTCTATTTTTGCTTTTGTGGCCTATGCTTCTGGGGACATATCCAAAAAACCATTGCCCAGCCAAATGTCAAGGAGCTTTTTTCCTACATTTTCCTCTAGTAGGTTAAACATTTTAATTAAAGAGTTATATTTAAGTCTTTAATTAATTTTGAGTTGATTTCTTCATAAGGTATGAGATGAGGGTCTAATTTCATTCTTTCGGATATGGATATCAAGTTTTACTAGCATAATTATAGAAGGGACAGTACTTTTCTAATTGTGTGCTATTGGCATCTTTGTTGAAAATCAATTGACTGTAAATATGTGAATTTATTTTGGGGCTCTCTAATCTGTCCCATTCATCTATGTGTCTGTTTGTGTGACAGCATCGTGATGTTTTGATTACTATAGCTTTGTATTACATTTTGAAGTCAGGTACTGCGAGGTCTCAGGTTTGTTCATTATGCTCAAGATTGCTATGCCTATATAGTATCTTTTGTGGTTCCATGCAAATTTTAGGACTGCTTTTTCTATATCTGACATTTCTATGAGAAATTTCAATATGAGTTGTAATAAATGTAGAGATAGATTTGAATAGTATGGGCATTGAAACAATATTGGTTTTTTCCAATCCAAGAATACAAGATATCTTTTCATTTTTGTCTTCTTCAGCTTTTTCTATCAATAGTTTGTATATTTTAGTGTATAGATATTTTACCTCCTTGGCTAAATTTATTTGTGAATGTTTTATTTTATTTATTTATTTGTAACTATGGTAAAAGTGTTTTTTTTAACATTTTTTTCCAGATTTTATTGGTTAGAGCATAGAAATAATATTGATTTTTCTATGTTGATTTTTGTATCCTGCAAATTTACTAAATTCGTTTATTACTTTTTACTTTTTTTTGGTGGAGTCTTTGGGGGTTCTATATATAAAATGATGTAATCTGCAAATAGGGACAATTTTATAAGAAATTTCTAATAATTAACTATTTCTCACTTTTAATTTAGAACAGTAAATAGAAACCATTTTCATAGCTTAAGTAATAATTTTATCAAGTTTTATTTTTATACTCTGACTTTCCCTAAAATAGCTATCTGAAATATTAAAAATAGTGACCCTATCTGGCTTTCATATTTTCTTGTTATCACTCTCCTGGCCTGTCAAAAGATAAATGATTTGATTATTGCAGGTTTCTAATTTTTCAGCTATTAGCATACGACTTGACAAGACCAAAACTACCAAAACATATTTATGACAGCTTGCAGCTTGTTTTCCCTCAAAACTAATTTGTTTTTCATAGTTTTTTAATAGAATCTCATAACTTACATTGGTCATCTTGAAGCTGCTAATTCATAATACAGTCAAACAGGTACCAAATCATAATACTGGGATTTGCATGTTTCTTCTTATTTGCTCAATTACAGCCTCTCAAAAGTTTTTTGAACAATTTCAGGTTCTCAAAGATTTTTAAAGTATATGAAGAGGAAAATTGTTCAATGAAAGCTGAATATTTACACATTGAATTATCAATATATCTCATCTTTGATTAGTATTACATACAACAAATGACAAGCACATCATTTAACTCAAAATACTTATTTTCGAAAATGCTATTATAATATAAAAAGATAAAATTATTAAGCAACACCTAGTAAAACCATTGTTTATAAGAAGCACTTTCTCGTAGGTGTCAGTATAAAGTATACACAGATTAAATTAATCCTGAAATAGTTCCCAGACCTTAGTAAACACTTTTAATGACAAATTTGAGTGTTTGTCCTACTGAAACTTTCTAAGTTTTGGTTAGTTCAGTATAGAAAATTTACTGAATCTATTACTACAATGCAGATCTATCATAGTTTTTTTCTGAGTTAATTTTCTTCTTTTTTTCCAGACGCTGAAAATAATTTTGTATTATTTATTAATTTATTTTTTAATTTGCATAAATGTATGGGGTAAAAGTGCGGTTTTGTTACATGGATATATTGTGTAGGGAAATAAAAGTGTTTAGTGTACCATCACTTGAATCACGTATGTTGTGTCTGTTAAGTAATTTCTTATCATTCCCCCTCTCACCTCTCTGTGTTTTTTGGAAGGCTTATACCATTTAGTTACAGAGTCTTTACAAATATGATAATAGGATGGCCATAGTGGATCTTCTTACTTTAAAGGCAATTAACACATTTGGAGACAAGAGAACCACAGTAGTTCCTATTATCCTCAGGTGACATGTTCCAAGACCCCCAGTGGACACCTGAAACCCTGAACATTGTCAATCCCTATATATAGTATGCTTTTTTATACATACATACCTACGATAAAGCTTAAGTTATAAATTAGGTACAGTAAGAGATTAACAATAACTAATAATAAAATAAAACAATTGTAACAATAGACTATAATAAAAGTTCTGTGAACATGATCTCCCTCTCTCTCTAAATATCTGATTGCACTGTGTTCCCCTATTTTCCCACCATGATTGACCAGAGTAACTGAAATTGCAGAAAGCCAGCCATGGATAGGAAGAAACTACTGTAGAGTGGTTAATGAAGCATGGGGGTAATATTTAATCAACGTCAACTTTGCATCAGACTTCCCTCATCAGCTATTCTCTGTTCCCAAGTATAAAACCCACAATATTGGCCTGCCCCATCCTGCCCACGGTTAATTCCAGGACAGCCCTCCTCCTGTTGCTTCCTGAGAAATCTTTGGCTGCACTCCATCTAAAAACAGAGTATAACAGATTTCTAGAGGAAACTCAAGTAAATGTTCTTGTACTATTTGTCATTAAAAACAAAACAAAAAAAAGCAGAAGAGTCTTTTGGCAAGATATGTATCTATCTGTGGACTACAGGTGTAATCCTGGCCAGCGTGAGCAGGAATACATTGCGGCAAGCCCGTGGCTTCCTCCCCAGCAAGGGCAAAGTCTTGCCTTGCTGCGGGGAAGCTGTAGTAGCTTTAGTGCCTTCTAGACCCTGCCTCGCTGCAAGAAGCCAGAGCACCCTCAAGGGAAGCTGGTTTTATTTCTCAGACACCACACATAACATTGGAAGTCTTCCCTCATGTCACTGCTTCTACTGTCTTAAACGGCTTCATGCCTCCCCAACCCCCAGAAGAAGAAGACGGAGAAACAGGCCTTAAAGAAGCCCTACTGTTGTACGCTAGCTCAACACAACTATGTGGCAAAAATGAGGCATGGAAAAGGTGAGCAAAAATTGTCACAAAGGTACTGGATTCTTTGAATACTGGATGATGTCCAGGGCAGCTCTGATGTGGTAATTCCTGGTGTCTAGGAGCCTGATGAGGCAGCCACCTTCATCGGAGAGTCCCATGGACTGCATCTGGGAGAGGGGCTGAAGCAGCCAGGAGTCAGTTCCTGAAGGAATATGTGGGAACAAGGCAGCCTCCTTCAGTCCTGTGGGTCTTTCCAGGTTTCTGGCATCTGCAGACTGGAGTTCACTTGTAGACAGGCCCACTTATTTTGAAGACAAAGGAATCGAATCACCATCTCATCCTAAACTGTTATTAGACTCCATCTGTTCCTCGGGCTGCTGCATGAACTCCAGGGGTATCTTTTTCATTTGAGCTGCCAGAGACTGTGCCATGCCATTGACCCTTCCACTGAGTTTGCTGAGGTGCCCGGAGAGCAGCTGCTTGGCTGAGAGTTGCACTTCCATTCTGTGCAGTAACTATCTGGAGTGAAGAGTGCCAAAAGCTTCTTCTCCCTTCTTTTTCCATGTCAGCATCAACTTACATGCCCAGACGGCTGAGGGTAGCTGCCACACTCTCCCCTGCATTATTAAGGAAATTCACACTGGGGTTTCCCATGCCTAGCAGCTGACTTTGCTGTGAGGCTGAGGTGGGCATTCCCCACTAGAGGAGGACAAGGATTCAGGCACCAGGTCCCTGGTGGATCCATCTCCTGGCCTGGCCACCTGAAATACCCGTGTCTCTGCGTCCATAGCCAGAGGCTGGGAGAGAATTCCGGAGAGGGGCTCCCAGAGGGTCAGAGGGACTCATGTTTGCTGTGCCTTCTATACCTGCCCTTTGGCTGGGTCAGTGCACACCACTTAGTAGTCTCAGGCTTGGTGCAGGCAAATATCCACAGGCCGGTTGCAACTGTCAATGAAGAGTCAAACTCTGTAAAATATCTAAAGAGATTTATTCTGAGTCAAAGAGAAGTGACCAATAGCCCATGATGCAACCCTCAGGAGAGCTTGAGAACATGTGCTCAGGGTGGTCAGGGCATAGCCTAGGTTTTTGTTTGTTTGTTTGTTTGTTGAGATGGAGTCTCCCTTTGTCACCCAGGCTGGAGTGCAGTGGCACGATCTCTGCTCACTGCAACCTCCGCCTCCTGGGTTCAAGTGATTTTCCTGCCTCAGCCTTCGGAGTAGCTGGGATTACAGGTGCCCACCATCATGCTCAGCTAAATTTTGTATTTTTAGTAGAGACAGGGTTTCATCATGTTGGTCAGACTGGTCTTGAACTCCTGACCTCAGGTGATCCGCCTGCCTCAGCCTCTCAAAGTGCTGGGATTACAGGTGAGAGCCACCACACCCAGACGGCATAGCGTAATTTTATACATTTTAGGGAGACATGAGACATCAATCAAATAAATGTAAGATATATGTTGGTTCAGTCAAGAAGGTGGGACTGTTGCAGGAAAGGGGTCCCAATCCACACCCCAAGAGAGGGTTCTTGGATCTTGCACAAGAAAGAACTTAGAGGGAATCCACAGTGCAAAGTAAAAGCAAGTTTACTAAGAATGTACAGTGGTGAAAAGACAGCTACTCCACAGATAGAGTAGGACGTTTCTGAAAGTAAGAGGAGGAATGTGTCCATCCCAGGTACAATGCTTGTATATATGGGGAAATGTGCTCTGCTACAAGGGTTTGTGATAAAAGATTAATTTTCTTAATTACAGCTGGGCTGGGGGCCTCACGCCTGTAATCCCAGCACTTTGGGAGGCCAAGGCAGGAAGGTCACCTGAGGTCAGGAGTTCTAGACCAGCCTGGCCAACATGGTGAAACACTGTCTCTACTAAAGATACTAAAATTAACCAGGCATGGTGGTGGGCACCAGCTACTTGATAGGCTAAGGCAGGAGAATCACTTGAACCCGGGAGGCAGAGGCTACAATGAGTCAAGATCACGCCACTGCACTCCGGCATGGGCGACAGAGTGAGACTCCATCTCAAAACAAAACAAAAAAAAATCTTGATTACTATATTGCGCAAGAATCAATGTTATTATCCTTCAAGCAAAATTAGAAATGCATTTGTTCTCCAGATATCAGGATATCTGGACACTCCCAAGTCTGGGACTGTTTAGTAAATGTTATTAATTTGTTCCCTTAACCATAAGTACCTAGAGGTGAGGAATGCCTAACCTTCTGAGAATGCAGCCTAGCAAGTCTCAGCCTCATTTTCCCAGCCCTCACTCAAAATGGAGTCGCTCTGGTTTGAATGCCTCTGACATATATCCCCCCTTCCTTTACAAGAGGACCCTTAATCCTAAGGGTTGCAGAGGGACGAAGATCCATCTTTGATAACCTCTTCAGGCTGAATATCTATCAAAAGAAATGAAAACTATATGTTGAAAAGATACCTGCGCTCTCATGTTCATTGCAGCATTAGTCACAATAGCCAAACTATGGAATCAACCTAAGTGTCCACCAAGGGATAAATAGCTAAAGAAACTGTGATACAGATACACAATGGAGTACTATTCAGCCTTAAAAAAGAAGAAAATCCTGCGACAACATTGATGAACTTGAAGGACATTATACTATGTGAAATAAGCCAGGCACAGAAAGACAAATACTACATGATCGTACTTGAATGCAAAATCTGAGAAAGTTGGACTCATAGAAGAAAAGAATTAAATGTTGGTTGCCAGGGGCTGGGTGGCGGGATAAAATTGGGAGGTTTTGTTAAAAGTGTACAAAGCTTCAGTTAGACACTATGAATAATTTCCAGAGATCTATTGTACAGTGTGATGATAAGAGCTAATAATAATGTATTGTATACTTAAAAATTGCTGAGGGCATAGATCTCAAATGTTCTTACCACAATAAGTGGTAAGTATGTGAGGTGATGGATTCTTAATTCATTTGATTAAATCATTTCACACTATACATATATATATGAAAAAATGACATTTTATAAATAAGTATATTTTTATGTGTCTATTATACCTTAATAAAGCTGAGGGAAAAAGGTTTCTTTACATTAAATAGATGAAGAATAAATGTGTATATATGTTTAAGAAGAAAAGAGTGAGAAAATTAAGCGGCTCAAGGCATTCATCTTAAAAAACTCCATTATTTAAAACTGGCCTACCATGTTGCATTAATAGGAGAGCATTATTTTGTTGGTATGGAAACCAAATAGTCAGAGGTTTCTAGGTTCACTCATTGTACACACAAACATGCACACACACTCCTAAGCTTATACAATGGGATATGCTTTTGGAAATTATTTTTATCTGGGTAATTTTAGTTATGTATTCTATCAGATATCTGTATCTGTATCTGTATGAAAAATAAAAATACTCAAAATTTAGTGACTGAAAACATGAAATTATTTCCCATGATTCTGTGGGCTAACTGTTCAGTTCTTCTTCTGCTCTTGTGTAGACCCATTCATGTAGTTGCACACAGCAAGTAATCTGGCTCACACTGGGGGTCTCAGAGAGCCTCACTAGTATGTCTTGTGCCTGGCAGGATGGCTGGGCTTCTCTCTTTCATATGGCCTTTCATCATGGCCACTTTGTATGATGGCAATAGTATTTCAGTTAAAAATGAAGGTGAGCTGTTGTAGCAGAATAACATTCTGTTATTCACAGCAAATTACAAGGATAGAGAAATAGACTATATCTCATGAGGGACACGCTGCAAAATACAGTGCCCATGTTTTTCAGTTCACTATATAACCTAGTATACTAGTAGTGAAAATTTCCAGAAATGATAGTTATGCGACAAAAAGGGAGGGAAAAGCAGCTACGTCAGATTAATAACAAGCATGTATTTTGAATACAAAGTTGGGTTCAAATTTTCTCAATGATCTTCACTAGCTCTGTGAAGTTGAGCAATTTAATAAATTTCAGATTGTTTTAAATGGGTTTAATAATACCACCTTAATTAAGTTGATATGATAATCAAATGAAATAGTCTATATAATTGTAAAGTACTTAGCATAGTATTTAACATATAGTATAAAAGAGCAGTTATTATTATTTAATTAATTTGCTGTTTAGATTGAGTTACTTTTTTAAGGGTACACACAGAAAGAAGTTATTATTATTTTTTAAACAATCTTGGATGAAGTCTCCTTTTATACTTATCCCCAACCTGTGTCATTAGAGTAGAGCATGTAGAATTTTCTGGTTTCTCCCAAATATTGATAGAATGTTATCCTTTTTGGGTATTGAAATGTAAGTTTTGTGTAACATGAAACATTAATCTCTCAGCTAGTTCAAAGTTTCTCTCTATTCTCTGCATTGAATCTGCCTTAAATCTCCATTTGGACATATGGTTGGGTGTTTTTCACCATTTCCTTTTAAGAAACATATTTTCCTCCCCTATTTACTACCTGTCTTTAGATCCTTCAGGGTTCGCTTGAAGAAAGTAAGTTCCAGCAAAGAATTTCTTGCTATCATAACAAGACATCATCCAAAACTAATGACCTCTCCTGTGTGGCATATGTCAAAATGCCACTGCTAGAGACTGAATCTTTGTATCCAATCAAAAATCAGAAACCCCAATGCAATGTTATTTGGAAATGAGCCCTCATGGGGAGTAATTAGATCATGAGGATGGAGCCCTCTTGACTGGGAGTCATTTTCTATGAGAAGAAATATGAGAGACATGATCTCTTTCTCCACCATGTGAGAATATATGAAAAAGGTAGTTATCTGCAAAATGGGAAGAGGGCTGTTACCAGACACCAAATCTGTTGGCATGCTGATCTTGAACTTTCTAGCCTGAAGAACTCTGAGAAATAAATATTTGCTGTTTAAGTACTTTGTTTATGGTATTTTCTTATAGCAGCCCAAACTAAGTCAGCTAATTTTCTTTTTGTCCAAAAAACAGACAATGACATGAAATGACATGTAAGTTATCATGACAATGATAACATGTAAGTTATCATGACAATGATAACATGTAAGTTATCATGACAATGATAACATGTAAGTTATCATGACAATGATAACATGTAAGTTATCATGACAATGATAACATGTAAGTTATCATTTCAAATGGACCAATTTTAAAGTAAGATGGGGGCTCCAAATGCCATTATGAGCTATTAGTTGACTAACTGCAGGCATAAATTGGAATTATTCCAAGAAAGGTGAGTTGAATCTGGCCTATTCTGGAGCAATTTTGTAGGTTTCTTGCAGTTTATCTTACTGGACACAGCCAACTAGAATTTTCTGGCAATACCAATCTCTAGCTGATCTATGACTTCTGTACCTTCTTTCCACTGAGATCACTTCAGTTGGGAGCCCATTCAGGAGGTGTTGTATTCAAGATGACTTTTGCTATGGGATAGATATTAACCACATATGGAATGGACATGAATCCATCCTATAGCCATTGGAAATGCTTGCATTTCATTTCCTCAGAATGATTCCAAGTCAATTTTGCTCTTCAGCCACTCTCCCAAATGAAATCATATCCATTCCTTTTATATTTCATAGAAAAACAAACATTCCTCTCTGTGTTGATGAACTGTGTTGTGTGGTTGTTTGATTTGTGTTTATTTTTTTACCCCCAAAGGAAGCCATGATATCATGTACAAATTATCTTTCATTTACTGTCCAAGCACAATGCTTAAGTATGCAGTATGTAGTATACCATAAGAGACATATCATTGGTTAAAAGATAAATTAAAATATTAATTGTAGCCATAAGACTTGCTTAAACATTTCACAGGGCTAATACTTCTTGTCATTTTGCAGTGTGATACAACCTAACCTGGGGATTTTCAATCCTGGCCTTGGAATTTCTGTGAGACATGACCACCTCAGCACATATGTAACTTTCATAAACCTTAAAACAAAGCTTCTTCTTATAACAATAGCTTAAACTCCCTTTATAAAACAATCAAACAAGAAAACACTTGGTAACTGAAATAGACTAAATACAGGTATAAGAAAGTAGGAAGAGACTCTCAGACTCTATGAATGGTCTCCAAACAGAGACCCTCCAGCTCAGTTGATTGTCTGCCCACATGATTGTATCTGCCCAATGACACTGGCCTGCCCCTGCCATTCATCTTGTAAGAGTGCTTCCAGAATAAACTGCTTCAACATTACACCATGTCTTAGACACATCTTTGGCACAAATCAAACCAAAGGAGAGAAGTCTTTCCTGGGGAAGCTGGTCAACTAGAACAACTCAAAATCCCAGAACATGACAAGGAGTTAATAAATATTTGCTAAATAAATTAACTAATCAAAAATTCAAAAGTGGGTCCATCAAGATTTGCAAAGGAAAAGAAATCAATGGATTGATCAACATAGGACTATTTAGAAATTCATAATATGAGCTATCCTGGGCCAAGTTCTGGATTCTGTTGAAATGTGTTCTTCAGGGATAATGTACTGCTAAAAGTACTTTTATATTTACACAAAAGAGAGTTAAATAAATCTGATATAAAAATTGGAAATTCCCAATGGAAAGCTATTTTGAAATATGTGTTGATTTAATTCATAAGAATTTTCTTTGCTTCAGGAAAGGATTTCTTATGAGGGAATACTATTTTGATATTCTGTAAGCCCAAGCTAAGAACATTTTGAAGTGTTGGCAACCTGCACACTGAATTAAATTAGAGTAATAATGGCCCTCAGTGCTACCACTGTATGAAACTTCAATGAGGTGTATTTTGTGGAATTAGCCACTTTAGTTAGCACACTGATATCCTAGGGAAAGCCTTAGAATTCAGTCTTGTATATGAGGATTGAAATACCCAAGAGATACTATAATTAAAGCACAGTCATTTCTCTATAATAAATTAGAAAAATGCTCAGATGTGATATCTTATAGTTCCATAGACTGCAATTTCAAAATTAGAAATAAAATAATTTTCTTTTCCAAAAAGAAATGTAAATATTGAACAAAAGTTACATTTCAAAAGTTAAGTCTGTTGGGAAGAAGAAAGTACAACAGAAAGACAGAATTATATAAGTTTTAAGAATAAAAGCACAGGGCGCGGCGGCTCATGCCTATAATCCCAGCACTTTGGGAGGTCGAGGCGGGCAGATCACGAGGTCAGGAGATCGCGAGCATCATGGCTAACACGGTGAAAACCCCGTCTCTACCAAAAATACAAAAAAAATTAGCCAGGCGTGGTGGCTGGCGCCTGTAGTCCCAGCTCCTCTGCAGGCTGAGGCAGGAGAATGGCGTGAACCCGGGAGGCGGAGCTTGCAGTGAGCAAAGATCGTGCCACTGCACTCCAGACTGGGCGACAGAGCGAGACTCCGTATCAGAAAAAAAAAAAAAAAAAAAAGAGAGAGAGATCGAGATCATCCTGGCCAACATGGTGAAAACCCGTCTCTACTAAAAATACAAAAATTAGCTGGGCGTGGTGGCACGTGCCTGTTGTCCCAGCTACTTGGGAGGCTGAGGCAGGAGAATCGCTTGAACCCAGGAGGCAGAGGTTGCAGTGAGCCGAGATCATGGCATTTCACCCCAGCCTGGGCTACAGAGCAAGAATCCGTCTCAAAAAAAAAAAAAAAAAAGCAAAAAAAAAAAAAAAGCACACAAATATGATGGTAGCAAATTTAGGAATAGTGATAAATGTAACAATAAGAAGAAAATATACTCTTCGTGTGACTATTGGTTATTTTTAGTTAATAGGTATTGAGAAAGAGAAAAAATATTACAAGAGAAAAAGCAAAACATAATTATTTTTTAAACTATATAGTAAAAACAGAGTAATGAAAATTGTTTACTGAAGGGTAACTGTTTTCCATCTATGTATACATGTGCAGACATATAGAAAAGTATTAAAAAACTAGGGTAGCTGTTAAACACATCTTAATGACCAGTCTGGCTAGGATATAAATGGCACATAGTAATGGTAAAAGTGGCAATTCATCATCGGTGTCAATTTGGGAAACAGGGCTGCTATGGTTTGAATATTTGTATCCTGCAAACTTAATGTTAAAATTTAATCTCCAGTGCGGCATTTTTGAGAGGTAGAATCTTTAAGAGATAATTGGGTCATACGGGTTTTGCCCTCATGAATGGATTAATCCATTCATGGATTAATGGACTAATAGGTCATCATGGGAGTGGGACTGCTGGTTTTACAAGAAGCTAGTCCCTTCCCCATGTGATGTCCTGTACCACCTCAGGACTCTGCAGAGTCCCCACCAGCCAAGAAGTCCTTCACCAGATGTGAGCCCTTGAGCTGAGATTTCTCAGCCTTCATAACTCTAAGAAATAGATTTCTTTTCTTGATAAATTAGCTAGTTTCAGGTATTCTGTTATAAGCAATAGAAAATGAACTTACATAACGGTAAAATTCAGGCTCAGTGGTAAATACTCTTATAATTAGAGATCAATTACCTTTCAGTCATGAGCACATGGCAACATGGAAGCCTATCTTATTTTCTGTTTTTTAGCCAAAGGACTGGTATATGTTTTAGAAAACAGGCAAGAGTCAAACTAAATGCATTTGTTGAACATAACACATCAAAGCTGAAGTTAAATCAATTTAACTTCTAGTCTCACATGAAAGTAACATGACAAGTCATAGAAACAGAGATTAAGTTTGTGGTTGCCAGGGGCTGGAAGAGAGGGAAATGGGGAGTTGCTTACTGCATGTAAAGTTTCAGTTATACAAGATGAATATTTTCCAGGTATCTTCTGTCCAACAATCTGCGTTGGGTTAACAGCGACGTATTGTGCACTTCTTAAAAATGTGTTAAGAAGGTAAGTCTCACATTAATTGTTTTTATCACAATAATAATAATAAGTAAATAAATTGCCCTAGAAAAATGTCAAAAAAGTTAGATTCTGAATTCTGATGTAAATAGTGACAAGTTTTAAAGTAACGCTACTCTCAAGGCAGTTTAGGTACATTCATACATTTCCTATAAAAGATTTTTTGGCCAATGTATGTGGCAAGGCTCAATGATGACAGTAGGGGATGTGTGTTACTCAAGAGAGCAAGCTTCTTATGGATTTTAGTAACACTGTTATATCAAAACAATAACTTTATTTGTAACTAAACCAACAATTCAATGACATTGCACATGTTATCTATTTTAAAATATACTTTCAAATGCTTTCTATATAAAGAAAACCAATTTATATTTTACCATATTTGTGCATAAATATGTGTTTACTATTGCAGATTTTGGTCATATAGTAAATACATTCTTAAGTTCTGGGTATGTGAAGTTTTGAAATTTTACTTGACCTTTGTACTGCAGCCAGATGACTAATTATATGTAATTGGTTCTCAATCCCAAAATACCATTGAAAAGATAGAGGAAATAATAAATATAAAACCCAGAATGAGTGCCGTAAGATGCCTCAAGTCTTAAAACTTTTAAGGAATACCCTAAGAAAAGTGAAATAAAATTGTCATAGACACTCATTAGAGCTAAAAAATTTGAAAACCATACGGTTGAAACAACTTCCAAAAAAGTAATTTCCCTACTGAAGCTTCATAAAATCCACCACATAGGAAAGAATAGTGCCACCAGCCGAGTGGACGCCTTGCCATAATTTGAGTTAATTACACAAAAAATATGTAACAATTACTGAGATTTCAGCTGTCAAAGCTAGGTTTTGCTTTCCAGGATAAACCCATTTGTACAGCTCTAAGTAATTCAGAAATGCAAATCATAATCAAGTAAAATGAATGTGAGATTTGGATGAAAGAAAAAAGAAAGCCAGTTTAGCTGTACATACTTTGACACCGACTCACACACACATTAACAAGATACACAGGTCTGTAAATGCATATACTCATGCATACACATTCACATACATCTCCACATGAACAAAGGCACCCGTACATGAACGTGTGCATGCATGTACATACATTTAAATATACACACACTTACACCGAGGTTTACATACAGTCATGCACATATGAACATCCACACACATATTTATAAATGCACACAAACACACTTTGTGACAGAGCCCCTGTAATTACAATCTAAATATACAGAGAAATACCATATTATTAAATGGAAGTACTCCATATTTTAAATATTTTCCTTCCATGGGGAAATTAATGGAAATTACCTACTATTTAAGCATGATTCAACATGGGAACTTATCGCGTATGCTGAATATTATATTAAAAGAAAAAATTAGCCTTAAATATATATTTTAGAAAGCAGTTTTCTTAAAAATGAACTAGATATTAAATTTATTAAAAGTAGAAATAAAAAGAATGAATGTTAACTTTAAAATCTAACAGACAATTTAATAACAATAAGTTCCAAAAAGGGTCCGTAAAAAAATTTATAGTCGGTTTCATCAATAAAACAAGATGCTGATTCCTTGAAGAGAATCTGAGACTAGTGAAACCTTTGCAAATTTGATGAAGACATGTAAAATAAGGTAAGAAAAGAATGTACAAAAACTTAGTGTATATATATATATATGTAAGTCAAGAAATTTAAAAAACTTTTAGATTATTCTACATTAAGAATGATAATAATATACATTTTGACTGATGGAGATTTTCAGATTTTACATATACAAATTTTTCCAATTTTTTCTTTACAATTTTTGTTTTGACTTAGTTTTGAAGACCTTATTTTCCTACTCTCTAAAAACATAATCCCATTATTAGTGCATTCATTGCTATATTTATTGTTAGTTCTTTATCCCATATGTAATGCAAAAATGAAACTGTTGAGTTTATAAAACAAAGTAAGCTGGGCATGGTGCCTCATGCCTATAATCCCAGCACTTTGGGAGGCCGAGGCGGGTGGATCACCAGAGGTCAGGAGTTTGAGACTAGCCTGGCCAACATGATGAAACCCCATTTCTACTAATAATACAAAAAATTAGCTGGGTGTGGTGGTGCACACCTGGAATCTCAGCTACTTGGGAGGCTGAGACAGGAGCATCACTTGAACCCAGGAGGCAGAGGTTGCAGTGAGCTGAGATCGCACCATTGCACTCCAGCCTGGGCGACAAGAGCGAAACTCCGTTTCCAAAAAAAAAAAATAATAATAATAAAATAAAAGTAGAAAAAACTAAAATGAAACATGCTTAAATGGAAGTAATCTTTCCTTTATACAATTATTAAGTAGTCTATCATTGTACTGTTGATTATATGTTGCCTTTATTGCATATTATTCTCATGTATATCTTAGGCTGTTCCTTGGATTTCTACTTATTTAAATAAAATTTTTATATAATAGGATAATTCCATATTGTTTCCAATGGTGTAACTTTATATTATGTTTGGATATATAATTAGGGAAGGCTTCATGATACAAATGTTTCTATGCTTTTAAATTTATTCTTCATATCAAATTTAAAATATTATTTTAAGTGTTTTTTCCACTGTGATAGTTTTGACTGAATTTTAATTTATTTATAGATTAATATGGATGTAGTCATCAACTTCATACAGACTTACTCATTAGGGAACGTATTATGTCTCCCCAGGTCTTCTGTTTGTCTATATTGACTGTCAAATTATGTAAACTTCTTATAGATTTTTATTTGTTCTGTTTCATGAGCTAATATAAAAAATGTTGAATAAAGTAGCAATAATGGTGACATATCTAGTGTGCTAGTGCCTTTAATAAAATGACTTCTGTATTTCTTACATAAACATGATTTCTATTAAACATCTATTATTCAATTTAGAAAATATCCTTCTGTTTTAATTTAAAGTATATTTAAATAGATATTTAAATATTATAAAAACTTCCAGCATCTATGTAGATGATAATGTGATTTTCTCCCTTACTTTTCTTTCTTAATACAGTGAATTGCCGTAATAGTTATTCATTTTGAATGATCTTACATTCCTTAGATAAATTGAGTAGTAAAACATGCTGTTTAATTGATACAATTCTGTGTTTCATTTACTGAAGTATATTTAGAAAAATTTATCTTTATGTATATGATTCTTTAATTTTCTCCATATAAAAGTTTCTTTTATGTTTGATAAAAATCTATCAAATATATAATCATATAGAAGCTTTTCCTGATTTCTTTTTTAGTTTTACAATGGTAACTGAATAATGAATTAAGTTTTATATAGATATACCTATAATATAGAAAATATTCTTAAATTTAGTGAATACTTAGGAAAATTATTTTTTAAATCAATATAAAACATGATGAAATCTCACAGAATTTGAAATATGTATTATTCTTAAAGACCAGAGAACTTGTTTTATGCTATTAAAATATCCTATTCCCAACACTTAACACACTGCATCATTCAAAAACATTGTGTGAAATCTCTAAAGACTAATTAAATTAATTAATTAGTTTTTAAAGCATATATAATTATCTCTATTTTTCTTCAATATTTCAGAAAAATAAATTTAAATTTTTATATATTTATATTGAATAAGAAGAAATTGAAACGAAAACTTATTTTCATTAAGTTCTGGCACTAATAAACTGGATCTTCTAAATGTAACAATAGGAAACAAATTGCCTGCCAAGGAAACAACAGGCAGTGAAAAATCTATCTGGTCCTGCCTGCAGTTCTGAGCCTTATTCTCCGACAGCTGTTACTAGAAGATCTTTTAATGAGTCCCTTTTGTGAAGTGTAAGGTGAAAAGCCAACTTAGAGCATGATGAAAATGAATCACAGGCATATTAGTAGTGGAATATAACGGAAGAAATTAAGTATTACAAGTGAGAAATTACATTTTCAACGTTGCATGCACAGTAACTACCAGATCAGATCATTTCTGTCAGTATTGAGCAATAATATTTTAAATACTTGTAATATTTAATTTAAGCTACTTATAATGCTGGTAGCAGTTGTTAAGGAAATCCAGTATCATAGTGAACGTTCCAGTTTTCCATTTTCACCAAAGGGGAACAAATGGGGAATTATTTTAAAAAGATATTATTTATGTATATGAAAACTTTCAGGAGATAACATTGACTCCCAGAATTTAATCCCAAACATAAAAATATGTTTTACTTCTAAGAATTATTACTTAATAATGGAGTTGGCATGTCTTTTGCAATTTCCGGAAAGTACATACAAATCATGTGTGTCATCCATGTCTATGGCTACTTGCCCAGGTTGGTTGAAATATGGTGCTAATGAGAATAAAGTCTAAGATCTAGTCGCTGTGTTGTCAGCTAGCCTTTCCAATTTCTTGATCAGATATCGTACCTTCAAAATAGACCTACCTTTCAAAGATGCACTAGTACTCACAAGGGAGACCATGAAATGGAAAGGAACAAATCCAGCCCTACCAAGAAAAAAAGAGATTATGGTTTATTGATGATGAGTAAATAGTTCTCTTCAAGTACAATGTTAGGCAGTATACATTGTTATGCAATGATGCCTTTTATATCGTTGTTACTTGGATGCTTTTCTGTGCAAATGAACCAAAAAATCAAATGTCTTCTATTTACTTCCTCCAAAAAGAAACTTTTAAGAAATTAGTCTACTTTCCAGTTTGAATATTTGAGCATCTAAATTAAAAATTATTTTAGATACCATGTATAATTGATATTATTATAGTACTGGTCTTTCTGTGCCTGGCTTATTTAATCTAGAATAATGTTCTCTAGATTTATCCATGGTATTGCAAGTGACAGTTTTTGAAGGCACATTGTATTCCATTGTGTATATATGCCACCTTTTTTAAATGATTAATTCATTGATGGGTACTTTGGTTGCTTCCATATGTTGGCCATTATGAACGATCCTGCAATGAACGTGGTAATGCAGTCACCTGGGGTGGGGGTGTACGGGAAAAGGGCAGATGATGGTCAAAGTGTTTCAAAAGTTTCACTGAGACAGGAAGAGTGAGTTCTGGTGATTGATTTCACAACATGGTGACTGTAGTTAATAATGTGTTACATATTTCAAAACTGCTAAAAGAGTGGATTTTAAATGTTCTTAGCACAAATAAGCAAGTATATAAGGTTAGATATGTTTGTTAGCCGAATTCGTTCACTACACAAGGTATACATGTATCAAAACATCACATTGTACCTCACAAATATAGAAAATTATTATTTGTCATTTTAAAACAGAGTAAAATTTTAGAAATTATTTTAGATAATATAGGCTGGGCGCAGTGGCTCATGCCTGTAATCCCAGCACTTTGGGAGGCCAAGGCAGGCTGATCACATGAGGTCAGGAGTTCAAGACCACCCTGGGCAACATGGTGAAACCCTGTCTCTACTAAAAATACAAAAAAAAAAAAAAATTAGCCAGGCATGATGATGAGCACCTGTAATCCCAGCTACTTGGGAGGTTGAGACATGAGAATTGCTTGAACCCAGGAGGCGGAGGTTGTAGTGAGCCAAGATTGCAGCACTGCGCTCTAGCCTGGGTGACAGAGCCAGACTCCATCAAAAAAAAAAAAAAGAACGAAAGAAATTATTTTATATAATATAAAATTAATATATATCATTATTTTAATATTTTATTTAATTTTCAATGAATATTTTTATTAGAGTTACAGGAGACTATACATTTGAGAGGGCATAGAGAAACACAGAAATATATCACATTTGTTTATCAATTTATTCACAGGTTTAGATTTAATCACTTCTATGTCCCTGTTGTTCTACTCAGTATTGGACAGATGAGATTTTCATTGTTTCCTGGGGTCTACCATAATTGAATTTCCTAAAGAAATGGTTTCCAAACTTTCCTAGTCTATGGACATTCAGTTGAGCATAACACTTAACACAACTGCCTTTAATACAATTCCATTAAAACAATATCTCTCATTATTACTTGGAAGCATGTTATAGTTTCTGATGAGACTTCACATGACATTGCCATTTAAATAAAATTTCAATTATCTTAAAAATTATTACATAAACTCCATAAACAAAATTATTATTGTATTATTATAAATATTATCATGAGTCTTTGCAGAGCATTTATATAACAGTGTGAGAACCATTCAACCTTAAAGTATAAATATGGGAATCATAGGAAGCAGGCTTATTATCAGAATAGTCAGAATTGAACAGTTCTTTGAGAGAATGAGGGAACAGTGACATATTAGCCATAGAATGGTACTATTCTAGATTTTAAAATTGATCATCTCAATTTTAGAAAAAAAAAATGAATGTTGAGCTGTGAGCATGTGTGGGCAGGGGTAACATCTATATTAACCACCCTCTTCAAGTGCACCAAGCAACAGGACAGATTATGTCTTACATAATGGCAATTTCAGGCATTACAATGAAATGCCATCAGATCTATATGCTTACGCATCTTGTCAATTTTTAAATTTTGGATATGTTTTGAAATATTATTATATAGTACATTTCTTGTAGTTAAAACCTCTGGTGATAACCTTGAAAGAAGGGTAACACTACTAGGTTCTGGAATTTCCAACTTAAACTCTTGTCTCCTGAGCATGGCCCAGGAAATATCGAGAGTCACTGTACTGGAAAGGATTCTGTGGACAGAGTAGTATTAATCACAGTAGTATTCAGTAATATTTATCAATTAAAAATATGTATGAGAGAAGGAAGAGTCTATGTTTCACGCTATTTTAATGTATACTTTTTTACTTTTTAAATAATTATCTTTTTAAATATCCTGCTTCTACTACCTCTAAAAGCTTAAGAAATAAGTTTTATTTTAGAATTATTAATTACTGTTTCAACATCTTGTATTATTTCTTGTCAACGTCTTAAAACTATTGAATTCTAAACAACTTTTGCTGTATACTCTTTTAAATGCAACAGGCTATGTTGATTGATATCATTATTTTCTGATAAACTCCAACATCTTTAAAAAGTTGCAGAATATAATATTTTATTCTATTCAGGGACATTTCCTTTAAGGCCAGTGTTAAAAAATTCATGCAGATCTCTCAGCAGATGTTTCTAAAGTACTACAAAGTAATCCATCTTCTTAGTTAATAGAGTACCATTACAAGACTTCAACTATATTGCTTTTATATGTACATTTTAATTTTTCTGTTTCATAAACAATCACTTTAGTATTTTTAAAAAGTAAACATTAAGCATAGTTAAATTACTTCTATGGCTCAGTGAAAACAGATGGTCATTGTATATTATTTAAAGTACTGCAAACTCTGGAGAATACTTTGTAGCAAATTCAGTAATTGGTTATATTCTTTGTTAAATAGTTTTACAACAGTAGCACACCCCTATGGAGATCAGATCTAAACTACAGAAACAAGTAATCCTTACTGATTCATTCCTTCAAAGAGGTTTTGAAATTAGGGGTAGAGTGGAAACCAGGATATTAATATATTGTGGCTTGCCCTGATCATTACTACCACAAACCTTTGCCCTGATCATTACTACCACAAACCTTCCCCACATTTTTTAACTCATGGACTGTTTCTTATGATTATCATTTAGTGAATCATCATTTAGTATTAGTTAAGTATTTTATGGATACTTAATTCAAACTTTGTCCAGCAGAATTTTATTACAAATGTTACAATAGCAGACAGTTTAAGTACAGTTAAAACGATGCTACACTCAGAAGAACAAGGACCAAAATAATACTTATTAGTAGTTTTGTCAGACACTATTTCCTTTGTCTCAGCTTTTTTTGTCCCTTGTCTATCACAAATACAGTCCAGATAGCAAAAGATCAGTGATGGTTTGTATGTTTAAGGATGAGTAAAGCTAACCCTCAAATTGAAAGTAAGCCATGAATAACTGAGATCAAATTTTTGAAAAATAAAGTAAGCAGTTGATTATGTATATTATTTCATATGAGAAATATGTTGCTTATGTATTTTATTCAAATATTTTCTTTTATATTCATACAGAATTTCATTTCTGGTTTGTACTTATGATACAAATCTGTGTTGGTCAAGATATTTAATTCCTATAATTTGCAATAGCTATGCTATGATTCTTTCTGCTACTTGTTAATAATTTATAACAGTATTTTAAATGATATTTCTCTATTATGCCAAAACTAAATGTTTCCTCATTTCCCTTATCCATAAATCTTGGAGCTTTAAAAAAAAATTGAATTGAATCCCAAGGTATTTTTGTTCCTTTTCCATAATACTGCTTTAAAAATACTTTTTAATATAAAACATGGTTCAGATTTATCTTTTGACTATAGATAATCCATGTTCAATTCTTGTAACAATGTTTTACTTTTCCCAGAATATTTGATCAAAAAAACCTTTACTTGATTGTCCCACTTAATTTGTACAGGTGTTATGTATTTTAAATTATACAGCTAACTAAATAACTATTAATTTTCAGTTATTTTCAACTTGTGGACATTAATTTTTTTACTGAATCTCATCATTTATGGTGAAGGCAAGTATTTTTTATAAGTTGATATATAGATATACAGAGATGAGATGATAGAGAGAGAGATAAAGAGACAGCAGGAAAAACAGAGAAAATGAGAGAGGAAGAGGAGAGGGAGAGGTCCTGTTCTCTGTTCTCTATTATATCACCTGGAATGTGTAACTATTTCTTTGAAAATAATTATTCTCATTTTTATAACACTGAAATCTTTCTATAACCATTGGTAGAGAAGTAAAGAATATTAGCATGAAATAATTATTAGTACAGCCATTCTATCATCTAACCCATTTAATTCCTCCATCCTGTGCGTTTTTCATTCAGCAAAATTTAGTTTCATTTTGAAAAATAGAAAAACTGTGTATGCTTAAAGACTATACTCCCCATGTTTTCAATGTAATCGTTGTTTCTTCAATAATAAAAAGATGGTGTTTATTATCTCTTTTTAATGATTATAGATAAATCTCTCAAGTTTCATATTTTAAGGGGGTGATTTTGAATGCTTTCTCAACTATAGTAAAAGATACATTTAAAATATGTATGTGTATATATACATATAGCTCACTCACATATATTTTCTGCTGAGAAAATTTTTATAGTATCTTTGATAAAGAAAATCCACATTCTATACTGCCTATCTATGAAGAAATTGAATACCTTCCTATTTTGCCATATAAATAATTTAAAAGCTATTCCTCATCTATGCAGTTGTTATATTTCTTTCTCTGAATGTTCTGTCAATAAAATCAACATCTAAATTCTTAATTGACACATCAAATTATAATATTGGCTTCTTATTAAGTGCCCTTTCCTTCTTGCTACACCTGAGTTTACAGAGCATTTTGCAATTAAACTCATGATTAGTTTCCTTTTTACAATGTTTTCTGCAAGTCATAAACACCTAACCTGTCAGTGAAATAAGTGCTTTGTATGTAAATCATTACTAATAAATACAATCTCATTATTTTCTTATATAATGCTTTGAAAGTTCCACTCTGCTATTCTTTAAATTTTATTAATATCCTTTCTTATACCTTTATAAAAATATTACATATTTTCTCTCTCTTTAAGATTAATACTTTGTGAATAAATCTTTTAAAAGTGAAATGATTCCAGTTAATACTCTGTACTGAGCAAAATTACATCATGAGTGGGAGAGCAATAATTGGAATCCAGGAGATTTGAGCTCTACATCCTAATCCCAACTCTAGAGAGATTTGGCTTCTAGTCTGTAGGCAGGCCTTGTAGTTGGTTAGCAGTGTTCTTATTTGTAAAATGAAAAGATTAGGCTAGGTAATGTCCAAGTCAGCTTTTTTTCTAAATAGATAATGACAGTAATTTTTTTAATTCCATAAAGCATTAGTGACATCAGTGATTAGTTATGATAAAAATATGCAACAGATTTCCTAGAAACAAAATGATATAGACTTATTTTAGTAAAAATATTTGTTGAACTTTTAAAGGTTTTGCACTTACCTTGCTGCTTACTGTCAGCTTGATTCCAAACTTTTACCATGTGAGCTAATGTGTGAGGATTGTGAACAACAGCAGTTCTTACCTATAGGGCATACTACAGGTGAGGTAGTGAGCTCATTAGATCTCATTAGCTCATGTAAGTCAGTTCTAACAAGAGGCTATGAGGAAAATTTAGGGAAATTCAAGAGTAATGTGGAAGATATTCTAGGTGACCCTTTTATTTCTGAGGCAAATAAAAAAAATCCCTGCAAGATGGAAAATGAACTAAACAAAAACTATGGAATTTGATAAAACTGCATTATTTAATGTACCATTTAATTCACTTCAGTCCAATTGAATTTAGCAAATATTTATTGAATATCCACGCAAAACTTCAATGACAGTATTAGCATATGCAAATTATGCATAAACATTACAGTGAGATTTAGAACACTCGTGTCACATAGTAGGATTTTTAAAAGATTTAAACTAACAATATTATACATGTTCTTTGCCTCTCTCTTGGACTTATAACTTCTATATCATGTATTGATAAGAAATGTATATAGTCAGTATTATAAAATTGTTGCCTAAATTAACTTTGCTTATATTATTAAGCTTTTTTTATGCCTAACTTATATTTAGAATTCAAGGACACAGAATCTCAAGCAGCAAACTATCTTTAAATTATTTTATAATTTTATATTTCCTTATATTTTAAATACTATGAACTTCTCTTTATTACTTACAGTTACCATTCTTTTCCTCAAGAAGTTTATAGTTTTTCTAAAAAAGTATTGTTAAACATCATATATCACAATTAAATAACCTTGTCCTTGTTTTCCCAACTCTGCCTACTTCATTGCTTTAAGGCCACATCTTCTCACTGTAGCATGCCTTGATAATGATGTTTGGTTTATAAGGCATACTCCCAAGGAAGCAAAGAACTCATTTATCTATCTATGAATCATTGTTCTGTATAAAATAGGAATCCAAACCATATATCCTATGCCTTAAACATCAATTTGCAGAAACTAAAAATGCTCGTAATCACAATTTGAATTGCCTTTTGTAAATTAAGTAGCATTAGCAAAATGATAGCATGCCAATCCATCTCAGCTAATGTGAAGTTTCTATTAAAAACAAATATCAATAACATTTAATAAGGGGACATCAAAAATATATTGAACATAGAATTATAGCACTAATGTACTCTTCTGCTGCACAGGGAAGAGTTAGAATTTCCAGTGGTAAAATAATTAATATATGCCTTAAAATTTACATACCACAGTCATATTTAATCTTACTTGATCCTGACAATAAAACTATAAGGTAGGAATTAGTACTGTTATTATGTTTTATATAATAAGTTCAAGGTCAAAATGAATGATTTGTCAGTGGCCATATACCTGCCATTGCAGAGCCTTTACCTAATTTTTTCAGTAGCATGACTGTGTCCGTTGTTCTCAATCTTGGGGCCTATTATTATCATTTGGGGAGGTTTAGAAAAAAACTCTCGTATTCCCAACTCTCAGGTTAATTGAAATAGAATTTCTGAGTATAGAACTTGGGTATTGATAGTAAAAATAACAAACAATTTGCACTCTTCTAATTCTAATGTGGCAATCAGTTTTGAAAACCAATGTACTGGTAGTTAGGTTCAATAAATGTAGCTTAATGAATGAAGATGGTAGAGGAGGAGAATGCTAACATGTGGAACAAATCTCCTTACTCATATATTCAAGCATAACTAAGACTGTTACAAGTGGGAGAAGAAAACTAAAGTGATATGTTTGCCTTGAGGGGAGAAGTAACATGCTTGTCCATAGGAGGTAGATATTATCACTAGGGTAGCAGCTATATATGGTAGAGAAAAAAACAAAAAAAAAATTGGTATTGCGAAAACTAAAACGCTTTGTTTGGGTGATTACCTTTTGTCGTCATTACTTGAGGGTTCTGATTTTTTCATCACCTGCTCTTTCTATTCTACCTGATATTGCCATTACTCTCTTCATTTTTCTTTGTAATTTTTCAAATGAATTCTTTGCTTTCAATTTTATAGCATCAACTTGTCTGTGTTTAAAATTCTCTGTAAAGAGTCTTGAAATCTTAAGGGAAAACATGCAACAGCAGTCTAATCAATCAACCACAGCAGGCAGAGCTGTGTTGGGACACAATACTAAGAGTTTTAATAAGAGCCTTGAGTACTCATTTGCCCAGATTGTGGTTTTTCAAAAAATATATAAGACAGGTAATTCATTCTGCCAAGGCTACAAGTTTCCTCCTGTCCTGTTATCAGCCAATAAAATGTCTCCTTTCTTTATTCAGAATACATTCTTTATATTCTTCTACATGTTGTTACACCACCTTTGGTCTAGAAGAGCATAGTGGTTTTGCTTTGAAGCCTATTAAAAGATAAAATTTTATTATTTATGTTTTCTTATCCTTTAATTGGGTGGTTTTATTCTTTTCTTAATGTGCTTGAATCAATCAATTTTAAGTAGCTAACAAATATTTGATGATTCTTGTTCTGGGAAAAGTTAAATAGTTCTAGTGGTCTGTAGTTTATTCAAAATAAGTTTGGTATGTGAGGGTCAAAAATATTTGACGTGAAAACTTTTGAGAGTATACTGAGATTCTGAAATTATAACAAAGGAAGTCTTCTGGTTTAGGATGATTGGTAAATATTATCACCAAAAACACTTAAAACAAAGATTATATTTCTGGGGCATTGTTTAGAAATTGTTGCTTATAGAGAAAAAAATCATCCCTATCTTACCTTCCCCCACTCCAAACGCTCATTTATTTTTTAAAAACAGTGGTCTTGGTTAGATAAAGGATAATCACGTTCTTCTGGATTTTCATGACAATTTTATTTTATTATGAAGTTTTCTTCGAAATTCTCTTTCTCCTATTTATTCTTTTATGCTTGAGGGCTGTTGGGTGCTTGTTATTTTTTTCATTTTGCTTTTATTTTTGTTGTTGTTATTGTTTGTCTTTAGTGCTCTTCTGTCATCTCAAATTAATCTTTATTACATTCATATATTGGGACATAATTTTGAGTAGTTCTTCATATTTTACTTCATATATTTCCTGTTGATATTTGACATGTATAAAGATGTTAGATTAGTAGCGTAAAACTCTTGGAGAAGAAAGTTTGAAGAAAATCACTTAGAAGTACAAGAATGGCACACATTCTATACTTCAATGAAAATTTAATTTTTAGCCCTATAGCACATTGTATCAGAGAGCAAATAAACTTTTAAAAAATGATTGCTGCAGCATCAGTCACCTACTAAAGCCACATTGGTTTTGAGAGATGCAAATGTGGCCATTAAGTTAACTAATCAAAGATCTGGGAATTCTATTCTGTAGTACCAATCTCTGTCTTTACAGTTAATAATATAGAAACTAAAAAAGGTTTGAAAAGAACAACATTTGACTCCATTTATGAAAATATTTATAATGTTTTCATGTGAATAGATTCAATTTAGAGTTACATATTTCATTTTTAATATCCTTTTTTATTATGATTGTTAGCAATACATGGCAGCTCTCAACATAAAATATGTGCGTGTGTGTGTGTGTGTATATATATATATATATATATATATATATATATACCTTAATGTACATTGCCAACATGATATGTTAACATTTAACTCCCTATTTTTGTTCACGTTAATAGGAAATAAGTTACCCATTTTCTCTCTGGAAATATCACCCCAGCATAGCTAAAACAGCATTTAGCAAGAAACATGTTACTTCTCACATCTAAGATTCAATATCAAATTTAGTATTTCTGATTTTAGTAGGAATCCTGCCTAGGGAAGGATTGCTGAATAAACCCTAATTAATGCAATATTTTACTTGTGACAAATTTTCTGTAGACTGAGGTTTAGAAAATAAAACTCAATCTTGTGACTTATTTGCTTCAGATAAGAGGAAAATAGATCAAGAAAAACAAAAATTTGATTTCTCAGTCATGTTATTTTTAAATAAGTTTTCCAGTACACATTGTAAATTGTACAAACGTATATCATTAGCCAAGAAAAATTAGATATTGTATATTCAAAGACCAATGATGGGAGTGCTTACCCCACACTGCCACTGACCAGATATTGCTGGTAATAGGAGATATATAAAAGAAAAAGAACATTTCTGTATTACACTGAGTTAGGAAAATATAACATCTGCAAATTTTCCCTAGATATCAGTCATTAGATTTTCAAACTGCTAATTTTCAGCAAAGATACATACTAATAATCAAAACTTGTTTATATATGGTTAATATTATCTCTGATTCATGGGATTATATGCACATGCTAGAGTTTTCTTGTATTATGTACAAATACAAAGTTGAAAATGTATTAAAAATGTTGATATGCCAAATTGTTTGCTGCATATGAATTTAAATCATATATTTATATTTTAAAAATGATTTCTGTCAAGTTCCAGATTTATTAAATGGTGACAATTTCAAAATCAGTGTATGTAATTTTAATAAAGCATATATTTTAATTACTTTCTAGCATTTTAAAGGTTATTTATTTTTTTTGAGACAGAGTCTTGCTCTATTGCCCAGGCTGGAGTACTGTAGTGCAATCTAAGCTCGCTTCAACCTCTGCCTCCCAGGTTCAAGTGATTTTCCTGACTCAGCCTCCGAAGTAGCTGGGTTTACAGGTGCGCACCGCCATGCCTGGCTAGGTTTTGTAGTTTTAGTAGGGACGGGGTTTCGCCATGATGGCCAGGCTAGTCTCCAACCCCTGACCTCAAGTGATCCACCCGCCTTGATCTCCCAAAGTGCTGGGATTACAGGTGTGAGCCACCGCGCCTGGGCCATTAAAGGTTGTCTTGTTATGACAGTAATTGAGCAGTTAGTATTACATTATTTTCCAAGATGATCTAATTACAAGCAGATATTTCATAGTACACTTGTCCCTCCCCTTTGAAGAAGATTGGTTCCAGGGCCCTTGCAGAAACAGAAATCGATGAATTCTCAAGTCCCTAATATAAATTGACATACTATTTACATATAACCCACCACATCCTCCCGTATACTTTAAATCATCTCTAGAGTACTTATAATACCCAATATAATGCAAATGCAATGTAAATCATTCTTATACTGTATTTATTTTTCTATTTTGTTGTATTATTATTTAATTTATCTATTTATTTATTGTTTTAAATGCAAGGTTGGTTGTTTAACAAATGTGACACTCCCGGAAACAGAGGGCCAGGTGTACTATAAGACATACTTTGTTAAAATTATTAAAATTTAATAAAAAGTAGAAAAGCTGCTATATTTCTAGGGCTGCCAGCATCTTGGTCGCTTATATCAACGTAAATTTATCACTTCACATTTCTAGAGGAAGAAAGTCTGAAATCAAAATATTGTTAGGGTGGTGCTCTCTAGGGGAGAATCCTTTCTTACCTCTTCTAATTTCTGGTATTTCCCAGTAATCCTTGGCACTCCTTGTTTTATAAATGCATCAATTCAGTCACATAGCCATGTTTTTCCTTATGTGTCTTCGCATGGTTTTCCCTTTGTGTATGTCTGTGACTGGTTACAAATTTCTCATTTTTATAAGAACACCAGTCAATATTGGATTAAGGTCCACCCTAATAACCAAATTTTAACTTGATCGCCTGTAATTCTAAATAAGGTCACATTCTGTGGTACTAGAAGACTTCAACATTTCTTTTTGGTGGTGACACAATTTAACCCACAGCAGCTGCCTAAGCTAATATGAGTGAGAAAAAATAAGAAAGTATTAATAATCCTTGACAAATTTATAAAAGATGGCATTTTTAAATGAAAACCTCTGAATATTTCCTTTTGAGTAACTCTTTTTAGATATTTGTCATCCAAAAGTATTTCTCAAAATTCAAGTTTCTCAAAATTCAAATTTCTCAAAAGTCAACATCTCTATTAATCTTAACCTTGCTGATTGATCTTTTTGTTGTTATTTATATTATTAAGCTGGTTTTAACTGGCAGTAAGTTTTATCTCTGAAAAAGTAGAATAGATTTATTTTACCCAGTTATAAATACCCAGTCAAAAATGTTCAAAGATGCGAAAACATACCATCTTCAGAGCTTCAACAATAAATTTATTTTATGGTGATTTCAGGAGTAAAAGCACCTTCCAATTACATAAATCATTAATGGTATATGGAATAGAAAACAGTTTGTTTTCTTGTAGTGAGAATTGTTTTAACATGTTTAGTGTTATATGTACAACAAGGTCAGATAAGTTTATCATTTACAAGTTAGTGCTTCTTTAATGTCTCCCATTAATAACTATGCCAACTTAAACTTTAAATTTGGTTAACACATCAAAGTAAATATTTCTTTCTAACCATTTTATATTACTGTTCTCTAGACCTCATAGCAGAAATCTAGAGTTAAGCATCTTCATATTAACTCTAATGGAGGCTAAAGATTTGTCTTTTGCAATACAACAACTAGTTCATTGCAATCTTGCTCTAGGTCTTAAGGAGGAAAAAGTAAAGAAGAAAAATTTTGTGCAACACATTACAGTAATTCTTTAATATGTGAAAAAATCACATTGTAACACAGTATGCCATAGTCTCATTGGTTTCCAGGTTGCACAAGATTTTAATGTTTTTATATAGCTTCATCTTTCCTTACATATTTCCATATGTTTCTACTACCTCACTTTTAATCAGTCTCATTACATTGTCTGCACAATCAAAACTCAAACTGTTTTATAACTCTTTAAGCATAGAGCCTCTTATATTTCCTAACTGTGAAATTCTCTGTGATCATTTCTGGTAAGGACAGGCAGCTTTCTATTGAAAAAATAAGTTTCTGTAACTTAGACTTTCAATCTTTTTCATCTAAATTAAATTGATATATTTGATAGTTGGCACATATTGATTTGCTATCAAATCATATCTCTAGGATGTGCCACATTTTATATAAACTTTCTTATAAACTGATATACAAGCATCACTGTACTTTGTAGTTTATTTTATGAGACTACTAAATAAATCACCACTAAAGGAGAATATTGTTAAGGAAAAATCTTGTTTTAAAAAAGCCCAGTGGAGACACATAAAAGAGAATAGAGAGATAAAAAGACAAAAAAAATCCAAATTGATTATTTTTAAGTTATGAAGTAAGTATATGGAAATATTGCTACCACAATATAAGAGACAACAATAGACTGGTCAAAGAAAAATTTGGAATCACCTTTTGACTGTACCTACAGTACTTTTGGTATTGACAAAACAACTTGACTCAAAGTCACTTTGATGTGGCATCTGGGTATGTGGGTGTCTTCCTGTGTATGTGTGTAATAGAATAATTTACTATAGAATATATGGACATAGCATAGCCTTAATATAACAGATCTCACAGCTTCCTAGAACACTTAGTGTGAGCATTTTTTAAAAGGAACACTACATATTGATTATGAGGAAAAACTATTTTCTAATATGATGATACAGCTACATTGTACATTTATATGTCTATACAAGCGTGACCAAAAAATGATCAGAGTGTTCATCACAGTCCTCTGTAACTGTTTTACTTCTTTACGAGTATGTCATCTCCATTTCTCCAGGCAGAAAACATTTAACAGTGTGAAATTACAGAGGAAAAAATATCCCTACCACAAAACAAAATGTCCTTCCTGTGTGTATCCCTGCATCACCCAGGAAAAATGAGTGAATGCTTCAGTTTCAAATTCCATACTTTAGAGTCCAAATTTACTTAAAATGTTTAAATAGTAAAGCAACCATTAAAACTTCTCCAAGTAAATATTAAATGTGTGCAAACACAAAAGATGACTAATATATAAATATTGACCCAATTTTCTTTTTCTACAAATGTTCTATTAAAATACATACAAATATTAGTGGAAATAAAATTTCAGCTGCAGTAAATATTGTAGGAGTCCACCATTAAAAGTCCCCAAATGCGGATGGATTACTGAAAAATAGTCATTAAAAGTGGTTGAGGCTAAGGGAGAAATAGCATTAGGAGAAATACGTAATGTAGATGACAGGTCAATGGGTTTAGCAAACCACCATGGCACGTATATACCTATGTAACAAACCTGCATGTTCTGCATATGTATCCCAGAACTTAAAGTATAATTAAAAAAATTTTAAAAAGACATGCACTTAATCCTTGGGATTTTATCATATATAATTTTTATAAATAAGGACTTTATTTAAAAATGTGGTTGAACTGATGGAGAAAAGAGAATAGAGAGAACTAACATACAAGATGTTTGTAGGCTATGTGAAAGCTTATCTCCTCAAAGACACTGCCATCCAAGTTAGTAAATAAAGGTGATGGGGGCTGACTCTGGGCTCAACATAAGAGTACTTAACATATGTAAATAACTACTGGGCTAGTATTTCAGAACTTCCTCAATTACATGAAATATCTTGCTGAGAACTATTCCCTTGGTACCACTGCTATCTATGTAAATTTTGAAGATCAGATTAGGTAAATTTGTAGTGTGGGCATTTGAACTGAAGATTTAATCAGCATAAATCATCAAGATTTAAAATTAAATTTAAAATGCTTTAATTCTAAAAGTCCTTGGATAATAATTTTTGGCTTGAGGCTAGATTATTGTTATTATTATTCACATTAACATTTGAAAGTTAATTTTAATAACTTTAAAGTTGACAAAGTGTTTTTTCTTGCTTTAAGTTTAGCAAATTGTTTAGTAGTAATGTGCCTGTAAGAAGATGCTATAGCAGAAATAATAAATTTTAAACATTCAAATAATATCCATTAAATTTGAATATTTTAGAAAACTGATTCATAAGATACAATTGTATCTTCATTGTAATTTTATGGAGATAAGATTGATTATAAACATAAATTCTGGTTAAAGGACAAATGTTATTTTATTACTGATATTGATTATTGGATTAGTGAGACATTTATCATGGAATATTTAACTAGAGTCATGAAGAATGTCCAAAACATTCCTTAACATTATTTTCAGTTTGAAAGCATTTAGTATAATTTTCTTTTCACACAACAGAAATTTGTTTCATGGATATGTACTAAAGAAGGAACTGAAAGTCCAGTTAAACAGACTACAGCATTGGCCACAAAAGTCTTTCTAGAACTGTTATCTAAATCAATTTTTTGTCCATTTTCAATTGCTCTTACCTAACTTTCCCAGCCCCTGCTTCAGGCAAACAAGGTTACTACAAATTAGTTTGCATTTCCAAGAGATTTCTATAAATAGAATAATATAGTATGCCTTCTTTTGTGTGTTTGAAAAAGAAAAGGACGAAAATAGAATAAAAGGGTATGAATTTCCAGTTAGAACTTGAAATATTTTTAAAGGTGCTACAATAAATGGTACAATGTGGCTGACTCAGAAAACTAGTATGAAAAAGAATCACACTGAATATTTTAAAATGAGGGTTCATGTATCTTCTCTGACATCAACTGCTGAATAGCCTTGTCAAATGCAATAGTTTAATAAGTGGAACACAGCAGGAAAGGATGGATGTGACAAGAGATAAACTATTTTGGCCTCAATTTGTTACATATAAAATGAAGGTGCCCTTCAGGTCTCTTATTCTAACTTGGTGTGTATTGAGTCACATGTGTTTTGCTAAACAAAATTGTTAGAAACTGTCTAACTGGTATTCACACATTTTGCACAATTACTGAACTGAATTAAATAGTTAAGAAGGAGTAATTTCTGCTCTATAACTTTTCTCTTGTATTTATTTTGTCTTTTTTAGCAGCTTTATTAAAAAGTACATGGCATATATTAAGTTACACATACTTAAAAGGTGCTATTTGATAAATGTTGACCTATATTTATATCCAGTAAACCATAACCACAATCAAGACTGTGATTTATCACACTAGAAGTATTTTTTGGTCCATTTGCAATTCCTCTTACCCAACTTTCCCCAGCCTCTGCTTCAGGCTAACATTGTTACTATAAATTAGTTTGCATTTCCAAGAGTTTTCTATAAATAGAATAATATATTAAGCATTCTATGTTTCACTTCTGTTACTCACCGTAATTATTTTGAGATTTATCTATGATGTTGAGTGTGTCAATAGTTTATTTTGCTTTCTTATTGCAGTTACATTTAATTGTCTGAATACTCTACAATTTATTCATTCTGCAATTGATTGATATTTGGCTTGTTTCTAGTTTAGAATGATTACAAAAAAGAATGGTGCTATGTTCATTATGTATGAGTTATTGATGTACAAGTCTTTACGTGGTCATATTCTTCTATTTCTCTTTGGCAAATACCTACAATAGATCCAGGTTGGCTGGATCATATTCTAAGTAGAATGAATTTTAACAACTGTGAAGCTGTTTCAAGAATAGTTGCACTTTTTCTGTGCCCAATGAAAGTGTGTGAGAATTCCTGTTCCTCTAAATCCTCATCAAGATTTGGTATAATCTGGCTGTTTAATTTTAATCATTCTGGTATAGGTAGCATTGTCTAATTATGATTTAAATTTGCCTTTTCATAATGACTAATGATATTGAACATTTGTCATGTTCTTATTTCGTTATGCACACATTTTCTTTTGTAAATATGTTGTCTGTTCAAGTATTTGGTATTTTTTTAAACTCAATTGTTTGTTTGAATTGAGAGTTTAAAAAAATACATATATTACACAAACAAGTACTTTATTCAATATTTACTTTGCAAATATGTTCTCCATTTTGTGGCTTGTATTTTAGTTATATTAACACTCTTTCAAAGAGACATATTTTTAATTTTGACGAGGTCTAATTTTTTTGATGGACCATAATTTTGGTGTCATATTTAAGAACTCTTTATATAACTCAAGGTTTAAAAATTATTATTCTATATTTTCTCATAGAGCTTTTATATGTTCATTAATTTATTGAATTAATTTTAGTTTAAGTTTTGTGGCATGGATCCAAGTTCATCTTTGCATATTGACATGCTACATTCCATCTTTATTCATTGAAAGGACTAATCTTTTTCCAGTGAACTATCTCATAAACTTTCTGAAAATAATTACTTGTTCATTTATGTGTGGACCTATTTTGCACTTTGTCTTGCTTTGTTTTGTTTTTAAGATGGAGTCTTGCTCTGTTGCCCAGGTTGGAGTGCAGTGGCACAATCTCGACTCACTGCAACCTCCACCTCCCAGGTTCAAGCGATTTTCCTGCCTCAGGCTCCCCAATTACTGGGATTACAGGTGCCCACCACCAGGCCTGGCTAATTGTTGTAGTTTTAGTAGAGACAGTGTTTCAACATGTTGGCCAAGCTGGTTGCAAACTCCTGACCTCAGGTGATCCACCCACCTCGGCCACCCAAAGTGCTGGGATTACAGGTGTGAGCCACCGTGCCCAGCCCTGCACTTTGTTTTGACATTAGGTGTATAAATGATAGGGACAGGAGGCAGACAAATTCCTAAGCAATCAGGGACAGGTCCCCAGTGAAACTCGACCTTCAAACCAAGGATGGTCTGAAGGCAGAAAACCAAAGTACCAGATCTGGATAGAGTCCACAAACTGGAGTGAGAACTTCCATTCCCATTCCCATTTGGTGTGCTCAGCCCCTGATTGGTCCCAGGCCAAGACTTCACTTCAGCCCCTGATTGGTTCTTTACACTATTGTACCTCTTTCTGAATGGTGCTTTTCCCAAGTCTACCTATAAAGCAATCAGCACACTTTTCTCCATTCTAAGCCAATAAAAACCCTGGACTTAGCCTCATAGCCCGCAACCCACTTTCAAGTCCCCTCTCACTGTTAAGAGCTTTCTGTTCAATAAAATTTTACTCTGCCTTACTCACTATCTGATAACTGCGTGCCTCATCCCTCTTGGTTGTGAGACAAGAACTCAGAACTCGCCAAACTGCAGGAGTGAAAGAGCTGTAACATCCCCTCCTGCTTACAAACTATGGGAGTAAAGAAGCCGTAACATAAACATTTAGGTTTGTTATGTCATTTGGATTAATTGACTCTTATCTATAAAGTGACTTTTTCTATTTTGTAAATATTATTTATCTGAAATGCATTTTGATGTTAATATAACCATTCTAACTTCCTTTAGATCAATGTTAGTGTGGTGTTTCTTTTCTCATCATTTTACCTTCAATTGGTTTTTGTCTTTATATTTAACATGTATTTCTTCTAGGCAACAGATAGAATTCAATGATTATTTTAATAATTCAGTTTTAACTCCTTTGTTGACTTATTACACATACCTTTTTATTTTCTTATTTTAGTGGTTTCTCTGGAGTTCCCAGTAACTATTTTTTACTTATTATGGTCTACCTTAAAGTGGTACTAAATCCTTTACACATAAGAACCTTATAGTAATACACATCAAATTCTCTTCTCTCAAACTTTATGCTATTGTTATATATTTTACTTAAATGTGTTATAAGGTCACATCACATTGTTATTTTTGTTTAGTTTATTTTAAAAATTAATTGGAAAAGAGACACTGCCCATGCAGTTACCGTATCTTTTTTCTTTTTATCCTTTTAATTTTTTTAGATCCATATTTTCATCTTGATTCATTTGCCCCCTGCCTGAAAGTCTTACTTTAACATTACTTACAGAGAGGTCTGCTGATGATGAAGCCTCCAGCCTTTCTAGATCTAAAAACACCTTTATTGAAACAAGAGCAGTATTTAGACAGAGCTAAAAGTACTTTATTAGATGCACTACAAATTATAATTTTCTGAGTAGCTGGTTGAGGAATGAATTATTCCATATCCACCATAGCCATATAACACTCTTTCCTCTAATCCTTTCTGATGTTTCTCTTCCTAGCTAGGGTTAGTTTCCTCACACATGGTACTTATTAGTCTATTACTGAATATGTGTGAAGCACCCGCTGCAGATTTCTGAATTTTCTATTTATCTCTTTTCTTTCCCATACTCTGTCCTATGACTTTTGCTGCTTTGGTCTCCTCAAACCCTCAGCTGTCTTCTCAATGTAGAGTCTGCTGGGCTTCATATGCATTTCTCTTCTTTTTGCCACAGCCTGAATACTCACTCTCTCAAGACAGAAGGTTTGAACAAAGCTGGGTCACTTACTGGTTTATGATCTCTCAAGCATTACTATTCTGCAATGCCTGATGACTAGTGTCTTGAAAACCAATGTTTAAAGGTTTTTAATTAGCTTTTCTTCTTCTCCCTCTTTCTCTTCCTCCATTGGTCAAGTTAGGAATATAAATCTGGTCCTTGTGTTTTCATCTTGGCTGTTGTAGAAGTTCTTTCTTGTACTTATTAATTATATTAAAAACAACAACAAGCAAGGGCCACTATGAGCTTGAAAATATAATCTTGCCACTTTATTTAGTAAATAAATTGGCCTAAAATAATATAATTTAATTTTCGGGCTATCTCAAAATGCTTAACCACTTGAGGAATAATTATACAGCTCCTTATTGGTCATTTTTTATCAGAATTAATACATTTTAATTTTAATTGTTGGTATTTTAATTTTTATACCTATTACTTCATGGCAAGTGCTCAACTTTTTATGAAGGTTTAATTTCTCTTCAACAACACAGACGATTTGTTATGCCATTGTATTAGCTTTCTGAAAGTTCAAGATAAGTTGTGATGTAACTATCACTTATTCAAATGTCAAAATGAAGCCAATTAAATGAAAACAAGAATTCCATGCTAAAAAGGAATAAGAACAATCATCTAAAAATTTCTTCAACTTCTTTTCTATTAATTATATTAATATATATGGGAATGCTATATAGATGGCTTGAAAAAATTTCAAAACAATGTTGTATTATCTCAAATAAAGTTATTTATAATCTAAAACTGTGAATTTGTCTATAAATAAAATATATTTTACAATGAAGTAATATTAAAATGACAAAAATATTGTTCCATATACTAAGTAAAATTTTGCCTAATAAAAATATTAATATATATGTTCTTATGAAATTTAAAAATAACATTTAGAAATCGTCAAATACCTTCATTCCCTTATTGATTTGACATATTGTATATTTAATCATAAAAGCATGCCATTTAAGATTTGTTAGACACCACAAAGGTTATCTAGCAGAACCACTTTTGCCAGTGGATGAGAAACCTATCGCCCAAAGATTTTCTCACTCAAAGACGCACAGATAATTAAAACCAGAATGCTCCACATGTAACCAACCATTCACTGAGAAAGGAAATGGTTTGACAGACTGAATCCACATCTCTGCCATTAGGGAGGACCTTAAGCTAGAATTGCAGTACATGTGACAAATGTATATATGAATGAATCAAAGGATGCTATAAGTGATCATAGAGTGGGTTGGAGATGTTCCGTGTTCTCAGAGGAAGAGAGATAACAGAAGCTAAAACCCAAATCCTAAAAGATGACTGAGTTTAACAAGTCCAGTAGTGGAAAAAGAGTGACCCAAGAAAAAAATACATAAAATCTGGGAGTTTAAAAAGAGAATACCACCTTTGAAAAATGTCATCCTGTTTAATAATGTTAATGCCAAGAGTTGAGTCAGGTGAGTGATGGAGAAATTGGAGAAATGAGCCAATAGGTAAATATTAATAGGATATGGTAAAACTTTAAATTTTTTTCCTGGAAAGATACAGAATTATTGAAAAGTTGTAGGCCAGGAGATAATACAAGGAAAGGTGACCCATCTCAAACTGAATTTTGAGTTCAGACCCTAAGGAATACAATTTACACAGTATAAACATTAAATATGTTTGTTTTGGTGCAGTCTTCCAAACCACCTTCGAACAGAGCTTCCTCCTGTATTAAACTAAAGTATTAAAGTAAGGGATAGGAAAGTTGTCTCTGCAATTTTATTATCTGTGTCTGGGTATCAGGGCACTAATAGTCACCCTGAATCAGAATTCAAATTCAAAGATATAGGACAAAGGAGTATGCACACACACACACACACACACGCACAATATTTTTCAAATAATCTTTCTAACTAAAAACATCCCTATACCATTGTAATAAAATGTAGCTGTTTATCCACTAAAAATTAGCATTATGTACTGGCCATGTTTTCTAAAACACTATTTTTAAAATATTTATTGAGGAATTATATAGATAAATATATTTGGTATACAACATGATATTTTGACATACATTTAATTATTTCACATTGTGATTGAATGATTAAATCAATGATAAATGATTGAATCAAGCTATTTAACATGTCTATCATGTCACATAATGACTTTGTGGTGAGACATTTAGGAGATCATTAAAATCTACTATCTAATCAATTTTCAAGTGTATAATACATTATTATTAATCATAGTCAATATGTTTTAATATGGACCTCGAGAACATATTTCTAAATGAAACTTTGTATTCTTAGATCAACATAACTTTTTATCACATTATGCAGGAGAAAGGGTAAGTAATATCCTAATTTTTTATAGGTAGAAATGAAGATTCAGTAACTTCTTTTTTCAGCAACTGTTACTTAAATGAGAAATGCAATACTTGTTTATGGGTTATCTGAACAAATGAATGAAGAAATGCATATCTAATTAACTATCATTGAATACTACTTTTTAGATTTCTATAAGATTTACTTACTGAGGGCCCTTATTTGAAATCCTAAGCAATCTAAGAGGAAAGGAGCTTTTCAATGTCGAATCATTTAAACGTTAAACCTCTTTTATGCCATCAAACGATATTTTGTCTTTATTTCTTTAGAAGCAATCATTTTAAAAGATGGAGAGACTGGAGTAATAAAAGAAAGAGTTAGAGAAGATAAAGATTAGCTACTTTCCTTAGAATGAATGTTGAATCATTTCCCTTGAAGGGAGTGGAGAAAAGGGGATTTTGTATCCTAGGCTTTGACCCTCAATATAGCAATAGAAAAGTCATCAATTATTCTGCTAATTATATTACCCTAAATATAATAACCGGTCTGGTTTTACTTATCAATTGAACTATGAGGAAAAGAAAAGATTAGTATGTTTTTAGGGAGAAAGATTATCAGCAAAAAGCCTGAGGCAAGTAGTGGGAGAAGTGAAGGCATTTCTGTGTGTGTGTGTGTGTGTGTGTGTGTGTGTGTGTGTGTGTGTGTGTGTGTAGAAAAGCCCACCTGGCTTTATCATGACTAGAGAGCCTATGAATCCTGGCCCAAGTGAGAATTGACACTGCTAGAAAGAAGTAGTCAGGTAGTAGGCCTAGGGAAGGGTCAAGGCAACTGTAGGCTCAGAGGTAATCAGTTTCATAGGCGACGATCTTATGGCATCTGCATCCAGTACCTTCGCAGACCACAGGAGTCGTGCTACCGGTTCTCCCAGCAATATAACCTGGAAAAAGCATGTACTAGAAATAGGTTGTCAGATAAAATATAGGATGCTCACAATTTGCATTTTAGATAAACTACAAATATTTTTTAGTATTCAAGTATGTCCCATATATTGCATGGGACATAATTATACTTAAAAAAAAATCCACTCCATCTGAAATTCAAATTTAAATGGATGTGCTGTATTTTTATCTGAAAACTCTGTTTTTTTGTGTGTGTTTTGTGTGTTTTTTTAAGATGGAGTTTCACTCTGTGGCCAGACTGGAGTGCAGTGGTGCGATCTTGGCTCACTGCAACCTCCAACTCCCGGGTTCAAGTGATTCTCCTGCCTCAGCCTCCAGAGTAGCTGGGATTACAGGCACGCACCACTACACCCAGCTAATTTTTTTTTTTCTGTTTTTAGTAGAGACGGGGTTTCACCATGTTGGCCAGGATGGTCTGGATCTCCTGACTTCCTGATCCTCTCGCCTCGGCCTCCCAAAGTGCTGGAATTACAGGTGTGAGTCACCACGCCTGGCCGACATTCTTAATTTGAAAAGACATGTTCCCACAGTGCACAGAGGACAAGGTAAGATCAAAATAAATTGTATTATGGGGTAGAGATAAATAGTAGCCCATTCTTGGATTTGAATTGAGCACGCTGAACTGTGACAAGAGGAGGGAACTGAACACCTCTATAATAAATTACATAGTTTTCTCTAAAAAAGAAACAGGAAAGAAACATAAGGGCTATGAAATTACTGTTCTCCCCATTTCCAACTAAACACTTCTCAAATTGAGATATAAAACTTCACGTGACTCTTTCTAGCTTTCTTCACTACTTAAGCCTAGAGTGGGTAGGGGGAAGCAGATATTTAATTTGATGTTTTTTAAATTTCAGTCAATTTTCCATATTCAAGACTTTGCTTTAGCTGCTTTAGTTATATTTTCTCATATTCCTTCTAGAAGTAAGATTAAATGTTGCTTCTTCTTCATCTTTGTCTATATTGAGATCTTCACAGCTAAATGTCCTACTCATGTTCAGAGCTTCCTTATGTTGCAAGTTGAAGCATATTTAAAGAAACAAACCTAAACAGAATATAAAAATGTATAAGATTTTAAACTAGTTACATTATAGAGCTTCTGATATGGAAACTAATGCTATTCTTGATCTTAATGATTTTGGCTAGTTGCTTTGAATTTATTTTTGTTTTTCAACTTATAATTAGTCTGAACCTATCCACCCATAAGTACTATACCAATTGCACTTGCCTGATAATACATTCAGTTTTATTCTCCTCAAAGAAGACAAATATTTAAGATGAATATTTGGAAGAAATACTTCCCTTAATTTAAAGCTAACAACCACGTGTGTCAGTATGTTTCTGTTCTTGGGGGATTTGTTTTTGTTTGTTTTTGGTCCAAAAATGATAAACTTTTCATGACATATAAATAAATAAATAAATATAATTTTATGATGTTAAAAATAGGGTGACATGCATGGTACATGGCTGTCAAAATCTCTTGTGGCTCCACAGAAAGTACATCATAATTACATGCCAAGTACCAACTATATTAGAGCTAATTCACTGTGGAAAAAAATATTCAGGTTATCTATTGAAAAATCTGGCCATTCACAACTAACATAGAGCTGCTTCTTTTAATCATTATTCTGGTTATTAAGATGAATAACATATTTTATCTTGAAAAATGATAAAGCCAACTGCTGTGTGTTTAAATCCATCATTGGTTTCCTCGAGTCATCACAATTAGAGATGGAAAGGGACCATTTGGTCATATCCCTCATCTTTCTGTCTGGGCAAGCTTTAATCTTTGAGTAAATTCTCTAGTGCTTTGTCTAATCTAGTTTTACATAACTCAAATGGATTACTTGGAAGATTTTACCACAATCTAAAAACACCTTGCTGCTGGGAATTATTACAATGATAATATCCATATCTTTGCACTGCTTAATTTCCCATTAGTTTTATCTTTGCCACCTGAGAACAGTCCTGAGCAATTCCAAATCCTCCTCCCATCTCGGTGTGCCACCATTCAAATCAATGTAGCTGTTGATCGTACCCAACCTAACACTTTTAATCTTGTTTGACAAAATGATTTGTATATCTTTTAGCAACTCTATGTCTGCCAACCCCTGTAGCATATTTGAAATTAACGAGAAACCTGACAGATGAAGATGAACGTCTAATAAAATACAGAATTAATGATTTCCATGACAAGAGTTCATTGGAACATTTGAGGCTTTTGTTTCAAGTGAATTCTAGGGATTATTTGCTAAGAATATGACCCAATAAATATGCTAGGAATATCTTCAGACATATCTCTATTTTTATTTATAAAATTTTCCTGTTGCAGCTTCCCAGCACTCATGGTTTTTATTCACTAACTGCCAGCCACCTTCCAAGACATCCCTCAAGTAAAACAGAAGTCCAATAAAAAAGTCATTTGTTCTATAAAGAACCTACCTAGTAGCTGCCTAGTAGATTGTAACAACATGTTCAGACTAAACTGGTATTGTCAATGCCTGTCTAGTCTAGATTTCCAAGAAACAACTACATTTGAATGTATCATTCAAATTGTAATCATATGATAATCTTATGTAAGGAATGCAATTTTATGTAAGAAACATATTTTTCATGTAAGAAACCCTGGCAGGATAGAGAATTGGCAGGAGGTGAGAACATTTTTAAAGAGACTATCACTAGAATGGAAGCTCTATAAGGGCAGGAATTTTTGTTTGTTTCACTGATGTACACCTAGTTCCTAGATCCATTCATACATGTTCAATGCATAAAGAGTTTCTTTTTCAATCACTTAAATCACAATTGATAGGGCAATTGAAGACAATATACTTTTTGCTTATCATTAAATCATTAATTCAAGAAATTTTCTTAAGCCTCATAATTATCTTGTCTACTCATTCCTTATGCACCTGTGTTTCCATCTGGATATAGGCTTTTATTACAGGAAGAAAAGGAGTGATTGTGAGAATCTAGTGGTTGTGCAAGGGGAAGGATCGCTTTATAGTTATTATACTATGTAGTCTTAGGAAGGCTACAAAGGAGAGTTGGAAAAAAACAGTTAAAGCTCTGGAGAAATGTGTTGGTCTGCCAAAGAAGGAACATACAATATAAACTCTGTGAATTATTTAATTAAATGGATCCAGTCGTGAAGTAAATCTTAATATTGAAGTCATCAACTCATTGACAACATGGTGCAGTGTCCTATCTTGAGCAAAGGAAGCTTATGAGACATAGTGTTTTCATTAGCAGATTAAGAAGGGGCTTCTCAGTCTTAGAGCTGTATACTAAAAATAAGGCATAACTGTTCTATGAGAATAACAGCTTTGAAAAGATGTCTGGTGACTGTTAACAGTGCAAACAAGAAAGTGATCTTTATATCAAATTGCATTTTTTCTTTATAGAAAAGTAAATTCAAATACAAATCTTATGCAATCTGCTATATTTGAGAAATTAAACATAAAATATCACTGGATTATTTACGCATTTTATCACAGGACATGTTTAAAGCAAGCAGCATATTCAAAATACCATAAACAACCATTTCAAAGTCACACAGCTTTATAGCTATTGTTAAAACCAGTAGACCTGAAACGAGAAGCTGTTTTATGTTCAAAATATAGCTATGTTTGATCAATTAGGTTTTATAAAATGGAAATCAGTTTCCTTTTCTTCTGCTACTAAGAAAAATGTGTATTAATTTTTATAATAGAATCTGTCAGTTGTCCTAAGTGCTGACCAGCTCACTTAGATTGCTGAAAGCAGTATGGGAAATTTTTCTGTGAAAGAATTCATTGTGATAGGGTAGGATTGGAAGTCTATTACTAATGTCATGGGCAATGATTAAAAAAGCTCTAGTTTTAATCCCTTCTGGCTTTATTGAAAGAACTACTAAAGTGACATAGTGTCTTAATCTACAGGCAGATTTATTAGGGTGGAAATCTCTCTTGCTTTGTATTTAATTAGCTTAGTCTGTGGAAGGAACCTGGTAGCAAGGAAATCTCTCACTCTGACACAAAGCATTGAACGATGAACCATACTTCAAGCAACTAAAAGAGAGGCGAGGACATTCTAATAAATTAACTACTAAGGAGAAAATATGGCTATCAGATCATATCTTTACTGCAGTAATCTATGCTTACATGTTTATTACCTAATTTAAAAGCTTCATGTTGCCCAGTTTTGCTTGGGACATTAAGTGGAAAAATGAAATAAATTCTAGCATATAAAATTGTTGATATTACTGTAATAATCTAGACCCAAATTCTTATGAACTTATTTATAGAAAATTGACCATAGTTAAATCTACGTGTATTGTCATTATTAAGTTACTCACAACAGAAATAACAAAGCAAAACTGATATAATGTATCAAAAAGTGTAACAAAAAACTTGATCAAGAAGAAAGGGAAATCAAGAGGCCATCCAGATTTTACTTTGGCTGATTAAGCAAATTATTAATTTTTACAATACAATTCACAAAAGTCACAGGTTAAAAGACTTTGTTCAGTGCATACTAGAAAAATTTTTTAAAAGATAAAAGATTATTTCCAGAAATGTGAAAACTTATTAAAAATAGAACTCAAGAAAGGTTTTTAACATGTTCTTATATCAGGAAGTTCTAGTATTCCCAACGTCTTTGTGGAAGAAGTAATTTTTTGGTTCACTACTCTATTTTAAACATTTGAGAAACAATCAAAAAACATCACACACCGGGGACTGTTGTGGGGTGAGGGAAGGGGGGAGGGATAGCATTGGGAGATATACCTAATGCTAAATGATGAGTTAATGGGTGCAGCACACCAACATGGCACATGTATACATATGTAACAAACCTGCACGTTGTGCACATGTACCCTAAAACTTAAAGTATAATAATAAAATAAAATAAAATAAACGGGTAAAAGGGGCCCTAAATGATAGCAGTAATATCATAAATCAATATAACAACGTATGCAAAAAGAACAATTTTTTTTGAGACAGAGAGTCTCGCTCTGTCACCAGGCTGGAGTGCAGTGGTGTCATCCTGGCTCACTGCAACCTCCGCCTCCGGGGTTCAAGCGATTCTCCTGCCTCAGGAGAGTAGTTGGGACCACAGGTGCGCGCGGCCACGTCCTGCTACATTTTTGTATTTTTAGTAGAGACGGGGTTTCACCATGTTGGCCAGGATGGTCTCCATCTCTTGACCTCGTGATCCGCCAGCCTCGACCTCCCAAAGTGCTGGGATTACAGGCGTGAGCCATCACGCCCGGCTGGTATGCACAAATTTTAAAAAGATCTTCACACATTAAGATAAATAAAAGATGTAAAGAAGTGGATGGATCCACTACATCTCAATAAAAATTCCAGAAGAGATTATTGAGGTAATTAACAAGTTTTATTTTTGTAGATTTAAATGTAAGAGAACAGCCAAGATCTTAAAGAACCACACATTTGTAGGACTTAGAGGACCATACATTAAAATTTATTATCAAGTTATATTTAAGAGAATACTGGCCGAACGCGGTGGCTCACGCCTGTAATCCCAGCACTTTGGGAGACTGAGGCGGGAGGATCACGAGGTCAGGAGATCGAGCCCATCCCGGCTAGCACGGTGAAACCCCGACTCTACTAAAAATAAAAAAAAATTAACTGGGCATGGTGGCGGGCGCCTGTAGTCCCAGCTACTCGGTAGGCGGAGGCAGGAGAACAGGGTGAACCCAGGAGGCGGAGCTTGCAGTGAGCAGAGATCCCGCTAAGGCACTCCCGCCTGGGCAACAGAGCCAGATTCCGTCTCACAACAAAAACAAACAAACAAACAGAATATTGAACTAAAAATAGACCATTATACCAATGAAACAGAATACCAGAAGAAAATTTTTTGACCCAAATTCACATAATATATAAAAAAAAAATCAATTCCACGTGAATTAGAGCTCTTTATGTGGACTAATAAAGTTCCTTTAAAAAAAGAAATCATGATATGAGTTGGCTCTGTGTTCCCACTCAAATCTGATCTTGAAGTGTAATCCTCACATGTCAGGGAGGGACCTGGTGGGAGGGGATGGATCATGGGGATGGTTTCCCCCATGCTATTCTCATCACAGTGAGAAGTTCTCATGAGAGCTGATGGTTTTGTGTCCAGAATTGGTGGGTTCTCGGTCTCACTGACTTCAAGAATGAAGCCATGGACCCTCGGGTGAGTGTTACAGTTCTTAAAGACAGCGTGTCCGGAGTCCGTTCCTTTTGATGTTCAGAGTTTCTTCCTTCTGGTGGGTTCCTGGTCTCACTGCCTTAGGAGTGAAGCTGCAGACCTTCACAGTCAGTGTTACAGCTCATAAAAGCAGTGTGGATCCAAAGCATGAGCAATAGCAAGATGTATTGCAAAGAGCTAAAGAACAAAGCTTCCACAGTCTACAAGGGAACCCAAGCGAGTTGCCACTGTTGGCTTGGGCAGCCTGCTTTTATTGTCTTATCTGGCCCCACCCACATCCTGCTGATTGGTAGAGCCAAGTGGTCTGTTTTGCCAGGGTGCTGATTGGTGCCTTTACAATCCCTGAGCTAGACATAAAGGTTCCCCAACGCCCCACCAGAGTAGCTAAATACAGAGTGTCGATTGGTGCATTCACAAACCCTGAGCTAGACACAGGGTGCTGATTGGTGTGTTTACAAATCTTGAGCTAGATACAGAGTGCCGATTGGTGTATTTACAATCCCTGAGCTAGACATAAAGATTCTCCACATCCCCACCAGACGCAGGAGGCCAGCTGGCTTCACCCTGTGGATCCCGAAGCAGGGATGGGGTGGAGCTGCCTGCCAGTCCCGCGCTGTGCGCCCGCACTCCTCAGCCCTTGGGTGGTCCATGGGACTGGGCGCCCTGGAGCAGGGGGCGGTGCTCATCGGAGAGGCTCGGGCCGCACAGGAGCCCACGGAGGGGCTGGGAGGCTCAGGAGTGGCGGGCTGCAGGTCCCGAGCCCTGCCCCGCGGGAAGGCAGCTAAGGCCCGGCTAGAAATTGAGTGCAGCGCGGGTGGGCTGGCACTGCTGGGGGACCCAGTACACCCTCCGCAGCTGCTGGCCCGGGTGCTAAGCCCCTCATTGCCTGGGGCCGGCAGGGCCGCCGGCTACTCGCAGTGCGGGGCCCGCCAAGCCGACGCCCACCCGGAACTCCAGCTGGCCCGCAAGCGCCGCGCGCACCCGTGGTTCCCGCTGGCGCCTCTCGCTCCACACCTCCCTGCAAGCTGAGGGAGCTGGCTCCTGCCTTGGCCAGCCCAGAAAGGGGCTCCCCCAGTGCAGTGGTGGGCTGAAGGACTCCTCAAGTGCCGCCAAAGTGGGAGCCCAGGCAGAGGAGGCCTTGAGAGCGAACGAGGGCTGTGAGGACTGCCAGCATGCTGTCACCTCTCGGTTTTAAAGTGTCACTTCGTCAGTCCAGCTCTGTCTCTCTCCTGTCGCCTTGTGAAGAAGGTGCTTGCTTCCCGTTCCCCTTCTGCCACAATTTTAAGTTCCTGAGTCCTCCCCAGCCATGCAGAAAGGTGAGTCAACTAAACTTATTTTCTTTATAAATTACCCAGTCTCGGGTAGCACCTTTATAGTAGCGTGAGACTGGACTAATACACTTAGCAAAACATTTCATAGTTTTGGGATTGGCAAAATTATTTTTAAACAGGTTAAGAGAAAAACCAATGACAATAATTACCAAATTGGTTCATATTTATATTGATTTCTTTTCAAATAGTATCATTAGGGATTCTAAAGCAAGTTAGAAAGGGAAAATTTCGCAGTATACGTATCATAATCAGAATTATGAATATGAAAATTACAGTAAGATAACAATATGTGCCTACCTTAATCACTGAATTTACAAAGACAGAAACTGCTAAGTGTTGGCAAGGATGTGAAGTAACTGGAAGTCTAACTAATCTATTTGGGAAAAACTGTTATTTCCTAAGGCTGAACATATGCTGACCTTATGAAGAAGCATTTCTACTCCTGAATATTAAACATATCTCCATATATGTGTAACAAAAGATGACACAAGTGTTCAAAGGAGAAATGTCTGTAATAGCCCCAAATGTCATTAATAGTAGAATAAATACTACTCTTTCTAGCAGTAGTATATAATAGTAGATAAATACTACTATCCTACAACAGAATGGATACAGCACAATAATAAAAATTAATCAAATACCCCAACATACCACAACATGAAGAAATCTCACCAACCTAATGTTGAGAAAAATAAGCCAAAAAAAGCATACATGCTTAAAATTCTATTTATATATTAAGCAAAATTAGGTAAAACAAATTAATTTGATAGAATTGGGATAGTGGTTATCTTTAGGTAAGAGAGGCAGGTACTTCTCAGCATAAGAATAGCTCTGGGCTCTGATATAATTCACTTACTAGTGGCAATATTTATATGGAACTAAAATACTTACTTGCCTTTAAGATGGGAAACAGGAGAGGAAATAGCACACCATGAATAATACAAGCATGTCCCAGGCACTCCTCATTTGGTATATACATGATAACAAGAAACTAGGCCGAGTGCGACCAGACTAACTCAGCTCAGAGAATCTCTCAGATTTGGGGCTCTTTAACATTAATGTTTAGTCTGTGCCTTCTGATGTGTGTGTGTGCATGTTACTAGTTAGTCTCAAGGTTATATGATTAGCAGCCACTCTTAGGCACAGTTGTATCTATTAAATAATCCTAGTTACTTAGTGCCATATTAAATGACCCCAGTACAGGTGCTTGATTTGGTACATGAGATTGAATTTGACAATCAACACCATAAATAGTTTAAGAGGGGTTAAACTATTTATACTTTAAGAGGGGTTAAACTATAAATAGCCAAGAGTTAAATCCTTAGACTTCCCTGAGGCTAGATAAAGACCATCTATTTATTTTTCTTTTCCAGGTACATAGTACTTGATTTAAAAATTGTTTCAGTTATAAAAAATATTATTATGAATATAACTTTAAAAATTACATTTTTTATTAAAATGATTTGTATGTTTTGGAAATCAATGGTTCTACTATAAACAAATATGAGTGGTTCATATTTTGTTGTGTAATAAATTATGTTATATAATTTAGATTTACATTAGAGGAACATGATTTTTATTGTCTATACACTAGTGTTAAGATATTATTTCACTTTTAAGAGATGGGGTTTCACTCTGTCACTCAGGCTGGAGTGCAGTGGTGTGATCACAGCTCACTGTCACCTCAAACTCTTGGGCTCTAGTGATCCTCTCACCTCAGCCTCCCGGGTAGCTGGGACTACAAGCACATGCCTGTAATTTTTTCTTATTTTTTGTAGAGATAGGATCTCATTACGTTGCCCAGTCTGGTCTTGAACTCCTGGCCTCAAGTGATCCTTCTGCCTCAGCCTCTCAAAGTATTAGGGTTTCAGGCTTGAGCCATCACATCTTGCTACTATTTCATTTTAATGTTGACAAAAAGTCTTTAGAACATCACTGTGGCAATATTTAATCTGAAAAATGTTTTGTATCAGCTTTCTTTGATAACCTTGCATAAGGTATTTTTATAGAGGTTACAGTTACTGAGAAGTGCATGCAGTATAGTAATCTTTTCAATATATTACCATTTTATAAAGTGTCTCATTGGACAGAGTGGAAAAATTTTATATCGAGTATAATTTTTCAATCAGCATACTTTGTAAATCTCTATAGGAGAGTCACACATTTTTATAACAAACTCCTAGCTACAGAGAGACACAAAACTTGTTTTAATAAGAGAAAAGCCCATTATTCAACTAAAAGCTGTTTACCGTGTATCCCCACACTTCCAAAGAACTGAGAAGATTCTTTCTTTATCACAGCCCTTCTTCTCTACGCTTCTTGATTGCTTTAGCTGTTGTCACTAGTTATCCCGGTGAGGGAATTCTGTCCTGGTTGTTCCTCTGTCCTCACGTTTGACAACCATTGTTCTGGCATCCCTTCTGTTTAGCTCCTTCTTGCATTCGCAGATATATCACACTTTCAGTGATAAATTAAACAGTGACCCTGCACTTTGCCTCTTTTTCTTTATCTAAGTATCTGCCATTTTTTACTCATTTAATGATACCATATAGCAAAAGGTGTGGAAATGATGGGACAATGTGTGTGGGGAAGGAAAGTGTGTAATTTGAAGAAGGCAGACATGCAGAAAAAAAAAATCAAAATAAATTCAAATGTTTAACAAATGTATTTGCTTAGGAAAAATATCCAGAAGAAAGTCAGCAAAATTTTCCCTTTTTGGGGTCTGAGAGATCACCATAATTTTATTTATTTATTTTATATGTATCTGTCATTTATCCTTCAAGTATTATCCATGAGAATGTATTTATACCTGATAGTTTTTAAATAGAAATGTGCATAAAATTGATGTTAGTGGACTTAAACATAATTTGACATTATCAAAATTTCAAATCTGATGGTGTCTCTATCTGATTTCTCTGCTACTACCTTCTTTTTTTCTTTTTCAACTTTTCTTTCTCTCATTTCCTAACCACCACAAGGTCGAGCTGAAAGGGAAAGTTACGAGACAGCAGATTGATGACGTTGTATATTGGAAAGAGAGAAATGAAGTTCATTTACTCTAGCATGACGTAAAGTTTAATGAGCTTAACAGAGGTATATGAACTTGAGCAGCAGCCTTACCTGTACTCTTTCCGTCTCATTCACCACACTCTTGAAAACCAATAATTTATAAAATTCTGTTAAATAAACAGATGAATGTTAAAAGAAATGAAGGTAACTGAATTATTTGAACATTCAATACAAAGGCTAGAAAGCAGGACCACGAAATGGAATTCTAGTTATGTGAATGCTGATGCTGTGTGCCAGCATTTGAATTGGTAGATCTCTTCATATTAAATCTTTTTTACAATATTCCATCAGAGAACATTCTACTTCAGTTCAGGTTAGATTAAGCACACCACCTTTGCTTTGGCTTTTTTTGGTATTCTTATCACTTTAAGAAATTATTTTATTATTTACCTATTTCTTAAAACATTAATAATTTTCTACTACATTTCATATTTTAATTTATTCCTTAAAAAGTTAAGTGTTTCTAAAAAAAAAAAAAAAGAAAACCAGATGCTTTATATCTCTCCTGTTTGATCATTTGACGATCTAACAAAATGTTTAAAAGGAATTATTTAGAAGGCATATCAAACCTTTGCCTTGAATGTTCAAGCTCACTTTGATATGTGGATAGATCTAAAACAGCCATAAAAATCACATACGCCAAATGATTCAGCTAGTTATGTTTAAATTAAGATATGTGTGCGTGTTTCAGACTAAACTAAAAAATATTTAATGAAATATTTAATTATTTTTCATTGCCTCAAATTATATAGGGCATAATAAATAGTTGTTTATAGTATAAGGGAATAAAAATAGAGGTAGAGAATGACTGTCAACATGAGCATAGTAATTGCCGTTTGTGTCTTCAATATATGCATTGAACTATATCATATGATGATAGTGTTAAGAGACAGCAAGATGATTAAATGTATTAAATATTTTTGTTTTCTTTTTGTAGTACTAGGCACTAAATACCACTCATATGAAGTTATTTCAACATTCTTTGGAACACAACATAGTTTTCTTCATTAAATTTGACTACCCTCATAGCAATTTGATTTTTTATAGAATAAAATATTTCAACACATCTACATAGGGTACTTTAGGTTCACTTTTTCTGTGTTTTTCTATAATTGACAATTTGGCTATAAAGCAAATTAAAACAAAACAAAACAATGCATGATGATATTTTTAAAAATTGACTAAAATAATCAACTTTCATTTCTGTTCTAGCTCAGGCAGGTGTAAGCCAAATCTCTTTTATCTAAATTTATAGTGATTTATTACTTTCATTATTGTTCATAACAATGATCTATTCAAATTTCTTTTTTTTTCCATTTTTGTTCTATTTAAAATTATCAAATAAAGAATCAACTTAACTTTATATTCTTGAAGTACGAAGTGATTATTCACTTTCATTTATCATATTCATTACCAGAATTAATATGTTCAGGAAGTATTTTCAGATTCGAGTATTGAATTAAAAACATTTACCCTCTAAATCTCAACTAGCTGAAAAATATATCACTATTGTAAATGTTATCATTAATATTCTTTTTTAACTTATTGATTATCTTTCAAATTTTATTTATAAGTGTCAGGTATTTTTCTGCCTGTCACAGTCGTTAAATAATGTTTCTAGCACTATAACTTTCTCTCATGAAGTGAGTTAAGTATCTCATTTAACTGTAAATTTTCTTAATATTAAAAAAGTTAAAGAAGGAGCCTCTCTTGATAGAGTTTAACTTCTCAACAAATGTTATATTTAATAAATAAAAGACAAAATTTATTCTTAATGTCAACTTTAGACAAAAACAACACTAAAAATATGTAAGGAAGATAATGTACCCCTACTCTCAAAAGCAAAAAAGACTGCTTGTATAAGAGAATTTGGGAACGTTGTGTACATTTTTGTCTTTGTTCCAGCATCTATAACCATGCCTGGCACATAGAACAAGCTCACTAAATATTTAAAAATAAATTATGTAATCTCAAATCAGTTTACCAATATCCCTGGAAGAGTATCTGCTTGTGAGATAATTTAGCAAACTACTTCAAAAGCATAGAGCATTATCTTAGAGCAACATTTTACACAGAAGACGTTGGAGAAATATAACATGACATTGTAATATATATTACAATATAAAACACAAAATTTATACTAGTTTAAGATCAAATAAAGGTGACATCAGTTCATTTTATGTTGTTTGCAAATCCCTAGCTATGACTCCCATTGGCTATTATGTGCACAAAATACAGCAGCAGAAAGTCATTTTACCCTTATCAAAACTATCACAAAGAATAAATATGAACTATGTGCTTTGATGCAGTTCCAAAAATAGATCGATACATAGAACCTATGCAGATATGGGAGGGGAAGAACATTGTCAGTACAATGGAAGCTCTACATCGGCCCCTCTGTGATCAAATCTCCCCTTTCCCTCAATGCCCACAACAGTAATAATAGTCCTCATGAATTTTTTCTTCTTACTGCTTTTGGTTTTTCATTGTTTATATTTGTCTAAATATGGAAAATATAGTTGTTTTATATGTTTTTGAAATGTAATAAAAGGTATATTATTAGTCAGGGTTCAGCAGGAGAGGGAAATTATACCACTAGTTTGAAGAGCTCTTGAAAATTAAAAGTCAGTTACTAAAAAGGTGCAAAAGAGAACTCTAAACAACACAGAGCAAATAGAACAGGTAGCTGTTACTTCTGGAGCTAAGGGAGACTGAAAAAGGAAGGACATTAGAATATGGAAGAGGAAACTCCCCCACCAAAAGCTGAGATTTATACTTCATTGGAGAAATGTGGCTGCCATAGATACATGCAGCCTACCAGAGGGAAAGCAGCATGAAAAATAAGAAGCTTACAGAGTGGCAGAACAACTCACAAAAAGGTGTCAGCAGAGCATGGCTAGTCTACAGAAAATGGCCCAATAATGGTGGGGATTCCCACTAGAGAGCACAGGAGAGGAAAAGCTCTCAATGAGGGACACTAAGGTGAGGACCACGGAAATCCAACATGCTGATCGCGGGCAGGCCCATCTTCAGAAAAAGCACTGGCACCAGGAAGAGAAGCTCCTTTGCTATTGCCACTGATCTTTGCTATTGCATCCTCTATTAACAAGCCTATGATTGTGCCAGCTGACAAAGGAGAAATGTTCACAAAGTGCAGCTCCAGTGTCAGGGAGTAGCTCCAGTACCAGGGTTAGAAAGCAGATTTGGGTTTGAGAATCAATACAACACACTAATATGGGCAATAACTGTACACTAGATGTACAACTTTACACTAGAGGTACACTAGTGTACAACAAATACACTAGATGTATTCTTATGAAACTACTGTGTGTACCCTATGTGTGATATTCATCCCTCTGACATGGGTGGCCCTAAGCCACTTTTGCTGTTTTTCGGATTCTATTGTATGAATATATCTGTGTTTCATGAGGTTGCACATTCAATGTCACTGGAAGGCTCGCACCCCCTTCTTTAAGATACAGAAACATTTCTCTTTCTTACAATTAGACTTAATAAACTTAATACACTATATCCACTTAAATAAATAAATAAATACACAAAATATTTGATAACCTCAGGTGTTACCTAAATGAGATCTTTTGCCTATGTTTATAAAAATAGCTACCATTTAATAAACATTCTGTACTAAGAAACATAACAAGACACTCATTAATACATTTTTCTTACAAAACTGGTATATTCTGAATGTTTGTGTCCCCCCAAAATTCATGTACTGAAACTTAATCCCCATTGTGATAGTATTAAGAGATGGGAACTATGGGGGGCTTAGACCTCACAAATGGGATTAGTACCCTCATAAAAATTGCCTGAGTATGTTTGTTTGCCCTTCCATCAAGTGAGAACACAATATAAAGGTATCATCTATGAAAAAGCGGCCTAACCATACACTGAACCTGCCAGCACTTTGACTTTCGACTCCTCAGCTTTTAGAATTGTGAGACATAAGAGTTCCTGCTGTTTATAAAACACTCAGTTTATAGTATTTTGTCACAGCAGTGCACATGGACTAAGACAATAAATCTCATAATAGTTTCAGTATTAACAATACTATATTATTCTATTTTATATATCAAGAAATTAAGAAACAGATTAACTCACTTTCCCAAGATGTCATAGCTAGTAAATATGAAGAATATCATGAAAAGTATTTAGCTCACAAACTCATGTCTTTAATCATTTTGGCAAATTGCTTTCTTATATCACCCTTTGCAACAGGTGCTGACATAATAATTTGACCCTTCACTGTCATGCTTTCCATCTTGGTACTATTAATAAAAATACATATTTTTATTATATGACTAAGAAGATTTCTTTTAGTGGAAATGTTAATCTATTTTCCTTATTTTTCATTTTTAATTTCTGTTTTGCCCATTTTTACTATTAATTGGTTCTTTTTGTTAGTTTGAGAGAGGGCCTCACTCAACTCAGGCTGTAGTGCAGTGGTGCCATCATGGTTCATTTCAGCCTTGAACTCTTGGGCTCCAGCAGTGCTCCAGACTCAGCCTCCTGAGTAGCTATGATTACAGAAATGTGCCACCACACCCAGCTATTTTTTCTTATTTTTTTTTTAATTTTTTTGTAGATACAGGGTCTCACTATTTGCCCAGGCAATGATTTTAGTTTTGATTTTGAGAAAATTTTTCTGTTTTTTTCCCCTTTTTAAAATTATGCAATCATGTATTTGTGATTATTCCTCTCCTCCCTCAGTGCTTTGGAACTGTTACATAAAAACATTTGAAGTAGATTTGTATTGATCTAATTGAGAGTTTACAACAGCTATTTTCACAGTGCCTTTGTCAGTCTACACTTATTACCAATAATTACCTTTTCTCATTTAAAAGAGAAACAAAACAACCGTAACAAAAACAACGGCTTAATATTCAGCATGTTTTCCTTAACAAATATATTTTACTTTGAGGCGAACAGAGTTTCATTCTCGTTAAATTTGCTTAGTAGTGTATAGCAATTTAATGTAGACCGATTACTTATATTAAAAGAAACCAAATATTCTAAAATATACTAATTTTAAGTGTTTGTTATTATATTCACATTATTCATCAGAACAACAAAGTTTTTAAATGTAATTAAAATATTCTAAGTAATGAAAATGTCTCAAGAAATAAATTAATGCTGCTATAAGGTTTAAAATAATCGTATTATTTAAGCACTGGCCATTGTTATTTAAAATATTACATAATTAAAGGTCTGTACATTTTTGTTGTTGTTCATAGCTTGAGTTAAGGCTTGACTCAAGAGCAAGATTACTATCATGTATATAGTTTTTATCTAATCACCAGTTTTGTCACCATTTTGATTCGCTCATCAATGTCAAATAGTGACTAATTTGAAATAGAATAACCAGTAGGGAATTTCTCCCTTCTCGAGACCAAGAGTTTTCAAGTCTTTCTTACGTGACTAGATAGAAAACAAAGTCGACTTTGTAGCCCATAGGGTTTCTGGTCTCAATACCTCTGCCACAGTGTGAAAATAGCCATAAATAATACATGAATGAATAAGTAAGGTTGTCTTCCAATAGAAATTTATTTATGGACAACAAAGTTCTAATTTTATAGAAATTTTATATGTCATGGGATATTATTCTTTTAATTTTTGAAAAAATATAATAAACACTCTGCTCTTGGATCATACAAAATCAGGCAAACTGTATCTAGTTTGGTTGTGGGCAGTAGTTTCCTGACCACTGCCTTAGATAAATAGAAAAAACTTGTTTTTTGTTTTTTATTTTTTCCTCTCCAAGCCAGTATAGGATATTTCTTGAGTGGAAGGTCATTGCATTAAAAACAATCATAACATTTTAGAATTAAAGACACTTATGCAAAGATGTAAGTATTCAGCTCACTGAAGACACTTTGCCCCAGTTCAGGATGTGATACTAATTAGGAAGCACTTCAAATTAAGAATTTCTATTCCACATTAGTACTAAGATTTTTCCTGAAGAGAAGCCAAACTATTCTCACGAAACTCTCTGAAGAAATAGCCTTCAATGTAATCTGACTCGTTTTTTCTTTGAAAGTAAAATGGATTATTCTTCAGCTTTCACCGTTTACGGCTAATTGCCATTTGATGTTCAGATGTTTTATACTACGTGTCTTAGAATCCATTATATTTTAAATGTAATAAGACATCAGAATATCTTATTATATAAGTTTCAGGTAAGTTGGCTTTTGAAGGATAATCGTGGTTTTGTATTTGACTCTCGCTTCAAGAATTCCTTTTAGAATATAAATTTCAGTTTGCTCTTTCCAAGTTAGGGTTAATTTTAAGACCATTTATTTGAAGGTGCCCTTTTGTTCAGTTTTGAACTCCGGCTAATAAAAGGTATTTTACTTTATAAAAATTCCCCTTAATAGTTTAGCTACTGGGAGAAACAGAATAGAATATGTTAGTTTAAGAATTAACACAAGATATATGGAATACCTGTCATTTTTATTTCATAAATTGTCCATTTATTCATAAAGATGCTACTATCAGCCTTATTAACTTGCTGCAAATTAGACAAATTACAGGACGTTCTAGTGCCCTTCCAGACATCCTACTTTGTATCATCATGCCTTGGGGACTGTGAAGTTATTAACAACTTAAACTTCATCTTCTCAGAGCCAGTTTATACCTAATTATAACAAAACATGCTCAATTCCCTATCTGAACTTACCATCAATATTGTTAATAGACCTGTTACTTTTTACTTCACTAAGTAGAGAATTTCTAATATATAAAAGATGAACTTCCCGTTTATTTCCAAACAATGGCTTAAATTTACCTTGTCTTCAAGAATTATAGAATCAGTCAATAAAAGCCTTTTTAGCTTTACAGAATAAAAATTATTGTATGGCAAAAATTCTAAAATCTGTTTTTTAAGAAATAATGCAAAATAATACCTTTTTTTCTTATCTTGTGACTGCTGTAGTTCAGGAGTTTCAGCAGCCATTTAAACAATTTATTCAAAAGTGTTTTCTATAATCCATTAATAATTTGTCTCTGATTTTAGAAAGAAATAAAAACTTGTGATAAGTCTTAAATGTTTAACAGTCAATATTTATAGAATTCAGTCTACCTTACTTTTAGTACTTTTTTTTTTCTATTCTATGGCATTACAGTATCAAATTTATCACATCTTTAAGTGTGATCTTACATTTGCTCTATATGTGCATTTAGAAAAAAATTATTTTCTTTCAAATGTAAGTGACAATAGCTAGGCACAGTGGGTAGCGTCTATAATCCCAGGGACTCAGGAGGCTGAGGCGGAAGGATGGCTTGAGCCCAAGAGTTCAAAGTTGCAGTGAGCTTCCATTGTGCCAGTGCACTCCTGAGTAAGCCTGAGTAAGAAAGTGTGACCCCATCTCTAAAAAAATAATAAGTGAGACTATTTAGAGAAACAATGCAGAAGAGAATAATATTGTTTCCATATTCACTCCTTGTTTCCTAAGTTTATCATTTAATGCAAATAGATAGAAATAATAGAAGTAGGATCTCCGTGGATGTAAGGCAAACACAGGCTTTTTCCACAAAACGTAGAGCAAATTAAGGGTATATTTAATTGAATTACAAAAGAGTTGGCTTGTAAGAAGATCTTGTGTACAGATGTAGTCAATATAGCAACTGTGGAGTGATTTTGGAGTATGTCAAAAAGTCAGCTAATTTCAAAGAATATTTACTCGATGTATTATTTCCACTTGATTGCAGAACACATAAAACATAACCACTCTTTCTCTTGTCACTTTGCTTGTTCCTTCTCTTTAGGTCGGAGTGCCAGGAACTCAGCCCATGGATCTTTTCACTTTATATTTGTTTCCTGGTGATCCTATTTAATCTCTGTCGTGTAAATGAGACTTCTGTCATTATATATCTGACCCCAAATCTTCTCCTAAACATTGTCTTTAAGTTATATCCAAATTCGTTCTTGATATCCCCACTTGAGTGGAAAACTTGATTTGATGAATTTGAATTGTACAATGTGAACTACTGATCTTTCCCTCCCTAAACATGTTCCAACTACAACCTTCCCCATCTCGAATGATAGCTTCTCTATCTTTCAAAATGTTCAGGCCAAAAATATTGAAACTGTACCTTTTTTATTCTAGCACACCGCATGTACATTTTACATAAAGACATCTAGCTAATATGGTCTAAAAAAATATATCCATAATCAAAGCACTCCCTGATCCCCCTCTTCCCATAATCAACATCCTAGTTCAAGCTGCCATTATCTTTTACTGGATTAGAGCGATAGCTCAATAGTCTTTCAATACATCTCTCTGCTAATGTACTCGTCATTTTAAAATCTTTTTTTCAACATAGGTGATACAGAAACCTCTTAAAATGTAAATAATATTTGTTTTATTCTCAAAATTCCTCACTGGTTCCCAGTTCACTTAGTATAAAGCTAGAGTTATTAGAAAGTCCTGCAAAACTCAACTTACTCTGACTGTCACCTGCTTGTCTGATCTTTCTCAACGCTCCTCTCATAAGTCCGCTTTGCTACATTAGTCTCTTTGTTGTTCTTCAAACACCATAGGGATGCTCAATCCTTATGGCCTTTGCACTGTTTTATTTTTCCCATAACATTGTGGCTACCTCCCTTAGCTCTATAATGTCGTTTTTTAAATGTCACTTTTGAAATGAGGCCTGCTCTAACTACCCTATTTAAAATTAATATCTATACTCCCATTCTGCTGAATATACTCTGTTTTTTCTTTTATTTTATGATACTTTATGCCTTCTTCTATAATACATAATTTACTTATTTTATGTATATTATTTATATTGTTCTCCTGCAGCTATAAAAGCACTATTTCTTATACACTGTAGGCTCTCCATTTATAAATGGAAATTGTAGAAATTTCAATATTAAAGAGAGAGAATTCAAAGTTACCAAAATGCGATTTACAATCTCAACGGCGTATTACCTAACATAAAAGACAGAGAGACAAGCAAGCAGACCGCTGTAATTCAGAATGACAAATATTTCAGAATAAATATTTATATGCCACTACATATTCAGAGAAGAAACATTTGGGGCCATGGGCTGAGGATAGTCAGTTTCTTCCTCAAAAGCAATGTCTGAACAGTGCATTTTAATAATTATTAGGAGGTACCAGATTAATAAAATATGAAAAGTGAGAAGAAGTGCCATGGACTAATATAGATCCTAGAACACCACATGTAACTTCAGTGTCCTATAATCCTATCCTAGCATGGAGTTGGAAATTTAGGAAGCTCATTTATCAAGATTTTAAGGATGTTGTTACAGAACTCTGAAGATTTTAATGGAGACATCACATAACTAAGTGGTTACTAGAGCTGGAAAGGTGAGAAAAATGGATTATGAAGTGCATTGTAGGTAATGCTGAAGAATACCTATTTATTCTTTAAAAAGAATGGGGGTCATATGTGTGTTTAGAAAGGGGTCTGATTATACTTTGGCACCTATCAACCTACCTATTTCTCTCTCTCTTCTTTTGTCCATCTAATCATCTACCTACATCCATCTACCTATCTATCTAATTCCTAGTGTTCATAAAAACATTGCACTGATGAGAGATAAGCTAGAAATGGGAATACTAATTGCTAGGCTATTGGAAAATTACAAATGAACCAAGGTAGTGATATAAAGTAGAAATACATTTGGTTAAAGATTGCTAATTATTGCATCACATAAAATCAGCATTTACAGTGTCACAGAGTGGGACAAAAAATGTAGTGTCTGAGTGCACAGCCATTTTTAAGTAAGAATGTTACCCTTTGAAGACAAGAATCTTTGGTGGCCAGATAGCTATCTTTGCAATAATCATGAATTTAAAAAAGAACTATGGTGCACAAGATTAGCTAAATTTGGCAATCAGTTGAATATAAAACTAGCCAAAATGGAGGAAAGTAGAAAAATGCCCCAAATTATTGGTGTTAACAGTTAAATCACAGATGCTTTAAATAAAATGCAAAAATAAGCAGAGAAGTAGTTTTAGAGAGAGATGATGATGCATTTGAGGATTTGGGTAACAACCAAAAGAAAATCCACAACATAAGTTTGTCAGACAATTTCAAAGCATTGGTGTATTTTGGAATAGAAAAATAGAAAAAGAAATAATGAGCTCACAAAGACTATAGATATAAGCAAAAAATACATAAGATTGACCAAATAAAGCATGAAAAGTGAAAAAAGCAAGGCTAGTTCAGAATTCTGAAATAAAATATTTAAATACAGAGGCAAAGGATATAATCATAACAACAAAAAGTTTCCTGTTGATAACCTAATGTGTCATACATTAAAAAGTGTTTTAGCTATCATCTTACTTACTATAATCTTCACATTTCACAGATGGGGAAACTGAGCCTGGAAGATGGCATAGCCTTCTTAGGTTATATATCCAGAAAAAGGTTGAGCTACTTTTTTTCTTTGTATTGATAGTAGTAGGATAGTGGTATCTGGCTTTAAATTATTTTTTATTTGTTCATATTTAAAATTGTGTCTTATAAATAATGGTATGGCTGCCACTTAAGGAACTAAGCCATGGCTTGAGAATTAGGAAGAAGGAGCAAGAGGACATTATTAAGATGAGCAGGAAGGCAACATATACTGTGTAGCTAAGAAGTCTGGAAATACAAGCCAGAAAAGAAAAATGCCTCTTGGTATTGAGAAGCAAAAAAAGAGTGGTTTTAGAACTGTTTCCGAATTATTTTTTATTTTCCAGTTTTCAATATTCTTGCCATTAAAATCCCGCCATCAGGTCAAATTTCTTTCTTCAAGACTACAAATAGAATTCAGTCATGATATGCGGAAGTGAGAGGATTATCTTGGATTATTGCTTTTCATTATTTAACAGATGGAAAACTGTGCCAGAACAATTACAATGGTGTTATAATAAATAGAGAATTTGGGCAAAAATATCTTGGTTTTAGCGCTAGCTTTGCTGTATAATAATGATGGGACTCAAGAAAGATGGTTTAATCTCTCTAATATTCAGTTTTCTTTTAGAACTCAGTTTGGTTGCCAACTCAGGCAGAAAATCAAGTTTTAACTCTCATAAACTGAGATTATTTCCTATCCCATTCTACTTGGCTTTCGTATCTTCCTGTGCATACTTCTATTTTTTTACTTAGCACGTTAAATTAGAATTATCATTTTTTGTCCCTTTCTCAAGATTCTAAGCTTGTTTAGGACAGGCCTAAGATTTGGTTGTGCTTATCTCTAGTGTGCAACACAGTATTTGGCATATATGACACTCCCAAAAATGACAGTTTTACTGAAATAGTCTGTAAATGGGCACTGAGGCATGCTTATGTCATATGGTGTTTTGAAAGATAAACTTAATTTACCTATGAACAATTGTAAATAATTATTGCTCAAGGCACTAAACTGATGTTCCAGCTCTTCAGAAAATTAACAACTTAGTGTGAGAGATATAACCTGAAAATTTTGCATTAACAATATTACAATAAGAAAGAATATCTGAAAGAGCTACATATAATGTGTATATTTGGGGCATGGGGAATAGTGTGAGGAGAGCAAGTAATTTCACTTGACTCTTGAAAAGTATGTATTAGTAAAAGAAGCAAAAATTAGAAAGTTTTGTTGGAACACCACAGTGAAGGATGCAGAATATTAAGACTTGGAGCTTTCATTCTGCCCTATAGAAAAGTGAAATTATAAGAAAACAGCCACAAATGCACAAAATGAATTAAGAAAGGAAAACTGGAGAGAAGCCAAATGCAATGTAACAGTAACATTAAGCTGGCAGTTCTAAATTCTGTGTGTGTGTTTGTGTGTGTTTATTAGTTGGAAAGTGGATGTGAAATAAATGTTAATTAAACATAGATTAATAATAATTTTAAATAATCTGTTTTCATTTTTCAAAGCTTAATATATTTGTCATAATTTCTATAATAATATCACAATCCCTGCCATGATGATACAGATTTTTGTTTGAAAATGGGACAAATATAAAGCTAAACAATCATTTATTTTGTTAATAAAACAGGTTTCCACTTACCTATCATTAGTATTTTTGGTAGTCAGTTATAATATTGTCTATCTATATCTGTTTTAATTTTTGTCACATATTAAGATGATTATAGATGTATGTCTCATATGTAAATATCATTAGGTCTAACTTTTAATGTGCAGAAAACACTTTTGAATTCCAGTCTACATTTTCAAAGAAGTGAAAAGCTGAACTAAGAAAGTGGCTATAGAAAAGAAGAGGCAGAAATAAGAAGCACTGCAGATGTAGAAGAGGGAAAGCTAAATAATTGATTGGATGTGAGGAAAAAGTGAAAAGGAAAACGCAAGACTACTTGAAGGTTTTGAGCCTGAGCGATAGTGCTTCCATAGAGAGAAAGAGACAACATTATAGAAAGAATTGGTTTAGGGATAAAAATTATGAGTTTACTGTAGATATACTGAGTTTGACAAAGCTTTAAAAATATATAAATTAACTGCTGTTCACGTAGTTGGGAATGTAGTTAGGATATTAGGAATGTTTCTATATGAGCATGAAATGTGTGAGCCACAAGCTTAAAAGCCACAGTACTAATTGGGACTTTTTAGTCAGTCAGTGTAGAAGGAAATTTTTTACAAAAAGAGGAGTGAATAACAGCTAGTGGCTGTAATTAAAGGTAAAAAGAAGAAGTAAGCATAAAAATATCAGCCAGGTGTGTAAAATGAGAAGAGTGTAATCCCAGTCAATGAAAGTGGAAAAGATTTAAAAGGAGAGGAATGTCAAGAAATTCAATCTTAAGATCATTGGGTTTATTGACACATAATTCATTGCTGACATTTTTAGGAATACAATAAATAGAATATTCAAGGAGGGGGCAAGCGCAGTGTCTCACGCCTGTAATCCCAGCACCTTGGAGGTTAAGGTGGGCGGATCACTTGAGGCCAGGAGTTCAAGACCAGTCTGGCTGACATGGCGAAACCCTGTCTCTATTAAAAATACAAAAAGTTAGCTGGGCACCTGTAATCATCCACTGGAGAGGCTAACGTGGGATAATTGCTTGAGCCCATGAGGCAGAGGTTGCAGTGAGCTGAGATCGCGCCACTGCACTCCAGCCTGGGTGACAGAGGGAGACTCCATCTCAAAAAAAAGAAAAAAAAAGTATTTTCAAGAAGGACACATTCTCAAGAAAAAAGAATTGATTAGATATTGATTACATTGGGATTAGCTGAGAATATAGTTATAATTAATATTTTAAGATTTAAGTAAAAGATATTGAAAATCTCTTCACTAATGTAAGGTTAAATATCAAATGTTCCAAAGCAGAAAAGTGGCTACTCTGTCTCTTCCTCCCCCTTTCTCTCTTGCTATGTGTGTGTGTGTATATATATATGCAGTTATATACATACATATACATGTATATACACTCATACATATATGTATACATATATGTGTATATATGCAAACATGTTTGTATAGATACGTATACATATATGTATATGTATTGTATAGATACATATACATATATGTATATGTATTGTATAGATACATATACATATATGTATATGTATTGTATAGATACATATACATATATGTATATGTATTGTATAGATACATATACATATATGTATATGTATTGTATAGATACATATACATATATGTATATGTATTGTATAGATACATATACATATATGTATATGTATTGTATAGATACATATACATATATGTATATGTATTGTATAGATACATATACATATATGTATATGTATTGTATAGATACATGTATTGTATAGATACATATACATATATGTATATGTATTGTATAGATACATATACATACATATATGTGTATATATGCATATACCTTATATAGATATACATATTTGGTAATGTATCGCATAATAACCTTCCATCAATGAGGGACTGCATATATATACAAAGGCATCCCATAAAGTTATAATACAGTGTTTTATATTATACTATATTATACTTTTCTATGTTCAGATACACAAATACTTACAATTTCTCTACAATTGCTTACAGTATTCAGTACAGTAACATCCTGTACAGGTTTGTAACCTAGAAGTATTGGCTATATCATATAGCCTAGGCATGTGTCAGGATATATCATCTAGGTTTGTGTAAGCACACTCTATAATGTTCCCATAACTCAGTGTATCCCCGTCATGAAGTGAAGCATAAATCTGTGTATGTGTGTGTGTCTATAAAGCCATTTCTGAAAGAACATATATATGTGTGTGTATATATATATATTGGTGATTATCATTGATGATATGTGATAACAGAGATCATAGGCATGGACAGCAAACTTTTTCTTTAATGAAAAACATAATAAAATTTTAGGCTTTGTGGGTGTCTGGGTTTTTTGTTGTTGTTGTTGTTGTTTTTCTGTTGGTTTGATTGGCTTTAAGATTATTTTAAAATGTAAAAGCCATTTTCACTTCCAGGCTGTAGTTTGCCAACCCCTGGTATAAACTATTAACTTGGAAAATAGCCAAGTAAAATCATTATGATATGTTACTATAACACTGCTTTTAAAATGTGTATGTGAGTTTGAATGTGTGTATGTATGTGTGTGTGTTCACTTTTTTGCCTGGAAGATTAAAACTCTGTGTTGTGATTGCAGTGAGTTTCTTATTGATATTTACACTTTTTTTCTGTTTTCTCCAATTTTTTTTCCGTGGATGACATGTTTCAGTGAATGCAGACTAATTTGAGTTCGGCAGGGCCGTATCTCCAGTGCAAAGCATAATATCTAGCCCATATTGGTTAGATTCCTAGGATCAGCTGTACGTTAAATCTTTCTTCTTGGATAGATATAAGACAAATTAACATGTGAAAGATTCTGAGAATTTCTCAAAACAGATCATTCTTTCCTGTTTATTAAATGAATAAAATTATTTTTATAAGAAAATCTATTTTAAAATTAGTATACTAATTTTCATTCTTCAAATGATTTTCCCCTAACATTAATTTAAAACAATTTCTTATGATATTCTTACATGTTTTATAATATATGAGTATTATCTCTACAGATATGAAGAAATCGGCTGGGTAAGGTCGCTCACGTCTGTAATCCCAGCACTTTGGGTGGCTGAGGTGGGTGGATCACAAGGTCAAGAGATGGAGACCATTCTGGTCAACATGGTGAAACCCCGTCTCTTCTAAAAATACAAAAATTAGCTGGGCATGGTGGCACACACCTGCAGTCTCAGCTGCTAGGGAGGTTGAGGCAGGAGAATCACTTGAACCTGGCAGGCGGAGGTTGCAGAGAGCCGAGATCGTGCCACTGCACTCCAGCCTGGGCAACAGAACAAGACTACATCTAAAAAAAAAAAAAAAGAAATCGTTAATGTCTTTTTATTTTTGAATAAGTCTAAAATAAAAGAAATGCCTTAACTTCAATAATAAGCTGTGGTTTAGAAATAATGTAGTCATTGAGAAGTCATGTAAACAATAGAAAGAAGGCCAAAAAATTTTTCATGCCATTCTTCAAACCACGAATGTCATTTTGTTTAAGCCCTATGCAAGCAACTCTATGCAATTATTTATTAATAAACAATGACAACAACACTATCATAAAGGTTTGAGAATTATCATGATAATTACATACAGTAGCAGAAAAACATCAGACAGAAAAAAACAAACAAAATAAAAACTACTTAGCAATGACCCATTCAATCATAAACTTAGAAAAGCAATTGGAGTCACAAAATAATTTATTTTTTTTATTTTAAGGGAGCACCAATTCAAATCATTCCAGCTACTTTAAAATAGCTATTTTTGTGTATTTATAAATGCTACAGGGGTAAAATATATAAATTTCACTTTCTCTTTTCATAATACCAATACTTACAGAGATAATATGATTACATGCATGCAATTTACTTCTTTAGTTTCAAAATCTGTACATTTTAGCCTCAATTGAAGTTAATCATAGTATTTCTCTTGTAAATATTTTTAAATTATTATGACTATAAAATTGTATTTGTGAATAAATGAGTTCACTTTTATACTTTTTGTAAAATATATGTTTTTGATTATCAACATACATAATAAATATTAAAAAATATATGATTAACATACTTATAAACAGATTTTCTCTTAAATTACTAAAATAGAGATGTTGGGTTATTAGGAAAACACACAAAAGCAATGTAATTTTTACAGAGTTTTTTGAAGGTAAGTTAAAATATGTCAACCTTCTTTATTTTGGCTGTACACAATACAAATGCCTATCCTTTTCTAATTTTCACATATTTTGCAATATATTAATATCCCTAGGGAATCTCTTTAGTAAAAAATGTACAACATTGACTAGGTATGAAAGAAATATAATCTATATATTATCATAGAATTTTTAAGAATTTTTTTATGGTTTCATTTTTCAGTTCCAGGTGAGATAGGTAACCTCTTTATGTGTAGATTATTAATAATATACCTTGATCTATCAATGAAATTATGGTGGTTCTTAAGTGATTAAAATTAAAATAACAGAGTGCTGCACTCTTTACATTTTAAGCCATTTTCAAAGAACAAGTGAACAGGAAATACTCTCAAAATCAATCTTTGAAGAAAAAATATAATTATGGTGTTAGTGCTGCTCTATAGACTATTTTGTGAAGATTTAAATTTCTGAGGCTCAAAGTGTTCATTGATGTCTGAACCAATGAATCAGTAATGGCTACCGCTTTAGTCAGATGGCATCTCTAATTGCACATATAGATAATCAATAGAATAAGTGAAAAAATGAGCACACAAACTGTCATTAAGATCCAGGGAAATTAGTAATTCAGCATTCTAGTAGAAAGTCACTCCTTAAGTCACATTCACAATGTGACAATGTGAATTTGGATAGTAAGTTAATTTCCATATTTTACAGATTGAAGCAGTATCACCTAATAGAATAAACGAGCAGTATCACCTAATAAAAATCAGAATTTTGGAATCAGATATTTTTGAATTTGCAGTTTGTCTCCAATATTTGCTATCTGACATTGTGGAAATTACTTAATATATCCAGGTCTAAATTTTCTGACCTATATAATGCTATATAATGGAATAAAGCTATTATCTACCCGATTGGGTACTTTTGAGGATCAAATGAGAGTGCTTTAAAAAAAAAAAAGAAAAAAAAACTTTGTATAGCTGCTGGGACATATTATGCACTCAAAATTGATTTTATTATCTTTTACAACCTGAAAATTAAAGATAACAGTAGACCTACTTACATCCAAGGATTCTTGTCAATATTAACACAAGGACAGGGAATGAAAAATTACCTTCAGAAAATTAGAATAGTAATCACTTAGCTTTGGAACACTGACCTTTTGTTTCCTATTCATTCTTTTTTCTTTAGATGCCTAACTGTTGTTTTAAAACTAGGATTATCTCCACCATGGTAATTTTTGTTATACTTTTCTTGTTGATTTTTTTTTCTTTGTTGCCTCAGATGTTAATTTCACCCTTCCTAGCTAGTTAAGGCCTGACAATTCTGGGGAAAACCAAACAACAAAACTCCAACATTCAGTCTTCTAGTAAGATTTCAGACATAAATTCATCATTTTTATCTCTTCAGATATCTGCTTTTGCTTTTCTCTGTATGTTTTACAAACAATTATAAGTTCTTAAACATCTATTTCCACTTAACTGCTCCACGATTTTTCATATGGCTTCTATTATGCCATCTTGATTGAAAACTCACACTCTCACCTGCATAGCTAGTGTGTTTTCCTGGATATCCTATCTTACACATTTTCAGAAGAAAATATACTGTCACAGCTTTTATAGATTGTATGAAAGAATCACATTTATATAAAATCGGCCCTTTGTATCCTCGGTTCTGCATCTGCAGATTTAACCAGCCATGGATTAAAATTATTGAAAAATAATAATAATAATCTGAAAATTAAAACCAATACTGTATCAACACAATTTACATAGCATTTATATTACATTAAGCATTATAAATCATCTGGAGATTATTTAAAGAATATGGTGAATGAACATAGGTTATATGCATATACACTATTTTAAATAAGAAGCTTGAACATCCCTGGATTTTGGTATTCTTGGGAATCCTGGAAGAAATCTGCTGAGTATACTGAGGGATGATTCTACTTTCTTTGATTTTCCTAACAGTTCGTGTGTTTCTATCAAAAGATGTTTGTGAACATTAGTTCTTCCTTTTTCAGAGAATTCATAAGCTTACACTCTCATCTTGGGAAAAAAATAAAAAAAAAAACAAAAACAGTATTCATGTGGCTGCTGTCTCTGCCTCTTGCCTCCTGGTAGAATAGAAACACATCCTCTTAGAAAATATAAAAAATAAAAGTTACTGTAATATACATATATATGTAATGTTGGCACTGATTATTTTAATTTCTTTATGTGTTATTTTCATATGTATTGGCAAAAAAAAACCCCTACCATCTCAGGTTCAATACAGGAAAGGGTTCAGATCGTTAAATTTTGACCCAATGAATATTGACAATGAGGGAATTTCAGAAGACAATACTTGGTGACAATAGGCATTAGGAAATATAGACAGACGGTCCAGTGCATAGCCCAGAAAATAATTACTGGATGTCAGATGCAAGTCGAGGCCTCCAATTAACTGAGTGTGGGGAAAAGGTTTGAGTATTAGACAGAACTTTTATACTAGGAAGAATCTGGGGATATTAAAGGAAGATCTCAGTTTTGTGGACCAGATTATTATGGGTGAATAAAAAGGACAGATAATGAATGCTACAACTCAGTGTTCTTACAGGTACTCAAATCCACCTGCTATTTACTAGCTTTCATTGAAATTCAATTGGCAAAAATGTAACTCTTAGGCAGAAGAGAATCCTGGGAGTTGTGGCTAGTTTTAGTTAGTGAGTTATTAGATGTGTTATTCTGGACAGCACATACCACCAACTGAATACCTGAAATCAAACATGGGCAATGCAAATACAAGAATAATGACAGAATAACAGGTCTATATGGGATTTATTGTTAATGCTACTTTTTAGTAGACAGTGCTATCCAACACACTTATTTTGGAATTTTAAAAATTGTGTCAATGGTGAAACCCCATCTCTACTAAAAATACAAAAAATTAGCTGGGCATGGTGGCACGTGTCTGTAGTCCCAGCTACTCGAGAGGCTGAAGCAGGAGAATCGCTTGAACCCGGGAGGCAGAGGTTGCAGTGAGCCGAGATCGTGCCACTGCACTCCAGCGTGGCTGACAGAGCAAGACTCCATCTCAAAAAAAAAAAAAAAAAAAAAAAAAAAAAAGACAAAAAAAAATAGTGTAAAAATTCTGGCTTTGTCTCCATGCTATCTCTTTTAACTTCTGTAATTTCTTATGCTCTCAGTGTTGTTTCCTCATACACAAACCAGAATTAATGACACAATCTGGGCTGGGCATGGTGGCTCACGCTTGTAATCCCAGCACTTTTCGGGAGTTCGAGACAAGCCTGACCAACATGGAGAAACCCCATCTCTACTAAAAATACAAAATTAGCTGGGCATGGTGGCGCATGCCTGTAATCCCAGCTATTGGGGATCTGAGGCAGGAGAATAGTTTGAACCTGGGAGTGGAGGTTGCAGTGAGTCAAGATCGTGCTACTGCACTCCAGCCTGGGCAATAAGAGTGAAACTCCATCTCAAAAAACAAAGAAACAAAAAAAAAAAAAACAATTTAAAAACCCCACAATCTTACAGGGTTTTTTTTGAGCACAAATATAATAATGGATATAATGCATCTATAATAATGCTTGGTATATAATATGTGCTCTTGTTAAGGGTATCAAAGACTACCCTGCACATTTGGGGATAACTGTGAGGACTTGCATAACTCAGCATATAGTTATAATAGCTAAAATTTATTTGGGGGAATACCAGATGAAAGCTTCCAAGAGTCCCCTCCCAATACAGCCACACAAGACATGATCAATTCTTCTACCAATAAGTCGTGACAACTTGTAAGAAGGGTTGTCTACCAGGGAAGTTAATTAGTGACTCATCAGTAATAATTTAACTGGGAGCTAGTCAAGTAATTACCTCTGCCTACCAAATTTCAGAGCCCCATAGGGAAAGCTAATGTTCAAGATAAACCATGTTGCTTGTACACACAACTTAAGCACAGTAAGACACTTTTATCAAGGTCCCAGACTGCCAGCCAAGGGCAAACCTTGAAACCAGATCATTCTAAGGATAGCAGACTCAGGCTTTCTGTGTTAATAGATCCCTGAACAATAACAAATACTGTCATTACTGTCAAGAACATTGTATTAGTCCATTCTCATGCTGCTGATAAAGACATACCTGAGACTGGGCAATCAAAAGAAAGAGGTTTGATGGCACGTCTTACAGGGTGGCAGACAAGAGAAGAGAGCTTGTGGAGGGAAACTCTGCTTTTTTAAAACCATCAGATCTTGTGAGACTTGTTCACTATTACGAGAACAGCGCAGGAAAGACCTGCCCCGACGATTCAGTTACCTCCCACAGCACATGGGAATTCAAGATGAGATTTGGGTGGGGACACATCCAAACCATATCAAATATTATTACATACTAAATAATAAAAGTAATAAGTAACAAATAGAATTTTAACTAAGCATCCATCCTCCATTGAATATTAGGAAATATTGAAGAATATTGTCAATAAACAACTGGATATTTATGATATGTACTCTTGTTAAAAATATATAACTTGTATTGTGCTATTGGTAATAGACTATAAAACACACAAAGGTTTTCACTTATTAGATTAAAACTACTATATGCTTTGTATTGCCTGATACTAATAATAATGGCAACCCTGGAAGAATATAAATCACCTGATAATCTTTCTACAAATACAAAAACAACTATGCCATTTTATGATATAACATTTTCATTTCCACACTATTTGACATACTGTAACACTATGTTCATCATCTAAACAGAGGTGAAATATTGTAGTGAGTAGTTTAGAGAATATTTACTTCCCCTTAAGCATTAGTAATATATTGAGTTAAGAGTTACTTTATTTTTCATGAAAAATTCTCATGACAATATACAACAATATTTTCATTTTAGATCCATTCATTACATAATAGTTTTCATGTTTTATGATAATACTGGCTAGATTCTTCCATGCGACATGGTTATTGTAGTCTTAAGAGAATCCCTAATGAAGCAGCATTAACTCTTTTATGATTTTAAGATCAATAAATAATGTCTCCAAATATTCAGGAAATTTTTGAAAGAGGCTGAAATCAAACAACAATAGCTAGAAACAATAGCTTTATTGCCATAGGAAATAATTTTTGAAGATAAATTCTGTGGATTGAAACACAAGTTTCTTTATTTAAAAAATGTTTCTCATACGAAGAATTTACAATTTTATTCCCAGATGTAATCAGCAAAGTTTTTTCTTATGTATTTACTGTATATGTGGTTCCATGATTAATGTAAATAAATGAATGCCTTATTTTATCAATTATGAGACAATAATGTTTGTATAATACATTTTTAATTTGCCGTTAGGAAAGAACACAGAACTCCCAAGTAAACCATGACACAATGGTAAACTTCACACAGGGAGTGTTTATTCTATAATCATGAAAGTGTTGTTTTCAGACATTTTTAACCACATGTATTTATCTTCTTTTCATTTTTGTGCAAATACAAAAATGAAAACCTAAGTAAAATTAATTACGATGGCATGTCTAATAGTTTTCTACAATCTGAGCCTGACTCAGCTAAATTATTCTCTGACTCAGATTAATTGAATTCCATGATTTACAAACAATATTATCCTCCTTGTTTTCAAAAACACCAAGAAGCAACACTGACTAAAATAGGAATCTGTTGTTGATTCTGGATTACTTTTTCAAATCCTTGACAACTCATTCTTCTATTGTTATTGCCTTTTTAGAGGTGCTAATGGAAGGTTTTGTTAAGGGGTGGGTGAGGGGGAATCTAGGATATAAGGGGAGTGATATTAGCAAGAAGCCCTGAAATCTCCTTCCTTTCAGGCAAGAAGCTCTGAAATATCCTCCTCCACCCCATGAACACTGTGATTCTTCAACACTACATAGACGAATTCCCTTTATGAGAAATAAACTGGTTGAGAGGTTTCTGCACCTTAATCTAGCATGAAACCAGCCACCCTGGCTAGTTTTAAAACACCCTCTCACCATATTGCCCAATCCCTGGCAGCACCCTATGATTGGGAGGAGCCTTTCTGCTCCAAGGTTCTCTTTAGTGAGGAAAAAGTTGGAACATATATCCAACAACCTAATTTTTCTGGGAAGCTACTCAGGACTGGATTCTGCCTTGCCTATCTGAGAGAGCTGACAGAACCTGGCACACTCAAGCTGCCTAGAGCTAAGTAAGAACAAAGATAGGTGTTTTAGATGACAGTTACCGTAGCTCCTTCCCCACCGTCAGCAAGCTCCTAACAACAGGCTCAGTACAGAGCAAGGAGACAAAAATGTTAGCTCCCACCTTCTCCCTGGGGAGGGAAAAAGGTTACAGAACAACCAATGACCCAAAATTTCTAAGGACCGAAGCTAGAAAATAGCTTCAGCCTTGCCTATCTCTGAACATTGACAGGATCCAGAATATTCCAAACATCTGGGGGCTACAAAGAACAAAAAAAGCAGGTTGGACTAGCCTGAAGGCTTGAGATAGGCCTTCAGAATCTTTGACTAGGCTGATTGGTGAGGGTCTTCTCCTATGTAAGAACAGTTTGTGAAGACTAGGAGAGGTAGCTGTTTTTTTTATAGTGCACAGATACCAACACAAATTCAAGAAAAGTGAAGAAACAGAAACATGTCTCTAACAAAGGCACAAATGAATCTCTAGAAACTGACTCTAATGAAAGGAAGATATGTAATCTACCTGAAAGTTAATTAAAAATAACCCTCATAAGGGTGTTTGATAAGATAAGGAAAACAATGCACGAACAAACTGAAAATTTCAACAAAGAGATAGAAAAAGCTCCAAACAGAAACCTTGGAGCTGAATAATATAATAACTGAACAAAAACAAAAACCAAATAAAATACACTAGAGGAGTATAAAATCCTACTGGAAAGAGGCAGACGAAAGAGAAAATAGAAACAGAGAGACCAAACAGAAATCTTGGAGCTAAATAATACAATAACTGAGCAAGAGTAAACAACAATCACTAGAGGGTTTTAAAGGCCAACTAGGTCAAACAGAAGAAAGGATAAGCAAACTGGAAGACAGGTCATTGAAAATTATAAAGTCAGAGGAACAAAAAGAAAAAAAAAGATCAAAAAAGAGGAAAAAGGCCTTATGAGACTTACGGGACATCATCATGCGGCTGAATATACACACTATAGGAATATCAGAAAGAAAAATGAGAAAAGAGGAAAAGCTTACTCAAAGAAATAATGGCCAAAATCATCCTTCATGTGAAAAAAAAAAACAAAGACCCCATAAAAAGTTGAATACAAAAAGATACACATTGAGACATAACAAAATTGTCTGACAAAGATGACGAGACATTTTTCTTTTTTATGAGACAGAGTTTCACTCTTGTTGCCCAGGCTGGAGTACAATCTTGGCTCACTGCAATCTCCACCTCCTGGGTTCAAGAGATTCTCCCGCCTCAGACTCCCTAGCAGCTGGGATTACAGGCGCCCTCCATCACGCCCAGCTAATTTTTGTATTTTTAGTAGAGATGGGGTTTCACCATGTTGGCCAGGGTAGTCTCAAACTCCTCACCTCAGGTGAATCTCCCACCTTGGCCTCCCAAAGTGTTGAGATTACAGGCGTGAGCCGCTGGATGATGAGAATTTTTTTAAAGCACAAGACAAAAATGACTTGTCATGAACAATGAAAAACCCTTAAGATTGTCTGGCTTTCTCAGCAAAGATTGAAGGGGGTAGATGGTAAAATCAAAGTACTGAAAGAAAAATCTGCCAAACAAGACTAGTATAAACAGCAGAATTGTCCTCCATCTCTCCAAAATGGAGAGATAAAGACTTTGTCAGACAAAGACTGAAGAAGTTCATCACCTCTGAGCCTGCCATATAAGATGCTGAAGCAGGTTCTAGAAGTTGAAGCAAAAGGATGCTAAACAGTAATGCAAAAGCATATGAAAGTACAAAAATTGCTGCAAAAGTAATCATATAGAAAAATAAAGAATACAGTAATACTTGAATGATGGCAAATAAAATATTTTTAACTCTAGTATAAAAGTTAAAAGACAAAAGTGTTAAAGATAATCATAAATTTAAAAATAAATGAATGGATACAGTATATAAAAAGATGTAAATTGTGAGTCAATAATACAATGTTGGGGGAAGTAGATGTGTAGAGTTTTGTATATAATTAAATTAGTTACCAGCTTAAAATATAGTATTATAACTATAAGACATTGTATGTAAGCCCCATGGTAACCACAAAGAAAATACCTGTATAGAAGATACACAAAAGAAAAAGAGAAATCAAAGCACATCAGTATTAAAAAATTAAATTAAAAACAAAGGAAGACAGCAAGAAGATACAAGGGAACAAAAGAACCATAAGAGAGACAAACAATATTTAACTAAATGGAAATAATTATACTCCATTAATAGTTATTGTAAATAATAAGAAGTCAAACTCCTTATTCAAAAGTTATACAGAACCTGATAGGAATTCAAAAAGATTTAACTATATGCTGTATATAAGAGACTCATTTTAAATTTAAAGACACATTTTGGCTGAAAGTTAAGGAATGAAAAAATATATTCTATAAAAAAATGGTCAACAAAAGAGAATGGAGGCTACATGGTTATATCAGACAAAATAGACTTTAAAAACTATCACAATAAACAAAAAAAGAACATTATATAGTGATAAAAGAGATAAAAGAACATTATATAATAAAAGTCATATGATAAAAGATAAAATATATAATGATAAAAGACATATATACATATATATGTATATACATATATGTATGTATATATATACACATATATATAATCTTAAATATATATGTACCCAACATCACAGTATCTAATATAGAAGGCAAATATTGCCGAAACTGAAGGGAGTAATAGACAGCAGTAATAGACATAGTAATGGCAGGAATAATCAATAGTCTTCTTTAAATAAAGGATATGAAAACCAGACAGACAATTAATAAAGATATAGCAGTCTTAAAAAACACTATAGACCAGAGACCTAAGAGACATATACAAAATATTCAACTCAACTGCAGCAGAATATACATACATCTCAAGCACACACAGAGTGTTATCCAATATAGGTCACATGGGAGGTCACAAAGTAAGTATTAACATTTAAGAAGATTGAAATTATGCCAAGTCTGTTTTCTGACCACAATTAAATCGATGTAGACATCAATAACAAGAAGAAATGTAGAAAATAATGTAAAAATTGAACAACACAGTTTCGAACAATGAGTGGGTCAAAGAAAAAATCAAAACAGAAATTACAAATATATGGAGAAAATTGAAAATAAAAATTCAATACATGAAAACTTACAGGATACAGCAAAAGGAATACTAAGAGGGCAGCTTATAGTGATAAACAACTACATTACAAAAGAGGAAATATCTAAAATATCAGCCCAATTTTCCAGTTTAAGATAGAAGAACAAAAAAACTAAGTCCATAGTTAGCAGAAGAAAGGAAATGATAAAGATTAGAAAAAATAAATTAATCACATAGAGAATAGAGAAATAATAGAAAAAACAAAATTAAGAGTTGTTTTTTGAAGAGAATTATATTAACAAATCCCTAACTATACCCTGAGGCAAAAGAGAAAATATTAAAATAATAAAATAATAAAGACCCAACTAATAGCACAGAAATAAAAATGATTATAAGATACTATTGTGAACAATTATTAACAAGAAATTGGATAACCTATAAAAAAGAAATATTTCTAAAAATATACAACCTACCAAGACTGAATCGGAAAGAAACAAAATACTGAATATACCTGCAAATAGTAAGGAGGCTGAATCAACGGTCAAAAACTTACTGACAAAGAAAAGTCCAGGGTCAGATGCCTTCACCGTTGAATTCTATCGAACATTTAAAAATGGATCAATGGCAATCATTTTCAAACTCTTTCAAAATATTTGAAGAGGAGACTACGCTTCTAAGTTGATTTTGTAAAGCAGGAATTACTCTAATACCAAAGCTAGACAAAGCCAATAGAAGGAAAGACAACTAAAAGTCAATGCCCCCAATGAATGTAGATACCGAAATCCTCAACGAAACACTAACAAGGCGAATTCAACAACACATTAAAAGGTTCATAACCCACGACCGGGTGGGATATATGACTGAGGTGCAAGGATGATTCAACATCCAAAAATACATTAATGTCTTCAATGTAATACATTGCATTAACAGAATTAAGGGGAAAAATCACATGATCATCTCAGTGGACACAGAAAATGCATTTTAAAAAATTATACACCTTTTTTAATGATAAAACGTCTCAAAATCTAGGAATGCATCAAAATTGCCTCACCATAATAAAGGCCATATATAAAAAGTCCATAGCTAATGTTCAATAGCAAAAAACTGAACACTTTTCCTCTAAGATTAGTAACAAGGCAAGAGCATTCACTTTTGCCACTTTTATTCAACACAGTACTGGACTCCTAACCAATGCAATGAGATTAAAAAAAGAAAAAAAGGCCCAAATCAGAAAGGAAGAATTAATATTGTCCCTGTTTGAAGATGACATAATTTTATATGTAGAAAACCCTAAAGACTCCACAATAAAATAAAATAAAATAATAAAACCTGTGAGAACTAATAAATTCAGTAAAACAGCAGTATACAAAATCAATAAAGAAAAATTAGTCATATTTCTACACTGCCAGGAAACTATCTGAAAAAGCAATTAGGAAAACAATACAATTTAAAATAGAACCAAAATGAATAAAATACCCAGGAATAAACTTAAGAGGGTGAAAGAGTAATAGACTGAACACTACAAAACACTGGTGAAAGACATTAAAGAACACAAACAAATGAAAAGACATTCCGTTTTCATGGATTGGAATATTTTTATAGTGTTAATACCACCAAAAAGCGATCCACAGATTCAAAGTATTCTCTGTCAAAATTCTGATGATATTTTTCACAGAAATAGAAAAAAATACATACTCAAATTTTTATTGAATGACAAAATACCTTGAATAGTCAAAACAATATTGAAAAAGAAGAACAAAGCTGGAGGAATTACACTTCCTGATTTCAAAATACATTACAAGGATACATTAATGGAAAAGGTATATTACCAGCATAATGACAGATATAAACACCAGTGGAACACAATAGAGACCCCAGAAATAAATCCACACATGTACAGCTAACTAATCACCACAAGAATGTCAGGAACACACAAAAAGGGTGGTCTCTTCAACAAATGGTGCTAGAAAAACTGTATATCCACATGTAAACAAATGAAATGGGAAGCTTTTTGTACACCATACCTGATAATGAACTCAAAATAGATTAAAAATATAAACATTAGACCTGAAACTCCTATACCTATGAGAAGAAAACACAGGTAAAAATTTCATGACATTGATCTTGGCAATGATTTCTTGTATATGATACCAAAAGCACAAGCAACAAAAGTGAAAATAGACAAGTTGGACTCTATCAAACAGAAAAATTACTGCATATCAAAAAAACTATTAACAGAGAGAAAAGACAATTTACATAATGGGAGAGAATATTTGCTCTGATAAAATCTTAATATATAAAATATTAAGAAACTCTTACATTTCAGAAGCAAAAACATAAATAACCAAAAAACATAAAAGGAAATACCACAACAATCCGATTTTAAATTGTACAAAGGACTGGAATATATATTTCACCAAGGAAAATTAACAAATGGCCAGTAAGTATATGAAAAATGATACTCAATATTACTAATCTTCAGGGAGGTGCAAATCAAAACCACAATATCACCTTACACCTGTTAGGATGACCATGATCAAAGAAAAAAACAAACAGTGTTTGCGAAAATTTGGAGAAACTGGAACCCTTGTACACTGTTGGTGAAAATATAAAATGGTGCAGCTGCTAAGGAAAACAGTAGGAAGTTTCCCTAAAAAATATAAAACCACCCAAAAGTACCTACGGTAGCCATAGAATAACCATCCAATGCCGGCCATTAAAAGTTGGTTCTTAGAGAAGAGCTACCTATAGAGATTGATCTGACCAAGTTTTTTTTTGTTGTTGTTTTTTGTTTTTTTCATGAGGCCTTAATTGTAGCCTCTTGTTGAGTAATTGCCAGGCTGGGGCCAGGTAAAATCTGAAGTAGCCTCAGATGGTTACCCAAAGTCACATTGGACCAAGTGTCAAGAATACCAATGCTGGGAGTTCTCCCTTATCTCCAGGGTGTCAATGATATATTTTGGAAAGCTATGTAACCCATGAGTTAATTAATAGTGATGAAGTGTAGAGCAGCTAAAAAGAAAAAATACACACACGTAAGTGTGGGTATATATTCTGTGTGTATATGGATATACACACACAGTATGCATACATATTTATGTACATATTCTGTATACATGTAGAGAGAGATAGAGAAAGAGAGCAAAAGAATGAGAAAGAGGGAGCTCTATTTTTGGCAAGATAATTTGTTAACTAATCAGATACATGCCCTCAGATGCATAAAGAACTAACATACTAGGTGGTTGTGTAAAGCCCCCAGACTTGTGTGACAAGAAGAAATTTAATCAGCCCAACAACAATTCAGCCATTATCTATCTACTTTTTGATTTTTGGTGCTCTCAGAAATAACACCTTGGGGGTATAATTTCATTCAGTGGTTTAAAATGAAATATGATAGCAATTTATTTTTGGAAATTATAGAGCAGAGCCTCACAGTAATTTTTTTCGAAATCAATCCTTAAAATCTGTATCTCTTAAGTATATTTAGCATTAATAGTACATGTTTGGCATGTTGAAGAATACTGGGTATTTATTAGCATTTCCTATTTGACTAAATTCATGCTATCACTTTTCCTTAATTAAATAGTGTGTCATTGTGAGTTTAAAAAATTCTATTCAAACTCAGCATGAAATTTTTGAAAAATTTATGTTTGAGGTCTTAAAGATAGTTCCATGAAATGCATAAATATGTCACAACAGCTTTTCTTGCTTTGAAAAATGTAAGAGTTTTCCAGGCATTTGGAAACATCATCTAGCTTTGTTGCATTACGTGGTGTGTGATATTATTCTCTGTTATTGTTTTGTCAGAAAACTATTTTAATGCAACTATTTCCCTAATGATAAATATTTGCTCCACCAATATCATACTTTTGTGGCACTACTCTGTTTTCATGCCTATTATTTTTCACAACGAAAAACTCTTTTGTGGCCGGGCACGGTGGCTCACGCCTGTAATTCTTGCACTTTGGGAGGCCGAGGTGAGCGTATCACAAGGTCATGAGATTGAGACCATCCTGGCCATCACGGTGAAACCCCGTCTCTACTAAAAATACAAAAATTAGCTGGGCATGGTGGTAAGTGCCTGTAGTCCCAGCTATTCGGGAGGCTGAGGCAGGAGACTCGCTTGAACCTGGGAGGCGGAGGTTGCAGTGAGCCGAGATCGTGCCACTGCACTCCAGCCTGGGCGACAGAGCAAGACTCTGTCTCAAAAAAAAAAAAAAAAAAAAAAAAAAGAAAAACTGTTTTGTGGTTTTGTGAATAATCAAGGTGTACTCTTTTAAATGGCACCTGCCTCAAAACATGTAACAAAAATGGAGTTAACTCAATTGCCGTGACAACTATATGATTGGATATGATTAGTTTTGCACAAACACAGGCAATGAGAACTGCATTCTTTTTGCCACCTGGCCAACAATTTTCATAAGATATGATTAATTATAAGACATATTCCAATTTCAGACATGTTAAATTGCAAATACATATACATGTAAGATGAATTTAACAATAGACCTTAAGGAGGCAGTTGAGCTTCAAAAGGAAGAAAAAAACAGAATTAGTGTTTATGTACATTCAGTTGCTCATCTCCGTGTGTCTCTCTCCATCAGCTACATTTTTCTTCATTAGACCAAATTTTGCTGCTTCTCTCAGCCCATGTTCACTCTATAATTCCTAGGTTTGCATGTCTCATCTTAGTTGAACCACCAGAATGACTATATTTAGTTCTATCTCTAAATACCAAATTCCCAGAACAAACTGGCTAAATTGTGTCAGCTTTTCTCTTCTATTCCAATTCCCTGTGTGGAAGGGTTGGATTATAAATAGTCAAACACACTTGTTTTCAAAATGCCTATTTTTTTTTCTATTTGAATCACCAGTTAGATATCATATTTTGGAAAACAAGTCCACATCCAGTTCACTCTGTTTATCATGTCCTTTCTATAGAACGTAGTAACATTAGTCATTCACTCAATTGTTGAATTAACAAATTAATTGATTTTAAGTTGGTGATATAAAACTATTCCAGACAATATTTAGTACTTTCTAAATATGATTTACTACTTCTATGCAGTAGGCCTTTCTGAATTCTATTACTGTCAGCTGGCAATTGGAAATGCAACATATTTTTAAATGAGTACAGTTACGGGAAAGTACTAATCAAGCATTAAGAAACCACTTCGTAGTTATACATTTCATCACCCAAGTTCAGGTAAATGTACACTGATAACCAATTACTTCTCTATAGAAGTGATGAGAATTGTCGGGTTCTAGCCCAAACTGAGGTCTGAGGGGAGTTAGTAGGCAGGTGGCGGGTAGCTGGGTACTCAAGGAATCCTAACAGTTTCAACATGACTTCATTCTGTTTCTCGGAATGTGAGCCCTATGCACAGTGTCAGCAGGGTAATTATACCTTTTACAGACAATAGTGGCTCAGAGTCAAGTTTGAGCTTACACAAACAGGTTACATAATGAACAGTTGTGTGTCTGAGCTCCAAACCCTCTTAGTCATACTGGACCAGATGTTTACCTTGGACTATTCTTGACTGAAGCACATCTATTTTCCTAACAAGAATCAAGAGGTTCTGTTATTGACAAAGCATCTATGAAAAAGGTACAATTAATGTTTATTAAATAGGGCACAATTCTAAATGTTGAGGGAAAAGATAAAATTACTGTGCTTCTTCCAATTCCGGTATTTGGAGAAGAGCCTAGGCTCATCCTTCTATTATATTCCACACAACTTAGAAACAATAAACACCTGTGCCAAATGGCATAATTATAGCCAAAGTGGCAGTGAGTCTTCTCTCCAAGCTAGAAAACATCCGTCATGAACAAAGCAGCATTTCAATACCTCTCACCAAATTTCAAATGCAGGGCTTACGTATTTACATACTCAGAAGTGATTCAGGAATGGTCTTTCTTTTTCCTCATCAAGAGAACATCTGAAACTGCGCCATTCTATTTGAAGGAAATTCTCTTTCTGGATGAACTAGTGAGATGGGTAAGTAGTCAGGTTCCTGGCAGCTCAGCTCTTGACAAATCAATGCAGTGAACAGTGTGGTAGATCAAGCACAATGCCATTCTGTGGGAGAAAAATCCTGAAGATTCCATGGGGGCACTTTGGGCAGGTGCTAGGAGAATCCCATGGACATACTGAGGGACGCTAGTGGAACTTTTGCAAGAGTCTGAGGGTCCCTTGAGCTACTTCACCAATGGGTCTTAGGACATGCTAGCAGAAGCTGCCGGACATTCTTGAAGGATGCTAGTGAGTTGTTTATATAAGTTTTCAGTTCTGAGAAGGGACCACCCATCCTTCTTTTTAGTCCCCAACTCCCTGGCCGAGTTCACTTGGTGCTAGTACATCAGAGTTCTAAGCATGCCTCATAGCAGAAAGCTGCCCTCTCTACACCAGACCTGGTGCACAGCCAGTGCATTGCATCCTCTGAAAGGAGTTGCAATCAAGGACTCAGGAACCCCTGGCCAGCCATGCTGTTATGCATGTCTGCATTTCTAACTAGGCACCACCAATGAAAGGCCTATTTACCATGGACCCTCAGCTGAGGCCTACCCTAGATGCCTCTGCTTAGAACTCCTTACCAGGGAAGAAGGGAGACCTGAAGATATTTTTCTCCATTCTGACTCAGTACTCACTATTTTTTCACTTTCAGCCCTTCTTCCTCTTTCTCCACTCAGTGCAGGATTCATAAAATTCCAGAAACATTTTTTCATGGCTCTTTTGGCAGTGAGATAATTTCCTTAATCTGTGCTGACATATCTGCCCTTGCCCATTGCCATTCGTGAGAAAAATGGAACAGTGGGGAAGCCAGCACTTTATTGTAACTATTCCAGTAAGTGAATAAAGCCTTGACTGTTACTTTCATTTTGCCTCATTGTCTTAAAGCTATTACCCTGACACCTGGCTGCTCCTTTCTTTCCAGTTCAGCTCTTGACAATGGGATTGGATGGATGAATCTCCATATTATCTCTCCCTTTTTGACTGTGGTAATCTGATAAAAAGATTAGTGGTTTGGGGCTTAGATAACAAGAACACTCAATTTGATTGCTTTCCCTAGGTTAGTAAGAGAAGCCAAGACTAGATAACAATTCAGTTTTCTATGAAAGGAAAGAGAGCAAGGAATAAAGGAAGGAAAGGAATAAAAGAAGGAAGAAGAGAAGAGAAAAAAAGGAGAAAAGCAAGTAGATTTGTTCCTTTTAATGAATACCATTGTTTAATAAAATCAAGTTATACAATATTTGAGATGGTAACAGAAAGGGTAATCTTCCTCCTATAGATAGATATGCATATATCAATCGTGATCAGATTGGAAGAATAAGGTATTCCACTACAAAGGCCAATAGAAAAATCGCATTTTAAATATATAGGATTCTAAAGAGGAAGCAAATATCTATAAAAATATAAATATTGGGGTTACATCTTAACCAACAATAAATTGTGTGCATAATTTTAAACTATATATTTCCACCAATATGAGGAAAATAAGTTTATTTACCATACTATTTTGTCATCCATGCAGCACAGAGCATTATGGCTGAATCATGTTCACAAAATACTTGATAAGCACTAATGTGAATAGGTTAGTGTGGTCTGGAAGAGGGGCAGTTTCCAGGTGGGGCACAGTGGCTCATGCCTGTAATTCCAGCATTTTGGGAAGTCAAGGCAGGCAGATCACCTGAGGTCAGGAGTTTGAGACCAGCCTGGCCAATATAGTGAAACCTCGTCTCTACTAAAAATAAAAAAAATTGAGCCGGGTGTGGTAGTGCACACCTGCAATCCCAGCTACTTGGGAGGCTGAGGCACAAGAATCACTTGAACCTGGGAGGTGGAGATTGCAGTGAACTGAGAGGGTGTCACTGCACTCCAGCCAGGGCAACAGAGTGAGACTCTGTCTCAAAAAAAAAAAAGAAAGTTTCCAGAAAGCACTTCACTTCATTCAAAACTCAAACTTCAGAGTACTTATTCTGTAATCTGCATTTGTGGGTTTATTTCTTCTTTCTAATTCACATTGAGATTTTTAATATTATACTTCAACTGTTTTATTCCAGATTATATTGTATAATCCAAGTACATATTCTATAATATTCATTTATTTCTACTTCCTACTTTACACTGAGATTTTAAATATTATGCCTCAACTGTTTTATCATAGATCATTTCTCAGGATACTGCAAAGTCTAATCTTTATCCAAGATTATTATCTTTTTTTTTCACAAGTAACACTAGTCTCTAAGTGTGTGGCCTCCACCTCAGAATATGTAGTCTCTATACTTTTGATACAGACAACATATAGCGGGGGTAGAAAATAAGTTCATTTTGTCACTTAATCCATCTGTAGCATCCTGAAAAATTTAAGATGACTCATTGTATAGCTACATAATAATAAAATAGATGATTTTAAAAAGAACAAGTAGACAGACCTCACTAATTAGACTCTAGTGAACAATCAAACATCAAAGAAAATCATTAATGAGCAGAAGAGAAGAAAGAAGGCACACATCCCTGACAGCTTCTGCAATAGAGAATTCTGTCTGAAGTCCTTTGCATAGCAACCAGATGGAGGTGGCTAACGATACGAGACTTACTGACTTGCAGCCTGCAGATAAAATGGTAGTGGAAACTTCTGCAGTATTTACTATTGACAGGGGTCATTGGGAGTGACTGGAGTTTAGGGTGGAAACAATAGATGTCAGAGCTATCCTTCATTCTGAAAATTATCTTATAGCATATCTATTTCTATTTACTTCTAGATATATTTTACTGAATATTCAGTCATATCCCATAAATTTTCAGCATGTTTACTTTCAGAGATCTATTAATCCATTGTTTCTAGTATATGTTCCTTTTAACAGTGTCCAGATTCTTCACCATTAGAAAAATTATGTTGGTGCAGATTAGGTTTACAACCTAAATATATATACCTATATATTACAATTGAAGTCTTTAAATTAGATCAACTTCCTAGTGTATTTTCCTCCCCGAATCTCATTTTAGTTTCAACGTTTACTCTATAAACAGATTTTTGCATATAAATCTAGACTAGAATTCATGTTATTCCAAATGGGCACAAATCAATTCAATTCAATATCTGAGAGGATTCAAAGTATGTATCTTCCTTTAGCTACCTCCTACAGTACAGATATTGATTTGCACAGCCTAAATATCATAAATAATTGATTTGAATCCATAGGTGCACACTTGTAATTTTATTTCTCTCTTAATATTTTGTGATACGGATGGGCCATACCTAAATCTTCTTTTGTGTGTTTGTGGTATAAAGCCTGCACATTGTTTAAACCACACAGTCTCTGAATTGCCTTTCTCTCTCCTTATGCTAAAATATATGTTTGATCTACATTGTTCTGAGGCTCAGCACTGTGCTTTCAGTTATTCTTGAAAGTCTCAATGGCTCCCATGATCTTTGATTTTAAAATAATAAAAGAATATTTCTCCACCCAAATAGTTAATATATATTTTCCTTCAGAGTTTTTGACTTTAAGACTGCATTATTCTGACAATGTATTTTTATGTTGTTATAATATCCTTCATTATAAGATTTTACTCTTTGTAGTGCTGTTTGCCACACTTACTAAAGGTGAAAACTAAGTGTTTTCAAAATCTAGAAAACATGTATTTTACTGATGAGGTATAAACATATAATTTTAATATAAATCTAAATGCCTTTCATATAGAACACATATAAGATGCTTTTCTCATTCATTCATTTTATATCCTTTCATTAAACAAGAATTCACTCTCTTAGTTAGTACGTTAAATACAGGAGATACAAAGGTAAACAAAACATTGTCCTTGTCCTTGAGATACTCAAAGTCTAGTGAGGAGACGCAAACCAGAATGAAAAAAGAAAGGAAATTATAATACACTGTAGTTAGTTTAGCAAAAGAATATGAATAATAGTTATAATTGTCAAACATCATCTATAGATGCTGCAAGATTGCTTGTACATATTTTTTGAGTGGCAATGTGCTAAAAGCATACATTTTATATAAAAAATAACCAAACCATTTATGAATTCTAGATCAGAACATTGTTTTCTGAAATTTTCTTAAGTTAAACATTATTTACAACTGACAATAATCATATCTAAAAAAAGACATGACTGTCTGCCTTACAGTGTATTAAACCCTTTATGTGGGTTTTCATATTTCATAACATCCTTAAGCAATAAATCATGTTTAATATTTATGTAACTATAATAATGTTTATAATATTAAATTAATATTTATGATTAAATTTAATATTCATGATTTAACTATGATTGAATTTGTTTGATGTGATTAAGTTGAAGTTTTAATTTAATATTCATGACTAACTCAGTATTAAAAGTTTTGCAAACCACAAGTTACAAACAATTTTGAGAATGGCTTTCTTTTATAAGAAATATGCATGGTAAATAAGCATATTGATTACTTATGTGACATAATTAAAATTAGAGTCAACACTTTTAAATAAAAGTAAAATATATTATTTATAGCACAGAACAGAATAACTGAACTTAGCCTACATTTGAATAATCACATTGATATAATTGTATGTAAGATAAATAAGTATAAGGTGTTTATTCTCACCGGAAAAAGAATCCCAATATTACACTGTTAAGAATTGGGAAAAATGTGAGATTTTTATCCTGCTTGCAAGTTCACAGGTTAGACTATTATAGTTTCATGCAAAACTGAGATGCCACTAGAATTGAGTCTGCTGATTTTTTTTAAGAAATCAATTTTATTTTTACTTTATTAAAAATACAGAAGTGCATAGCCAATGTAAGAATTTCTGCAAACATAGCATTTACATTTGATAAGTGAAGTTTTCAGGTTCCTCCCATCTTGTTAGTCATTATATTCCAAAGTGACCCACATCCATGTAAGAATGTTAGGCCAGAGTCATAAGCCCTCCATGGGCAGGTATTCAATTTCAACAAGAGTATAACAGGAAGCTAACAGCTACTCTTCTAAAGGTGTGTACAGTACCTGGTAGTCATATCTTGAAGGATGCAAGGTGAAAATCTTAAGGGGTGCTTCTGGCTGCAGGCTGCCTTTCTTTGCCAGAGGCTCCAATCAGAATCACGAGTCACAGAATTGCCTCCAATACGCAGTGTCCAATATGGTGATGGGCCTTCTTTTTGATAGTAGGGGGCTGAAGAGACAATTTTTCTTTGGGGAGGCACTGAACACTGTGAATCTACCCACATAATCTCAAGGAAGTTTACTTGTCAAACAGGCCTCAGAATTTTCCCTGGGCTTATCAGTCACCGCTTCTGGAGTAAATGTGATAATAACTGCAGTCAGGACATTGCAACTGAGTCTTCTGACATGCTGGCCAACAGGACCTCACTTATGTTGTGGAAGCTTTGACATCAGAGGGCAGAGGAATTCCACTAAATTTTGATCCATTCATTAGTGGCAAATACCAGGAGAATGTGTCCCTTTAGCACTTCTCTACCTGAAGCTCTTTCCAAACAGAAAATTGTCCTCTGGCACTTGCAAGATGGGTTGTACAAACATATGACACATCAATCCATCTTCTACATTTACATGTAGACACAATAACAATGCATTGAAATTAACCCAAGGGGCCCACCTATAAGGTCATGTTAATTTATCTTAGCAATATTTTATTTAATATTTACTTTTTTTTCTAAAGACAAAGCCCACAGCACAACAGGAATTGTAAGGCTGTTTCGTCTCTCAAACACATAACAGTGATACACAGGTAAGTTCACGTGGATGTTCTATAAATAGTGAGTTTGTGTCATAGCTGAAAAACTTCATGCTTAGGAAATCCAGTCTTTTAAAGAGGGCTACTAGTAAACCTGTTCAACCTTTGTCTGAGAGGAAGACATTATCTTTATTATTCTAGTCAGGAAACACATTTTTCTTCTGTCCTGGAGGGAGATACCATATCTTCCAACATTGTTTACTATACAAACAGCCGTGAAAAGAATAGTACAGATCTAAAGCTGCAGACATGCAGAAACATTACAAACCCATGGAGATCTATATAGGATGGGAGACAGTATTGTAAGTTAGAATTTTCCATGGACTGTTTTTTGTGCTTATGTTGCATCACAGAATTATGTAAATTTCCTGAAACATAATGGAGACTGTGTTTGTCAAATTAATGAAATGAAGTGTCCTTGAATCAGATGTGTATTTATAGGAGGAGATAACATATACTTTAGAATAGTAGTGGCACCAGTAGTCTAAAATGTATAAAAAGCTCCACAGTTAAAAAGTATCCGTATTAGATATGATAATCTATTAAGCTATACTTTGTTTTGATGATCATGTGGTTAAAATGAAGTGGAAGTGAAGAAAACCCACCATAGTAAGTAGAAAAAATTCCATGGTAAATGCTGAAGAAAATGCATTATTTAGTCTAGAGAAGTGTGAAGGAGAAACAATAAACTATTTTTTCTAATATAGAAAGAGTATTTATAAAATTAGTGAGTACATAAACAAATTTGAATAAATAAACTTAAACTCAAGCAGAAGACTTATTGCTTATAAATGAAGACAGTTTATAATAATAATACTGAGATGTTGTAAAATATTGTTGTTGGAGACCAATAAGATAAACACAAACACAATTATTACCTGGAGAATCATGACTAAAACTTTCAAGTTAGACTTTAAACATCCTTGCCAGGCTTAGTTTTTAAATATTTGACTACATATTATTTAGTTTTCTTAATATGACCTAGACTTCCAAATTGTTTCCTAAGCTCTTGCTCTTCCTTCCATCTATAAATATAGTCACACTCCAGCTCTGTTGAAATCCTCACACTCTTCCAAGGACAATTTCAAAGGATAAGTTCTTAATGAAGTAGGTCCTGATTGATAGCGTTCCTCTCTGAAATCCACAGAATGTATTTTTATATTTTTATTAGCTTTTTTCCTCTCTTTCCCCACCCCCTCTCTCCCTCCATCTCTCCTTTTCTTCTTGCCTCTCTCTCTCTCTTTCTCTCCCTTCAACAAGGACATAGCTCTTTCTTGTAGTATGTAGAAGAAATTGTTGCTTTAAACTGTTGGATTACAACATTAAAAATCTGCATGGGTTTTTAATGGCAAGTTAATATCTGTTTTATTGCATGTTAATTGAAACAAGGATTAAAAATAATGTTTTATTTCTTTTTATTTTATAATATTAATGTACCTTGTCTTCAGATGATTAAGAGAGCATTTAGTATTGAACTTTAACATACATCGATTTATTTATATTAGAAATCAATAAGTAGAGAATCAAGCCTTTGGTATAATTTAGATCTAATATTATGTTACAAAGTAAGTAACTAATTAAATGATTTTAAGTAGCACATTCATTCAGACAATTGATAAGTAGTATTTATAAGCAACAAGAGAAAGCGTATGAAATAGTAATTTGTTAAATCTAATAAAAGCTCACAATCAAATGGCAAAAAATGTAATATTGTTGTATTAGACCATTCTCACCCTGCTATAAAGAAATACCTGAGACTAGGTAATTTATAAAGAAAAAAAGTTTTAATTGGCTCATGATTCTGTAGCTACAGGAAGCATGGCTGGTGATGCCTCAGGAAACTTAGAATCATGGCAGAAGGCGAAGGGGAAGCAGGCAAATCTTCACATGGCCAGAGCATGAGGAAGAGAGAGGAAGGGGAGGTGCTACACACTTTTAACAACCAGATCTCATGAGAACTCACGCACTATCACTAGAACAGCAAGGGGGAAATCTGCTGCCATGATCCAATCATCTCTCACACCAGGTCTTTCTTGCAATATTGGGGATTAAAATTTGACATGAGATTTGGGCAGGAACACAAATCCAAACCATATGAATCGTGTAGACCACCCTTTACAGCACATTTGAAAGGTCTTTAAACATTTTAAAACTTTGGGCTAAGCTCCATAGATGTATGAAAATAAAAATATATTTCTGTAAGGGATTTTACATTTCTTCATGAAACTAACCTAAGACTAGAAAATGGTTTGTATTCTGAGGAGAACTTCAACAAAACTTGTAAAATTATGTAGAAGATTCACATATGAAAAATTTACTGGCAGATGGGACTTAGGGAGCCCTCAGTGTATATGCAACTCTCTGATTATTAAATCTAATCCTAGTTGGAAACTGCATTTTGTTCCTCAATCCCTTATGAAATCATTAGGCTATATCTATATATTTTATCTGGATTGGACCTCTCTTAATACAATAAAAATAATATAAAATAGTGTTTCTTAAATTTCCAGGTAAACATGGAAATGATGGCAGCCCTAATGTAAAGAAATATCTCTCCTTACATTGTCTATTTGCAAGAGGACTCCAGAGAAAGAAATGAGATGTTTTTATTGCTCTACTTGTCAGCAATGATAAATGCAACTGGGAGAAATAATTTGAGGGCTATAAGAAACATCCCTGCAGAATACAAACTTGGTTAAATTTTTGAGCAACAGTTTAACCTATTACTTATTGAAAAAATTATTAGATAAATAAAAACAGTTTACAAAAATTGGGCGAAAACAAAGGAAATTAATAAGAATCTACTCATGTATGTGTGTGTGTGTGTGTGTGTGTGTGTGTGTGTGTGTTTGTGTGTGTAAGATTGCAGTTAAGGCAATCTCTACAAATAACCAAAAACCAAAGTATTATTCCTAAAAGCTGTCCATTCTTAATTTATAAAATATGATAATTTAATTTATTTTAGGAAAATAATACATGTAATAATGAAATACTGAAGACCAAAAGTTAAATATAAATTGAAAAATAAATTCTGGTCATACACATTAATACTAACTCAGAAATATTCAAGACATCTATGTATATGTAGATAGAAATTTTTAAAAATATGGGGATCAGTGGTGAGAAATGCTTTCTAAAATTGGAATAATTTTGTAAATAATGCAATAATATCCACCTGACTATGACCACAGGGGATAGACAGCAGTCCACCAAAGATTGATTTATCTGGTAGCTGCAACAAAGGAAGGTTTCCAAGAGGAACCATTGGATTTCTCTCTCCTAAAAAAACAAGGGATTGTGTTGACACAGGATTTGGGGAAGTGTGTGTTTTTGGTAAAATTTAATAAATGAGTACTTTGATAGTCCTAGCAAAACTGTGCTGTGTGTAAAAAGTTTAATATCAGTTATTGTATCCTGAGTGGAACCAGGTCCTATTTTTGTTTTGAAATCTAAAACGTGAAGATAAATTTGCACTACTGTGTTTGGAAACCTCTAAACTGAAGTCTTGTGCCTAGATTGGAAATGGAGGATGCCTCTCTGTGTCAAAATGACTCAGATCCTTCAGGCAAGAATGGAGTGTGCCATTATTTTATGATTGCAAGCAGCAATGTCTCCAATAGCCTATGATTTTAGAGACTATTTCCCCAGCATTATGTCTTTTTGTTAGTTAACATAAATGGCATTTACAAGTTTGCCATGGAATCCTGCAGTAGCCACATTTTAGCAAACATATTTGATTTATTATTTTCTTTATTTAACAACAAAAAAAGAACATCAAATGACAATGTAGCTAAAGATGATAATGTTAGTATAATTTCTCCCTCAGAATAAGGGAAGTATTGCTCCATTGGCTTCTACTATTGAATCTTACTGTGGAAAAATCAAAGGTCAGACTGATATTTTCCTTTAATTGACATTTTTCCTCCTATGTACAGGATAACTCTGTTTTTTCTTTGTTTTTTTTTTTTTTTTTTTAATTTTTGGTGTCTCCGTGGCATTCCAAAGAATTTTAGTGTTTATTCCACTTGGTCAAGGGCATATCATAGCCCTGTATCCCTGTACAAATACAACTTATGGCTTCACATTGGACCCTTAACTAAGCACGGGCCTGAATTTATCTTTTCATCTAAACATTAGCCTATTTGTTTTGCCTACCCTACTTGACTCAACTTACTTTCTCCAGCAGGTCCTCTCTGCTAACTCTAAAGATGGATGAGATAAAAGTACTTGTATTTTTATATCCTGTTTTTAATTCTTTGCAATGGAAGAGGATCATTACCTAGGCATCTTAGTGTGTCTCCTCCTTTCCAAATGATCATATGTATTTGCTGTCTTTGTTTGGGTGTTTAAGTTCTGCAGAACCCCATCTGCAGGATGATTAATTCCATGAATATATAGTCATTTTGTCTTTCTAGTTTGCTTACCTACTATTAAAGCACACTAAATGATGAGTTCAGGGACCAACTCCTCATTTTCCTGAGAACCCCCTGGTGAGGTAGAACCCACTTCTGGGATCCTGGACATTTTTATTTTTTCCACAGCTGACTATTTTCCTTTCCATTATCTTGAATTTAAGGTATATTAATATGTAATACAAGGATTTAGTCAGCTTGCCTTTTTTCCCAAACTTTATTTCGGTGATGTTAGTGCAGAGATATCAGCCAGAGACCTCTACTGAAATATTCTGTCTTTCTTTGGCCACTTCCATGAGGTTTTGGAAGCTTTATTTTTCTGCGGTAGACAATGACTTTCATTATTTTGTTGTCGCTACTTTAAAAAAATGGCGGGGAAGGGAAGATGTGGGAGTGTCTTCTTTGATAGGAAATGTGGAGATTATCTGAAATTAAATACATCTTGCTTCTTGACACAGATCCTAATTTATTACATGTAGAGTATTGAAGGTTTAACGTTGTTTAACGAGATGGAGTTTTATTTCTGTTACAAGACTGTTGGTATGTTTTACATATATGAATGCATCTTTTATATTATATTCTTCCTCTTCTAAATTCTAATTAAAGTATATAGAATTTTAAATCCAATAAATAAAAAATATAAATACAATTAGTTTCTCAACACTAATTATATTAGTAGCTTTGTAATAAATACAGCTCTCTTACTATTTCTCAAAAGTGATTTTGATTTTTAAAAATGTTTAAAATATGTCATTTTATAATTATGATCATTATGTTATTTAATATTGTAGATAGCATATATGGAGTGAGAATCTGATAAAATATTAGAGTATCTGAATTTTGAAACATAATAATTATTTTTCCATACAATAGAAAAAATATTTTCACATAGATAGCAACCAAATTGCCAAGAGTTATTCAATTTCTAAGCAGTTCCCAATCATAGTATTGATTACCCAGTAACTTCTCATATACCTCTCTGTTTTACTGTATTGAAGAGTGTAGTACTGAAACTTTGCAAAGATTTTTATCATGTTATCACATCCCATCAACTTTTTCTCATTCATGACTTTGGTTTAACCTTCACTAAAGTATTCCAAAGGACTTTTCATTTTCTTGCTAAGATTCACAATAATTTCTGAAGCAAATCATACAATATGTATAAAAGATATACACAGCTTAATAAAGCTATGTGTTCTGATTTTTCTCCCCTTCTCTCCCCTTTTCTCACAGACCACATTTGTATTCTATTATAGTAAAAACATTTGTAGAAACAATTGTTCTATTACATATTTTCTTTCTATTTTAGCCTCATGGTTCTTTAATATAGTCTGAAAAAAATGAATACTATTTTAGGCTACTATGCAGAGAAGTGTCATTTTTATCTAATCTCCTTTTGATAATACGCCTAGATCTACCTCTGAAATTCAAATATGAAATCTTTAAACATCCTTGATTTTAATTCTCAGAAACCACAAAAGTTTTTAATCCCTTTATTTTTGTGAGTTTCTATACTTGGCATAAATTTTTATCTTATTCTAAATATGCAATTACATGCTATCAAATATTCATTTCAGACTACATACAGCCTCTGCCTTCCCACCTCCAATCTTATTCCTAGCCCTAAATTTCACCAGTCCTCTTCTCTTGCTTATAATCTTAATTATGGGGACTCAAATATTCCCAATGATGTTACTTATATTTTTTAACTTTCTTTTTTAATCCAGAAATGGTATCTCCTGGACTTTTTATATTTTACTATCTCTGTATTTTTCTACATTAAACCTCTTTCAGAAGCTCATTGACACCTGTTTCACTAATTATTTCTGATAAAATTTTCACAATGTTTTTAGTTAGTTCTGATTAATTTGACAATATTGTTTTCTGTAGATATACATAGCATTGCTTTATATTAAAAAAACTTTCAGAATAACAGTACTCCAAATGACATTTTCACAAAGTTATATTAAATCCTGTATTACGTCCTTTCCATCAGTATTATAGGAAATGGGTGTTTTTAATCTTGCTTTGTAGTTTTTATTCTATGAAAATTTATATATATGACTTGGTTTTATTATATAGCATATTTTCTTCCAGTTGAGTTAATAAGTCTAGGTTTAAGTGCAAAAACTATAACAAAACAGTAAAAAGGAAAAGAGCTGAAAATACTTGTCCTGGACTTTTCCTAGGATATTGCCTTAAATCACCACATTTCAACCTATAGCATTATATTTAGCAAACAAACGTCTTTTAGACATTTCAAATATTCAATACATATTTTTAATAATATTGGAAAACAGGAAATGATGAAAATGACACAATCAATGAATTGAAATCACAAATTTCAAAAAATGTGTAAGGAAAAAGCTATTTATTTTGGGTAGATTTTCTGTTTATGAGGTTTAGAAATTTAGTGTCTTATTTTCATGCAAAGTAGGATTTATATGAGAACAATGGTAGTGGGAGGTATAGCAAAAAAAAAATTAAGTCAAAAAGAAAAATTAAGTCATAGATCTTATACATCTAAGTATTCTTACCATAGGTCATTAATAAACCATATATTCATATATGTTCTTAGATAAATGAGGCTACACAATGAAAATTTTAACGAAGTCAACCAGACAACATAACAATAATATGAATGTTTTTAGTTTTGCTTTTCAGAGCCTGGTAACTCTAGTTTTATTCTGAAATGCTCAAAAAGTTAAACTAAATAAATTACTGTTATTAATATCTGAGGAACACTAATCACCTAAGAGAAAACAAAAAGAAAAATGATAGCTGGCAAATTTAAAAATTAATTTATATTTCTTTCTTAGATCCTCAATATAATTTTATTTTGTACATATATTTTTCCTCAATAATATAGTTTAATATAAAAATGAATCTGTTTTTACTCTGAGGTAGTAGACTATACTTTTCGAATAAATGTCTTCTGAAGTGTCAATGCTTTATATATTACACCTAGAGATTTTTATCTCTGCATTGGTATATATTTAAATTTTTTAAAAAGACTTAAAGGTATAGTAGATGAAGAAAATTATACTCTTTTCAAAAACAGTATTTGGGACATTAATCAACATCTTCAAAACATTACAAATGATATCTTTATGCTTCTCTGCATAAGTTATTTTAAAGTGCCATGTATAAGAAGAGAAAAAGTCAATGATGACTTTAGATTAATTTTTTTTTGCTTAAATATTTATTGTCAATTTCTACCTAAGTACTACTATTCCTAAGTGTAACCTTAAAGCATGTCAGTTGGTTATATTTAACCTTACATAGAAAAAACAAAAATGTAAACAAGTTGAGAAAATTAAGCTTATCAAACAATTCTTGTTTCCCCTCTTACGTACATGTTTTGTACCATGTTTTATGTGTTTTAAGAGAACATAAAAATGTAAACAACTTCTTATAATATTCCAAATTTAGAGCAAATATTTTAAGTCAGGTATGTGGTAGAGTGTTTTAATTTGCCACTTCCAAAAGAAGGTACATTTTTCATTTCTAATGTTATGTTCTCTTTCTCCAGAATGAGATCATGGAAGAAAATTTTATCAGGAAGGCTCTGTTAATACAATATGATTTCGGTTTAAAAAAACAAAACAAAAGCAACTATAGAAAGAAGAATTACAGTAAGGACTATAAGTGTACTTTAATACTGATTTCATTTCTTCCTTTTAGTAATCAAATTGCATATCTCCCAAGCATTGACTAAGCTTCCACTTCCTTTGTGTCATTTAACAAGCATTAACTGGAAGTTATTATTAATATATCATTTGGACAATGTAAGGAAAAATCAAACATTTTAGAATAGTGGAAAAGTAAGACAAAATAACCCGGATCCCTGAATGACCTCATGGAATAGAACTGACCACCTGGCTGAGACCCTCTGTGTAACTAAGATTAGCATGAGAGGAAAGTAAAATTCCATATTGCATCTATTGTTTGCAGCTCATTTGGGAATAATTGCTAATAAATATAAAAATATACTTATTAATGACTATGTAAAGAAGCTGCAACATATGGAAATATTTGCAGATTAAATGCTGTAATTAGAGTTGTTATTTTTTTTCTTATAATTATTTACATTCATATCTCAAATCAGTCTTTACTGGATTATTAGCTAGCTTTCTAGAGAACTGAAGATGTATGCATTCCTTAGTAATCTGCCATTATGAAGCCATGTTCTGCCAAGAAGGAGGATATATACATTCCTCACACTTACAGTCCATTAGGCTTCCTCCACTGGGAAAGAGGGAAGGCTGAAAGGAGGGCATTAATGCCCTTGGGAGAAAGGAGTCCTCATGGCCTAATTAACCTCTTGAAGTCCCACCATATAATGCTTTCACATTGGTAGCACCTATATTTCGAAGGTGACACATTAAAGCCATAGCACCTGAGTAGTAGTGAATAATTTTAACTATTGATTTTTTTGGTCTAGAAACTATGATTAGTGAAATTTAGAAAAAAAAACCCTATCAGAAATATCTTAATATACATTTTCTTAGGCTATTTTTAAATATAGTAGATCTTCATGATTCATGAATTCTGTATTTGTAAATTTACCTACTCACAAAAAGTTATTCATAACCCCAAAATCAAAATTTGAGTTTCTGGATGTGAACGTTTCTAGCTGAGGTAGAATAAGATCATGCTCTGAATTTTTTTTTTTTTTGAGGCGAAGTTTCAGTCTTGTCGCCCAGGCTGGAGTGCAAAGGCACAATCTCAGCTCACTGCAACCTCTGCCTCCTGGGTTCAAGTGACTGTCCTGACTCAGCCTGCCGAGTAGCTGAGAGTACAGGTGCCCACCACCACCACGCCCAGCTAATTTTTTGTATTTTTAGTAGAGATGGGGTTTCGCCATGTTGGCCATGCTGTTCTCAAACTCCTGGCCTCAGGTGATCTGCCCGCCTTGGCCTCCCAAAGTGCTGGGATGAAGAGCGTGAACCACCATGCCCGGCCCATGCTCTGAATTCTTATTTCAGATCCTATACTGTAAACAATTGTCCTTTTTTCATCTATCTAGTGTTATGCTTTTCACAATTATTGTATATTTTTTAAATGGCCCAATCATAGAGCTGAAGTGCTGCCCAGAAGTATAAGAGGCTGTGATGTGCTTTATGGACAAAATATGTGTATTAGATAAGATTTATTCAGGAATGAGCCATAGTGTTCAATATTAATGAATCAAATTTATATTAGATTAGATATGTTTAAAGAGAAACACACATAATACAATTTTAAGCATTGATCAGCTCACAAAATTTTGACTAGAGGTTTTCAGGAACCTAACACTGTATTTCCTTTAGGAGCAATAGTTCAGTATTCATTAAGGACCGGTGGTGACTTTATAGAACATAATTGCTGCTAATAATGAGAGTCAGCTGTATATATTTTAATAATTTCATAGAAATACAAGTGAATGTGATTCTATCTCACTGTAATTTTTTTCTAGAATCAGATATGATAGATAAAATATTGTTGCTTCCCTACTTTCCTTTCTTCTTTGTTTCTTTTATCCATAGGGTGTTGACAATTGTTTTTCCTTTCTGTGTCTACATATTCCCTACAAAGTTCATGTATAGAAGACATCTATGGACACGTTATTTTTAAACCTCACCCTTAATGATTACAAACCTTAATTTTCTCATAGAAGTATTTAATCTTTGCTTATCTCATCATTATTCAGCTTTAAGTTAGGTTTTAGTTGATTATGACATGAAAGAAAAATGGAATTTGCTTTCATCCATCCATTCAGTCCTTACTACTTTTGAGCTGAAGTAACTGTTCACATCTGTTGCACATTTTTAATGTGTGCTTGCTTATTATTTATTTGTAAGAGTTCTTTTTACATAAACTGGTATCAATCATTTATTAGGCATATATTTTTCTAACATTTTTCTCCTAGCCTGTAGATTATTTATATTTTCTTAATGTCTTCTGAATAACCAAAGTTTTAATTTTGATGAGGTCTCATTTATAAATTGTAAAAAGTGTTTGCATTTGTTGTTCTGTAAGAAATTTTCTCCTGGCTGAAGGTGGTTGGAATGATAGCCTTCTATTTTTTTCTTCTAGAAGTTTCATAAATGTAGATTTTACATTTAAATTTGTGACTTATTTATTTTTTAATATGTTGTGAGAAATGTGTGAAGGTTTGGGGTGTTTTGCATGAGAAAATCCAATTATTTTAGGCAAAATTTGTTGAAATGTCCATTATTTTCCACTAAATTGGCTTATTGATTTTGTCAACATTCAAATAGCCTTATATGTATGAGTCTATTTTTAGAGTTTCAATGATCTATATATCTTTCCTTTTGACCATGCAATGCTGTTGAATGATGCTAATAGCAAATTTTGAAATCTGGTACTATAGTCATGGCAGTTTTCATTTTTAATATTAATTTTGCTTTGACTTTCCTATAAGCTTGTCAATTAAATTACTTCAGTTTGATATGCCTTCATTGTATTATATATTTTAATTTCTCTGCCAGTTCTACTTAGCTAGAGTTTGTGTTTTCTGATACAGTGAGATAATTTGAATATTAATGATCATTAAAAATATTTTCAAAAATTAGTTTTAATTTCAAACAAAGATAAAGAACTATGTGACAAGATTTATTTTAGGTTGTATGTGTATTATATTAAATATTTTTAAAAAGTTATCCAGGCAGAGATAGCCTCATAAAGACAATAATGAAATATTTTCATGTTTCTTGAAATTCTTCTCAATCTAATGATTTTTAAAGTATGTTTGCATGATCTTCAAATGATATTTGTTTATATCGTCTTTACTAAAGACAGAACTCTATAACAAATGCTCTAGAACATGTTGAAAACACATAGTTCTTTGCATATAAGGCTTTGAATAAAAGCTTTTGTCTTTAAACAATTATATTATTTTAATCATTACCTTATTTCTTAATTATCATGGCTTACCAAAAAAGTCATCGTGATCACATAATCTATAAATATATTACTGGTTAACCATCTCTACTCTAAAAATCTGAAATCTGAAATACTTCAAAATCCAAAACGTTTTGAACATTCACAAGACACCACAAGTAGAAAATTCCGTACCTGACATCATGTTATGAGTTGTGGTTTAAACACAGTTAAAATTTGGTTTCATGCACAAAATTATCAATAATAATGCAAAGATTTCCCTTCAAGTATGTCAATAAGGTATATATGGACATAAATAAATTTTGTGTTTAGACTTGGGTCCTATCCCCAAGAGAGCTGATTATATATATGCAAATATTTTTTAAAAATCAGGAATCTAGGTCTGGGTCCAGTGGCTTGTGCCTGTAAGCTCAGAGCTTTGGGAGGCTCAGGCAGGAGGATCACTTGAAGTTGAGGGTTCAAGACCAGCATGGGCAATGTATTGAGACTGTCTCTAAAAAATAAATATAAACAATAAAAAAATCCAGAATCCAAAACACTTCTGGTCACAGCATTTTGAACAAGAGATATTCAACGTGTTTGTATCTATATGTATATCTGTTTGTATGTGCGCGTGCGTGTGTGTATGACATAAAGAATGACCTTAACTTGAGTATCACCAATGTCTATGCTTGTAGTCTTTCTTCCCTTTAAAGCACATGATGAAAAAATATAATTGTGTGCATATAATTATAATGCCATAGCTTCAATGGGAACTAAGAACATAAGATGAAAATTAGATTTAAGATCTGGAAGAAATAAAAATTAATAGTTTTAGTTTATTATGAGTGTCAATATTTGAAATTGTAATTAAGTATTTTCCCAACTATTCTTCAGTTGATTAAGATTTTATACAAGTGAAACAGAACATAAGGCATAAACATGACTTGAAGTTAGTTGTTTGAAATTAACTCCAAAGGGAATATAGATTTAAGAACAAAACTTTACATTTGGCAAGATCAGAAGAGAGAGGATCAGTAGGAGTTGTATGTCAGATTGGTCACTTGAGATTTGAGTATACCATTAGCAAAACTGCTGAAAGCTCACCTTGCTGAAAAAATAAATTATTTTCAGAACTACCAGCCTTGTTAAAAGCAACATTTGGAACTGACTAATCCCTGGGGTAGGAGTGCTGCTTTATAGTTTAGAAGATGCTTTTCCATCAAAGAATAATTATACCAATTTGCTCAACTTCTCCTTTAATAAGAAAAGAAGGAAATAAAATAAATAAGAAAAAAATTTAAAAATCTTGAAGAAAGATCGAATTAAGTGCTTGAATTTGAAATCAAGTGCCATTTTATCTGTGATACATGACTGCTATTTTGCATAAATTGTGACACTTAAACATTTGTTCTTGTATTAAAAATACTTTGAATTTCATGATACTTCTCCTCACAATTGTACTAACACAATCATCAGTTCTAAACATGACAGAATATTGCTCATGTGGCCAAAAGAAAATGTATATTAATTGTAACGATTTTCAACATTTCTGTATCTTTTTTGGTCCAAATTTATTTTTAGAACTTTAAGTCCCATGTGCAACATTATGGGTATTACTACTTCCTATCTTAACTGAAAGTTCCCATTCAGTTGCCTGAGCTTCTCATGTCTCACCAGGATCAAATATACCTAAGGAGGAACCTCTCAATTCAGATGCCACATCTTATATGTGGGGAGATGAGTACAACCAGGCGATGATATTAATATTTGTTATGAATATTACTGATTATAAAAATACTCACTAATTGATTTTATTTTTTGTTGTTTTAGACAATGTACAAGCACCTTCTCTGTTAAAAGAGTATTAGATTAAAAGTGAAACCTACAGCCCAGGCCCATAAGGCCCATTTCATTCTTCTCTATGAGTTTAATAATTTTCCATTCCTTCAAGATGGAGTAAAGTACAACAGACTCATATTTCCTCCTATGGTTATACACTGCAGCATTTTCACTTAACATTTTGCCACATCATTTGTAATAAAATTTTATTTTTGTTCAACAGTAAAAATGTCACCATGTTTTTTTTTTTTCTTAAATATAAAGAGTCATGTTTTAAGTGAGATATGCTGGTAACTAATTCCTCACTAAAAGCTTTGTCATAATTTGATCTTTTCATTTCTTAGATATTCCTCATTGTCTAGGTTACTTCTGAATACATGCACACACACTTGTGTGTGTGTATGCACAAGTGAATGAATGTATATATGTACATATATATCTCAAGATAATTTCTACTTCATAGTCATCCTTCCCAATTGGATATAATAGGATAAGTTAGTTAAGGTCATTTACCAATCATTTATAAGATTAGAAATAATTTCAAACTTAGAAATCCCATCTGGCATAACACCATTTGATCAGACATAAACCAACTACTTCCCTTATTCCATTCCATACATCCCGGTCAACCGTGAACCATCAATAACTTCTTTTTGAGTACCACATTTTGATGACTTTTACATCAAGCCAACAATAGCATGACCTAAACCATATTTTGCTGGCTTGTAGATGAGTATGCCATGTGGGACAGAGTTAAAAGACTTCCTGGGGTCAAGCTCGATTACACTTACTGTAGATTGAAAGAATCAAGGCCATTATTCTGTCATAGTAGAAAATACATTTGGTTTGACAATGATTTGTTTTCAAGTCATGCTATTTATAACTGAGCACTTTGTGATCTTCAGAGGGTTTGAAAATTGGCCCTTGAATGATAACCTACAGAACCTTTCCCCATTAACGTTACAGTAGCTAGTCTATAGTATACAACACTATTTTTTTCCTTTGAAAGGTAGTTTATTTTTGTTGTTAAAACTTGTGAAGATGGTAGTCAAAATGTGAATTTACATTGGTGACTAAGTGTACAAGTATGTTTTTTATAATAAAATGAGTACATATCAATTTCTAATATGGTAAGATAAATAAATATTTTTACTTATATTAGTTCTTACATTTTAATAAAGTAAAATAAAGTCATTTTTTCTACTTTTAAAATTGTCCACAAAACTATTAATTAAACAGTTTGTGTGATATAATTTGTCAGCTTTCAAGGTGATGCAAGTATTAAATCATATACTTCTGTAAACTATGAGCTGATTATTTTATAATCGCCAGCAGAACACGAGATCCTAATTTTTAAATCTGTCCTTGCAGTTTGAAGGTTACCTACAAACTTGATTAGAACTGTCAGGCCTCATGGCATCTATTATATATTGTTCCTGTTAAGGTTGCTTATGAAACTATTAGCCTTTTCCTTTGACATTTGCGGTTCTGCATGAATAAGTATGTTTATAATACAGTAAACATGTATTGCTCTTAAGGTAGTTTAAGTAGAGCTCAGTTTAAATAAATTGCTAACAAGTTGTCTATATTGAATTGTTTTTTATTATAATTATAATTCATTGTTCCATTAATAGTCTTATTCTCTTGTCTTATTATTAATTTACAGTAACTAATGTAGACATTTGAAAATTTATATGTAACCGTTAGAATAATAATAATTAATTCAAAAGTGTTAAATGGCCATTATAGGGCATAAGTACAATGGATATATTTAAAATATATTTCAAAATGAAATAAGTTTTACCCCTGTCGGAAGGTTGATTTAAGATTCCAAAATCATCACTTTTAAACCATTTCAATAAGCCATACTTTATGCCTTAAATAAGAACTAATCTATTTTTCTTTCATATTCCAATAGCAATATGTACTGATGTAGCACATATCAAATGTCTGTTATATACATAATTAGGTAGAAATTTGCTTGATTGACTGTGAAGGCAGAATATTAGTTAAATGTTTATCTTCTCAGTTCCTAGCACAGTGTTTTTATTTATATTAGTTCTTAAATTTTAATTAAAGTGAATTAGAAGTAATTTTTTCTTCTTTTAAACTTTTTGGCAAAACTATAAGACACATTAAAAATATAATTTAGTTAATTATTGGAAATAATTTTTAAAACTGCAGTAAATTATATATTTAAGATACATATTTATGCTTCCATGAGTGTAGAATCTAAAATCAAGAATTAAAGGAATACATTGATTGAGGCTTATTTTTAGATCAGAAATTTTCTTTAGTGAAATATATGTAGTCGTCCCTTGGTATTGGCAGGGGATTGGTTCTAGGAAACCCTCAGATATCAAAATACATGTATGCTCAGGTTCTTGTGGAACCCACTAATGGGAAAAATTGGTTCTCTTTATACACCTGTTTCGCATTCCACAAATACTATATTTTCACTTGTGTACACCTATAAATGGAACTGTGCAGTTCAAATCTATGTTTTTTAAAAGTCAATTGAATCAACTGTAATAAAAGAACAATATGTGGCTAATTTCATACAAAAGAGACTCAAAAATTAGTAGGCCGTGTCCATGTAAATACGGACTGATTCTCTTTAAATTGTTTTAATCCCCTCTGAATGCTAAACAAGATATAGATTTTGAAAAATAAACGCAGACCACATATTTTTAAGATCATTAAAATAAAAGTATAAAAGGAAAGAGTTAAAATGGGAGGATCGGACCTTCCAGGATATGATTACCAATGTAAATTAGATATATTCAAGTGATTTTTTTTCCAAGTCCCCAGTGCTACTTGTTTTCTTTGTTTCCTACCACTGAGATGAGCATTGTACTGAGATGGAAAGAAAATAAATTTGAATGGTAATTTTCAGATGAAAACATTCAATCCCGTAATGGATCATTAGCTTTATTTCAGTTACAGAATGCCAATATTGTTCTCTCTTACAAGGAACCCAGAATTCTGAGCTTGTTATGTATGTTTCTAAAGACAATTGATAAATTACTATGCTTTTTTAATTTTTGGTAGCTGACCAAACAATATGTGTGTAGTAGCCATTCTTTCTAAGATATGGGGATTTAGTGTGCACTATTTGATAATTTTGTACTCAGCCCATGTTAGCAAAATGACTAAAAGGTGCTACTCAAATATAAAGTTCTGTTTGTTTTATTGCAGGGAGTTTAATATCATTTATTGGTGTCATATTTCAGTAATATTTGGTGCTAATAATTAAAGGTTTAGTTATATAAAGTTAGGACAATGGCAGAAAAGTATAAATTAACATATAACAGGGGTACAAAACCTATGGTAGGAGCAGAAGGTAGAGCAAAACCCCCTGGAATTGGCATCAATTCAGTTTAGAGGGAAGAAAACTTCCCAAAGAGTCACTTTCACCCTCTAGTAACTCTGTATAATTAGAAACAAGAGTTAAAATATCGATGGTTCAGGAAGAAACATTTCATTCAATGATCAGGCCAATAGATGAGTTCCAATAAATGGTAGTGAAAATGAGGTATTTTGCAAGTTGGGACAAAGAACAAAAGAAAAATAGTTTAGAAACTGAGCTCAGAGCAATATTTGGAGTTTGTGGTCAGTCAACTTTATCCTTGAATACTTGCTGTGCTCCCATGATTGGTAGCTTCAAAAGAGCCAAAATAGATCTTCCTTTTATGATAAAAGGAATTTATCATAATTCCTAACCAATAGACCTCATCTGAATTGAGATAAGAACATATGTAAAAAGAGAAACTAAAATTTTCAGTAAAACAGGTAGAGAAAAATATATTCCAGGACAAATAGGGAGTCTGTAACTCTTTGACACTTTATTTTGACTCCTTTTACATAGTTTGTATATTGTTTTTCAAATTGAAAAAATACATACATTTATTTTAGTACACGCTAAGGCATTGGATAAATCTGCTCTTTTCTAAGACTTACCGAACCAGCTCATCACTTTACCCTCAATTGGTGTTTTTTTTTGCATAGTGACAGCACAAATGAACAGTTGTAAAATTAAGCATCCTTCCTGGTGAAGGTCAGGAGGAGGCCCTAGTGATTTGGACAAATTCTCTACTGGCTGCCCTATTCCGATGTCATCCTTTCCTTCTGAAAACAATGATGTAAGATTTCCTTACTGTTCAATAAAACTACTATGGAGTAGATTGCTATTTAAAAAGAACAAAGTATTTTTTACTCATTTCTTTGTGTTGACACGTTATCAGTGACATCCACAAGCAGAAGGTGATGTCATATTATTTAAATTCCTATACTATGTGGTGTAGTTATTAAGGGAAAAGGAATTATTGCCTACGTTGCCCAAAGCTCATTAGCTACCTGATGTTCAGCGTATGTAAGTCTCAAAGGATAGCTTAGGAAATCTCAAAGCCTGAGATCATTTCAGCGTGGCAGATTCTTCAGGTTGAATGTGTCTATTTTTAAATTAAAAAAAAAAAGATAAAAATAAAGCTGAAGACGTGAGTGTAAAATTTTATTTTGTTTAAAATGTGTATTTATTACCAGTTGAAATCTGAATAATTAATATGTAAATCTAGAGATGTCAACTTGTAAAACTAATTCACCATCTACTAGGAAGGCCAAGCAGCTTGGCATTACCTAGGCTATCTTACAATGGCCCAGTATTTTTTTCAGGTTTTATTATAAAATCAGGGGTCACATGTGGAGGCTTGTTACAAAAGTATATTGCATGATGCTGTGGTTTGGGAACCTGTCACACAGACAGTGAGCACAGGATCCAATAAGTAGGTTTTTTTAGCTCTTGCCCTCCTCTCTCCCTTCCCCTTCTAGTAGTCCCCAGTATCTGTTGTACCCATCTTTATGTGCAAAAGTACCCAATATTTAGCTACCCTTATAACTGAAAACCTGCACTATTTGATGTTCTGTTCTGCATTAATTTGCTTAGGATAGTAACCTCCAGCTGTATCTATGTTGATGCAGTGGATGTGATTTTGATCTTCTTCTTTTTTTTTTTTTTTTTTTTTTTTTTGAGACGGAGTCTCCCTCTGTCTCCCAGGCTGGAGTGCAATGGCGTGATCTCGGTTCACTGCAACCTCTGCCTCCTGAGTTCAAGCCTCCCAAGTAGCTGGGACTACAGGCTTGCACCACTGTGCCCAGCCTGGGACTACAGGTGCCCGCAACCACATGTGGCTGATTTTTGTATTTTTAGTAGAGATGGGTTTTCAGCATTTTGGCCAGACTGGTCTTGAACCCCTGACCTAAGGTGATCCACCTGCCTCGGCCTCCCAAAGTGCTGGGATTACAGGCATGAGCCACTGCACCTGGCCGATTTTGATCTTCTTAATAACTTCATAGTATTCCGCAGTATACATGTAACAAATATTCTTTATCCAATTCACCTTTGATGGGCACCTGGATTAATTCAATATTTTGCTATTGTGAATAGTGTTGCTATGAACATATGGTTGCATGTGTCCTTTTGGTAAAATGATTTATTTTTCTTCCCCTGTAAGGGGATTGTTGGGTCAAATGGTAGCTCACCTCTCAGTTATTTTAAAAATCTTCAAACTCTGCCCCACAGTGGCTGGATTAATTTACGTTTCCACCAACAGTGTGTAAGAGCCCTCTTTTCTCCTTTAATGAAAGCCATTATGACTGGTATAAGATCCTATCTCATTGTGGTTTTTATTTGCATTTCTCTGAAGCTTAGGGATGATAAGTATTTTTTTCATGTTCACGGGCTGCTTGTAAGTCTTCTTTTGAGAAGTGCCAGTTCATGTCCTTTGCCCACTTTTTAATGGGGTTATTTGCTTTTTGCTTGTTGATTAAAATGCCTTATAGATTTTGGATATTAGACCTTTGTTGGATGCATCATTTGTGAATATTTCCTCCCATTCTGCAGATTGTCTGTTTACTCCATTGATAGTATCTATTACTGTACAGAAGCTTTTAGTTAAGTCGGTCCCACTTGTCAATATTTGTTTTTGTTTCAGTTGCTTTTGAGGATGTAGCCATAAATTCTTTCAAGGTCAAAATTGATAAGGGTATTTCATAGGTTTTATTTGTAGGATTTTTACAGTTTGAGGTCTTAAATTTAAATCTTTAATCCTACTTGAGTTAATTTTTTTGTATATGGTGAAAGGTAGGGGTCCAGTTTTATTCTTCTCCATATGTATAGCCAGTTACCCTAGCACTATTTATTGAATAGGGAGTCTTCCCCATTGCTTATTTTTGTTGAACTTGTCAAATATGGGATAGTTGTAGGTGTGTGGCTTTATTTCTGGGTTCTCTAGCCTGTTCAATTGGTCTGTGTATCTGTTTTTATACTAGTATCATGATGTTTTGGTTCCTGTAGCCTTGTAGTATAGCTTGAAGTTGGGTAATGTGATGCCTCTGGCTTTGTTCTTTTTGCTTAGGATTGCTTTGGCTATTCGGGATTTTTTTTTTTTTTTTTGGTTCCATATGCATTTTAGAAGAGTCTTTTTCCTAAATCTGTGAAGAATGTCATTGATAGTTTGATAGGAATAGCATTGAATCTGTAAATTGCTTTGGCAGTATGATTTTTCCATTTATTTTTGTCATCTCTGATTTGTTTCAGCAGTGTTTTTGTAGGTTTTGTTTTGTTTTGTTTTGTTTTTATCGAGATCTTTCTACAAGAAAGAAGATGTTTTCCTAGGTGTTTTATTTTTTGGTCGCTATTGTAAATGAGATTGTGTTCTTGATTTGGTTCTTGGCTAAAACAGTATTGGTGTCTAGAAATGCTACTGATTGTTGTACATTAATTTTGTATACTGAAACTCTACTGAAGTTTATCAGTTCCAGGAGCCTTTCGGCAGAGTCTTAAGAGTTTTCTATGTATAGAATCATATCATCAGCAAAGAGATATACTTTGAGGAATTCCTTTCCTATTTGGAAGCTTTTTATTTTTTTCTCTTGCTTGATTGCTCTGGCTAGGACTTCCTACTGCTAGGTTAAATAAGAGTGGTGACAGTGGACATCCTTATCCTCTTCCAGTTCTCAAGGAAAATGCTTCTAACTTTTGCCGGTTTAATATGATGTTGGCTCTGGGTTTGTCACAGATGGCTCCTATTATTTTGAGGAATATTCCTTTGATGGCTAGCTTGTTGAGGGATTTTATTGTGAAAGAATATTGAATTTTATCAAAAGCTATTTTAGTATCTTCAGATTATCATGTAATTTTTGTTTTTAATTCTGTGTGGTGAATCAAATTTATTGTTTTGTTGAATCAAACTTAAATCTCAGGAATGAAGCCTACTCGACTGTGGTGAATTAACTTTTTGATGTGCTGCTGGATTCAATTTGCTAGTATTATGTTGAGGATTTTTGCATCTATGTTCATCAGCGTAATTGGTCTATGATTTTGTTGTTACTGTTGTTGTTGTATCTTTGTCAGGTTTTGATATCAGGGTGATGCTGGCTTCATAGAATGAAATAGAGGAGAAACGCTCTTCCTCAATTTTTTGGAATAGTTTCAGTAGGATTTGTAACAATGCTTTATTTTCTGTTCTGATATCATTTAGTTATGAATCTACCTGGGCCAGGGCTTTTTTTTGGTTGGTAGGTTTTTTTTATTATTGATTAAGTTTCGGAACTCATGACTGGTCTGTTCAGGTTTTCGTTTTTTTTTTCCTATTTCAGTCTTAGAAGGTTGTGTGTTTCCAGGAATTTACCCATTTCCTGTAGGTATTCTGGTTTGTGTGTATAGTGGTATTCATAATAGTCTCTGAGGATCTTTTGTATTTCTGTGGGATCACTTGTAATGTCTATCTTTGTCATTTCTGATTGTGCTTACTTGTAAATTCTCTCTTTTTATTTTTTTGTTCTTTGTTAATCTAGTAAGCAGTTTATCATTTTTTTAATTCTTTCCAAAAGTTAACTTTTGGTTTCATTGATTTTCTGCATGGATTGTTATGTCTCAATTTTGTTCAGTTCTTCTCTGATTTTAGTTATTTCTTTTCTTCCACTAGCTTTGAAATTGATTTGTTCTCTTTTTCATTACTTCCTGTAAGTGTGATGTTAGACTGTTCATTTGAGATTTTTCTAACTTCTTGATGTAGGCATTTTGCATATAAGCTTTTCTCTTTACATTGGTTTAGCTGCATCTCAAACATTTTGGTATGTTGTGTCTGTATTTTCACTAATTTCAAGGAATATTTTGATTTCAGCCTTAACTTCACTGTTCACCCAAGAGTCATTCAGGGGCCAAATATTTAATTTTCATGTAATTGTTTGGATTTGTGAGATGGTTTTGGTATTAATTTCTATTTTTATTGCACCTTAATCCACTAGTGTCTTTAGTATGATTTCTGTTTTTTCGAATTAATTGAGACTTGCTTTATGGCAGAGCATGTGGTTAGTCATACAGCACAATCTGTGTATAGATGAGAAGAATGTATATTCTGTGGTTGTTGAGTGGAGTATTCTGTAGGTGTCTATTGGATCTATTTGGTCAAGTGTTGAGTTTAGGTCCAGAATTTCTTTGTGAGATTTCTGTCTCAAAGACCTGTTTAATGATTTCAGTAATGTGTTGAAGTCTCCCACTATTATTGTGTAGCTATCTAAGTCTTCTTGTAGCTCAAAAATAACTTGTTTTATAAATCTGGGTGCTCCAGTGTTTAGTACATATATATTTATGATAGCTAAGTCTTCTTGTTGAATTGAACTCTGTATTATTATGTAATGTAATGCTAATTCCTTGTCCTCAATTGTTATTGGTTTGAAGTCTGTTTTATCTGATGTAAGAGTAGTTACCCTTGCTGTTTTTGGTCTTCAGTTTGTATGATTGATTTCTTTCCATTCCTTTAATTTGAGTCTGTGGGTGCCATTACATATGAGATAGGTCTCTTTAAAGCAGTACACAGTTGGGTCCTGTCTCTTTATACAATTTGCTACTTTATGCCTTTAAGCAGAACATTTAGATTGTTTACATTCAAAGTTAGTATTGATATATGAGATTCTGACTTGTTATCATGTTGTTAGCTGGTTGTTTGTAGATCTGATGACTTGATTGAGTATTTACTTTGAGTGTCTGTGTGCTGAGTGCTTAACTGTGTTTTGGTGGCAGTTGATATTGTGCTTTCATTTTCATGTTTACCACTCCCTTAAGTACGTCTTGTGAGGTTAGTCTAGTGGTAACAAATTCCCTTAGCATTTGTTTGTGAGAAAAGGATCCTATGTCTCCTTTGCTTATGAAGTTTAGTTTGGCAGGATATGAAATTCTTGGTTGTGATTTCTTTTCTTTAATGATGCTGAAAGTAGGGCCCCAGTCTCTTCCAACTTCTCAGGTTTTTGCTTAGAAGTTCACTGCTAAGTTGATGGGGTTCACTTTATAAAAGGGGCCCGACCCTTCTGTCAAGCTGCTTTTAAGATTTTTTCTTTCTTGTTGACCTTGGTGAACCTGATGATTCCATGCCTTGGGAATGTTCATCTTTTACAGTATCCTGCAGGGGTTCTCTGTATTCCTAAAATTTGCATGTCAATCTCCCTAGCAAGACTGGGGAGATTTTCAAGGACTCTATCTGCAAACATATTTTACAACTTGCTTGTTCTCTTTCTCTCTCATGAATGCCATTGAGTCATAGGTTTGGTCTCTTTAAATAATTCCATATTTCTTAGAGGTTTTGCTCATTTTTAAAAATTATTCATTTATTTATTTTTTGTCTCACTTGCTTTGGAGACCTGGTCATTAAGCTTGGAGATTCTTTCCTCAACTTGGTTTACTCTGCTATTCATGCTCCCAACAGTATTAAGGAATTCTTGCAGTTAACTTTTAAATTCTGATACTCAGTTTAGTTCTTTCTTAAAAAAGGCTATTTCATCTTTCAATTCCTGTAGTGTTTTATTGGATTCTTTTCCTGGAGCATTTTATTGAATTCCTTGGATTGGGTTTCAACTTTCTTCTGAATCTTGGTGAGCTTCCTCGCTATCCAGATCCTGAATTCTATGTTTATCATTTCAGTCATTTTAATATGGTTAAGAACCACTGCTGGAGGGCTGTTTCACTCTTTTGGAGGTAAGGGAATACTCTCGCTTTTTGAATTTTCAGAGTTCTTTCACTGATTCTTTCTCATCAAGAGGGCTAGTGTTCCTCTTTTTGATTAGCTGTCATTTGGATGGGGCTTTTGGTTTTATATTATTTATTTCTCTTGAGGGTTTAACTGTAATATAGGTTGAGTGTACTCAGCTGGCTTCATTTCTGGGTGCTTTCAGAGGGCCAAGGCTCTGTATGGAACGTGTATTTGTTGTGAGATTGTAGCCCTAGATTTCACAGGCAATGTATATTTTGGGAATAGTCTTTGGGTTGTGAGATTTAGGCTGCCATCCAGTAGGTGGCACTGAAGAGTAATGGCCAGCAGATAGGCTTACTTAGCCACGTGTCTTTTCTGTATTTCAGTGCGTTTGCAGCACTCTCTGTGGCTGGCCGGGGGTGGTGGGTTGTGGAGAGACATGACCCCCTCTCCTCTCCAGGTCCACTCCTGGGCCTTAAGGAAGCCTCTTGTGATTACTGGTGCTTTACATGTGTTTCTTTTGTTAGATGTTCTGGGCTACGGGGCTCCCTTGGGCAAAACCTGCAGTTGGCAGAAAAGCTAGCTACATCCTTCCCAGACCAGCCCTGTGAGGGGAGGCATGTTCTGCTACTCTGCCAGCCCACAAACCACACATCTTTCATCCCTTTTCAGTGTTCTGAGACTGAGGTCTCCCCTGTCCGCTCAAGCACCAGCCACAGATCGCAGCTTGACACTCCCAAGCTGTGTGCTGCAATCTTGAGGCACTGGGACTGAGCCCATGGCTCTGTATTCTGCCACCCTGAAGTTGGGCACTGGTTGTGCTGGGGGATCCAAAGTGCTTCCAGGCCTCTGGGAAAACACTCAGGTGGGGCCACTGGTAAAACTTCCAGGCTGGGCAGCAGAGGCTGTGCTGTGCACATGCTCCTGCAGGAGCAGCCAGGCAGGGGCCTCTGGAAGGGCTGGCAGGTAGGGAGGCTATTGTAAGTAATCTAGAGTTGATTTAAAGTATATGGGAAGATATGCATAGCTTATAGGCAGATATTACACCATTTCATATAAAGGACTTCAAAATAAGCAGATTTGGGTATTTGTGGGATGTCTTGGAACTAATCCAATGATGCTGAGGAGTGAATGTAACTATAAATGAGAAGTTCTGTAAGGATACGACTGGGGTCCAATGAACATCAGGAATAGAAACAATCTTCTTTGACCATGTGTTTAAATATTTTCTCTATGAAGCAAGGATATTTAAGCTGAAACTGAAGGTCCAGGATAAAGCCAGTTTCCCAGTAGTGAAAAGAAGAGTGGGGTCCTAGGAAAATAAGCATGTATTAAGCACCTGAGTTAGTCAGGGGCTTGGAGTTTTTGAAAATGTGAATAAATGTTCAATCTGCCTACATTGGGTTTAAGAAGGACAAGGAAAAAGACATAAGAGAAAGGGAGAGAGGAGAGTGAGTTTTAATCAGGAAAGTCTCTTGATCTGATTTATATTATAAAAATATGACTGTGGCTGCAGTATAGAAATTGGATAAGGGGGAGGCAAGACTGGGAGTGACAATACTCATTAGATTATCTGCAAAGGGCATATATAAAACCTCCTACATAGCTATCAAAAAATGGTAGCTTAAAAAGTATTATATGTGTAATTAGAAATTCAGCATCACTATAACTTAGCTAATAGGCTTATAGGTCTTTGACCAAAAGGTCATATTATCTATTATCTTGTCACCTGCTACTAGAATCTTGAGCCCCTATAGAAAACTTCATAAAACTCTGATATTGGCTGTATTAAAATTTACTGTAATTCACATTTAGTTTTTTTCAATTTCCTGTCCCAATTTATTTATTCATGCCTAGAAAATTCCTTATCTCATTCTTCATAGGCATTCTTTTTACAGTTAGTTTGATTGAATCTTTCTACGATGTATTTGTAGATCTAAACAACACATTGTACCTCATAAAGATATACAAATATTTGTCAATTGCAAATAAATTAATATAAATAAATTATACCCCATAAAGATATACAAATATTTGTCAATTGCAAATAAATTAATATAAATAAATAAATTGGTACTATGTTTTAAAATAAACTTATTCTTTCTTCTTTCTTTCATAGATTATTTTCTTATTTCTTCCTAAGTATAAAGTATATCATTTTTTCTGGGAACTAGTATCTCTTCTTAATCTACAATTTTTTCTGTTAGGCTAAACCGTACAAAAGTGCCATTCTTGAAGGACAGGAAGAGTTGAATATCAATTTCATTTGGCTCAACTTAATATATTTAATGTAGTCTTTTTTTTTTTTTTTTTTGACAGAGCCTCGCTCTGGCGCCAGGCTGGAGTGCAGTGGAGCGATCTCAGCTCACTGCAACCTCCACCTCCCAGGTTCAAGCGATTCTCCTGCCTCAGCCTCCCGAATACTAGGCATGTGCCACCATGCCCAGCTAATTTTTGTATTTTCAGTAGAGATGGGGTTTCATCATGTTGGCCAGGATGGTCTCTTTCTCTTGACCTTGTGATCTACCTGCTTCGGCCTCCCAAAGTGCTGGGATTACAGGCATGAGCCACAACACCTGGCCTAGTCTTTTTTTTTAAAGACTTTTTTTTTTTTTTAAGAGCAGTTATAGGTTTGTTTATTGAATGACTATTTTTGTGTTTTAGCAGTAATTGTAGTGTTTCCTCTCCTTCTCTTTCTATTCTCTCTTTTTTTGGGGGTAATTTTAGCTCAAATAAAGAGGAGGATCTTCCTATATTAAATAATTTTTCCACTGAAACAAGACAACATGTCACTCATGGTGTATTATTCTGTTTAAGATAATGACTTTTATATTTCCCTTCTCCCTTTTGCTACTGAAGTTTTAGAAAATGTAGCCTATATTTTGCCCCAATTCCTCTATTTCTTGCAAACAAATTGTTTTTTGCCATTTTGCTTTCATAAATTTTATTAGTAATAGCCTATATTGCAAAATACAAACATATCACATTAGTTCTACTTTATTTTAATATTATGCTGAGACCTGTTTTTTTAGGGGATGGGAAAGGGAAGTTTCCAATGCAGACTGTCTGGGTTTGAATTCAAACAATAAAGTATTGTTATTAAAAGTTATTACAATTAAATAGATTGCAAGTTATTTAGGTTGTGGTATCCTCCTTTGCAAATTTGGGTTTATAACAGTAAACATTTCATTGAGTTTTGAAGATTAAATAATTTAATAAATTTAAATACTCCAGAGCAATGTTTGCTACTTCCTCAATTATACCAAGGTGTATTGTAATTTCTCAATAAGTGTTAAATATTTTCACTATTGATGACATATTTTTCCTTTTTGTGGCACTACTCCCTGTCAGCTCTCCATTTCAGAGGGGTTAATTTTCATAGGGACCATAGTATCCTTGTCATTTGCAAGTGATTTGCCAGTCTGGAAAATGTTTTCATGTTTTTTCCTGTATAATAAAGCTTTTTGAAAGTAGAATCTTCATCTGTATCTGTTGACCACTGTGTAAATTATATTCATTACTGTGCCTGACAAATGGTGAGTACCCAGTGAATATTATTAGATTCATAAATGAATGAATGAACACCTTTCAAAATTTATAGTCCAGAAACCTATGGTGGACTCTCAAATAAAAACTTAGAAATGGTTTAAGAGGATAACATGACCATTAATTTACATTAAAAGACATGTGAAACACAGATGGTAAGGATCTAATGTTTAACTACCTTCTTTCCTTTCCAGGTAATGGAAGTTCCCATGTTCAAAGTCTAAATTACCACATGGTTTTATTTCCTCTTCTTTTATTATTTTTAAACATTTGGTTGCATAAAAACTATTTAAAAACACTTTACAGTTAATTTAGCACATACGCCATGCTAATTGTATGATACTTGGGATTTAACAAATGTATAAAATACATTCCTATTTTCAGAATATCCTAGTTTTTGCTATTTATTATGGGAGGTACTTTTGTCAAATTAAAACAATTATAGTACCAACAGTAATAGTAACCAAACAAAATATTGTATTACCACTTGCTACTACCTACATATCAGGGGAGGTGATAATTAATGTCTGGTTTATTCACAGACTTACTCTCTCCCTCAGCTCATTTTGATCAGAGTAATGAATGAAGTAGAGACACAGGAAAGTGAGTAAGTCAAAACTAATTTACATAGGAAAGAAAGTTCAGGCACTGTATAAGAAAGGTATAATAGAAAATCCTGTATCCTGGAAGGTGCAGATTGGGGGCAATGAATAGAAGGTAGGTGGTTGGTGTAGAAAATGAAAAAAGGTAATGTAAATTTAGAGAGTTTGAGAAAGTTCTGAAATAGAGAACTGAGAGATTTAAGGCAGTCTCTGTAATACATAGGTATGAAATACACAGATGTAGGAGGAATGGTGGAAGAAGAGAGATATTGACAAAAATGGGCTTAAAAATATTTTGTTTATCATGTAAATGGCATCCCCTTTTTGTGTTTCTGAGAGTCTTTGCTAAAGCTAAATGGTTTTGCAATTACATTATTGAACTGGGATATTTATAAATTTAATTCTATGCCAAGGTCAACTTCAAAGCAAGAGCAACGTGGACTTTGCTTATGTGTTATGTACTATTTATGGAAATAATAGTTTAAGAAACAAATAGTACCTGGCTCAAGAGTTACAACATTTGGAGTAGGATATATACAGACAGACTTGACAAAATAAATGCAATAAAAAATAAAACTCTTTAGAAATATTGTTAATTTCCTGCAATTAAAGATGATATTTTTCTTCTCTTACATATAAATGAAGTGAAAGGTATCCAAGCTAAGTGACTACTTTAGCAATATTATATGAAAAGCATAAGGCAAAGGATCTGAAACTTGAGAAAACTTAAAAATAATAACTAGATAAATATAAATTATTATTATTGCTTCCATAGGGGTTTAGATTTAAGCAGCTGATTTTTAAATTAAATGATTTCTTATTCATTATAACATTTTCAATGATAAAATGGATTTGAATTTAGAATAGAATGGTAGTACTTTACAAATTATACTATTAATCATTGCATGCATTAGAGTAATATCATCTTCTAAATCTGTTAAAATAACTTTAAGTATCAAGAACATGATACACATTGTTCTCTTAGATCATTTTTTGTAGTCACCACCACCATTAATTTCCATCTCAAAATAATCAGGTGATGGTTTTCTCTCCTTTTCAATTTTTTGATGGGATCACACACTGTCATCTTCCTTCTCATTATAAAACTACAATGGCAATCTTGAAATTTCCACTGATAATTGCTAGTATATGGATAACTATCACTTTAAGTTTGCATAGAAACCATACTTTTCAAGCCTGTATCACAAAGTAACTCTAAATTCTGTACCCTCTGATTGACAGTGGGTCTGTGTCTTTCACAGAGTTTTAGTACAAGAGGCAAAGCAAAAGAAAAAATCATTAGCAGTTGTTCACAGGCATACTCTGTGTTTGAATTTGGTAGTGAGCAAGAAGATAAGCTTATCTTATGGAGTATTTTTCTTAATGGTCCCCTAATGTCACTGGAAATAGCAAAGCAGCAGAGTGGGAAAAAAAAATGTGCCTTCAAAACGAACTTAAGAGAGTCTGACTTTATCAGAGAAACTTCCTTTCTATCATTCAGCTATATTTTTCACTTTGAAATTGTTTTTCTTTTGCCTTTCCATGTACAAATTATTAGTATATGTGAGCAGTAAGGAAAGTATAGACTCAACCAAACACCAAAACTTTCATTGAAAGCCAACATAAATAAGAGTTGAATATAACTTTCTGTCACAATCTCATTCTTTTTTTTGTTAAAGTTGTTCTGAGCTGTAGCCAAACCGGGCTAAATTGACCTTAATTATCTGCTCTCTATGACTGCCAACTTCCTACCTTTTAACCTCCTACCTCCTATCTTGAATCAAAATTCTATGGCTGCTAGAAAGCCCAGCTCAATTCTGTCACCTTTTTCATAAAGATTTTTCTCCATAGGTGAAATGCCATGGTACTTCAACTTTACAATTTACAAACTATAGTGATTATACTGCTCCCTAGGGACAAAAGTGAGACAAGGGAATAATGTAAAAGGATGACACGTATTTTATATGCAAAAAAATTGTTTGGGTCTATTAAATAATATGGCACTAATGGGGAGTTTCTGGATCATTATGCGAACCAGATTTTTTAAAATATTAAAGTATGGCCAGGCATGGTGGCTCACGTCTGTGGTCCCAGCACTTTAGGAGGCCGAGGCAGGCAGATTGTCTGGGGTCAGTAGTTCAAGACCAGTCTGGCTGGCACAGTGAAACCCGGTCTCTACTAAAAATACAAAAAAAAAAAAAAATTGGCTGGGTGTAGTGGCATACACCTGTGGTCCTGGCTACTTAGGAGGCTGAGGAAGGGGAATTGCTTGAATCAAGGAAGTGGAGGTTGCAGTGAGCTGAGATCACACCACTGCACTCCGGCCGAGGTGACATAGTAAGACTCCATCTCAAAAAAAAAATTAAAGTATTTGACATGTCTGTTAGAGATCTAAAGCGGGTTTTTTGTTTGTTTGTTTGTTTGTTTTGAGGCAGGATCTCACTCTGTTGCCCAGGCTGGAGTGCAGTGGTGTCATCAATGGTCACTGCAACCTCCATGTCTTGTGCTCAAGCAATCCTCCTGCCTCAGCCTCCCAAACAGCTAGGACCACAGGTGCACAGCACCACATCAACTCATTTTTGTATTTTCTTTTTTTTTTGGTATGGGGTTTCGTCATGTTGCCCAGGCTGGTCTTGAACTCCTGGGGTCAAGCAGTCTACTTGTCTCACCCTCCCAAGGTGTTGGAATTACAGGTGTAAACCACCGCACCCAACTGAAGAAAGGGCATTAATATTTAATAATGCTTTCAATAAAGAAAAATTAGATTACTTTCTGAGTCATTTGGCACACCTACCTATCAGCTTTTTCCCGACTTTTCTTCCTTACTTCAACATTGTTGTTATTCAGTCAGTCAATAAATGTTTATTAATTGCCTGCTCTTTGTTACACACTGTGTGAGAAAAAGGACAGAGAAGTTTATGCCACAGAAAAGAGATATTAAAGAATACACACAAAAATTAAGTACACGATGGCTGTCAGAAACCATGAAGGGTCTGAGATTTTACTGTACTTTTGACCTAGTAATTTCCCCTGTCAGAGTTTCCTGAATCCTGGTAGAAGGTGTGAGACTTCTGGGTAAAGGAAAAATTACTATTATTTACAGCACAGCAGGCAACATGAGCATCCTGTTCACAGCAGTTCTCCCTACTCAATCACACCCACATCTCATAGGGTTTATGCAAATATGGTCCCAATTAGATGCTACACAAACAGTGGGTTTGCTGTATACCTGAGGAACCTGGAGATTATGAAGTCCAGGACATTTTTATTTATTTATCTTTATTCAAATCATAAACACATTTTTTTAAAAAACAGCTCTATTTAAAATATAATTTATGTTTCAAACAATTGATCTATTTAAAGTGAACAGTTAGTTTTTTTTATATGTTACAGCTTTATGTAATCACCATCACAATCAATTTTAGAACATTTTTATCACCCTCTACATAAACCTTATACCCTTCAGTAAGTACTCCCCATTAACCAACTCTCTTCCCACAACCCTAGGCAACCACCAATCTACTTTTTGTCTCTACAGATTTTACAGTATTTGGCATTTCATGTAAGTAAAAATCATAAAATACACGTCTTTTTATGACTAGCTTGTTTCTCTTAACATAATGTTTTCTAGGTTCATTATGTTGAAGAGGCCACAATTTTATATAAGGGGTATCTGGCAACCTGTCCCACCTTAGCAAGGAGAGGGATATTATCTAAATTACATTGGTAAGAAAAACTGTCTGCCCTCTCTTTCAGTGGAAGAGCCTATTCATCTTCCAAGGCTGTTTGCTTTGCACACATCCTGAAAAGATAGTCTACGATAAAGTTGTTATGAAGATGTATAGAAACTCTGGAGAATTGCTCCTCAATCATCATCCCTAAACAAAATGCTGAGAAAGAAAATGGCAAGCTGCTGTGGAAATACATAAGAAGGAAACAAACCATCTGAGCATCCTTGGAGGCTTCCTCAGGAAGATACTTTTTAAACTGGGACCTCAGAAAAAGATGATTGAATTAAGAAGTAAAAACACAAGAGAAAAAGATAATTTTAGGCAGTAGCCTCAAACGTTTTTATTTCTTTATCTTTACTCAGGTCATAAACAATCTTTAAAAAATAATAGCTTTGTTTATGTAAAGAGCATGCATAAAGGTGAAGAGGCAGAAGATGACAAGATGCATGTGGCTGGAAAATAAAGCAGGAATGACAGAATGTCATGAAGTGAGACTAGTGTGGCAGGGAGATGATAGATTATGCAAGACTTTGTAGGTAATAAGGGCTTCCAAATTCATTCCAAAATAGTGAAACACAATTGAAGGAATTTAAGCAAGAGAGTAAAATTGTCAGTTTTCTTTTGTAAGGAACTTCTCTGCTGTGTGGAGCCTGGTTGGAGGGGGGCAAAAATGGATTCAGGTAATCAGTTTAAAAAGTGTATACAATAAATCAGATGAAACATGTAAGTAATTTGAAAGAGGGATGATCAGAGGAATATCTAGACTAATTGGGGTAGGTGGTGGAAAGGGAAGTGTTGAAGGAGGTGATATCATGAACAACTGAATGAATCATGATACCATCTACTGATCTATAAATATTGGCAAGTCTGAAGAAAGGATAATTAGTTAATCTTTAGGCAAATTACATTTGAAGTTATCTGTAGCTGTGTTAGTCCGGGTTCTCCAGAAAAACAGAATCAAGTGAAGTATATACAAAAATCAAGAGATTTATTATGAGGAATTGGCTTACACAATTATGGAGGCTGCTAAGTCCTAAGATCTATAATCAGCAAGCTGGAGATCCAGGACTGCTGATTGTGTAATTTCAAACCCAGGGCTGGCAGGCTTGAGACTGGGGAAGAATCAGTGTTTCAGTTTGAGTCTCAAGGCAAGAAAAGTCAGGGTCTCAGTTCAGACAGGAGGAATGTTCTCTTATTCAGGGCAGGGTCAGTCTTACTTCATACCGGCCTTCAGCTGACGGGATAAGGCCCATTCCCATAGGGAGGGTAATCTGCTTTACATTGTCTATCAGTGTAAATGTTAAAGTCTCACAGAAACATTTAAAATAAGGTTTGCAGAAATATCCCAGTACCTAACTGCTCAGTCAAATTGACACATGAAATTAACCATCACAGTAGCTAAATGAATGAAACAGTTGGATACACAGTTTTCCATAAGAAAATTTTAAAAGAAAACTGAAAAGAGAAAAAGAGAATTTTAGGCCAGAGAATTTTGGAAGTTTTTTTTGTTTGTTTGTTTTTTGTTTTTCTCAGTCTTGTTCCTCCCTATAATCTAAGTTGTTTTATGTCTTTCCCACTGCAAAATCTTCCTCATCCATACATATACAAAAGTGATCTACTTTGTCCAACTAGTTATGCATTTTGGCTGGGATGGAAAATACGAGAATGGAAATAAAAGAATACATCAAGAAGGTTGTGAAGCATATGGGTAGGATTACTGAAAGAAGTGCAAGGTATGTACAAAATACAAGGGAGAGAGGATAGGGATTGGTACAAATGAAAAGAGATGTGGCTGGGCACAGGGGCCCATGCCTGTCATCCCATCACTTTGGGAGGTCGAGGAGGGCGGATCACAAGGTCAGGAGTTCGAGACCAGTCTGGTCAACATAGTGAAACCCCGTCTCTACTAAAAATACAAAAAAATTAGCAAAGTGTGGTGGTGTGCACCTGTAATCCCAGCTACTCTGGTGGCTGAGGCAGGAAAATTGGGTGAACCCAGGAGGCAGAGGTTGCAGTGAGCCGAGATTGCACCATTGCTCATTGCATTCCAGCCCGGGCGACAGTGCGAGACTCCATCTCAAAAAACAAACAAAAAAAAGATGCATTTTATAAAATTGTGAAGAAAATGATGTAGAAAGAGCTACAATGTACAAAACTTTTTAACAGAAAGATATGTCATATATATGCAAAATGAAAGGGAATTCAGTTTTGTTTGAAACTATATTAAATTGCTTGCATTGTCTTATTATCCCAGGCTGAACATTTTAGTCACAGTGTTTTTTCCTTGAATATTTTATCTACATATCAAAATGTAATTATAGAACTAGATTATATCACATATGAAAAATACTATGTAGAGTAAAAATAGAAGGAAGTCTAAGTCTAAACACAGAAGAATAAAAAAGAAATAAATATTTGACAGAGGAGGAAAAAACAGTGAAATATGAGAACGTGTAGAGAGAAGGAAACAAGAAACTCAGAGGACTGTGGATAGGAGGCAATTCAAAAAAGTGTTTCAAAGTTCCATCATCGAGTCTCAACTTATTAACAAAACTTTTTTTGAACGCTCTCTTCCTTGTCCTTTTGTCTGCTCAATGTTTGTCTTAACTTTTCAGAAATCAGGTTTATTCTTACTTTCTCAGCATACACATTCAAAAGCCTTTGCTACCTTTTTTTCTACAATATCACACTTTTACAGTCACTTTCTATTTAGCCATAATTTAAACTTTTTAAGAAGGTGAATGTTTATTCTAAAAATATTACTATGTTCCTTGGTGTCCACCTAAAGCTCTAAGGTTCCCTGAAAGATTTGGAGGTAATAATATCCTGAAAGACCCATGGAGCTAAGGAGTCAGAGGTGTAGGTCATTAAATTCCAATTCTGCCTTTGACCTATAATATGGCCTCAGACATTACCTAGGTGCCTTGATTTCTTTCTATGAAAAATAAGATAATTGTACCTACCACATAGACTATTGTGTCTTCAAAGAGGCGATATTTAATAGGTAGTGACAGATTTTAAAAGAGAAAATCAAAGAGATAGTATAGTTTGGCATTTATTGAATGCCTTTTTGTTTTATTTGTTTTTTGAAATGGAGCCTTGTTCTGTTGCCAGGCTGAAGTGCAGTGACGGGTCTCAGCTCACTGCAACCTCCGCCTGCTGGATTCAAGTGATTCTCCTGCCTCAGCCTCCTGAGTAGCTGGGACTACAGACGCATGCCACCACACCTGATATTGAATGTCTTTTAAATGTCAAGCATGCTGGAAAATAATTTATGTAAAATTGACTTAGAGTCTGAATCAATTAGGTTACTTAGAGTCGTCTGTATGGATTTCCATGTATGCTTGTTTGGCTTTTACTATTATTTTTAACTGACATAATTATACATATTTATGAGGTGCTTTGTGATATTTGGATACATGTATATGATGTGTAATGATCAAATAAGGTTAACGAACATGTCCATCACCTCAAACATTTATCATTTATTTGTGTTAGGAATGTTCAAATTCACTCTTCAGCTGATGGGATGCAGCCCACTACCAAAGGCAGGGTGATCTGCTTTACTTAGTCTACCAGTGAAAATGATAGATCATCCAGAAACACTCTCACAGGAACATCTAAATAAGGTTCACAGAAATATCCCAGCACCCAATGACCCAGTCGAATTGACACATGAAATTAACCATCACAGTAGTCAAATGGATGATACAGTTGGCTACACAGTTTTCCATAAGAAAATCTTAAAAGAAAACTGAAAAGAGAATTGTAAGCCAGATAATTTTGAAGATTTTTTTAATTGCTCAGTCTTGTCCTCCCCCATATATAATATTTTAAGTATACAATACTTGAAATAAAACGTTATTATAGTCTCCCTACAGTGCTTTAGAACACACTATAGTTTATTCTTTCTAGCTATAACATTTACATATTTTAAATTAACAATGTTGTATGCATACATATATTTAATGTATAATACATACAATTTGAATATATATGTAGACATATATCTAGACATCTATGTGTCTATATATCTATAACTATATTACATATGGCTATATACATATATAGCTACAAATATATTAAAAAATCAAAGATAGCTAACCATATGTTTATTATATGGTTATTGTCTATAACTCTACAAACAAATACACAAATAGCACTTTTAGGCATATTAAATAAAAGCTACTCTGTATTGATATTTTCAGTGCAGTTCATTGAAAATTATTAGAGGCAGGATAGCGAGAGAATAGAAACAACCATGGTTAACAGTATATTTTCAGTTTTGTTCAGAACAAAAATAGCCCCAACTTACTTTGCAGGTTATAATTATGACTGAGTTGACCATAACGGTTTACTGTGTCTATAAAAGCCTTCAAATTGAGTAGTACTAGTATTTTTGAGTAATTTGTTCCATTCCATTAGAGAATAGAAACCAAAACATTAAATAAACTAAAAGAACAGAACAGATATATCCAAAATTAGATAGTAGCTAAGTGCCTTCTTCTGTGTAAAAGAAATAACAGTGAAAAATCACAACAAAAGCTTGTCTGTCCAGAAACATTTTCATTGCCAGCTACAAATAGACTTCTGCTAACTTTCCCAAAGGGAAAATGTCACTCAATTTGATTGGCTAAATCTTCTTTAATGTTCAAAATAAAGTAGCCATGCTATGGTTGAATTTGTTTGCTTTTTTTCCACCCACACCCGGTACAGAAAGCAATGCACCCATTTATTTCAATATGCCAGCAATTACCAACCAGAGAATGTCTGTAATAAGAACATTAGTAACAAAACTGGTCATGGCCTGTTTTCTCTTCCTCTCTTGCTTCTAATGCAAGAGAACATTTTAAAAACCAGGTCCAAGAACAATTTGGAGCCAAACAAAAAAATTCAAAGACTTGCAGCAGGTGGGAGTACCACCTGTTCATCTCTTATTCCAGAAAAAACCAATAGCCTCTTCAGTTCCCAGCTGTGGTGAATTCCCAGCTTTGAATGCAAGCAAATACTGAGAAAAGCTCTCTTTGAAAGACTGAGCCTGCTAGGAAAAGTGATCATGTAATATAGTCAAAATGAAGGGTTAAAAAGCTCAATTCTGAGCAGTAGGCAAAGGCTAAAGCCACCACAGGTGTGAATCTTAATGGTTGTTAATTGGGTAGAGGTTCAACAGAAAAATAAATCACTGCAGGTGTGAGGTGTGTGTTTTTGCTGATGAAGGAGCAGTGTAAATATTCGACTCTGTAACTGAAGAGACAAGTTCATTTTTATTTTCTATGTAGTGTAGACTTTGTTACAATTAGTGCCAGATGATTACTTCCTTTTCTGATTTAACAAAGGTAAAAAATTCTCCCTCGTCTAAATATTACCAAATGGGAAACACCAAGTGCCACATCTGTGTGTATTTAAGTCTGATTCACTTTGAGGAGGGGGCAATTTGGTATGGATGGGTTAAAGAAAAAAAAGAAGGAAATTCTATCCTCGAACACTAATGAGAGTTTAAGAGATAGTCTTGTAATTTTTCTTTGGAGATGAATTAAATGTCTTCCTAGTTCATTGAACTAATCTAATCCACAACACTTTTGACATCTCTAACCAAGTCAAAGCTGATCTAAGATAATTTTGTTTTCAACTTCTGAGAAATGGCCCCTACTAGCTGTTTTCAAAATGTCCTGTTTAATGTATTGATATAGGATATTTTAGTATATATTTATCAATATTTTAGCTGGAAAAGAACTAATGATATTAATACAATTTCATTATCAAACTCTCTTGTTCATTCCTAAGTATTTACTTAAATACATAGAGACACATTTAGTTCTGATAATGTGAAATAAATTGTTTTTCTATTTATGAAATACTTTGTCATCATGCTAACAAATTCCAGCTCTGTTAGAAAATCCCCAGAATGTTTTAAAAATGAATACTTAGAAAAACGAAAGTGCATGTGATCTACTTTCATATGTGTACATGTATGCATGTGTTTACTTTCAGTTTTTTTCTTGGCTTCCCTCTTTCTATTTTATCTATTTTCAACATTTGCAAAGCAGAGAATTTATCTTCAAATTATATATATATGTATATATGAATTATGATGTATAGTCGCATATATATTGTCTAATTTACTTCAAACCATGTCTATAGCTAGGTAGCTATCACTACTGTCCAGACGATAAAATGACAAGAAGCAAGAAGCATTCAAAACATACTTGTACAACAAATAACTAGAAGAATAAATGATCAGTTCGAAGTCCTCATAATGCTTAATTATGAAGACATGTAATCAGAATATGTTACCCTTATCAATGTTATTTCCACATGTTAATCAGATTTTTAAATTACGTCTACACAGGATAAGTCATTTACTCAACATGGAAGACAATTTCCAAAATTGTTTTGAGGTGTTGCTTCATGCCCTAGTCTTCAAAAGAGCTGAATAATTGTAATCACTTTCTCTTTTGGGTATAATTGAGTTAAATGACACGAAAATATGACACTTGTTTGGCATTGTTTAGGACATTGTAACTTAGACTAAAACTGTTGTCCACAAGATTTGCAAATGCTACCAGTTTTGCAGTAGTTCAGTTATAACTTCTACTTAGTCTGTTAATATTGGATACAGCTAAATATTAATCCAAATGTTTCTTTTATATACATGTGCTGCATCAGTCCATCCTACTAGTATTTTGAAACAATTTTATTTACAATTAATGATTAAAACATTTAAATATAAGCCCAAGTGGATCTTTAAACCCTTTCTGAAGTCCCCAGAATGATGTACCTTTTTCATTTGGAAAAAGCACACTGAGTATTATCTGTTGGTAAACATGGATTCTATGTTGCTGTATTTTCACATTTAAATATCATAATAAAAACATTCTACCAACCACAAACTATTCTTTTTAAATTAGCAACCTACTAAAGTTCAGAATTTGTAACGTTAGAAGAGTGTTATTAACCTTTAAGAATTCTGTGCTCCTTGTGTAGGCCAATTTTGATGTAATATTGAAGAATCCAGTATAGTCATGTTCATTTCACTGACTTTATCATTGGCCTATAAATTAGCAGATTAAAAATAAAACCTTATAGTGAAATAACATGAACATAATTAAACTACATAACCTTTCCTATTTTAGGAATGACATTTTGGTAAATTGAAACTGTAATTACTTTAACTTTTAGGAGGAGATATTATTGGACAGAAACCTTTATTCTTTTCACATGGAAAAAAATGTATTCAAACTTTATTTAAATTAAAAAAAAGAAAGACTTGGATGGGTGGATTGTTAATTCTGGTAGGACTCCCTAAATTGTAGTGCAAAAAATACCAGCAGAAGTTTAGCCGTTTGATTCATATTGAAGAAAAGAAAAGTATATTACAAAAGCAACAAACATGTCTGTGTCATGCAGAAATTACATTTCTCATCTGTTAAAAATTTTATTATTTAGAAATTTATTAGGCAGGACAGAACCAAAGAAACTATCATACTACCTATAATTAAATGTTATTTTTAATATGTCATTTGAGTATTAAATAAAAATATAAGTATTAAATAAAGATAACTTCCATATTGTGAACAAATAATTTTAACATAATTAAACATATTATTTAATGTAGTTAACATATTATTTAAGAGAGTTAAAATAATAACTTAAATTTAAAAGATTTCTAAAATACTTAAAATCTTTATTAAAGACAATAGATATATCACCATCATAGAATAGAGAGAGTCATTTTTAGTTTTGTGACCTTGTGTCAGCCTCAGTTCTTCTTTAAAACTGTCGATTTAGGGTCAATCATTCCTATAACATATACCAAGTCTGAAATGATCAATCAAAAACTAATGATGTGTTAAACTGCAAAGTTTTATTATTTACTACTTTCATTGTAAGACCACTAAGGTTGAAGTATTATTACAGATAAATAAACTCAGATAATATAGGATGTTTTCATTTTGACCTAGGTTTTCCAATTCCAAATTCAGGCCCGAAAGTAGATGGGCAACCAGCAATAAAAACCCATCCATCCATCCATCCATGCATCCATCCATCCATCCATCCATCCATCCATCCATCCATCCATCCATCCATCCATTTATCCATCCACCCACCCACCCAATAGATAGGCCACAAGCTCACCCAAACTAGATGGGCAACAAGCTCAAAACTAGATAGGCAACAAGCAATAAAAACTCGAATGCACTTATTATTGTGCCTGTAGTAACTTACAAAATAAGATTTAAAATATCAGCCTGTGTATATATCTTAGTTTTTTTCATAATAATTTGTTGTAGTTTGCTGCACCCATAACAGGAGTGGCTTTATAAAGGGTGTCACTCTTGCTCTATTACGAAGTTGGCAATCAGCAAGTTGGACCAAAATTGTGATTTAGAGTCAAATTGATCTAAGTTTTGTCTACAAATTAATGAGATTTAAAATACATAAATAACATGAATTTCTAGAATTATAAAAAAACAGAATTCATCTTATAATATTAACTATTCATCATATTTTAGTCAACATAGGTAAATGTATACTTGACTGAAATCTTCTAGGCTTTACCGGGTAGTTTGATTATGTTTCTTCAATATCTTACCTCTGTCAGTACATCTCATAGTATATTTTTAATTCTTTTGTTATATCTTTTGATTTTCTTAATAATATGTTGTTTTTTTTTTACAGAGATAAACTGGAAGCTTTACTTCTGCGAAGGCAGAAACTACCTGCAACTTTAAAATGACATTTTTTTCCAGTCTTTAAGATTGTTCAAAAATTCTTATGTCTTATGATGAGTAGAGTCACTTTCTTGTATAAGTATGCACATACTCATGCACTAAAATGGCAATCTCTTACTATATCTATTTTAAACATTTTTCTGTTTCTTATTAATGTACTGATAAAACTTTGAGCCAAAGGTAACTGTGAGAAGTACCTTGGTTACATTCTGTCTTGGTGCTGCCTGGATACTCATTAATTTCCTATATTTTTATCTGCCTTGAATTATTTTCTGTGTCCAGTGCAATTAAACATCCTGTCTAATCTAACAATTTATTTAAATCAAGGATTGTGTCCTCACTAATGATAATTATGCCCCACTTATGCCACGGTGTCAGTTTTTGCTATTTATAACATCTTATACTCTCTTAACTTTGAGATATATAAATTATGTTACACCATTTAAAAGGCCTTCTTCACATATTGTGAATTTTCTCAGTGTCAATTTACTCTCCTTATATCCTTATTGCCATCACATCACACACTTTTACAAAAGATGAATGCATGACCCAGATGAAATAAAATGCCAACTTTTACTTCTTACTCCCCAGCAACAAAAAGTCCTTCACCCCTGACATCTTAGCTATGCTCAAAGGCTCAAATATCTTCAGTTTTTATTACGAGCAAGCGTCCTTGATGGTATAATAGGAAGACTATTAAGCTTTTCGCATAAATAACAATGAGAAAGAAGAATGATAGTACCTAATCTATAAACTGAGTATCCTTGAGTAAACAAATTAATGTCTTATTGCTTTAATGTCTTATTCTTCCCTTGACAATGAGAGTCATAATGTTATAGGCGTTATTAAATAACGCCTGAGGTGCAAAGAATCCTGAGGTGCAAAGGATCCTGAGGTGCAAAGAATTTATTTGTTAACAAAGAGAATGTTAATATAAATGAATATATTTATAATATAATATATTATAAATTAATATAAATTATATAATATTATAATATTAATATATTAATATAATACAATGATATTAATATAATAAAATTGATATAATTTATATTATATTAATATAAATTATATAATGTGAAACATATTTTATAAATATAATTTCAGGTTATATTGTTAAATTTTTGTGTACAATTATGCAATTATTTGTAAGGGCTTACATTTTTTGAGGTAAATATCAAGGAGTAGGATGGCTGGATCATATGGGAGGTATATGTTTAACTCTATACAAATTGACAGTCTTTTTTCCAAGGTTGTGTAAATTTTTACACTTCCGTTAGTGGTTTATAAGAATTTCAGTTTATCTATATCCACACGAATGACTGGAAAAATCTATCTTTTAAAATTGTAGCTAGTCAAGTAGTATTGGTTATCTACTTGGGGATTTAATTTGCATTGGGCTAATGTGTAGACATTGTTGAGCATCTGTTCATGCACCTATTGGCTGTGCTACACCTTCTATGCTGAAATATCTTTTCAAATCTTTTGTTAATTTTTCCATTGGAATATTTGTTTTCTCATTCTTGAGTTTTGAGAGTAATTTTTTAATATTATGGATTGAAGTATTTCTATGATATAATTAGAAAATATTTTAACCTAGTGTATGGCTTGTCTTTCTATTCTTTTAGCATTATCTTTTACAAATGCAGACATTTTAAAAAACAAGTCATCATTTTTATCATTTTTCCTTTATGGATACTGCTCTCAATGTTTTACTTTGGAAATCTTTACCCAACCCAAAGTCATAAAGATTTCCTCCATAGTTTATTCTATAAGTTTTGAATCATTTTGTTTTTCATTTAGATCTCTGATCCATTTTGATTTTATTTTTATATAAATTGTAAGATATGGATCAGTTGTTTTATTCATATGTATATGCAATTGTTTTAGCACATTGTTGAAAATAATACACTTTCTACTTCGTATTGCCTTATTGCCATTGTGAAATTCAGTTGTGTATGAATGCCAGTGTCTCCTTCTGGACACTCTAAACCATTTCATTGATCTACAAGTTTATCTTTATGAAATGGCATTGTCTTGATTGATATAGATTTCAAAGTCTTATAGTTAGGTAATGTTAGTCTTTCATCTTTTTTTCAAACTTGTTTTGGTTATACAGAGTTTTTTGGATTACTATGTTAATTTTAGAATCAGTTTCTCAATTTATATAAGAAAAGCTTTGTGAGATTTTGATTGGGATTATGTTGAATGCACAAGTCAATTTACAAGAAAATTGACGTCTTAATATTATTGAATATTATGACTCATAATCATGGCAGATTTCTAAATTTACTTAAGTCCTCTTCAATTTCCATCAGCTCAGTTTTGAAGGTTTCAGTGTAAAGATTTTGCACATCTTTTGTCAGGTTTATTCCAACAAATTTTATGTTTTTAAATTGGATTTAGAGTATTATTTCACTTGAGTTTTATTTTTTCATGGCGGCTCAACAGAAAAACCATTTTTGTATATTGATCTTTTGATTTTTTGAAATATTAGTCTCATATATCTCATTTTTCACTATTCTTAAACTCACTTCTTGTAAGAATTAGTTTGTTTTTGTTTGTCTGATTTACCAGATTTCCTTAAATTTTCTAATGGATGATCATGTCGTATAAAAAAGACAATTCTAATTTTAATTTAGAATCTTTATTTATTTATTTGTTTTTCTTGCCATAGTACAATGACTAGAACCTCCAACACAATGTTGAATAAAGTTTTGAGAGTAGACATTCTATCTTGCTTAGAATCTCTCTAAGATAGTATCCAGTCATTCATCCTTAAGTATAATAATTGTAGGATATTTATAGATCCCTTTGTCAAGTTGAGAAATTTTCCTTTTATTGCTACATTGATGATGTCTTAATTAGAAATGAATATTACATTTTGTAAAATAGGTTGAATTTTCCTGCTCTTTTGCATGGCTTGTATTTGGTGTTTCTATTCATACTACTGTTATGAATTTTGACTTGCGTGCTAGATTGTTTTTGTATTTTCTAGAGCTTTGCTCTAGAATAAACTTAAGTTACTTGGGAACACTTTGATCTCCTTAGGTGTTGCTTTTAAGATTTGTCAGGGAAAATTTGAGCAATGTTTATTCTAAGTCTAGTTAATCCTACTGCTGGAACAGGGCCATTCTAAGCATACTTTTCTTTCTTTCTTTTTTTTTTTTTTTTTCAGACGGAGTGTCTCTCTGTCACCTAGGCTGGAGTGCAGTGGCGCGATCTCTGCTCACTGCAAGCTCCGCCTCGCAGGTTGATACCATTCTCCTGCCTCAGCCTCCCTAGTAGCTGGGACTACAGGCACCTGCCACCACACCTGGCTAATTTTTTGTATATTTAGTAGGGATGGAGTTTTACCGTGTTAGCCAGGATGGTCTCGGTCTCCTGACCTCGCGATCCACCCTCCTCGGCCTCCCAAAGTGCTGGGATTACAGGCATGAGCCGCCGCGCCCGGCCCATTCTAGCATTCTTAACAATGTACCATTGAGTGACACAGTCTGGCTGGTGGAAAAAGGTATTCCATGAGGCCCTGAGTGCGCACTGTCAACAATTCTCTTTAATCTTATCTGGTGGTTCTTCCTAGGCCTTGATTACTTTTCTCTTATACAAGCATTGACTACTACTGTGTTGAATATAAGGAAACACTTGGTAGATCTTTGGAGCGTTCTCTCTATGCAATTTTCTTTTCTTTGGTATTCTGTCTCATGCACTCCAGCTGTCTTGGTTTTCCTGGATTATCAGCTCAGGCATTTTGCTCAAGCAGCAAATTTTATTCTTTGACAAAGAGTAAAGTTCTCCCTTCACTCTTACCTCTGCAGGAAACACCTGATGGGAATGGTGCCATGAGGTTTCAAGTTCCCTTCTCATTACAGGAACTTAAGCAAATAAAGGGAGACTTAGGCCAATTTTCTGACGACCTTAATTTATAGGTACATTTAAATTTTCCAAAACTTAACTCAGGTGTTTGATCTCACATGGAGGGACGTTATATTGCTGCTAAGTCAGACCTTCACTGTGGCTGAAAAGCAGGCAGTTCTGCAGGCAGCAGAAAAATGCAGAGATGAGCAACATGCTTCCTATAGTAGACCAAGGAGAAAAAGAGGAGATAGGGAAGGTGAGGAAGAGGTGGAAACTCCATTCCCACTAGGAAGAGAAGCAGTTCCAGCAGACAACCCTGACTGGAACCCCAAAAACTCAGGACATAAATTAAAAAGGAAGAACTTTATAGGGTGCATATTAGAAGGCCTATGGAAGACCAGGGCCAAACCTCTCAATTACTCTAAATTGTCCATGATAGATCAAAGACCAGACAAGACTCCCACCATCTTTATGGAAAGGCTGAGAGAGGCACTAATAAAACACATCTCTTTATCCCTTGATTCAGTCGAGGGACAGCTCATCCTGAAGGACACTTTTATTACACAGGCAGCTGCCAATATTAGAAGAACAAATTACAGAAGCAAGCTATAGGACCAGATAGCAGCCTAGAGAATCTCCTGAGGATACAAATGCACAAACAATGCATTATCTCACATACACATCATTTATTTGTGTAAGGAGAGCACTTAAAATCCCCCCTCTTAGCAACTTTCAAAAATACAATGCATTGTTATAATCTATAGTCCCATGTTATACAATAAATCTCTCGAACTTTTTTCTCCTATGTAATTAAAATTTTATATCCTTTCACCAGCTGAGTTTAGCGTTCAACGAAGTTTTAATAAGTAATAAAATAAATACTCTAAATTGTTTGCATTTTATGAAATAAAACTAATACCATGATTTATTTATGCTTTCCCTACCTTAAGTTTGATTATATTGCTTACATTTTATTGAAATATCTGCTTGTTTTGAGATATTTTATTTCAAGAATACTGTCATCCTTCATGCTGACAGAAGTGTCATCCGAATGGCATGTTGTTCTTTAAAATAGTGCTTAATTAAATGCCTATGCTAAACAGGACACAGTTTTTCAAACAACTGAAAATACTCTAGAAACTGGTAATGTCTAATGTACAAAGCTTAAGTTGAATTTACTTCCATTACCTCTCCGTTATTATTCAGTGTAAGAGTAGGCAATCAATGCAAACGTGATAGCAAAAATACTGGTGCAATATCTTTCAGAACTATTTTTATTTCCATCTATAGACTTTTTAGACTGCTAATTATGAGTTATAATGAATAATATTAGGATTAATTATGTGATATATTTAGCAACAGAATTAATAAAATTGAATGACATAATTGATTTGAATAGCTAATTATGCCCTAATCTTAGTAGTTCTGAATCTAGGTTACCAAGATTTAAATACACAGCTAATATTTAATAAGATAGTTGTGGCTAATTAAAATGGAAAGCTAAACTAATTCCTTCATATTTTGTATGATCCTTTACCATTTTTACTGATGATGTATTGATTAGAAATGTGAATCAGGTACATTTTAATATATCCAGTGTTCAAATGATAAAATGCCACTTACAAAAATTCATATGAAATTTTTAATATTTGTGTCAGAAATATCAAGTATTTATAAAACCATTAAAAGAGAACTTTTCTGTGTGTGTCACATTTTTGTTAATACATAAAGAATATTGCACAAATAGATGAAAAATTAAAACATACTTAGAATATAAAAGGTTAGAGTGAAATAAATACATTAGGCGTTCCCATTTATTTTTTATTTTTTTTATTTTTATTTTTTTTTGAGACGGAGTCTCGCTCTGTCGCCCAGGCTGGAGTGCAGTGGCGGGATCTCGGCTCACTGCAAGCTCCGCCTCCCGGGTTCACGCCATTCTCCTGCCTCAGCCTCCCAAGTAGCTGGGACTACAGGCGCCCGCCACTACGCCCGGCTAATTTTTTGTATTTTTAGTAGAGACGGGGTTTCACCGTTTTAGCCAGGATGGTCTCGATCTCCTGACCTCGTGATCCGCCCGCCTCGGCCTCCCAAAGTGCTGGGATTACAGGCGTGAGCCACCGCGCCCGGCCAGGCGTTCCCATTTAAAAGGAAGCATAGAAGCAACTGCAATATGTGCAAATATAAAATTATTGTACATTTTTATATGCAAAGAATTTGACTGTTTCAGAATAATAAACTTTCTTTTTTGAAACAGAGTCTTGCTCTGTTGCCTGGGCTGGAGTGCGGTTGTGCGGTCTCGGCTCACTGCAACCTCCACCTCCTGGGTTCAAGCGATTCTCCTCTCTAGGCAGGCGCCACCACACCCGCCTAATTTTTGTATTTTTAGTAGAGACGGGGTTTCGCCGTATTGGCCGGGCTGGTCTCGAACTCCTGATCTCAGGTGATTTGCCCACCTCAGCCTCCCAAAGTGTTGGGATTACAGGCGTGAGCCTGTATGCATGCTATGCATTTTTGTAAAATATTGTCTCTGCTAACTTATATATTTACTCCTTTAATGTAAGGAAATTTTTAAAAAACTATAAATATGTTATCTATATACTCGTGTGATTTTATATTATGCTCTATGGCTTCTGGAAATATTATTAAACAGAGTCTACAGTTTTTTTCTGATAGTAGAACTTGAGTAATTGGTAGTTTCATTTACCTGCATTTAATACATTTAACTAAATGAATAATTGTTGTGGGAAATGGTAGCCTGACAGGACAAGTGTGATTATCTTGACATCTCAGCATTATGTTTTCTCTTATGTATTCCTAACTTGCTATTAAGCAATAATTATTTAAACAGCTATTCAAAATACAAAGTAAGACATAATCCTTTTCATATCATAGATATTCAATTTACTATCAAATTTATATTAAATATAAGAGTTTAAAAAGTGGGTATTTCCTATTAAACCAAATCTCACAGCCTTTTCATAGAATTCTAGGATTTTATCTAGTCAATTGTATTTGGATACAAAAAACACGTGGAATTCGTTTGTAAAATGGATTTTCTAATAACGCAAACTGTTCACATGATTTTCTTTATAAGTGTATACTAATGCCATTAATTCACTGTTGTATGTCACTTTTTATGGGTACTAGATTTCATGGAATAAGATTATTATGCTTACATTTTTTATCTGAGCATTTCTTGCATGATATTGAAAATGAAGACCCAACCAAATAAAAATTCAGGGAACAAAAACAAAACAAAATAAAACCACACAAAAATCAAAATAAATATAAGTTCTTATAAGTCCAGATTGACTTCATCTGCACTTCCATTTAAAAGGTGCTTCATTTGCTATTTCATTTTCTTCAGAGTTCATGATTTGTAGAAAAATGTACATATAGGACTTAATAAAAAGCACATATTAATTTTATATCATTCTCTCAAACATTTGATTGCTTTTCCTAATCCCCAAATAACTCCTATTCCATCACTTTTATGACACAGTTTAATACAATTAGTACACAAGAAGTTGAATTCAATCTCATTATAAGCACCGTAGTGAGCAAAAACATATCCATTCTGTAAGGATCTGTTTATTTTACAACTAGAAACAAAATCTCTATGGCCTCTCTGCAGTACTACTTCTTCTTGTAGTTTGGAAAGTGTTTGGAAAGTCACTTCCCCAAAGGAGCATTTTTACTAGCTAGGGAATTTTTTTAATTACTTGCTAAAATTAAATGCTTTTGTTGGCATGGATTTGATTTACCATTTTTTTGTACTGTGAGATAAAAATAAAAGGAATAAAAATGACTGTAGTTTAACAAACTCATCACATATGTGAATTTCTATTGTTTCTATCATTTTATCACTAATTTCATTTCCTTAAAGCAGTGAATCCTTATTTTGAAGTATTTTCCAGTTTCTAATGTGACTCTGATAGTACAGAATAACAAGAGCCATGAGTACAAATACAGGATACAGAAATATGGGTTTTATGTCAATGAGTTAACATCACTGAGGGCTTAAATGCTTAACATGATTTGCAAATATTATCTTATATTACCTGAGATAATAGAAGAAATTCTTGTTTTTTTTTTACAATTTGTTTATATAAAAATAAACTTTAAAAGTTAACCAGTAGGAAAAATAAAAGTAAAACCATAGAGTAATTGTTTTTTGTTTTAGATATTTTTCACCCATAAAACTCAGTCTCTGCACTGACCTGCTTTTCTCCTATTTTCCATTACTTTCTTTTGATGCTACAATTTGATGATGAGGTTATTTGTGCTTTTGTCTTTAAAATTTATAAACTTTTCTCCAGATTTGGTTCAAATTTTTCATCCTCCATGAATACTTTGTATTCCATGAAAACTTACCTTATTCTACTCCCTATACTATTTATTTTCATGTTTCTGCACTCAGATCGCACATAGTCTTCTCCCAGTGGTATTTACCTGCTGTCTAATTATTTTATGTTTTTATTTTCTCCTTCAAACTAGTTTACAATCTTTGGAAGAAAGCCATGTCTCTTACAGAGGTTCTCACAGCTACTACCAAAATGATTTTAAAAATAAAATTAATTGATTCATTTCTCATTAGCAAATATAAAATAATACCAATAATATTCTTGATTTCTTTTGTAATACTCAAATAAATTATTTAAAGTCTTTTGTAAAATTTAACTCAGTATTGTATCCAGAATAGGTCTCATTTTGCTCAAATACTAACAATACAAATATATGTTAAGAGATAAGTCATTTGATTTCTAAACTTCTTTAATTAAATACACCTGTTGTAACTTTGCCAAAGACTAAGATAAGCAATCCCTGTATTTGAGCCTTCTGTATCCAGTGAGTGCATAAATCCCAGCATCATATATTAATCCTGTCACATTAATAAGATGTGCTGGATGCACAAACAAAGTTAATGATTGTCGTATTTGAACTACCCTGAAAAGAAAATTATGTTTGCCGTTGGAGACTCTGAAAAAACCTAGGAGATCGTCGTATGACCTGACGTGTTTTATATTCCAACAGCAGAATGAACTTAACCCTATAAACAATATTATGAGGACTATTCTAAAGCTATTTTTTTTTCCTGGAATATAAGGCTTAAGATATTAGGTAGGTGTTTTCTGTACTTTTTCTTTTTAAAATCTCAAAATCTCACTCTTGTGGGGTTTTGTTTATTTGTTTGTTTTTAAGAAAAACATCATTGATAAAACCAGAAGACATACTCATTTCTGTGTATCTTGCTATTAGTAATATAAACCCACAATTTGGTTGGCATGGTGCCAGGGCATAGCTAAACAGAGTCTAGCTTATTTCTCTGTTTCCAGCTTGCCTTCTTAAAAATATCTTTGTCTGTGCCTATTCCTTAATAGACTCCAGTTTTTAAATATTCAACGAATAGTTGTGCTACCTCTAAAATATGTTAATTTAAAACATTACTGTCTCTTTACTACCTTACAGTGTACCAAATCATTCCCAATGGAACTTAAAGTTTGAGTATTTTTATCCATATGTGTTCCTCCAAATTTTGGACCCCTCACCATTCCACCGTCAATTGTCCCTTCTATTTACTTCTCTCTGTTTATGAATTATGCTTCATAAACTATTTCAATAATTTCTTATTTTCATAAGTCTTAAAGCACTAGACTCTCCTTCCACTGTGAACTCACCTGGACATTGTTCAATCCTCATTAAACCCACCTCTCCTCCTACTCAGTGGATGTATCTGCGTCAAAACTTAATCTTGTTGACTGAAACTTGGTGATTCTAAATTCGCAACTGGGTTCCAAGTGGCTGTTCAGTTTTGTCTTCTCTTCTTCCACAGGTTCCCAACAAAATTCCAAGATTGCTATTTAATACTGTCTTCCGTCTTTTAAACCTTTAAATCTCTCTCATAGCCCTCTCACTCCCAATGGAAAACTATTCACTTCCGAAAGCGAATAGCCTTCTTCCAACCAAATCTACCAAACATGCTTATCCGTTTACCCACATTTCTGCCTTTCTTCCTGTTACAGTGAAGAAACTGCTCCTGTTTTAAAGATCATAGCAATTACTTTGCCATGAATCCCATTTTTATTTTCTACTTAGGGCTTTTTCTTAGGTAATGACTCATTCCTTCCTCATCATTTCTGCACTGGAGCATCATTGCCATCAGCATCAAAACAGGTTGCATATTTTACATCTTAAAAATAACAAAACACTCTTTGCCCTCATGTCCCCTCTTTGAACAGACATCTTCCTCTGCAGTAGTGTACAGCAATATTTCTTGTTGGAATTATCTATCCTCACTGACTCTTAGTACCTCGCCTGCTGTTCTCTTATAGATCTGCAAGAATGAGCATAGGTTTCTACACTACAACCTCTTTCAAAATTTCTCTTTTTGAAAAGTTAATGCAGTTTAAAAAGTAAATTTAATTTTTATTTATTTTATAGAAATAGGGTCTCACTCTGTCATCCAGGTTGTAGTACAGTGGCGTAATCATATCTCACTGTAGCCTTGAATTCATGGGCTAAAGCGATCCTCCCACCTCAACCTCCTGAGCAGCTAAGACTATAGGCATGCACCACCATGCCCAGCTAATTTTTAAGTTTTAAATTTTTGTAGAGACAGGGTTTTACTATGTTTCTGAGGCTGGTTTCAAACTCCTGGTTATGAGTCATGAAGAGTGTGGCTGGGCAAGTACTCTGGGTATTTTTCAGTGGCTCTCAAATGTGTAAGAGGAGCCCAAATCTTTGAAGTGCCAGCAAGCCCCCAAAATTTCTTCATTACACCTATCGTTACCTACAAGTGTAGTAGTATGTTAATGTGTATTACTTATTTCCCCTGCTAAAATAAAAATTTCATATTGGCAGACAATTTTGTCTTATTTATTTTTATATATATTGGGCTCATTTCTTATTAAAATTAATTTTTACTTGAATGACTGTCTGAATGTAATATTGTACTACTCTAAATCACATTGGAATTATCAGTTCTTTAAAGATTGTTTGCTTTGAAAACAATTGGGCCTGATAAGATAATTTCCTATAATTTAAAAAAATCATTGTGTTTAAACTGATATCTCTTGGGGTCGAACGTAGGAAAGTATATAGTCTTAGAAAATTGTCCAGTCCTCCTAATTTTAAAATCCATTTGTACAGAGTGGTAGAAAATATAGTCAGAATCATAGTAATGATGTGATTCACCATCCAGAAACTTCTTCAGGAGTGAGGCAATCATTTTGTCAGATGTCAGGAATATTGGTTAAATGGGATACAGCTGAATCCCTCTCCAGTATTTTCTCTCTGTAGAAGAAAGATTCAAATCCAAGTTTACCCCTCCTTGGCAGCAGCCTGCATATGAATGACTAGTTGACAGGGATGTACAAAAGTCTTACCCTCTTTTCTGAAGTGGAAAACTCTGAAAGGCCACCAAGGCTCAGTGCTTACAAATGGATTGGCTGACGCCTCTGCTGCAACATCACTGCAGCTCAGCTTCTATGTTTAATCCTGCTTTCTGTATTTCTCTCAGTCGTCGTTCTTAAAATTAGTCACAGATATATAACCTGTGCCGAAATCTAAAATATAATAGGTTATTTCCTAGTCAAACCAAACTATAACAATTCATACTATAGGTTGCTTTAGGAAGCAGACTCTAAAGTGGGATTTTGAGTTGGATCATTCACCAACCAGCTGGCAGGGAAAACCTCACCATGGCTACAAATACAACATTGATAGCTCCTGACATAAGATTGCAAAGCAATATATACATATTTCATGGGTGGTAAAGTGGGAAGGGAATCACAGTAAAGAGGAATGTGCTAACTATTGAAAGATATTAGGCCTTTGAGTAACTACAGTCATTATAAAGGTCATGGTATCAGATATCTCTTTCCGGATTCTCAATGCACCAGCAACAGACAATGAAAGGCTCAGCATTATTTCTCACAAATGTAAGGTAAAGTGTGATAGCCAGAGAGCCTCCTTGGCAATATATAAGTAACAGAAATTTCCTGCAGCCAGAGAATCAAGCCCAGGACTTAATTGTAAGAGTAATAAGTCTCCAGAACAAGTTGAATTCTCAATCTTGACAGGTCTTCTACAGCAAAACTAAGCCTTAATTGAAAAGATGCAGGGCCCTAAAACTTAAGGTAAGAAAATATGGGTAGATATTCTTGAAAACTGTGAATTTTTAGGTTTCCCTGGAGCCTCTGGGCTGAGAGAAGTAGCTCAAAACAGAATAATAAAAGATAGTACTTCCTCTTTGCTCAATGGTGGTTCAAAACATCTGCACTGCAGGAAAAGTCTGCGACCTTCTCAAGATCTATTCCCACCTGCCCTCCTGGCCACCAGATCAATAACTGGGTAAAGTCACAAAATAACACAGCTGGGAAGTGCTAGTCTTTGTAAAGAAAGATCATAACTATACACTCAAAGAGATGTAGTCATAAGAAACATGTAGTAGCAGGAGCTTTGACACAGAGGTAGCCAATTCAAGTGAAATGGAATAGAAAGTTGTTGATTAGAAAACATTTTGCTGAGTTAAAGAACTTAACTTTCTGGGAGGAAACCCAAAGATACTGCTAGGTTGACTCTTGGCAAAAGTGATTGGCATTTTAAATGAGTTAGAAATGCTTTCTCTTGTATGAAAAATGATAGAGAAAAGAATGAAAATGGTAAGAGATCTACTAACATGGGTCTCCTATAATGTCACATTCTAACAAGGGGCTCACTTTATGGCACAGGAAGTATTGCAATGGGGATAAATTATGGAATCCATAGATCTCATCATCTAATTCATTACTCAGAAGCTGATGGTCAGATAGAAAAATGGAACCATCTTTTGAAGATACAGCTCTGCCACCTCTTTAATAATGATACTCTGCATCCACTTAAACCTAGTAGTAAAGAAATTTGTTTGGTCTTTGTTTAATTATATTATAAAATATTTGCATGTACATTACATGCACACACACACATATATGTGTGTATATATATACCTCCATGTGGATTGTCTTCTTTGTATTATGTTGTCTTGCATTACTTAAGACAGATTTTTTGCATGGTCAACACTTCCAATAAATAATATTTTTAGATGTCCTAGGATATATAAATAATAATTCATTTGTATTTTCTTCTCCATGCTTCTTCTCCCTCTCTAACCTCTACTTTTACCTAATATAAATATTTATACTAATATTTAACTTTAACCACTAAGTTATGTTCATACAGATTTTAAGGAATAATACTTTGACATAGTAACCATTCAACCTGAAGTTACAGCAAGCTTATCTTTTTTTCACCTTTTCTTCATCTCACTCTTCATATTTATTAAGTGCATTATGGTACCCAGTTACCATTAACAAGCTCTGCCGTAAGCAATTCAGACAACTTCTCCAGCATTTAGTGGGTTGTACCTACACTTTCTCCAACAAGATTGAATAGTAGCTTGGGGAGGGGGCCTCCTTCCTTGGGAAGTCTTCCTCAGCCCTGAGATATTTTTTAGAGCTCTATTTCTACCTTTAAAGTTACACCTCTGATACAGCCAATAAATTTGTATATGAAACTTTCTGTGTTCAAATTACTCTGTCTCCTGAATGAATATTGATTGATATGGATGTATCAGGTATTGTTTTCTCTTAGGCATCCTTAGATAAACTTTATACTGAATGTCCTTCCTCTCATTCTAGGGAGAAGTGCTTGATTCAAACTTTTTACTACTTGTAGCTCCAGCATTTTTATTTTCTCCCCATTTTAACCAGCTTCATCTTTAAAAAAAAAAAAAAAATCAGACGTATGTAGAAGCACTTAAAGAAGTATGGTGTTTTCAAATTTTGACTGTGTCCTCATTTTGTTTCAAATGTGTTCATGTAGTTGTTTTCTTTTCTTCTCCTTGTTGCTCTGTATGACCTAGAGAAAGGTAGATGCTGCCATATTCCTATTGGAAGACCCATCCAGTAAAGTTCTTTATTTGATTGGAGACCTATTTTATATACTCTTATTTCTAAAATTTAACTAGTTGGACAAGAGTGTCCAAGGGGAAAGTGAGAAGTTAAGGTTTGTTGCTAGATTTTTTCTGAAATGCTAATAACCACAGATACAGAGTAAAAATGGCTATATTGTCATACAAATTTGGTATAAACAGTATGATTCCAAAATAAGAACCATTTAGTTAAATATAAAATTCAAGCTGTCATTCCTGAAGAGCTTATCTTAGGGGAAAGCCTTGAAGCTCAGACAGGCAATGATGGCAGTAGATAGATAGTGTCCATGTGGAGATGAATTCTCTGGAAACCTAAAGTGCAGAAGGTGAAAATAATTCATGAATATTTTAATAGGTGTAAAAGCACTTATTTAGGTAGTGTGCATACTAAAAAAACACCTGCTGAAGAGCAATTGTTTTCATTCTTTATAAACATAGTCTATTGAATGGCTAGTTCTCTATCACAAACTAGTTCCTAATAAAGGAAACAAAAACACATAAATTGGTATAGAGCATTTAGGTTTACATTAACTACTACTATATAGATTTATTAATTTTTTTCCAACTGGCCTAAATCTTATATTTACTTATAAAGAATATGACTTTAAATTTAGTTTTCTGTTCCTCTGGAAAAAGAATCTCATACTCTTTCCACTATATGTCTTAATTATAAATAATTTTGTTTCTTAGATTAGATGTTTTGTGTCTAAAATTTCTCTTTAATTCTTTTGGGCCTTCTCTGCATCTATAAAATATATAGATAGTGATGTTACATAATATTTAAGATCTACAAAGTTTAAGTTCCACAAAGGATATGGAACTATGCTTTGTCACTATAGCAATGAAAATTTTATAAATTGGAAATATGAATGATAGAAAATATTATACTTGTAGTGGCAGATTTTAGTCTATCCAGAAAATTACTCTGTAACGATGACAAATTATGACTAGGGAATGGACCAACGTTCTGGTTTTAATAATAGACAACTAATAATTATAGAATAATGAATCATGAAGGAAAACATGGAGACTATCAAGGGAATCATATCATTGATGAAAAATTGCAAATTTATACTCTCGTCAGAGGAAGACATTCAAAAGTTGGGAACGGGAAGGGTTGAGGTGAAAAACGAGTTCGTTTTTGGATTTATTTAATTTTATTCACATGGTAGTAGTCTCCTGTAGTCTATTAAGAGTTTGTAGTGAATAAAGATATCCCTTGCCAAAATAAAATGAGAGGCAGATTCCATTGCTGCAATAACCTGCTTAATATAAATCAGAGTCCAAGAATATAATACGGACCAGGTCAGGGGTTGCAACTGAGAAGTAGGGAAATTAAAAATAAATAAAAGAACTAAGCTAGGAAGATAAAAAACCAGTTTAGTAGAAAGAAAATGTGATAGCAACTTCTTCCCAGCTAAGAATAAGTACTAAGTACCCAACATTGTAAAACAAAGATGTTTTCATTTTTTATAGCACCATTATATCCATAGGCTGACAATCACAGTGAATATCGGTAGCGCTAGACAGTATATAGTAACAGGATTGGTAAGGCATAAAATAACAGATATAATGAAATAGAATTAGCAGAACATCATGAATGAGACTGAAACACAAAAGAAAAAAAATACCTATTTGAGGGAGTTTCAGGATATCAGCCCAGTATAGCTGAAAACATTCAAAGTATTTGTCTCTAATTGCTCAACTGGAAAATGACGGGGTTGAGCTAGATATCTCACAAACACTCCAGCTTTAATGTTCTTTGATTCTATCTCAAAAATTAGTAATTTGCTTCATAGGATTTCATATTCAAAGATAGATATCATAAAATACCATAAGAAAAGTGACTATGTAAGAATATAGAGAATCTTTCTTCAGTCTACTTGCTTAAATATATCCCTAAATTTCACTTTTAAAAAGTCGTTGTTCAGGCCCAAGCATGATGGGTCACACCTGTAGTCTCAGCACTTTGGGAGGCTGAAGAAGGAGGATCTCTTGAGCCCAGGAGTTCGAGACCAGCCTCAGCAACTTAATGAGAGGCATCTTTTACAAAAAAAAAAAAAAGTCACAAAATCATGAGACATTCATTGCTTTGTTTTGATTGTAAACAATGAAGCCTGGGGGAAAACAATTAAATATTGTCATAAATTTAATTTAGTTCAACAAACATTTAAGATACTGTACTAATCCCCAGGCTACAAATATGAACATTATATAATTTGGTACCTAAAGTGATTTATAATCTGCTAGCACTATAAAGAAAATTATATTGGTTTAAAAATCTGCTGCAATATATTAGGTCTAAATTAAACTAGGTTTATATAAAATCGGTTTATACTTTAAAATATTTGTATGACATCAAGAATATTCAAGATGAAATGGGTTAAAACCAAAAGGCCAGAGATGTAAAGTAAATAGTAAAATACAAATTAACTGCAGAAAATAATAACATGTGGACAAGGCACTAAGAGAAATTCCTTTTGAAGGAGCACATTTAAAATGCGGTATAAAATAATAAAGACATTTTAAATGCATGGATGATGGGATACGAAATTAAGGTGATGTCCCAAAGCCTGCAACTTTTAAGAAAAATGAAAATCTAAAATAATTTGAATACAATAAAACTTGACTACATTTTGAGACTACCTGTCACCCCCTGGTGGTTTAGAATCTGAACTTTAATGTACAAAGCAGAGGAGACAACAGACGGGTTTTGTTAAAATCAGAGTCTCCAGATTTAAGTTCAGATCCATGAAGGGGATCTGAAAAAGGCGCTCTAATTGCTTGAACTAAAATAAATCTTGTTCCATAGAGAGAGTCATGCTTTAGCTCTTGTTGATCCTCTCCTGGTTCTAAATAAACCACACACTTATGTAGGTGAATTGAATCTATAAATATAGTCCCAAACCCCAACTCTACAGTTTGGTTAAAAGAGAACCCAGGTTGAAGTGCACCTAAGTATCAGGCAAAGGCAAATAAAAAGGTTCTGGAATAATGCATCTTAAAGTTAGGTTGAAAAGAATCCCCATAGAAAATATTTCAGAAATACACTATTCCAGAATAACAAAACACAAGAAAAAAAATCTATTGCAGCTGATAGCTCTCTAAAATGTATGGATATAGAAAATTCTAAAATAAAATTATTTTAAATGTTATACTAAGCAAATCAAAATCTGAACTGGTGTAGTAGGCCAAAGTGTGTTCCCACCCTCTACCTGCAAATTTGTAGGTGGAAGCCCTAAGCCTCCATATGACTATATTAGAGCTATGGTTCTTAAGAAGGTGATTAAGGTTAAATGTCACAAAACGTGGATCCCTTTTAAGAAGACGAAGAGTAACTAAGGCTATCTATCCACCATGTGAGGACCCAGAGAGAAGGCAGCCAACTACAAGCCAGCAATTCAGCTCTAACTAAAAAACCCAGCCATGCTAGTCAACTGACCCGACTTCACATCTAGACTTAGGTCAGACTGATCCAAAAACTGATCTTCCAGTCTCTAGAACTGTAAGAAAATTCATCTCTCTTAGTCTATAGGTGTTTTGTTATGGCATTACAAGCTGACTAATACAGATGGCATATCAGTTTAGGTCAAATCATGAGAAAAAAATTACATAGTAATTTGAAAAAGAGAAGCTTAGTATCAAAATTATTAAGTATAATGGAACATTGGGTTAATGAGTGATTAGAACATAAGAAGAACGCTAAAGAATATAGAATCAAAGATAAATGGAACATCCACTACCAGTAGGATTGAGATAAAACATTCAAGGAAGAGTCTCTGTAACCCATGGCTGAGGTTCAGATACTGCTGAAGAAGGCATGGCCATAGCTGACTGGATGGTAGAGAAGTAAATCACTGTGTTGCTACACTATGAAATGTGCTGAAAATCCACTCTCTAGGGTACCAGGGAAGGACCACGGGGTCTTTGCTACAGAAGATAATAAGATAGATGCTGGAGGAAGACATGGGCTACTCAGTACTGCTGACCACTGTGAAGGATGAGGGGACTAGAGAGGCCAGGTGCAATACATGAGCCAGGGTTGGGAAGAAATCAACACATTCTGTGGAAGCCTGCCAAGTGAGTAAACCGTTTATTCCTACAATGTCTCGTTAGGATACTCCACCTACCAAGATTAACATAGTGCCAACAGAAAAGAAATATATGAGGGCCATATATTTATTTTCACAAAGCAGCAATACAGATACATTTGAAGCAGAGAGGCAATGCATCCATGACTAAAATTCATGGTATAACAGCTATATTGATGTATGAAATCTTAAATAATAAAATTTTTAGCAGAGGTAAACAGTAATGCATAGGAATAGAAATTTCAACTCACTTGAACAGTGTTAACAATTCCAAGTAAATTAACTTTTAATGTACCAAATAAATTAACTTGAAAATATTTGAGGAAAAAGTTAATATAACTCCAAAGAGAAATGAATAGCTCCATAATTGTTGTGGAATAGCTCCATAATTGTGGAATATTTTAACATATTTCTCTTTTTAGTAAAAAGTGAAGAGATGTAATAGTAGTTTGACTGTAAAGGGTTTGAAAGATGACATTAAAGAATACTAAGAGACATACAGAGAACTTTGTATTCCATGCTTGTAGAATATATTTTTATTATTCACAAGGAGTACATGTACAAAATAATTGACTACATACGAGCTAATAGCACAAGTTACAAACTTAGAAATATTGGAGATTACAGAACTTATCCAACCAAAAAAAGTCATTTAGAAAGCAGAAATAAATGAATAACAACAAAGAGAAATTCCATCTATTTGAAAAATAGAATATGTTATCCTCAAGAACGTATGAGTCAAAGAAGAAACGGTAATCAAAATTAAAATATGCTTAGAATTGAATAATTAAAACAGTAAATATCAAATTATGCATAACACCATTAAAGCAGTACTATAGAGGGAAAATACCAGGTATCCAAGTTCCAAGGTTCCTTGAAATCAAAAAACAAAAGGCAGGTGAACTATTTTCTCTGCCAATTGTATATAGAGAATATTAACAGAAAATGTTAGAAAACATGTAGGATCATTCCAAATATTGATGACAACATCTGCAGCATGATATGCAATTGCCATGCATGCCAGGTGAGTTGGTGCTGTGTCCATGTGGGGTCCAATATCACTGCTGAGTCTACAGCAGCTGGTACACAGGGTGAGCAAAAAGTCTTCTTCTCTGAAACACTTGCACAACCTCATTTGGGCCTTGATCTGACTGGGATCTTTAAAGCCAGTTCTCTAGTCTTGCAAAAGGATTCTGTAAGCACAAAGATTTCCTTTCCACAATGTTCACTTCTGTTCTAATCATCCAGAGTCAGCTTCTGTTGCCTGAAACTTTTAATACCGACTGATATCCTTTAGTTCTTAAATTTCTTTAGTTCTTAAATTAGGTTAAATTCTTTAGTTCTTAAATTAGGTTTTCTACTACCTTTCATATACACCAAATCTTCTTCTAGTCTTATTTTCCTTTGGAACAATTATTAGAGTTGATATGTACTAGTAATTATAAACTTATTTCTTTAAAATGTGTCTCCCTGTGAAGTATACTAAGTAATGTCCTTTTTTTTCTCATCACAGTATACCCATTGACTGTCCTCTGTTTAGTTAACTATTTACTTAGTTAAGCAATCCATTATGTGCTGAATGGTCTGCAAAGTTGATGATTCTATAACTTCATATTTATTGAGATCCAATTTACTGAAATTATTGTTTCTTGAAAGGAATATAGGACCTGAACTCAGTTATAGGCTTGAATTTAAACTCTGCCACTAAATAAATGACGGATATTCAGAAATTTATTTATCTCATTTTTAAACCTGTTTCCTTACTTAGAAAATGAACATAATTGCCTCTGAGATGTTTTTCTTGGGAAGTTACTCTGCCCAGTATTTAATTACTTATCAACAGTTTATTTTTCCTTCATAACATCCTTCTTGATGTTCATTGATCATTCAACAAACTTCAGTAGATTAATGTGTGAGTCCAATTCTGTATTTCTTGCTGACATATTTTTCTTTTTATGTGCTTTAACTCTATAGATTTTATTGATCATGTAACTCTTAAGTAAAGATCAAAGTTCTCTTCCTGAGTCAACTAAATGGTCTTGTGAGAGATGGGACCTATATTTATAACCCGACGTACACTAGCAAAGCAACTATTCTTAATGTTACCTTAATCAGAAATTCTACTGTTTTTCTTTAAATTTATTCAAATAACTAATTTTATTTGGTATGCTTTATTGATCTGATCCAAAATATTTTGCCTGTTAACATAAAAACTATATGTAATTTTTTAACTATGAAGTCTTCCTTAAAAAATTTAATGATTTGTTGCTTATATATAATTAAAATATTAATTGTTATATGAATTTTAATTATTTCTATTAGTTTTCAAGACCTGGAAACAAAAAGAATAACATTAAAGGTAGAAAACATATATTCTAGGACTTTTCTCTCTTTGTATAAGTTAGGAGCTCAGAGTTCCTGGCTCAAATATCTTCTTTCAGACACCCAAGGGGATAAAAATCATACATCCTCTTATATCTTTTTAATATCTATAATTCTTTCTTTGATATTCCCTGCCAAGGAAACACTGGGCACACTATGTCATGATTGTATTGCTTCTGGTGCTAAGGTGAGCTCTATCAGCATCTTCCAAAAAGCCCACGTTATCTGAAGTAGTGTAGTAAATGCCTTCCTATACTAGTTTTACTCCTTATTTGCCTTTTCAAAATTGCCCCCAAATTAATTATTATCACAAATAAAATTAGTAAAACCACAACATTCACAATATCAACAAAACAATAGAATACTTAGAATAAAATCAAAAGAAGTTCAATTTTAAAATGGGCAAAATATTTGCATAGACATTCTATGCAAATCATAAAGTTCATATATGAATAGGAAATAGACACATGAAATGAGGTGTCACCGTAGAAAAGGGGTTCCAAACCTCAATGAGCTATCACTGTACACCCACTGGACTGGCTATTAAAAAGGACAGACACTACAAAATATTGGAAAGGATGGAGGGAAATTGAACCAATTATTCATTGCTGGCAAAAATGTAATATATTAATTTTACCTTGGAAAATAGTTTGGCAGTTTCTTAAGTTGGTAAATATAAACTTGCTATATGACCCAGCAATTCCTCTCCTAGGAATTTAAGAAAAACATAAACATACACCCCCACAAAGACATATGCACAGATTTTTACAGCAGCATTCTTTATAATTTTAAAACTGGAAATAACTGATATGTCAGTTAATTGATGATTGAATTTAAAAACAGTATATCCATCCAATGGAATATTATTGAGCAATAACAGAAAATAAACTTCTGTTACATGCAGTAACATGGATGGATCTAAAAAACTATGCTGAGCGAAAGTATCCTAATGCAAAAGATCACATATTATATCATTACATTTTTATGAAATGTGCAGAAAAGGCAAATCTATACAGACAAGTACAGTAGTGGTTTTCTGGGTTGTGGGTGCAAGCAAGATTAACTGCAAAAGGTCACAAGATAATATTTAGTGTGATGGAAATATGATAAAATTAGATTGTATTGGTGGTTGTACAACTCTATAAATTTACTTAAAATTTACTCGTTAAATTTTACACTTACAAGAGATGAATTTTATTTATGAAGAAATACCTCAATAAGGCTATTATAAGATACAAATATGCACAGTATCATGGTATTTATACTTCTATATATTAGAGCAACTCATATAAATATTCCTTTTGTTTATAGTCCCTGGCTCCATAAAAATTCAGACACCAATTTTGAGATTGGGAGGTAAGATATGGTCAGGTATATTTGGGCAAAATAGGAAACCAATACCAAATCTTACCTTTCTGTATTTTTCCTTCCCCCCGAGAATTCTGAGCAAACACTTTGATGAAAATCAACATAATATCTATGGGAGAACACTAAATAGATGGAGGCCTAGTTGAAACAATATTGACCATGAGTTGATAATTGTTGAAGCTGGGGAAATTTTATGGTGATTCATCATACTATTGCCTTTACTTTTGTATGTTTTTGAAATTTCTCATACATCGTGTTTAAATATATAATAAAATAAAACGATAAAAGAATTATTTATTATACATGCTCAAACCTGATTGATTTTACACTTTAGGTTCAAGTTAGGCCCCCTACTGTATACTTGTACTGATTCAATGTCTCAAAATAACATTATTTTACAAGGCAATAAGGCAATTATCACAAGAGTTATCTATTTTATTTATTAACCATTCTATCATTCTATGTCAAATATGACAAAATACTCTTTACTAACATTAAAGATAAAAATGGAAGTACAGCAGAAACTTCCCTTCATTGACTTCTGAAAGTAATGCTGCCAAGATTCAAAGAATTAGTTAAAAACACATTCCCTCTTTAGCTTCATAAAGACTTTCAAGGTATTTGTGTTTTTATGGTTAAACATGATATGTTAGACTATGTTGGACTGTCAATGCTCAGGAACATACCAGAGAAGTGTTTGCTTTGCTGTTATTGCTTACCCTGTTCTATCACACATTCTCCTTTTTATTCCATAACATCACAGCATGACTGGAAAAAAAGAATCACATAGTGATCTCTGAAGATTTCCTCCCTAAATGCTATAGGGTAGATCAAAAGACATCCTTGAGAACTGTATTTCCTTTCCTGGATGAAAGAAGTAGTAGAAAAGAAACAAATCCCTATTTGGGGAAGAGGAACATTGCTTTGGGGTACAAAAGTGATTGATGATTCCTCATCAACCCTGAGAGGCAGTTGTATGTTTGAGCTCAATAAGATCTGACAGGAATTGATGCTTCTGACTCAAGCCTAGTTATCAGAACTAACTGATGCTGAGGGATTTGCTTTTTGCCATGACAGTTCTGCTTCAGCATTCACAGATCCACTAGAGCTGCAGGCAAATGTTTTACTCTATCTCCAGGGATAGCCTAATAGTTTACAGGAAACTTATCTTCCATTAGCCAAATATTCTACTGCTGTAAACCTAGGCTCTGACTTTCCTGAGGATCATGTGTCGTGCAAATGTTGTCAGGGTGTAAAGAGTCACAGGTTTGCCAGATCTCAAATGTATACCATGTTATGTCTTTGAGGTGACAGAAAACGGAAAGAGTATTAAATTTAAGGACCCGGAAGTTTTTTCACCAAGTGTAACCGTGGATAGTCAGATCACTTTAGCTATTTCATTCACATGACACATTAAGAGCAACTCTTCCCATTCGCCAGCAACTGCCTTGCATAGATGTGTCAACATAGCTTGAAGCTAGATGTTATCTCCTCTTCACTTCGGGACACAGCAAAGATGTCTTAGAATGTTAGGATTCCCATAATGGGGTGGGATTAAAAGCTTTGGATGAGAAGTAAGCTGGACTTCTATATATTCTTTACAGCAGTTTTAAAGCTAGAGCATTTCAGCTCCTGGGATGAACTAGAAAACATTAATTATGCCCTAAATATTGTTGACATACTCTAGTTACTAGAAAATTCTGTTTAAAAAAAAGTGAGGCAAAATTGCTCTAGATGTTCAAGACATCATTTAAAAAACTAAGTGAAAATCATTATGAATATCTGATTTATAGTATATAGTAGCCTAATTATTCAAAGAAATAAAAATATGTATACAATGAATAAATTGACTTGAGTTTGATTTCTGTATTCTTCATTATGAAATCTGCAGCTCAGAACAATGTGCTCTCAGTTACTTGACAATTTCTTCTTCTGTGTGTATCAGTGCAACAGCTCATCCCTTACTCTGCTAAGGTTTTCATAAGGATCTCATCTTTTTTTCTCTAATCCTATAAATAATTTTCACTTAGTTTGTAATATTTATAGCATTACACTAAAATAAACTGATTATATTTCAATTTATTCTACAAGATGGTATGTTTCAGTCATAGTAATTAATAATTATTTGCAGAAATGGCTTTTATGTCCACTGGAATAATCATAGAGAATTTGGCATTGCCTGAATTCTATCTATGGCCCAAAACTGGACTTGGAGCAATACTTACTTTTCATTGACCTGTATAAAATAATTCATGTTTTCTAAATTCTAAAATATTTTTGGTCTTCTTTAAATCTTTTTCAGTTTTTTTTTCTTTAGTATTGGGAAACATATTTTAATGTACTCACCATGGGTCTCTGGGGTTCAAATCGCTTTTGCATCTTCTAAGATCCTGGGCAAAACAAATTTCAAGCTTCTTTTGTTCATAGAATTTTTTGATCATTTGGATGTTTTATCTTTTGGGTCTTTGGAAGTCCCTGTATTCTTTACCTATTGGATTGTTCCTATCATGAAAAATCTCTTATTCTTATCATTTTCCAAAAATTACACTAAATATATTGTGTTCATATAATGATTTATACTGCAGAATCAATTTATTAAATATTGACTTATTTAAACATCTCTGAAATACTATAATGATGAAACAGAAGTATATAAATGACCTGCTTGATGTCATATAATAAGTAATAGATTCTGGATTCAAGCCTTGGCCCTTTGTTCCTAAACCATTTTTACTCCAAGAATAAATCTTTGTCCCTTGATCCACAGTTACTTCAAGAAATAAATCTTTGTATGCTTTTGGTATCAGTGTTTTAATGGCCTCATAAAATGAGCCAGAATCTGCTTCCTCCTCTCATTTCTGAGAGAATTGGATAAGATTCCACTTATCTTTTTATTGAATGTCTGTTACAACATGCCTTAAAACTCTCTAAGCTCAGTGTTTCTTTGAGGACAGACTTTCAATGAAGACCATTTATTTAATGATATAGGTTCATTTAGTTTTTCTCTTCTTTGTGAGTCAGTTGTGCCAATTTATGTATTTTTAACACGATTATCCTTTACGCTTATTTTCTAAATGTATCAGGCATAATTTTTTTCATAATACTTTTAAATTTTCTAATATTTGTTGAAACTTTTATGTCTCCCTCCTTTTATCATAATGTTCCAGCTCCAGAGCTGGCTTATCTCTCTACCTTCTAATTATCTCTGATCACCGAAAATAAGTATTTACTTTTCAGAAATACTAATGATTAATTTAAAACCAAATGTTTGGTGATTTTTAATATGCATTTTAGCCATAATGTTACATATACTAAGAAGACATTTAAACACCTGATCCACAATTATACTATAAAGAAACTTATACTATTTCCTTTGGAATATTATGTGCTTCAGGGCATTTCTGAATTCATAACTTGTTGTATTGGCTACATTAAATTTCTGATGGTCAGCTGTTTACCTGATATTCTATTATTGTGCTTTACATATCATTTAAGTGTCAAATTACTTTTCTCTAGCGGAAAATCATAATTTCTAGATGTTATAACTTTATTTAAAAGTTCAAAATTATTGGGATTTTTTTGTAGAAATTTGCCACAGAAGAAATAGAGCTGCAACATGAAATTCAGAATCTTTGAAATCATTTACACATATTGTTCCATAAAGCCAAGTGGAAAACTAAGCTGATTGCAGCCTGAATGAGCTGAATAAACTACTTTTACTTCTTGTCATATTCAAACTTGGTAGCCTTTTGTGTAAACTGGTTCACAACACATAAATGTTGCATATGTCCATTCCAGATTAAAAAAAAAAATTAACAAATCTCAAGAGTAGCAACTTGTCCTTCAATTTGAAGATGATATTTTACCATAAACAGAAATTTAAATGAGGTGGCTCTAGTTTGTGCATTGGTTTCTTATCACATTGTTTGGAATGGGTGTATCTCACCAGGACTACCTACTTTTTCTCACACACGATTTTATAAACATTTTGCATCCATGAAGAGGAAGTGTCATAGCCTTTAGAGAGAGAAAAATCAGTTTCTGTGGAATAAGATTTGATGGCACAGGATAATCCCTAGATATGATGGAAAAAGCATAATGTTGTCCTCACCATGTAAAAGTAATTTTTTAATATTATATCAACTTTAATCAAATTAAGAAAATATTATTTTGCCAATCCAATAGCTACATGATATTTTCTATGTGTATTTTTTCTAGAAAAGAAATAAAAATTCTGATAAGTAAGGAAGGAAGTTGCATCCAGTGAAGCAGAAAACAAACAAAAAGACTCTGATGCTCTGAAAGCTGATTGAAAGAAGAGTTACAAAGAGGATGGAAATATCAATTTCAGTAATTGCTATGAATAGGTCAAGTAATAAAGGATTGACAATTGATAATTAGGTTTAGAAATACTTAGATCCTTGGTAACCTTGATAAAAACAGTTAAATAAACTGATGGGGGTATCTGAGTAGAGTAGGAAATACATTCTTTAAATACATTGAATACATTGGATATAATCATAGCAGACTAATATTTTAAAGAGTTTTGCTTAAAGAAAAAGAAAAAGTATGAAAAGGAGTGGGAAATGATAGAGGTAGTGGGGAGGAAAGATGTATTATTGTTAATGTGCATGTTTACATGCTGATGGCAAAATCCAATGTAGGAGGAAACTTGATAGTGGTGGACAGAATGAGATTTTTTGTAGTGAAGTTTTTTGTATAAGCAAGAGAAGAAGTAATAGTAATTAGAATAAAAACAGGTGTTAGATAAGAAAATCTATGGGACTCAATTTGGTCTGTTCAACATTTGAATTTCTTCCTATTTCAATCTTTGTAGTTTGTTTCTAACTGGAATTCCACTAATTCCATAGGAATTTCTCTAACTAGAGGGGGTGTACAAATTCCTTTAATTTTAGAGTTATTTGTTGACTGGAATTACAATTAGTACACTTCCTCCAGATTTTCTGGTTTGTGTACACAGAACTGTTCTCAATAACTAAGGATCTTTTGTATTTCTGCAGGGTTAAATTTAATGTCAAATTCTGTCACTTCTGATTATGCTTATTTGTATCTTCTCTCTTTTTTCTTTGTTGATCTAGCTAGCAGTCTATTAATCTTGTTTATTTTTTCAAAAAAAAAATCCTGCCTTCATTAATCTTTGTATGGATTTTTGATTCTCACAAATTGTATCAGTCATAAAAACTACCAACCTAAAAAGCCCTGGAGCAGATGGATTCACAGCCAAACTCTGCCAGACATACAGAGAACAGTTAGTACCAATTCTGCTGACACTATTCCAGAAATTTTTTGGAAAAACTCCTCTTTAACTCACTCTATGAAACCAGTGTCACTCTGATACCCAAACCAGGCAAAGACACAATTAAAAAAAAAAAAAAAAAAAACTATAGGCCAATAACCCTGAAACATAGATGCAAAAATCCTCAACAAAATACTAACAAACCAAATGCAGCAGCACATCAAAATGTTAATTCATCATAATGAAGTCAGCTTTATTACTGGGATGCAAGGTTGGTTCGATATACACAAATAAATGTGATTCACAACATAAAGAGAATGGAAAACAAAAACCAGCTAAAAGGGCTTTTGCATAGCAAAAGAAAAATATCAACAGAGTAAGCAGACAACCCCAAGAAAGGGAGAAATATTTGCAAACTATTCATCTAACAAAGGTCTAATATCCAGCATCTAAAAAGAAACTAAATCAACAGGCAAAAAAAAAAAAAAAAAAAAAAAGAAATAAAATAAAAAGTTAAAAAGTGGGCAAAGAAAATGAGCAGACATTTCTCAAAATAATACATACAAGTGGCCAATAAACATATGAGAAAATACTCATCATTAGAGAAATGCTAATCAAAACACAATGAGCTACCAACTCATGCCAGTCAGAATGGCTATTATTAAAAAGACAAAAAAAACAAAAACAAAAACAGATGCTGGCAAGGCTGTGGAGAACACTGTTAGTGAGAATGTAAATTAGTTTAATCACTCTGGAAAGCAGTTTGCAGATTTCTCGATGAACTTAAAACAGAACCATTCAACCCAGCAATCCCATTACTAGGTATGTATCCACAGGAAAATAAATTGTTCTGCAAAAAAGACACATGCACTCATGTGTTCATTGCAGCACTATTCATGATAGTGAAGACAACATATCAACCTAGATACCCATAAAGGGCAGATTGGATAAAGAAAACATAGCACATATACACTGTGGAATACTACGTAGCCATAACAAATGAAATTATGTCCTCTGCAGCAACAAGGATGCAGCTGGAGGCCATCATCCTAAGCAAATTACCAAAAGAACAGAAAACCAAATACTACATGTTCTTACTTATAAGTGGGAGCTAAACATTGGGTGCATTTGGATATAAAGATGGGAATAGTAGACATTGGGGACTACTAGAGGGGAAAAGGGCTGAAAAACTACCTACTGTGTACTACGCTCACTACTTGAGTGATGGGATTTTTCATGCCTCAAACATCAGCATCTTGCAGCATACCCATATAAAAAACCTGCATCTGTGTTCCCTGAAAGTGAAATAAAATTTGAAATTATAGAAAAGAAAAACTATGGTATTATAGAGAAACCAAAATAAGTTTGGCAAATGTGTTTTTGTGAGTTAGTGAAAGTTCTTATGGAGAGTAATTGGTGAAACAAAGTTGAGGTTTGGTGAGGTAGGAGAAAAAATAGATATTAGATGAGACAGAAAAAGTGAATATTTTCTAATCAGACATACAAATGTCAGGAATCTTTTCTAGTTTCAAATTTTCTTAATAATAAAGGTAGCTATGAGTCACAGGTAACTATGTGTCATAGGCAAAGCACAGAGAAGTCTGAGACTCCTGATGCATATTCATAGTTTCCTTTCCTTACATTAGCATGTGCCCTGTTTCAGATTTAACATGTGAGGTCATTAAGTAATACATGTCATACATCACTTACACAAAAAAGCTAGTTTGCTTATAAAATATCTCCGTATTAAACTCTTATACATAGCTGACACTAATATTTCCCATAGGCCATGTTCCATAAATTTATAAATTATAAGTTTATTTTTATATATCCCATAAAAAATTTGATGAGAATGTTTACAAGGAGTTTTGATTATATCTTTTTTCTCTTTTTTGTCTCATTTCACTGACATCACCAAGTTAGGAAGGATGGATTATACGCCGTCTGCTAACATCCTGCTAATAAAATCTGTCAAATATTGTTTTAAAGTAGAAAAAATAATCCATTCCTCTGTCTTGCAAAATGCCTATTATTTTGTCATTTAGCAGTAAAAATGGAAATGTCTCATTACAAATCAGTATTTGTTTATTAAAAACTGCTAGGGGATGATTTTGAATGGACTTCTCTACAAATATACAGGAAAATAATAAATACTAGTCATTTTCTGTCAACTGTATCTCATATTTGTTTTCTGTACATATTGTTATAAATATGGATGAATTATTTTTTAGATATTTGTCAAGAACAGTGAAGAGTCTGAGACTGCACCATTCTTACAGGCTGACAAGTTATCCTGCCTCAGTTACTTGAATGCTGGCAGACAACAAAGAGATGCTTGGGAGAGGAACAAAGGATAGCTTCATACTCACTGCAATAGCAGTGACCGGAGTCAGAAATCCCAACTTTAAGAAAGCCAAATATTTGTGTGGAAAGAAACATGTCTGCCCTTTATTTATAAAGGAAAAACTCTCATTTTCAAGAATATTTGCTCTACTAACATCCTTGGAAAGACAGTTCAGAACAAAGACTGTTCACAAGACAAGCAGAACAGAGAGAGACCCATTGGTTAATTTTTCTCCCAAGAATATTATGGTGTTCTTTGATTTGTGTATGTTACCACCCTTAAAAGGACAATACTATAAACAAGTTTCAAAGAAATAGATCTGCCTATGTGTCACCATAAAACAAATGATGTGGCTTCAATTCTAATGTCTGCTAGCGTGAATTTAAGTTATTTCATTATCTCATTATTGTATTTTTTTGCTTCAATACAGATTTGGCAGGATGCATTTTTCTTCAATTTGATACAACTCTTTTTTTTTGTTTCCCATCACCGCCCTATGAAGAAATGTTCCCTGAAAGGTATAAAAATGACAGCGTTCTGTTAGTGTAACATCAAAATTGGCTTTGAAGACCCATAGATGTTAACAAGAAAAGGTTTGTTTTGGACTAAGATCTTGTTTTATAAAAATATTTCAATATTGTCCTATCTGAGTAAGTCAACATAAGCAAGAAAACAATGTGCTTTACCAAAAGAGTCTGTTGGCAAAACCAAATATTAAGTATTAATCTGATAATACTTAATACTTAATATTCTGATAAGTTATATCAGCAAGAGAACATTTTTCTTATCTTAAAAAACTAAATATGTAAAATCTAAATGAAATGGAATCTTCTCCAGCTTAGCATGAGATGTCAGGGTTTTTACTAGATGAGTAAAAGTAACCAAGAGTCAGGACTGTGGTGATTAGATAGGCAAAGGGGCTAAAAAAATCACATATGCAGAATAACCAAAAAGAATTTTCTGACAATGTCATTGCAAGCGAGATCAATGAAATGTGGTTCGTATGTTTGTATTACATAAACAAGACTGTACATCTTTAAGGTTGCTGAATTTCTTTCATGCATAAGAAAGAATATTACTGAACACTCTATGAGACACGTCTAATGATGCCCTCTGTGCTGTGAGATTCCGGGTCCCTAAAACTCAAGATTTCTTTGAGAGCTTGCAGAAAGATTATCTTGAGTATGTAACTTTGACTTGTGGGTTGAACAGCTAAGGAAATATCACATGATTAGAATGTCTTAGGAACAGAGAAAAGCAGGTGGATTATAAAGTGGATGTCAGGTCCTATATAAGAACCAAGAAGGTATGGTTGAGTAAGGTGTATCAGTGAAGAGATGTCAGTACAGCAGGGTAAAGAGATCTGGATAAGGAATAAGTGAGAAATAGCATCACAATGTAAGACCATAAAGGAATTGGTTGAAATCTTGGAAAATTGAAAACTCTGTAACATCAACATAAAACTTAGAGTCTACCACCCTGAGAAAAAGGATACATTTGCAAAGGAGAATATCGGGATGCACCAGGCTTTAAGAGGCTAACTTTTGGAATCTTTCAAAATCCTAACAGAAAACACTTTCAAGTTGGAGAAAGAGTATTACTTAAATATATTTCCAACAATATCACTTTACTATTTTACATTATGTGGTTGTATACACTGTCTTTAGTATGTAATAAAACATTTGGTCTCAGAATATAATTTCTTACTATGGTATTGGTGTCCTCATGCTATATTTTCCACATGCCACAGATCAAGACATGATATACTTGCAGGTGCATTGAATCTATGTAATTTTGAGAAGCCTGTTGAATTTTTTTAGTGAGTAACCTGCAAAGTCTAGAAAAGCGCCTCTCTCTTGTTAAATTGAAAAGTAGTATAATTGTAATAGTAAATGTGATTATTAACAATATACTGTGCTTTCTCAAAAAAAGAAGTGAAGCATTGGGATGAATGAAGGAATCCCAGTTTGACTCAATATTTTATAAATCAAATCTGGGAGTTAATCAAAAGAATTATTACCATGTCTTTGAATTCCCATCTGTACCACACCACTGTCAGCATGACAAACATCATCATTAACGTTAACATCACAAGCACCACCAGGAAAATATCCCTTTGTATCACACGTTATTATTCAAATGATAGTAAAAGAATGATTTTATTTTTGGGTAAGCTGATAAAATTGCAGAGGATTGCTTAAAACCTGCAAAACAAAAATCATCCTCCCATGAAAGATAGTTAAATATATGGATATTATAAAAACAAATGTTATTCAACAAGGTAACACCCTTTTCCTCTTTGATTATAGTAATCGTAAGTCTAGCAATACTATTCAGTTTCCATTACAGTAACAGAATCAATGATAAAACGGAAGAAAAAGATGATGATGAAAAAGAAGGAGTAAGAGGAGGTGGGTAGGAAAATCAGAAAGAGGATGAGGAGAAAGAGGATGAGGAGAAAGAGGAAGAGGAGTTTGAGGAGAGGGATACAAAAAGGAAAAAAAGCTGCTAGGAGTTTTTGAGCATTTATCTCCATGCCATGAATAGTATAAGGCATTTTTGCATACATTAACCAACTAGATTCTAATAAAAACTACTATCTGGGATATACACTTTCATTCTGTACAGAAAAAGAAACAATTAACAAAATGAAGAGGCAACCCACAGAGAGAAAGAAAATATTTGCAAACCACAATGTGTGCTAAGGGGTTAATATCCAAAATGTATAAGGACTCAACACTACAGTAAGAAAATAAAGAATCCAATTAACAATGGCACAAAATATGACTAGACATTTCTCAAAAGTAAACATACTTTTTACTTTTATTGGAAATAATACTCACCAAATTAAAACCTCATATGTGTTAGAATGAATTAAAACCTCAATGAGATAAACCTCACACCTGTTGGAATGATTATTACAAAATGATGAACTAAGTGTTGGTGACAATGTAGAAAAACAATGAGAGGGCAGACAACAGGAACCCCTGAACACTGTTGGTGGGAAGGGAAATTAGTAGAGCCATTATGGAAAATCGTTGAAGTTTCTTCAAAAATCAAAAGCAAAACTACCATATTTTCCAGCAATCCCACTCTAGGTGTTATATCTAAAGGAATTGGAATTCATATGTTGAAGGAATATCTGCACTGTCATGTTCATTGCAGTATTATTCACAGTAGTGTATATATATATATATACACACACAATATATTGTGTATATATATATACACAATATATTGGTGTTTATATATATACACAATATATTTGTCTATATATATATATACACAATGAAATGCTATTCAGCTTTTCAAAAAAGAATTCTGTTATTAATGACAACATGGGTGAAACTGGGGGATATTATGTTAAGTGAAATAATGCATCACTGGAAGATAAATATTACATTATGTCACTTATATTTGAAATCTTAAAAAGCTGAACTCATAAAATGAAGTGTAGAATGATGCTGGTCAGAGTACAATGTTTCAGTTGGACAGGAAAAATAGTTTTGAGATCTATAACCCAGCTTGGTGACTGCAGTTAATAACAATCCATGCTATATTGTCATGTGCTGCATAATGACATTTCAGCCAACTGTGGACTGCATGTAGGATGGTGGTCCCTTAAGATTATAAAGGAGCTGAAAGATTCTTATTGCCTAGTGATGTGGTAACCCTCATAATGTCATGGTATAATACATTATCACGTGTTTGTGGTGATACTGTTATAAACAAGCCTGCTGAGCTGGCAGTCATATAAAAGTATAGCATGTGCAATTATGTATGGTATATCATGCTTGATAATGATAATCAGCTATGTTTATGCACTGACTATACTATATTTTTATTATTGTTTTATAGTGTACTCCTTCTTATTTACAAAAGAAAAGTTAACTATATTACAGCCTCAGGTAGGGACCTCAGGAGATATCCCAAAAGAAGGCATTGTTATCATAGGAGATGACAGCTCCTTGTGTGTTTTTGCCCCTGAAGACCCTCCAGAGGGACAAGGTGTGGAGGTGGAAGGCAGTGATATTGATGATCCTGACCCTGTGTAGACCTAGGATAATATGTGTATTTGTGTCTTACTTTTTTAACAAAAAATCGTAAAAAGTAAAAGAAAATACAAATACAAGTTTTAAAAATAGAAAAAAAAAAGCTTATACAATAAAGATTTAAAGAAAGAAAATATTTTATAGAACTGTACAATGTGTGTGTGTGTAAATTTTAAGCTAAAAGTTATTACAAACGAGCGAAAAAGTTTTTAAAGCAAAAAAATTTACAATAAGCTAAGGTTAATTTATAATTGAACCAAAAAAACTATGCTATTAAGTATGTAGTTCAAGTGCACAGTGTTTTTAAAGTCTACAGTAGTGCACAGTAATGTCCTAGGCCTTCATATTCACTTGCAACTCACTCACTGACTCAGCCAGAGCAACTTCCAGTCCTGCAAGCTCCATCCATAGTAAGTGCCTTATACAGGTGAATCATCTTATATATTTTACACTGTATTTTTACTGTGCCGTTTCTATGTGTAGACACACAAATACTTGCCTTGTTACAATTTCCTATATTATTCAATCCACTAACTTGCTGTACACATTCATAGCCTAGGAGCTATACCATACAGCCGAGGAATGTAGTAGGCTATACCATTATGTTTGTGTAAATAACACTCTATGATGTTCACACAATGATAAAATTTCCTAATAACCCATTTCTCAGAACTATCCTCATTATTAAGGTATACACCAAGAGAGTACATTTCAAATGTCTCACCAAAAAAAATAAGTGAGATGATGGATATATTAATTAGTTTTACTTAATCATTTCACATCATATGCATATATAAAAATATCACATTGAACCCCATAAATATATACAAATATGATTTGTTAATTTAAAATAATATTAATGTTATTATCAGTTATCAGTTAAGTTTGTGAGCAGATTTAAAGATGTGCTTATTGATGTTTCTTGGGCTAATGCCTGTTATCTGATCATTGCTTTTGTTCTTGGCATCCTTACACACTATACCTGCTGAAAAATATAGACGCATCATCCTAAATTCTACACTGTTTTATTTTCCTTTTTATTATTATTTTTTTAATTTGGAGATCCAGAATTGAAACTCGTGCTTATCCTAACTCGTGTAGACTTTTTGCAAATGCACTATCACTACCACTGTGTTGTTAAACACCCTTGCTTCCTTGCTCCAGTGTCAGAACTGTGGTTGAATTTTTGGCAAAAATTATCAGAAGCAGCCTTTAACAGTTTCTATCAACTTTTAAGTTCAGGGAGTATTTGGAGTGGTTTTGTGTGATTTTCTGGAATGGAATTTAGCCAGAAAACTATTATTTTTATAGTTATATTGAGAAATAGCTCAGAACAGCTTTAAGTACTAAAACAGAGCCAGGAAGTCATTTAATAGCACCTTCAATATCTTGATTCTCACCAACACCAAGTTGGGACTTAGGAAAAGTATGTATGAGTGAACTCTCCTGAATCACTGATCCCACTTATTGCACTAACTGATGTTCCCTTGGAGGTTTCCCATCTACTCAATTCACTCAGCCAAGTTTATGAGATGTGACAGGTTTGTAGTGCAAGGAGATGTCTGCTATTTATATAATAGCGAATAAAATTTGACTGTAAACTTAAGGAAAGTTTTGCAAAGATACTTTCTTTTTCTCTAATTTTCTGTGCTTTATTTTATGTGATTTATACTCAACTCCACCCACCCTGACATAAAACTCACTTTCTCTATTAAAAAATATCAAAGTGTTTGAAATAGATGTGCTTAAAAAATAAGAAATGGCTTCTTTTGTATGTGAATGGTATCACATAAGTAATTTTTACATAACCTTATATGAACCGAAAGTTAGAAACAATGTTTATAAAATTAGATGTGTTCTAACAGCTTTTTATATTTTCCCCAGTGTTCTATTTATTAGAATAGTTAACTTCAGTGTGAAGATAACTATGTATCTTATCTCCTTAGAAAACAGAGCAAAGAAGGCATTTTGATGGCAAATATCTACTTGTTAGTTTTTGTTTGTTTGTTTCTGTTTTGTTTTGTTTTTCTGTCTGAAAGCATTATTATTAGTCAACTCAAGTTTGGAAGCCATTGTTTGGAGAGTGTTGGTACCAATATTGGTGTCAGTACTTTTAATGAGCTTTTAATGAAAAATGTAATTTATCTCTATTTCATTGTTTTACCTTCATATTCACAAGATTCTAGAAAAATAAGAAAATTTCTAATTATTAAAATAATGCCCTTCCATCCCATGCCAGTCTTTAACAGTAAACAAATATTTACAGATTGGCTTTAAAAAGCCATTTTTTGTTTGATTTTTATGGCTATTAACAGGACCCCATGTGGGAGAGCCTTTTTGTGTGGCAGGTTGCAACCACAATCACTAAAAGATAATTCCAAGCCTACTTGTTTTATCCATACAGTTGGTTTAATCACAAATGGCTGGCTTAAAATTAAATGCCAGATATACTTTAAATTTCATATAAGGTATGAAATTTAAAAAACATGAAAATTTAAGGAGAGAGTGATAGCTGAGACAGCTAGGGAGTAAGGCTTTAAAACATACAGTTCTGGGGTGGTAGTCTTTCCCTCCGCCCTAGCACTTTGAAGATATTATTTCAATGTCTTCAGGCTTTCATTGTTTATGATGATAAGTCACACTCATTTGAAATGTTATTATCCTGTATGAAATGCAATTTGCCTTCAGTTTTACATTGCAACTATTTGACCATATATGTAGGTTGCTTTCTTTGTGTTCATTTTGCTTAGGTTTCACTGTGTTTCTTAAATCTCTAAAATTAAATCTTTCATCAAAAGGGAAAAATTCACAGCCATTATATATTTCTTAAAATATTGTTCTTCCTGTCACATATTCCCTTTTCTTGCATTCTGCAACTCCAATTACGTGCATGTTCGAACTTAATACTGTCCCATACGTTTATGACACTCTAATCATTTTTCAATCTTTTCTTTCCTCTATTCTTTTATTCTGTCTGTTTTCTTCTTTTTGCTCTCTGACTCTTTTTTTCCTGTTTTACTGTTTTCTATTCTGTGTTTTAATTGCTACATTTTCCCTTGTTACACATACATGTTATATCCTTAATCATTGTTAAAAGTACTTTAAAGTCTTTATCTACTAATTTCAAAATCTGGGTCATCTCAGGATCAGTATTCATTAGTTGTCCCTTTATCAAGAATCACATTTTCCTTTCTCTTCTTATGTAGAATAATTTTGGTTTGTATCCTGGCATTATCATCTACATATTGCAGGGAAATTTTAATTGTGTTGTAGTTTATGTGCCCAAACTGCAAACTGTGTCCCTTGTTGTGGGAAACAGCTGAATTTTAAAGTTAGTTTTATAGATATAGTTGAGGATACCTGCCATCTGGGATGAATATTCATGTTTTAGAGATCAGACAGAGATTTAGAAAAGATTACGCATAGAATTTGGTGCTTCCCCTCCCTGGAAGTTTCCTTTTCAAGATTTCTCTCCACACTTTTAATGTGTAGTAAATTCCTGAAGCACATCTTCTAATTCCTCAAGTCTGTAAAATGAGAGTGTCTATTTCAGTCTTACCAGCCTGGTATGGTGTAGACTGGGGCCTGCCCTCATTCTAAAATTCATGAAAATGGGAAACTCATTCACTGCCATTCTCTTCTTCCAAATGTTCAACCTTCCACAATCCAAGTGCTTTGGTCACTTTCTGGAGGCTTCACAAGTTTTTTATTTTTTGTATTTTGTCTAAATTTTGTAGTTTTTATTTATATGAGAGTTAATTTAAATAAAACTATTTAATTTACTTTTGAAATGATCTTATCAAATCCCCACAGAAATCCCCACAGAATGCCTATTGATTAAGTAAATTTAAGTTAATTAGACTTACTGTAGTAAGGAAGAATGTCACATTAATGGAATTGTAATATTGGCATGAAAGGTAGAAATCAGGAGAGAATATTTCTACAATCTTAGGACCTAGGCAGGATGACTTTAAAAGGATCTTGCAATGTGGAAAACTGGCTAGGTATATGAAGAGTTTATATGTTAGGTTTTGTCTTGGTGGTCAGAGTGAGGCAAAAATTTAAAATGAGTATTTAAGGTGTTAGTTTTTGTTTTTGTTTTTGTTTTGAGACAGAGTTTCCCTCTGTCACCCAGGCTAGAATGCAGTGGCATGATCTTGGCTCACTGCAAACTCCACCTCCCAGGTTCAAGGGATTCTCCTGCCTCAGTCCCCCAGTAGCTGGGTTTACAGGCACGCACCATGATGCCCAACTAATTTTTGTATTTTTAGTAGAGACAGGGTTTCACCATGTTGGCTGGGCTGGTCTCGAACTCCTAAGCTCACCTGATCTGCCTGCCTCGGCCTCCCAAAATGCTGGGATATCGGGAGTGAGCCACCATGCCCAGCCAAGGTGTTAGTTTTTATAAGTTTCTATTTTAATTTTTTTATAGGCTTTTCTTCCAGGAACAAATATTTCCTGAAACAAGTTGCTAAGTGATTTTTACACTGTTTTGGTATTGATTAGTTCAGAAATAGGAAAGCATCTTTGTTTCTCTTTTCAGAATTTAATATTTGATATATTGAAAAGTTTTAAGTGCAAAATTTGACATAGGATTATGGCGAAATAAAAATATGATTTTTGTTTACTGATAGTATTTTTGACCATTAGAAGATATTTTGTATTCTCACCTAAAAGAAATATCTAAAATATGAAAATATTTTTAAAACCTTGGTGTAAACACCAAAAAAAAGTAACGCTTGAAAACATTATTTTTATTATAATTTGACCAATGTATTTTACACTTTATGCTTTAAGTTTTTTAAGCCAAATTTAAAATAGAATTGATATATGTTTATTTTAAGGTAGAAGGGAAAAGTAATCTTTTAGAACCAAAACAAAAGGTAAAATATTTTTTTGCATATAAATCTATGTATGTATTTATCTATAAAATGCAACGATGCATTGTGTTGAATGTAGCTTTTTTAGATCTCTACTTTTCCCCAATTCCCAACTCCTTGTTTCTAGCATCTAACTAACTTCCTTAGCAGAGAAAAATGGGTAAAAATATGTGGGGTAGGAGTTTGGGTAGCAAATGGAAAAACACAAAACAAGAGGCCAACAAAAGTTTTTTCTTTACCATATTTTACTGATGTTCAATTAGAAAACTAGCATTCACAAACAGAGCAGGTTATGTGGCTAAGATTCTCTCCAGTAGAAATTGCAGAAAAAATGGCAAGACTTTGGTAGTACACTATTAATGCTTTCAGTGGCACCAGAGTATTCTATTTCTTTTTTTTCTTTTCTTTTCTTTTTTTTTTTCCCCAAGACGGGGTCTTGCTTTGTTACCCAGGCTAGAGTGCAATGGCGCGATCTCGGCTCACTGCAACCTCTGTCTCCAGGGCTCAAGAAATTCTCCTGCCTCAGCCTCCCAGGTAGCTGGGATTACAGGCGCCTGCTGCCATGCTCAGCTAGTTTTCTGTATTTTTTTGTAGAGATGGGGTTTCACCATGTTGGCCAGGCTGGTCTCAAACTCCTGACCTCAAGTATCTGCCCGCCTCGGCCTCCCAAAGTGCTGGGATTACAGGCATGAGCCACCGCGCCAGGCCCAGAGTATTCTTAAAGTTATGGTGTAGTACTTTCTAATTCAAAAATGAAAAGGAAAAGTTATGCTGTTTATTATTAACCAAAAATGAAGATAAAATAGTATTCCATTGTTTCCTAAAGTTTTCCTTTTTTTGAAAAAATAATGTTAAGTTTGGCTTAAAGAATATTGAAACCCATTGCAAAAAATAACTAACTAAGAAAATAAAATTTTGGGTGTTTGCTAACAGCCAGAAGACTGCAATTTGAATTATAAAGGGGGCACAAATTTTAAATAATAAAAATCCATGGATATTATATCTTATTATGACATTTCCTTTTAAAATAGGTGTCTTGGAGAAGAGTACTCAGAGGGAATAAACACCTTTCTAGAATCAAAGAAATAATTTGGGTTTAACTCAGAAGAATATAATATCGGGGTCCTGGCTCACAGGACAAAAAGTAAATAACCACTACCACACAGCAATACAAAAACTACCACCACCAACATATACATCACCATTTAGAAACCTTGGATTGAGCTAGGGGAAAATTGTGAATCAATAGGTTATGTAATAAACAGGAAACAAAATAGCAAATCTGAATGACTCAAAGTAAAGGAAACAAATGTTTTTTTCCCATTTTATTTATGGCAATGACAGATAAAAATATGTATGTGAAATACGTAATTATTTGGGTCTGCTAATCTAAACACTATGATGCAGAAAGTATTTTATTTTTTATTCATCTGAATATTTTTATAGTCTCTAAAACTTCTTCTTTTCTACTCAGATCACCCTCAATTTCTTGTCATGTTTCCTGTTCTAAATTAAAATTTCCAGTTAATCCCCATTATCCTCTCTCTCTAAGCAAGCTTACAGCCAAGGCTAGTGCGATGATGTGATATTTTTGCAAATTCAACTTCATTTTTTTGGAAATATCTTGGAAAAAGGGTAGTATATTTCACAGTGCAAAATGAGCCAGTTTCTCCTGGTAATTTATATATAGTTCCGAAACTAAAGATATCAAATATGTCTTTTTTGTTTGAAAGACTAATTCAATATCCTCATTTTTCCCTGTATTTTCATATTACTCCTAGCTTATATTCTCACAGTTAATTACAGACTGTCTAATATTTTCCCTACTTGTTCAAACTATGTAAATGTCCACCCTCCAACTAGTGTGAATCTTTGAAGCACAGACTGTAGAATCCTTTAGAATTACTGAGGTCACTGCCGGGAACTACATTGAAGTGTAAGTTTTTCTATCCTTTTTTAAACTGAGAACTACATATTCTTTGTATACATTATTTAGAACATATACATAGTTACCTAGTTGGATATTAATAACTTGAACCCTTAAATATTTTCACAATTATTATATCTTATTTCACAAATAAGATATAATGTCTTAAGTTCACCCATGAAAAATGTATTGATTCACTATGTATTGATTCACTATGTACACTATCGATTCACTATGTGTTGAGTTGTTTAATGGCATTGATAAAAACAACCAGTATTTTTCTCATCTAAAGTTTAATTACACATATTGTTACTTTGAGGAAATTTAAGACATTTATAGCTTTCATTTACTTCTTCTCTTATACCCTCAACCTCACTAAACGCCTTCATTACTTTAAGCAGGAAAACAACGTATTGCTTTGGTGTTATGATACTATGTGTAAATCATTCCAACTTGCATTCTCCCTCTTGCCTTTTACTTTGTACATTACAGTGAAGGTGCCAAGGCGTATTTCCATTACAAGAGAAAGATTTTAGCCTAAACCGTATTCCCAGCTCTGTGTAACATACCAGATTCCTTCACTAGTAAAGTTATACTGTTGAATTAAACTATCATTAAAGCCCTACCTAATCTAAGTTTTCAATTTTTTCTCAAGATATTTTCTTAATACATGCTCTTTAATAAGCTTTTGTTGTTTGAAATGTTGTTATCCAAAACAAGGCTATCTTTAAATTACACATTATGCTTCAAATCTGTGTCCCACATCAGGAGAAGCAAGATTCAGAAAACAGTACCATTAAAGCAATATTTCCATGAGAACATTTATCACCCTTCCTCTCTGATCAATAATCATTCCAAATTATATCCTAGTGCCTTGCTTTTTTTATGCCTCTCACATTCTCATTGTCTCAATATTTTTGGACTTATTTCATTTGCTGTCACCTGCAATATAATTAAATTTGCCTAGATCAAAATACATCTTGCTCCATCTGGATGTATCCTTCTACTATCAGTACCACCATTTTACTCATAGAGAAATAAAATTAAAAAAAAAATCTCATGCCAACAGAGAAAATCCTACACAAAAGTTGAATAGAAATAAAATAGTTTTATGTTGAGTAAACATTAAATTAGAATGTGATAACAATCTAGTATGAGATTTCAAAATAAAAAAAATCATATTTTTATATAGCCAGGTAGATACAACCTATTATATGCATGTTCTGAAGATAAACAAAAACTAGTCCTCAAGTAAGAAGATGATGATGCCATTTGTCACATACAGTTAATCATAGATTCACATGGTATTTAGGGTGGCCATCTGTGTTAATTGACTTTATGTGAAGAAAAAACAAACTTTTTATTTTTTATATTTATGAGGTGGCTTTGCAACTTAGAGAGATGCACCCATGAGGTTAAGCTCCTGCCTTTTGATGGAAACTGAGAGATAGGGGAGCTGTCTTTCTTGATGATTAATTTCAAAGAGATAGTTTCAATGTCCTTAGGGAAGATGTTTTGGGGGCTTAATTCTGGCAAGAAGCATAATGGCCTTTTAAAAAATTCACACATATTTCAAGAAGACAGAGACACATCTTACAATGATAAGTTTTCTAAGGCAAATGCTCTAAGAAAAGGAAGGGAGAAGTCTTTTCAATTATTTTCCATAGGAGTAATTCAACCTCTTATTTTTATTTGTACTTGTCTTTTACCATGTTAGAGTTCTCCAGTAAAACAAAACCATTCATTAGGTTCTGTTTCTTGTTTTCCCAAAAATCAGAAACCTTATATAAGTAGTGTGTGTATATGTAGTGTGTGTGTATGTGTGTATATATATATATATAATGTAATGTGTATGTATGTGTGTGTGTATATATATATATATATATATATATATATATATATATATATATATATATGTAATGGGGAATTGGCTCACAGAATAATGTAGGCTGAAAATCACAAGATCTGTATTCAAAAGACCCAGAGGAGATGCTGGTGTCTTCAGTTGAGTCTGAAATCCTTGGAACCAGGAACATACTGTGGCTTTAGTTCCAGAAAAAGTCTGTTTAGCCAAGGGTGTAAGTTCCAGTCTGAAAGCCAGCAAGTTCAGTTCTAGACCCAAGAAGAGCTTGTGTTTCTACTTGAGTCCAAAGGCAAGAAAAGATAAATGTTCCACTTCAAAGCAGTCAGGCAGGAAGAGTTTTCTCCTACTAGAGGGAGAGTCAATCTTTTTTTTTTTTTCCTCAAGCTTTAAACTGATTGGAAGATGGCTCCCCAGAATCTGAAAAGGCAATCTGCTTTACTAGGTTTACCAATTTAAAGGTTAATCTCATAAAAAAAACACCTTTACAGACACACCCAGAATAATGTTGATCAAATATATCGGTCAGTCAAGTTGACACATAAAATTAACCATCACAAGTATCAAGTCAAGTACCAAATAACTTTTTTCTAATAACTTAAGAAAAGATCCTCAGGGATTCTAGTTTTCTTATTAGTGTGGCGTGTTAGGTATCATTTGAAAAGAGTGAGTAATATCTGGAATAACCACTGCAAGAAGCACAATACTCAACACTAGTAATGTCCTACTGATACCCAAATAAACATTTTCGCTTAGTACATCAATTAAAATTAACCTTTTTCCCCCAATCTCACACTCCTAATTTTTACCAGGCAAATTATAAGATTCTACTACTTATTTTCCTATACAATTCAAACTACATCATTTTGACTTAGCTCTTGATATGGTTTTACCCTCTGTTGCTTTATATCTTGTCAATCACATTTTCAAGCTTCCCTGTGAACAACTAAAGGAATGTTTTATTGGTAAATCAGGAAGTAAAAATTTTAATTTCATCCTGACTTTGTTGACATTTTTTTTCCTGATTTCATCCCATATTCTCTGCTTCAGTTAACCTGCTGTACCTTTTATTGTCCACATAATGTGCACTTTTCCTGTCTCTTCTATTTTTCTTAAGCCATTACCACAATAGGACATGCTCTGACCTCTCTAAGTTTCCTTTAGGTCTTACTTATTCTTTAATGCTTATCCTTACAACTGTAATCTCCTTAAATCTTAAAATGATCTGTCACCTGGAAGTGTATTTTTAATCTTATGAACATAATAAATACTTCTTTTGTAGTACTTATATTTCACTGTATCATACTTGTATTCACACTTTCTTTCTCCAAAATACTGTACATTCATAGACAGCAAACTATTATTTTCTGTTCCTTACAGTCTCTAGCAGTGTACTTTAACTTATGTGTAAAATAAATCAATTGATATATTGATTGCTACATATAGAATACTTTAATATAACTTCTTTCTAGCCTTGTAAAAGCTGTGTATGCAGGAATTTCTCAGAGAAAATTTACACAATGAAGAAAAATAATTTGTTGTAGTTAAGTTCAGAGACAGTAACTTCAACTTAGGCCTTTAAAAAAGTAATTATAGAGGAAAAAATGAGTACAAGTTTTACTATCTTTACTAAATTTAAGTGTTTAAAAACAAGTGAATTTTGTTAATATGTAAAAATTCATTTTTGATAGTAAAATCTCAGTCTGTGTGTGTGTGTGTGTGTGTGTGTGTGTGTGTTCAACATGAAGTAATCATTTCGTGGCCAAGGACTGAAAAATAGTTGAAACAGATTTCTAGATAAACATTTTTAAATTATCATCATCATTATCATAAATAAAACACAAGAACCAGATGAGGATTTAGGGGTATGAACAAATTTAACTAATAGAATTATTTTTTTAAAAAAGTCCTAATTTTCCATCTGTATTTTTTTCTATAATAATTTCCAAAGAAATCTCTAATATCAGCATTCCAGTATTTCTGTGAAAAAATGCATTATTTTTGTATGCATAAATTTTTGAAAGAAAACAGTATTGTATTTTGATGTTGCAGTTTTGAATGCAGTTTATTTCAAATATTATATTTAATGATTATTAAGTTTAAAATTCTACAATAACAATTTTTCCTGAGTATTAATAAAAGGATTTAAAAAAAGCTATATGATGTCATAAGTCACTGCTCACCACCTTGCCACTATAGGGTTGCTCCTTAAAATACACTTTCCAATGATTTGTACAATGCAATTTGAAATGGTTCATTTGATGGGTTACACATTTTTCTCCTGGGCAACCATTGTATAATACGATTCTCAATTGTTCTATTGCCAACAATATTTTATTGAGTTGTTGCTTCTGGTTTTCTGTTGTTGTTGTTATGTCACAATTCAATTATTTTTCAATGTGTGTAATTTGTTAAATATATATTTCATATTATTGGTCTCTTAATACTATATTAAAATTTTGTATAATGTTTTATATTTTAATATATATTTTATACATTAATTCCATTAGATCTGAATAAAAGAGTTAAAATAGCATCATTGATTGAACACTTACTGTAGGTCAGGCACTATTGAAAGTACTTCACAGGTAATAATTCATTAAATTTTAAAACTCTGTGGGGCCAGGCATGGTGGCTCAAGCCTGTAATCCCAGCATTTGGGAGGCCTAGGAGGGAGGATCATGAGGTCAGGAGTTCGAGACCAGCCTGGCCAATACGATGAAACCCCGTCTCTACTAAAAATACAGAAATTAGCCAGGCATGGTGCCGCATGTCTGTAGTTCCAGCGACTCGGGAGGATGAGGCAGAAGAATCACTTGAACCCGGGAGGCGGAGGTTGCAGTGGGTGGAGATCGTGCCACTGACTCCAACCTGGGTGACAGAGTGAGACTCCGTCTCAAAAACAAACAAAAAACAAACAAACAAAACTGTGTGCTAATTACTACAGCCATGCATCACTTAACAATGAGGATAAGTTCTGAGAAATGCATCAAAGGCAATTTTGTCATTGTGAAAACTTAATAGAGCGTACTTACACTACCTACGTGGCATAGCTTACTAGGCGCCTAGGCTATATAGTATAGCCTATTGCTCATAGGCTACAAACCTGTACAGCATGTTACTATGCTGGATACTGTAGGCAATTGTAACACTGGCAAGTGTTTGTGTATCTAAACATAGAAAAGGCACAGTAAAAATACAGCATTATAATCTTAGGGTACCATAATTTTATATGTGATTTGTCATTGATCAAAACATCTGTATGTGGCACATTTCTACCAGCCTTCCTTGTGATGAGTTGATAATGGTAGCACATTGGCTAATATCTTTGAGGAATTATCCACTCAAATTTCTTTTTTATTTTTTAACTCCCAGAAAGATCTCTTATGAATATGCTGCATCATATTTTCCTAAATGTAATTGTTCAACATTTGTGCACCGAACTACATGAGTATCTCTTAGCAAATGGAATCATTTATACCAACTCAGTGAACGATTTCTTTTAGAAAAACTTAGGAAAATAAACTTTTCTGTGTGTCTGATATCTAGTGATGAATAGTAATAATGTATTATTTAATTGGGAAGACTCAAAATTACAAAGTCCACATAAAGCTTTTGTAATATTCTTGAATGTAAACCATAGCTATGTCTAGTTTTTTGGTTTAGTCTACAAACCCACATATCCAGACTCCTCAGTGAATTTCAGCTGCAACTCTACCATTCTCAAGCGTCATAATAGTTTTACTGCATGAATGAAGGAAAAAAGATAGGATAAAATAATACTTGTGGAAAAGAGTTAGCAGCCTTTTTCAGTTTACAAATATAATGGAAATTTACTGAATGCACACATTTTTTAAAATACAGAAATTTTCATTGTGACACTCAAAATTGGATGAAAGTAATCATCCAAATTACTCATTAAGAATAATAACTTTCTATTATGAAAAAGACTAAAAACACCTTCAATATCTTAATTCAATTTAGATAATACAAGTTCTAAGTTACTTGTAAATTTAATCTGAAAAAACAATTTAAACGCATAGTGCCATTCCTAGAATCTTAATGCTGTCCTTATGTTTCTCTGAAATGTTACTAAGTTTAGTAAGTTTAGAGAATAAATTTACCTCTGATCTAGGACAAGATACTAAATTGATCATGGCCTCTCTTCCACTAAGAAGAAAAAAATATAGGAAGTAAGCTGCTAATTGCATACTATTATATTCCAGTCATTATTTCGTAACTTCAAAGAGAGTACTCTAAGAGTCTTTTCAGTATTGAACTCGCATTCCAATTGATAAGCAATGACATCATAATTACTTCAAGCTCTAGATCGATCTGTTGATTCTTGATGGAGCAAGAACATTTAACATATTGATTTTTCTCATTTAAGTCATTTTCTTAGCATCTTTGAGTCCCTTCATTCTATTCAGTCTTGACTGAATGTATTTAATAATATGTAGCTGATCTTTCTAATGTTTTCTCATATGTTCTATATTGTCTAGTAGACTTCTTCCAATTGACAAATAGTATCAGAATGTCCACAAAGAAACAGGATAGTGTGTAATATATATGATTATGGATGCTATGGAATTGAAGGTGTGCTTTCTGAGGAAGCCCTTCAGGAAGAGGGTTATTAGACAATGATTAGGGTAAGTATTTTCGTAAGGTTGGTAAGAAATATAGAGACAGCTGGTAACTAAGGAAAATGGCTGTACTAAGGAAAATCACTACCAATCTAACAAGTTTGCTGAACAATTTTATTTGTCTAAGTTTGTTTGGAGATTGTGCTAGTTACATAGACTTCAATTTCAAGCACAAACAACTGAAAAATTATTTACATTGTTCTCTTTTTTGGGGCATTCTACCATTTTTATATAGAGCCTATTTCTGCATTTTATGCTTTAAGAATACTGCAGGTCTTCAGGAGTTTGACTCTCCCAAAATATTTTAAAGGATGGTGCCATTTGCCTAGCTACCACATAAAATATTGTGGTAGACAGTGAGCCAGTGAGCTCTGGAACCATTTCTATGTACTCAAATACTCAGTCCACAAGTGATCACTGGGGATAACTTGGGGCAATTATGTAACCTCTCTGTGCCTCAACACTATATTTGTAAATGGAAATTATAATAATATATATTATAAGATTGCCATAAAGTTTAAATGTAATAATGATCACAATGTACTTAACTTAGAACTGTGCGTGACACTTAATAAATGATCTAGATAAGTTCGCTATCACCATGAGATCCTTGAACTTAAATGTAAAAAGGTAATCAGCTAGGTTTTTACTAAATTTGACAAACTGGTTGTTTCTATTTTCTTAGCAGTCAAGTTGTTTGTTATTCTCATAAAATGCCTCAGAAAATATCTGAGCTTCCTTACACTGGATAGTTTTGAACAGAGGCTGTTTGATCAATTTTCAGGAATGTTATAGAAGATATTGGGAAACTGAACTTAATAATGTTCCAAGTGATTTCTAAGTTTATTAGTCAGAGACATTTTAAGTGACAGAGTAAAACAGAGAAATCACTCAGACAAAACAAACAAAGTAACATTCTTAGACAGATACATATATCCAAAGGAGGGGTAAACAATTCTAGAGAAGGGCATTCAGAGTCAGAGGCACAGCTAAGTTTCAGACAAAACATTGTCATAATTCCGTCCCTCAGCATCTTCTCTATTCTTGTCTGTACATGTAAACATTGTTTCCATCGCGTATCTTGGGACATTAAGACTTCCCAAGTTTCATGTTCTTTAATACTTACAAAAATAGAAGGGCTAATTTATATTTTCCCCCAGTTCATAACCTAGTTTCTAGAAAGAGTGGTATGCACTTATTACATCTCTCATCTCCTTTTCTTCCTCTTCCCACTGTTCTTCGGTAACCATTTTCTCCACTTGGAAGAACTTTCACAAAAATCATCCGACTGCCAAATCCAATTGATCCCTATCCAGTCTGTATCTAATTTAAAACATTTGACTTTTGAAATACCTATAACATTTTTCAATAACTTTTTTCTTTATTTAATCAAAACACTCTTTTTTTTCTTATTCTCTGTCCATTAATTGTCAGAAACAGTTTTAACGTTAGCTTTCACTAGTGATCTCACAGAAGTCTCATTACTTCTCACATTACTGTCTATATGGGCAATTTCATTCAAAACGCACTACTCAATGAGAGGCACCATTTGCCTAAAAAGGGAACTTGAGAAACTTCGTATATACATCTCACCATTTAACCTTTAAGAATTATTCGGAAACATATGATTTTAATTAACTTGTAAATATTTACTTGAGAGCATCAATTCCCAACTGTCATTTATTCATCCTGTCAGTCAATTTATATTTATTGTGCACCTATAATGCTATAGGCATTGAACAAAGATTTGGGGACTGAAATAAGTATATACATATGGAATAAGAAGGAATTATAGTTTAAACATATAATTACAAAATATTTACTTGCTAACTATAATAATGCAATGAAGGGACTGGGATATATACTCTGATGCTTCAAGAGCACGAAAAGGCAATCACAGCTCATTAGATGCCCAGGAAGAGCATATGTTCACTGGGTAGAAGAATGAGGAGGCATGAATTGGCCTCTGTGTGTATAGTCACAGATCCTCATCACCATTCATTATATTTATGTTTTGAAAGTGTCACGGCAAACAAGATGATTTGATTATTGGAAACACCTTTAATATTTTTCGATAGATTCTAATCTCCTGAATTTTTTATAAAAAAAGTTAATGTTCTTAGCAATATCTTCTTAACTACTCTGCTCACTCATCCTCTTCTAATATTGTTAAACTTTTCATATTTCTTTGACAATGTCATACTAGTGAAGGCCTTCATAATTTGTGTGTTTTCCCTCATAATATCTACCTGAAGAATGCTAATTTCTCTAATATTAAATCAAAAGAAGCCTCAGTTTTGCATTTTTTTAACTGATCATATAGCAGACTATTATTTTCCACTGTGGTTTTTCAAAATGTTAAATATCTCTCTATTATGAAAATGATTTCATAAAAATAATGAACTATTTTTCTGCTGTTTCTTATAAGCTTATTGAGAAACTTGCTGTATTTTTAAAATAGTTATACCTTAGCATACCATATGATATCTTAGAAACTCAAATATATTCTAAATTAATTAATTTGAACTCATATCAAATATAATTTTATTTAAATATTAAAATATTTATTTTCTTATTTGATTAAAATATTTTGACATCCCTAAAAGTTGTAAAGGCTGTCATTTAATGTTAATAACTAGAAACATTATTTTTCCACATTTGAATTTTCATATAAATTTTATTTATTTCTCTTTTTATTCAGCTTACTTTTTAGAGACATTCATTTCTGTTGCGTTAAACCATTCCATCCAAAATCTAACATAATAAAAATACACGCATGAGTTAAGCAGGACATGTAAGCCAATTTAAAGTGAGTAATTTGTTTATGTATTAATGTGATATATAGATATTTTTTATCTTCTCTAGTTAAAAAAAAAGTACCCCCTCCTGCCCAAGAGGGGATACTGCATCCTGTATCCCTAATGAGTGTCTAATATTTTGCAATTTTGAGCCAAATAACAAGGTGATATAATTGTGTCATGGTAAAAATAATGAAGCTGGATTAAATAGCTCTCCTAGTTGGATTCTTTTATTCTTTTTCTTTGCTTTCAATTCCCAGTAGCTAACCTTATTTTAAGGAGTTTTGCTCTTTAATGATATCTGTTCATGAAACTTAACTGTTGGGGCTTAGACTTCTACTGTAAGTTTTGGAGCTATATTGCAGCTTAGGGAATAGTGAGATATAGAAAATAATGAGACAAATTAATTTTCTGTTCCCAGAGGTCCTATATTCCCCATAGCTATCACTCAGTGGACAACCCTTTTTCTGAAAGATTGATATAAAAATAATTTATGTCAGGCTAAGAGGCAGAGCAAATCTATCTGCCTGGAAAAGCACATAAATGCCTTTAAGAAAAGAGTAGTAGCTTGTGGAGACAGTGCTTCTTGGTAATTAGGGGTGTTTATTATCCTTGTCAGGCTTTAATAATCAATTCTGGAGTTATATAATGAAAAGGATCTCAACATTTAATATATAACCACACTATCCAAGTCCCTGTATAATTCAGCTTCAGATAATTCAAGGGTGTTCTGTTAGTAAGCTGCAAGATTTTTTCAGTTTAAAATGCTGCAGCCATAATTAGGAAATATTGAAAATGAACATCTTACTAAGCCCAATGAAATAATAAAATTCTAGACCTTGAAGAGCTGAAGTGAGGTCGTGTAATTCATTCCCTTGCTCTTAAGTAATAACTCCACAAAACCAACCATTAAAAATTATAATTAAATATTTTATAAATATTACATATAACATTTTATATTTTTATAGTGTAAACATAAAGAGATGCATAAAAACCTCATTCTAATGTAGTTTATGTCTATGGTTTTGAAGAATATCACTAACAGGAATATCACAAAAAGAAAAGTATCAACATCAAATGATTCCAAATGAAAAAAAAGATAAATTAAATAAAAGGGCTCATTGTGAGTCACCTGAATTCATTTTTTTTCAATTTGAAGTAACTCTTCAACTACTGGCTTAGTTGCCTATATAGAAATCTTTGTGCCAAAGTGTTTGGATTATTGTACGGTAATGTATTGTAAGTAATGGTATTGACTTACTTCCACACATGGAGCCAGAGGGCTGCTCACTCATCCTGTGACATTGAACATATTTTCTGTAAATATCCAGACTGTAGGAGTTAAAGATGAAGAAATTTACAGACTACCTCCATATTAAAACTCTATTTAAAATGTTCTTGAGCAGGCGTGGTGGCTCATGCTTGTAATCCCAGCACTTTGGGAGGCTGAGACAGGTGAATCACCTGAGGTCAGGAGTTCGAAACCAGCCTGACCAACATGGCGAAACCTTGTCTCTATTAAAAATACAAAATTAGCTGGGTGTGGTGACACGTGCATGTAATCCGAGTTATTGGGAGGCTGAGGCAGGAGAATTGCTTGAAGACGGGAGGTGGAGGTTGCAGTGAGCTGAGATCGTACCATTGCACTCCAGCCTAGGCAAGAAGAGTGAAACTCCATCTCAAAAAAAAAAAAAAAAGAGTTCTTTTTTTGGTCTAATGTTGAAAAATTTATTTTTACGCTAGATCTAATAGCCACAAAATACTATCTTAGGTTCTGAGCTTAACACTGTATGAATATTAATTTTATTATTTCAGCATCTTTGAAAGATTATGTAATGCTGTTGTGCTGGTTGTCTAGTTCTTAATTTATTACCAGATTAACAGCATGTTCTTAACTATCATAATTGAGTCATGTGAAATCTGTATCTATATCTAAGTTCTCCAGTTTAGTTGAAGAGAAATACGACAACAACAGCTACTACTACAACCATCATTTAACAAAGCCTTCATGGTGTTTGGGAAGAAGTTGTGACATGGGACTTAAATACTAAATTTTTAAGTCTACTCTCTACCACTGTAATTGTCCAAATTATTTGCCCAATTTAACATCTCTGAGACATAATTTAATCCCTAAGATTGTAGGCAATTTTTACTAAATAATCTTTAAATTGTTTCAGATTTAAGTTCTAATGAAATAACAAATCAACCGAATATTTTTGTGTATATGATTAAATATTAATTTAAATTGGTTAGAATTTAACCAATGTTGCTTGTAATGGTGACAACACATGAATTTATGTCCAGCTTTTGGTTAACTTCCTGCTATAAATATTATTTCTACAATAAACAGTTTTACCAATATTCTCTATGAGTTATTTTATACAAATTGGAAAAAATGAATGCCTTTCTTACCACTTTTAAATATTGAGAAGCCAGTACATTATTAGCTTTGCATATACGTTCTTAAATAAAACTAAGGTCATCAAAACTTAAAAGTACAGTAACATTTTCCCACATTGTCACATTTCTTAAAACACCAATATATAAGGGAGAGAATAGTTTACATCCATATACACATGCATACTGTATCAGCAAAACCTACTAAGCAAAATCCCATAGTTTAAAAAAAAATATGATTTCGAAGTAGTTTGTAATGCTGTTAATTGTTGTAGAGTCACTACAAAATAAGACAAGTAATTATCATAATAGGGAATGATTGCCATTTAAGTATGACTGAGGGGTTAAATACCTAAAAGCTGCACTTAACGTATTGAAATCCATAGAAATTAATTTGGTGTGCAAACAGAATTATGTGAAACTTATTTTTGATATGTAATAGAGACTACAGAAAGATTCTGTCCAGGTTTTTTTCCCCTTTTCCTCATGATGAAAAAAAATCTGTATATACTAGGAAAAAATGCAACGGGAATTGTTACATAAATGCATAATTTATTTTATATAAACAGGCCTTTATGGTATAAATTTGTATTGTTTATATATCTATATATCTAGATCTATATTTGTTCTAATATATCAAGTAAATGGCAACTAAAATTATTATGATATAGGACTATTTACTAACAAGGACAGTTTAAATTAGAAGGATAGACCGTACCAAGTGTTGGGAAGAATCTGGAATTATTAACAGCTCTTATACAGTATCAGGAGGAATGTAAATTGTTGTAATCACTTTGAAAAACTGTTTGATCTGATCTACTGAAGCTAAATATAAGTTTAGCCTATGACAGAGCAATTTTATTCCCTACATATATATTTAACAGAAATGTGTATATATGAGTCAATACACAAGAATATGAATAGCTACATTTTAAAAATACTAAACTGGAAGCAACACAAGTGTCCATCAATCGTACAATGAATGCATTAATTGTATTATATTCATACAATTGAGTATTATACATAGTGAAAATATATATACCATTACTAGAGCAGCAACATGAAAGAATCCCATTAACATCACTTAGGCAAAAGTGATTATAAAAAAATGTTGCAAAAATGTTGGAGTGCAGTGGCGTGATCTCTGCTCACCGCAACTTCTGCCTCCCGGTCTTGAGCTATTCTCCTGCCTAAGCCTCCAGATTTCCTGGGATTACAGGCGCCCACAACCACTCCTGGCTAATTTTGTATTTTTAGTAGAGATGGGGTTTCACCATGTTGGCCATGCTTGTTTTGAACTCTTAACCTCATCTTATGTGCCCGCCTTGGCCTCCCAAAGTGTTGGGATTACAAACCTGAGTCACTGCTCCTGGCCTATAATTTTATTTTTATAAAGTTAGAAAATATTTGGTGTGGGATATTAAGATAGTGATTACCTTGGGCTAGAAGAAGTACAGCAACTTAGATGAGAAATAGGGAGTACTTCCGGGGTAAGGGGGGTGTTCTGTTTTTTTGTTGGTTAGTTGGTTGATTTTTTTTTTTAATTTGGGTAAAGGGTTACATTGGTATTCTCATATAAACACTGTGAAAATGTATTGGGCTATTATTCCATGTTTTGTATATGAAATACAATGAAATACATATGAAAAGTGTGTGTCATATTTCAATATCAGTTAAAAAATAGGATTGTTGCAATGATTCATCTTAAAGGCAGTGATATTCCACAGGGTGATTATGGAATTTTAAAATTATATCTTTAAAAAATTCAAATTTTTTGTACCTGGATTATGTTTCCTCAGTTACCACTAAATGGTATTATTTTTCTTTTGTGTCTAGTAACATAACTATGACCCTGAGTAATTTGTTAAAATAAGTATTATTATTATACAAGGAATATGTTAGAAAAATATAGATAAAATGAGATACTAATTCTATGGTATAGATATTTAAGTATTGATTTATACAGTAATTCATTTTTAATTTTCTTTTTTTACATGACATTAGTATTTTGTTTATGGTTTTTGAAATACTTGGGAATATAACAAATACATAAATTTGTATTGATATTTATAATATCTAAGGAAATATAGTTAACTTTGTAATCACTGGTTAAAAAGCTTTTTATAGAAAGTCTTAAGGCCTTTTAACATCAGATATCTTTAATATGTAAGAAGTCTGTATCTTAAAAATATTTTCTGGGCATTTATTTTAAAATACAGTTAATATTAAATAACGTAATATAATGGTATTATCAGATATATTTAATATGTAAGAAGTCTGTATCTTAAAAATATTTTCTGGGCATTTATTTTAAAATACAGTTAATATTAAATAACTTAATATAATGGTATATTATAAAGTATTGTTTTCAAAGTTTTCCAAATGATCGTGTTAAAAAAAGGTGCAGCATTACAGAAGTGGAAATATCAGAAGGGAAGACAAGGGAACACAATTTTAGGTATTCTTGGTTTCTTTATTATATAAAATATGCTTTAGTTAACCCAAGAGCAACATATTCAAGAATCTCATTGTTCATTATTGTAACTTTCCCCACTGATGCTTTGTAAGAGGCTAAGTGCTAAAACTAGAAAGAAAGTTTAATAGAAAAATAAGGATACCATTAAATGTCACTTCCAATCTCAGGTTAAATTGCTGCAAATGAGAAGCTTAGGACAAATGAAGGCATTATATAATGGGGGTTGAATAGAGCCAAGGTCATATATAACAAGAGTTCCAATTAGTGCCTATTTAAACAATGCCAAAAGGAAGCAGTTTGACAATGACTACAGGTTATTTCCTAGCACATGTTAAGAAATGCTATTTTCAGATATAAATGACCTAGTCAGAAAAGATGTGCCATGGAAAACTTACATTTTTCCTAATAAGTTTTGGCTCACAAAGGAAAACACTTTATTTAAAATATTCCTTTTTAAGAAAATGATCTACAAAAATTCAAAATATATTGATTTAAATAAGACGCTATTTAGTTTAAAACTATTGTAAAAATAAATCCTCAGAGTATTGTTTGGAAGCAGAAGACAAAGTATAAATTTTAAAAATGAGGAATTTTATGCAAATAAAATAATTGTTAGGGGTGAAATTAAGTTCTATTGTCTCTGAATCTGAGAGAGTGAGCTGATCAGGAATGACGTGTCAGTGAGGAAAGTAGGTAGTGGGCAGTGGGCATGTTTTGGAGCTAGCCAAGTGCTGAAAGTGCTGAAAATGAAATTAATGAGCTTCTAGAAGATATTGAGTAGTTCTGCTAATGCTAAGCAGTTGTCCTCATCTTCAATTCCTACTCAATAAAGATTTTTATTTCACACTTTTGAAGATTTTTCTCTATACGAATACTATTTAGGCTCAAACTTAAAGTTTGAATTATTTATTTGCATGATATATTTTATCATAATTATAATGACATCTAATTTTTATATGAAAATTAATATAATATGTTTTTATAAATTGTATGTTTGTTTGAAGATGGTATTATATAAGCATAAACTTTAGAAAATAATAAGCATGGATCCATTTATAGTTAGGAGAGATAGAAGATAATTCAAGTTCATCTGGTTACATGTGGTAATAAAACACGACCACTCAGAATGAATGCTTACATCTGCCAGTGAAGGGCACTAGTCTCAATAAGAATGCTTTAAATGATTCCAGATTGGCTTAAAGCTGTAGATTAGAAAAGATGAATTGGCATTCAGTTTAAAGATTTTACAGCGTGATTACATTTTGAAATCCATAGAAATTAATTTGGTGTGCAAACAGAATTATGTGAAACTTATTTTTGATATGTAATAGAGACTACGGAAATATTCTGTCCAGGTTTTTTTCCCCTTTTCCTCATGATGAAAAAAAATCTGTATATACTAGGAAAAAATGGAACTTCTTTGGAGGTAGAGCTTTAATTCGTATTCTTACATTTTCCTTGGTTTCCATAGTTAAAACAATACTTAAAATTCAGTAGAATGAGCAATATAAATTCAATACCTTTAGAAAACTTTGTTGCTCTTCTGGGCAGTAAGTCTGTATGTCGGTCACTTTCTTTGTCCCACTCTACTGCATCCTCTGGTCCAATTCCGCTACCCCATCTTTCAGATATAGGTTGCCTGGCCTTCTGACTTTCAAATGGATTTGGACAATGGAGCCCCAAAAATTAAATGAAGAGAGAGAAATAAGATTGACATATTTATTTCTGAGGTCTCTATCTGAAAAGCCACTGTAGCATTGTGTTTAATTAAGCTCAGACCAATGTTTAATTAGACATATTTCTTCTAGGTTGACCTTTGACATTCCTGTCTTTCCTAATTTCAAATAACTGTTTTCTCTACTTGCTTTTTCAGACATAGATATTGTTACTGCATTCTGCTGGTAGTTACCATAACTGTGTTATCTCATGTGACTTCCTAATACTATGTGTTGTATTAAATTTCATTTATTGATATTCCTCAAATTATACAATAGGAGTGTGCCATCTGTTTTTTGCTAGGATTCTCATTGATACAGCCAGTTGCTATTATTCTTTGAACTAACATAAAATTTCTCTGGGAGGGGAAATCCATTTGCTAATGGTGAAGAAAGGTAGTTGTTAATCATTCTTAAGATCTGGATAAATTGTATAGATACCATGTCAGTATAATTTGTATTCAATTTTTAAAGGTCTCATTGGCCTTATAATGCCAAATACAAATAGTTTTCTTTATTCATCTTTTCTAAGTCCCATTTACTTATTTGAATACAGGCAGGACAGCTTATAATACCTCACAAGCCCAATATGAACTTACTGTACTACTAATGGACATAGGTACTTTCAAACCCACAACATTTCCTGGGACACAAACTATTGAAAGAAAATGTACCTTCTAAGAAAATTTTTAAAGACTTTGCTCACTATACTAACTAATTCTTAAAGTCTTGACTTGTGACATTATCACCTAATCACCTAAGAAAATAAGTATGAAGGCCAGGCATGGTGACTCACACCTGTACTCCCAGCACTTTGGGAGGCCAAGGCGGGCGGACCACTTGAGGTCGGGAGTTCGAGGCCAGCCTGGTCAATATGGTGAAATCCTGTCGCTAGTAAAAATACAAAATTAGCCTGGTGTGGTGGCGGGTGCCTGTAATCCCAGCTACTTGGGAGACTGAGGCAGAAGAATTGCTTGAACCTGGGAGGTGGAGGTTGCAGTGAGCCGAGATCCTGCCACTGCACTCCAGCTTGGGAGACAGAGCAAAACTCCGTCTGAAAAATGAACAAACAAACAAAGGAAAAAAGAGAATAAGTATGAGGAGAAATTAATAATGTATATTTTATAAAAGACAAATAAATAGCAGTTTATGGAGGAATTAAATAAAAATATTTGAGTCTAAAATGATGCATTTGAGAAGTTTATTATTTTAAGCATATATAATATTTTGGTTTTAAAATGTTACTTTTCTTGGGACAAAACCTCCAATACGCTTAGGGAAAAACTCTGTATTAAATCTTTGAGTTATAGTGAAATAAGGATTATTATTAATCCTTAGTTTAGGCATCCATATCTACTTATCTGCTTAATGTTCTTTGTTTACATGCTATCTCAAAAGGAATTACCATACACCTGCTCAGTCCTACCGTAGACGAGCATTTATTTTTGCTTTTTTCCACACATAATCAGTGTACAAGATAGATACAGCTAGATGCCATGATAGATTAACTTTGAAAGAGTGTTGCTTTACACAATAGAAATTTATTCTCACTCAAATAAATCCAAGTGGTAGCAGTAAGTGGAATGTGGCAGTGTAAGCCTTCCTTTTCATAAAGCTGGGGCAGCCATATAGTGATGTTGGTTATGTATAGTGGTGGGCATTATTTCTATTCACACTCCACCAGCTTGAACTCATTAACGCAGCCACTCTACAACAACAAGGAAAACTACAAAAATGTACTCAAACTCCCTGCCTAGAAAGCGTAGGAAATAGTTTTAAAGAGAAGCTTTCCAATCTCTGACAAAATCAGTCATAGTTCAAACAGACTTTTATTATCTCTAGTTAACATTTAAATCTCCTACATGTTCTCCTAGGTTTTAGTCTTCAGACAATGCCCTCTGCAATTCATATTTAAAACTGCCATATTTAAAGAAGATAAATCATAACCCTCTTTCTTAAATCATATAAAGATTTACCTTCCTCCACTGAACACAGTCAAAACTCCTTAGTATGATATATAAATAAGAATTTACACTGAACAAAAATGCCTGTGTATCTACGTGTCAGAAACTATTAAATAATAGAGTATAGATCCACAAAGGAAAACTAAGCGTAAACCTGGGATAAGCAAATGATAGCCTATTGCATGTTTTCAAAATAATAACTAGGATTTCCCAGGAAGAGGAGAAAAGAAAGAACATTCCTAGTAGAGGGAAAACACACACACACACACACACACACACACACACACACACACACACAAAATGTAGATAAAGTAGGGAAAAAAATTGCTCACCAGATGAAATTGTGGTGGCAGTGATAATATTTTCATATAATTTCCAAGGTTCTATAAATAGTTATTAAGTTATACCATCAATTTTTAACCTGGCACATGACACATGAACTGCACTGAATTTTTTTTTTTTTTTTTAAGGCGGAGTCTCTGTCACCCAGGCTGGAGTGCAGTGGCGCGATGTGGGCTCACTGCAAGCTCCGCCTCCCGGGTTCTCTCCATTCTCCTGCCTCAGCCTCCCGAGGGGCTGGGACTACAGGCTCCTGCCACCACGCCTGTTTAATTTTTTGTATTTTTTTTTTTTTTTTTTTTTTAGTAGAGACGGGGTTTCACCGTGTTAGCCAGGATGGTCTCGATCTCCTGATCTCGTGATCCGCCTGCCTCGGCCTCCCAAACTGCTGGGATTACAGGCGTGAGCCACCGCTCCCAGCCCTGAATTCATTTTTAAAATATTTTATTACATTGAGATATAAATTCATACTCATTACGATGGCTAGTAACAAGGAACAGGAAATAACAAGAGTTGGTGAGGATGTGGAAAAATTGAAACACTTGTGTATTGCTGGTGGAAATGGAAAATGTTGCAGCTGCTATGGCAAATGGAATGGTGGGTCTTCAACAAAAGTAAACATAGGATGATCATATTATCTAGCAATTCCACTTCTGGATATATACTTAACAAAACTGAAAGCAGAAACTGAAGCAGATATTTGTAACCCATTTTCATAGCAGCATTAGTGATAGTAGCCAAAACTGCAGAAGCAACAAAAGTGTCCATCAATGGATGAATGTTTAAACAAAATGTGGTATATACATAGCATGAAATATTATTTTGTCTTTAAAAGGAAATAAATTCTGTCACATACTACAAAGAGAGATGAGTCTTAAGGAAATGCTAGATGAGCCAAGTCAATCACGAAAGGACAAATATTCTATGATTTCAATTATATGTGGTATTTAGTAAAATTCATAGCAAAAAAAGCAGAATGGTAATTGCTAATGCTGGGTAGAAAGGGAAATGGAGAGTTAGTGTTTAACAGATATAGAATTGAAGTTGGAGAAGATGAAAAGTTCTGGAGATGGACGGTGGTGATGGTTGCATAACAATGTGAACATACTTAATGCCATAGAACTGTGCACTTAAAAATGCTTAAAATAGGACATTTTGTGATGTATATTTTACTACAATAAAAATATTTTACTTTCAATCTGTATTTTGAGTTTTACTTTACCTTAAATCTGTCAATAATACTGTTCCTGTCACTATAAAAATATAATTTTCATTCCTTTAAATTTGGAAAATATATATGGTGGAGAATATTTTAATTAATTACACTTGAATGATGATTATGAAAAATGTATGATATTGTATATTTGACTTCTGCAGCAATAGAGAAATAATCTTTCTGAAAACTGCATTGTGGTGTCCAAAGGGGAGTGATTTTTGTGCCCTCAATAAATAGGAGTTAATAAATTATCAAAAATAAAATACAAATAAATAATAATAATATATTTGTAATTGGGGAGATCAATATATTTCAGTATATTCTATATGCCTTTTGCTTCAAGGAGCTTCTAAAATGGATCTTCAGAAGACGCACTCTACGAATATTTTTTATTAAAATTGTATTCATCATTTGTGCTCTCAGATCTAGAAATAGAATTCCAAGCATGCTATTCTTGCAGACTTCCAGGATGTGCTATCTATTCATTTGATTCTGCACCTACTGAAGGAAAGCCTTAAGAAAATGGAAATAGGTTTTTCAGAATCTTATTTCATTTGGTAATTTAAACACATATAGGTTTTGAACCTGTTATTTCTGCTCATTTCTCCCATATAAGAATTTTTAGAGCAGTTACATTTCCAAAGATCTCTCAGACTTGTTGCAGTGATACAGAAACTGTAACAAAAATATGTTTAATTTTAATCTCTATTGTTTTTCAGTAAATAGCTAAGTTGCTCCTTAGTGAAAATTGTCACTTTTCTTGGCCGAAAAGAGAAAACAAACTATTAAAAGACTACAAACAGAGACCATCACTTTCTTACTATATAATTCATAACTCCAATATACCATCATCACTTTCAGACATTTCAGTTAGAATCTTCATTGCTTAATGTCTATCAGCATTTTGCCATTTATATTATTTTTACCATGAAAATATTTTTTATGGGTTACAAATAAAAATTGTCTTTTTTCAGATTTAATCTTTTTCATTTGCTTAAATTACTCTTCACTGAGTGGAATATTTCCATCAATAAGGGAGAAAAATTATGCTTTATAGTTATATAATAGAAAGATCCTACTGTACATATCTATTGGCTGTCACATATGGCCATACAATTGTTGTTTTATATGATCCAAGGATACACTTAATATACCAATTTTCTCAACTCATTATTCCCATCTTTAAATTACTAGTACTTACAAAATATACCCATCTTGGCAAAAGAAGGTATTTGATTATTTTTAGTATTTAGAACGTTTTTTCATAAAAATATTTAGTTAAAAAATAGATATAATTGAACAGTCTAGCCATTTTAAAAGAATGATTAAGAAAAGACAAGATCCAAATGGTAGGATAGAAAGTATAACGACTTACCCTCAATTATAACAGAGTTGATTTGCAATGTAAAGAAAAGTGTGTGTGTGTGTGTGTGTGTGTAGGAGAGAAACAGAAAGAGGGAGACCTGGGGAGAGAGAACAGGGCATGGACAGTGAGGAAAGGTGTATGGAGAACTGTAGTCTCTCTGTAGATTAATACTGGACAGGATTTGGGAGATTTAACTTGAAAAGATCTGGTGGAGGTGGAAGTGCTACTGGCTGGAAAGAGCCAAGGGCTAAGGGACATTTGAGGAATCGAGAGGAACTTTCACAAGATGATATGAAAATACAAGTATATCAGATTAACTTCCATTATTTTTGCCGGGGCTATGTACAAACTCTTGGAGATAAATATACATCTAAAATTTGAATTTCAGTTCATGTATTTGATCAATTCAAGGAATGTTACCATGGGGATGGAGAGGCACTTTTTAAGTGAAAGTAAAACAGTATTTTTTGCTGCAGTCTATTTTTTTTCCAGTCTTCCTCCCTCATGTGTACTTGGGTTCCGTCATTTGTTCCAGACCAATTTCATGTCACAATCCCGCTTGGGTTTAAGGTGTAGCTGAGTCTTAATTACAGCTTAGTTCCTACCAAAATAGCATATGATAAAGCTTAAACATCGACCATGATATTTCATTTTTTATGGGAGACTCAACTCTAGTATGATGGATATTTCTCATCAGTGTATCTCATTGGTTTAGTGCTCCCATTAAGAAGTTCCTACACTGTTCTCAATTGCAGGTATCTATTCTCTTTTAATTTCATTTATTATCATATAAATTATAGTTATTCATTGAAAAATAGAACATAAATAGAAACAAAAAGAATTTAAAATATTAACCCCATCTTACTACCAAGAAAAAAAATCTATCATTTTCAAGGCTGTTTTCATGTCTATGTTTGAGTGCCTTGTGCTATAAATGCATTGACAAAATACAGCCATAATTTGTATACTATTTTATACATAATGTTTTAATTAAATGATAGTATATCATGTCTACCCTATATCCTTTATATAAATACATTTAACTTTATAATATATTTTGATATTGAGATGGCATATAATATCTTGGGTTCACCAAACTTTTCTAAATCCATGTTATTGTTGAGTATTGTTATTGTTGAGCATTATTTTGTAAATATTTTATTTTTATAAGAAATAACATGATTATTTCTTACAAAAATAAAAGTTTTAACTAATCCAGAGACTTAAGATATATATATATCTTTATATATATATATATATATCTTAAGAGATATATGTATCTCTTAAGAGATATATGTATATATCTTTATTTCCTAAGAAAAAAATTGTAGATGAATTTCTGAGGCAAAAGCTATGTAGCACTTAATGCATTTTATTCATGTTCTCAAAGTTTTCATTAGCAAACATAGATGCATTTACAAATCCCACAAGCAGTGTTTGAGTGTAACTGTCCTTTACACTTGGTTGTCATCTTTGAATAAATACGTTTTTAATTTCTTGAGCTACAACAGATACCTTGGAAGGTGTGAATAATTGAGGCAAGTTCTGCCTCACGCTTGTTGGCTTAAATAATTGTGGCAACACTCCAGCTTTGTTTGTATTAGAGAAATAATGTGATTTTTTTATTGGTTAATATTTTACAAGGCTGAGTGAGATTATCCCAAAACACGTAAAAGCATTTCTTAGAAAATACAAGGTCTTCAAGATGTTGTATTTAGCTATCTCAGTGGATGGTACTGATATACTCTATGCCAGAGGGCAGTGTAGTAATTACTTTATTATACATCTATGGAACAAAATGTGGTATGCTAGAAAAGAACACCCAAATTTCCCAGAGTATTTAATGCAAAATAATTATTTCTATTTATTAATTCAAGTTAATTTCTACATATTAATGTTTTCACTAGTAATTATTTTTAACTTTCAAAGAAATAGTAAATCCATGATGGCACAGCTCATTTTTCTAGCTTGGTTTTTGAATAACTTATTTTTAACAATCATCTTGTAAAAAAGAGCATTTGATTTATTTTAAAATTTGGAAAGCTAGATAGTTTCTAAATTGCTTAAATTATTTCATATAATAAGAACTAGTCTTAGAAAAGAGGTTACTTCCTCAAAACTACAAAAATGAGCATATTTCACACACATAAAATAATGTATAGATCATTGAGCTAGTTGTTTGTGATACTTGCTTGGAAAATGCAAAAATGAAATGGTCAATTTAAAGAGATATCATAAAATATATGAGCAAAATCATGGAAGATTAAACATTCATAATAGGACATACTGTGGCCCACTCATGCTCATGCAGGCATTCACCCAACTGTTGTTCTCACGTCTGTCACATAGGATTGTGATGCTCATCATGGCACTGTTTTCCACGAATAGGACCATGATGAGATGCAAGGATAGCGAACTAATTACAGGCATGGTCTGTCCTTTGAGTAATGACTCTATCTCCAGCCTCCAGTGTCTGTCACTATTTGTGGGCACTCTCTTAGTCTTGACAGGCCAAACATAACTTTTACTCAAAAAGACCTGCACCACCTCTCATTTTTAGAATGCTGGCACCTAAAATTTATCAATTTCTGTCATCTCTGAAGTATCAACAGGGGTAGTATCATGTTTTTTTTATTATTCTATTTAATGATGTTAATGTTGAATGCGAAACAACAGCAATTAAAACAAAGGGGGAAGCCGTATGATTATTTTAATTAAAATTAGACTATTTTGCAACTTTATTTTTACTCATATAACAATTTATTCAACATTTGTTCATTTCAGGGAGATACACAGGAAATAACCTGGCAGTAAAGACGCCCACATTTCTTATTTATTCATCAGTTTACACTGTCACACATGCCCCTCCAGAGCTCTCAATCATAACTGATCAACACTTGCCAATGTAATACTACCTGTCATTTGAAATGAACATTCCTAAGGAACTGTTTTTTTCTTTGTAACTATACTCAAATAAAACTTTCACTTGAGAAACAGAACTGTATTCCTGTGTTATGACTTATTGGCAATGAGATGCTATGGGTCATACAAAGCAGGATTCTATAATGTGAAACAGATAATGTTTCATGTGATCCCCCATATATTAAATGGACAATAATCTATACAATGTCAAATGTCTTCAATACATAATGTTCCATAAAAATTCAACTGAAATGGCTTAGATTTAGTATGAAATGTAAGAAATAAATATATCTTAAACTGTCTGCATTAGCCAGCCCAGTGGCTCACGCCTGTAATCCCAGCACTTTGGGAGGCTGAGGCAGGCGGATCATGAGGTCAGGAGTTCGAGACCATCCTGGCCAACATGGTGAAACCCCGTCTCTACTAAAAATACAAAAATTAGCTGTGCGTGGTGGTGCATGCCTGTAATCCCAGCTACTTGGGAGGCTGAGGCAGGAGAATCACTTGAACCAGGGAGTCGGAGGTTGCAGTGAGCCGAGATCACGCCTCAGCACTCCAGCCTGGTGACAGAGCAAGACTCTGCCTTGATAAATAAATAAATAAATAAATAAATAAATAAATAAATAAAACTGTCTGCATTAAACAACTTATTTTTCAATGATATAAATGATTAAACTCTGAGTATTCCTTTAGGGCACTGTCTTTTGGCCTTTTGTAGTCTCTGCAGTACCAAACTGAAACTCTTCTAACATGAACACTTTTTTTCCACCAGCACTACTAGTCCTGTTACCCTGAAAATCTTCTTCACCCTCATAAGGATTCAAGAGCCAATTTCTTGAGCCAAGTGACAGGACAGCTAAAGAGTACTAAGGAAATATTAAATTGGATGATTTTTTTCTCATTGGCTAGACTGTAAGTATTCTGATCTAGAGATGAATTTACAGATTAGTCACTACATTTGGTGACAAAATCACTGGGCATAAATACTTAGTGATTTGCCAAGAAATAACTATAAATTACTTTTGCAGTATAAAACATTTAGGTCAAGCTTGGATAATGAAACTTTTATCTCAAATTCTAATCTTTGCTCCATCAACTGATAACCTCCATGTTCCATGTTCTAAGCATAAACGAGAAATACTAAAAAGCATTTTCTTAGTAACTCATCAAAATCTTTTCTATGTGATGGAATTAATTAAAATTTCAACATGTGTTCTTGTAATCTTGTAATCTTCAATAATCCTGGAGGGCTATGTCCAATAAAAGGGTTAGAGGGTATAGTTCAATAGATTTTATATAGCATCTGATAAAATATCTCAAAATATATAGGTAGCAATATTACTAAATGGAGCTAATTCAGTATTTCATGCTATCGATGTACTCACTTACATATATGGATTTGTTATTCTCTGCTCTGCATGTTATAAATGCTTTAGTATAGAGTTTTAACTACTCCAGAGACTTGAAAATTGGCAGAGGTTGCTGCAATAAAGTTAGTCTTAAAATAACTGAAACTTCACAGCTGCCCAAAATATACTGTTGTAAAACTATCATCAGGACTTAGAAGGGACTTACTGTCAGATTGAAATTATTTGTAAAAGAGATATTGATGAGTCCATAAATCTAAGTAAGCACTTCCGAAACTTGAATGAATTGTGCATTAAAAATTTATAGTGTGGTGATTTGAAGATCTTATTCTGTTTTAAGGGTTGTTATGTAATTTTAAAGCATGTAACAATTTGAAAGTATAATATGGATCAAGTTAATGTCAGGACATCTTTTTCTGAGAAAGAGAAATAATTTAATACTTTGGTGTTATTTCCCAAAGTTGTATTTAAACTGTATGTACTAAAAGAGTGCTATCTTAATCCAATAGCACTTGTCTATTTCTAATATATATATTTTTCTCTCTGATCAATTTTCAAGTCTGTGCTATTTTCTTCATTTTTCCATTCTCTAGTTCTAATAAGAGACAAATAAAGGAATTACTAATCTTATCTCACAGAGATAATTCAGCTGTTGAAATAATTATAATATTTATATCACTTGGATAACAAAATGCAGTATAGAAAAATAGTCTAGTAGAAGGTTTAACAGATAAACTGGTCGATTGTGTTATAATGAGCATTTAAGGCTGACAGAAAACAGGCGAGTAGATGAATCTAACATTTGCTATTTAGTAATTCTATGGATATATAACCTAATACAAACATGAAAGAAAACAATCTAAGAAACTTAACAACAAACAGAGTATACAACTATCACAGTAAGAACTCTCCTTTTGAAAATAAATATAACTCATCTAAATGGAAGGTTGGGCATGTTAAAAACACATACACTGATTCCAGTAAAACTTTGAGAACAAAAAATAAATAAATTAGGACACTAAATAATATACAAAATATTAAATCCAAATAGAGATGCTTCCCAACTTATGATGGGATTATGGTCCAATAAATCCACTGTAAATGGAAAATATAATAAATCAAAAATGCATTTAATGTACCTAACCTATGGAACATCATAGCTTAGCCTAGTCTACCTTAAATGTGCTCAGAACATTTACATTAGCCTATAGTTGGGCAATATCATCTAACACAAAGTCTATTTTATAATATGGTGTTGAATATCATGTAATTTATTGAATACTGTATATTATGTCAAAATTGTGATGATTTTGTACCAGGTAAGGGCAAAAGAATTGTTTGTTGAACTATCTAAGCTGGGCATCTGTATTTCAATCGAACTGAACTGTAACATTTTTCTATTACTCTTGAGAAATCTTTTCTTCATACAACAAACATTCTAGACTGGCTATATTGAACAGTAATAGGAAATTTTAGGAATGCAAGCTGAAACGATTTATCTTGATTACTAGAAAGCCTAACAGAAGTAATTGGCCCATACATATTTTGTCATCAAATTCCTGATCATTTCCAAAGAAGTTATCATACTCTACAAAAAGTTGAGAAAGAGGAATAAATCAAAATATTATATCTTCTAACCACTAATATTTAAAGAAGCACAAAAAAGATAATGGAACACAACGTTGCTTTTTTTATAAATCACAATCAAACAACAAAGCTGTTTTATTATAAATCTATCTTTAGAAACGATAGTCTGGTTAGGAAGTAAAATTATTAACAAATGTAGATTTGGGAGTTAGTTGTCCATGAAAAGTTTTCATAGAGATTTTGTAGAATAATAAATTATACAAATACTAGGGAGATATATTCTCCTAGTTTATAATTTTTTTTAGTTTCTTATATCACAAAATTATTTTTACCTACATTTTATCAAATTAGAAATAATAGAGGTTAATCACAATAATTCCAATAAATCTCAGAGAATTATCTTTAACCTAGAACCAGCTAAGAATTTTTGGTGAATTATTTACCCTAAATGACTTGTGAAATAGAAAAATTCTGGGAAAGATCTTTGTCTTCTGTATAAAAGAAGAAAAATAGAAAAAGAAAAAATAGATTGAGAGGCATTGTCCTTTATTATATTAATAGAAGGAAGAATATGGAGAAATGGCAAAGAGAAGGTCTAAAATAGGATTCAATAAGATCTTATGTCTGCATGTCTGTTTTGGGAAGAGGAATGTGAATAAAGATAATTTTGAGAATGAGCAGCCAGAAATGTAGATAAAATCCTGTGTAGTCTAGTCTCAGAAAGCCAAGGAAACCCAAGTGTTTCAAGATTGAGACTGTAAACAATGCCAAGTCTGGAAGATAGCTGGTGTAACATATTGGTGATATTGATGAAATCTGGTTTATGAAATGTTGTGGGTGGGAATGAGCTTGCAGTCACATAAAAAAGAGTGAGAAATGAGATTCAGTCAGGGAATGACTCAGTGTCATTAGGACACAGTAGTAATGAATGTGGGCTACTCTTTCCAAAACTTTTGCTATAAATAGAAGAGTTAAGATAACAGTAAATTCAGGGGAATACGAAGTTTAAAAATTTTTCTTATTTTTGTTTTTTGTGGCTGATGTTTGTACAATTAGAGAGATATAAAAAAAGTTTGAAGTTTGAATGGAAATTTTCAGAAAGAGGAGAACCAAAAAGCATAGTCCGTGGAAATAAGTCTTTGGTAGAACTGCAAGAAGCTGTAGTAGGAAACCAGGGAATTAAATTTATACAAGGGAGTTACAGTAATTTCAGTGTGATTCAAATGAGGAAGAAAGTAATATTTTTGGAAGCAGCTGAATTTGTATGTTTAGTCACAAAAGTAGACAAATCTCATCTGTAAAGAGAGGAGAGGGTTGTCAGGTGAAGAGTTTAGGGCAATAAAGATGGCATGAAATTGTTAATGTGATGAACGTGGTAGAAACCCAAATAAGGAACCTAAGTCTTAGAGGGAGAGATTTGTGAATGAAAGAATAATGCTGAAATATAATTGCTTCCTGTATTCTCTCTCTTCCAACAATTAAATCACAGAATGATTCTGCTTTCTGAATTGTTTGTGGTTCTACTAAATTTTCAGCCCTTATGAAATCAAATAATAAAATGACCTTTTATATCGATTGTGTATCACAGACCTTCAGTACAATGCTGGTACTTGGTGATTAATATATTCTTTTTTTTTTTTTTTTTTTTTTGAGACGGAGTCTCACTCTGTCACCCAGGCTGGAGTGCAGTGGCGCGATGTTGGCTCACTGCAACCTCCGACTTCGGGTTCACGCCATTCTCCTGCCTCAGCCTCCCGAGTAGCTGGGACTACAGGCGCCCACCACCAGACCCGGCTAAGTTTTTATATTTTTTAGTAGAGACGGGGTTTCACCGTGTTAGCTAGGATGGTCTCGATCTCCTGACCTTGTGATCCGCCCACCTCGGCCTCCCGAAGTGCTGGGATTACAGGCCTGAGCCACCGCGCCTGGCCTAATATATTCTTTTTAGATTAAAAATAAATGTGTTTATGTACACTATAGATCTCAATTCGTTTGACAAACAATTGCAAATGACTGAGACATTTGTCATAGTAGGAAACAGCAGTCAGAGAATGGAGAGGTTAAATCTGAAATTTCAGATGTAGTGCTTTTCTGGATTGATAACAAATTCTAAAGAATGGTCTTGTCAGTAAATGGCTTATGTGAAGTAGAAGGGAAAGTTGTTTTAGGTTATGGAGGAAAGGAACTTGCAATTTTTATAGGCAACAAGTTTCTTCCATGAATATATAATTTTACACACAAAAAAGTAGTCAGAATACATGTAAAACTTATATAACATAGAGGGAGTTCCTTGGCTTATGTGATAAAATAAAACATAGCATTTTTTTCAGTTGTAAAATATTCTTTTACAAAAGTTAAAATCTATACTGATTTGGAAGGTAAGAAAAAAACATAATGGGTATTACGGATCCCTGAGGTGATTCCATTGACAGAGCAATAGAGAAGGGAAAAGAAAGAATAAAAAAGACAAAACAATAAGACATAAAACAGTAACGGATTGAAAGAAAATGAATTGTATATTTGAAAGACTGCAGTGCTCATCAAACTAAAGTAAAATGTCAAATATGAGAAAAGTATTTTGTAGAATAAATCACAAAGAAAAGGACTTTGGGGAATTTTAAAAATAATATGAGCTATTCTTTGTGCACCTGAAACATGTCAGATACCATGCTAAGAAATTTATATTTATTAAATAATTCAATTCTTCCACAAATCCTCTGAACTAGATATTACTTTTTAGTATTTTACAGATGAGGTGACTAAGGTTTGGAGTAGGTAGATGATTCTGCCAAAATCTTACAATAAGCATGTGGAAACACTGGGAATTCAACCTTGCTTGACTCACTTTAAAACATATATCCTTAGCATTATCCCCTGTAACTTGTCTATGATTACAATGCTATGCTCATATTACTTAGGTTACAATACAGGACTGAATAGGTAGTCAGATATTTGACAAAAGGGCCATAAATTATAACCTCTATAGTAAAATAAAGGAAAGGTTGATAAGGAAATTTGTTATTGAGGATGAAGAGTTGAAGACTAATAGCAAATGAGCAAGAACAAAAGAAATGGCATTTTACATGAAACGAAACTGACAAATATCCACAGTGTTCAAATTAAAAATCTAACAGATGTGATTATTTTGAATTCCCGAAGAAGCAGATTCCGAGACAAAGATATGAATCCAAATAATTTACTTTGGAGATTTTCCCATGAAATACCCGCAGACGAGTGCAAAAGTGAAAACAAAAATAAAGGAATATAATAGAAAATATGTTATCAAGCAACTTATTGTGAGCAAGTAGGACTCAATGCTTCTGGGGAATTCTGAAAAAAAGTTGTACAGTCTGTACCTCAAAACTTCGTTCTCTGATGGGTTACGGAGCTAAATCGTATGTATAGCCACTTTCAGCAGTCATTGGTTGAAAGCGACTTCAAAGGGGTGTTAATTCCCTGGTACTTCTGGCCTGCCATGCATGCATGCTGAGTGAGCTCTGCAGCCAGATTAAGTGGATGCTGACATTGCTATTTGGCTAAGTACGTCTGAAATAGTAAACACTACTAGAGCATCAACAGTGTCTGCTACAGTGATATTGAACTCAGAAGTATTAAAAACATGCCAAAAAATGAACTTTATATATGGTTCTAGAAAATCTAAAGATTAATTCTCATATTTGAAAATTGTATTATAATATTCCACCCACTCATTGAATGAGGGAGAATGAAGCATAGTGTAATAACACTGCCCTTAAAAGCAACACTTAGTGAATTTATGTAATAGGATGTGTCTATTACAGAACATATTCACTTGCCAAAATAAATTACATTGGAAACACCTGCCTACTTTTGAAATTTCTTTTTTACAACTAACAAGTACAATTCTTTACTATTTCAAAGTTGTCCTTGCTAGATCTAGATAAGTGAGCCAACACGAAGTACACATATGCAGAATTTGTGGTAACTTGTGATACAACACATATGCTGTATAGTTTGTTGGGATTATAAAAAAGTAAACCAATACCAATGACAGAATGAAGTGACATATGCTAAACATTGAAGAAATACTGAAACAAAAGCATCTTTCTTAGCCACAGAAATTGACACACACTTTGCCAAAACTTAATATTAATTATTGAATCTTTAATTACAGAAAGGGGAATCAATTTCTCAGGAGAACTAAAATTGAATTTCAGTAATACATCCAAATAATGCTCAATAACATATGGTTTCCTCAATAATAATTTCAAGCACTGAAATTGAGTGGATATACGCATTTATCATAAGAGAGACTTTGATGAAGTTAAGGGCATAACTAAATTGCAACTCAGTGAAGAAGCTAATTGGTAAGGCGATAAAGGCTGTCCCTAAGTATGCCATTGGTTTTTCTCTGTGTGTGGAGGGGAACACTGAAAACCTGGAAGCATAAATGGATACATACAATAAATAAATATATGGTAGCACAAATATATAAAAATTCTTCCTGTCTTACTGATAATGACATGGGGTGCTGAAATGGCATACGTTCTGATATTCTAACATTATTCTTTGCATCTCTCAAACTGAAACTCATTTCAGCAGTACAATTTTCCACAGTTTGAGGAATCTCATGTTTGTTCATACTTTAAAGTCTTCATATTTGCTTTCCTTTTGTCTGATATACAATTTTATTATCTTCTTCTATCTAAAATGTCAAATGTCTGCTTAAAATTATCTCTTCCAATAAGGAGATAATGTTAGGCATTTTTAAAAGTTGTTTTATTAACTCAATGCTCACTTTGATAATATTTTGACATGCCACACACAATAATTTTATAGTACTTCTCTATAACGAGATGATTTTTAAATAATGCATGTAAAATTCTACTTAATTCCAACCAATACGTGATTTCATTATATTGTCTCTTGCAATAAAAAATTTAAAATACTAATGACTATAATATTTTTTGTTTTTTGTATTCCAATATACCCTCAGACAAAATTTTAAGTGGATGTTAAAGTATTAACTGTATGTGTGATGTTGTACAGCAGATCTCTAGAACTTATTTATCTTGAATAACTGAAGCTTTGTAACCATCAAATGGCAATTCCCCATTTCCCCCTCCCATATCCTGCTCTAGGTTCTATGTTTGACTATTTTTGATACCTCATATAAGTGGAAACATGCAATATTTGTCCTTTTCTGACTGGCTTATATCACTTAGCATAATGCATGTTGTTGCATTTTACAAGATTTTCTACTTTTTTTAAAGGCTGAATAATATTCCATTGTATGTTTATACCAGTATAATCTTTATCCATTCATCTGTTGAACATTTACATTGTTTTTACATTTTAACTGGTGTGAATAATGCTGCAATGAAAAATAAAGTGCAAATACCTCTTTGAGATTTTGATTTCAATACTTTTAGATAAATACCAAGAAATGTTATAATAGTTCATTTTTTTATTTTTTAGAACCTCCATGCTATTTTGCATAATGTATGAAACAGGTTACGTTCAAACCAACATGTAAATGGGGTCCATTTTCTGTACATTCTCGCCAATACCTTTTAGCTTTTATTTTGTTGGTAATGCCTATCCTAACAAAAGATAATGTCTCATTGTGGTTTTGGTTTGTATTTACCTGATGGTTAGTGATGTCAGGCATTTTTAAATATACCTGTTAGACACTTGTATATTTTCTCTGGAGAAATATCTGTTCAGGTTTTTTGCCAATTTTTAGTTGGATTGTTAGATTTTTATAGGTTATCCAATTTGTTAAATGTAATTGTTCATTGTAGTTTCTTGTGATCCTTTTTATTTCTGTGGCATCAGTTGTAACATCTCCTCTTTCAGTGCTTAATGTATTTATTTGAGTTTTCTCTTTTTCTTAGTCCAGTTAAAGGTTTGTCAACTTTGTTTATCTTTTCAAAATGTTAACTCAATTTCATTCATTTTACTATTTTTTAATTTCACATTTAATTCATTTCTGCTTTAAGCTTTATTTACTTTGATAACTTTTGGCTTAGACGTCGCTTGCTTTTCTAGTTCTTTGATGATTAAAGATAGATTATTTGAGATCTTTTTCTTTTTTAGGTAGGAATTTATTGCTGTAACTTTCCTGGTTAGTGCTGCTTTTGCTGCATCCCATTGGTTTTGGTATATTGTGCTTACATTTTCACCTGTCTCAAGATATTTTCTAATTTCCTTTTTTATTTTTTCATTGACCCATTCCATGTAGTCAGAAAATATACCTGATACAATTTCAATCAGCTTAAATTTGTTAATACTTGTTTTGTGGCCTAACATAGGCTCTATCCTGGATAATGTTCCAAGTGCACTTGAGAAAGATACACATTCTGTGGATGCGAGTTGGAAAATTCTGTATATGGCAGTTAGTTCTATTTGATCTATTGCCTTTTCAAAGTTTGCGGTTTCTTTATGTCTGGTTTAGATTTCCTATGATTATTAAAAATAGGTTATTGAAGTCTTTTACTTATATTAAAATCAATTCTTCCTTCAGTTCTATCAATGTTTGCTTTGTATATTTAGATGCTCTGATGTTGGTTTCCAATATATTTATACTTCTTATATATTCCTGAGTTAACCCTTTTATCATTAAATACAGTAACCTTATTTTTGTGATAATTTTAGACTTTGTCTATTTTTTTCTGAAAATAAGCATAGCTACTCCTCCTTTCTTGCACAAAATATCTTTTTCAACCCTATGCTTTCAGACTATGTATGTTCTTAAGTCTATAATGTGTCTAATGTGAACAACATATAGTTGAATCTTAGGTTTCTTTTGTTGTTTGTTTTTATCCATTCAGCCACTCTATGTGTACTGATGTTTAATCCATCTACATTTAAAGTAATATCAATTTTAGAGAACTTGCCATTACCACTTTATAATTATTTTCTGTCTTTTTGTAGTTCTTTTGTCCCTCTTTTACTGTCTTGCTGCCTTCTTTCATTTTTTGCTGATTTTGTTTGTATTGATAAGCTTGTATTGTTTTCTCTTTTCTTTTGTATTTTCTATAGTTACTTTCTTTGTGGTTACCATGGGGCTAACAAAATTATCTTATAGTTATGACTGTCAATTTTAAACCAATAACCACTCAACTTCACTTGCATACAAAACTACGTTTATACATCCCTCAACACTCCACCTGCCTCGGCTTCCCGAAGTGCTGGGATTACAGATATGAGCCACAGCACCTAGCCAGATTTGATCATTTCCAATGACTTATCTGTACGTTTGCTGAACTTTTCTTCTGCTAGATCTAGTCTGCTGCTGAATTCCTCCACTGAAAATATTATTTCAGTTATTGTTTTCCTTATCTCCAAAATTTTTGTTTGGTACATTTAATGTTTTATTTCTGCTAAAAATTTCACTTCCTTCATGCATTGTATTCCTGACACCTTTGAGCATCTTTATGACAGTTACTTTATTTTATTTATTTATTTATTTTTTTTGAGACTCGCTCTGTAGCCCAGGCTGGAGTGCAGTGGCGTGATCTCCGCTCACTGCAAGCTCCCCTCCTGGGTTCACGCCATTCTTCTGCCTCAGCCTCCCGAGTAGCTGGGACTACAGGCGCCCACCACCATGCCGGCTAATTTTTTTTTTTTTTGTATTTTTTTAGTAGAGACGGAGTTTCACCGTGTTAGCCAGGATGGTCTCGATCTCCTAACCTCGTGATCCACCCGCCTCGGCCTCCCAAAGTGTTGGGATTACAGGCGTGAGCCACCGCCCTCAGCTATGACAGTTATTTTAAATGTTATGTCTTATAAATTATATATCTCCATTTCATTAAGATTGTTTTCTGGAAATTTATTTTGTTCCTTTGTTTGGAACATGTTTCCCTGTTTCTTTATTTTTCTTGACATCTTATGTTGGAAAAAAATAGCTGAGAAAATAACACTATTTTCTCAGTGTTCATAGAGAAAGCAACCTATCGTAGAGGAGAAATCATTCACAAATTAGCTTGGCCAGAGATTTTGGTAGCCTCTTAAGCTTTTATATGAGTGCAACCTGCCTTCTTTTTTTCTAGTGGCCCTCCATTTCTAGAATCTGACTGTCTCTGTTAAGTGCTCTGAGACAGTGAAACTAAAGCCAATCTGTTGGGAAGCCTCCAGAAAAGTTGAATTGTTAGACTATGTCCAATACTTTCCCTCCCTGGAGCAAACCTGATATATTTTGTTCTCTCCTGTTCACTCTATGCTGAACCCATGAGAGGGGCTATGGAAACTTGTTGCTTACTAGAAGAAACAACCATCTTCGTTTTCATGGATCTCCTGGTGTCTAGAGTATTGCAGGCTTCAGCATTCTGAAGCGGTCAAGACAGAAGCGATTCCTTTGGACAGCACCCAAAATACTTGGAACATTAGATGCACAGTCTAACTCTTTCCCTCTTCAGAGAGAAGCTGGAAGGTGAATTTTTTTTTTGTTTGTTTTTGGTCTACTTAGGCTGTGCTAAGTCTAAGGAGGGAAGTATGGTAATCGTTAGCCCAAACCACTGTCTTTGTTATTATAGGCCCATAGATGGCTAGAGAATGCCAGTACGTCAGTTCCCATCAGTACTGCATTACAGAAGTCAGTCTTCTTGGCATCCTTGGAAAAGTTGGGACATTGATCTTTTGGGTTGTCAACTCTCCCTCCCCAGGGAGAAACTGGGAGGTTTTTTCTCCTGATCATATGATGCTGTGCTGGCAGTAAGAATTATGCCTAGGTGTCTTTTATTTATCTATTGGCTTAAATGTGGCTTGGTATCCTCACTCAGGATGAAGGAGCCTTCTCAGTAGTTTCTGGATTACTTACAAAGAGAATTTTTCTGTGTATTGTTGTTGAATCAGTGTGTTAATGAATGGAATGAGGGTCCAGGGCTTCCTATCACCCCATCTTGTTGACATCACCCCCTATATTAGAATTTAAATCTTGCAGAATCTCCAGTCCCTATGTTAGATATTATATGGAAGGTTCTAAATATTCCCTTCTAATTCATTTCGTTTTTCTTCAAAATAAATATTAGTGTTTGAGACAACAAAAAAACATAAATTTTCCCACCGCATAACTTCTTTCTATATTAAAATGTCAGTGAAAGCACTGAAATAACTGATTACCAAGTGATTAGAATAACATTAATTGTAGGACTTATAAATGACAATTCAATGAGATTAATTTTACTACGAGGTCAAACATATATATGACTTTTAAAAATGTCACTCTCATTTTCTTTTTTTTGCTTTTAAATAATATTTAATTTAGTTTGTGCTATTAGAGAAAAAATTATTTTAACATTTAATTCAACAAATGGCAAGCCAAACTGGTTGGTATATGAGCAATTTTGACAAAAATAAAGTCTTTAACAGAAAACTATAGCTACTCCCTTCTCTATATGTTTGAGACATACTGGGGAGGCTGACCAGAAAACTAAGCAAAGCTGCTATATTAACTTTATACTCTCGGTTAATCAATCTATTAAATTTTGTGGCAAGTAATATTTACTATTTCATAAATTGTAAGACTTTGTAGAAGACTGTTGTAGAATTTATTTTATAATTCTCTTAAAGCTTAAAGAAACTCATATGAAGTATTTTTAGATATTTCTCTTAAAAAATTAACTACATCTACCAATAAAGGGAAGTCAGGTGTACTAACCTTTAGTTTCTGAAACCATCTTAAGTGACCCAGAACTTCAGAAAACTTCTATTAGCATGGCTGACTTCTAGCCCACTTTTTTACTTGATAGCTTTGCTCTTAAGAATCTCATGCAAAATTCACTGGATATTATGGCAGAATGGATCATGTCAGCCTACTGTGCTGAAGCAGGAAGGAGAGTGAGAATGGGGCTTTTGCTTAATGCTTATGACACATTGCAAGTAGCACCTAGAAACTTAGAGCTGGGAGAGAGGAAAAGTAAAATTGCTGGGCTTTGCAAATAAGTAATATTTCTAGAGATGTCATAATTCATGTACCTAAATGCTGATATTATTTAGTCCACTTTGTTGTATAGTACTGAAGCAGAGCCAGTTCACAGGAAAACTCAGCCTCAGATTGGTACAGGATAATATAAGACACACACCACTTACCTGGAAAAGTGATAGAATTAAATTTAGAGGCTTAAGGGACACTTCTACCTAAATGCCACCAGACATTCAGTTAAATTTAAATTTTCTCTATCGCAGACCACCAAATATTTGCTTTTTGATACCAAGCAAATCATAAAGTGAGATGCCTACAGAAGAATAATAAAAGCGAGTTTGTTATATACTGGCTTATCCACAGAATTCATTTTAAACGTTTTCATACAACTCTCTGCATGATAAAAAATATACGTTCCAGCTGAAATTCTTCTAGCATATAGAAAATAGTGAAATGAGAAAAAAAATAATAATCTCAACTTTTTGAAATTACACTCCATAAATAAGTCTCAAAATAACACAATAAGTGGTTTTAACACAGATCTATTTGTTTAAAATATTGAGATATGCTTTTGGAAAATTTAAAATATAGGAACAGCTGCTTTAAATTTCTCTACTGAAAGTAATTCCATTTATGTAAAAAGAAACATGAAATGTACATGCTGAAGAATTACAATTGCTTTTTACTAAGTTCTGGGTATTATTAATAAAAGTTACATAGATGTATTATTTTGAATCTATACATATTGCTGGAGGGGAAAACACAGTGCTATGGTGCTACGAGGAGTTGTACACTCCCACCAACAGTGTAAAAGCATCCCTATTTCTCCAGCATCTGTTGTTTCCTGATTTTTTAATGATTGCCATCCTAACTGGTGTGAGATGGTATCTCACCGTGGCTTTGATTTGCATTTCTCTAATGACCAGTGATGATGAGCTTTTTCTCATGTTTGTTGGCCACATAAATGTCTTCTTTTGAAAAGTGTCTGTTCATATCCTTCGCCCACTTTTTGATGGGGTTGTTTTTCTTTTCTAAATTTGTTTAACTTCCTTGTAGATTCTGGATATTAGCCCTTTGTCAGATGGATAGATTGCCAAAATTTTCTCCTATTCTGCAGGTTGCCTGTTCACTCTGCTGATAGTTTCTTTTGCTGTGCAGAACCTCTTTAGTTTAATTAGATTCCATTTGTCAATTTTGGCTTTAGTTGCCATTGCTTTTGGTATTTCAGTCATGAAGTCTTTGCCCATGCCTATGTCCTGAATGGTATTGCCTAGGTTTTCTCCTAGGGTTTTTATGGTTTGAGGTCTTATGTTTAAATCTTTAATCTATCTTGAGTTAATTTTTGTATACAGTGTAAGGAAGGGATCCAGTTTCTGTTTTCTGCATATGGCTTGCCAGTTTTCCTAACACCATTTATTAAATAGGGAATCCTTTCCTCATTGCTTGTGTCAGGTTTGTCAAAGATCAGATGGTTGTAGATGTGTGGTGTTATTTCTGAGGCCTCTGTTCTGTTCCATTAATCTACATATCTGTTTTGGTACCAGTACCATGCTGTTTTGGTTATTGTAGCCTTGTAGTGTAGTTTGAAGTCAGGTAGTGTGATGCCTCCAGCTTTCTTCTTTTTGCTTAGGATTGTCTTGGCCATATGAGCTCTTTTTTTGGTTCCATGTGAAATTTAAAGTAGTTATTTCTAATTCTGTGACGAAAGTCAATGGTAGCTTGATGGGAATAGCATTGAATCTATAAATTACTTTGGGCTGTATGGCCATTTTCATGATATTGATTCTTCCTATCCATGAGCATGGCATATTTGTCCATTTGTTTGTGTCCTCTCTTATTTCCTTGAGCAGTGGTTTGTAGTTCTCCTTGAAGAGGTCCTTCACATCCCTTGTAAGTTGTATTCCTAGGTATTTTATTCTCTTTGTAGCAATTGTGAATGAGAGTTTGCTCATGATTTGCTTCTCTGTTTGTCTATTATTGGTGTATTGCACATTGATTTTGTATCATGAGACTTTGCTGAAGTTGCTTATCAGCTTAAGAAATTTTTGGGCTGAGACAGTGTGGTTTTCTAAATATACAATTGTGTCATCTGCAAACATAGATAATTTGACTTCCTCTCTTCCTATTTGAATATCCTTTATTTATTTCTCTTGCCTGATTGTCCTTGCCAGAACTTCCAACACTATGTCGAATAGGAGTGGTGAGAGAGGTCATCCTTGTCTTATGCCAGTTTTCAAAGTTAATGCTTCCAGCTTTTGCCCATTCAGTATGATATTGGCTGTGAGTTTGCCATAAATAGCTCTTATTCTTTTGAGATATGTTCCATCAATACCTAGTTTATTGAGTGTTTTTAGCATGAAAGGGTGTTGAATTTTATCGAACGCTTTTTCTACATCTATTGAGATAATCATGTGGTTTTTGTCATTGGTTCTGTTTATGTGATGGATTATGCTTATTGATTTGCATAGGTTCAAACAGCCTTGCATCCCAGGGAGGAAGCCGACTCGATTGTGGTGGATAAGGTTTTTGATGTGCTGCTGGATTCAGTTTGCCAGTATTTTGTTGAGGATTTTTGCATCAATGTTCATCAGGGCTATTAGCTTGAAATTTTCTTTTTTTGTTTTGTCTTTGCCAGGTTTTGGTATCAGGATGATGCTGGCATCATAAAATGAGTTAGGGAGGAGTCCCTCTTTTTCTATTGTCTGGAATAGTTTCAGAAGGAGTGGTACCAGCTCCTGTTTGTATCTCTGGTAGAATTCGGCTGTAAATCAGTCTGGTCCTGGGCTTTTTTTGGTTGGTAGGTGATCAATTACTGCCTCAATTTCAGAACTTGTTATTGGTCTATTCAAGGATTCAACTTCTTCCTGGTTTAGACTTGGGAGGGTGTATATGTCCAGGAATTTATCCATTTTTTTCTAGATTTTCTAGTTTATTTGCATAGAGGTGTTTATAGCATTCTCTGATGGTAGTTTGTATTTCTGTGGGATCAGTGGTGATATCCCCTTTATCATTTTCTCTTGTGTCTATTTGATTCTTCCCTCTTTTCTTCTTTATTAGTCTGGATGGCAGTCTACATATTTTGTTAATCTTTTAAAACACCATCTCCTGGCTTCATTGATTTTTTGAAGGGTTTTTCGTGTCTCTATCTCCTTCAGTTCTGCTCTGATCTTAGTTATTTCTTGTTTTCTGCTAGCTGTTGAATTTATTTGCTCTTGCTTCTCTAGTTATTTTAATCATTATATTAGTGTGTTGATTTTAGATCTTTCCCACTTTCTCCTTTGGGCATTTAGTGGTATAAATTTCCCTCTAAACACTGCTTTAGCTGTGTCCCAGAAATTCTGGTACATTGTGTCTTTGTTTTCATTGGTTTCGAAGAACTTACTTATTTCTGCCTTAATTTCGTTATTTACCCAGTAGTCATTCAGGAGCAGGTTGTTCAGTTTCCATGTAGTTGTGAGGTTTTGAGTGAGTTTCTTAAACCTGAGTTCTAATTTGATTGCACTGTGGTCTGAGAGGCTGTTTGTTATGATTTCCATTCTTTAGCATTTGCTGAGGAGTGTTTTATTTCCGATTATGTTGTCAATTTTAGAATAAGTGCTATATGGTCCTGAGAATGCACATTCTGTTGATTTGGGGTGGAGAGTTCTGTAGATGTCTATTAGGTCCAATTGGTCCAGAGCTAAGTGGAAGTCTTGAATATCCTTGTTAATTTTCTGTCTCATTGATCTGTCTAATATTGACAGTAGGGTGCTAAAGTCTCCCACTATTATTGTGTTGGAGTCTAAGTCTCTGTGTAAGTCTCTAAGAACTTGCTTTATGAATCTGGGTGCTCCTGTATTGGGTACATACATATTTAGGATAGTTAGCTCTTCTTGTTGCATTGATCCCTTTAGCATTATGTAATGTCCTTCTTAGTCTTTTTTTATGTATGTTGGTTGAAAGTCTGTTTTATCAGAGACTAGGATTGCAATCCCTGCTTTTTCTTTCTTTTTTTTTTTTCTTTCCATTTGCTTGGTAAATCTTCCTCCATCCCTTTATTTTGAGCCTACGTGTGTCTTTGCATGTGAGATGGATCTCCTGAGTACAGCACACCTATGGGTCTTAACTCTTTATTCAATTTGCCAGTCTGTGTCTTTTAATTGGGGCATTTAGTCCATTTACATTTAAGGTTAATATTTTTATGTATGAATTTGATCCTGTCATTATGATGCTAGCTGGTTATTTTGCCCATTAGTTGATGCAGTTTCTTCATAGTGTTAATGGTCTTTATATTTTGGTTTGTTTTTGCAGTGGCTAGTACAGGTGTTTCCTTTCCATATTTAGTGCTTCCTTCAGGAGCTCTTGTAAGGCAGGACTGGTGGTGACAAAATCCCTCAGCCTTTGCTTGTCTGTAAAGTATTTTATTTCTCCTTCACTTAAAAGCTTAGTTTGGCTGGATATGAAACTCTGGGTTGAAAATTCTTTTCTTTAAGAATGTTGAATATTGGCCCCCACTCTCTTCTGGCTTGTAGGGTTTCTGCCGAGAGATCTGCTGTTAGTCTGATGGGCTTCCCTTTGTGGGTAGCCCAACCTTTCTCTCTGGCTGCCCTTAACATTTTTATCTTCATTTCAACCTTGGTGAATCTGACAGTTATGTGTCTTGGGGTTGGTCTTCTCGAGGAATATCTCTGTGGTATTCTCTGTATTTCCAGAATTTGAATGTTGACCTGTCTTGCTAGGTTGGGGAAGTTCTCCTGGATAATATCTTGGAGTGTGTTTTCCAACTTGGTTCCATTCTCCCTGTCACTTTCAGGTACACCAATCAAACGTAGGTTTGGTCTTTTCACGTAGTCCCATATTTCTTGGAGGCTTTGCTCATTCCTTTTCATTCTTTTTTCTCTAATCTTTTCTTTATGCTTTATTTCATTAAGTTGATCTTCAATCTCTGATATCCTTTCTTCCACTTGATTGATTCGACTATTGATACTTGGTTATGCTTCACAAAGTTCTCATGGTGTGTTTTTCAGCTCCATCAGGTCATTTATGTTCTTCTCTAAACTGGTTATTATAACCAGCAGTTTGGAAGGCTGAGGTAGGTGGATCATGAGGTCAGGAGTTCAAGACCAGCCTAGCCAACATGGTGGAACCCCATCTCTACTAAAAATACAAAAATTAGCTGGGTGTGGTGACACGTGCCTGTAATCCCAGCTACTCCGGAGGCTGAGACAGGAGAATCACTTGAACCTGGGAGGCGGAGGTAGCACTGAGTTGAGATCACAACACTGCACTCCAGCCTAGGCGACAGAGCAAGATTCCATCTAAAAAAAAAAAAAAAAAAAAAAAAGGAAAAAAAAGTTCTTAGCTTTCTTGTATTGGGTTAGAACATGCTCCTTTAGCTCAGAGGAGTTTGTTATTACCCACCTTCTGAAACCTACTTCTGTAAATTCATCAAACTCATTCTCTCTCCAATTTTATTCCCTTGCTGGCACGGAGTTGTGATCCTTTGGAGGAGAAGAGGCATTCTGTTTTTTGGAATTTTCAGCCCTTTTGCGCTGGTTTTTCCTCATCTTTGTGAATTTATCTAACTTTGGTCTTTGCTGTTGGTGACCTTTGGATGGAGTTTTTGCATTGTGGCCCTTTTTGTTGATGTTGATGCTATAACTTTCTGTTTGTTAGTTTTCCTTCTAACAGTCAGGCCCCTCTTCTGCAGGTCTGCTGGAGTTTGCTGGGGGTCCACTCCAGACCCTGTTTGCCTAGGTATCACTAGCGGAGGCTGTAGAACAGCAAAGATTGCTGCCTGCTGCTTCTTCTGGAAGCTTTGTCCCAGAGGGGCACCCACCAGATGCCAGCCAGAGCTCTCCTGTGTGAGGTGTCTGTCGACCCCTGCTGGGATGTATCTCCCCATCAGGAAGCACAGGGGTCAGGGACCCACTTGAGGAGGCAGTCTGTCCCTTAGCAGAGCTTGAGCGCTGTGCTGGGAGATGTGCTGCTCTCTTCAGAGCTGGCAGGCAGGAACGTTGAAGTCTGCTGAAGCTGGACCATAGCCACCCCTTCCTCCATGTGCTCCATCCCAGGGAGATGGGAGTTTTATCTATAAGCCCCTGACTGGGGCTGCTGCCTTTTAGAGATGACCTGCCCAGAGAGGAGAAATCTAGAGAGGCAGTCTGGCTACATTGGCTTTGTGGTGCTGTGGTGGATTCCCCCCAGTCCGAATTTCCCAGTGGCTTTGTTTATACTGTGAGGGGAAAACCACCTACTCAAGCCTCAGGCTCAAGCATCCCAGGTAGACTTCAGACTGCTGTGCTGGCTGGCAGTGAGAATTTCAAGCTAGTGGATCTTAGCTTGCTGGGCTCTGTGTCAGTGGGATCTACTGAGCAAGACTATTTGGCTCCCTGGCTTCAGCCCCCTTTCCAGCGAAGTGAATGGTTCTGTCTTGCTGACGTTCCAGGTGCCACTGGGGTATTAAAACACTCCTGCAGCTAGCTCAGTGCCTTCCCAAATGGCCGCCCAGTTTTGTGCTTGAAACCCAGGGCACTGGTGGCATAGACACCTGAGGAAATCTCCTGGTCTGGGGGTTGCGAAGACCATGAGAAAAGCATAGTATCTGTGCCATTTAGCACTGTCCCTCACGGTAGAGTCCCTCATGGCTTCCCTACGGTAGGGGAGGGAGTTCCCTGACCCCTTGTGCTTCCTAGGTGAGGCAACGCCCCTCCCTGCTTCTGCTCACCCTCAGTGAGCTGCACACACTATCTAACCAGTCCCAATTAGATGAACTGGGTACCTCAATTGCAAATGCAGAAATCACCTGCCTTCTGTGTTGGTCTTGCTGGGAGCTGCAGACTGGAGCTGTTCCTATTCGGCCATCTTGCCCAGGTTAAGCACTTATTATTATTTTTAAACTTCTGTGGGTTAAATATCAGCTACATCATTTCTTACTTTCATTGTTATGAATAAAATTGTTCTGAACTTTAATCTCCCCACCTATGAAACAGTAACTAATACAGCTACTTAAAAAATTGTTTGGATTTAATAAAATGATACATTAAATCCATAGGAGACTCTCTGGTACTTAGTAAGCCCTCAAAAATCAATATTACTTTTATTATTTTAAACCTGATTGAAAAGTTTATAAAATATAGTTTTACAAAATTAATGGTATAATGTTTAAGTTATTATCTTCATTTAAAAAGTAAGCTATTTAACTTACTTCTGAGGAAATAAATTGAGTCATTTTATAAGTGTGTTGTTTCTAATTTTTGTCCAAGAATGAACTTTGGAAACAAGAAATAATTTATAATTATTATTTCTCACAGAAAAGCTGATATTTTTGTCAATGGCATAGATTAAAATTGAAACGATGACTTAATAATTAAATCTTGAATCTTTGCTCACTAATCCATATTTAAGCTCTTACTATAAGACTTTTTTACCCTCATATGAACACAAATTTATGATATTTATCAATAATTCATCCTTATTTTGCAATTTTTATTGCTGGATGTTTCAAGCATTATCACTGTTTTTATACCAATTCTCAGATTTTTGAATTCCCAACATCAGAGGAAGGCTTTTTTCCCTTTAAGATGGAATGGTTTCCTGAAATCCATACTTCATCTCTCACAATGACATTCATTTTGAAATGTGTATTCTCAATCTTTAAACTCCTTTCTCTATACCCACAATTTTTCAGCTTTCCAAAATATTTCTCTCAAGATGATGTTACCCTCCAGAGTATAATGCTAGATATTTTCTCTGAACAATGAAAAATTCCTGAAAAAATAGTTTTCACTCACCCTCTAAACCTTTTTATATTTGTACAATTTTTAATTATTTTTATTTTTTTCCATTAAAATAAGTCTCAGTTTATCAATGACTCTCTAATCAATAAATCTTATAATATTATTATCATTATTCTTTAATTGTCCTGATTATTTTACTCTATATCTTCTTTCCTTATTTAGTTTTGTTTTGCATTTACTTTTGGTTACACTTTAGTCTTTGTGGTTCATCTTTCACCTCTGATTACACCTTCTATAATTCTTTTACTACATGCACTTCTATATGTCTATATCTATTTGTATATGTCAGTCTGAAAAGATAGCTGTTATTAAACCCTTCCTTTCCCCAAACTTCAAGTGTTGCCTCTCTGAAGAAAATTCAAAACCATTTTTTCACATGTGCATGATTCATAGTTCCTTGATGGAAATAGCTACCAGTGGTTAAGTTATCCCTCCTTTCATCTACCTACCCAACAAAATTCTGTTGCATACCTTTAAAGGTATTTGGTTTTATTTGGTTTAATTTTTTTATCTGTGTATATATGTTTTTAGTTTTTAAGGATTACTCAGGCCTCATTTCGCATAGTAAAAATAGTGAAAACAGATTGCACAAAGGCAGTGACAAAGAAAGTGAAAGAAGGAATCACTTTCAAGACACATTTATAAAGAAGTGCTTAAAACATCTAAATGATAATTCTTCACCTTTTCTCTCTCACCTTTTCTCTCCACAATTGTCCACCTTTTCTCTCCCTTCTCCTGTCACTCTTATTTTCGGTGGTAACTAGATTATCCTATTTTGAAGTTTAAACCTATGAAGTGAAGAGTAGTAAAGACTTTGTGTTGTTGTCATGCTCAAAAAAGTAGGGTGAGCTTCATTGGCATGCAAACTATGCAGTAACACAATATGTTGTCCTCTGAAGTGCTGCATGCTTTTCTGCACTTGGCCTTGTAAATTATGTATCCAGTCTTGCCTGTAATAGTGTGCTGGAATGTATAGTGCCTATGACAGACTGCCTTTCTGAACAGCCACCACCCTATATAATGTTTTCAATCACTTCTACCTCAATTATATTAGAAGGCTTTTGGGTAGTTTTTCTAGTTGTACTTTTGCCATTCTTTACAATGCTGTTAACCTACATTTAAATCCAAATTCAATATAACATTAACTGTGAATTCATTATCCTGGCATTTCAAACATTACCTAGTATTATCCAATCCAGTTTTCTTCCACTGCTAACACACAGCAGGTATACACCTCAGAAAAGCATAACTACTCTTTTCCTTGAACATGTTTCTATGCTGCATTACTTCAGGTCTTCCTAGAAGCAGACACCAAGACAGGATTAGACATACAAAATATTTAATGGGAAAATTGCTTTTGAGAGAAAAGTCAGGAGCAACTGGAAAAAGTGAGGAAAATCATCATATCTTTTTGCACATCTGAATATTTCATCATACTTCTCTATTAAGTTCTATCATTTTTAATACTTTCTGTGGTCTTCCTGAAATATCAGTTGGCTATGAATTATTTCCCTTTGAAAGGCCATAGTAACTCTCTTTTTCTAACTATACACACATACAAACACACACATACACTCCTCGCATATATTAGAATATGACAGATTATATTTCAGAATGTAGGAAACGGATTAATTTTTATTGAATCTCAAGAGATGTAAGGAAGAGAAAAGCAGCCCTGGCGTCTGGCCTGGTAAGGATAAACTAGGCCACTGAGTAGCCATGATTGTTCAAGACAAAAACAAAGCCACTTTATTATCATGTAACCTAGCTAGCGTTTTACAAACTTTTTTTTTTAACGGAAGTTGATTATGTTAACTATGTGTACAGTTGACTCCAAAATATTTATTGTCACCTTGTCTTACTGATTTATAATGTGAGGATAATAAAAGTTTCACCATATAGGTTTCTATAGGGATTAAATGAGTTACTTACATATTAATTGCCCATAACTTTGCCTGGCAGATGGCAAATGCTCAATAATGGTAGAGTAATGGTATTGTTGTTATTGTTTTCCCAGTTTTCAAACAGAGGTTTTGTTTCCACTGTTTTGAAATGCTTAGAAATACTAATTTGATATAATATCAAGGCAAGCACAAAACTTAGTTTGTACATGACATGACTAGAGACAGCTCATGTAGCACATTCTTTATACTTATATTAATGAGTTTTATTTATTTATTTATTTATTTATTTATTTATTTATTTATTGAGATGGAGTTTCATTCTTGAGATGGAGTTTTGTTCTTGTTGCCCAGGCTGGAGTGCAATGGCACAGTCTGAGCTCACTGCAGCCTCCGCCTTCCAAGTTCAAGTGATTTTCCTGCCTCAGTCTCCTGAGTAGCTGGGATTACAGAAGCCTGCCACTACACCCAACTAATTTTTTGTATTTTTAGTAGGGACAGGGTTTTGCCATGTTTGCCAAGCTGGTCTCCAACTCCTGGGCTCAGGTGATCCGCCTGCCTTAGCCTCCCAAAGTGCTGGGATTACAGGCGTGAGCCACCGCACCTGGCCATGAGGAATATTTATAATAGTTCACAACCCTATCAGACTAAAAGCCTCCTTTTAAAAAAAATATTTTCTAATGTAACTTTTGCTATTGTGAAATGAATTTCAAACATAAAATAGCATACTTATATATATAACAAAACACTAATGCATCATTATAATTTACAACAATGAAAAGTTTTATTTCATTAATAGAATAATAATATATAACTTATTATAAATGTAATGCAAAATAATGTGCAAATGGTCAGGTTTAACCTTACAGGAAAACATCAAATTATTCAGGCACTTGTATTTCTGCATAGAAGCAGCATAAATGCAACAGCTACAAATGTGTTGTATTGGGATATGAATACCACAAATATCAGTGCCTTTGGTGAAATAATTTTTTAAATATTGAACAATGCTTTAAAATGTTCAAAAAAGTAGAGTATGTTCTTTATTTGGTAAACATGGTAATTTAACTTTGAAAAAAATAGAGGCTATTTTAAAACTGTGAAAAAATTTGCTTTGGTGTTAGCAGTATTAGATACTATGCTCAGAAAACTATTAGTCATGTTGTCATGTTCATTAATGTATGGTGAGACACTTGGAAGTAGTGTGAAATGTCAGAAAATTATTCACTGAGGACAACCATCCCCAGCATAGCAGCATGCTTGGTATCTGAATACACCCATTAAGTCAGTAGCATGCCCATCATTTCCAAAATGCCCCATATGTAGGGACTGCCCCATGCAAACTTAGAGGTTGGATAAAAAGGACAAAGAAAGTCAAATCCAAAATAAATCATGCCTACAGGGAAAGTTGGATTGCTATAAACTGAGGAATTACTCATTCACAAATTAAAATTCAAATGTTAAACAACCGAGTTTGTACAGATGTCAAATAGAAACTAGAAAGTACATATTTTGGAAAAATGCTATATGCTAAAAAGTTAATAGTCAGATACGGAAAGTGTTGGCCCTGATAATGCTGAATAATTGATATACTGGAGGAGTGGTTCCAGAAATAGTGGAACAAAGGGCCAAAGTTATTTAAAGCAATTAACAATGTCTGGATTACATGTGTCCATGGTATATATTTTTAATCTCTTGTTGAGAAAAATATTTTGATAAAAATACCAGTTTAATGCCACAATATATTTTTTCATAAAGAGTAAATTTGATTGTAATTTATACTACTTTCTTACAGAATTATTCATTTAATATAAAAAAAGTATTGAGTTTTCACAAGCGTAAAATTAAATAGGTTTAAAAAATAGAAATTAACATTTATTTAATATTTATTTATATAATTATTCCTATATATTTTACAAAATAAAATAAGAGGAAATGTTTAGGTTTGATATTTACAGATGTGTCTTAGATCACATTTTTTCAAGCTTAATTTAAATTTGAACTTAAGCTTAATTTTAAATTTGAATCAGTGATTTATTTTAATTTGACTTTGAAATTTTGGAAATTAGATTGCAATACTCCCAAGACTATTTGCTGAAGAGTTCCCAATGAAATATATTTAAATTTTAATTAAAATGTATTATTACATTCTCATGCTTTATTTTGAGGAAACAGGGTGGAAATTGTTTTGTTTTTAACCTTTAGAGTCTTATCTATAGAAATGGTTTACTAAAATAATGAGTGACATCTATTTCACAAATGGTTTTTAACCTATATAATATACAAAACATATTTAAAGTACTTTTGTAGATAAAACTTTGGTGTGTTTAAAGTTTCTAGAAAACAAGTTCTAATATCTAATACACATAGATTATTAACATGTTTGAAGGCAATTTAAATGTCCAAAATTTAGAAGGTGGTCTTGGCCAGGCACGGTGACTCACACCTGTAATCCCAGCACTTTGGGAGGCCAAGGAGGGTGGAACACCTGCTGTCAGGAGTTCAAGACCAGCTTGGCCAACATGGTGAAACCCCGTCTCTACTAAAAATACAAAAATGAGCCATGTGTGGTGGTGCACACTTGTTAATGCTACCTACTCAGTAGGCTGAGGCAAGAAAATTACTTGAACCCAGGAGGCAGATGTTGCAGTGAGCCAAGATTGTGCCATTGCACTCCAGCCTGAGTGACAGAGTGAGACTCCATCTCAAAAAAATAAAAAAGAAAGTGGTCTTACTTAAACTATTATTGTATAGTACAGCAAATTATTACTAAGATTTTATTGAGGATAAAAATACAAATCAACTATTACCTTAAGGCCTATTACCCAATTTGTGGGTCAACTACAGTAGAAATTTAATTTAGCGCTGATTTTTCTCTTCTAAAATAAGTTTTGATCAATCATGGTTTTCGAAAATAAATACTATTATAATTTAAAAATTATCATTATTAACACGTATTTAGGAAAGTAACTCTGCAGCTAAAATATTTATGTGACCTAAGTATTATTAACGTATCTTAATAAAGAGTTTCCCAAAGGGAACTCAGGCAGTAATAGGATTAGTTTTTATATGAGATTTAAGTGAGTTGTAAAATCTAATAAACCTGAATTATGAAAAACTGTTCAGAGTATCTAGTCAGTTTTATATTATGCACTGCCACTCAGAGAGAGTATATTAAGTAATGTCATAATTTATTGAAATCAGTGTAATATATTTAGAATTGGTTCGTTGGCCGTATAATAATTTATGGTATCTGAATGTATGAGTTTACTTATTATTGCATGGATATTGGTTTTTCCAAATAATCAGGAAGATTCTGATTGACACCTTGAAGATATGCTTTTCTCTTAAAGATTTATGGTACCAAATAATTGCTTTTAGGTTTCAGTTGTTGTTGATTTTATTTTAAACCCAATGTGTTGTTATAAGGTTGTTTTTAGAGAATTAGATAAGAATGGATGGAGGCTTCCTAGTGAGAGAGAAAACAACTGGGAGGTTGGTAATTTTCCTAGGGATACTGGAAATAAAAAATGATTAAAATATAGCTCATCGGACCAGCTGCCATTTACAAAAGCAATGAGTTCTTGGACTTAGGTGAAATATCATTCACCCTTTCACTGTAAATTAACAAAAGAGAAAATGAATAGTAACAGAATTTTTGAATGTTAATGTAGAAATACATTAAATTGCAGCCTCACTGGGTTTTAAGAACAAAGAATGTCTAAAAGGCAAGAATGGCTGATGTTGTTGAAATTTTTGGAGCGTTCACATATAAAATAGGATTATAAATTATAATCATCTTAAAATTCCCAGAAATTTCTGGAAGAATATAGGCTGTGAAAAAGCACCTCTTCACCCAGCCTGTCACAACTACCTCCAACACCAACATAAACCACTTGGGACACAGAGGTTTGTTCCACCAATACTAATGCTATCATCTATGACACACCTACTTTGCAAAGACTGGAGAATTCACCTGCTTTCCCAGCTCACTTCTGCAATTCCCAGCACCTGAGTAAGCCATCTGGAGGCCCAAGAATTGGCCTGCTTGAACTTCCTAACACCAGTGCAAGTGTATGCTGCCCTGGCACACTTGGCCCCCTACTGCTACCATTGGGACTAGAAGACTGGCCCACATGGCATCCCAGTCTTCAGTAAAATTTCACCACAACCTCTACTAACAACCATACCCTAACCCACTAGGAAATTATAAACATCACTGACACTATTTATAGCAGAAGAAATAATCTAGAGACTACAATACTACATGCACCCAGAATCAAGCCAAAGTGCCCCACCCGACCAATACCAAAGTCACAAAAAAGTCATCTCCCGTAAAAGGAAATTCAAAAACAGTATTGGAATTCGTGGATGAGGCCACTGTTACAACTATGTGCAGATACCAAAGTAAGAAGACTAGAAACATAAAAAAGCAAGACAATATAACACCTCCAAGGGAATATAATAATTCTCCAGCAACAGATTTGAATAGAAAAGAAATTTCCCCAAACCCCCAAAAAGAATGCAAAATTTGACACTAAAGCTCAATGAGATATGAGAACACTGAAAAATAGTACAAATAAATCAGAAAGACAATTCAGGATATAAATGAGTAATTCACCAGAGATAGATATCATAAAAATAACCTAATCAAAATTTTGAAACTGAATAATTTATTGAAATAAATAAAAAATACATTTGAAAGTTTTAAAAACAGACTAAATCAAGAAGAAAAAAGAATCTCAGAATTGGAAAATAGCTGTTTTGAAATAATCCCATCACATAGAAATAATAATTAAAAAAAAGAATGAGCAAGGCCTTCATGATATAGTGAACACCATAAAGGAAACAAATATCCAAAGTTTTGGTGTCTCAAAAGGTAAACAGAAACCAAAAATATTAGAACACTTATTTAATGAAATAATATATAAAAACTCTACAAGTCTAGCAAAATATTTAGATATCCATATACAGGAATCTCAGAGATACCCAAATAAATACAATTCAAAAAGGTCTTCTAAATAGCATGTTATAGTCAAACTGTCAAAAGTTAAAAACAAAAAAAATTAATAAAAACAGCAAGAAAAAAAGCATCTAGACACGTATAAAGGAATCTTCACCAGAATAACAGCACACTTCTCAGGAAAAAAATCTTACAGGCTAGGAGATAATTGGATAATATATCTAAAGTGCCAAAAGTTAAGAACTGTCAGCCAAGGATACTATACCTGGCAAAGTTAGCCTTCATAAATGAAAGAGAAATAAAATCCTAGACTAGCAAAAGCAGACAGAATATATCATTACTAGACTGTTCCTATAGGAAATGCTTAAAAGACTTCTATACTCAGAAGTGTAAGAATGACATCCACCATCATGAAAACACATGAAAACATAAAACCCATTGGTAGACCAAACACACAAACAAAAAAGAGAAAAGACTAAAATATTACCATGACAGAAAACCACCAAAGCACTATAATACGTAATAAAAGGGGGAAAAAGAAAGAATATTCAAAAAAAACCCAGAAATCAGTAAAATGAGGGAAATGAGCTCTCACAATGAATAATAATAAATGTCTCTCACAATGAATAATAATCTTTATTTAAATTGATTAAGTTTTCCACTTAAAAGACATAGATTTGCTGAAGATAAACAAATAACAAATGACCCAAGTTTATACTGCCTACAAAAATTCACCTAACCTGTAAAGACACATATAGACTGAAAGGAAAGGGATTCAAACAGAAACCAAATATGAGCAGATGTAGCAATACTTATATACTTATATCAGATAACACATACTTTAAGTCAAAAATAGTAAAAAGACACAAAGAAGATTATTATATAATCATTATATATCATTATATAATAATCATAAAGGGATCAATTCAGTAAGAGAAATAACAACTCTAAATATACATGCACCCAACACTGGAGTATTAAGATGTATAACACAAATGTTATTATATCTAATGGGAGAGATAGACTCCAATACAATTACCACTGGAGACTTCAACACCCAACTCTCAGCATTAGACAGATCATCTAGAAAGAAAATGAACAAAGAAACATTGAATTTAAATTGCACATTAGATTAAATGGACCTAAAAGACATTTACAGACCATTTTATCCAACAGCTATAGAATATATATTCTTCTCATCAGCACATGAAACATTCACCAGGATAGACCATACATTAGGACACAAAACAAATCCAACAAATTTGAAACAAATAGATATCATTAACTTTTCAGACCACAGGGAATAATGCAAAATCAATAACAAGAGAAACTTTGAAAAGTGTGCAAATACATGGAAATTAAACAACATACCTTTAAATGACCATTAGGTCAAAGAGAAATTAAGGACAAAAATCAAAAGTTTCTTGAAAGGACTAAAAATAGAAACAACACACCAAAACATATGGTATATGGTAAAAAAAAAAAAACAATGCTAAAAGGGAAGTGTATTACAATAAACTCTTACATCGAAAAGGTGGAAAAAAGACTTTAAATAACCAACCTAACAAAGCACTTCTAGGAACTAGAAAAAGTAAGAACAAATCAAACCCAAAATTAGTAGAAGGACAGAAATAATATAAGATCACAACAGAACTAAATGAAATCGAGACCAATGAAACAATTCAAAGGATCAACAAAATAAAAAGGTGATTTTTTTAGAAAGACAAACAAAATTGATAAAGTGACACTACAAACAATTGGAAAGACATCCTATGTTCATGGATCAAAAGAATTAAAATTATTATACTGCCCAATCAGTTTATAGATTCAATGCAGTCCCCACCAAATTCCAATGACATTTTCACAGATTTTTTTTTTTTAATCCTAACATACGTATGAAACTAAAAAACAGCCTAAAGGACCGAAGCAATTCAGAGCAAAAAGAAGAGAGCTGCAGGCATCATACTACCTGACTTCAAAATGCATTATAAATCTATGGTAACTAAAACAGAATAGTATTTGTGTAAAAACAGACACATAGACCAAAGGAACAGAATAGAGAGCCCACTTATGTAATAAATCCACATACTTAATAGCCAACTGATTTTTGACAAAGTCTTCAAGAACATATCTCAGGGAAAGAACATCTTTTTCATAAATGGTGCTGAGAAAATTGAATATCCATATGCAGAGAAAGAAATTGGGCTCATATCTCTCTGAATAAAAAAATCAACGCAAGATCAATTAAAAACTTAAATTAAAACTATAAAACCATTAGAAGAAAACATAGTAAAACACTTTAGGACATTGGTTTATACATTGACTAAAACATAAAAAACACAGGTAACAAAAATAAAAATAGACAAATGAGATTATATTAAAATTTTTCTGCATAACAGAGAAAAAAATCGACAGAGTGAGGAGATAACCTTTCAAATGGGAGAAAATATCTGTAAAGCATTCATCCTGACAAAAGACTAATATCCAGGATATACAAGAAACACAAACACCTCAGGAGTTAAACAAACAAACAAACAAAAAACCAGATTATCCCTTTAAAAACTGGGAGAAGGATATGAATAGATAACTCTTAATCATAAGGGAGATGCAAATTAGAACCACAATCAAATAGCATCTCATCCTACTTAGAATAGCCATTGTTAAAAAGACAAAAGATAACAGATGCTGGCAAGGATGCAAAGAACAAAGGAACTTTTACAGACTGTTGATGGAAATGTAAATTACTACAGCCACTATAAAAAACAGTACAGAGATTTCTCAAAAACTAAAATTAGAACTACCAAATTATCTAGCAATCCCGCTTTCAGCTATTTACCCAAAAGAAAATAAACTAGCATATCAGGGGTACCTGTTCTTAAGTGTTTATTGCAGCACTATTCACATGAGCAAAGATATGAAATCAACCTAAGTGTCCATCCATGGATAAAGGAATAAAGAAAATATGGTACATATGCACAATGAAATGGGATACTATTCTGCCATAAAAAAAGAATGATATCCTACCACTTGCAACAACATGGATGAAGCTCAAAGTCATTATGTTAAATGAAATAAGTCAGGCACAGACAGACAAATATTGAATATTCTCACCCATGTGTGGAAACTAAAAAAGTTGATCTCATGGAGGTAGAGAGGAGAAAGGTAGATACCAGAAGCTGAGAAACTATGTTTGAGTGGGAGAAGAGGATTGAAGAAAGGTCGGTTAATGGGTAGAAACATAAAGTTAGATAGAATGTATAAGTTCTAATGTTCGACAGCAAAGTAGAGTGACTATAGTTAACAACAATGTATTAAACACTTCAAAATAGGTAACAGCTAGGACTTGAAATTTTCACCACACACAGAAATGATAAATACTCAAGCTGATGGATACCCTAAATACCCTGACTTGGTCCTAACACATTCTATGCATGTAACAAAATAGCACAGGTACCTCATAAACACGTAAAATACGTGTTTATTGGATCAATAAAACAGCTCCTCTTTGTCTTGAACTGTTTTCATTAATCCTTTACGTATGCATAATCCCTTACCATCTCCAACAGAAATGGAAACCCACTTTTAATTCCTATGTCTCAACCAGCGTTTATAGTCACATTTAGTCTTCTTTTGGCATGAGGCTGTTTCAGTGTGTAATGAGGAATTTGACTGGTTTTAGCCCTGGTTCCTGAGAGATAATGTTTAAATCTTTGGAATTTGTCCAGTAATAGGCATGTATTTATTATTCATGGTGAATCTCTCATGCCACACCTGATAGTTTATGCTAAGTAGGTGACTCCAGTTGGGCCCCTAGTTTATGCTAATAATATAACTAAACATGGAGCTGGCCACAATAGACTAATCATATGATTAGAGGATTTGGGCTTCAAGCCATATGATATCAACCTGATCTCTATGGAGAAAAGGGAGGATTGAGATTCAGTTTGACCACATCTATTAATTTAGTCAATTATACTTATCTAATGAAGCTACATGAAAAACATAAACAGTGAAACTTGGGTAACCTCCCTGGTTGGCTATACTCTGGTTATTGTTACACATTGATGTGCCGGGAGGGCAATAGATCTCTGAGGATGACAGAAATTTCATGGTTTGGGTACTCTCCAACCTTGCTTTATGTGTCTCTCTTTGAATGGTTCTGATTTATACCTCTTTTCCTATAATAAACCTGTAATTGTCAGGCCTCTGAGCCCAAGCGAAGCCATCATATCCCCAGTGACCTGCACATATACATCCAGATGGCCTGAAGCAGCTGAAGATCCACAAAAGAAGTGAAAATAGCCTTAACTGATGACATTCCACCATTGTAATTTGTTTCTGCCCCACCCTAACTGATCAATGTACTTTGTAATCTCCCCCACCCTTAAGAAGGTTCTTTGTAATTCTCCCCACCCTTGAGAATGTACTTTGTGAGATCCACCCCCTGCCCGCAAAACATTGCTCCTAACTCCACCGCCTGTCCCAAAACCTATAAGAACTAATGATAATCCACCACCCTTTGCTGAGTCCTTTTTCGGACTCAGCCCACCTGCACCCAGGTGAAATAAACAGCCTTGTTGCTCAGACAAAGCCTGTTTGGTGGTCTCTTCACATGGACACATGAGACACTAATAAGAAGTATGAAGTGTTCTGAGTTTTGTAAGTCATTCTAGCAAATTTTCTAACCTGAAAGGATAGGAACCTCCAAAATTTTAGCCCTCTGTTCAGAAGTAAAAGTAGCCTAGGAACCCCAAAATTGTGGCTTGTGTCTGCAGTAAGTGGCTGACTGTGAATGCATTGTGGAGAAATATTCTTTCAGACTGTGAAGTTTGGTCTAATACTAGGTAGTTGGAGCCAGAAGTATTTGCACCTGGGATGTTACATAGCTGTGTCTGTCTTAGTCAGTTCAGGCCACTAAAACAAAATGCCATAGACTAAGAAACTAACATTTACTTTTCACAGTTTTAGAAGCTGGAAGATTCAAAATCAAGGTGCTGGCAGATTCAGTGTCTGGTGAGGGCCCTCTTCTTAATCTGCAGATGGCTATCTTCTTGCTGTATTCTCACCTGGAGGAAAGTGAGATCCTGTATCTGTTTTACAAAATCATTAATTCCATCGTAAGAATTCCACCCTCAGGAACTACTGTAGCCATAATTACCTCTCAAAGACTCCACCTACAAATACCATCACATTGGAGACTAGAACTTCAACATGTGAATTTGGAGGGACAAAAACATTCAGTCCTTAAGATTGTCCAAAGAGTAAACCATATTGAGACAGGCTTTTTCCCTTGACCTGCCCCCTTCGTGGGCAGGAACTGGAGTGGCTCATTTCACTCAGCCCACCACTGGCCACTCCTTGCAACAGGGAGCCGGCGAGCAAGCGAATGCGGGAACCAGAGGGAACGAACTCTGAAACCAGCCGGCCACTCCTCTCTGGCCCGAGCAGGCTCTGTGTGCGCCCTGCAGCAGTGTCCAAGCCCCCGCCCTCTTGGCACTTGGGTTCTTGTTCTGCGTCCAGGAAGAATTAGATCACATGAAGGGATTAAAAGGTAGTGTATGCAGAGGATTTTAATGGGTGATGGTTCTCAGTGGGACGGGAGTTGGAAAGGGGATGGTGTGGGAAGAAAGTGATTTTTCCCTTAAGCTGCACAATGTGAAGATAGTTGCGTCTAGGCGTAGTCTCTGACACTCAGCTGCTTGCACTCCCAAATACTTGCATCAACCGCTTGTGTAGAGCTGCCAGCTGAGGTCTTTTTATGGACACAAGATAGGGGCATGGCAGGCCAAAAAAGCAACATTTGGGTAGGAAAAACAGGGACAGCTGTTTTCACTTAAGGCTTAAGGGTGGGGTTTAGTTGGGAGCCCAGCCATTCTGTGTTATTTCCCCCCTCTGAAGAGGCACATGTAACTGCCATTAGAATATGGATGACTGCTCTTAGCTACTTCGTGCTGAAAAAGGGCACTGTTTGGGGAAATCGGCAGTCAGATTCCTCCCAGAGGCCTACCCAAGGGTCACTGGTAAAAAGGAGCCATCATCCAAAGCTCCAGCTGCCTGCCCATTTTGGAGCCTCGATGGCCTCTAGGCAAAAGAAAAAACAAACTTCACAAGTTTAAGTATCCATGGATCAAACGTGTATCATACAAGGAAAGAATCTAGTGCCAAAAATCTCAGAAATAAGAAGTGAAATATACTAAGTACATTGCACCTTGAGATGTCTCACTTGGTGAAAGAAATTAAACCTTATATGGGAGTGATTAAACTTTAAGAGAGAGGTAACTATTCTTGCCATATCTCTAGCAGTTAACAGGTGAACCTTAGGAATTCTCGGGTTTGTAGGCTTGCATGTTGGCCATTAAAGCTTTTGCCTCTTTCTTGTGTCTAAAAGACCGAGGGGGGTACTTTCAGCAGGTCCTCTAAAGGACTGTCTTGTCCCAGGGTCCGTTTCTGAATATAAACTGGAGGTAGTCAAGTTTTTTGGTTGTCCATTCTGAAAGACAGGAAATTTGGCATCCCCCATTCCCTTCCTTCCTTCAGTGAAAACTCAGGTGTGAGGGAGAAAGAAAGTGGATGAATTCCCTTTCCTTTTGTGTCCGTATCCCCGAGTTCCAGTGACCTTGGCAGGTGCCACCTATGGGTACCAAAGCGGCTTTCACCCATGTTGACAGGGGAGCCTAAGGGGTAGGAATATCCGCTCTTACGCACATACACCCTATCCCCCCTGCTGTTGACAACCTTTGAGTTCCCTGGGCCTCATCTATACCATGGAGCATGGCCTCCTTCCGTGAAGCTAGGGTTTAATTGGTAGGAATTGGTCCTGCCCATTTACACTGTGCCTGTTGGCTGGCTTTGGATCCCTCTGATATGGTTTTCCTTTCTAGGGCTTCAACCTGAAGCTTGAAATCAAATTTGAGGAAAAAGAAAGTATTTCAGGGGCTGCTTGGGAGTCATTTAGATGTCCCAGACAAGCTTTGCCAAATTTGCCATTATCAGCCAGCAGGGGACGCTCCTCTGTTTCCTCCTTATTCTAGCAAAGCGCAGAGGTTGGAAAAGAATCCTCTCACTTAGAAAAAGACGCAAAACAACTTAAAAGTGCATAAGGGGTTGGGGGCAGGGGTGGGGAAAGAGCCTCTTGCTTTGTAGAAAGGTTCCTTTAATAACTATTCAGACCGACTAGACCTCCGTGAAGGGAAACAGAGCCAACATTCCTTTTACTTGATGGGAAGGGAGAGATGGTAGGGTCTTGGAAAAGAGGCCGATCCAACAGTTCTGAATTTAAAGTCACCCTTTTTCGTATCTCTGACGGAGCCCCAGATGAGACAGGATTGTTCCCTTGCCTCCTTCATGGGTGGGAACTGGAGTGGCTTGTTTCACTCAGCTCACCGCTGGTGACTCCTCCTGAGAGGGAGTAAGCAAGCGCGGGAACCAGTGGGAATGAGCGCTGAAACCGGCCGGCCACTCCTCTCTGGTGGGAGCAGGCTGTGTGTGGCCCCGCAATAGCATCGAACCCCCGGCCCTCTCGGCACCCAGGTTCTTGTCCGGCATCCAGGAAGAATCAGGTCACATGAACAGATTGAAGGGTAGTATATGCAGAGGATTTTATTGGATGATGGCTTTCAGCAGGATGGGAGTTGGAAAGGGGATGGCGTGGGAAGAAGGTGATCTTTCCCTGAAGCCACACCATCTGAAGTTAGCCGCATCTATCCATAGTATTTGATGCTCAGCCGCTTGTACATCCGACATTCACCAGTTTGTATCCCCAACGCTCTGCTGCTTGGATCCCCAACCACTTGCACCAGCGGCTCGTGTTGCTCTGCCAGCTGAAGTCTTTTTATGGGCACAGGATTAGAGCATGACAGGCTAAAATAGCAACATTTGGGTGGAAAAATAGGGTCAGCTGTTTTCACCTGGGGCCGTGGTTCTAGGCTTGAGGGTGGAGTTTAGCCGGAAGCCCAGACGTTCTGTATCAATATCTCAAACCAAATATTCAGTATCAACAAGCTTTAATTCTGTGAATAATTTCTGGACTTTATGAAAGTTCCTCTGAAAATTTTATTCATGGAACATAAAACCCACCACAACTGCCAATTAATGATTATAACTTCTCAAGGAAAAGAGATGGGACTATGATTATTTTCTACTGTCTTCAAAGCAAGGTGCTTTAAGAATATATTACTCATTCTGGAAGACACTACGAAATTTGTGACATAAATATTTTTCAGATTTCTTCCAATTTCTTTCAATACATTTTTTTTCTGTTTAGAAATAACACTAATACGCTTTTAATATCTTAGTATAATTTATAGGTTAAGTGTGTAATCTCTAGTGTCAGATTGCTGTTGAATTGCAGGGAAATATTTTCATTTTTTGCATGATCAAAGCTCTCTGATCAGAGAAAATTAATATAAAGCTAAAGAACATATCTTTTTCCTTATAGATATATTTGTTCTTTGCATTCTAAGGTGAGAGATGATGCAGAGTCATGTGCTTATTTGTTAAAAGGGGGTTAAACCCATAGCCATTGGTTTACTATCCCAAGGGTTGTGAACATCAAAGGAACTTCTTTTCTCCAAAATATGAATTATTTACATTAGAAAATTAAGGTCCTTTTTCCTTTTTTATCTCTCAGGAGACGCTATTGTGGAACATTCTTATATAAGTTCTAAAATTCATATTTTGGGGGGGTTCTATTTTTGTCTTGCAAGAACTTACTTTTGCACATGTAGGATCTGTTTCTCTTCATCTACTCATTTACACCATAGAGGAGAGAATTGGACATAAGAAACTTCAACAGTTTTTTGTGCTTAGTAATAAAACCTATGATCTCTGATACAGGAAACTCATGTTTGATATCCAGAAAAATAAATCAATATAGATATTAAAAACTTATTAACTGGATGGCTTAAGTGCTCAGCTGTGAATGTTTTCTCCTCTATAGATGTATGCATGTTTGTTAATCTTTCTGTGCCTCAGTTTCCAGTATAGAATAGAAGCCCCAATTCTACTTACCTAAGAGGGTTTTGTTAGCTTTAAACACATTATATAATGTATTTAGAGAAGTGACTGAAACATTGTGGTATTAAATCATCACTTATGCTACATTTGTTATGCAACAGGCACAATTTTAATTGCCTTAACAAATAGTAAATCCTATGACAACCTTATGAGGTAGATGATATTGTTAGTTATATTTAAAAATTGGAAAACTGGAGAACAGAGATATTTTACAAATTTCCTAAGGTTATGTTTCTCAGTGGGCAGGTCTATGTAAACCTACCTCAAAATCCAAGGAAGCTGAGATGCTGAAGAAAGAGGCTAAAACGGTGAAACCCCGTCTCTACTAAAAATACAAAAAATTAGCCGGGCGTAGTGGCGGGCGCCTGTAGTCCCAGCTACTTGGGAGGCTGAGGCAGGAGAATGGCGTGAACCCGGGAGGCGGAGCTTGCAGTGAGCCGAGATCCCGCCACTGCACTCCAGCCTGGGCGACAGAGCGAGACTCCGTCTCAAAAAAAAAAAAAAAAAAAAAAAAAAAAAGAAAGAGGCTGACAAATCCAGTTTCTTAGGAACAAACATTTAATGGGGACTTACGAACAGAAACCACATCTCCATTTCTGGCAGTGGAGATATGACATGGTTTATTCCTAAAAAATTACCCTCCAGACTCAGGGCTTATATACCATAGGGAAGGGGTAATTTGGAAGGGATATCTAGGACAATTGAAGTACAAGAACATCAACGTTGTTAGGTCTAAAAGCAGGATTTACAGTAAGTACCCGTTCTTACACAAGGAACAACAGATAAACTGGAAATCTTGGCAGCGTTTCCACAACTGGGGTTAATCACAAGCCAACATATCAGATTAGCATACAAGATGAAATTGCATTAGCCTCCACAGGTTACACAGCAGATAGGAGAAAGAGCTAACATCTGAATACAGGTAGCCTAGTTTCAAGGTCAAACTAAGTAAACATTTTTAATATTAGCTCAGTAAATAGTAGTTGTTGTCATTATTATGATCAAGGTTTAAAAAAAATAAAAGAAGACCATCAATTTTCTTCAAATGCCTGAAGACAGGTAATAAAAAGATTCAGAGTATTTTTTCATGACATATTTAGGTTGCCTTACTCATCCTGCTAAGTAACTCATGTATACTTCTTCAATGAAATGACTGAAAACTCTGATGAAGCGTGTCTTATTTTGGATCCAAGAATCACTAAACCAATTTCCAGCAGAAATCTGAACTTTGTCCAAACCTAAGAAGGCCCTTAGATTCTGTTCTATTTTATGCCCCACATTTTCTCTGAGGAAATGAGTAGACAGCTGAAGATTTGAAAGACTCAGTGTGTGAGGGAAGGAAAAAAATAGAGACAACAATTGGCTTATATATAACACTATAAAACACTATCTGTTTCCATCTTAGTGTTTCTTAAAATAAATTTCCTTTTCTCTTTATTATTGATGATAAATAAACAATTAATTTTGTTCTTGCTAAGTCTGGGGCTAACTACATATACTTGGCTATATTGAACAAACACACCCATATAATATTAAATCTGAAATACTTATGTATTTCTGACCTAGTACTAGAATTATTGGCATAGGTCCCAATGCTTTAAAAAATGACTTTTCATTCAACATTTTTTTCTATCACTTATGCCATTTTCTTATGTTGGTATATGGTAAAGGACTGACTGTTACAGTGTATATGATTCTCAGCAATACTTTGCCTCTAGCTTTTACTGTCTCTGTGGGCTTGCTATTGGAAAGAGGAACTCCATCATTCCTTTTGTACTGACTGCAACACTAAACTTTCCAGAGAGATCAATCTACTTGCAATTTGCAGTTGTGGCTGGCACTTTATTTAATGCCTCTTGGTGACAGAAAATGGAGTAACACTTGTTCTAAAATGTTTTGTGCTTTCGTAGTGCTCCCTTGTTGTTAGTAAAAAGCATAGTTATTCTTCCATTTCAGAAGCATGTTAGCAAGTGTATTAGAATAACTAATTATAGCTACAACAATTATAACTCTAAATTATAAATTCATTAAGGTCACCATTTATATGTAATATTTCATTAAAAAGAAACTTGAAGTTCAATTTACTTTTTCTACCATGTAAGAAAAAGTTACATGGTTCAGCCATGTAACCATGAACATTGTTTTAAAGAATTTGGAGAGTTATTTAGATAACCTGGAACAATGCAATTAAGATTTTGATTTCTGAACCCAAGACAGATAAATGAAAAAGAAAACAACAAAACACACAAAAAAGCATATTTATTGAGTAAAGTAATAAGAAGGCAGAGCATCACTAAAAGATGTTCATCTCCTTCTGCCACTTAAATTGTCACTCTGTCACTCAGCTTAAATGGTTGTTAGTCACTCACCCACAGGATCACCAACACAATTTCTTAACAGTGTGAACTCAGGAGGGTAGTTGAGGCTTTAAATATATCTTTTTATCTTAAAATTTTTGAATGGAGTATCTGTGTAAAATAATCAAGAATGATAATTAAACTATAGAAAACCCTTTACAATTAATTCACCATAAAGACTTCCAAAAATGAAAATGAATAAGGAGAAAAAATCATAGTTTTATAATAATGATTATATAAATATTCCTGATAAAATGTATGACTATGGTACAGGATAACTTTTGCTTATGCATAATTTATCGAGAGATTATACCTTACCGAATAGTTCTTATGGTTTTTAAAATTAAAATTGTTAGTAGTATTCCTATTGAAAAAAAAGACTGCATTTCTGGTTTTACTAGTTTGTTATGTTTTATTTTCTACAAGACTTTGAAGGCCAAATGTTATCTTAAAGTATACATAACAGCTAAGGAATTTCATGTAACTGATTGAGGTTCCAGTGGAGTTACAAAACCTGAAATTCCACTTATTTTCTATTTCTTCAAGAATAGATAACAGTAGAAAAGTAAAGTTTATTATTAATGTAGGTTGGTCAGGATTGTGGCCTGAAAAATTTTGATACAGACTGTAAGCTGAATACTCAGAAATGCAGAAAAGTACATGTTTATGAAGTAAATAAATATATATCTTTTATTTGAGAAATAATACACTCCTTTATATATTTTTAGGATGCCCTGAAAAAAATGTGGCAATACACAAGATTAACAAATGCACTCCAATTTTAAGGAAAAGCTTTATTCAATTTTATGGTTCATATTAATTGAGACATATAAATTCAAGTTGAGCATTAAGAGTAGTTCAAACATGCATAATGCTCAATTTTATTGTTCACACATAAAGATTTTTCTAAACTTTGATTACTACAACATGAAACTCACTTATATCACTTAAAACTTGAGATAAAAGCTGCCACTTTGTTTAAGTGTTCTCATTATTTTTTCTTAAGTATATATTATTTTATTATAAATGGAAAAATGCTGGTTCAGAATTCAAACAATAAACTTTTTCTTAGTCCATCCATCCAATGCACATGGGATTGCTTATGGCAATAATTTATCCTATGTGACCTCATTCATTTTTTAAATAGTATACTAATAATTGTTCACATTACTTAGAAACTTTATCAAAGGGTGTGAATAAAATGATCTACAAAAGTCAATCACTTTCCTATATACAGGCATACCTTGGATGTATTGTGAGTTTAGTTCCAGACCACTTTAATAAAACAAATGTCACAATAAAGCAAGATACATACAATGTTTTCCTTTCCCAATGCAAATAAATGTTTACACTACATGGTAGTTTATTATGTGTGCAATAGCATTTGTCTAAAAAATAATGCACATGCCTTAGTTTAAAAATACTTTGTCACTAAAAATTGCTAATGATCATCTGAGCCTTCAAGTTATAATATTTTTGCTGGTGGAGAGTCTTGCACGGATATTGATGGCTGCTGACTGATCAGAGCGGTGGTTGCTGAAAACTGAGGTGTCTGGGGCCATTGCTTAAAATAAGAAATTAATAAAATTTGTTGCATTAGTGGACTTTTTCTTTCATAAAATATTTCTCTGTACCATGTGATACTCTTTGCTAACATTTTAACAACAGTAGAAATTCTTTCAAAATTGGAGTCAATTCTATCAAAACCTACCACTGCTTTCTCATCTAAGTTTAGGTATAATATGTTGCCATTTCAACAATGTTCACAGAATCTTCACTTGGAGTAAATTCTATCTCCAGAAACCACTTCCTTTGCTCATTCATAAGATGCAATTACTCATTCATTGAAGTTTTATCATGAGACTGCAGAAACTCAGTAACCTCTTCAGGGTCCACTTCTAATTCTATTTCTCTTGCTATTTCCATCACATCTGCAGTTACTTCTGCCACTAAAGTAATAAACCCCTTAATGTAATCAATGAGGGTTGGAATCAACTTATTTCAAACTCCTGTTAATGATATTTTGGCCTCCTTCCATGAAGTAGAACATTTATCAATTACATTCACTGTCATATGAGCAGTTTGTGGTACCCCAAAACAACTACAATAATATCAAAGACCTATGATAGTGATCACGGATCACCATAACATATATAACAATACTTAAAAATTTAAAATATTGTGAGAATTATTAAAATGTGACACAGACACACAAAGTGAGCACATGCTATTGAAAATGTGGCATTGATATACCTGCTAGATGCAGGGCTGCCACAAACCTTCAGTGTGTAAAAAGTGCAATATCTGCAAAATACAACAAAGTGAATGCAATAAAATGAGGTATGCCTGTATCAGCAATGAACAAGTAAAATTTGAAATTAAAAGAACAATACCATTTACACTGGTATTACCCAAAATTGAAATACTTAGGTATGGACATAGCAAAATATGCAAAAGATCTATATTAGGAAAACTACAAAAATTTTATCAAAAAACCAAATGACTAAATAAATGTGGAGGTACACCATGTTCATGGATAGGAAGATTCAATACTGCCAAGATGTCTGCTATGTTCTGAATATTTGTGTTCCTTCAATTTTATATGTTGAAATATAATCTCCAATGTGATAATACTAAGAAATGCGGCCTTTTCAGAAGGGATTAAGTCATGAGGGTAAGGCCTTCATAAATGAAATAAGTGCCTTATGAAAAGAGACTTGAAGCAGTTTCTTTGCCTCGTCCAACATATAGACACAACTAGAAGGCACCATCTGTGAAGCAGACACCAAAGATACTGGTGCTCTGATCTTGTGCTTCCCAGCCTCCAGGACTGTGAGCAATTAATTTTTGTTGTTTATACATTACTCAGTCTAAGATATTTTGCTATTGCAATCTGAATGGACTAAGACAATGACTGTTCTTCACAATTTCATCTGTAGATTAAATGCAGCCTCAAACAAAATCCTAGCAGGTTATTTTGTGGATATCAACAAATTTATGTTAAAGTTTTTAGGAATCAGCAAAAGACTCAGAATCACCAAAACAATATTGAATGTGAAAAAATTGGGGAGAATAATACCACTCAACCTCAAGACTTAATGCAAAGTAACAGCAATCACAACAGTGTGATATTAGTAAAAGGACAGGCAAATAAATCAGTGAAACAGGATAAAGCATCGAGAAACAGTCAGGTAAATATACCCAAATGATCTTTGTCGAAGACGACTGGTAATCTAATGAAGCAGATATACCTTTCAACAAAGGGTACTAGAATAAGTGGATATCCTGCTGCAAAAACAAATAAATAAATCTAGATACATACGTTACTTTACAAAAATTAACTCACAATAGATGATAGAGCTAAATATAAAAGGCAAATTTATAAAACTCTTAGAAGATAACATAGGAGAAAATCTAGATGACTTCAGGCATGGTAATAATTTTCAAATTAATTTAAAATTTTTAAAATTTACTATTTTAAATTTTAAAAATAATTGTTTGGTTCTGAATTTTAAACCCAAAGGAATGATTCATTTAAAAAGTTGATAACGTGAAATTCATTAAAATTAAAAATTTTCTCTCTACAAAAGAAACTACTAAGAGAAAAATAAGATAAGCAACCAATGGAGAGAACACATTTACAAAAGATATCTGATAAAGAACCTATCCAAAATATACAAAGGACTCTTAAAACTCAATAAAGGAAAACAAATACCTTAATTAAAAAAATGGACAAAAGACCTTCACAGATACATTGCCAAAGAAAATATAAAGATGGAAAAGAAACATAAGAAAAGATGCTCCGCAGAATATTTTATCAAAGAAATGCAAATTAAAACATCAATCACATGTTAATACACACCTATCAAAATTACTGAAATCCCAAACACTGACAACATCAAATGTTGGTGACAATGTGGAGAAACATAAACACTCATTTATTGCTAATGTAAATGCAACATGATACAGCCACTTTGGAAGATGATCTGGAGATTTTTTACAAAACAAAACATACTCTTACCACACTATCCAGCAGTCACATTCTTTGGTGTTTACTCAAAGGTGTTGAAACTTGTATCCACACAAAAATCTGCATACAGATGTTTATGAAAGCCTTATCTATACTTGCCAAAATGTGGAGGCAACCAAGATATTCTTCAATAGATGAATGAGAAATAAATAGTGGTACATCCAAACCATGAAATATAGTTCAGCACTAAAATGAAATTTGCTTTAAACCATGAAAAGACATAGAGTAATCTTAAATGCATAATAGTAAATGAAAGAAGTCAATCTGAAAAGGCTAATAATGTATAATTCAGACTAGATGACATTTTTGAAAAGGCAAAACTATGAAGATGGTAAAAAGATCAGTGGTTGCCAGGGTTGATATAAAAGTGAGCTCTCTCTTTTATGGGCTCTTTCACCTTCTACAGTGGAATAATGGAGCAGTGGAGCCATTGCAGGGAGCTGACAACATCCTCTTGGGCTTCCCAAACACTAGAACTGTGAGCCAATTAAGCCCCATTTTTTAAAAGTGAATTACTCAGATGTAAATAATCTGTTATAGCAGCAGGAAGCAGACTAAGACCAGCAGAAATAAAACAACCAACAGTTATTGAGATCTTAGCATGTGCTAATTACCTTTCAGAGATCTTTATTTGTATGAACTTACATAATACTCATACCAACCTTATGAACATGTGATGTTATAATTCCTATTCTATCCGGGAGGAATTTGAGGCACAGAGAGACTTTGTAAACTTCTAAATAGCATTTCAACAAAATGGTAGATCCAGGTTTAAACCTGGGTACGCTAGCTTCAGTGTCTGTGCTCTCCTAACAAGTATTGTTAACATTATTTAAATAAAGAGATAGAAACTTATTGACTCACTCAAGGATTTATTCTGCTAAAAATTGACCAAATGTAATCAAGACCTTTTTTTTAACGTTGACTTTATATTTACTTCAGATTGACTAATCATATGCAAATTCAATGTCAGTAATAGTATTATTTTGTAGGCAAAGACTAATTTTCTTAAGGATTTTTGTGGTTGATAATTCAAATAGCTACCTTTACTGATGTTAGTACCTGTTATAAATACATTTTTTATTTAGTATAGGATTCTTTCTTTTTTTGCTTGAATATGACTTTTAAAAAATTGGTCTTCCTTCTTAATAGGTCTGAAATAATTATAAATGCTGATTTTTGTTTTGGCAGACCTTCATTACTGGCCTAAGTAAAGCAATATATAACTCATCATCAATCAGCCAATGTTAAAACTATTTTTAATTAAAAAAATACAGGCCTCCAGAAAGTCACTTCAGTTCTCCACTGGAATTTGCTTACTGGCCAAAGCATATATTAATGCTTGAGGCTGAATAAGATGAACATATATGTACCTATTTTCATACTGTTCCACTTGACTACCTCCCATTGGCATTGTTATGCTTAGTATCACATAACACTCTCCTATCAACAGTAAAATAAACCCCATATTGCAAATGTTCAGTGATGTACACAGGGTGTGTATTGGCCTCTGTCTAATGTAGTCTGGTTTCTATAGGTTTAAGAGTAATAAAGATTATTTCCTTTGCTCATATATTACAGATGGTTGCATTAGTCTGTCTTTTCATTGCTATAAGGAACTACTTGAGACTGGGTAACTTTTATAGAAAAAGAGGTTTAATTGACTCACAGTTCCACAGGTTGTACAGGAAGCTTGTCTGGGAATGTTTCAGGAAACTTAAAATCATGGTGAAAGGCAAAGGGGAAGCAGATATGTCTAACATGGCCAGAGAAGGTGGAAAAGGGAGCAGCGGGAGGTGTTACACATTTTTAAACAACCAGATTTCGTGAGAAATCATTCATTATCACAAGAAGAGCAAGGGGGAAATCTGCCCTCATGATCTAGTCACCTCCCACCAGGTGTCTGCTCCAACATTTGGGATTACAATTTGACATGAGATTTGGGCAGGGACAAAAATCCAAACCATACCAGTCATGTTTAAGGCAGGTGTTATTTCTTAGCTTTTTAAAAAGTTTACTTGAAGTCAATAATTACGTGTTTGTTATTTATTTTTTTTTTACTTTTTACCCATTATTTAATATTGTCTTTGATATTTTAACAGGTAATATAATTTAAACAAGAATAGTACTCACTTATAATTAAATTATCACAATATAAATTTTTTCATTAAATAAACTTAATAGCCAAAAAGAATTATTCACAAATACATGTCTTTTTCATGGTGATAATGATAATAACATACTAACATAAATCACTACAATCCCAAATTCTTTGGGAAATAATAATTTGTATTTTGTATTAAATTATGCATATGTTTTTCCTATGCATAATTTGTATTTTTGCATTAAATTATGCATAGGAAAAACATAAGCATAATTTCATAGAAAATGTCAATTATTATTTCCCAAAGAATTTCTGTTAGGAATGCAAACAGTATCCTGTTTAACATAATATAATCCTATATAGACTAATCCATACATTTTGTTTTAAAATAAATTCTAATGTAAACTATTTAATATATGTGTATTTTAATTTTTCCAATATTTTATATGTAAAAGGAATAGTAATTGATTAACTCTACCCCATCTCCTTCATCATTCTGCTATCAAAAGTATCATATTTTTCAGCCTTATATACTTAGACTTCTTAATATCTGTATAGATGTTTTCTGTGATTTATATATGTGAGATAATATAATCTATTTGGACTACACAGCTTTTTTATATAAACACTTTAAATGACATTTTTTTCTTTTTTACCTGATTACCTTAACTGTTTACAAATTCTACTTTATAGTTTACAAGACATTATGTTGTTTCAGAGAAAAGCTCCTATCAACTGTGTTTTTCCTCTGTTCTCCCACTGCCAAGTCAATCACCAATACAGAAGCAGACTGCTGTGACCAAACGTGTTGGTATTTTCCCCACACACCAAGCTGCAGACACCAGCGGAGTGTCCTCCAATTCAATTGTCACACTATCTACCTAGAGATAGTGTCAGATCCCACATGTTGGGTGCTGAGTCCCCAAGATTGCCCCACTCCCTTTAGATGCTTGTCACAGGTCCAAGCCTCTGGAACTTCTGACCCACTGGTTTCAAGTTGGGGTTCCCATGAGCCCCTGTTTGGGTCGGATTAATTTGCTGGAGCAGTGCACAGAACTCAAGGAATCACTTACACTTACCAGTTTATTGTAAAGGATATGACAAAGGATACAGATGAAGTGACACACAGGGCAAGGTATGGGGGAAGGGGTGTGGACCTTCCATGCCCTCCCTGAGTACAGCATCCTCCAGAAACCACCATGTGTTCCACTTTGTAGAAGCTCCTCAAACCCAGGCCTCGGGCTCTTATGGAATCTTCATGATGTCAGCATTCCTTCTCCCAGATTGTAGGGTGGACTCCTCTCTGGAGAGGGTCTTAAGACCCACAGTCAGAAAGGCATGGGAAGTTTAGAGCCCTGCCTTTGGGCAAGTACAAGGAAGGTAAGAGCGAGATTCTGTTTCCTGAGTTCTAAAACAGCCAACATGATAACAAAAAACTTTAATAAGGGCTATGGGAGTTATAAACAAAAAACCATGAATGAAAACCAATATATATCATAACACCACATATATAAAAAATAAGAACAAACAGAACTATATATAACTGTTTGCACAAATTCATCTTGCTAATTTTCCAAATATTTAATAGTGTATATATTATTAAATCTAATATAAATGTTAATGTCTCAAAAACAGCTGTATGAACCCAGGAGCCAAAGCAAAACATTTCAAAACATTTTTCTCAGATTTTGTCACACGATCACTTATTATTTATGTTCTTGATACCAAAAATAATATATATTTATTTTATAATGCTAAATATTTCTGTCATATGTTATGACTATAGCAATGCATAACTACTTTTGGAATCTTAGTGTGATATTTACCTAGGTTAACAATAGAAAATAATATTTTCAACATACACTTTAGTCAATTTGAAATGCAGAAACTTTTTTAAATGAATATTATATCTAATTTGTACACTAATATATTAAATAGATATAATTCAGATATCTTTCACATACCAATTATACTTCACAATTATAGATCAAATCAAAGTTGTCTATTTATAATATTTGGAGTAAGTGAATAGTTTAACATATATTTAAAGAGTTCTGCTTCTTCCTCCATAGTCAAACAATTATTTCTAGCTATAACAATAAATAAATTGAGGCACTAATCATGTTTTATGATGATTATGATATAATTTGCTGTTATAAATACATGCAGTTATGATTTTTTTTCCAGGCCATAGAAGCACTCGAAAATTTACACAGACATATAAATATTAGCACATTTATTTTAAATTACTCAAATTTATAACTTACCAGATTTTTATTAAATTGATGCAAAAGTAATTGCGGTTTCTGCCAATAAAAGTAACGCCAAAAACAACAATTGCTTTTGCAGCAACCTAATATCATACAGGAAGAAAGCAGTGATACGTTGGATTCCACAAGGCCTGGTGTTCAACACCAACATTAACATGAATTACAGCATTCTTAGAAACAGGTGCTTTTAGTCACCTCAGGCTAAGATTGCACGTGTCCAGTGGGAAGTAAATCAAAGTTTTCTTAATAAAATATTGCACTGAAACACATATCTGTTAGAAGAAGTGAGTTATTTTATTAAACATGTCTATAGGAATTTAGGATGTTTTATGAAAGTTTTATACCAGTATATACTACAAACTTGGCAATAGTTCCATTTCCCCTTAGAAATGATTGGTCTAGCTATAAAAATCCCTCAAGTCAATTTCTGGTCTTCTATCATTTCCTAAAATTTCTGGGAATTAAGTTGTCTTTCATCAGGCTGACAGAAAACTAGACCTCTGGAAGGGGTATGGGTGTTCCTTTTTAGAAAGTAAGATTATCCTGATGAGTACACTCTAGACTTTCTGCTTTTCTCAAGTGTTACAGTGAAACCTCAAAGACTTCTATTCTGAGTTACTTCTTAAATCTTACATAAGATATGCAAGATAGAAAATTTATATACATTTAGAAAATATACAAATATTCTTTATTATATTGAAAATATTTTATATAGAGTCACTGAAATCTAATAAAATGCAAACATTCATTTGCTCAGCAAATTTATATTGAGTATTTATTAAGTGCCAGAAATATTTTAAGGACAGAAAATAGATTAGTTTATATAATGAAAAAAAATTTTTGTCCTCATGGGCAAATATATCTTGTCTCTTATGTTCTGTGTCAGGAATCTAGTAGCAGTTTACCTGTGTGATTTTGACTCTAGCTTTCAATGTTACTGCAGTCAAAACTAGTCAGGCAGGAATGCAGTCTTATGTGAAGGCTCACATGAGAATGAATCTTTTTTCAAGCTTATTAACATGGCTTTGGAAGGCCTCAGTTTCACATCTACTGTTAGTTCCTCACTGCATGTCTGTCTCTATAGGCTAATGGAGTATCCTAATAACATAGATGCTCACTTCTGTCAAATACTATTGGTCACATAAAAAGACTCTTGGAAAATGTGTAGAGACCACAAAAGGGTGTGAATTCAACTGGCTGGAGATCGTTGTGACCACTTTGGAGGTTGAATATCACAAGGGGTAAAGAATATTATTGCGGAATCCCATAGAAGGTTTTAAGTGGAGAAATAAATGTAATATATTTAAGTTATTGTTAAGAAGGAACAATCTGGCTATCATGTTAAAAATGGATTTAGTTAATAAACCTCTCTAACACGAAGTGTGCAAGCTCTGCTGTTCTACTACAGAGTAAAAGCAAAAGTTTATGTATACATATACACATACACACATATACATGTACACATACATGTACATATATACAAACAGGTATGCATATACACACATACAGGCATACGTATACATACAAACATAGATACATTTAAGCTTCTAGAAATGGCCCTAAGGATAAACAGCAAATCAAGAAACATTTCTTCAAGAAAATCTAGAAATATTTAATAAGAAAGATGATAGTCTGTGGCATTTGAACAAGACCACTTCTTTCTTCCCCACTCCCAGCTCAGTGAGGTGAAGACTGCATTCTAGATTGCTTCAAACAAGAACAGGGCTCCTTCTATACCCATTTTTCAGTTGGAGTGCTTTCTGTTTTAAATAATCAGGACTTGGCATTTCAAATCCTGCCTTAGATATCCAAACATAAGCCTAAGCCCAAGGTTGGTACAGTTGAGAGGTGAGAATTTCCACCTGCTGTCCATCTTCCACCTATGTACTAGAGGCTCTGCCTAGGGCATGGCATGCATAGAATAGTGGGGTCCTCCTTGACCTTGCCCCTGCTAATGCAGTGGCTATTCCATGCCATTAGAAATAAGCCAAGAGGACCTTGGGATGCTGCCTTCACACATCCACATGACTGAGTACTCAGTTTCTAGAACAGGGGGACACTCAGAGAAGTGTAGGCCATTTTCAATCCAGTTCCAGTGCCGTCTCTCAGTGATTTTTTTTCTCACTGAGGGGATAAGCAGGGCTTACAAAAGATAATTTCTTTTCCATTTCCAAGGGTACTGACTTCATTTGAAAGAGTTTGGGAAAATAGATTTGACCTGACAGTAGAAACAATTAGCAAACTTGAAGATAAATTCATTGAGATTATGCAAGCTGACAAATAGCACAAAGAATCTAAAAAATAAACAGAGCCTCAGAGAAGTGTGGGAAATCATCAAGCACACCAATTCACATGTAATAACAGTACCAGAAGGAAAGGAGAGAAAATAGAAACAAAAAAAATATCTTTAAAAAACAATGGCAAAAATATTCCCAAATTTATTGAAGGGCACTAATTCACACATTCCAGAAGCTCAACAAACTCCAAGTAGGATAAACACAAAGAGATCCACAAACAGGCACATCAAATTAAAAATACTAAAAGTCAAATACAAGGAAGAAAATCTTGAAAGCAGCAATAGAAAAATAACTCATAACAAAAAAATCCTAATAAAATTAGCATCTAATTTCTCAGCAGAAACAACGGAGGCCAGAAGGCAGTGGGATAATCAAAATACTTAAAGACAATGACTATCAACCAAGAATCGTGTATCCATGGAAACTATTTTTCAAAAATTAGCAAGACTTTGTAGATACACAAAAACTGAGATAACTTGTTTCTAGCAGACCAACATGAGAGATATGAAAGAAATTTCTTTAGGCTGAAAGCAAATGACCTGAGATAGTACGTCATATACATACACAAAAATAAACGGCATCAATAGGATTATTGTGATGGTTAAATTTATGTGTCAATTTAAGTAGATCACAGGGTGCACAGATTAAACATTGCTGCATATGTTTCTGAAGATGTTTTCTGATCTCATTAGTATCTGAATAGGTGAACTAAAAACAGTAGATTGTTCTCTCCAATGTGGGTTGTCCTGATCTAATCTGTTGAGGGTTTGAATAGAAAAAAGGCAGAGTAGAGGAGAATGCATCTGTTACGCCTGATTGCTGAGCTAGGATATCAGTCTTCTGACTGATTGTTAAATATAAATTCTAAATTTTTCTTCAAAGAATTAATATGTCACTATATTCAATTCTATGCCTTCTACTTTTAAACTTAACTTTCTCGTAAGGCAACATTTCCAATTGCCTACTCCACCCTGACTCATTCTCCATCCTGACTTATTCTTCACCTTGACTCATTCTGATTACCTGCTCCACCCTGACTCATTCTCTGCCTTGACTCATTGCGATTACCTGCTCCACCCTGACTCATTCTCCACTCTGACTCATTGTTATTACCTGCTCCACCCTGACTCATTCTTCACCCTGACTCATTCCAATTACCTACTCAACCCTGACTCATTCCGATTCATTCTCCACCCTGACTCAATTCATAACCATTTTTCCTGCCAAACCACTCACCCTGTCACTCTCTTTAGTCAATCGGAATTAGTTTAGCCTGTGCCGTCTAACCCTAGCCAATAGGAGAACCACACAGCAGTAGGGACCACATGCATCAGGAATAAGAACACCTTTCCCTCCCTTGTCCAGGTGTGTGCTCACCATTGCTCCATCTTGAGGGCATACCCTTCTATAGAAGTACTTTGCCTTGCTGAGAATTGAAAATTTTATGTTTGAGTACTGTTTCTTCTGCAGCACCAAAACTTTATTTATAACACTGATGACTTACTTAAAACAGTGTCTACCCTGGTCCTTAGGACATCAGACTCAGATTGAACTATACCACCAGATTTCCTGGGTCTCCAGCTGGTAGACAGCAGATAATTTTACTTTTCAGCCTCCATAATTGTATAAGTCAATTTCCCTTGTTGCTTTATTTTCTATTTATCTGCAGAACCTCAGATTTCAATTCAAATTTTAGTACCACCCCAGCACCTCTCTTTGCTTCTATACTCAAGTCTCAGCAGGCTCCTAAGGGTAAGATACAAAATATCTGAGGAACATGTGTGGAAATGAATACTGAGAGTGTGGGATAATCATAAAAGAAAACATAAAGTTGGTTCAGGCCAAATTTATTGATATGGGCTCACTAAGCAAACATTCTGCATTTAATTTTGCAGCTTGGGGAGGTAGAAAGTGCACTCAGAGTTTGTGTGAGTAGTTGGGTGAAACTGTGATGGAAAGGTAGCCCACAGTGAGCAAACCGGAAATGCTGCATCTGCTTTCATTTAATGGAGAAAGAGATTCAAAGGCTTAAAGAAATGGAATGTTAGAGTAGATTTGTCATTTAAGACCCACTCACCCACATGGGAGAGTCCAGAAGTCATTCCTGTCACCAACACTGAGAAATTTGTGACAAGAGCCCCAGCATTTTTGAAGAGCTCTGTGATCACTCTGCTCTATAGGCCAGGTCTTTCAGTGAGAACTGCAGGCACTCAATTGGAAAATCTAAATGCAAAGTAGGTAATTGTGTCCTGGGGCAGCAGGGGCCAGGTGGCGGAACTGGCAAGTTGTTGCACTTAACTGCCAAAAGCAGGGTAGGTGCAGTTACCATAATTAACAGCAGAGCTAAAGCAGCAACTGATTGACACAGACACATGGCATTGACTAGTTAATCATGCTATTCCTAGAAGTTAAATAGATAGGAAGCCTACTAAATTCTTACTTGATCTGTGCAAGCAGAAAAGCCTAAGCAAGTAAACAGAAGTCTAACCTGAATCATAAAAACAGAGAGTCATGTTCTCTCCATTAATTTCCAGACATGAGCCAGTTTATAGATCCAGAAACCCTTGAATTAAAAGAAACCTGGGTCCTTTGAGGAAGGACCATGGAACACTGCTGAAAATTTAAACTGTTAATCTCTCTCCCAGTCATCTCCAAAAGGACCAATAGTCTCATCACAGTAACTGTGAATTGGAAAAATTGAAATAATTAAACATTTCTGGGACTACTGGACACTGGCTCTGAATTGACACTAATTCCAGGAAACAAAAAATCATCATTGTGACCCACTAGTCATAGAATGGGCTTGATGAAAATCAGGTGATTAATGGAGATTTAACTAGAGTCTATCTCTCAGTGGACCTAGTCAGTCCAGAACCCATTCTGTGGTTATTTCCCCAGTTCTAGAATGAATAATTGGCATAGATGTACTCAGCAGTAGACAGAATCTCTACAGTGACTCTCTCTCTTACCTGTAGAATGAGGGCTATTATGGTGGGAAAAGCAACTGGAGGCCATTAGAATGGTCTCTACCTAGAAAAATAGTAAAACAAAAGCAATACTGCATTCCTGGAGGACTTGCAGAGATCACTGCCACCATTAAGGATTTGAAGGGGGCAGGGGTGATGATTTCCACCACAACATCATTCAAATCAACTATTTGGCCTGTTTGGAAAACAGATGGATGTTGGAGAATGACAGTGGATTATTGTAAGCTTAACCAGGTGGTGACCCCAATTACAACTGCACTATCAGATGTGGTTTCATTGCCTGGGCAAATTAATATATCCCTTGTTACCTGTATTAATCTAGAAAATGCCCTTTTCTCCATGCCTTTTGATAAGGCCTACCAAAATGAGTTTTGTTTCAGCTGGCAAGGCCAGTAATACATCTTCACTGTTCTACCTCATGGGGATATCAACTCTCCAGACCTGAGTCATAATTTAGTTCACAGGATTCTTGATTACCTTTCCTTTCCACAAGATATCACACTAATCTATTACATTGATGACATTATGATGATCAGACCTAGACAGCAAAACGTAGCACCTACTCTAGACATATTGGTAATTCATTTACATGCCAGAATAAAAGAAATAAATCCAGAAAAAGCTCAGGGGCCTTCCATCTTGGTGAAATTTCTAGGGATCCAGTGGTGTGGGGCATGTTGAGATATTTATTTTAATGTGAATAATTAGTTGTTGCACCTGGCTCCTTCTAAAGCCAAGACAAAGGCACAACATGTAGTGAGCCTCTTTGGATTTTGGAGGCAACATATTTCTCAACTGGGTATGTTACTCCAGCCCATTTACTAAGTGACTTAAAAAGATATTACTTTTTAATAGGATCCAGACAGAAGAAGACTCGGCAACAGATTCAGGCTGCTGTGCAAGTGGCTCTGCCTCTTGCACCTTATCCAATAGTGCATTAAATGTCAGCAGCAGAAAAGAATGCTGTTTGGAGACTTTGGCTGGCTCCTATTGATGAATCACATCACAAATGCTTCAGATTTGGAGCAAAGCTCTGCCATCTTTTAAGACACAGCCCTTGACCTGCTACCATGTTTTAGTAGAGACTGAATGCTTAATATGGGCCACTAAGTTACCATGAGACCTGAGATGCTTATCATGAACTGAGAGATATCTGACCCACTAAACCATAAAGTTGAGCTTATACAACAGTATTCTATCATCAAATGAAGGTGGTATATACATGCTCAAGCCTGATCAGATCGTGAAAGTATAAGTAAGTTGCGTGAAGTGACCCAAATGCCCATGGTCCCCACTCCTGCTATAGTACGTTTTCTCTCCCAGTCTGCAATTATGGGCTCATGGAGATTTTTCTACATTGACTTAATGGAAGAAGAAGAGTCAGGTCTTGTTTATAGACAATCCTGCATAATATACAGCAACCATCTGAAAGTGCACAGCTGCAGCACTATAGCCCCTTTCTGGGACATCCTTGAAGGACAGTAGTGAAGAAAAATCCTGTCAGTGGGTAAAACTTTAAGCAGAGCACCTGGATGTGCACTTCATTTGGAAGGAAAAATGACCAGACGTGATTATAGACCAATTCTTTGCCTGTGTCCAATATTTTGCCTCAATATCCAGGAACTTGGAAGGAAGATAATTGGAAGAGTGATGGTAAGAAATTTTGAAGAAGAGGTATATGGATAGACCTCTCCAAATGGGCAAAGACTTTGAAGATATTTGTCCCATGTGAATACTTACCAAAGAGTGACTTCAGTAGAGGAAGATTTAAATAATGAAGTGGATAGGGTAACCTATTCTGCTGAAACTAGTTGACCTTTTTCCCCAGACATCCTTGTCATCATACAGTGGACTCTTTAAAAAAGTGTCCATGGTGGTAAGGGTGGTGATTATGCATGAGCTTTGCAAAATGGCTTTCTACTTACTAAGGCCAACATGGCTAAAATCACTGCTGATTAATGCTAATTTTAAGGGCCAATTGGACACTACTCCACTATGAAGAAAAGGAACAGTATGCCTGGTATATAAAAAATCTTTTAGAATGTCTTTTAGTATTTCCATGCCCTGTGATTAAGGTCAATGGAAAATTACAGTGACCTAGTCCAGGCAGGACTACTAATGGTCCAGACCCTTCAGGAATAAGGTTTTAGGTTATTCTACTAGGTAAAGAACCATGAGAAGCTGAGGTGCTGCCTGAAGGCAAAGGCAAAACAGGGTGCTTAGAGGTAAAAGGTAATAATAAATACCAGCTATGATCATGTGACCAGTTACAAAATTGAGAATTGTAATTGTCATAGTTTGTTATGAATACATTTGTGTGTGTATATTTGATTTGTTTCCTTTCTTATTACCCTATCATGTCACATAAGAATATTAACTTTATATCATAACATATAAATATTGATACTTTTGTATCATATTATTTAAATTACAGAAAATGGGCAAAGAGAAAACAACACTCAAGGACTTTACCTCTTTTGAGGAGGGGTTTGTGTATTTTTGATTGTACACAGGACAGTTCTATCAAGTCAGACAAATTTATAATCTTATTGCCTTTATTTAGAAAATAAGTATAGTGTAAGAAAATGCATATGGGTGCCAAGTCAAAGATTTGACTTGTGATAGTTATATACATTAACTTGACTGGATCCCAGGATGTGCAGCTATTTGGCTAAATATTATTTCTAGATGTATCTGTGAATGTGTTTTTAGATTAGATTAGCATTTGGAGAGGTAATAATATACTCAGTAGAGCAGATTCTCCTCCTCAATTTGCATGGGCGTCTATTCAATCCAATGAAGGGCTAAATAGAACAAAAGGCAGAAGAAGGAATAATTCAATTCTGCTGTCTGACTACCTGAGTGAAACTTAGGTCTTGTACCCTTGGAGTGAGACACACCATTGCTTCCCATAGTTCTCAGCCTCTGGACGTGTACTGAACCACATCACTGGTTTTCCTAGGTCTCCAGCTTATTATTTATATTATCTGAAATATTTTTAGAAACACACAGAAGCAAGTAAGTTGTGTGTATATGCTTTCACAAATCAGCACAGTTTAGGAAACATACTCTCCTTGTGAATTTCAGTTATAATGCAAAGTTACATAATATGGACATAAGTTTTTTTTATTATAAACAGAAATATATTAGGAACTGTGTATCTGTTATAAATTGAACTAAATATAATCATGGTCTTCAATAGCCATTATGTTACCTAATGTTTAAAAGTTCAGTATTCTTAACATCATCACTAAAAATAAATTTGTGATGAACACTTAACTTAATATTTCATATTTAATTATAGAATCATATCATTTTAACTGCTGCTACTGATAACTTTTTGTCCAGCTTCCTTATTTTATAAAAGGGACTTTATGACACATTTTTTTCATTCTGATGGTTACGTTAATAAAGAATGAAGAAGTATTATTAGAGAGACTTATAGTCTTTTAGTGTAGAGAGACATTATTAAACTAATTTTAGACGACTGACTATAAAATCTAAGAAGCTTTTTTACTTGCTTAGTTATAAATTAGTATTAAATATAAAAACAAGCAGTATTGAAATTGTAGTGCACATTCTGGTAAACATTTTCTTTGAAGAGGCAGATAGTAAATATTTTTATGTTTTGTGGGCCAGTCTCTAATGCAGCATGGCAACCCTATAGCATGAAAACAGTCATAGACATACACACAAGGATGAGTGTAACTGTGTTCCAATAAAAATGTAAATAATAAATAGAACATGAGTTGGATTTGGTCAATGGTCCATAGTTCACTGACTCCTAATCTAGTGTTCTATAAGATAATTATGATTTATGTGCCTAGAAAACTCTTTACCTTTTTAAGTCCATAGAATTCACATAATTTATGTTGTTGGCCTGACATTAGATAAATTCACATTAAAACCGTTTTGGTACAAATTTAATAAAGACCGTTAAATACATTACGTTGATTGAGTCCAAGGCAAAGTCTATGCTCCAAAATTATTGAACGATTATTATTAACCCAATTAAAGATTTATTTTGCTTATTTTAATTTGAACTATGTTCAAGTTTCTCTTTCATGCAAACTTATTAAAACACTTTAGTTCTAAGGTAAATAGGAGTCATTGACTTATTTTTTGTTTGTTTTGTAATTTAGACTTACCTCTCTTTGAAAACAGAAGATTGAGACTGATTTATTGGTATGGATAATACAAAAGCAAACTACTCAATTCCTCCACATCTTAGGGGATTGGCTTTGGATTAGAGGTGCCAGAAGGTCGGTATACAATTTCTGTAAGGTTATTATTCTAAACATATTTTTGGATGATTATTGTGTGTTAGGTGCTGAGACAGATATAAGGATAAATGAAGAATTTTTTCCCTTGTACAATACAGTAATTTTTGAATTCCAGCTGTTATTAGTACTTGTGTATGTCTCTAACAGAAGTCACCTCTCGTTCTGTACATATTTCTGAAACTCACTCACCACTGATAAATTAACAGTAAGCACTTGATATTCCTTCTGCCCTGGAAGTTTTCCATGCTAGCCAGCAGGCTACTACTAATAATTTTCCATTCTCCATCTTTCAAACTTAATGAAAGAATGATGAGTGTTTTCCAGGATTTGCCCTTACCACCTGATATCTTCTGGTAAAAGCCACTTTTAATTCATTTTCTTTGTCTATTTCTTTTTCTTCTCCTCCTGCTTTCCCCCTCTTTCTTTTTATTCTTTTTGTCAAGATGTTCAATTTATTATAGCTATTAAAATAATATAACTATTTCCTCCTAGGGATATCAGCAAAAGAGAAACAGAAAGAGATGGTTAGGGAAAATAACTATACATGTTACATAAAATTAAAATTTTTTGTAAATGACTACTTTTATTATTTACTGTTATATGAAATGAAACAACAATTTTAATTACCATGCCTTTTAGGCTATGGATAACATGTTGGAGTTTGCTGAAAAAGAATGATCTAAACTAAAAAATTAGCTATCTTCTGTATTGTCATTTTCAAACTAAAAGTAATCTTTATTTTTAGTTTAGAATTTTGCATTAAACTTTAAAAATGTGATATTTATCATCTATCACAGAATATTTCAAATTAATGTTTCTTAATATAAACCAGTGAAGTGATAGAATATTTCAAGTTATTTATGCTTTTTTGTTTTCACCAGGAACCAGATTGTGAGGCTTCTTGATCTGGAACTCCCTAGACTCTGGAACTGTGAGAAATAATATCTCTTGTTTAAGCCATCAGTCTATGATATTTTGTCATAGTAGCCTTAGGAGACTAATACAGTTGGGATATAGGCAATGGAGACCAGAGGAGAACATTCTATTTAATCTGAATGAATTTTTCAGTAATATTAAATCCTCAAACTCATAAATACTTAAAATGTGCTAGATTCTGATTACTTAGTTATTAGGTAATTTAATAATTATAACCACCATATTTTAGTTTTCCAGGACTGTATAACAAATCGCCACAAACCGTGTGGCTTATACCAATAGAAAATTATTTTCTCACTGTTTGGGAAGGTGGACATTTGAAATCAAGGTATAAGCAGAGATGTCTTCTCTCGAAGATTCTAGGAGTGAATCTATCTCATACCTTTCTCTTAGTTACAGTATCACCATCAGTCTCTGGCAGTCCTTGACTTGCAGCTGCATGAGTCCAGTCCCTGCCTCCATTGTCCCATGATATTCTCTCTGTGCATCTCAGTCTTCACATGATGTTTTCTGTTTTTATAGGGACAGCAGTCATGATGAGTTATAACCTGCATTAATGACCACATCTTTATTGATTATATCTGCAAAGCTTATTTTTAAGTAAAGTCATATTCACAGATACTGAAAACTGAGACTCCAACATAACTTGTTGGAGGACACAATTCAACCCATAACACAGACTATGAGAGAAAAATATTTTTAAAAACAATTGTTATTATCTACATTTTATAGATGAGGAAATTTGGGTCTTGAGCACTTAAATGATTTACCAGGGTCAGATAATTAGTAAGTGGCAAAGCTATACTTTGAAGCCAGAAAGCTGGGCTAGAAATTTATTGTCTTAGTCTTGAGCCATATCCCAGAAAGTATAAAACATATGTTCATATGATAATATTAAATTTTCATCCTTTGCCTCTCCTTTTAATCTAGGCAAAATAAGTTCCATAAATTGCAGTGAAAATGAACTGGAATAAACATCCTTAAACAGAAATATGCACTTAAACACAAATATGGGTTGTGGAAGTATATTTAAAAAAACATACTTTCCCTCCAAACTAAAAACAACCTTTGCAAGTATAGTCAGCTTGGAACTCAAATACCAAGGAACAGAGCCTGATGACTTTGAACAGTACTGTTGTCTCTTATTTTACACTTTGACAATCGGTCATCGAACACTGCCCATAATTTACCAGTGTTGGTGCGACATATTTCAGCAGTTTGAAATGATTTGTATCAGTTTCAGGAAATCAAATAGAAATGTTGTATATTCTTCCCCATGAAATATACTTCCATGTATGGGATTTTATTTTAATCATGCTGGAGGAAGATGTTTTTGTCAGCATTTTTTCTTTGAAATTGGTAAATAACAATAAAAATATATTTTTAAAAATGTATACTGCGTTCAAATTCAACAGATACATAGTGAACACAAAGAAGGGGTATTTATACACAATGCACAAGCTTCATGAAGGCAGGTTTATGTTGATTTATATATATCTATACCTCCAATGCCTAGCATATTGCCTGAGGAAAAATCTATTATTTGCATGAGTGAAAGATAGATACTGTTCCTTCTCTTCACGAGCTCTGATTTTAAAAATCAAGGTAGATTATTTATAAATAGGGGTAGACTAAATAACAAATAAATATAATATAATTCAGAATATTATTATGAGATGGTGGAGAAATAGCAATGTTTTTTAAAAACCCAGAAAAAGAATAGTTCACATCCATATGAGAAAAAGTTAAAGTTTAGAAAGTTTAGCTATAATTTGAAAGTAAGGGAGTAATACGAAGGCTGAGGAAAAATAAGTTCTTTGAATCTCTTAGGCACAAATATTTGTAAAATTTTTAAATCATGCTACCTGCACCCATGTCTGCACATCCCATCCATCAGCAAAATCTTCTGATTTGCTGATCATATCCCACCTCTTTCTCTGCAACTACCTGAGTCCAAGACACCATCATCTCTCACCTACATTATTGAAATAGCTCTCTAACCCATTCTTCTATTTTCATTCTTGCCTTCATTCATCTATTCTGAATATAGCAGCTAAAATGATTCTCTTCTAGGATTTCAGATAGATTGTATCATTTCCCTACTCAGCTCTCCAGTGGCTTTTCATCACATTTAGGTTAAAAGCCAGTTCTTATAATAGCCTACAAAGCCTTCTGACCTTTCCTTCTTTTTGCTTGGCTATTCCATTCCAGTCATACTGATCTCAGTATTTCTCAAAGGGTATAGGAATGGTCCTACTTCAAAATTTTTGCACTTGTTCTCTCTTCCTATTTTATTTTTTTCTGAAAAACATCTGCTCCATTTGACCACTCAGTTTTTCCAAGAGTCCAATAAATGTCTCCTTCTATGTGTGCCTTTTCTGGCTATCCTATATATACATATTTATCTTATACATACATTTATGGTTTTATTTAGTCTTCATCATCACCTCATCATCTAATTATATATAATATATATTTTATATATATTTTATATATATAATTATTATATATATAAAATATATATATATATATATATTTTTTTTTGAGACAGAGTCTTGCTCTGTTTCCCAAGATGGAATGCAGTGGTGCCATCTTAGCTCACTGCAATCCCACCTCCTGGGCTCAAGAGGTCCTCCCACATCAGCCTCCTGAGTAGCTGGGACTACAGGAGCATGCCACCACGTCTGGCTAATTTTTCTATTTTATTTTTTGGTAGAGATGAGGTCTTGCTAACTTGCCCAGGCTAGTATTGAATCCTTGGGCTCAAGTAATCCTCCTGCTTTGGCCTCTCAAAGTGCTGGGATTTCAGGTGTGAGCCACTGCACCCAGGCTTCTAATTATATATTACCGATCCAATTTTTCTTTTTCATTTTTATTCTGTCTTTACTGATTGGTAACCTCTATGATCCCAGGAATTTAACTCTTTGTTCACTACACTATTTCTATTTTTAAGAACTATAGCTGGAACAAATTATATACCCAGGGATTTTTGTTTGTTTGTTTAATGAATGAGTGACTGACACTTTACATTTTGAACCTAAAAATATATTGTATTATGTATCGTATCATAATTCAAAAAAAGGAGTTTGGAAGACACCATTTTTTTCTATTCATCTATTTTTTTCTATTCAATTGTCATTTTTTTCTTGGTATTAGAACCCTAATTTTAAAAAATGTGTTACACAATGTTATGCTTCATAGGTACCTTCCCCAGCAATCCTGCTAATCAGTAAATGACAGTTGCTTTGCCAGTAGTATGCTTAGGCATGAGAATCTGACTCCTCTAAATAATGACTCATAAAAGGAAATCTTTTTTATGGGCTCATGAGAAAGTTTATGTTCCTAGTATTAAAAAGAGAAATGTCCTTCCTATCTTTTTTATGTCATTGTGTGAGTATACAATCATTGATGTATGGCCATCATGAATAAAGAAGGAACAAGTCAAGGGAATTGCTGAAATGCTGCACTGAAACCCTGATGATGTAGAAACAGCAAAAGAACAATACAAATAAACACAAACAAATAAACAACAAAAAAAAACTATATCATTTCTGACCCTGAGCTACTTTTAATGTGAGACAATAAAACTCTTATTCCTTCAGGCCATTTTATTTGGATTTTTTTACTGCTGACTTACTGAAACTATCTCATGTAAATTATGCCCATGGTTTATAAAAAAGGTAATTCAGGAGGAGATCCTCATTCTATTTGTGTTGGATTTTAAATTTATGTATGTATTTTTTAGTTTATCTTTCACTTCTACCAAAATAGGATTTAAAACAACCTACCAAGACATATATTTAATACCACAGAAGGGATATATTTGCTATATAATTTATATATATAAAAAAACAAGAAAGCAAAAATAAAGGTAATTGTAAATTACATTCTAAGATACACAACTGAATAATTAAAGCTAAGCTATTATTTATTTGTGAATTCTTAAATAGCCAAATCAGAAATAAATACAATAAATTATGAGAAGTTCAGCATCCATATTGTGAAATTTTTCTTACAGTTATTCGGGAGAAGCACAGATGTTCCTGGTACTAAGACCCATGGAAAACAATTTTTATGATTCCTGTGAGCAGCATACTCAGCAGCACACCTAGACAATTAAAAAGTTTCTAATTACCACTTTTGCCCATCCCCATGTCACTACCTCATACAACGCCAACATTTTATCTCGTCATTCTGACTAGATCACTGTTCTATTTTATTTCCTTGAGTCCAGGTTTACCCCCCAACACATATAATTAAATCCTATTATAGACTGACAAGATAGTTCAGATAAAAAAGTAAAAATGTAGACGTTGTCTTAACTCTAAATTAATTTGCTGTCTAGACAGTAAATGTATGTAAGTAACATGACAGGAGACTTCTGGCTTTATCTGTGAAGGATAGCTTATGGAAGATGAAAAATCTAAACCAGAACAACAGCAATAAAAAAGCAAATCTGCTAAAATACACAATAATATTAAAAATATAAAGAAAATCTTCCGAAGAAATCATAACTTGAAGGTAGGATCCCAGAAAAATATAAACTACAGAGTTGAACCAACAATCACTGGGACCTTTTTTTCCCTTGGAACATTTGCCAATTAATGACATGGAACAAAGGCCAATAAACCAAAAATTTGCCAAAAATGAAAGAGGATGGCAGATTTTATTCTTACAATCATACTGTGCTTGACAGACTGAGGCTGAAATGATAAGAAAGTGAAAAAAAATTAGTAGCTAAGATATCAGTGAGAAGAGAGGCTCAGCGATGTTAACTTTTCATTTAATTGTTTGCCCCCAAGTCAAGGACAGTGTAAGAGGCACTCTCACCATATGGAGGAGATAAAAATTTGAGTCCATGACACACAGAATTGGAGTCATCCACATCTTCAGTCGTGATCCTTGGAGGGCTTTATCCTAGAAATGAAAATAAATCCTATGTACATAAACTTTAGAAAACAAAACAAAAGTTTGCAACATTACAGCACAGCCTTGAACAAGTTCATGTAATATGCCCTAACTGTATCTGTCTACAAGAGAATAGGATGATAAAAGAAGAAAAAAATCATTTAGAGCCTTGTAAAAGTTTCATAGTCAATGTCCAATGTTAAAATATCAAGGATTAAGAAGGAAAAGAAAAGTGATGAAAATAGGCCAAAAGATAACTAAGTTATTGAAATTATCAGCAATTGACTTTAAATACAAAATGACTCACATGTCAAAAAAAAAAAAGATGTAGAGAGTCATGCTAGAAAACTAAACAGGAAAAATAAAAATCAAATAAGAAATATGGGATTCAGAAAAACAAATTGAAATTAGGAACTCAGTCAATACATTTTATAGCAAATTGGAAAAGGGAACAGATTAGAGAACTGGAGAAAGTTGATATAAAATATTCTAACCAAAGCACAGAAAGTAAAATGGTTAGAAAATATATGAAATAAGTAGGAGAGGAGAAAGTTCTAACATTAGTGTAATTGGAGTTTCAGATGAGGGTGGAAGAGAACAATTTAGAAGCAAAGTTTGAAAAATAATGGACATGACATTAAATCTATAATGTTTAGTAAACACACCCATATCAATTAATTCAGCCCTATCTACTATTACATCCTTTCCTCTTTGGTCCAACACCCTTAATTTTCATCACCATACATATTCTGTTTTCTGTCAAAATATATTAGGGAATTCTCGTAATTATCTTGATATTTAAGTTATTTTCTCCTAAGTTATAATATATAGCAACTTCCCCAGATCATGTTCATATTTGAGAAATAGCTATGGATCTAATAGCAACAGGGAAATTGTAGTGGGTTTTGAGTAAAATGGGAATCTACTTATAAGGCGTCTTCCACAAATGAAGTTATCATTGTGTTTTCAAGAACAAAAGGAGTATCTTCTTAGAAAACACGATAAGTTACTGCTACTTTCATTCAAAATAATCTTTTTTTTTTTTTTTTTTTTTTTTTTTTGAGAAGGAGTCTCACTCTGTCACTGAGGCTGGGCTGCAGTGGCCCTATCTCGGCTCACTGCAAGCTCCACCTCCCAGGTTCACGCCATTCTCCTTCCTCAGCCTCCCGAGTAGCTGGGACTACAGGCGCCCGCCTCCACGCCCGGCTAATTTTTTGTATTTTTAGTGGAGACGGGGTTTCACCGTGTTAGCCAGGATGGTCTTGGTCTCTGACCTCGTGATCCGTCTGCCTCCGCCTCCCAAAGTGCTGGGATTACAGGCGTGAACCACCGCACCCTGCCCCAAAATAATCTATCTTATATCATGGTCTTTACATAATCATTGTTACCAAAACAGTCACGTACAACAGCCACATGAGCTTCCAAGATACATGGATCAGTTGGTACTTCATCATAATCAGTCACAGTGATAGCTTGATTAAGATTCCACTGCATGTCAGGGATTACTAGTATTTTATTTTCCATTGGCAAGGAGCTCAGCACTGTGCTTAAGCTCAAGGGCAAAACCAACACCAAATTCCATTTTTAGGGACTAGTCTTTTAAGTCCACTCCTGATACCAATTTTGTATTAGTCCAAACAATCAGGCAAGAAGCCATGCAGTGACATAAAAAGGGCAATTTTAATATAAAAAATAAACATGGCTCTAAGATACCACGTAATTAATAATAATACACTTATTTTTAATTAAAAGTAATTATAAGGTATAAGAAATATTTACATGGTATCTTAGAGCTGAGGGAGACTGCACAGGGATAGTCATACTTAGAAGGGGGCCCACTACCAAAACGGGCTTAGATCTCCACAGAGGTGTAGTTACAGGATTCTATATAAGAGAAAACTTTGTTGGTTTGCCTGGCCTAGAGTTCATCCACAACTGTGGGGCAAGCGGGAACAACAAATTACCTAGAAAACAGGAGGGATACCACTGGTAAGCCACAGCCAGTGGTTAGGCAGATGAATTCAGAGAAGGGGCGCCAGTGAAGGCAGAAAGCCTCAAATGCATGGTGTTTATGTTGGGAGATACACGGTGTTGCTAAGGCTGCAGCATCAAGAAAAATGGGAAATAAAGCTCTGGGGCCTTGGGGCAGGTAAGCGTAGGAAACGTCGAATCTGCAGAAGCCATGAAGCATACAGGGTCTGTGGTGAGATAGCTGCAGTGAGATGATGACCAGCCTGAGCCAGGGCTGCAAGGATGCCAAGAGATTATACTTTTAGATGTGTACTCGGGGCAGTTCTGATGCCCATATCACAGACCAAAATGTGCAACTCTGGAAATGCAAGCGCACTCCTTTCTCCTGCAATGTCCCTCCAGTGACCTTTGCTGAGGAAGATTAAATTGTAGTCTATATAAAGAAGAAATATTTAGAGGAAATACGTCTGTTATCACAGAAAATATATTGCAGAGTGAATTTGGAGCTGAGAGGTAGTAAATTGATAACTATCACAGAAATCAATGATATATATATTAAAATATTTATAATTAATACCATGAATATCCCTTGATATCAGTTGATTCCCTTTTAAGACAGTCTTTGAATCCTGGATCTTATTTAACTCATATTAAGTCAATAATCACAGCTAACACTATGTTTCTCCATTACATTTTTCTTTATATTGCCATCTGATACATTCACACACTTTAAAAAACCTTACTGGTCATGGAATAGAAATATATAATGCAATATGCTTATAATGAAAAACAATTCATCATTCAAACACAACATACAAAATACAAAATGTTAATTATAAATATGCTAAAATTATTATTATATTTGATTAATTGTATAACCGACACAATCATCTTTCTATTTTCATTAAATGTTCTAAAAGTTTGCAGTTCTAGATGTTTTCACAATTTGATATTAATTCATTTTGTACAGCTGCTCAGTCAGCATGTGGCCACTAACACATCATATGCTTTGTCACATAATATGGTGTGATTTAATGGGAAGAAGAGATCATTCCTCTTGGGGAATGGGTGACTCTGGACACCAGTTATCAGTTGTTAAAAATTTTGATTTTAAAACTTCTTTAAGAAATGGATGTATTTGACTTGCTCCAAACTGGTTATTTTGAAGGAAACATATTGTCATCTTATTCCACACGGGTTTTTTTTTTATAGGCTCTCACTCATTTTGAACATCACAAAGCTTTGAAAAAATGCATATTACTTAATTATTGAGTGCACATTATTCCTCTTAAATACTATGGATTTCTGATTACTTGACTTTTTATTCTGTTTATTTTGCTTAGAGGTCAAAGTATTTTAGTTGCTCTTTATACAATTTCAACTTATTGACAAAATCTTTAAAAATCATATTGAAATCCCATGCATTCAAGTATCCAGAATTTTGGTATAAAATAAATTGATTTTTTTAAACTTTTCAGATTTACATTTTCGTTATAAAAACTTGAAAATTTTCCAGATAAAACTTGCAATTGCCAGGTAGATATAGAACCACATACGTATGTGTAAAATTTAAAAATCACATGTGTGTATTTATAATCTACATGTTTTGCAACTCATTTACTTTGATATATTGTAAATTGCACACATACTACATTATAGAGTACTTGACAAAATTTTAGTAATAGAATTAATATAGGGCATGAGCTGTTTCAGATTGTCCATTTTTTAGATGTAAAAACTGGGATTTGAATAAATATTAGCATATACCCACATTCTTTTAGGTATTTTTATTAGGTATTAGGCATCTATTTCATAAAACATTTATTGACAAGCAGCTACATATGAGATTAGACTTGAAAAACCTGCTGACTTAGGAGGGAAATACATGGTCTATCTTCATTAAAAGACAGGAAAGTTTGTAATTTATATATCTTCATTTTTCCTTATTAACTTCCTAACTTTTGCTACTTTCTCCTTAGTCCCAGGTAAAAATCTTATCCTGATCCCAGTTATTAGAGGCCTCTTTAAAATTATGATAATGGTGATAATTGTTGAGAAAACAAATTACTTTCTACTAATCCAAACTGGAATTAGTAATCTACGATATTCATGTGTAACAAGTCAAGAAGGATGGTTTTACTTTTATTTAGTGTTTCTGGAGCCAGTCTCATTTAAACTTGTGATCAAAATAGGATTATTTATAATCCTAGCAGTTCCTGTTGAATTATTTTTGATCATCTACTCTCACACTCTCCAGTAACAGAACATTAAGTTGGATTTATATTACAACAAATATACCAGGTGAATCTGCTTCATTTGTACACAATATTGAGTCTTGTGTAACAACAAACACCCCGAATGGTTCTCCTAAGGAAGAAATAATATTTATTTCCAGAGGAGCCACTAGAGATTTGGTCACAGAGGAGCAGGAAACCCATAACTCACAACCTTGCCTTATGTCTTCTAATTTATAATGAAGTAGAATGATTACTGTTCCTCCAATATTTATTCCTCAGTGCCTGGAGGAGAGAAGTGTTTTGAGTGTAATCGTTACTTTGCAAGGATAATTTGACTGCTGTGGTTGGCAATCAGTGAATTTATTCTTAAAAGAGTATGTCTAAAAAATAAAATGCGCACATACAATTCAGTCTTTCCTTCAGGAAGAGTGTACTTTATCATAGTTTACTGATGTTTCTTTTGGCTTCTGAACTCATTGGCAATATCAGACATATTTTAGAATTGTTGAAAAATTTAGTAAATCTCTGATCATGATTATTTAACATGTCAGCTACAAAAATTCAAGTGATTTTAGATTTCATGTGTAATTTTAAAAGATCTTTAATTATCAGTACTCGATAACCAGGCCCTGGAAAGTAGCCTCCTTAAAAAAAAGACATGCAGGCTTAAGATTTATTTTCTTCATGGTAAATCCAACTCCAAAAGAAAGCAAATAATTTCAATAAGTAGTTACAATAAAGTGAGAAATATTTTGAAAGAAATACAGGATAGTTCTGGATGTATTTAGCAAGAAGCTTCTAACTTAATGTGGAGGCATTCTGAGAGGAAAGAAAAAAGTAAAAAAAAAAAATGACTTTACCTAAATAGAAATGTCATGTACAATATCAGGGAAAAAAATTGAATGAAGTTCTCGTTGGAATAAAAATTGAAATTGAACCTTATCCTGAGGGTACTGGGGTACCACTGTAATGATTTTAGAAGGTGTCAAAATCAGATCTATACTTTTAATGCAAAGGTAGTTATATTTAAATAGAAAGATTGTTGCTTTATTTCACTGACTATACAGACACCTGCAAACACAGTGTGTGTCAGAGGGTAAGTGAGACTTCGAGTATAAAATATAAAATTAAGAGCTTTCTGCATTTAAGAGCATACAGAATGCCTTTTTCTTTTAGGACATCTTGAAATTCTTTGTCGAGATAATGAAAGCAATGGATTTTATTCCCCAGATAAATGTATCCTCCTCAAACATAAACATAGTATTAAAAAATAAATATATGAAAATATTAAAATATTAACATTAATATTATATGGAAATTACTAACACCTGTTTATGGTTTTCCAATATTGTTTTTTTCTTGAGTGAATTTTCTTTCTTTCTTTCTTTCTTTTTTTTTGAGATACTCTCACTCTGTCACCCAGGCTGGAGTGCAGTGGCGTGATCTCAGCTCACTGCAACATATTCCTTCCATGTTCAAGGGATTCTCAGTCCTCAGCTTCCCAAGTATCTGGGATTACAAGCACGCACCATAATACCTGGCTATTTTTTTTTTTTTTTTTTTTTTGTATTTTTAGTAGAGACAGGGTCGCCTTGTTGTCCAGACTGGTCTCAAACACCTGGCCTCAAGCGATCTGCCTGCCTCCACCTCCCGAAGTGCTGGAATTACAGATGTGAGCCACCGTGCCTGGCCTCTTGAGTGAATTTTCTTTGCCCATCCTCCTGGAATTTCACCCTACATGATAGTAAGTGACCTTCATTAAGATAGGAAAACAAAACAAAACACAGAAGAAAAAAATTATTAAAACGAGGAGAGTAGTTAGGATGAAAATAGGAAGATAAATAACTTGTTCCTTTTTGATATGTATATGTTGAGATAACTAAAAGAGAATCAAGTGGATATGAACTTTAAGAAGTTAAAGCTTAGATAAGAGGTGTGGATTGGAGATATTGATATAAGTGAATAATCAAATATTATATTTATCAACAGAGAACAAAAGAACCTGAATGTCAAGAATCTTATCTCTGCTATTTGTTCTGCCTTCTTTATGCTAGCACCTTACAATGTTATTTCAGAAATGAAATACCACAGATTATTTTTTCATTGAAGCTATATGTTATCTATTGTTCTTAATCAAATGTCACAGTAAATTGAATTGTCCAGGGAGGAGCCAAGTCAAATTTCTTTTCAGTATAAAAAAAATATGCGATTCTTCAAAAGTGACACAATTTCAAGAAATTTGGTGTGTTTCTGTTAGTCATTCATGTGTAGCATTTAAAAGAAAATGCCTTTTGAACATACATATAATTTACTCATTCAGTATATTTACTGAGGGTCTATTATGTGGCAGGCACTGTTCCTAAAAGCCAAAAATACAATGATAACCCAGAGAAACAAAGTTTATGCTCTCATTCCATTGAAATCAGCAAAGAAACTTGATGTTTAACATATAAAGCAGTTACAAATGCATGAAACATAAAAAAGAAAGGTTAGGCAATAGGAAGTATTGTGAAGTGGTATTTTAATACTGGTATCAAGGAAGGCTTTAATACAGAAGTGGTGCTATACCTGAATATAATGAAAAAATAAGCCATTCAATGGAGAATGAATATAAGGCTCCAGCTTTTTAATGCTCAAAGCCTGCAAGAATGTCAGAATGGCTGGAAAGGAGTGAGCGAGAAGATAGAATAGTGTGTGATGAGTAATTAATAGATATGGGAAGGGTTCTTATCATGTATGACCTCTTTTTCCACACAAGATATTGTGGTTTTTATTCTTGGCATAAACAGGAGCAGACATTAGAGTGTGGGACTACAAAGTGATGCCATCTTCTTATTGTTTTTATATTATTATCTCAGGTTGAAATTGTGCTACCAAAACAACAATGGAGTGTCATGTGTTAAAGGGTGGCTTGTGAAGAAGAAAGAGATTCTAGAAGAATCTAAAATAATGATATTTGACCAGAGTCTTAACTGAGGTATGGGAGTGGATCACATGGAGATCTCTAAGGGATATTCCAGGCAATTGCTTTGGAGGAATAGCAGTAAGTACAGTTTTATTTGAGTTGGCCTGGTAGAGAGAATGAAAGGCAATAATATTGGAGAAGCAGATTTGTGACAGATCACATAGTGCCTTTTAGAGTATGGTCATGTGCTTGAGATTTTGGGGAACTGATTTGAAGGTTCTGAGCAAGAAAGTGACAGGCTTACTCTTTTACTGAAAACATAACATTGTTTCACCAAGGTGACTTTTACTGCCAGGGAACAAATAGTTTTTAGAAGAACAAAAGAGAAGAGGCAGGAGGGGCACCTCTGAAATTATTGCAGGAGTCCAATTGAGGGAGGGTGGTGCCAGGGTGTAGGGTCGTAATGGTGGCACATGGTGGGCAATTTGTGATATATTTTAGGTAGATTCAGACAATGTGAAAACAGATTGCATGTTGAGTATTAGAAGACTCAAGGAAACTCTTTTTAGTAAGATCTTACTGTTCTCTTTCAAACTTTCATTTTCAAATTTTTGGTGATAATGTTATTTTGTTTCCATTTAATCCTTCTCTTTTGTCAAAGCTCAAAATGAAAGAGAAACAGCAAATAACCCCTCTCTAGCTCTTGCCCTTCTTTCCCACTGTGTTATTTCTTTCTACTCAGATGTACATGTATGCTGCTGCACAGAATTATACATTTTTGTTTGGAAAAAAATAGAACATTCAATGCCTGATGAGCATCACAATAAACTTTTCTCATAAGTAAACTTCCTTACAGTGCCAGACACAAAATGTCAAGGAGTTGTTTAGCACTTTTTCACAGACTTCAATGTTTTTATTCCCTGCTCAGCACAGTTCTGTATTCGGTGACATTGCAAAGTCATTTGAAGGGAAGTTGCCTGGTGAGAGGGAAGATGATAGTCTTCTTCGTCTTTTAAGTAACTAAAAATGTTTCAGCAAGACAAATTTCACAGTGTTCTAACTGAGTTTTTCTTCCCTTTTCCAAGTGAACATGTGAAGACTGGAAACTGAAGAAATGCCCTTCTAACTGGTGGGCAAAAAAAAGGGCAGCTTTCTCCACTCTTTCAATCTCTCATTAAAATATTGAGTATTATAAAAGAGAATGGTTAATTCATGTAGGGTAAAATTATTTATCTTATTTTACATTTTTGGAAACTAAGCATTTGAAAACAAAACATAGCGAGTCTCACCCTCCAACTCCAAGGAAATTTCAATTTAGATGGTTATACTCAAAGGAAATGCATTTGATACAGGTCTTGAAGAATAATTCAAATCTCAAAAAAGAGACTGAGGATGGACACATGAAGAGGAATGAGAAATGGAAGATACAGTGCTGTCAAAGAAAATAATGCACTTGGAGTTAAACAGTCAAGGAAGACTTTATTAAAGATTATTATTAAAGACTGTTATGCTAGAGATCAAGACTATTGCAATAGAGGAGAAAAATGGAATTCAACTCCCCTAAAGAAAAGGCAGGAGAATTTTAAATATTTTTTTTAAGAGCTGGGTTGTTCTACAGCATAAGAGAACATCAGAAGGGATATTGGTCCATGTGATTAGGCCCTCTGTGTTTGCTACTTAGTGCTTAGGGAAGTTAGGCTCTTACCCTCCCACAGAGGCCGGGAGACAGAGACTGCCTTTGATAATTACATTTCAAAGGGATGACTCCTATGTCTTTGAGAAAGGGTTATAAAACAAGGTTTTAAAACAGGGTTTATAAAACAAGCATTAGGCTGGAAGAAAATTTATATCTCAATGGAGAGAGAAAAAATTAAAATGTTAAGTTTTCTAAAGTAAATGCTCTAAGAAAAGGGAGAACAGGGGCCTAGAGTCAGGCAGAAGCCTGTCTAAAGTCTAATCAATCAAAGGAGAACATTAAGGCTATCGTGGTTAGTACAAAATGAAGAACATGGGTAGAGAGGTTGACCTGCACCAAATCATGAGGTCTGGAGACATTCCTTTTTCTTGGTGCTATTATTGGAATATTGTTGTGGTTTTGATATAAAGGGTAAAAGGAGATAGAGACATACTCAAGTAAACTCTCTAGGAAGCTACTATATTAGTCATAAACACTAGTTAATAAAGTCCTAATGTAGTATTAAAGGCCATGTAAATGAAAGGATAGATGATCAAAGAATTACTGAATGAAGTAAAATATTTATTATATCTATCCATTCATCTATGTATCTATATTTACATATTTTCTGTCTTTATTTCTGGTAAACCAAACTTTTCTACAACTAGATTTTGCTTCTTTTGATTCTCCTGTGACTGTTGACAGTTTAAATAGTCACACAGGGCCCACAGGTTTAACAGACTGATGTCCATCGGTTAAAATAACAGATGAGCAAATCTCCTGAGCCACTGAAGTTACTTAAGATTATAATTACTGTGGCATTAGAGTTCCTAGATGTCTGTATAATCCCTGTCCATTCTCTGGATGATGGTTTAATGGTTTTGTTTCTGACATTAAGAATGCTGTTTCCAATATTCATGGCAAATTAATTCACTAGGGAAAGGTGAGTGACAGTGTACTGCCAGTGGTCATGACTTCCTCTTAGGCTGTCATTTAGTCTGTTGTTTTCTGTTTTTAGCATAAAGAAAACTTTCACTTGTTTGTGTCAACAATGCTCTCCCAAAGAGCTTAATCGTGTCTGTCGGCATAACAAATTGTACAACTGAGCCAATGCAAACATTAGATACGTAGTGTGTCACATAATTGCTTAACTCTGATGCATATTTGGGAAAGGTCATTTAGGGTTCCTAAATGAAAAATGTTGTCAATTTTAATTTACTCTTAGCAGAGTTAAATGAATAGTTTTCATGGCACTGAAAAAAATTAAAAATTAAGTAGCTGTAATACTTACTCTGATTTTTAAAAATGCACTCATTCAGATTATCATCTTTACCCAAAATTTATTTCATTCTTTTATCAGTCATCTCATTTTTTTGGAATTCTTCTTTGTCTTTGTATTTATTTTGAATAATCAAAGTAATTAATGATACACCAAGTGATATTTTTTGGTTAACTTTAGAAAAAAAATAGATAAATTAAAGTCCAGATGTGAGTGGAATATATTTACCTCTAGGTTTTATAAAATTTAGTATCAATCTTATGGTATTCCTATTTTGTTTTTTGTATTGAAATGCATCATCTTTATCCTGACCACATTCAGACACTATGATATGATAGATAAGTATATGTGTCTCTGTGTGTATTTGAACGTGATACATTGAAAAATTTTTTTCTACTTTATCTGTGAAAGTTAAAAACTAAGATCCAACTACGATTGTGCCAAGTTAAAACTGAGAACAAATGTGACACATCAAGATGTAGAATCCTTGAACTTTAGTTTCTATGACCTGTTATTGATTGCTGAACTGCTTGTCATGGAGAGACTGCACAGGTCTCAGGTCAGTCAGGGTAGGTCATACTTTGATCACACAAACAGAAGTTTTTGTTTACAGAATATGGTTCAGAATTGTTTTATAACTTCTTAAACTGTGTATAAAACTATTTTGACTGGTAACAACTAAATCATGGATTTGGGTTCATTTGATTCACATGTGGTTCTATGGTAAAGAAATTATGAGAAAAAAACATTATTATGCCAACATTTGTTATTTTAGGGAATAATAAAGGTGAAATAAATTGATCATGGTATACAGATTTATGTAATAGTGTATGTAGGAATGTAAATTCCATCCAACTAACCCACATTGTTCTGGTGATCAGTAAGGACACTGCTGTGAGAGAGAACACACAGTGGTTCTTTTGCTCCTCGTGATTGATTAGAAAATATTCATGCATTTCAGAAATATGCACAGCGCCTCTACTGTGCACCACATATGAAGGGACAGTCAAGGTTATATAATCCTTGCTCTCATGTAGCTTGTACTTTAGTACTCTGCCTTGCTGTTAGTAAAAACAAGAAAGTTCAGTATCATTTTATGGTAATATATGTTAAGGCTATTGTTGTATATAACAAGCACTTAATCTATTTCAGTAAATTGAAGGAATACATTTTTTCAAGTGCTAACCCTTTGTTCATTTTTCTGCCTCTGATCAAGGTAATCAAAATTATGATAGTGGGAAAATCTCTAAAGTTAATGGCTAGTTACAAAAAGGGATTAAGAAAGAATTGCATGCATTTCATGCTTGATATGTGTTACTAACAATATTTTCATTAATAAATGTTAACATATAAGGCCTAAATAAATGACCAATGCAGAAACACATGGTGTCTATTTTTAGGATTTTTAAAATATAAAGTATATTAATGTGTGTATTAAGCAAGGGAAGTGTCCAAATTCAAGAATTTGTGTGTATGTTTAATAATGTCAAATTACTGTGTGTAGGGGGAAAAATGCCTATAAAGTAGATAATCTAGCTCATGGGCATAATTGAGGTGATGCATTTGTGTTATAGTTTCTTTTTGTAATCAATCAAATGTTCCTATTAGAATGTACATTAAAAGTACAAAAAAATTATACCTCAGATATATATTTATTTCAAGATGGTAAAAGTTTCATATTTATTTTTATTTTAAATGACTCATAAAGTTTCTATTCCATCCTTCAGAGAAAGCCTTAAATTATCATTAAACAATTTCAGGAAAACTAAGCCTATACATAAAATCAATTTCAACATTTTAATTGATTTCTTTCATGTTTGAGTTGAAATATGATTGCTTGGAAATTTTACATTTTGATATTCTTAATACGATTTTAAATTTTGTTTTAAATTTAAATATCAATTTTCAAATTCAAATACACTTTTATACCTATAATGACTAAGCATATGCATGGACAATGTTTTTAAGTAATCCATTTTTTAAAAGTAAATTTAGAGGAGAGAAAATTAAAGTTAAAAAAGATGATGGAAAGACGAGAGGTCCTCTAAATGCCATATATTTTAAATTATTATTTTGTATAACTTGAGGGAGCATATTTTTCTTTCCTATTTTCTTTCTCTTTTTTTCAATTTTTTTTCTACCAGATTAACCAATAGACACCTGATATAGTTCAAAAAATGCCTTTTGTTCTTAATTTTCCCAGAATTTATATTTTCAGCAACTGTGCTATAAATACAAATGACTTTTCATTGTTATGTAAGCGTTTAGAGATTTAATATACTTTTCCATCTGTGAGATAGTTATCATTTACCATTTTCACATTATTTTATCATTACCAATAATAAATTGACTATAAAGATTCAAATGTACTAGCTGACTTAACTTTACTGAATTACCATTCATATCTTGATAAGTCTTTATAAATGAATGTACCACATACAGATAACATCTGATTATTGGTAGAACTGAAGTGTTTCAGTCTGTGCTTCAGAATGAAAGTTGTTTGTGGTAATATAATTTTCATGCTTCAGAGTTTATTATAGAATAATATTTGAATGGTTTGGAAAATTATACAATTTTATTTGCTTAAGTATGTCTTGTTTGATGTCCCTTATCTAATTCTTTTTTTTTTTTCTTTTTAGAATATTTCACAGCATTTGTCTTTGGTAGTTTAAATATACTTTTTCCTAAGATACGTTTAGTTCTGCCTATACCATAATGTGGCAGCAACTTGTTTCTTTTAAAAGAAGAAAGCAGAGATTTTCACTCTAACAAAGTAGTCAGGATATCTTTGTCCACATGTTAATCAACCATTAGGTAGATTTCTGTAAGATCTGTTTATAAATCAAAAACAAAATTCAATTATCTTATTCCTTACCATTAATCAGAAAATCACATCAAATAAGCAATGGATATTGCTGTATTTATTAGAGTATCCATTGCATAGTATTGCAATCCTATATTTTCATGAAATCTTCGATAGCGTTAATATTTGGGGAATGCATGGCGCTACTCCTAATTACAGAAGTTCCAGATGGTCCAGTATTTCCTATCCTCATTCTCTGGTAGCTAAAGTGCAGATTATAATCAAGGCTCCACCTGTTAGACAACCACTGAGTGCTTTCAGGTGGGATGAATCCTTGTGAATCCAGAGCTGAGATTAGAACTCATTTTTTTTTTTTTTTTTTTTTTTGAGATGGGGTCTCATTCTGTCGCCCAGGCTGGAGCACAGTGGCACAATCTCGGCTCACTGCAAGCTCCGCCTCCCGGGTTAACGCCATTCTCCTGCCTCAGCCTCCCGAGTAGCTGGGACTACAGGCGCCCGCCAACACCCCTGGCTAATTTTTTGTATTTTTAGTAGAGACGGGGTTTCACCGTGTTAGCCAGGATCGTTTCGATCTCCTGACCTCGTGATCCGCCCGCCTCGGCCTCCCAAAGTGCTGGGATTACAGGCATGAGCCACTGCGCCCGGCCTAGAACTCATTCTTAACAGGATGTGCCAGCAGAACAGAGGAACAGTGTCTGGTGGTAGGCACGTCTATCATGGCAATGCACTTTAGTGGGAGGAGTGGCAGCACGCTCTACGTAGATTATTCGTTAGATGCCAACTTGGGAGTGGCTTTTCTAAAACCTATTCTAACTTCCTTTATGTCAATAATGTGAATTTTCTGACATCCCCCCATGAAGTCATATTTGCTTACTTAGTTTTGGTTGCTTTCAACAAAGAACCCTGAAAAGTATAATTTCTCTGTGAAATCTTATACAAGCACCCATGATACAAGATAGACGTAATGCTTTTATTCTTATATAAACAAGTATAATTCTACAGTTATTAACTAATATAAAGTAGAGCCTAGCATCCTTCCATATGCAGATGGTGTGTAGTTTAAAAGTCAGAGATTATTTATTTTTTGAATGCTTTAAACATTTTTACTAATTTCAGTTAGTGTTAGTCATGAACTTTAAATGTATTTTTCTGATTGTGTAAGTTACATTGCATGTAACATAGCTAATTATGTGACATAAATTACATAGTCATCCTCAATATTCATGAGATATCTGTTCCAGGATCTCCTCAAGTCCCAGATATGAAATAGTATAGTATTTGCATATAGCCTATGCATATCTTCTCATATACTTTCAATTATCTCTGGAATACTTATAATACTAATACAATGTAAATGCTACATAAATTGTTGTTATACTGTATTGCTTAGGGAATAATGACAATGAAAAGTCTGTGCATATTCAGTACAGACACAACCACCCTCTTTTTTCCCAAATATTTTCGATCCGTGATTGATAAACTTAATAGATGCAGAACCCATGAATACTAAGGGTTGACTGTATTTATAAATGTAAGCTTGCCTGCCTGCAAACCTGTTCTTCTTTCTCTCTTTGTTTTAAAAATACAGGACCAGAGCTTTCTTTAGTGTTGTGATGAATATAAATTACCCCTACTCTCTGGAAGCTTGAAATCTATACTTTTAAATAGTATGAGTTCACTTGCTGAAAATCTAACTAGGGATAGAAAAACTGAGGCTGTCACATGCTTCTTTGCATGGAGTCTAAAACCCTGAGGGATTAGATGGTTTGCTTAGAATCTCACTATGCAGGGGTATGTTCATGAAAGGGTTGGAGTGGTATGAAAATGTAGAAGGTAGGCTTCTCCCTAAGCCTACAGAAGAATGTTATAGGATGTCCTAGATGTTTATGAAAGGCTATATTTTGTATTTTCCAGAGATGTTTGAAATTCACTGTTGCATAGTTCATTATGAGAGGAAGATCCATAAACAAGCAAGCAAACTTTTACCTCTCTAGCTGGGATTTTAATGTAACTTACTTTAAAAAATAAGCATTTCATTTAAAAAGAGAGAGAGACAGAAACGGTTTCTAACCATGGCATTTCAACTAGAAGAATTATACTATTTGCCTCTCTCAAAGTGTAGATTATTGATGACAGACTCTTAGAAAGCGGCTGTGCTCTTTGAGTGGACATTATGGGAACAATAATAGAATATATCTTTGTATTTCTTTTTTTTTTTTTGCCCTCCCTAATATTTTTCACATGTGAGTGAAAAATCTACTCAGAGCTGAACTAAGTATAGCAGCAAACTCAACCTCCACTCATTTCTCAAGATTGTCAGATGCTCTTGAATTTCCTCATAAATTATAGAAATACTATTTGGGACTGGGCGCAGTGGCTCACGCCTGTAATCTCAGCACTTTGGGAGGCCGAGGCAGGCGGATCACAAGGTCAGGAGATCAAGACAATCCTCGCTAACACGGTGAAACCCCGTCTCTACTAAAAATACAAAAAATTAGCCGGGCATGGTGGCGGGCGCCTGTAGTCCCAGCTACTCGGGAGGCTGAGGCAGGAGAATGGCGTGGACCCTGGAGGCGGAGCTTGCAGTGAGCCGAGGTAGGGCCACTGCACTCCAGCCTGGGCGACAGAGCGAGACACTGTCTCAAAAACAAAAAACAAACAAAAAAAAAGAAATACTATTTGGATGTTTTATTTTTGCCAACTCAATAATGCACGTTTATTAACTATTGGCTCTTAAGAAAGCATGTTCAAACATATCAAAATGTGTTATTGTTTATATTTGATATCTATAGAAGCATTATTTAAATTTTATATTTATTTCTAACATGATTGCAATAATAGAAAAGAAGCTTAAATTTCAGTGCCTAAGATTATAAAAATAAAAATGTATTTACTATAAAACAACTGTATGTATGCTCCTCTGATGATAGCAAAAAGAATATACTGTATCATTGTTGATTTTACAGATAAAGTACTGAACACAACCAATTGTTAATAAACTCTCATATTATCTTTTATAAATATTTGTTAAGTATGAGGGAATCTGAAATATATTTCCAAGTTTCTTAATCAAATCCTTAAAATTTTTGCCACTGAAATCATACTTTGATAATATCTTTAATGTCAAGAAATATAAAAGTGAGTAATAGAAATAATAAGTAGGGATAAGCTCATCCAATTTAATACATTAGTAATTGACAATAACTCTTGAAGGGTTTTGGACAGTTTTCCAATCCTGGAATGAAAATTTATTAGAATTTCTGACCAGATTATAATGCTCTTACATAATTTGTTAAATGGCTTATGTCAACAGGACAAAAAAACATGGATACAGATAGAAATGTTTGGCCTCTTTTAGTGTTTGAGTAACTATTGTATGTTGGTAGCATAGCTCAAAGGAAAACAATACCTACAGAATCCTCTCATTTGAGCCTCTCTAATGTATATGGCACTGATCTTTAGTAATCATTCAATATAAGCAGGATGATATCCTGAAAGGCTAGGAAAATTACAAAGTCTTAATAAACCAAAATATATCATAACGGAATTGTCTTAATTCAGTTCATCAAATAAGTAGTCACTTCCATGTCTTTCAGATATTCCAATATAACATTAATGTGTAACTGAAAGCTACAATTTTCATTGTGATTACTCTCTATTGATTGTCCACTACAAATAATAGTTTCACATCATGTGGTTATAGTTATAGTTCATATAAAATTGCACATAATTTTATTATTAATGTTATTTTGTCTACTTTTCAGGTAAGGTAGAATCATTGAAAAATAATTAAATGTAAAATTTGAATCTAAACATCACCAGGGTAGAATTATTATTAATAATTTATGTTTTTATCTTTTCTTTTTGCTTTTTTGCCATTTTCAAAATTTTCTAAAAATTTTGCTATTTTTGAAATCAGATTGTATATTTTGAATTAGTTATTTCAAAATCTTCCTTTTAGGTTACTAATAAAATAAACAAAATAAAAAAGATAAATATTTTAAAAAATATTTTTAATTAAAAAAAGAAGCAGGTTGTCCAATATAAAATTGAAAGATAAAAAATATAATTGCTAAAACTCTGTTATAATAAAAAAGACTTGTAGAATAAAATAAAATCCAGTCTCTGCATTAACAAAGAATTGTGTGTAGTAAAATCTTTTTAGCCAGTGTATAAATAACTGTATAAATAATCTAAATTGTTTATTACAGATATAATTGAAAAGTATTTTGTAAGTTTTAACCAATTTAATTATACAATTCAAATTTGGAGTATAGACAAGGATTGAGACATATACTATTATTGGAGGTGGAAGGCAGGAACAAATGGTGAAGCTAAAGAAGGCCAAGTTTCTCTTCCATTTCAAGAATTCACTTTGGTAACGTGTTTACACTCTTTATTCTTATCTGAAATTGAATGAAGACAGGCCCACAAATTAATTTCACAAATATTCTTTCTAAAATTATGTTTATTAATTCATTTACCTGTTCAGGTTCTATTGTATGTAATTTCTGGAGAATTATATATTTTTGGTTGGTATATGTGTGAGTCTCTGAATAGATAGGCACACCATTTATGTCTATCACATATAAATGAGGTGCTTGCCTGACTACAGAACCCTCAGATCAAAAAATTTTGCCCTAAATTCCTTAGTGATTGATAGATTGCCTAAATTTTCTTCCAAGGTTTTTATAGTTTTGGGTTTTACATTTAAGTCTTTAATGCATCTTGAGTTAATTTTTGTATAAGCTGTAAGGAAGGGATCCAGTTTCAATTTTCTGCATATGGCTAGCTAGCCAGTCCTCCCAGCACCATTGATTAAATAGGAAATCCTTTCCCATTGCTTGTTTTTGTTGGGTTTGTCGAAGATAAGATGGTTGTAGATGTGCAGTTTTATTTCTGAGTTCTCTTTTCTGTCCCATTGGTCTATGTGCCTGTTTTTGTACCAGAACCATGCTGTTTTGCTTACTGTAGCCTTATAGTATAAGTTGAAGCCAGGTAGCGTGATGCCTCCAGCTTTGATATTTTTGCTTAAGATTGTCTTGGCTATGCAAGCTCTTTTTTTGTCCCATATGAATTTTAAAATAGGTTTTCTAATTCTGGGAAGAATGTCAATGGTAATTTAATGGGAAAAGTATTGAATCTATAAATTGCTTTGGGGAGTATGGCCATTTTCACAATATTGGTTCTTCCTATCCACGAATATGGAATGTTTTGCCATCAGCTTGTGTCCTCCCTGATGTCCTTGAGTAGTAGTTTGTAATTCTCCCTGAAAAGGTCCTTCACTTCCCTTGTTAGCTGTATTCCTAGGTATTTTATACTCTTTGCGTCAATTGTAAATGGGAGTTCATTCATTATTTGGCTTTCTGCTTGTCTGTTGTTGATGTATAGGAATGCTTGTGATTTGTGCATATTGATTTTTGTATCCTGAGACTTTGCTGAAGTAGCTTATCAGCTTAAGAAGCTTTTGGGCTGAGTCAATGGGGTTTTCTAGATATAGGATCATGTCATCTACAAACAAAGACAATTTGACTTCTTCTCTTCCTATTTGAATACAATTTATGTCTTTCTCTTGCCTGATTGCCATCTCATGCCAGTCTGAATCACGATGATTAAAAACTCAAGAAACAGCAGATGCTGGTGAGGTTGAAGAGAAATAAGAATGCTTTTACACTGTGAGTAGGAATATAAATTAGTTCAACCATTGTAGAAGACAGTGTGGCAATTCCTCAAATATTTAGAACTGGAAATACCATTTGACCTAGCAATCCCATTACTAGGTATATACCCAAAGAATATAAATCATTCTATTATAAAGATACATGCATGCGTATGTTCACTGCAGCACTATTCACAATAGCAAAGACATGAAATGAACCCAAATGCCCATCAATGATAGACTGGATGAAGAAAATGTGGTACATATATACCATGGAATACTATGCAGCCATAAAAAGGAACGAGGTCATGTCTTTTGCAGGGAAATGGATGAAACTGGAAGCCATTATCCTCAGCAAACTAATGCAGGAACAGAAAACCACACACTGCATGTTCTAACTTATAAGCAGAAGCTGAACAATGAGAACACATGGACATGGGGAGGGGAACAAAACTAACTGGGGCCTGTCAGGGAGTGTGGGCAGGGGAGAGCATTAGGGAAAGAGCTAATGCATACTGGGCTTAATATCTACATGATGGGTTGATCTGTGCAGCAAACCACCATGACACACGTTTACCTGTGTAACAAACCTGAACATTAAAAAATTCCATAGTGATTGCTTCATTTTCTTCTGAAGTTTTGTGATACAGAAAAGCAATTACCAGTTTGAAGAAAATGAGATTTTTTGTCCAAATTTTTGTTATTCTTGAAACTCAAAAGATGGCAGGATTTTTTCTAAAGCAATACTTGTTGGCTGTTTTTTTTTTTTGTTTATGCTTTGTTTTTTATTTTCTTTTCAAAAATCAGAATCAGAAGTTTAATGTACATATTCAGGATGTTTTTAACTCAGTAAGCGCCTGGCCATGATGGATAGTATGACAGTTATTTTCAAGATTTTATGTTCTTCTTCAACTGCTCTATCTCCTTTTCTTCTATTACCATTTTACAAATTTTCTTTCTTCTTATGGCTTTTTTTTCCCCAGATTCAAGGAGATTGTGTATTCTTTCAACATAGTAGCTACATAAACTTATAAAGTTGTTTTTTTCAGTTTTCATTAACAAATTTTTTAAAATATTTGTTTGCCCTTTCATTTTTTTTTAATGTATTCTCCAGCTGTAGTTTCCAAAGGCAATAAAAGTTTTGAAAACAGGAATCAAGGACTACCAATAGTATAGGGGGTGCAAGCTGCTGTATATCAAACCCAGTGCCAATATCAGCAAGCAAGCTACTGAGTCTGGTGCCCAGAAGTGGCAGCAGGTTCTTTTGTCATGTGAATTTGTTGTCATTCAGATGTTACAGCTCCAAATCTAATTATCTACCAATGATACTATAAGTTATGTATAATTTTACTAACAAACATATTTTGTCCTAGAATTGTTCAGTTTCTGTTTATGTCATTTCTATCTGAGATCTAACTCAAAATAGGAAATCAGAATTATTTGCTCCTTGGCCTCTTTTGTTTATTTTCTCATGTATTCTGTGTTATATATCTTTGACTTACATTCTCATATATAATTTTATGGATGATATATTATTGCTACCATTTTAAAGATTTGTTAGCTACAGCTACCTTTCTTTCATTTTTTCTGTATTTTTTAAAATAATCATTGTTATTCTTTAATCTTTTTAGATAAAATTTTAATTGTTAATGTTTATATATAATTCTCCTCAACACACAAATTCTGAAGTTTTTTCTGGTCAGGAGGTAGATATTTTATATAAAGAAAGCCCCCTAGAATAATATCACAGGCCCTTCTGGAAAGAATATGACCAGGTGCTTTCTCCATGGTAACTGTCCCAAATAGAATTTCTATTTACAGAGACCCTATCTGTTCAAGATAATTCATATTAGTTGAGCTCTAGTCTAATTTATATGAACTGAACTGATTTAACCATTTATTGTCCTTTTAAGTGCCTTTGATTTCTGAGCCCTATATATTTATTTTTGTCAGTTCATTTATTTTTTTATTACACCTCTGAGCATTTCTCCTCACGTTCCTAATATTTTATACTGTGGCCTTACTTACAACTTATTTCATTGGCTGTTCTTCCCAAATACGTTTTTAAGCTTGCAATTCAGCCATTCCAAATGTGCTTTAATACTCACCTGCATTTGACTGTTCTAAATTAGCCAAATTACTCTCTACTTTTTCAATTATTTCTGATAGTTGTACTTATTATTTTATTCAACACATGTATAATAAATTCCCATTCTTCTAATTAAAGGTGATGATTACTTTTATTCAAAATTAATGCAACATTATATGGCAAGAAAAATGCCCATACTATTAATAGGCACTAAGCATACATTGTGGTTTCTTTAATAGCCATGTGGGAAATTTACACTGTTTTTTTTTTGTTTATAACCATAAATAAATTAATTAATGTGAACTAACACTGGCTCTGAAGAGATAGAATTTAATCAAACTCCATTATCCTATTAGTATTGGTAAAGTTTGAGGAAGCTGTTTGAGTCTTATTAAATTCTCAAAGCTCTGTGGTTCCATACCTCTGAAATGGTAATTAAATTGATGGAAAACATTCAATCTTGATTGTAGATTCCTTTATATTATTTAAAGTTTTAACCAAGAAAACCACATAATAATGAATTATACAATAAAGTTAAATAAATGCCAAGAACATTTATTTTTTAAGGTACAGAATTATATCATTGATTATCCTTTTTGTCCTTGCCTCTGTGATCTCTATTTTCAACAAATAACATATCAACCAGATTGATCCTTCTAAATGCCAATAGATCTCATTATTCACCTACTCAAGATTCTCCAGTGCACTTCCATCATTATCAGATTAACAATCAAATTCTCGATGGTCTATGAAGCCCTTTATGGTCTTTCACCACTCTCTCTTTCTCTCTCTACTTTAGGCATACTATCTTTATCACTATTTCTTTAACATGACAGATCCTACAACAAGGTCTTTTCCTTTGCTATTCTCTCTTTGCTTTTTCTGAAAGCTCTTCCTTCAGATAGACTCATCAGCATAATTTATATCTTAATCTCATCAGGGCTTTGTTCAAGTTTTTCATAATTTGTAGAGTTCTATGTACTTCGGAAAATACAAAGTCATTGGGATTTTCTCTGGAAGAGAGTTTTATTCATTCTGTTTCTTCCATGGAGAGAATCATCACAGAACCCTTTCATCCTAATCTATGTAGTTTGACTTCAGGTTTTGCCTAAAAATTGAACCTAGGGTATTTGAAAGGTTGAACATTTTTTGAATAAAGATAAAGGGTTGCCTATATACATTAGCTAAATACAAAATAAAGAACTGTTAAACACATATAACTTTAACAAAATAAAAGAAAAATGACTAGAGAGATAGTGCTATATAGAAGAGAAAAGAAAGCTGCTACAAAGATGGTGCATCATTAGCCAGGAATAGTGGTGCCTGCCTAGAGTCTCAGTTACTAGGGAGGCTGAGGCTGTAGGATCACTGGAACTCAGAATTTCAAGACCAGCCTGGGCAACATAGTAAGACCTTGTGTCTAAAGAAGACAAATAGATTGTGCGACAAAAGGGGTGTGAACAATAAAGTAGGTTTTTCATAGGACCCTTGAGAGATCCAGGTGCCGAATGTTGTTTTCAAAGGATGAGTAAAATAGTAGCTGAAAAAGTAATTTGAAATTTTTAATATTGAAAACTTGTCCCCTCTCTATAACCAGTGTTCAAGAAATTGGACTTCTATACCCCTAGGTAGTAGATAACGAGTGTTATTGGGAAATTTCAGCAACCCAAAGGACAAGATTCCAAGCTTTGGTATTTTAGAGTTAATTAACCTAAAGCAAAACTTGCTGATTGACAGGGACATTAAGTTACTAAGTTCCTAATTGGTTTTTTTTGTGTGTGTGCTATTTTATTCTTATATACCAACAGTTAACTCATGATAACCAGACAGTTTAGGAAAGTTTGCAACACAAAATAACGAAGGATGATATCAAAAAGTAATTACCCTAGAGGAAACAGATAACCCATGAAATAAAAGAAAATTTAGACAAATATCACTCTAATTAGGATGTTCAACAAATTTCCAGGAAACACTGTATCTATCATAAAGAGAATGTTTGGGGAAAAATCTGAGAAAAATAAATCTGGAAAAATATAACTATAGATATTTATGTGAAATAACTGGGAACTGTAGGAAAATTAAGTTAAAACATCTCCCAGAAAGTAGGGGAAAAAAGAGAGAAGTAAAAAGCATGAGCAAAAATATAATATAGAGAAAATTTTCAGGAAATCCACCATCTGATTTATACAATTCTCTGTAAATTATAAAAATAGAGAAAATTGAAGGAAGAAAATCTGCAAAACAATAGTGGAAATCTTCAAGAGAAAAATTATAGTACTCTCCAGATCAGATTTTATACATTAAATAAACATGCACACACATCTCAAGGTATATTTTCATGAGATTGTAGTAAAATTGGAGAAATACACCTAAAAGCTGCTAGACAGATAAACAAAACAAAACGAAACCAAACGGGTTATCTACAAACAACATGGCCTCTAACTTTTTCAAGAACTATGTTAGCCATTGGAGGGCAAGGGAGCAAGGCTTTCACGTTTCTCAGGGATGCTCTCTTCAACTCTTAAATGTGTAATTTCCTAAGCTATCAATTGATTAAAACACTATAAAACATTTTTCAGAAATGCCAGGACCTCCCACACACCCGCTCCTCTGAAATTATTGGCATCTGTTTTAAGGAAGACCTGTAATTGGGACTGGAGTCAAAGGCAGCCTCAGGAAAGGTGGTTCACAGCAGGAACAGAGGGCAAACAGTTTAGATGAGGCAGGAGAGCGAAAGAGTGTGTTTTAGGAAGAAGGTGTCAAGGGTCAGACTTAATAAAATACCGGCGATGTAACTTAAACATTTCTAAAAGTTCAAATGAGGAGATACAATAAATAAATAATGCAAAGACAGCAAAAGACAACAAAAGCCTATTAAAAATGCAATTAATAAAAAAATAGAAAAGCCAAACTGCAATTATAACACAGTAATATTTCTAAAGGCATGCATAATAACATAAATTTAAATTTAACTAAAATATGGCTAGAAAAATACTGAGAAAATTCATGACAGGTCTGATGGGTAAAGGAGGGGAAAAAGTAAAACAACATTTAGTCCCTTATAGCAAGGTGGCAATAATAAGGTCTAACACGAGTATTAAACAACACAATGCACATATTAAAAACATGAAGGTAACTGCTGAACAATGTTTAAAAGTGAGCATATTTGAGAAGCAGGGATGGGGTGAAGGTGGCATTGGGAGTATGGGGAAATAGGTGAGTAACATTTTTTACTATATTCTTTTGGTACTTCTTAAATTTTTTTTGCTAAGTTATGAACTATTTTGATTAAAGTTTTTTTTCCAGTTTAAAGAAGCATTAAAATATCTGATATGGTAGGACTCTATTGATTTTTATGGACTTGCAGAAGTCAGGATTTACTTATAAGGTTATCTTCATTTTAGACAACAAAATACTACCACAAATACATTAGAAAGAGACATTTTAGCCTAGCGAAATAAAACAATGTCTCTCTCTCTCTCTTCGTCGTGCTTTTGGCTCTGAAATTCACTTTACCTGACTTTATTTGGTTTGATTATTTCTACTCCCACTTACCATTTGTTCATTTTTTGCAGTATTTCATTCCTATCTTTTTTTTTTTTTTTTGAGACGGAGTCTCACTCTGTCACCCAGGCTATAGTGCAATGGCAAGATCTTGGCTCACTGCAACCTCCACATCCCCAGTTCAAGGAATTCTCCTGCCTCAGCCTCCCAAGTAGCTGGGATTACAGGTATGTGCCACCACACCTTACTAATTTTATCTTTTTAGTAGAGACAGAGGTTTCACCATGTTGGTCAGGCTGCTCTCGAACTTCTGACCCTCATGTTATCCACCTGCCTCAGAGCCCCCCAAAGTGCTGGAATTACAGGCGTGAACCACCACACCTGGCCTCATTCCCATTCTTTTAACTTTTACGTTTCTTGTCATTTTGTACTTGATGTGTCATTAATAAACTGCCAGATTTTGTTTTGTAACCACTTTGAGATGCTTCAGGTTTTTGTATTTTATAAGAAGAATTTAAATCATTTGCATTTATGGTGATAAATAATCTATTTGGTTTTATTCCTTCTCTTCATTTTGGTTTTACTATTAATTATTTATTGTTGTATTTTCATTTTACTCTTTCATCATGCTTGTTTTATTGGTTATGTTTCTTTTCCTTCTCTCTCTCCTGTTGATTTCAACTTACTAGTTGTCTGAAACCCTTTTGGGCCACCTTGGCATCTTTGCTCTTTACCTGCCAAAGCTGGAAACTTGGCTGTCCCTAGCCAGCCTCCAGAAGGTCTGTGGTATCAGCTTGTGAGACCCACAGAGATTCCATCTCCCTCCACATGCATACATGAGTATTTCTGTGTCAAAAACCATAGGAGCAGAAAGTATTACAAGATTTTTGTTTTTTCCATAGGATGTTTCCTTTGGGAAATTATTTTTTCTTTGTATAGACTGATTTTTAATGAATATTTTTAGTTTTAGGATGGAGTAGCACATGTAGGTGTGGATATGGGAGTGTGAATATTCTTTTCTAAAATTGCCTTCCTAAAGGAGATGGAGATCAGAGGATGTTGATTTCAGAAACGACCTAGAGGCGTATCTTCCTCTGATGTTCGCACCAGACTGTAAAAGGAACCAGACTGAAACTTCCAAAGTTCCATTTACACTGCTTGGCTGATTCCCATATGTGGTATTACTGAGGATGGAATATCTTATTCTGTGATAAAGATTCTCCAGCGAATTGTACAGTTGTGGAGGTTTTCAATGGAGGCCAAATAGGACAAGGCCAAGATCAGTGGGTGGGAATTAGTCTGATTTTAATTTTTCTTCATGGGAGTAAGTGCACAGAATATAAATCACCCTGCCTCTCAGAAGGTGAGTATTAAAGTGTTAAAATACTGGGATGTGGAAGAAAACCACCTGTGAAGAAAAATATTGATCATCTGTGCGACCTTGAACAAATAACATAAACTTTCTTTGCCTCAGTTTCTTTATCTGTAGAATATTGGTAATATTTTTGCCTATTCATGGAATTGTTATGCAACTTAACAAATAGTACCATGTGATGTGATTACAACAGGGCTTGGCACATTAATAATATATTTTAGCTGTCATTTATTCTACAAATAAACTCTACTATGTTCTATACTATGCTGTCTATCCTGCAGAACTTCTAATTGCATATATTAGTATTTTAGTTTTTAATCTTTGATTTTTCCATCTTCAAGTTTTATTTAACTGTTACCTTCTCAATGAAGCCTCTCCTGACCACTTTTTAAAACTACATCTCTCCATGTTGTTTAATCCCTTCTCCTCCCTTAATTTTCTCCTTAGTATTTAATACCTTGTAGTATACCTGCCTTATAATGTTATTTTACTTAACTATGTATCTGCTTCCACTAGAACAATGATCTGTTTCTGTGTGGTTTGCTACTGTATTTACAGTTCCTAGAATATTGATTGATTCAAGTTCCTAGAAATTGAGCAAAAGAAGTCTTTTTAATTTACTTAAATTATTAAATTTTAATCCTGAATTTATTCCTGAAGAGTCTTATCTAAAAGTAGAAATGAAGGGATCAATAAAAGGCAACTGATTTCAGGGCAAATACAAGAGAAGAAAGCTGTTAATGTTTATATTTTGAATGATTAGAGATTAGACTCTAGACATGAATGAATGAATGATGTTAGAAACTGGGGTCTGTTATTCATTAGGAAACTCATGTGACTCCTAGACTATGGATTCAGAAAATGGTCAGATTTAATATATGGCATTCACTTTTTAAATTAATTTTAATTTAATTCATGTATATTTATCTTGTAATGTTTGCTACATACAGAGTTCTTTATATTATTATCTCCTGGCCTTTATTCGGTGTTAAGAGATGTGTCTTCCTGTAGCAAATCAGTGCAGAGTGAGCCACAGCTGCTGACATGCAGCAGGACTCAAGAGGGAAAATGGTGAACTTCAGAAATGTAGAGAATTTATCATAGAACAAGGTGAGATGAGGTGACAACCGAGATGGGTTTTTGGAACTTGTTAGCCTTCCCTTATTCATAAAGTTAACTTTGGCAATTGTTGCCCATCTGTTGTATGGAGTCCAAGAGCCACATTTTGCTTCTTGTTGGTCAACAGCATTTCAAATTGAAGCACTGAGAGACAGGATCACATTTATTGCCTCTGAGAGAGTTCTTCTTAAGCTTTATACTTTTCTTTGGTGAAATTCCTGCCTTGTGGCTACAGGGTTCCAAATGTTGTCTTGTATCTTATACTATTTCTGCCTTGTATTCTTGTGTATCTATCTTGTGTTCCTTAGTTTGCATTCCTGAAGCCAGTTCAGATTAACATGAGAAAAGTTTTCTTATCATAGGATATTAGGAATAAAGCATATGTATAGATATATATAGATTCATGTATTTACTTAAGGAAAATGAACAAATGGAAAAATGCTAGAAACATTTTGTTCTAGAAAAAGCAAGTGGTTATAACAACAATGGAAAATTTAGGAAAAAACTTTAAATTTTGAAAATGAATAAAAACTAGAATGTACATTTTTAAATCTCTGTGGACCCAGAGGAAATATCATACTGGCACAAATCTTTCATTTAAATTGTTGAAAATATAATTGCCAAAGTTAGTCACAGAACTGGATTAGTCCTAAAACTGTAAGAGTGGTTCCTGTCTAGACCATATAAAAATGAAGTCATGTAGTAAAAGAGAAGAAAAAAAGGGAATATTGGCCAATCAAGGAGAAAAAGCAAGCAAACAACAAAAAAGTGAAAGATTTATGTCTTTTTTGAACTTCGGAATCCTTAGGAGAAAGAAGAGACAAGACATTTCTTATTAGTTTTATATTAAGGAATATTAGAATACCACATTTTATATACTATATCAATGTAATATGAAGAAAACATAAAAGCACCAATCACTATATGATTAGGCAGCTTTCCCGTAATAGCAAGTTGTTCATAAATTCAGTTTCATATAGTTTTTTCTTTAATTTCTTGCGTTGCTTATCTTTTAATTAATTTCATAAAATGTAACTTTCAACCTACCAGTGTCTTCTGCATCCTTTATTGGATATTAAATTACTTTTAAAGTTTTGCATATAAATACATATGTATTTGAATACGTACACATATGAAAATAAATCATTGTAATCACTAGTTGCAGCCAAGGCTAAGTATAGTAGAAATCATTAGCCTCAGGTTTAAATAACTGTCAATGAGAAACACTGAGTAAATGATGTGTTGTTGATACAGTTGTTTCCAAAATTCATATACGATTAGTCATTATATTTCATGTGGTAAGACACTAATATGTTAGAAAATATTTTTTGACCAGAATCCGTAAAATGTAAACTAAAAATATACTTTGATCTAGTTAATAGAGTTGAATTTCTATCTTTGTGTACTAGAAATGAACAAGTAACTCTTGTAAACTTCAGAGAGTTGTTTGAATATTTAATTCCCAAGTAATAAAATTATCTGAAAGTTTTCCTTCTCTCATGAAACAAATGCAACTAAAAATTTAAAGTTGCTTATGTAAGTTCAACTTAAAACACGAGACAGCATATTATTACACACAAAATATATTTAATCATATATTTAACTATACAATAGTATATAGTTCCTCATATAATTGTTTTTCAGAATTCTAACATTTACTAGAATTGGCATATTTAACTATCACAGCAACCTTAGGAGGTAGAAAATACTAAAGCTGAGGAAGAGGTATTTTACATAAATTTGCCGAGGTCATACAACTAGTGCAACATAGTCAGGATTCAAAGCCAGGTGGTCTGACTCCAGGACTGAAAATATTAATCATAATGCGGAGTTAATTCCCAAGTTGTCAAAATTTGAAAGTTTTTTATTTCTGGTTTTCTAAGTTGTAAAATTTACACATTTTAATTCTGATGAGCTTTTTAAAAATATGGACAATATTTTGATTGGTAGTTCACAGACATAAGGGGAAAATACATATTTTATTCATTGAAAAATGTTTTCATGTTTTTATTCTTTCAAACATGTATTGTAACAACATGAGTTTGTTGGTTTTATGTCTCAATTTTATCATTTCTTACTTGTTTTCTACATCTTTCAAACCATTTAAATGAGTATCACTATAAAGTTCTCTTGTATAATAGTATTTATTAAAAAATCTCTTTGAGTATTTACTGTTTTGTATATTGGTTGTTATACTGCCTGATGAATACATTTTTATGGATTAATATTTTATTTGTAAATTGTACTTTTGTTATCACTTAATATATCACTTTGTTCTAAATGGTAATTTAACCTTTAAAACCATCTTTCACTAACTTAACATATTGTCTTGAATTTTAAGAAATATATCTGATAATGTTTTGAGGAGCTACATTAACTGGAATATTTTTCAAAGAAGCCCAACTCTATTTTCACAATATATTCTTATTATTCTATCTTCAATTTTTTTTTCCTTTCTTGCTTTGTGTTATATTTTGGGAGTCAAAATGTTTTTCCTGTTAATAAACAAGAAGAGTTTATCTTTAAAAAAAAAAAAAAAGCAAAGCAAAAATTTGTCCTCACAGAGAATGCTAGCTGTCATTTATCCTACACTTTTCCATTTGAATTATTTTTTAATCTTCTTCTTATCACTTATTGAGGATGAAAATGTTACGCATAATTGCTAAAACAATCTCCAGTACCTAGCAAAATTGCATTTAATCTAACAGTGCTAAACTAAAATAAATATTTATCTAGCTCCCTGCCAAATCCTGCCCATGTGTGCAAATAATTTTTAGGCCATACTGCCTACATTTCTGATGGTGGGAGCCAGGGTACTTTGAACTGAAGCAAAGAGATGCTGAAGGGATAGAGACTTCTTATACCAGTGTTCACATAGCCCAGATGAAACACTGTTTCCCGGTCAGACAAAAACTCCTCACAAACTTTGGTATTAAGCTAGTCATCAATCTAAATTTCTTGGAAAGAAACTCTTCCTATGTCATTAAAATCATTTTCATGGAAAACTAGAAAAAAATATGAGATTGATTTTTAAAATCAATGTCATCTTCACACATTTTAATGTTTATATTTTCAACTGATTTCTCTCTGCTCTTCTCTTCACTGCCATTCGAGCTGAAACTATTTTAAAATTCTGATTTTATATGAAAAACACATTCTTTGTTAACTTCTTCATGCATTATACCTTGTAGAACATGTTCTTCTTTATAGATTTTCAGATAAGAGGGCGTGTTAAGAGAACAAGCATAGGTTTGGGATTTGAAAACATTAGCTTCTAGTCCTATCTGCCACTTGTGAGTTCTGTGACATTTTGCCTCAGTTTCTCTACGTCTAAAATAAAGATAAGAATTACTGCAGCATCAGAAGAGTTCTGAGACTTAGAGAAAACATATAGTTATTGCCTGCCACATGATTTGCACCTTTACTACCTAGAGCATTATTTTTAAAGGTATTTACATCTGGAAAATTTCTAACTCATATTTGATAAATTTAAAAATATTTGTAATCACTATTTAAGATTTTGAAAAAAAGAAACATTCACCTCTCCCCCCCTCCAAAAGTTAGGGCAAAGTAAAGTATGTTGAAAATCGAGATATTTTAAATTACACTAAGTGATAATGAAACAGTGGTATGTTATACACAATGAATAAATTATTAATATTAACTCTGCATCAGACATAAATGCAGTATTTCTTATGTTAATTAGTTATTTTAAACTGATCTAATACATTTTTCTTGAGAAAAAGTCAAGAAAATGAAAAGCATTTTAAATATAATTTAAATTAATTTATACTTAAGGAATTACAAAAGTTCTACATTAATTCAGCTGTCAGTTCAAAAATTTTAAACGTAAAAAATCACAATGCATCATAAATTACTAAATTGTAGTGATGCTGCCAATGTATTTCAATATTATTAGTGCCCTTAGTGTTGGGGCTGAATAGACCCTTTATTCCAAATTTTATTCTAATACTTTGATGGATCTTATAAGATAGCTTACTCCCAAATAATTAGGACTTCTATGAAGTTTTGGAAATAAATATGAATACCTAGGCACAAATCGTTGACTTTGAAGATTGTATGAAGACTAAATGCAGATTAATGTTAAATTTGTTTGTTCCAAATAGTCACATTTTATAAACCCAGCAATTGTTTATAAAATAATTTTTAAAAATAATATTTATCAAAATTATTTTAAATACTAACATTTTTTATCCGTGTAATAATAGTCTATTGTCTTGAGTATGCTTTTCTAAAATTAATTTTAGGCCTTTCTACAGAATCATCAGCTGCAACCTGAAAGGTAAAAAGAGAATATAGAAGTTCATTTTAACAGATAACCTTGCTGTTTCTATAATTTTATTAGCTACAGAAAAACAAAAACAATAGTAATTTAAAAAAGCAAGAATAAAACAATGACCTAATTTAATTTAATAACTCAAGTAATAAACTAAAAATGAAACAAGCATGACTTGAAAGGATGTTTCATAGATTCCAAGAGCAAGAATATAGTTAGGCTTCAAGAAATGGACTACCAGTAATCTTTTTTTTTTCTTTTCTTCTTCTAATTTTTCTCTTTGCCTTTCTCTGTGTTCTCTCTTCAGTCATTTATCTTTTACTCTTCCTTCAAGGTAGACCACTTCACAACTCCTGAAGTTATACAGGTGACAGGATAAGATGATAACCTGTGACTTTTCTATAATTGTATTTTGTCCAAGGCCCAAAGGCTGAAAACCATAGATTGGATTCCATTCACATGAACATTCAAATGGCAGAAAGAAATCTTTCATTGCAGATGTGTTAAAACTATGAACGCTTTTTTGCCAATGTGATCCATCACCTGCTTCCAGGCTATTTAGAATTCATCAGGAGAAACTATTCACTAGGAAAGAGGATTCAATAGGGTAGAAGAGATGGGAGAAGAAAAACTTTTGAAAAAGATTCAAGAAAACTCTTCATAAAAGAACCCAATAATGAAGGCTCACTATGATGATTAATATTGAGTGTCAACTTGAATAGACTGAAGGATACAAAGTATTGTTCCTGGGTGTGTCTGTGACAGTGTTGCCAAAGGAGATTAACACTTGAGTGAGTGGACTGGGAGAGGTAGACCCACCCTCAGTCTGGGCGGGCACCACCTAATCAGCTCTGGCATGGCTAGAATAAAGCAGGCAGTAGAGTCTGGAATGAGGAGACTTGCTGAGTCCTTCATCCTTCATCTTTCTCCCATGCCGGATGTATCCTGCCCTTGAACATCAGACTCCAGGTTCTTCAGATTTTGGACTCTTGGACTTATACCAGTGATTTCCCAGGGGTTCTGAGGTCTTCAGCCAATGACTGAAGACTGCATTGTCGGCTTCCCTACTTTTGAGGTTTTGGGACTTGGACTGGCTTCCTTGTTCCTTAGCTTGTGGCTGGCCTATTGTGGAACTTCGCCTTATGATCATGTGAGTGAATTCTCCTAATAAACTCCCTTTCATATACATCTGTGCTATTAGTTCTGTCCCTTTGGAGAACCTTGACTAATACACTCACCAAATAATGAGGAGCATCTAAATCCCATAAGGGTCCCACAAGAGAAAGACAATTAGGGGATATAGATTCTAGATAACCACCACATTAGTCAGTCAGACCTTTCTTGATCCTCATCTCCTTTCCCCTGTTCTAGCTGAGAAGACTCCCTTATTTCCTTGTGTATATATAAAATCTTATTAGGGATATATATATATAGTGATATATATAATATCTTATAAAATTGTATAAGATATTAATTATATGTAACTTATATAATCATATAATATCTTATGTATATATAAAATGTGAGATTATATATAATTATAGAACATATAAATTCTATATTTAGGATATAATTATAGAATATATAAATTCTATAATTATACATAAATATTATATAATTATGTTGCAAGAATTTTCCTAGTTCGGCCAAAGGTGGGGTTCTTAGCTGTCCCACAATCATGAAAATTTAGCCTTGCAGATGGTTTAAAGGATGAGTAAAGCAGGGTTTTATTGGGTGAAAAGGGAATAAAAAGGAAAAAAGGGATCCTATGTAAGGCCAGAGTCCCTGCTAGAGTGCCTCCCATCTGCTGTTTGAATCTCAGCTTCCACACAAGAAGAGGAGGGGCCAAGCTCCTCCCACTGCAAAGGGCGCAAACATCCCAAGGCTCCACTCAGTGGACAGGCTGGTTGGAGTTTCTCCAGGGCCCCCTCCCACCTGGCTGTCTCAAATATAAATAATTATATATAATTTGATATATAATTATATTATGCCTATAATAAATATTATAAATAATATATAAATAATATAATATATGATATAATATATAAATAATATAATATATAATATAATATATAAATAATATATAATATAATATAATATATAAATAATATAATATATAATATAATATAATACATAAATAATATAATATATAACATAATATATAAATAATATAATATATAATATAATATATAAATAATATAATATATAATATAATATATAACATAATATAATATATAATATGCTATATATTAAAATATATAATATGTTATATATTATATTATAATTATGTTATATAATATGCTATATATTATAATATATAATATGCTATATATTATAATATATAATATATATATTATATATAATGTATAATATAATATATTATATATAATGTATAATATAATATATTATATATAATGTATAATATATTATATTATATATAATGTATAATATAATATATTATATATAATGTATAATATAATATATTATATATAATGTATAATATAATATATTATATATAATGTATAATATAATATATTATATATAATGTATAATATAATATATTATATATAATGTATAATATAATATATTATATATAATGTATAATATAATATATTATATATAATGTATAATATAATATAATTATAGGCTATATATATCTAAAATCTGTCAGTTGGAGAAGGAGGAGGTGGAGAAAGAGAAGAAATTCACTGTTAGTTTCTGGCCTATGGTGGGATCAATCCGGATGAGGGAAGGATGTTTAGGTTAGATAATATTTAGATTTTGACATTACATTAGCTTGAAAAACACTTCCACTAAAAATAAAAGTCACTCACTATTTTTGTAAATCTAATTGAGAGTGATTAGATAAGCTATAAATTTTCACAAAATTATATCCTAGGGCAAATTTAAACACAGTTAACCCTCTGTATCAATGGACTCTGCATGAATGGACAACCAATTACAGTTCAAAAATATTCAGAAAAACAGTTTATGAAGTTCCAAAAAATAAAACTTGAGTTTTTACATTGCATCAATGAAATAAAATGTACAGGTGAAGTGTATAGGCACTATACTTAATACTATAAATAATCTAGAGATGACTTAAAGTATATAGGTGGATTTTCATGTTAATTGCAAATACTACACCATTTTATATCAGGGACTTTGGCACCCACAGAGGTTGGTATCAACCCTCAATGGAAACGTAGGAACGACTGTGTAACAATATCAGGTGAGAAGGTGAGAAGTTTGAGTCTCTGTCTGCAGTCAGATGGATTCAGTTTGTTCTAGTTATGCATTTGAGAACTCTAACCACATTCCATTTTTCATTTGCTGCGTTATAATTTGAAATTCTTGGAATTTGATTGTTTTATCTTGCCTTAAGTATTTTCATCAGTAGTATTGTGTGTGATAAAGAAAATATGGCTGCTGGGACTCCCAGACTTTATTCAGGTACCAAAAAACAGATACTATCTCAAATATGGTAAGTACATTCCTTTAAGTTATCATTTTACCTTATTTTGCCATATTTACAACTAAAAAGCTCATAAACAACATAGTCCTGCTGGTACTTAAAATTAGAAAATAAATAAGCATGTTCCATTTCCCATTATCTTTTCTTACATTTTTGTATTGCTGTTTCCTGATTCTAAATAAAAATAGGCTATCATATTGGCAGGAGATGATTAGGGCATTGTTATCTAAAATAAATTTGAAAAAGCTATGTTTAATAAAAAAAGGAAAACAATCAAAATGTTTATATGACAAAATATCTGCTTACTGTCTTGTACTTTGCTAAACGCTCCACTTGTATTACCTCTTTTAACTCTGACAACTGTCTATGTTAGGTTATGTGTGTTTTGTGTTTTCATACTTATTATACACATGATAAAATAAGACTCAAAGTGATTAAATAACTTGTCCAGAGTTACATAGTTAGTTCAGTCTTTTTTATCACTTGATACTGCCTTCTAAGGGCTTTGCAATGCAGGCTTTTCTTTTATAATTTACCAAACATAACTTGGTAGGTGCAGACATGCCAAGCAATTTTAGCACTCAGGGAACCCTCATTTATCTAGTGTACTACAAGCAGGGTTGTTCTCCTCTCATCTTACTGCTCCGATAAATCACTGCCCAAGGATCCTTGGCAGTTTTTTTCTGAAAAGAAAAGGTTTCACATTCTGGCTAAAGTGTTTAATAGAAATGAAGCACCACATATAACTATGAAGGGCTACATCAACACTTCTAAACCCAAACCTTCTTCTCCTCAGTGCATACATAGGTTCTCGTCTGCTAAATAGGGAGCTACACTTGGACTTTTGGCAGCCCTTACAGGCACCCATCACTAAAATAGAAATCTGACTGTAAACTGCCTGATTGTTCCTTTTCCTTATGACTCTTACCTAATCAAAGAAATTCTTTGACTTCACATCTAAAGTACTATTCAATACCAGCAAGGCAAATTAGAAAGAAAAAAAAAAGTAAATTTACATTTCAAGTGAAAATTTACATGTGTTTTTGTTTCAATCACCTGAAATTTCTTAGGCAAAACTGAGCTCAATTGTCTAAATTCTCTCAGCAATGTAATGCTCAGGCTCTCTTTTATGATAGTTCTGACTGTAGAATTTACTTTTCGTGATTCACACAGCATCCTTCAATATATTACTCCAGTGACTTTAAAGTATCTCAAGAGGATCATGACACATAAATTTGATATTTCATACTGTTTAGAAAATTAGTTTTGCCTGAAAATGTTTAAACTTAATTTCTATGAAAGGGACATTTGTTTCTAGAAAGCCCCCTCAAAGTTTAGCATTTTTCACTTGTGATTCAATAAATATAAATTTATTGCCATAAAAATCAAGAATTTTCTTCGAGAATTATATTGCTATCACCTACTTAAAAGAAGACAAAATTATCAATTTTGTCAATTGTATCCATCAACACTCCCTATCTAGTTGATACCTCAGTTGCGAAAATTTCCTGTTTATTATTCAATTGTTCAGTAAATACTTCTTAACTCCCAAATGTGTGGTACAGAAGACAATATTAAAGGCTTTGTCTTTGTGAAATGGAAAATACATAGCTCCGGGCCCCACATATTCTCTCTTTTTTAGTGAAATAGTCCACTAAATTTTTATCATTTACAGAAAATCCTTTAATCATTCCTGTCCTTCCTGCATCTTCCCTTTGTTTCATCAGCACATCAAATTGATTTATAAATTGCGCTTATTATATCTCAGGAATTTTCTTGAGTCTAGCCTATTTGATCTGTTCTTATTCAACTGTATGTATACAGTTGTGTATATATATATATATATATATATATACTGAGAAACAACTGCATATGTATATGTGTTATGTATATATGTATATATATGTGTGTGTGTGTGTATGTGTGTATATATATATACAGTTGAAAACACATATACATATACAGTTTCTCAGTATTGGTGGGGGATTTGTTCCAGTAACCTCTGCATATACCCAAATCCGCATAAAGTCCTGCAGTCAGCCTGTGGAACCCACTTATATGAAAAATTGGCCCTTCATATACATTGGTTTTGTATTCTTTGAATACTGAATTTTTCCCTCCGCAGTTGGTTGAAAAAAATGAAGATATATGTAGACTAAGGCAGTCCAAACCCATGTTGTTCAAGGTTCAGCAATATTTCTTTCTTACAACAAAATCTTTTTAAAGTTGATATCTCCATCTCACCTCTTTTTTTTTTTTTTGAGGCGGAGTCTCACTCTATCACCCAGGCTGAAGTGCAGTGGCATGATCTTGGCTCATTGCAACCTCTGCCCCCTGGGGTTCAAGCAATTCTCCCACCTCAGCCTCCCAAGTAGCTCAGATTACAGGCATACACCAATATGCCTGGCTAATTTTTGTATTTTTAGTAGAGACGGGGCTTCACCATGTTGGCCAGGCTGGTCTTGGACTCCTGAACTCAAGTGATCTGCCTGCCTTGGCATCCCAAAATGCTGGGATTACAGGTGTGAGCCACCGCGCCCATCCCATCTAACCTCTTAAATTTAATATACATTCCACCAACCACTAATCTTGCTGAAAAAGTTTTAATCACACATTCTACTTGGTGAGAGGCAAGGGACAGGTGGATGTGGGAGGAGGGGGGAAACAGATGACTTGAGAGGTGAGGGTGGGGCTTCCCATTTCAAATGATAAAAAAAAGTCCATCTCTCTCTGTTTAAGGTCATTTACAACCACATTCACTCTCACTCTTTTCTGTTTTCTACACTTGAGACAGAATGGAGATACCTTCTGAAACTATAATATCAGGATATCTTCTCACTGTCTCACTCCTATATACTATCTCTTCCAACCCCTCCTTTTCTTTTCTTTTTTTTCCTATAAATCTAATTCTTTCTCTTCTGTTCAACATTTTTCATTACTCCAAGCCCCCTTCCTTTCTTTGTGAGACATTCTTAAGAGTAGATTCTAGTCTCCTGTCTACTCACTTCTGCACTGACAACATTTGGTCTATTTTGGAAGTGAAATTACTTATAGTACCTTTTGGCCTTCAGTTCTTGCCTTATTACGGGTTAGTCCATAAGAGCTAGAAATTGAATGAAATGATGCAGGCACAAGACCTTTCCTTTAATTTTGGAAGGTCTAAAACACATTCATCTCCGTACTTCTTTTTTTATTAATTCTTTTTTAAAAATGTAGTAGAGGCTGGGCATGGTGGCCCACACCTGTAATCCCAGCCCTTTGGGAGGCTGTGGCAGGCGGATCACTTGAGGTCAGGAGACCAGTCTGGCTAACATGGCAAAACCCCATCTCTACTAAAAATACAAAACTTAGCCAGGTGTGATGGAGGGCGCCTGTAATCCCAACTACTCGGTAGGCTGAAGCAGGAGAATCAATCGAACCTGGTAGGCGGAAGTTGCAGTGAGCCAAGATTGGCCACTGTACTCTAGCATGGGCGACAGGGTGAGAATCTGTCACAAAAAAAAAAAAAAAAAAAAAAAAGGTAGTTGAAATTACATACAAATTACTTCAAGATAAATGGTGGTAGCATACAACTTGCACTAAAATATATAAATGCTTGATTGCTCACTGGTTGACTCTTGTTTTCAAATTTTGAAAACAGAAACACTGCCTTTTCTATCAAGGTACACAAAAACTAACAAGATGCTTTAGTTGAATCATAATTTTTTTAAGGCTTCAAATTTATCCAGCAGCTCACTATTTTCTTCATGGAATATTTGTATGCATTTTTTTTTTCATTATCAGTGGTGTAACATATCAAGCTTAAGCTCTGTAGTACCATTTTGTATACCTTTTAAGAATATTCGTGGTGAAACACTTATTTGTACTTTTTTTACAAGGCCCAATAAAAAAGATAAACCATTAATGGAAAAATTAGAACTATTAACCTGTAATAGTCATTCCATCACTGGCACTATAATTGAATTAAAATATGCATCAATGCATCACAGACTCTTCCATTTACTCAACTAGCTTTTTTTTCATGTAACGGAAAGATTAGATATTCTCAGGCATTAATGTCGAAATCACTCCTTCGGATAATGAATCTTACAACTAAAAACAGTTAATGTAATACTAAAGCTATGAAATAGAAAGAAGTATATATTTTTTGAAAAAATTTGCTAACTCATAAAATGGAAAATATGATCCCAAGAATTTAGAGCTTTCATTTTAGGAGAACTTTATGGAGAAAATGGTGTTAGGACCCCAGCTGTGGTTTTTAAAAAGACATTTATTTCAATTTAAATTCAATCTATTTTTACTTTAATGACAGTGCCGGTGGCTATTTTATGAACAGTTGCTTAGATTCAAATTACAATGTAACTTTCTAATTAAAAAGTTTAATTTCTTTTTAACTATAATAAAAAATAATTACATTCTGTGAGTGGTTCAAAAAAATTCTGAGTTGTTTCCCATACAGTCACTGTTTGTTAAATTCTCATTTTGAGAAAAGCTTTGATTAAAATGACTCCAAGGGTGTATATGTAGATTTCTTTATTGAATAAAAATTCTCATTTTTTGTATGCTCAAAGTATATTATTTTTGAAATTTTACATTATTTTACAAAATAAAACAGCTTGAAGGGGGATATATGTTCATTTATTTACATGCTTTTGGTGATACCATGAGCTGTTATTTCTAGAACATTTTTCAGTATTTTTGAAATTTCCTTGAAGTTGTATTATTGATGGAGCTCAATAAATTTCTAGTAGAAAACTGGCTCTTCTGGAAGGATAACATTTAGTCCTATTAATCGAATATTATCTATCATACTTACAATGACAAAAAATAACATCAATCTGGACTAATATATACAAGCCTCCTACTTCCTAAAGTGTGTATTTTTTTCCTTTGGATTTCAGATCTCAATCTAATAGTATATTTTGTACTTTTAATGAGAATACCTTTAGCATTGCCATTTATTAATAAGCATACTCTCATATTTAGCCGTTAAACTGTATTTTAATTGTATATAGATATGATTTTTCCATTTTTACATGGCAATTATAGTCAATTATGACCCTGATTATTAAATGTGTTGGGGCAGACCAAATGGGTACATAATAAAGAACTGGGGCTGATCGAATTGTGTGAGGTATTCCCTTTATGAGGGCTAGAACTGAGTATAGATAATGGGGAAGTGAAATCCAGAGATTTCACATTATATTTACAAAAACAGGCAACTGCTAGTCTTCACGTGAAATAAGAATATGCAAGATCCAAACCGAAGTAAAAAGGGTATCTGAGACTGCTACACTGTAGCACAGTAACAGTGAGCTAGAAATTGATGACATTAGATTTAATCAGACAGGCAGTTTTTTCTACTATGAATTCATTAGCAATTAGTAGCATACCAAGCAGTCTTAACCTGAAATTGGCTGCACAACAAAACCCAATGTCCTTCAAGTGAGAAGGGAATTGAGGATACCTCTGAAGCAAGGATTCAAGTATTAAAAACAGAGAAAAGGACACAAAGTCATGATAAGCCAGTAACATTTATGGTATTAAGATAAGCTCCATCATAGTGATACCTTACTCTATGGATTTGCACACATACAGTGAGTGGGTCGTAATTCAGTTGTAATTACTTCCCAAAGGCAGTAGTGAGAACTATTCAGCTGTGAGATTCAAAGGATGAATCTGATACAATTCTCCATGCTTTTTACCGAATATAATACTGGACCATTACACCCAGTTCTTACTGGGATTTTTCATTCTCACTGGCCATATTCTTTTTTCCTAAGTACTATTTAGTTACACACTTTCACAGTAATCCTTGTTTTTTATTTTTTTATTTTAAGTTCCAGGGTACATGTGCAGGATGCGCAAGTTTGTTACATAAGTAAACGTGTGCCATGGTGGTTTACTGTGCCTATCAACCCATTACCTAGGTATTAAGTCCCGCATGCATTAGCTATTTTTCCTGATGCTCCCCCTCCTCATGCCTGCCACCCCCACAGACCCCAATGTGTGTTGTTCCCCTCTCTGTGTCCACGTGTTCTCATCATTGTCCAGCTCCCACTTATAAATGAGAACATGTGGTGTTGGTTTTCTGTTCCTGCGTTAGTATGCTGAGGATAATGGCTTCCAGCTCCATCCATGTCACTGCAAAGGACATAACCTTGTTCCTTTTTATGGCTGCATAGTATTCCGTGTAAGCCTTGTTATTATATTTCCTTTTGATTTTGAATAAAAATATTAATATAATAATGTATCTGTACATTAAATTAATCTAGTTGTACATGTATAAAACATACCAACTAATCAAATGCAAGTATAAATATAGATGTAAATATTTAAAATTAAACGTAAATATAAATATTTTTGTTGTACTTAGACCATGTTGCCATACTGTTAGTCATTTTGCTTCTTCCTCTGAAAAGTTCCAAATTAAATGTATCTATTTACCTGGAATGAAGTTAACACATTCATTTAGGATTTACAGATTATTTCACATAATTGATGTGCCACAATTTGTTAAAATTTTCCCCTCTGATTGGTATTTACTCTTTAAATGTTTTCATAATACAAATAGCATTTCACTAAACATCCTTTATCATGTATTTACCTTTATGTATTCATGCATTTATTTCTATGGTTGAGAATCCCAAGAAGACTGTTAGGTCAAAAGTGTGTTGTTGTTTTCTTTTTAAGAAATACATATGTTCAATATTATCAAAAAAGTCTAATGTGGCAAGTGAAACGACATCTCTACATTAATGTAATTTGCACTTTGCAAAACAATAGGAGAGTTGTTTCTTTTATTTGTTAATATCCATTAGAATTTGTACTCTTTAGAAGTAGCTTTTTAAATTCTTTGTCCATTTTTTATTTCAAGTTGCAAATTTTTTAAAAAATATATCACAGTTTTTTATTAGTCAGAATTCTTAGAATTGAACAATGAAAAAAAATGGCCCAAATTAAACTGAAAGGAAATACATAGAAAGTATATTGAGTAGCTTAGAATATTTAACACAAGTCTGAAGAAACAGGCTAAGAGAGAAGGGAAAGGACAGGAGGAGCTAGACATCTCAGTAGCTATTTCACCATGATCTGTCAGGCAAAAACCACACTGCCACTGCCTTTGAACAGTGTGCTCAGAATTTGCTCTAGTGTCATATGTGAAACTGGGCACTGGTCATGCTGCCAGCACAACTTCAGGTACTTCTGCCAAAGCTACTAATGAAAATAAGATTTTGATGTCATCACTATCCTCCAAGAGAATCCATGTATTCATTCTTTTGTTAGCTTCTTGTTGGGCATTGATTAATTCAGACTGCTCTACTCTAATTCATACTCTTGTATTCACACTTCCTCGTCGGTATTTGAGCTTCCAAGTAGATGGTGATTACATTTTTTTAATATAGTACTCTCTTTACTGGAATACTGGCTTTATGATCCACCAAACTAACTGTATAGGGGAATCTCCAATTATAGAATGTGTACTCAGATACAGTGCATTCGATATTAAAAAATATATGTTAACCCTAGTCATATTAACCTTATCCGTGCTTCTGAATTGTAGATTATTTCTCTATATTCTATGCTAGCCTTCATTCATGGCATATATCAACAAATTCACTGTGAAAGCCCAATTCAAAAAACTGAAAAATAATCTGTGCGAAAAGAGGCAGAATCATGGCTTCCAAGGTACTTCTGGGTTGTATATGAGCTGCTAGATTGTATGTATCTTATGGATATTATTGACCTTGCACCAATTTATAACTTGGTACTATAAAAACACATACAACTTCAAAATGAGAAAAAAAAAGGTACTTGAGCACTTTGAAAATTTATTTCTTTTCAGTGTATTTTATTACTATTACTATTATTCTAGATATTATAATGCAAAAGACAATTTTTGCTTGGTCATAAATAAATTTATGCAAGTTATTTATGATTTCATCCAAAATAAAGTGACAAAACTGTGAGAGGCATTTTGGTGGATTATTTATTGAGTTTAGGAGAATGCTTACCACACAGAATAGAAGAGAATCAAACTAATTTTTCTCTGGCCACTGTCACTTCGAATCAATTTTTCTGTTATTTATATAGGGCAGCACAATGTTTTAAATTTGCCACTAAAAGGTAAAATCCATATCTTTTTCCTTAACTATTATGGATCACCCTACATAACTGCTTTTAGCAGATATCTGCTTTTCAAAAAGTGAGTATTTGCACATTTGAAGCAATGTGTCACATTTCTGCTTCACTGACTAGCATTGCTTTAAGTCTCTTGGATCCCATCATCTTGTGTTATGTCAAATCACATTGGCTTTTCTATGCGACAAAATATACAGTGGTGGAAGGTGACAGAAGAAATGTAATGCAATATGACACATCAGAAATTTAAAGGGTAAAGAGATTAGCTATTTGGTGTCAAATTAGATAGGGAATGTCAAATCCAAAATGAATCTGGCAGTCACTAATGGAGTGAAAGGTACAGTATTCACCCTATCTATGAAACAATGAATTCTGAACTTCATCAGAACATATTAAGCTAACTCAGAGATATGGTCTGGAACATCAGACAGTATTTTGGAAGATCATAGGCCTGCACTGCACTTCAAGGTCATAATGACATTGTTTACATAGATTTGATCCATATGATTCTTTTTTATAGAAAATATGCAATATTGATTATCATTGATAATGTACATGTTGTATTTAATAAATTATGAGTTTTAATTATGATTTTCAAAAGTGAAAGTAATACAATGGCATCCTGCCATGTTATACAGGATGGCATTATTTCACACAAACCAGCAAAAGCATTTTAAACTATATGGAATGGAATAAGAAGAACCCTTATGATCATGATAATACAAATTTCTGAAGATTTAGTTTGTACCTTTTACTATGTAAAGTTTTAAAATAGACATGGTATTAGAGGATTTTAACTTGGAAAATAATTGGTAAAAAGTTATATAGATTTATCTTTCCCCCCTCAATGAGATAATGGTAAGTGAGGATAAAATAAAGGCTAAAAGAAATTACCCATTTCTCTTGTCTCCTGTTGGTAATATTTAGTGATTAAAGATCACCATTTATCTGTTTTTTTCTGCACTTGGCACAATAATTTTCCTTGCTTACCTCAATATATTATTTTTTTAGAAAATTATATTGTTTTCTACTTATCATATTACAATTTACCATTTGCAACTGTCAGTTCTTTTCACTAGTGCATTTTGGAATAAAGTTTATTGAGGAGAAAACTTCCTACTGTTTAATTGACATTCACATTCAAAGAATAATTTTAAGAAAAAAAGCAAACAACTACTAAATTTGGGAGAAAGTAGTTTATCCTGTTCATCTTTATTTCTCTTCCCCCTTATCTCTTTCTCCTTTATCGTCTTGGGATTATTGAGCTAAAGCAAATGATTCCTAATGTTGACATTTAACCCTTTTTAAAAGACATGAAAACATTGAAGCTCTAATACGAGGCTGGGGCAAACTCTGAACTATTTTAATTTTATATTACTCCATAGATTAAAGGTGTAGGGTTATCTAATGAGAAAAGTAAAAAAAAAAATGATCTAAATGTAAACAACACACATGGATTACTTGCAAATAAGCTACTTCTGCTTTCTATCTTTTGTTAATCTAAAAGGTATTTTTATTTTTTTTTTTAGCAACCAGTGAATTTCTGAGGGAAGGCAGGAATATAAAGAGATCTAAAGAATAAGTAACTGATTGCTCTGCAACTCAGAGTGAATTATTATTTGTAAGCCTATTAGGATAAATTTATCAAAGATTAATGAAGGGTATTTCGAGAATTGGAGTTGAGATCATTAGACCATTCTAATTTGTCCTCCCTTTCTATCTCAGAGTAAAAATATCCTAATGGAAATAGAATGTCACTATATTATTAAAACTTGTCCTATATATTTTTCTGTTTGTATGTTTTTCAAGGGAGTTTATCAAACAAAATTCACTAAAAGGAGTTTAAAAACTATCACTTAAATGGTCAAATTTAAACATTTTCAAAAAGAAGATAAAAAATCTCTAAGCCAAACTTTTATTTATAGCACTTCCAAATACATTTCTGCAACTGTGGAAACTGCAATCTAAGCAACTTACTTAAAATTTGGGAAATTGTTAACATACTTTTAATGGAAATTTAAAAAAACACTAAATATCACTCAGTGTTGTAGCATGGCCACTTCTTTCTCAGCCTCAAGTTATAGTGAGTCAGTATTTTTGTTCATGCCCACATTTATAAAATTTTACTTTGAACTTACCTAAATTAACTCTTCAAACATTGTTTTATGATTTTGATATATATAATTAACCTATTCTATTAACATGTACACAAAAGCTATACATCCATTCTTTTAGTAATTTGTAACCAGAAAAATATTTAAATAAAATCCAGTCTTTGGACTATGTTTTGTATGTTTAAACACTTATGAGTATGCAATGAAAAACAACAAGAGTAAAATTCTCTCGATAAAGTCACATTCTCTGCAATTAGGACTAGGAGAAGCCCCTGGAAAGTCACATTCCTCCACAATATAAACTAATGTGATGTCTTGATTCTGATTACCGAAGTTTATAGACAGAGTTATTCAGAAGACATTTGTGAAGGTGGAACACAGAGATGTCCTGGGATACTCACGCTCACGTGATATCCTGAAAGTATTTGGCAGCTAGGTTTGCTTGATTGGTATGCCTCATTCAAGCAAGGATGATGGGCCTACACAATAGAGTTAGGGAGTGCCTCCATGCTTGTTAAATCTATGGCTTTTTCAACCTGTAAGGATCATCTCATCATCTACCCCTGCAAATCAGAAGGGAAAAGAGAAAAGAAGAAGAATATAGACCTACTTTGTAAACCCATAAATTAGAAGAGGAAAAAGACAAGTTGTAGAATGTGAAAGCCCTTCTTAAAATGTACCTCTGGCATACACACACAAAAAGGTACATGTTAATTCTCTTAGCCTTCCTTTGATTACAATAAATTAGAAGACCACACCAAAGGGAAAAGGAATTTAGAAATAGAGTACCTGGCTGGGCCCCTGGACCTCCACACAAACTGCCTACTGCGGACAGAACAGCATTGCTTTGGTAGAAATTTGGACATCTCTCCTAGACCAAACACATTCATTAGAGAATTATTTCTAGGCTCCACAATGTTATTTAACAAATGCTAATGGAAAGTTTTGGATAATTATATTTACACTGATTAAGTAATCACCTTTGTTCTGTTTATCCCTGCTATATTTCAAAAGCTAACAACTAGTGGACCATATATTTATACACAAAATAATTCAAATCAAATAACTGAGCCTGGAATATAGATAAAAATAATATACGTATTTCCCACTATGTATACTGCAGTACTTTTAATGTAAATTACATCAGACAAGGTGACAAATAGAATATTTACATACAATGTGCTTTTCATCTAAACCCTTTAAAAATATGCTGGAGGTATTCAATAAATAAGTACTATTTACTTATCTTTCTTTAAACATCATAATGAAAGTGAGAAAGACAACTATTAGCATGAAAGAAATGAAGGAAACTTTTCTTGCTGAAAAAGGAAGCTTTGGATAGTAAATACTACATAGTAGCTTCTGTATTTCCAGGCACAGTACAAAAGAAAGGATTCTCTTAGGTAGAGCTTTGTTTATAATGTAATTGACAAAAACTCATGAGACTTTTTAAATTCTGCCATATTCCCAATCCTTACACAATGAACTGAAATTTGAAACTTATGGCAATGCTTGGAATTTAGTTTGAAGTACAGCATACAAATCTCAACTGAAAGAGTGAATTCCTCCAAGTATATCATTACAGCTCGATCCAAATTATACACTAGTTGAGAAAAACTGCCTTTCAAATGTTTTAAAAAATACGTTATTTCTTTGCTTGTTCAAAGACAGTATATGATTATCAGATAGTATTTGATTAGGAAACTCTGTTAAAATCATTTCAGCCAAACCCAGGGCAAAGTGTTTATAATGTTTGTTCACTGTCATGTTCTATACTGAACATTATTCTCCCTACCCAAGGGTTCTCAACATTTATCACCAAATTTTGAACCATGTTAACAACTTTGAGGTTCAAGGTAAATTAAAAATGAAGAAAGCCAAGTGATAAGTTTTATTTTACAGAATTAAAAGAGATGAAAATCAAAGGCCAGGCTTAATGACTCACACCTGTAATCCCAGCACTTTGGGAGGCCAAATTAGGCAGATTGCTTGAGCTCTAGAGTTTGAGACCAGCCTGGGCTGTAACATAGTGAAACTCTGTCTCTACAAAAAAATTAGCCAATATGGTGGCATGTACCTGTGGTCCCAGCCACTTGGGGGACTGAGGTGGGAGGATCGCCTGAACCCAGGAGGCAGAGGTAGTAGTGAGCCGAGATCACACCATCCAGCCTGGGTGACAGAACCAGACCCTGTCTCAAAATAAACAAATAAAATAAAATAAAATAAAATAAAATAAAATAAAATAGAAAGTCGTACAGCAAGTGGTCAAACTAAAAATGGCAACAAAACTGAACCAAAGGACAAAATTCACATTATCACAATGGGAATAATTAGTCCATCTCTGAATAAAAGTATAAAGATAAATTCTTTCTAGAATTCTTGCAAGTCGGCTTTCTATCTAATAATTTAAAAAATGAGAATAAACTAATAAACCCTTTACTTAAGGCTTTAAAGTTTTATTTTCAGAAAAAGTGGGTGAATTAAATTGAAAGTCAGAATTGCAGCTATATTTTAGTGCACAATATATTTTTTATTAAAAAACATATATATTGAAAAATACTGCATGTTTTTGTATGATTATAATCAAAATAGATAAATATAGTTAGGAGGTCATTTGAGGATACCATCTGAGATAATTATAGCAGTATTTGATAGTTGTGATCCATGTGAAGTAGTGAGAAGATTACACTAAAAATAAATATGCTAGAACAAATTTGGCTAAAGTGTGCTTTCAATAGAATCTATCTTAGAATGTATTTTGTGTGTATATTCTAAAATTTATAATGACAGCATCTGCTATTTATTCATTATCAGATTATTTCAGCTTGCTTTGAAAAGGTTCTTGAACAGCCTTTATACCATCTGCCAGCAGGATGGGAATGTTTGCCTACAAAATTATCATTTTATGCACTCATTACAAAGTAGATAGTATGTCACCCTTATCACTTGCATGAGGACATAAGAGGCTGTTAAACTAGACTCTGTTGCAAATATATGTAATTTACATAATGTGATAAAGTATAATATTTAAGATACACAGGGCTAAGATGGATTTTAAATCATTTTAATTTTCTATTATTTTGGCCACTGTAGTCATCCTAAAGGGCTTGGAGCCCTTGAAATTGATTTTGATTATAATCATTATGGTTTTACAATGAAAAGTGACTTGGTGTGAGAGCACACCATCCATCATAACTTTGATGTAATTCCAATATACCAGGACAAAGCAATCCTAATTCAATCAAATAGATATTTAAAAATATATTATACAGCATTCAGAACTGCCAACTAAATATATACTAATGGATTTTCTGTTTCCACTGTCTAAATGACATTTATAAGGCTATGGTGAAGATGCAAAAATGATAATTTCTGAGCAATTATTTATTTTAAGAAACCAGTAAATCAATTAAGCTACCTGACACTTTATCATCTGATGAAAAATTTATAAGCTCGTTTGATTGTCATAAAAATAAAAGGATGTTGTCTTTGAAGATTCTAAAAGTCTTCTCAGAGCTAACATTACTGATAGTACACTGTTCAGACAGTGAAAAGGACATTTGAAGTTCACACCAAGGAGAATCAAGGAAAAGTTCAGTGTATACTTCTTGTAGTTATTGGATATACATTTTTTACATTTTTTAATAGAAAGAAATGCAAATATTAATGGTATGACTCTGTAAAAGGGAGTTATATTTTGTTATTTGCTTTAACATTTCTGTTGTAATATTTAGTTATTGTTTAGTTGATAATTTGTTTAGTTAACCCAAAAGAACGTTCACAAACATATTGTTTTTTACTAAGCCACTTTTAAAAGATCCATTAACAGAATTGCTTCTGGCAGTTTCATCTGCAGACCAGCAATTTTAAAGCCTTAGTTGTCACCAAACGGAAGAGTCCACAGAAGCTGAATAAAATAAGGAGAGAGAGATATGAGAAAACAGTTAGAGTTCAACACTGGGATTCAATTTATAAAGACCAAGAAAAGCCAAGTTTTTGTTTATGGTATTTGCACCTAGTTCCTCCTAGACTTAATCTCTTTTAAATAACTTTTCTAAAAAGCTTATGTTGAATTCCTGCCTTCCATTAGAATTCAGATAGTATTGGATGTAGCTAGTTTTGTTGTGCTATGCAGTGGTATATTTTAATTCATCTTTTTTTAGAGCACTTTTTTTGAAAAATTAAGACCTTAGAAAATAAATTTCTATCCCAAGTTTTTGTCTCCAAAGTAAATTTAAATGTACTTTTATAGATGACACATTGCCTACATTATTTTTATAATTTTTTATACAGCTGGTGATACTAATAATTATAATTTATTCAATACCAGAATACAGACCAGAGGACATTTTCTAATATTTTAAAAACCTGTTTATTATTAGTAGATGTGAGATTAACACATATTGCTGCATTACAGAACCTGTTCCATGAACAATAACATTTTAGAACAAATCATAATCTAAAAATGATTCACATTATATTTGTATTGACTGATTTATTTAATAATGAAATAAAATTTATATTTTAAACATAGTTATATTTATTCAAACAATACTCAGTATAATCATCTTTCTCAGAGGAGTCAGCTCCCTTGGTATGCAGCACAGTAGCAAAAATTATTGCTAATATTATTGAAATCCTCTCATGGCACTAATAAAATGTACAGCTGGTCTTTTCACCAGTACTGTATCTATTTTATCATATTGTGTTCTGAGCTGAAATATCCCATTACATTTTTTGACTTAAAATATTTTAGCATATACAGTCACCATAATGTAAAAAATGTCAAGAAGGTATATATATTATTATTTTTATTTATGGAAATGTTTACTTTTAGGAACAAGTACACTTAAATATTTACATACATAAAACTTAAATTTCAAACTATTTTGTTTTACGTATTCTGATTTCATTGGTTTGGATTTCCTCTTCACATATTTGAATTACAGTTTTCATGATTCATTCATTTTTTTTTCCATTTATGTTGTAATATATTCTTTTCAGCTCAAAAACATGTGATAGCATGAATGAAGGTACAGTGTATACATCCATAAGAAACCTAGGCTGCACATTTTTTAACATCAGTGTCCTGAGTTGCATTTTCATAATATTGACAGCTCTTGTTGCCATTGTACTGCACCACACTGAGTGTGCTGACCCTGCTGTGAAAGACCTTCTGTTATCAAAAATTGATGCTAAATCCAAGCTGTTAGCAGCAGCTTTTTATGTAAGTGCAGTAGATTGAACAAACAGTTTCAGTGCCCTAGAGTCATGGAAAGGTTAGAAATAGCTCTGACCATTAAATGATATCTATTAATTTTGCTCTGGAGAACAAGCTGCCCAGTTAGGCAGTGATAGAGATAATTGCTTTGACTGTGAAACCATTAAGCAAGTTTCAAAGAATTTCTTCAGTGGAAAGTATGATAATGCCTACTTAATGCTTTAAGGTAAACATTAAGCGTTCAAATGAGAATGAGAAAGACGTGTGTGTGTGTGTGTGTGTGTGTGTGTGTATGCATGTATAATTTTTCTATGAGATAAACTCTCATAGAAAATTAAAGTCCAGCCGTTGAAAATATTTGGATTTATTTGCCTAAGAAGCTATTTTGTTTGGGTTTTAAAAGTGTGAAATAATGAATTAAAAACAATGCCAACTGATTTAAGACACATATTTTCTAATTTAAGGGATCTTTCCATGATCGAACAGAAATAACCTGATGAAAGTATAAATAATTAAAATTTCTTGGGTAAAACTTTTAAATTTTTGAATACGCACACATCAAAATATATAGTTTTTGTCTTTCTCTGAATTTCATGACAGAGCTGTTAAGTTAAAGGGCAAGGACACAGAAAGATGAAGCCTAGCCTACAAATGATGAGAAAATGTAGGGATATATCATCTTGGAGTTTCTCAATATTTTTAAGAGGGAATTAGAAGCCAATGTGCATTGACAAGGAGGAAATTCAGGGCATCATAACCGAAATCTCTAGGATGATGGAAGCTACTGGCTAACATAAAGGCTTTACAGGTATACATATATGTGTGTGTGTGTGTTGGGGGAGTGTACTATGACTTCTAAAACTGAACATTTCTGAAACTGAAATTTAGTCTCTATGTCCCAGTGTTTAAGATACGCTCTCAATATATTAAATGTTAAAACAAGGTAGTCAAACATATAGGCAACCACATTAAATAACATTCTGTAAAAATGATTGTATAACAAACAAAACACAACGATAAGATGATCATGGAACATGCTACTCCTGATCTAATGAATCACTCTTAGATGAAGGCATATCAGATAAGTGAAGGTAGGAGGTTGTAGAATGAAAGAAATGTGCATTAGAAGCTTTGAATATCCCCTGACAAATGATTCATCTTTTCTACTTCTCTGTCTAATCGTGTGTTGTGCAGGTGCATGGAATAGTCATTCAGTTTTCTGGAACAGAGTAAATTGAAATGAATCAGTGTCTATGAATCATCAACAATCAATCAACAAAAACCTTCTGATGTATTTGTGGCTCAAAGCTAGTTGAAGGATTTCCTTCCTCAGGAGCCCATGGAGTGTGCACATTTGTGCGTCTATATTTAATAATGCTCACCATAAAGTAATAGTGTACCTCATTTTTTCTGTTTAAATACAATTTTCAGTTTAAATACAATTTCTCATTTTTTAAATGAGAAAGATGAAGCAAGAGAAAGTTGAACAAATATCTCACTGTCTTTTTAGTCATGAAGCAGTGAAAATTGGATGTGAACAGCTAGTCTGGTTTTAAAATCTATAAATTTAAACATAGTATTATACTGTATAGTGTGAGTAGGTGTCTTTTCTTCCCCCAACTCTTCTCTCACCTTTCGTTCATCTGTTTCCTGTCTCTTTTTCTCTCTGTTTATCCCACACTTTCTCTTTCCACCTCCACCTTCTTTTTCTCTTCTCTGCTTTTCTTTCTCCTTTTCCCCTCTTTGATTAATATTTCTTTTTCATTTTTCTATCACAAATTCCTAATAAATTATTTTAGATTTGTGGAATGTTAGCAAAAGCTACAAAGTAATATATATATACCTCAGAAACTCCAAAATGTAAGACAGGAATTTTTTTTTAATATACTAGTTCCCTCAGCTTCTTTGAGAAAATGAAAAAGAGAGCTCTGAATGTGCTTCAGGGCACAGGAATGAAGACCCTTAACCCAGGAAAGGAGAAAGCTGCCAAGCCCTACATGAGAACTACCCTAAGTAAGATGGCAAAATACCTCCCAGATGTGAAGGAGACAATAAGGACAATTTACTGAATATGAGGAGGAATAATTTTCAGTGTTCTCCTGGTAATATTGCACTGATTATTGTTTATGAGAGTGGAAGGGACGTAGTGAGAAGAGGGAAGGTAGCTTTTTGTTTGTTTTGTTTTTGTTTGCTTAAGAATATATAAACACTAATAGGGGAAATTATTCTCAGTGACATGTCAAACCATGTCACCAAATATGTCAGCCACAAAATTGCTAGGTGGGAAGTAACCCAGTTGGAAGTTTCATCCATTAAAATGAAATGTTTGCTAATAACACTCAGTGAGACCTCAGGGACCTGATGGGGAAAGGGAAATGCCTTTTATGACTTGGATCATTAATTTTAATTAATGAGGAACCTTTTGTTAAAGGTGTTTTAAGAACATTACTTGAATGCCTACAACAAGAAAAATGTATAATGGGAAGCAAGACTTACATTGCATAAACAATTCTTCTAATGGGACACATGGAATGAATAAATATTTCAGAAAAATAAAAAATGCAGCATCCCATACTTGTAAGGTTTAATCTCTAGAGAAATCAAAATGTAAAATACCATCTGATAATGTTAAATTCATAATTTGCAAAAATACAATCAACTTTATTCCCCACAGTTTAAATAAATTATCAAATAAATCTCTGTATGACTACTTGGCAGAATGCATTTATCTTAATATTTATGTTATAGATTCTATATGCTTAGTAGCTACATACTTATGCATAGTAATCATGTGTTGTGACTTTTAAGATCATGGTAAGAACAACTTAGCATGGGGTTGACCCGTTTAACAAAATTTTAAATGCCCAATACAATATTGTTAACTACGGACACAATGTTGAACAGCAGATCTCTAGAACATGTTTATCTCACGTAACTGAAACTTTTATACCCATTGAACAGTAACTCCCCATTCTCCCCTCCCTCTAGTTCCTGATAGCCACTATTCTACTTTCTGTTTCTATGAGTCTATTTTAGATACCTTAAATAAGTGGAATTATACTGTATTTATCCTTCAGTGACTGGCACATTTTTCTTAGCATAATTTTCTCCAGGTTCATCATTTTTGTTGCATATGGCAGGATTTTTTTCCTATTGAGGCTCAATATTAATCCAATATATGTAAATACCACATTTTCTTTATCCATTCATCCATCTATAGATGGTTTTTATTGTTTTCATATCTTAGCTATTGTGAGCAATGATACAATGAGATGGAAGTGCAGATACATCTTAGAGATTCGGATTTCAATTCTTTCGGATATATACCCAGATATAGGATTGCTGGATCATATGATAGTTTGATGACTACTACAGTTACTTTTGAAATAGTTTTTAATTTCTTCAGTGGTTATACCATTTTCACATTCGTACCCACAGTATACAAGAATTCTAATTTCTCTACATCCTTAATAACACTTGTTATATTTTGTTTTGTTGTGGTGGTAGTTTTTGTAATAGCCATTTTAACCAATGAGAGGTGATATGATGGTTTTGATTTGTATTTCTCTTATGATTAGAGATGCTTAGTTAAACATCTCTTCCTATCTCTGTTGACTGTTTGTATTTATTCTTTGTAGAAGTGTCTATTTAAGCGATTTAGCTATTTTCAGATCATTTTTGTTTTTGTTTTACTTTTGTGTAATAGAAGTTCCTTATATAGTGTAGATATTAACCACTTATCAAATACATAATTTGAAAATATTTTCTCCCATTCTGAAGGCTGCCTTTTCACTGTTGATTTTGTGTGTGTGTGTGTGTGTGTGTGTGTGTGTCTGTGTGTGTGTATGCGTGCTGAAGCTGTTTAGTGTCCTATAGACCTACCTGTCTACTTTTGCTTCAGTTGTTTGTGCTTTTGGTGTAATATCCAATAAATCATTACCAAAACCGATCATAATTTTTTTCTCCTTTTTTTCCCTAGGAGCTTTATATTTTCAGGTCCAAAATTTAAATATTTAATCAATTTTGAGTTAATTTTGTGTACGGTAAAAGTTATGCATTCAATTTCATTCTTTTACATGTGTATATCCAGCTTCCTCAGCTCCATTTAGTGAAGACACTAGTTTCCTCATTGTGTATCCTTGACATCTTTGTCAAAAATCAGTTTACTGTATATGTGCGCATTTATTTCTGGGCTCTATATGTCTATATTTTTTGCCAGTACAATACTGTTTTAATTATTGTAGCTTTGTAATACATTTCTAAATCAGGAAGTGTGATGCCGCCAGCTTTGTTCTTATTTCTTAAGATTGCTTTGGCTCTTCTGAGTCTTTTATGGTTTTATATAAATTTTAGAAGTGTTTTTTTCTTTTCTGTAAAAAATGGCATTGAAGTTTTGATACACATTGCTGGAATCTGTGATCACTTTGGGTAGTATGGACATTTAAAAAATTTTAAGTCTTCCAATCCATAAATACAAATGTCTTTCCATTTATCTGGATCTTCTTTAGTAAATGCTTTGTAGCTTTTTAGCATACAATTGTTTCAACTCTTTGCTTAAGTTTATTACTAAGTATTTCATTAATTTTGGGGCAATTATAAAGGGGATTTTTCTTAATTTCCTTTTTGGATAGTTCATCGTTAGTGTTTAGAAACACAACTGATTTTTGTATATTTATTTTGTATTCTGCTATCTTACTTAATAAGTTTATTATTTCAAATGGTTTTTTGGTGAAGCTTTTAGAATTTTATCTGTGGAAGATCATATCATTTGCTAACAGAGGTAATTTTGCTTTTCCTTGACTATTTTGATGTCTTTTATTTCTTCTTGGCTAATTGCCCTTGTTAGGGATTCCAGTACTATGTTGAATAGAAATGGTAAGAGTTCTTGATGTTAGAGGAAAAGCATTCAGATTTTCATCCTTAAGTGTAATGTTAACTATGGGCTTTTCTTACATGGATTTTACTGTGTTGAGATAAATCCCTTCTACACTTAGTTTGTTGAGTGATTTTAATATGAAAGGACGTTGGATTTTGTTAAAAACTTTTCTGCATCTACTGAGATGATAAAGTGATTCTATCCTCCATTCTGTTAATTTAGTGTATCACAATAATTGATTCACCTATTTTGAACCATCACTGAATCTTAAGGATAAATTCCACTTAGTCATGATCCTTCTACTTTGCCATTGAATTTGGTTTGCTAGTATTTTGTTGAGGACTTTTGTATTTATATTCACCAGGGGTATTGGCCTATAAGTTTCTTTTGTTGCTGTTGTTTTTCTTGTAGTGTATTTTTCTGGGCTTGGTATTAAAGTATGTGATTGTTAATTATATTTTCTGCTGACATATTTTATTATTGGTTTCCAGGTATTTTACTAGGAGTTAATTATTCTGTAAAAAGGTGGAAACTTCTTGGATAATACTGAGGAAACTATCAAATGCTAATACAGAAAAAAAATCAGTTTTTGTTCCCCTAATTGAATTCTAGTTGTCACTTGGGGTTATAGATTGCAACATCCTATCTCAGACTATGGTACAATTATCTCTGTGGTGCCACACAGAGTTCCCATGAAAACAAATAAGGTTGTTAAGTTTAGTAGGAAAGAAGAAGAAACAAGTCTTTGTTCTTTTTATTTCAGACTGCAGTACAATAAATGAGTTATCAGAGTTCCCCTATTTTCAGCTTCTTAGAAAAGAAAAACATGCAAGTTTGAAAGAAAAAATGAACTCATTTATTAAAATCTTAACATCTTCTTATAGGTTTATATCTTTGTTTTATTTATTGTTTAGATACAAAGAATTTTCTTAGCCATATGATTTAAAATTCTCATCTAATAAACTCAATTTCATGAAGCTTGAGCATGACTAAATGCATTTTGTCAGCACCAGGCTACTTTCAAACATGTGTTCAGACTTCTCACCCTGACAGCTGTTCTCTTTGCATTCTGCTTTTTATGTAATACACTTGAGGCAGGGTGACATCAGTCAAGCCATATTTGAACAGAAGAGAGAGTTTCCTGTGTTAGAATTTCTAGGATGCATCATTTAACTTCAAATGATGCATAAAGCATAGTTATAAAAAACAATCTTACGTTGTAAAATCTGTGAAATAGTTTCCTTATGATATCAAGGTAATAACAGCCATGCCAGGTAAAACTTGGTCTTCTAAATGTTAGCTCTAGTACACAATACTTTTTAAAAAAGAAAATGAAAGCTATGATTTTTTAAACTATCTATTTTGATCAGCTTATAAAAAATAGGGTAGAATCTCTCTCTCTCTCCGTTTTACTTTTTCTCTCTTCCTGTTTCTTCTACTCTCTGTGAACTAAGTCAAGGCCTATTTATCTGAGACAAAATAATACATATTAGTCCAAGTTGTATACAGAAGCACTAAAACTTCATTTCAAAATTTATCTAGTGTGTGAAAAATCAATATTATTACACAGGAGTGAGACAACTTATTAATATTTAATAATAATGACTAATCTTGTTTATTTCATTTGTCCTTTATTTCATTTTTTTTTTTTTTTTTTTTTTTTTTTTGAGACAGAGTTTCACTCTGCCACCCAGCCTGGAGTGCAGTGGTGTGATCTCGGCTCACTGCAAGCTCTGCCTCCGGGGTTCATGCCATTCTCCTGCCTCAGCCTCCCGAGCAGCTGGGACTACAGGCACACGCCACCATGCCTGGCTAATTATTTGTATTTTTAGTAGAGATGGGGTTTTACCGTGTTAGCCAGGAGGGTCTCGATCTCCTGACCTCGTGATCCGCCCACCTAGGCCTCCCAAAGTGCTGGGATTACAGGAATGAGCCACCGCGCCCGGCCCCTTTATTTCATTTTTAATGTATAAGTTTTATAGTGATAGAAATATTCTGATCAAAAATAGAGATAAGGTCAGAAATAACCCAATATCCATCAATAATGGAATATTAAGATGAATAATGAATCTGCATATTATTAAACAATTGAGATGCAAAGCTGGCTGGGCTTCTGGGTTGGGTGGGGACTTGGAGAACTTTTCTGTCTCTCTAAAGGTTTATAAATGCACCAATCAGCACTCTGTAAAAACGCACCAATCAGCGGTCTGTGTCTAGCTAAAGGTTTGTAAATGCACCAATCGGCACTCTGTAAAAATGCACCAATCAGTGCTCTGTGTCTAGCTAAAGTTTTGTAAATGCACCAATCAGCACTCTGTAAAAACGGACCAATCCGCATTCTGTAAAGTGGACCAATCGGTGCTCTGTAAAATGGACCAATCAGCAGGACGTGGGTGGGGCCAAATAAGGGAATTAAAGCTGGCCCCCCAGCCAGCAGAGGCAACCTGCTTGGGTTCCCTTCCATGCTGGGGAAGGATTGTTTTTTTGTTGTTCACAATAAATCTTGTTGCTGCTCACTCTTTGGGTCAGCAGTACCTTTACAAGCTGTAACACACCACGAGGGTCTGCAGCTTCATTCCTGAAGTCAGTGAGAACACCAACCCACCAGAAGGAAGAAACTCTGGACACGCCATCTTTAAGAACTTTAACACTCACTGTGAGGAACCAATTCCAGACACACAGTGAAACATAATGGGGTAGATATTTACTGATATAGAATTCACATTTTTAAAAGAAAAATTAAAAGATTAAAAACAAGTATGAGAGCACTTTGTAAACAAAATAAAACAAAAAGTAGATATTTAGGCTTGTGAAGATTTATGCTAAATTGTTGAACATACAGTCCTATAATTGAAGAAAGAGTGAAGTTCTGGCTAGGCGTGTTGGCTTGCACCTGCAATCCCAGCACTTTGGGAGGCCGAGGTAGGCGGATCACGAGCTAAAGAGATCAAGACCATCTTGGCCAACATGGTGAAACCTCGTCTATACTAAAAACAGAAAAATTAGCTGGGCATGGTGGTGCGCACCTGTAGTTCCAGCTACTCAGGAGGCTGAGGCAGGGGAATCGCTTGAACCTGGGAAGTGGAGGTTGCAGTGAGCCGAGGTTGCAGTGAGCCAAGGTTGCGCCACTGCACTCCAGCCTGGCGACACAGGGAGACTCCATCTCAAAAAAAAAAAGACTGAATTTCTGACAAAGGTCTTTGCTGTTTTATTTTCACCTTATTCATTAATGTAAATAAAAACATTAAGAAACAATGTCAGAACTACATCTGCTTATCACTTCCAACAATATAATTGCTGCAGATATAAAAGTTTAGCAAAATCAACTCACGTTTTCCAGAAAAATAGATACATGGAATTCACAAAAATGTTTTACATACACATTATTTGTATCAGTAAAATGTATGATTTGTAGATGTATATTTCTTGTACTTCATGAACCTCCTTATAAAATGAAAATTCAGGGTCACAAGACGAAAGATGGAGTCTCAGGCTTAAATCATTTTCTTTTCCTCAATAACTTTAATTGCAATCCTGTTTTTTTTATTTTTTATTTTGTGCCTGCTGTTTATTTTTTATATTCAACGCCTCATCACAAAACCAGACACATCCAAAAGTTGTTTGTTTCTGTAATTTCCAATTTATTTTCCACTACCTAAAACATGATAATGCTATAGTGGAAAGAGACTTCACATAGGTTCTCTTTTGCTTTTCACTGTTTGTTGATGAATGTATTCTAGTTCCCGTCCAAATCAACCTCATACATTGAAAGAATCCAGGGCCAGTAGCTTGCAGCAAAAATCTTATGTAATGGTCACAATTACTTGTTCTAATCAAACTTAGGTTTTCCTTTTTATCTAGTCAGTAGAAATGTACTTAATTGCTTCCTGCAGTTTTCTATATATCTTATCACGTAAAGAGGTAATTCTTCTTGTTAGTATATAGTAAATAACAACAACAACAAAAAACCTGACAACTGGTTGCTAGTTAATTTTCAGTCTGCTAAACCATTTCATTTTCTATTAGATAATTGACTTCAGAAACTTCAGACATGTTTGAGCCAATTGTAACTCCTTGGGCTATACTCTAAACATCCTATTAATATAATTTGTATATTTGCTATAATTTATTGTGGCTAATTAATAAATATATCCATATTTTATTCTTCCTTAACACCTTGCAAGACTACAGTCACAACACTTTGCATTTAATTGGAGCCATATGACTCTTTCTCAATAACTGAATTAGCTGAGTTGTTTATTTCGGTGCATGGAGTACAAAGAGGTAAAGACCTAAAACTAAACAATGAGGAACTCTGAATAAGGATTAGCTAATCCTACAAAAGATGACTGAAATTAAGTGGCCAGTTGGGAAAGAATCCAGGTGAGCAGTGTGCATCACAACTCTGAGCAACATATGTTTAAACAAGAGCGTTGTCAACAGTGCTAAACACAATTGAACCTTGAGAAACATGGCTTTGAATTGTGCAGGTCCACTTATGTGTGGATTTTTAAAATAAATATATGGGAAAATTTTTTGGAGATTTTTGACAATTCGAAAACCTCACAGATGAGAGTTTGCCTAAAAATATTTTAAAAATAAGAATAAGGCATGTTATAAATGCATAAAATGTATGTAGATACTAGTTTATTTTATGACTTACTGGCAGAAAATATACAGAAATTTATTATAAAATGTTAAACTTTATCAAAACTTATGCACTCACATACACACTATTCATGGCTGCATTTGTAATTGAGAAAAATGTAGAGAAACAAAAAAATGAAGTATGAAATTGTAATGGCATAAAATTAATGGTATTACATAACGTACTACTGTGATAATTTCATAGCTACCTCCTGTTTCTACTGCAGTGTGCTCATGTGTTGCTAGTATCTACCAAAAAGGCCATGTGATGCTAGTTGTCTACACGTGAGCAGTTTGATATTACATAATGTACTACTGTGGTACATTATGTACCACATATGTTATTAGATAAGGCAGTACTGTGGTAATTTCATAGACATCTCCTATTGCTATTGCGGTGTGCTCATGTGTTGCTAGTATCTACTGAAATGCCATGACAACATGCTAGTTGTCTTCATGTGAGCAGTTTGTCTTTCTAGTAATCATATATTGCAGCAAAAAGGGATCTCTCACAGCGCTCATGTATTTTTCATTGCGCTTAGTGCAATACCATAAACTTTGAATAACACCATGGGACTCATATGAAGAGCCACTAGTGATGCTGGAAGTCCTCCCAAGAAGCAGAAAAAAGTCATGACATTGCAAGAAAAAACTTGAATTGCTTGATAGGTATCATATATTGAGGTCTGCAGCTGTGGTTGTCTGCCATTTCAAGATAAATAAATCCAGCATAGGGACCATTGTAAAAAAAGAAAAGAAAATTTGTGAAGCTGTCACTGCAGCAACACCACCAAGCATGAAAATCTTATGCTTTTTGAAAATATCTTTTCATCTCATACTGAAAATGCAGCTTTTATGTGGGTATGGGATTGCTGTAAGAAAGGCATACCTATATACTTTAATACAATTTGAAAAAAAGTGAAGTCCTTTCATGACAATTTAATGTAAAAGGAAGGTGAAGGATCTAAAGTTGGAGAATTTAATGCCAGCAAAGAATGATTTGATAATTTTAGAAAGAGATTTAGTGTAAAAGATGTCAGTTAACAAGAGAAACATCTTCTGTTGACCAGGAATCAGCAAAGTCCCCAGACACCGTTAAGAAAATGATTGAGGAGAAAGGATGTCTGCCTGAACAGATTTTTAGTGCAGATGAATGTGTGCTATTCTGGAATAAAATGGCACAAAGGACATTTATTAGTAAAGAAGAGAAGCAAGCCAGGATTTAAGACAGAAAGGGATAGGCTAACTCTACTGCTTTGTGCAAATGCAGTCGGCTTTATGATCAGGTTTGACCTTACCTTATAGCTGCTGACCTCTGAGCCTTGAAGGAGAAAGATAAACATCAGAGGGAAGTCTTTTGGTTTGACAACAAAAAGCCCTGGACAATGAGAATCTTTTTTCTGATTAGTTTCATCAACACTTTATTCCTGAAGTCAAGAAGTACCTTGCCAGTCAGGGACTTCCATTTAATGTTTTCTGATATTGGACAATGCTCCTGGACACTCAGAACCCCATGAGTTTAACACTGAAGGTACTGAAGTAGTCTAGTTGCCCCCAAATATAGTATCTCAAATTCAGCCTCTAGATCAGGGACTCATAAGGACCTTTAAAGGCTTATTAAGCATGGTAATCTATGGAAAGAATCATCAATGACAAAAAGAAGAACCCTGATAGAGAGAACAGCATAATAATCTGTGAAGATTACCCCATTGAAGATGCCATCCTTGTTATAGAAAAAGATATGAAAGCCATCAAGCCTGAAACAATAAATTCCTGCTGGAGAAAGCTATGTCCAGAGGTTGTGCATGACTTCATAGGATTTACAATGAGATAAGCGAGGAAATCATGAAAGAGATTGTGGCTATGACACACACAAAAAAGAGATGGGGAATGAAGGGTTTCAAGAATGCTGTTAGACACCACAAAAGAGGAATTAGCAGAAGATGACTTGATGGAGATGAGTGCTTCCAAACCAGTGCCAGACAATGAAAAAGAAGGTTGTAAAAGAAGCAGCAGAAGCAGTGCCAGAAAACAAATTGATGTTGGACAATCTGGCAGAAGAGTTAAGATTATTTAAGATTGCTTTTGACCTATTTTGGGAATGGACCGTTCTATAATATGGACACTAAAACTAAAACAAACGGGAAGAAGGATTGGTGCCATATATAGACATTTTTAGAGAAAAAAAGCAGAAGAGTCAGAAAGAAATCATGATGTATTTCCATAAAATTTCTCCAAGTGTGCCCACCCCTCCTACCTCTCCTATCACCTCCTCCATCTCTTCACTTCTACCACCCCTGAAATAGCAAGACTAGTTCCGCCTTTTCCTCCCCTTTATCATCCTACTCAATGTGAAGACTGTGAAGACACACACCTTCAAAATGATCCACCTCCACTTAATAAATAGTAAATATATTTTCTGTTCGTTATGATTTTCTTAGTGATATTTCCTTTTCTCTGACTTACTTTATTTTATATGGTATAAATACATATAACATACAAAATATATGTAAATTGACTATGCTATTGATAAGGCTTCTGGTCAACAGTTGGCTATTAGTAATTAAGTTTTGAGGGAGTCAAAAGTTATACACAAATCGTTGACCCTGCAGGGCATCCATACCCCTAACCCCTATGCTAAGAGTCCGTTATAATGCTTAGAAATCAAATAAAATAAAGTCTAAAAAACTCCCATTAAGAATGACCAAGGAGTCACTAGGATAGGATTTTATACGTTTCTAGGATTCTACCATGTTGCAAACCTTTATTTCCACTGCACTTTGGCTCTTTATCTTGTGCTCTTTTCATCTCTCAGAGTAGAAATGCTTTACTCTCATTAAGGGAAGCTATATTTATATTTTGCCCTATCTTTTGACAGTTGATATCCTACATAATCAGATTTTCAATTTTTATTTCAAATTTTATTAAGATGTTTTTGAAGACAAAGTTAATACCCTCAGCTGTTAAATTTTTCACCTACAATTATATCTACCATACCCCATAAAAAAATTGAGCTATAAAAGGCATGGCAGTTTTTCCTACATAACTTAGAAATGTAGGCATAACAAATCAACAATGTATTTGTAACTATGTTCTTCCTAGAACTGTTAGTTCTTAAACAGAGTCAAAATGTTCAGATATTAGAAAGTAGTAGAACCAGCGGAAACTATTTTTTTCATATAGATGTCAAAATAACTGACTCACACCTTAGCTCCCCTCAATCTATGGCAATTGCCCATTCCATTTCAAAGTGCCTTTGGAAAGTCTACCTCCACAGTGACTGAACTAAATGTCATAATATTTAGAGGCAGAAATTAATTCAATATGATTGTAAAGCAGTAATATTAGCAGAACATATTTATATATGATTCCTTCAAGAGGACCATAAGAATGACTACTATGGGCTCTCATACCATAAATAGAAAGGTATTCTTTTATATTTTCATAATGCAAAGCCTTTAATAATGCTCTAGAAATAGAAAATAAACTTCCACTAGTCACTGTGTGAGAGAAGTTACAGATATATCAGATATATCAAAAGTGTGTTCCTGCTTCTCATATATCAATATATATTTTTTACCTTTAGCAAGATTAACAACATTTTATCAACTTTAAGCCTTACCTTCTCATGAAAGTCTTTTTTTTTCTGTTTACTCTTTACTCCCAATGCAGAGCTCATAAATTGTAATAATTTGAAGTTAAGCAATTTATGATTGCCATTTATTTTCAGGTCTCTTCTTCTATTCCATTACATGTGTAGGAGAATTGTATGTGTCCAATTCAATATGCTCATTTCAAAAGTCTGAGTTTAAAATGCAACCTCCCCTTCATTTCTTATTTCTGTTTATCTGAGAAATTGCCCTTCTTTACAAATTTGGAATTAAAATATTCCTACAAAAGTCCAGATCTCAAATAAGGAAACAATCATCACTAATGACGAGAGAAAGAATACCAATATTCTTTAAATGGTAATTACTATTTATATGTTTCATTTAGAATGAAAAGTATGGAATTTAGATTTGAAAACCATAATTAATCTCACTTTTGCCAATTATTTTGTGATTCAGAAGTAAGCTTTTAATCACTTAACCTCAGTTACTAGATCTGCATAGCACATGATTTGCTACAATTTAGGCATAAAGATTTATGGAAAATATTAGAGAAACATATGCTGTTATTGTTATTATTGATCTTTACATATCCTACTGTGTAAAGCATTACTACATTGTGATTTTGTTAAAATTTAATTGACTACATTAAGTTTTTATTTTTAAAATTATAATAAAAATGTCTATACTTATGAAACAGTCTAAACGAGACACAGTAATAATAATACTTGCAATGCTTAAACAGCTTACACCATGAAAGACATCATTCTGTATGCCTTATATATAATTTTCCAATTAACATTTGCAACAATTTTCTAAGGTATGTATTTTTGTTTTTAATTGACAAAAATTTTATATATATGGTGTACATAATGTTTTGACATATGCATACATTGTGGAATGGCTAGATCAAACTAATTAACATATACCTTGTTTTTAAAAATGGGCCATGGACCTGAATAGACATTTTTCAAAAATAAAAAGACATATACATTTGACCAACAGGTATATGAAAATGTCCAACATCCCTAATTATCAAGTAATTACAAATTAAACTATGAGATATCACCTTACATCTATTAGAATGGCTTTTATCAAAAGGTCAAAATTTAAAGTGTTGAACAGGATGTGGATAAAAGGGAACCTTAGTATATTGTTGGTGAGAATATAAATTAATAGAGCCATTATAGAAAACAGTATGGGTATTCCTCAAAAATTATAACTACCATTTGATTCAACAATTCCTACTGGGTATATATGCAAAGGATTTGAAATCAGTATGTTGAAGAGATAGCTGCACTCCCATTTTCACTGCATTATGTACAATAGCCAAAATGTGGAATCAACCTAAGTGTTCATCAACAGACGAATCTATAAAGAAAATGTGTCACATGTATTCAATGGAATACAATTCAGCCTTTAAATAAGAAGGAAATTTTGTCATTTGAGACATCATGGATGAACCTGGAGGGCATATGTTAAGTGAAATAAGCTAGGCACAGAAAAAGTAATACCACATGATGTCACTTATATAGTCTAAAAACCACTAACTCATAGAAGCAGAGTAGAATAATGGTTCCCTGGGGCTGTGGGCTGGGAGGATTGGGAAAATAATGAGTAAGGGGTACAAAATTTGAGTTAGACAAGAGGGATAAGATTGAGAGATTTGTTGTGCAACATGGTGAACTCAACATGAAAAAATGAGGTATATGTTTTATCATCTTTTTGTGAATAAACCAATGCAAAAAATGTTTAAGTAATGTGCTCAAGACTAGTAATTATCGTACATAGGTTTGGCATATATAGGCTGAAATAAAATTATCTGCTTTAAATTACAGCATTCCATTCTCTGACTATTATAAATATTGTTGTGTTTGTATGGGTCATTTCAGAAAAAAAATTAAAGTACAGATTTTTAAAAACTTTTTGCTGCTCAATTGAGAGGAAAAAACAAACTTGTTTTCAGAGCAATTTGTTTGCCTGAATAAATATTTTATTTCACACAGCCAGCTTCATTTTTAAGAGTTTCATAAAATATGTGTTAAAAAATAAAATGCCCTAATTTTTTATTTACTTGCTGTAGGAACAGCAGACATCTTTTAACTGTACCTCATATTATCCTTTCAAGAAATAGATATGCTATTTGAAGTAGAACTTGCTAGAGTAATTAAACATTAATTCTAAATTTTAAAACAAATCATATAATAAAATTTGCTTACAGAAAGGATCTTTAGCCTATTCTGCAAAATTATCCTGCTTTTAATAAACAACAAATTTGTGAGATAATATAATACATTATGGAACAAATTTACTTCATTTTCTCTGCCATGCTTACATTTACAACTACTCTATTAGATAAAGAGAAGAGATTCATAAGAGGAGAGAACTGGCAATAAATTTTATTCCATAGAAGGGATGCACTAATGTGCCATTTAAATGCTGCATTAACATTCTATGAATTGGGACTAAGACAATTATTGTCTGCCAGCCACAACAAAGAAGACAGGTCAATACTGTTTTTTCCCTTTTAGTTTTGTTTTTATTGCCTTGTTGTATGCTGGAGTTGAAAAAACAAGCTTTTAAGAAATTTGTTAGCTCATTAAGCATAGACTATTCTTGTAAATCAGAGTTTAAAAAAACCTGAAATATAAAATTCTTTGAGCCATAAATACATTATGCCCTTAGGAAATTTGCTTTGTACTATGTATACTTCTTGTTTTCAGTGAAAATATAACATGGAGCTATGGTAATTTCAACACCTTAGAAAGGTTTGATCAAAGATTTTAAGAAACAGCAAATAAATCTGAGTGCAGAAGTATTCCTAACATGTCAACTAACATTTTATGCTCCCATGCATAAATTTATAATTCTATATCTTTCACTTTAGACACATTTATCATCCATTCTGAATGCTGGTGTTTTACCTTCAATTGCCATTTTTAATAATTTACATTTCCTTTGAGTATTACTATATCTATTAATCCACAATTGCAATCTCATTATGAACCAAGCATATTGTTAGGCAGTGGAAAGACAGCAACTCATTAAAGACAAATGTCAAGAACCTAAAAATGTAGAAAAATTAGAAAACAACCATGATTATCCAATTTGCAGTGTTATGACAGAGACAGAGACATGTACTGAGTGCTTGGCGAACACACATGTTGACTACTCCCTGTCAGCTTATTCAATGATATAATATGTGCAACTGCATCGATGTCTTTTTGGTCATTTTAATGAATTATGCAAACATGTATCATTATTATTTATTATTCCCTATGGTAAAGATAATTCTGAGATGACTCCTACTGACCCATATCTTTGTGCAACTCACTCCCCTTTAGTGTGGCAAGGACTTGTAACTTTTTCCTAAGCAATAGGACATAGCAAAGCTGATGAGCTATCACTCCTGAAATCATGTTATATTATATGGCAGAGGTGAAAAGATTTTACTGATACAATTAGGACCTCTAATCATTTGCCTCTAAGTTATTCAAAAGGCAAGTTTCCTGGCTAAATCTTATCTAATCAAATGAGCACTATATAAGAGGGTCTGGATATCAGAGATAGAAGATATTAAAGGTTTCTTCTTCCCTGCTGTCCTGAAAGAGCCAAGCCATATGTTATAAAGCTGCAAGAAAATGAATTTTGCCCACATCCACATAAGCGTGGAATAGAACTGTATTTAGGATCACAGTTTTAGTAGACACCTTGATTGCAGCATAGTTAGACCCTGAACGTAGGAGCACTTAAGCAGTTTCTAGACTCCTGACTACGAAATAATAAATGTCATTTTAATCTGCCAAATTTGTGATAATTTATTAGGTAGTAATAGAGATCTAACACGTTTACCAACTTATTTTTAGTCCATGTTGTAGAGGAAGTGTACACTAAGAATTAAGAAAGAAGAAAGGTAAATAAGGCACAGTTCCCGACCAGGATGACTTTATGTTCTAGTTGGGCAAATAAGACAGTACTTGTATATAATGTGATTGAATAAGTGGATACAAAGATTAAAATGGATTAATTTAAACAATGTGATGAATGCTTTAAAAGCAATACAAATAAAGTGGTTTGATAAAGCACTGGTAAAAGAGATAACTTGGATACCATGGGAAATCAAGTGAGGTATCATTTTAACTAAGCACTGACAGGTGGTACATGCAAAGTCTGTGCTGGGGAGAAGAAAGAGTTCCAGAAGGTCACAGTAAATTGAGGGCACTCTTAGAGATGAGAAATCTCTTCTCAAGCTCAATTGGAGCGGCACTGAATTAGACTACGTGACCCACATATGTAAATAAGAAAGGTTAATGGTGGAAAGGAAAAGGGCCCCAGATCCCTTATGTTCCTAAGTGAAAACCTAACTAAGATAGTTTTTATTACATAGGTAATGGAGAATATTAGAGTTAGCACTCTCCAACATTAATTGTATTACAGTCGAGTGTCCCATTCTTTATTCTGAAGCCTCAGTTCTACTTAAGAGTTAGTTCACCATCCTTTCCTTCTGGTTATGATATTCTCCTCATTTGTCAAAGTCATGCTGCAAATATATGATGATCAAGTGATTCTATGGTGAGTCTTCCTCCTCTCAATTCCCTTTTCCATTAATTTCACCCTTAAATACATGATTGGCACATAACTTATTTTGTTTCAACATGAAACAACATTGCAGTGAATATCTGTACACCCACAATCTAAAATCTAGCATTCCATGATACTTGTTTTATTATGTATCTATCTATTCCAATGTTTGTTCACCAATCCGTCAGAGTTTTTTGATACATTTTAATGTAAATTGCAGCCATTATGACTACCCCACCTCCACCAATATTTTAGCCTCCATGTCTTTAGCTAGGGTTTAAAAATTCTTTGCTGTCTTTTTCTTTTCATATAAAATGTAAAAACAAAAATGCACTGTGGTGGATTTAATTTACATGAATCATTTTATGTGTCAATCTGCCTAGGCCACAGTGCCCAGATATTTGGTCAAATACTACACTGGATGATTCTGGAAAGGCATATTTTTGATGAGATTAACATATAAACCAGTAGACTTTCAGTAAAGCAGGTTACCCTCCTTAATGTGGCTTGGCCTAATCCAATCAGTTGGAGACCGTAAGAGAAAAAAGACTGACATCAACTGAAGAGGAAATTTTGACAGTAAACTGTCATCTTTTAATTCTAGCTGCAATATCAACTCTTCCCTGGGTCTCCCACCTACCAGCCTACCCCACAATTATTTGAGTGTATTCCTTAAAATCTCTCTTTCTCTCTCTCCAATATATTTGTGCATATATTATTCAGGGTTCTCCAGGGAAATAGAACCGATATGATGGAGAGAAATTGGTTTTATTTCTCTGGTGAATCTATGCACAAATCTTACATTCCTTTGTCAATGGTGTTGAAGATCTTTTCATGCACTTATTGCTCACTTGCTTTTCTTTGAAGTGCCTACTAAAATCTTTGACTATTTCATTTTCTTTTGTTTTCCCTTTTTATTGAGTTGTAGGAGTCCTTTGTATTTATTGGATACCAGTCATTTGTCAGATGTATATTTTGCAAATAAATTCTTCCATTCTGTGGCTTGATTATTTATTATCTTTCTGGCAATGTGTGATGAGGAGAAGTTTTTTCTTTGAGTAATTTTAATCACTGTTTTCTTCCATTATCTTTTGGTTATGGCACTATGTGACCTAACTAGAATCTTTTCACTAGCCCCAGGCTACAATAATATTCTCTCATGTTTCTTTTTAAAAAGTTGTATGGTTTTAACTATTATAATTAGGTCTATGATCAATATCAAATTATATTTTGTATATAATATGAAATAAGGAGTTCAAATTTCCATTTTTGCCCACATAGATATCCAGTGACTCCAGAAACATTTGTTTAAAATTTTGCCTCTCCCACTGGATTATTTTGGCAACTTCTTAGGGAAAAAAAAATATTGTATGAGGTAATTGATATATAATTTCTGGGTTCTCTTCTGTTCATTTCTATATCTGAAATTTGTAAAGCTAATTCTACATTGTAGTAACTATTGTACTTTATAGTCGGTCTTGATGTCAAATAGTTTTCTAAATTTTATTGATTTTTAAGGTTGCAGAGGATATTCTTCAATGCTGTAAATTTTATATAAATCTAAGAATATGCTTGTATTAATTTTAATAGATTGTATTTTGCCAGAAATTTGTCCATTGTGACTAAGTACTATTGGCATAAAGTTGTTCATAATATTGTTCCAGTATCTTTTTAATGTTTGCAGTTTCTGTCTGATAACGCCTCTTTTGTTCTTGATATTGTTGGCTTGTGTTGTCTCTCTTATTTTCTTGATCCATCTAGTTTTGAGGTTGTTAATTTTGTTGATCTTTTTTCATAGAACCAGGTTTTGACTTTACTTTTGTTCCATTATCTATGTTTTTGCGATGTTAATTTAAGATCTTATTTTATTAATCTCCTTTCCTATATCTGTTTTGATTTTAGTTTGCTCTCCTTTATCTAATCTTTAAATGTGGAAGATTAGTGAATTTATCTTTTTAATTATAAAAGACAAGCTTATCTTTTATAAGACAAAAGATTAGTGAATTTATCTTTTGAAATGTAATTGTAAAAATAAAACCAAAAATATCCTCTGAAGCACTAAATTAGCTTTATATCAAAAACGATGATATTTATTTTCATTATGATTCAGGTAAAACTATTCCTAATTTCCCTTCTACTTTCTCCTAGATCCACGGATTGTTTAGATATTTATTATTTAATTCCTTAAATGTTTGCTATTTTGCTAACTGTCTTCTCAGTATTTATGTATAGTTTAACTCTATTGTGGTTAGAATGTATGTTTGATTCCAGTCATTTTAATTACTATTTAGGCCAGGATATGGTTACTCTGTAATAAATATACCAGATATAATTTAAAAACGTGAATTTTACAGTTGTTGAGTATAGTATTCCATAAATACTAATTATATAATTATGGTTGATAATGTTGCTCAGGCAATCTACATATTTGCTGTTTTTTTGTGTAGTTTGTTGATTCTCAAAGTGTAATCCAGGTAGTCCTGGGGCCACCAAGAACCCTCAAAGATCCATGCAGCAAGCGTGCAAGATAGAATGATGAGTTTCAATGTAGAAGCATATGAAAGTTTACTAATATGGATTCATTTTTCATGTTAAAATTGAGCTTTAGTTTACCAAACTAATCAAGTTATGATGTGGTATCAAAAAGATACTACCTTACCTGAAATACTTACTAAAATATTCCTCCATTTATAAGCATCATATGTATCTAAGCCAAGTTTTTCTTTATACACAACCAACGAAACAATGTATTGCAACAGATTAAATGCAGAAGCTGATATGATAATCCATTCATCCTTTTTTTTTTGTTATTATACTTTAAATTTTAGGGTACATGGGCACAACGTGCAGCTTTGTTACATAGGTATACATGTGCCATGTTGGTTTGCTGCACCCATTAAGTCATCATTAAGTATTTCTCCTAATGCTATCCCTCCCCCTGCCCCCACTCCATGACAGGCCCTGGGGTATGATGTTCCCCGCCCTGTGTCCAAGTGTTCTCATTGTTCAGTTCCCACCTATGAATGAGAACATGCAGTGTTTTGTTTTCTGTCCTTGTGATAGTTTACTCAGAATGATGGTTTCCAGCTGCATCCATGTCCCTGCAAAGGACATGAACTCATCCTTTTTTATGGCTGCATAGTATTCCATGGTATATATGTGCCACATTTTCTTAATCCAGTCTATCATTGATGGACATTTGGGTTGGTTCCAAGTCTTTGCTATTGTGGTTAGTGCTGCAATAAGCATAGGTATGCATGTGTCTTTATAGTAGCATGATTTATAATCCTTTGGGTATATACCCACTAATGGGATCGCTGGGTAAAATGGTATTTCTAGTTCTAGATCCTTGAGGACTCACCACACTGCCTTCCACAATGGTTGAACTAGTTTACACTCCCACCAACAGTGTAAAAGCATTCCTTTTCTCCACATCCTCTGCCACATCTGTTTTTTCCTGACTTTTTAATGATTGCCATTCTAACTGGTGTGAGATAGTATCTCATTGTGGCTTTGATTTGCATTTCTGTGATGACCACTGATGATGAGCATTTTTTCATGTGTCTGTTGGCTGCATAAATGTCTTTTTTTGAGAAGTGTCTGTTCATACCCTTTGTCCAGTTTTTGATGGGGTTGTTTTTTCTTGTAAATTTGCTTATGTTCTTTGTAGATTCTGGATATTAGCCCTTTGTCAGATGGGTAGATTGCAAAAATTTTCTCCCATTCTATATGTTGCCTGTTAACTCTGATGGTAGTTTCTTTTGCTGTGCAGAAGCTCTTTAGCTTAATTAGATCCCATTTGTCTATTTTGGCTTTTCTTGCCATTGCTTTTGGTGTTTTAGTCATGAAGTCCTTTCCCATCCCTATGTCCTGAATGTTATTGCCTGTGTTTTCTTCTAGGGTTTTTATGGTTTTAGGTCTAACATTTAAGTCTTTAATCCATCTTGAATTAATTTCTGTAGAAGGTGTAAGGAAGGGATCCAGTTTCAGCTTTCTACATATGGCTAGCCAGTTTTCCCGGCACCATTTATTAAATAGGGAATCCTTTCCCCATTTCTTGTTTTTGTTAGGTTCATCAAAGATCAGATGGTTGTAGATGTGTGGTGTTATTTCTGAGGCCTCTGTTCTGTTCCATTGGTCTATATATCTGTTTTGGTACCAGTACCATGCTGTTTTGGTTACTATAGCCTTGTAGTATAGTTTGAAGTCAGGTAGCATGATGCCTCCAGCTTTGTTCTTTTTGCTTAGAATTGTCTTGGCAATGCAGCCTGTTTTTTGGTTCCAAATGAACTGTAAAGTAGTTTTTCCAATTCTGTGAAGAAAGTCATTGGTAACTTGATGGGGATGGCACTGAATCTATAAATTACCTTGGACATTTTGTCCATTTTCATGATATTGACTCTTCCTATCCATGATCATGGAATGTTCTTCCATTTGTTTGGGTACATTTTTATTTCGTTAAGCAGTGGTTTGTAGTTCTGCTTGAAGAGGTCCTTTGCATCCCTTGTAAGTTGGATTCCTAGGTATTTTATTCTCTTTGTAGCAACTGTGAATAGCAGTTCACTTATGATTTGTCTCTCTGTTTGTCTGTTCTTGGTGTATAGGAATGCTTGTGATTTTTGCAGATTGATTTTGTATCCTGAGACTTTGCTAAAGTTGCTTATCAGCTTAAGGAGATTTTGGGCTGAGACGATGGGGTTTTCTAAATACACAATCATGTCATCTGCCAACAAGGGCAATTTTAATTCCTCTTTTCCTAATTGAATACCTTTTATTTATTTCTCTTGCCTGATTGCCCTGGCCGCAACTTCCAACACTATATTAAATAGGAGTGGTAAGACAGGGCATCCCTGTCTTGTGCCAGTTTTCAAAGGGAATGCTTCCAGTTTTTGCCCATTCAGTATGATATTAGCTGTGGGTTTGTCATTCATAACTCTTATTATTTTGAGATACATTCCATCAATACCTAGCTTATTGAGAGTTTTTAGCAGGAAGGGCTACTGAATTTTGTCAAAGGACTTTTCTGCATCTATTGAGATAATCTTGTGGTTTTTGTCATTGGTTCTGTCACTTGCTTTGTGAACCTGGGTGCTCCTGTATTGGGTGCATATATATTTAGGATAGTTAGCTCTTCTTGTTGAATTGAGCCCTTTACCATTATGTAATGGCCTTCTTTGTCTCTTTTGATCTTTGTTGGTTTAAAATCTGTTTTAACAGAGACTAGGATTGCAACCCCTGCTTTTTTTTTTTTTTTCTTTTTTTTTTTTTTTTTTTTGCTTTCCATTTGCTTGGTAGATCTTCCTCCATCCCTTTATTTTGAGCCTATTTGTGTCTCTGCATGTGAGATGGGTCTTCTGAATATAGCACACTGATGGATCTTGACTCTTTATCCAATTTGCCAGTCTGTGCCTTTTAATTGGGGCATTTAGTCCATTTACATTTAAGGTTAATATTGTTATATGGGAATTTGATCCTGTCATTATGATGTTAGCTGGTTATTTTGCTCATTAGTTGATGCAGTTTCTTCCTAGCATCAATGGTCTTTACAATTTGGCATGTTTTTGCAGTGGCTGGTACCAGTTCCTTTCCATGTTTAGTGCTTCCTTCAGGAGCTCTTGTAAGGCAGGCCTGGTGGTGACAAAATCTCTCAGCATTTGCTTGTCTGTAAAGGATTTTATTTCTCCTTCACTTATGAAGCTTAATTTGCCTGGATATGAAATTCTGGGTTGAAAATTCTTGTCTTTAAGAATGTTGATTATTGGCCCCCACTCTCCTCTGGCTTGTATAGTTTCTGCTGAGAGATCTGCTGTTAGTCTGATGGGCTTCCCTTTGTGGGTAACCCGACCTTTCTGTCTGGCTGCCCTTAACATTTTTTCCTTCATTTCAACCTTGGTGAGTTTGACAATTATGTGTCTTGGGGTTGTTCTTCTCGAGGAGTATCTTTGTGGTGTTCTCTGTATTTTCTGAATTTGAATGTTGGTCTGCCTTGCTAGGTTGGGGAAGTTCTCCTGGATAATATCCTGAAGAGTGTTTTCCAACTTGGTTCCATTCTCCCGCTCACTTTCAGGTACACCAATCAAACGTAGATTTGGTGTTTTCACATAGTCCCATATTTCTTGGAGGCTTTGTTAGTTTCTTTTTACTCTTTGTTCCCTAAACTTCTCTTCTCACTTTGTTTCATTCATTTGCTCTTCAATCATTGATACCCTTTTTTCCATTTGATCAAATAGGCTATTGAAGCTTGTGCTTGTGTCACATAGTTCTCGTGCCATGGTTTTCAGCTCCATCAGGTCATTTAAGATCTTCTCTACACTGTTTATTCTAGTTAGCCATTTGTCTAATCTTTTTTCAAGGTTTTTAGCTTCCTTGTGATGGGTTTGAACATCCTCCTTTAGCTCGGAGAAGTTTGTTATTACCGACCTCCTGAGTCTACTTCTGTCAGCTTGTCAAAGTCATTCTCTGTCCAGCTTTGTTCCGCTGCTGGCAAGGAGCTGCGATACTTTGGAGGAGAAGAGGCACTCTGGTTTTTAGAATTTTCAGCTTTTCTCTCTAGTTTTTCCCCATCTTTGTGGTTTCATCTACCTTTGGTCTTTAATGTTGGTGACCTACACATGGGGTTTTGGTGTGGATGTCCTTTTGGTTGATGTTCACGCTATTCCTTTCTGTTTGTTAATTTTCCTTCTAACAGTCAGGTCCCTCAGCTGCAGGTCTGTTGGATTTTGCTGGAGGTCCACTCTGGATCCTGTTTGCCTGGGTATCATCAGCAGAGGCTGTGGAACAGCAAATATTGCAGAACAGCAAATATTGCTGTCTGATCCTTCCTCTGGAAGCTTCATCCCGGAAGGGCACCTGCGTGTATGAGGTGTCAGTCAGCCCCTACTGGGAGGTGTCTCCCAGTTAGGCTACATGGGGGTCAGGGACCCACTTGATGAGGCAGCCTGTCTGTTCTCTGAGCTCAAACACCATGCTGGGAGAACAACTGCTCTCTTCAGAGCTGTCAGACAGGGACATTTAAGTCTGCAGAAGTTTCTGCTGCCTTTTGTTCAGCTATGCCCTGCCCCCAGAGGTGGAATCTACAGAGGCAGCAGGCCTTGCTGAGCTCCGGTGGGCTCCACCCAGTTCGAGCTTCCATGGCTGCTTCGTTTACCTACTCAAGCCTCAGCAATATCAGACGCCCCTCCCCCCACCAGGCTGCATCCTCACAGGTCAATCTCAGACTGCTGTGCTAGTAGTGCTCAAGGCTCCGTGGGCATGGGACCCGCTGAGCCAGGCACGGGATGTAATCTCCTGGTGTGCCATTTGCTAAGACCAGTGGAAAAGCACAGCATTTGGGTGAGAGTGTCCCGTTTTTCCAGGTACCGTCTGTCACAGCTTCCCTTGGCTAGGAAACGGAAATCCCCTGACCCCGGGTGAGGTGATGCCCTGCCCTGCTTCAGCTCGCCCTCTGTGGGCTGCACCCACTGTCCAACCAGTCCCAATGAGATGAACCAGGTACCTCAGTTGGAAATGCAGAATTCACCCGTCTTCTGTGTCAATCATGCTGGGAGCTGCAGATTGGAGCTGTTCCTATTTGGCCAACTTGGAATGGAATCCATTCATTTTTTATTAAATTACATAATAGATCTAAAAAAAAGTGTAAAATAATACCAAGCATCTAATTTCCTTTTCTGAACAAATAGTTATGTTTTTGTAATGATAAGATATGTATTTAGCATGTAAGAATTTGTGTTTCAATAAAATATTAATTAAATAATAAATTAATAATATTAAACTTTTACTCATTTCATAAAATGGTAACAGTACATATAACCTAATGAAGAAAAGTTTTAAAAATATAAATGGTTTGAGACCAAAATGTGTAAAAATAGATGGACAAATTTTTCTAGCAATTTATGAGAAGAATATTAAATTGTCCTACAATGATGGTGATAGGCACATACATGTTTATGACTATTATGATTTCCTGATGAATTGGCCCTGTTAAAGTTCTAAAATGGCTCACTTTATTTTTGTAATAGTCTGCCTGGTTGTATATTTTATCTGATATCAATTTAACCACCCTAGACTTCTTATTGCTTGCTATTTGAATGATTTTTTTAATTAATGTATTTTGTTTTTATATTTAATCTTTGTCTTTATATTTAAATTTTATCTCATACAGGCAGCTTATAAATCATACATAAACAATATATTTTTTGAACATATGCTATAATTATTAAGGAGGACAAGTTAGAGTTGACCATTATTTGTATTCTGCCTGATCCTTATGATTATTCCTCACTGTTTCCCATGTTGTTTATTCCATTGATTATTTGAATATTGCTTGGAATACATTTTTAAGTCATTTATTGGCTTCTTAGCTATACAGTTATGTATTTTTGCTTTTCAACCTAGGAGCCACTAGTCATATATCTTCACTGAGAACTTACAATGTGGCTATTGTCACTGAGGTATTGAATTTTTAGCTTTATTTAATTTTAATTTTAAATATATATTAAACTTACATTTAAGTTCACTATTGGAAAATTTTTAAATTGTTTGAACAACTTAGGCATGTTATGCTACCTTTCCACCTGTAAGTTTTAGGAATTCAAATGCAGATAAAGTATTTCTACTTAAAAAAATTATCAAAATTGAAGTTTGTTATAAGGGTCAAATACAAACTGAATTTCAAAAATTAATTATAAAATAAAAGAATATATATATTTTATTTTTATCAATTACATATTAAATAGATAATGCAATGATTATATTGGATTAAATAAAATACATAAATTCACTTGTTTCATTTTGCTTTTTCAAACGTGGCTATTATATATTTTAAAATTACATGTATGTCCCACATTATTTTTCTCTCAGATACTGATTCTCAGGTATGATATTTATTCTTAACATTTCTCAGCCTACTTCAATGGATGTTATAGCATTACTTTAAATGTAGAAAACTTGAAACACACATGCCCATTTAACACATCTTCCAAAATCCTCTAGGCTTTAATCATAATATATTTCACAGCCATATACGTTATACACTACTTTCTTTAGCATTCTTGTTCAATAATTTTTTGGGGTGACAAATTATTTTGTTTTTCTTTTCATTGACATTATCATGTCACATTCATTCTTGAAGTATAATTTTGCTAAATATGGAATTCTGGATTAACTGTTTTTTGAAAATCACTTTCAAAATGCCTTTCTTTTCTTTCACCAATCTTCTGAGTGTATTGCTGCAACGGTTCAAGTATGGCCATTAGAATTCCTCTCTATGAGTCTCTAACATCCTTAGAACTTCTATAGTTGTTAGGGGTGGCAGATTATCTTGCAGTTTTACCACCATATTCCTTGATGTGGCGATCTTCTGGATCCATCAAAGGAACAAAGTCTGCTGTTGCTGAATTCCATGCATTAACCAGTGCACATCCAGAAGAGCTGTAAACTGAAAACATTGTGTGAAGTACATCTGCGTCTGGAGCACAGGAAAAAAAAAGTCTTTAAATATGTAATATCAGCTGGTGAGAAAGGAATATGAATTACCTGGCAATCCTGAGTTGCTTCCCGATGTCCTCAGCTTTGCTGATTATCCACATAGGAAAGGCATGGTTTTTCTGGCAATGAGACAAGATAAATGTAAATTACATGGCACTTCGGCTTGCTTTCCTGTGTTGACATTCCTCAGCTTAAAGCTTTGTTTGTTTACCATTTTCTAAACGATTAGAATATCTACTCGCCATACTGCTGTCTTCATATGGAGGTAGAGTATTTTATCCTAGTTCTCAATTATTTCCAGATTAATTATCTTTATCAAATCTGCATTTCAAGTGTATTTGTCTGTTCTCACACTACTGATAAAGACATATACAAGACTGGGTAATTTATAAAGAAAAAGAGGTTTAATGGACTCACAATTCCATCAGGCTGGGGAGGCCTCGCAATCATGGCTGAAGGTGAAAGGCATATCTTACATGGTGGCAGGCTAGAGAAAATGAGAACCAAGTGAAAGGGTTTTCCCTTATAAAACCATCAGATCTCATGAGACTTATTCACTAGGATGAGAACACTATAGAGGAAACCACCCCCATGATTCAATTATGTACTCCCTGGACACTCCCAGAGCAAGTGGGAATTATGGGAGCTACAATTCAAGATGAGCTTCAGGTGGGGACAGAGCCAAACCATATCACCGAGATATAGGTTGTGAAGGTGTTAGGGAACTCTTGGAGGTGGAATCTGGGATAGCTCTAGAGGCACCTGTAATTATATCCTCAGAGTAGGTAATTTGTTAATCACCAAAGAAGTTGTGATTCCTCATCCATTTTTTCAGGGAAGTTCACAAACAAAGGCAACAACCTATACAAACATCATCACCTCTCTCTTTTCAGGACTCAGTCTGAGGGAGAGAAGGAAAGTGGTAAGGGAAGCAGAGGGATTTATTGAAGACAGATGAGAAAGAAGACAAGAATTCTGTGAAAGGGAAAGTGCGCTTAATGGTGGCATTTTCTTTTTCATTTATCTCAGTATTTTTTTAGTAATTCAAATAATTTTTATAATGATATTTATCTCATAAGTGCCAGTAATTCATTTGCTTGGGATAAGCTTCTGCAAACATATTCATTCATCTAAATCAAAAGAAGCATTCTTTAGCCACTGCAAGAGTGGATTCTCATACACATTTCAAATATGACATAAAATATTAGCTCTTTAAGAGAAAGACCTGGAGGCAGCATTCATGGCTTCCCATATTTTCCAACCACATGGTGATCCCAATGGGTTATTAGAGCCCATGTTTTCCACAGTTATTCAACAGTAATATTTGGATTTTGAGAAGTTTGTCAGATTCATATTCCCAAAAGCGGAGAGCACTTGGAGGATCTTTTACCTGGTTGTTGTGCGAACATAAATTTTTAGCTGCTCCATTTAATTTGGGAAGTCCTAGACATCCTGTCCTTGTCACCAGGCATATGGAAATATAAGTGAAAACAAAATCTCCTGTGAACTCAGAAAATCTTCCTACCAAGTTAGAAAAGAAAGTGAATAATGAAACCAGGATGTGATGAGCATCACAGACAATCTGCTTGAGCATCACAGACAATCTGCTAGGAAACTGAAAATACAGAAATAAATTGTTCCCTTTTATACAGCCAAGCAGACATAACCCATTAGATGTTCTCAAGATAAATAATAATTAGCTCTCAAGAAAGAAGACTTGACAGCATAATTTGTCATGTATAGTTCATCTTAAATTCACTTTTTTTCTTGCAATGTCTTTGGTTATTCAAGCTCTTTTTTGGTTCCACATAAATTTCAGGATTGTTTTACTAATTCTGTGAAAAACGATGTTGGTAATTTGATAGGAATTGCATTGAATCTGTAGATTGCTTTGGGCAGTATGGTCATTTAAATGATACTGATTTTTCTAATCCATGAGCTTGGGATGTTTTTCCATTTGTTTGTGTCTTCTGTGATTTCTTCCATCAGTGTTTTTTAGTTCTTCTTCTAAAGATCTTTTGCTTTCTTTGTTAAAAGTATTCCTAGATATTATGTGTGTGTGTGTGTTGGCTTTTGTAAATGAGATTGAGTTATTGACTTGGTTATCAGCTTAAGTGTTATTGGTGTATAGAAATGCTACTGATTTTTGGATGTTGATTTTGTATCCTGTAACTGTACTAAAGTCATATATCAAGATAAAAAGTCTTTTGGGGGAGTCTTCAGGTTTTTCTAGAAATAAGGTTGCATTGTCAGTGAAGTGAAATAATTTTACTTTCTCTTTTCCAAATTGAATGCCTTTTATTTCTTTATCTTGCCTGAGTGCTTTGGTGAGGACTTCCAGTACTATGTTGAATAGGAGGGGTTAAAGTGGGCATTCTTGTCTTGTTCCAGTTCTTAAGAGAAATGCTTTCAACTTTTCTCAATTCAGTATGATGTTGGCTAAGGGTTTGTCATGTACGGTTTTTATTATTTTGAGGTATGTTCCTTTGATGCCTAGATTGTTGAGCATTATTTATCATAAATGAATCTTGGATTTTATCAAATGCTATTTCTGCATCTATTGAGATTATCATATGGTGTTGTTTTAAATTTTGTTGTGTGATTGGCCACATTTATTGATTTTTGCATATTGAACCATCCTTGCATAAATCTGCTTTAACATTCCTGTTTGCAAGTTTCAGTGCCTGAGTCATCTTTGTATCCATTTCTTTCAAGTTTTAACTATTTCTTAAATATGCCTGCTTTTTATTCACTCTCAGGGACTTTAGGAATGTTGTTTTGCTTGTTTATTTTGTTGTTTTCTAGAGCTCATAGTCATTGTCCATAGGAAAATTTATTTGGTAAGAGCCCACCCTTTCTTATCTGTTTCAGAAGCAGGCAGGACTTTCTCCTATTATTTCAATGTTAGTAAACATTTTGTGTGTTTTCTATTTTCTCAACCAGATAAAAAAACAGAAATGTCTTAATATATATGCCTGGGTTTCACACAAAGCATTGTTCGTAAGTTATTTGTGAATATTTGTCAAAAGAACTAAATAAATATGAGAAATTCAGAAGCAATTTAATTTCCTATAACAAATAGAAATCCTAAAGTCACCAGTTTTTCAGATTCTCCTTATTTAGTTATGCACTTATTCATTCAACAAGCAGACACTGATAACTTGATTAACTTGTTTCCTTATTAGGCCCTAAAAATTCAGCTGGGATGGCCACTACGTACAAGACCAACTCAACTTGAAATTAAAAAAAAACAAACTAATATTTATGTAATGATTATTTTCTCAGTAGGTGTTTAATGTCTTTCTCCAAACAGAGCCACATTAATCAGATGGGCACAAGTTGCACTGTTCACACTGCTATCTTCCTACACAAAAGATTGTTTTGAGAAGTATGTAAACATTAATTTTAAATATTATTTACTATGAAATAGCTTAAACATGTAGAAAAATATAGATAATAATAAACAGCCATGTACCCAAGCCATCTTTTAAAAGTTGTTAATGTATTTTACATTTGTTTCTCGCTTTTCTTAACCAAATACATTGAACAAAACTTTCTTTCCTAACATAGAGTAGTTTGAGGCAAGAATAAAATGAGAATCCATGGCCTTCAACTCTTATTCCTTTCTTTTTGTCCTTGGCTCTCTCTTTAAGCATTAGGGCTATTGTGCACATGTACGTGTCTGTTCATAGCTAATCACTCAGATCCTATCTCTGTCCAAACCTTTTAAAATAGACACCATTTGGCTACTCCTTGAGCCTAGGGTGCACAAAATCAGAACTGTGCCTTTATTTCATAAAAATTGGCCTGGGCAAGTGGCCCACATAGAACATGGTAGGTTAAGAAATTTTAGAGTTACAGAATGTGGTCTAGAAAGAACAGCTGGAAAGGGCTCTAGTGGTTCATGTTCTTTATCTTTGCTTTGTCCTCTGGGGATGGGTGCTGACAAAAGAGGGTCTGACAGAGTCCTCTAACGTGCTGGGATCAGAACAGCCACTCTTATCTCCCAGTTCAGAATGTAAAACTGAAGCCTGCAACATTATGGACTCAGTTCTAGTACCATTTACCCTCTGCTGCAGATCTAGCCACTCCCCTAAATGTGTTTATAATTTGCTAGACATTATTTTAGTACTATATAGATATGCATTACAAAATGATATAATATTTAGTTTTCTATTTTCAGGCTTTACATATTGATTAATTATACTAATTAAATTACAGCACTCATATTTAAATGTACTTTTCTTCACTCAAAATTTTGTATTTTCTTTTTGAGTGTAAATGTGTAGATACATGTACTTTTACTTCTTTCATTTAAACTTTAGTATGGTCCACCATAATATGAATATATTGCAATTTAAATATATCCCTTAGCCCAATGAGTTTCGGTTGTTTCCAAATTTTAATATTAGATATAATGCTATAATGAACGTTCTTTCCACATTTCCTTGTGAACATTTGCTAAGTTGTATACCCTGAAGTGGAATTCATATGGCTAACTTGTGCTTTAAAGTTGTAGACATTTATGCCTGAAGTATAAACGTTCCCATTGTTTCATGCACTCACCAATAGTTGATATTATGAGTTTTCTAAATGTTGCCAATTCTGGCAATTTGCATTTCTCTGATTACTTGAGAGGTCCCAAATATTTTTAAATGCCTGTGACCATTCAAAATTTCTCATCTGTAAATTAGTTAAAACTTTTGCCTTCTTTTCTGTTTTCTGTTTTGATTTGTTTTTTCTTGATATGAGATCATCATAAACACATAATATTAACCATTCGTTAGTCATGTATATTATAAATATGGTTTTACAAGTGCATGTTTTGCTTTCTTATTAATAATTTTAATTTACATTGACTTTTAAGTTCACCTTTTATTTTTAATTGTAATATAGGAATTTTGCTTAATAAATCCCTTTCTTATTTTTCCAAGTGTTTGAAAGTTTTGGTTTTCAGATTTAAGTTTTTTATTAGATAAAATACTAGGTAAGGGTAAATAACTCAGATAAAGGTTTTACTTCTAAATATGATGTAAGAAAGGATTTTAATTTTTTAACTTCGTTAACTAATTGCCCCATTACCAATTTTTAAATAATTAGTTTATTTCATATTTATTTATAAAACAGCTACTGTCACATGTCAAGTTTATGTCTTATAGATTCAGTAGATTTGACCTCTTGTCTATTCTGTGGCAAGACCACAGTGGCTTAATTACAATAATTTAAAAGTAGGTTTGATACATGCTCATCTTGTTCAACTTTTAAAATAGGTTAACCCTTCTCAAATAAATATGTTGAGAAGTTTTATTGGTATTGTGTAAAATTTTTAGGCTTCTTTTGGAAATTGTGTAGTGTTATGAAATAAATATTTTAATCTGTGAACGTGCCATATTAGCCATTAAATAAGTCCTTTTTACATCTTTAATAAAGTGTGTATATTTTCAACATTAATAACTTCCAAGTACTCTTAGATTTAATCATAGATAACACATTTATTAATCCTTTTAATTCCATTTCTAATTATTTTTCCTCATATGGAGGGATTACTTTATTTGTTGCTTATGCTGCAATTTTCTTGAACTCTCTTCAGTTCATATAGCATGTAGAGTCTCTTGGATTGTAAATGGAGATAATTATGTTGTCTGTAAAGTATGAAGTGTACTAGTTTGCTAGGACTGCTGTAATAAAGTACCTAAGATTGGGTGGCTTCAATAACAGCAACATATTTTCTCACAGTTTTATAGGCTAGAAGAGCAAGGTCTCAACAAAATTCATTTTCTTTCGAGGCCTCTCTCTCTTTGGCTTGTAGATAGCTATCTTCATCCTGTGTTTCCACCCCACGGTCTTTGTGCTGTACATGACTATGTCTTAATTTCCTCTTCATAGAAGAACACCATTTATATTGGATTAGGGTCCACTCTAATAACTTCATTTCAGTTTAGTTACTTATTTAAAGACCATTTCTTCAAATAGAGTCATATTTTGAGGAGTTAGGAATCAAATTTTAGTGGAACTCAATTCAGCCCATAATAGACGATATCTATTCAGTTCTTTTTCCTAGCTTTTTTTGTTGTGATATGCTAGTCTATTATTTGAAGATTAGAAGCATATGACAGAATACACTGTAGTTATTTCAAGCAAATAAGTATTTATTAAGGGTTGTAGATATTAATAGAAGACATTAGAAGACAAGACACAAACATTAGAATGATGTTTCAGAAATCACTCCTAAAATAATTCTTCTAGATGTAAGCTGTCTTTCAACAGTTAGAAATGATGAAATCAGGATACTGCCCCTCCAACTGGTGACTTCTTCAGGATTTTCCTTCTTGGCACTATTCTTGTAATGATTCATAACATTTAGCATCCTATAAGGATTTTTATAAAACTCTGTATAAATATCCTGATTTAGCAAAACCATGTGGAATCTTAGCTGTAAGGAAGACTGAGAAATAATGAATTTAACTGTTCAGCTTATCATGATAGGAAAGCTGTTATTCAATGCTACAGAATTTCTGCACAATAGTGCACAGACACACACTTATGTACACATACATATACCCTTGTATGTACATAATTTTATTAAAAATCCTGTTACTTAATTTTGTGTGCTTTGTACACACTACACAGCTGAAAGGTTATATTTTTTTAAATCATGGGTAAGTTAATCTATTTACATTTTTGGTATTTATATATTTGACTTATTTCTAACATCTTATTTTGTTCTGCTTACATTTTTGAAAAACTTTGTGTTCATTTTTTCCTTACTTTATCTCTTAACCTTTTCTTATTTTCTTCCTTTCCACCTGTTGATGTATTTAATTTATTTATTTAGAGTTTACATTTGCAATGCTTAGTAAACATATTTTTAAGAATACTTTTCTATATATTTCTATAAAATAGCCTTTTAAGATCTAATTTGATTAAATATTTTTATCCTCTACCTGATATGACATAGAATTTAGCCTATTGTGATCACTAGTTGAACTCATGAACACAAACACACATAGATACCCCTTACTGTTTTTGTCAAGGGTTTTATACTTCGTCTTCTTTAAATACAAACATTTAGCAATTAATGCTAACAATTTTTATTGATATGGAATATACAAGCAGAATATTTCACATAAGTTATCTGACTTACAACAAACAACAGAATGGTGCTACCAACATCCAGAACAAGAAACACACCCTTCCCAGCCTCTTTTTTTTTTTTTTTTTTTTAATTAGATGGAGTCTTGCTTTGTTGCCCTGGCTGGAGTGCAGTGGTGTGATCTTGGCTCACTGCAACCTCTGCTTCCTGGGTTCAAGGGATTCTCCTGACTCAGCCTCCTGAGTAGCTGGGATTACAGGCGCATGCCACCACACCCGGCTAATCTCTTATATTTTTGGTAGAGACGGGTTTTCACCATGTTGGCCAGGCTGTTCTCGAACTCCTGACTTCAAGTGATCGTCTGGCCTCAGCCTCCCAAAGTGCTGGGATTACAGGCATGAGCCACCATGCCCAGCCCTTTCCAGCTTCTTTAAATAACTGCTGTGGAATACACTTTCCTTTGAAAATCTAAATACATAGCCACTAATAAAATGTACTTAGGTTTTTATTTGTTTCTGACTCATAAACTATATCAGCCTTTAAAATTGCATATAATAAGCAGACACATTTTCTTTATTTTTCTTTCATTATTTTATTTAACAATTATAAGGTTGCTGGATTTTTAAAAATCTCCAGAATTGTATTGTGCTTATAATAGAAAGAATGATGAAAACGTGTCCTTTATCTATAGTTCTGTGAGGCTATATTAACAAAAGCATGCTTTACTTTTCAGTTTTTAGAGATAATATTATATTTCATTACATTTTTACATCACTCACTTTCCTGATATGTTTTATATGATTTCCTTTATAAATTTTTATGACGTTGTTTCTACTAATAGAATTTTCTTTTACACATTAAAATTCTTCCTTTTTCTGAAGCATTTTCTTCTATTCTTATGTGTCATTTTTATATATCCAGTAGTTGTTAACAATTATGATTATAGTTTTAAAAAGTCAAACCTCATTTTGAATGCTCATCTGTCTTAGTCTTCTCATGAATCATAGATTCATATAAAGAGATACAGTATAACTGTGGCGGACATGCTAATTTTGTCTTTAATATCCGTTCCTCTTCCTCATTATTAGGAGATCCACGATCTTTTAGGTGTAGCACTCTGCCCTGGTCCAAGGCAATTACATTATCATTATTTGTCAAGCCAACCATAGCAATCTTTTTCTCCTCTTCTGGGGACTCAATTTCTCACACTCCTTGCCATCAGAGGTGTCCTAAGACCCAGTTCTAATCAATTACTCCCCAGGGAAAGTGTGTTGAGGCTTTGAGTTAACTTTCTGCTTTCCTAATGAAAGGAATAAACACGACTGATTCTACCTCGCTTTTTTTCAGGCTTCTTGTGTTGCCCAGAGCAGCAGCAGCCAACTTGTGACGATAAACTAACAGTCTTAAACATGGAAAAATATCCCTCCTAAGGATGGGTACACGGTGGCATAATGAAGTTGACGCATCAGTTTTTAAATTATTGTATAATAAAAGACTGTATATTTGAGAATTAAATTGCTCTATTAGCTAAGCCACTGTTAGTAGGAAAACCTACTTAACATGACACAATATTTCTAACAATTTAAAACAGTTGGGGGAAACTGTGTGTGTAAACACACACACATATATAGTTCTAGGTATATAGAATACCATATATATAGGTATGTGTATATATACAGAATAGATAAAAAAGAAGCAAAGGCTAATTGAGCCTCGAAGAACAATTGTGAATCAAATAAAAGTGAGAAAATAAACTGAATTTGATTATATCCTCTACGGAAAATATTACTATATTAGTTATGCATAAATTTTTAAAGATTGAAATATACTTGGATCATTTGACATTTTCATTTTATTGACTGTAGTGATGATTTAAGTCAAAATGTTTCAAATTGTAGACTTTAAACAATTTATATTGTATATAAATTATACCTCAATAAAGTTATTAAAATATACTCAATTAAGGAATTATGTTGTATATGGCTTTAGGTTATGTTCCAAGAAAGAAAATGGGAATGTATTTTATCTTTACCTTTTATTTTTTAATAAAAAAAGCCCTTTATGTAAAATCGAAAGATTTTAGTTAATAATAATAGTCAGAATGTTACTAATGATAAAGTCAACTAGCATTTATTAAATGACCATTATGTGGCAAGTCTATAATTACATTACCTCTAATCTTCTTATCACGAATACAAGGAAGGTTATTATTACCTCCAACTGAGAGATGAGAAAAGAAACTCCGAGAAGACAAGTAGCTTGTTGAAACCACCTGGATAATTAGTTAGATCGGCTGTGCTTTCAACACAAGTCATCAAATCCCAAACGTGTCCCCTTTCCAATCTGCTATTTTGTCCCCAGCATGGCTACTCTCCAGAGTATTTATTTTAAAATCTGAGTACTAGTTTCATCATCTGTAAATATGAATAATGTAAGGTATTCTGTATACTATGTAGGCTTATTGTGAAGATGAAATTATATATGTGGATGTATGTTGTAAACTTCAAAGTGCTATAAAATTCTAGTTTTCATAATCAAAATTGTCATATTCAAGTCAATGATATTTATTTACTTTTAGAAATATACCATGAGTAATTTCACAGCTAATTCTAACTAAATGTCTTCTCCAGCTTTCTAGATGTCATCTAACCAGTTATATTCTCACTGATTCGGCAGTGTATTCAAAGAGACAGAGAAGGATTGACATGATGTGTTGATGAAGTTTAAATTTCAGAGGCCCTGTTGCAGGGGCCCTCAGAGTTGGGGGTCCATGTTCTAGCTGGGAGGAGACATGAAGAGGCCCTTTCTCTGTAAGCATTTGTGGCAAAGAGATCTCGAAAGAAATGGAACCAGTTAATGGAATCATTTTGAAATAAATACTTACCTTTGCATCTAATTTTGTATTTATAACCTTTTCCTCTCTTTCTTAAAGAGGACCCTCCAAATTTTATGAACTTCCAAGTCCACTAATCATGAGTCTGCCCTGATACAAAGGAAGGCATGTAAAATACTCCTTAGGTTGTATTCTCTACTGTGCAGGTTTTCAATCTGTAGAAGAACTCCTGATCTTTAAAAAAAAAAAAATAAAGATTGGGGAAGAGGTAGTAAAAAGATATTAAGTGAACATTTTTAAGAATGCTGATTTCATTACATATTTTCCAATACCAAAACATAAAATAAAAAAATCTGGATTTTTTATATATATTATGTATATAATATATATATTATATATAATATATATATTTAATATATATGTAATATATATATACTATATATTATATATATATTAGTATTATTATTTATACATATATTGAAAACTGTAAGGTGATTTGCACCATAGGTGCAATATAAATATATATATATATATAAAATGGGTGTATATTCAATTACAGATTTATTTTTTGCCCAAATTAACCTCTCTCATGGCTTTATCAAATACTTATATTTAATCAGTTTCTTTGTAACAGTTATAAAGAAATAAAATATATTATTTCTGGTCACAGGTGCAGACTATCACAGGAATAGGAAGTAAATTGAGTCATCAGTATTCACAACATTTTAACTCAGGTTTAGAATTAGTACTTGAGAGCGCTGTGAGAAGGTCCACCAGGAAGAAGAAGTTAACTAACATATGTCAACCTAATATCTTGCTTTCAAAACTTGATGTTTTAAGATAAAATAGGATCATGTAAGACATGTTGTGCTATCTATTGTATTATGATTCTATGAATAATGAGTGTATCTCACATATTAGAGTATTCCTAAGTATTCATGAAATTTTGTAGTATGTCAAGATACAAGTGTTGAGTAACTCAAGTATTTGACTCCTACTAACCAAAATAATAAACATTTAGGCTTATAACCAAAATGAGTAATTATTTATTTTGAGAAATATTATTTATAGAAAAAGAATACACAAATTTTTCTCCTGGTACAATAAATCTGTGAATTTCCATATGAAAGATTGTTTAGTGATCTTGGAATAAGCATAGAGTGAAATTATGACTTTCAAGGAAGAATTCATTATGACCACACTGAGAATTTCCTTTAGTAATGATTTCATTTATTTATTTTACATGTATTTATTTTGATCACATGACTTAAAATATTCTGAGGAATACAAGTAAGAAGAAAAAATAAAATAAAACAAAACATGGAACTGGAATTATAAAAAAGCTGTATCCCTCAAAGGAGACTTTAGTCATAATGGCAAGATTCCTTCATTCTCTAATGAAAATACTAGATAAAGACAGCAAATTCTTAATCTCTAGTGTTCATATAGATGTTACATTTACTTTGGGCGTTTCTTCAAGTATAATAATACCATTTGTTAGGCTACATTATTCTGTAGTTTAGGTCATTCTGCGTAATCTGATTCCTGCCTGAATTCTAGAACTCCATATTTTGCAAATTTTTCACTCTCTCTCTAGGGCAAGGAAGTTTCATTTTCATTGCATTTACCCAAATTTGTAATTACCTTTGATTATTGTATTTATTTCTTTTTTGTATTTCCAATTAAATAATGAACTTCATTTTATTCAGCATCTAGTAGCTTGGCATCAATAGCCTTTCTATACATATTCAGTAAATAAATGAATAAAGAAAGCAAAAATAAATACATATTATATAATTTTTTATATTCTTTTACTATCAGTCTTAGCATATGGGAAGTAGTTTGTTTTTTAAAATAACTTCTTGATGAAAAGCAAGTTAGCATATACCATTTTATATGCTACTTGCCAGAAGTACTTTTATTTTTTAATTTTCTAATTTATAATGAGCACTTTACAATGTGTTGACTATCTACTCTTCTTTTCTTTTCTTTCTTTCTTTCTTTCTTTTTTTTTTTCTTTTGAAACAGATTCTTGCCCTGCCATATGGGCTGGAGTGCTGTAGCTCAGTCTTGGCTCACTGCAACCTCTGCCTTCTGGGTTAAACGATTCTCCAGCCTCAGCCTCCCAAGTAGCTGGTATTACAGGCGCATGCCACCAAGCCTGGCTAATTTTGTATTTTTAGTGGAGACGGAGTTTCGCCATGTTTGCCAGGCTGGTCTCGAACTCCTTACATCATGATCGGCCTGGCTTAGCCTCCCAAAGTGCTGGGATTACAGGCTTGAGCCACTGTACCCAGCCAGCTATTTACTTTTCTTTAGGCAGAAAAGTATCATAATAATGATATATATTCCTTACATATATGAAGAGTTTTGTATTGTCCGGAGGAGTTGAAATAAGATGAAATAATACACACTTCAATTTAATCTTTACTGTTATTGAAATAATTCTCAATTCTAAGTCATTTTCTCTTAAATTTAATTTAATTTTAGATTCAGTAGGTACATGTACAAGTTTGTTACATGGCTATATTGTATAATGGTGGAGTTTAAGCTTTTACTGTATCCATTACCCAAAGAGTGAACATAATACCCAACAGGTAATTTTTCAGCCCTCCACTCTTCCCAACCTTCACTCTTTGGAGCCCCCAGTGTCTATTGTCTCCATCTCTATGTTCATGTGTATCCATTGTTTAGCTTCCACTTGTAAGTGAGAGCATGCTGTGTTTGATTTTTGTTTCTGAGTTATTTCTCTTAGGATAATGGCCTTCGGCTTCATCCGTGTTGCTGTAAAGGACATGATTTCATTCTTTTTTATGCAGTCATGAACAAAAATGAAATCATGTGCTTTGCAACAATGTGGTTTATATACATCAAACTTGCTTTACTCAGTTATCCCTTGATGGACACTTAGGTTGATTCCATAACTTTGCTATCATTTTATTTGTATTTCCTTTTTTCCACCCTGCTTCCACATGAAATCTGAGTTAAATATGTTTTGTCATTTTCAGTTTAGTTTGCCAAGTAAAAGATAAATGTGTGCTTTTCCTTTAGGGTTAGAAAAAAACTAAAATATACAAAACAGAAAATAATAAAATCAAGATATTTTTAATTTTTGTATGGCTGGTCTTCTCAAGAAAAATTGCCAAAAAAACTGTTGATCATTTTAGTATTATTATTTACACATATTTTGAAAACTGTAAGGTGATTTGGGCTTATTATTGCACTGTAGGTCTATTAAGCTTTCAAATTCTCCAGAGTAATGACTCAGATAATATTTAAAGTATAGGGGTCATGACTTTGAGAGCAGCCACCCGTGAAGGATTACAAGTTTTAAAATTATTTGGACATATGGTAAAGAATGTTGGAGATTCCTTAGTATTTCCAAATATAGTTCTTCAGTCAATACTCAAAAAGTAATTAAATTAAATTAAATTAGCCATGCACTAAGCAGCTATAAATGTTGGAGAGGGTGAGTAAAAACAATAAATAATCATACATGATGGAGGTTTCAATAGTGGAATGTATTCAAATTGTGAGGAATCACTTAGATGAAGAGTACCATGAAGTTAGGGCAGAATTTGGTTATTTCTCCAATAATTTTTTAGACCAACCTTTTATTATGTGTGATAGTATTTGGAAAAAGATAGTGATGGAGCCATATCCATGGTCCACTAGGCTTTGCTATACAGATGGCCCTCCATATCTGTGAGATCCACATCCACAATTAAGCCAATTGCAGATCAAAAATATTAATAAAACAAAAAACAATACAGCAATAAAATAATAGAGACCCTAAAACATAGTATAGCAAGTATTTACACAGCATTTACATTACATTAGGTATTATAAGTAACCTAGAAAGGATTTAAAGTATAAGAGAATATATTACCCTGTTCTCACATTGCTATAAAGATACCTGAGACTGGGTAATTTACAAAGAAAAGAAGCTTAATTTGTTAATGGTTCTGTGGGCTGTACAGGGAGCATGGCGACATCTGCTTCTGGGGAGGCTTCAGGGAGCTTTTACTCATAGCAGAAGGCAAATTGGGAGAGGTTGTCTTACATGGCAGGAGCAGGACCGAGAGAGAAGTGGGAGGTGCTCACACTTCTAAAACAATGAGCTCTCATGACAACTCACTCACTCACTATCATGAGAACAGGGAGAACAGCACCCAGCGGATGGTGCTAAACATTCATGAGAACCTAGCCCATGATCCAGTCACCTCCCACCAGGCCCCACCTCCAACACGGAGGATTATAATTTAACATGAGATTTCGGCAGGGACATATATCCAAATGATATTAGGGAGGATTTGCTTGTGTTATATGCAAATTGTACATCATTTTGTATAAGGAACTTGCCCATACTCAGATTTTGGTATCTGTGATGGTTCTGGAATCAATCCCTCCCATATGCTATAAGACAACTGTACTCTATATAATCTAAGAGTTTGAGAAGTGTAAAAACTATATAACCTTTTATAAGGAGGTGGAGACTTTAGAGAAGCCCTTCCAGCATTCAGAGGCATTTTTGTCTTACTTGTGTTAATGCAAGTATGTTAATTACATGTCAAACATTAAAATTTCTATTAAAATTATAAAAATATATGCCTAACTTATTTAAAAAGATATTTGATTTTATTTAACCCCACAAATTAAGTAATTAATAAATTTTACAAAAATAATATTTCAAGACTTAAGAATGAGAGCTAAATTCGAACATAACTTGATTTATGAAATAGAGAGCTGCCTTTTTGTTGTTAAACATCTGTGTGGATATGTAGGCTGTTCAAGAGATACCTCCTATTTATGTCTAGATGAGATAGTCGCTCAATGTGGTAGGTAGTCACCCCCACTAAATGTGTATGTCCTAGTCCCTGGAAACAGCAAACGTGATATCTTAAATGGATGAGAAAATAAATTTTGTAAATGTGAGAAAGTTAAAGATCTTGAGATGAGGTGATTATCCTGGATTATCCAAGTGAGTCCAGTGTAATCACAAGGATCCTTGAAAGACGGAAGATGGAAGAGAAAAGTCGGAGAAGAAACTGTCATGATGAAGCAGAGTGTGGAAGCAGAGATATTAGATGATGTTGCACTGCTGGCTTTGAAGATGGAGAATGAGGTCATGAGCTAAGGAATATAGTTGGCCTCTACAAGGTAGAAAGGCCCAAGTAATGAGTTCTCCCCCCAGAGCCTCAGGGAGGAAGACATACTTAATGACTCATTTTAGTCTTCTCACTTCAGGAACTGTAAAATTTCAGTTTGTTTTAAGACATTAAGTTTCTGGTAATTTTTTAAAGCAACAATAGGAAAGCAATATACTGGATAATTTACCTGGGACAACATAAAATAAAACATTTAAAGAGTTTAGATTATACTGATGGACAAAGTGATATGTTTTACATAACGGCATTACTGAATTTAAGGCAACATTTTCCTTTGCATCATTTATTTTAAATGTGTGAGATTTTGTTTGTTTAAATCAATGATAGGGATTAAAGCTTTTCCATGTTTTCCATTTAGCTGACTTATAAAATTTTGTCTTTCCTACTTTCCTTTTTCTTCCTGTCTGACACATCAATTCTGTCACTGGAACTGCAGCAGCCACTTTGAGACATGATAAAAACGTGAGCATGGGTGAGTCATGCTAGAAATATCAAAAGAGGAAGACAGAGAGAGCATGGGATGCTAATGATACTTTTAGGTTACTGGATAGCCCCGGGCCACTTGTCTCTGAAGTTCAGTTACTGTAAAAAACATAAATAAAAATGTAAGTAAACTGCCTTATTAAATTCCTCTTTTCTTCCTTATCAGGCAAATTCACACCTATCATAGCAATTACAAAATCCATCATACATTGTTCTAGTTACTTTTTGATGCTAATTTTCATGCAAAATTATAAATTATATGCTAAATTCCATGTTTGATTTTTTCTTAAGTTTAAAAAAAAAAATTACTGTCTCCTAGAGCCTAATTCCCTGTCTGGAGTAGAAACTCCACATTAGTGCTGTTATTTGAGTAAATCACTAAACTTCTCTACATTTAAATTTTCCTCAACAGGAATTATTGTGTAATAAAATATAGTTCATAGACTGTTAAAACTAAAGATATGTGTATGAACTTTGAAAGATGTAGAAAGTACCATAATAAAGAGACATTAAGGATAAAAGAAAGCAGATATATTGAGCAACTGCTACCAGTAAGGGCAAGATACTTTGGTCTCATCACCTAGTTCAAGTTTGTGTAACTTTCACAACTCTATATTACAGGTTATTTTATTATTGCTTACAAATGAAAAAAAAAATCAGGAAGAATAAATAGCTTCCCCAAGACCACACATCTAGTATGAAGCTAGAGTATAGGATTTGAACTTCACATTGAATCTAATGTTTATATACATTCTATGGTATCACATTACATACAACTGGTACACATTACTGCATAATCTTTAGTATATAATTCTCAATTTTAAATTAAATTAAATGAAAAATTAGTTAAAAGAAAAAATGTTTGTATTTGCTTTTAGTAGTATTTACATTTCTTATTCATTTTGTGTTATAAAAATGTACCCTAAATATTTACATAAATTCCTGATCTTTAGATGATGATTTTTAGCTAAAAGATGGTTTCAAGGCTCTCGTTAAGTAATTACTTATTCTCTAAGTAATTGTCTTGTATTTAGAAAGTCTATGGAAATCCAATGTGATTTTAAAATACGACTATGATGAAGGGTTAATGTGAATCCAAAAATATCACCTTGATTACTCTCTGCCTGCAGACTCATTTGATATAGGCATAATTCAAATGAGAAATTCATCTCCTTCATTTGTCATATCAGTGGCCACTTTGGCTAATCTTAGTGTGGGTGTAGCCCGCAACTGGCACCTCTAAAATTGCCCAGATGCTCCTATTAAAGTCAGTGAAAGTTATAATGTGTATGTCTACTCACCATTTTGACAGTTTGGAAACAGGAGATAATGCATCATAAATAACCTACCAGAAAATGTGTACTAAAGAAAAAGAATATAATAGAATTACAATTTATTCTATTTCTTTACTTATCAGCTTTCTGCATGTGGTTGATTTAAAACCTTGTAAAAGAGTCAGAATGTTATTTGTAATTTTTCTTAGTAGAAATGAAAGCCTTTTGAGCCCTGGCAGGTTAAAATATCAAATATGTTAAAACAGTTTTGCTATTTGACCGATATTTTTTTTAAATAAAATACAATGTGATAAAATATTCTGACTCAAGAAGGTGACCATTTTCAGGGAGATAAAAGCTGACATTGATAACAAAATGTTTATATTAGTGGTTTGTAATGTAAGAGTCCCATGCATAATTTTGTTATTTCTCTAGTTATGGGGAAGTATATTACATTTCTATATTTGGCATATGTTCAAGGTGAAAAATATTATTTTTATTCTAATGTTTTGGGCCCAGTAAAAGGGAAAGAAAGCAAGTTTGTTGCTATAGTCAGTATGTAGATAACAGCAAATTTAGCAAAATAAAGTTTTAACTACTCAGTTTGAGTGTATGCATGGCATTTTATTAAAATACTAGGATTATTTTTGTGTGTATGTGGAAGACACAAGGTTTGTAATAATTCTCATATTGATTGCAGTTGAATTTTTTAAAAAAATGTAAATTCACAAACCACATGCAATCGCCATAATTTCTCGCTTTTCCTATATATGTCTCGAAACTGCCCCAAACCAGAAACAATCTGGTTACCTTATATTCACTCAAATCTATTATTATCATTAATTATTATTTAGCTTCTTGTAAAATAGATGATAATAAAGATAACAAAAGGCACACTGAAGAAGAAAACTATACCATCTTTTACCATAGGATCACCAATTATTAAGGAATTACATAAATTATTTGGTTGAAACATTCCCCGTAGCATAAATTTATTTTTAAAAATACAATTTTCAGGACAGATATCTACAGGGCCTTATGTAACTTATGTACATACATACATTCATTTAAAATCATCAGACTTGTGAGCACAGAAGATAAAATTTTTTTAACAGTGTTTTTAGAATAGAAACCAACTTATCTAAATTAAGGCTAGGATTAAAACAAACAATTTAAATATCTCATTTTCAAAATGAGATCAGTGAAAAAACAAGAAACAAAGAAATGCTTATGGCCACACTTGCTATGTCACGAAACACATAAATAATAATGAAAGAAAAGGACAGAAACATTGTACCATGTAATAGCAATATGCTGCCTTGGAGTACAGGTATTTCATGACAGAGCTTCTATAACCCCTACACCACTGAGAGGAGAGGTAGTTCCTTAACTCATATCCAAATGAGAATTTTCAATGTACATGGTCATCACAACAACACAAGATAAGAGACTTCCAAAAGAGCTTTAGAACTATGTCTTCAGGAGTTTTCTCGTACTCCATGGGTTTACATCAGCTGGTATTGCATGACAGACTAGATGTCCTGTAACAAGTGGACATTGTTGAAAATAATAGATGTTGAAAATAGTAAAGTAGATGTTCAGTTAATATTTGTTGATAATGGACAATGTCAAAAACAAACAAACAAACCCAAGGTGGAAGGACTTGTTCTACCAATATGAAGACCTTTTATAAAGCCATGCTATATACTACACTGCCATACTGAAGCAGGGAACAAAGTATTTAATGTAACAGGTCTTGCACACAGGAACAGATCCACATATACTTGGATATATAACAGAGGTGGTACTCAGAAAAATGGAAAAAGGTTAAACATTTTAATAAATCATACTATGGGGGAATTACAAAATGAAAATGAGTCCCTGTTCCAGTCCATAAAAATAGATCACTTTCATGTAAATTGATTACCTTATAGTAATAGGCAAAACACAGAGTATTTAAAAGGTATCATAGTATATTATCTTTATGAAACCATGGTGGAGAAAGAGTTCTTAAATACAAATTTTAAAGAAAAATATAGACAGAACATTAAAATTAAGAATTCAATTAACCACAAGGTACTAAAAAGAGAATAAAAATGTGATGTTGGGTTATAACCCACAGCATGGCAGTAAATGAACTACAGTCTGTGAGGAGATATTTTCAACACTCATATAACCAATTGTGCTAGTTCATTGTCACATTGCTATAAGGAAATACCCGAGACTGGGTAATTAATAAAGAAAAGAGGTTTAACTGACTCGCAGCTCTGCATGGCTGGGAAGGCCTCAGGAAACTTACAATCATGGCAGAAGGCACCTCTTCACAAAGCAGCAGGAGAGAGAATGAGTGCAAGCAGGGGAAATGGCAGATACTAATAAAACAATCAGATTGTGAGAACTCACTCACTATCACAAGAACAGCATGGGGGAAGCTGCCCCCTAATCCAATTACCTTTACCTGGTCCCACCCTTGACATGTGGGGATTTTGGGGATTACAACTGAAGGTGAGATTTGGGTGGGGACTCAGAGCCAAACCATATCACTAATAAATGACAGGCAAATATAGAAACAAGAATACATGAATCAATTAAAAATAGACTACATAAATAGGCAAATGACTTGAAAAGTTACTACAAAAAGAGTAAATTGAAATTGCCAATGATCACATTAGAATAATATCATTATATCCCAGGAATTTAAAAGAAAAATAACAATGTGACCATAGTAGATACATGATAGATTTTCAAAAATAAAAATATTTGACAATGCCAAATGAGTTTATAGACCAAGCACATCTCTTATCTTCTGTCATATATTGGCACAATTTCTTGGAATACAATGTAACATTATCTAGGTAAGCTAAAGAAATCCAAACCTATGGCAACAATTCTGCTCTTAAGTAAACATCTTAAAGAAACTCAGGTATTTATGCAGTAAGGTATGTATTCATACCAACATTTCTATAATGCACCCAAACTCAGAAATATATAATGTTTATACACATTAAAATTGATTTAAAAAAATGTAGTATCCTCATCTAATGGAATGCTATTTAGCAATGAAGAAGAACAAATTCTAGCTGCTATCAATAATTATGAAAATTCACAAATAATAAGAAAAAATGTGAGACAAAAAATAAACACACATTTTAAAGTTATTGTTTTTGGATGTGTCTATAGTTGGTAAAACTATCATTGAGAGCACAAAAATGATTATCATGAATGAAAGGAGAGTGGTTACTTCCAGAGAGAGATGCACCTTTATTCTACCCTCTACAATATACTTCTCTTCAAGTAGTTTTTCCTCTTTCTATTCCTTACTTCACCTTTACTGCAACTTCTAAGTAAATCATCTCTAAACTTTTATCTGAATTACTGAAACAACATTTTTACTCACTCCAGATTTGCCCACTATAATTCTGTCAATAGACAGTAAGTAGCTGGAGTGATCTTTTTAAAAGTGTAAATTCCATAGCTGGGTACAGTGATTTGGGCCTGTAATCTCTGCTATACAGGAGGCTGAGGCTGGAAGATAACTTAAACCTAGGAGTTTGAGACCAGCCTAGGCAACACAGACCCTTTCTCAAAACAAAACAAAACAAAACAAAACACTGTAAATTCTTACTATACCGTTCAAGCGTAAAAGTATTCAGTGATTTAAACTTATAAAATTTGTAATTATTATCGTTTTTAAAAACTAAACATCATTATGCTTCTTCCTATATTTTTAATAACAAGCATATTTCTATTTTAAAAATTTTCATTAGCTGTGTCTATTAATGAAATTCACTTTGCTTTGATCTTCAAATGGCAAACTGCTTCTTAACATTTACATCTGTAAATAAATATTTTCTTTTCCCTGAAAATCTAATCTTAGGTAATCAAAGTCAATCTATATTAAATTATCTTATTTTTATGTTTTTAGATAATTTTTGTCACTTCCTGATTTTTACTTTTGCATTTTGTATATTAGTTTATTGTCTTTTATAGCCCATATTAACTAAAAGGATAGCATGCTGTTTATCTTAGTTATTGTTTTTTGTGGATTACTAAAACAGTGGCAGTTAGAAAGTAGATGTTCAGTTAATATTCACTGATGATTTGCATTTATCTAATGGCCAGTGATGATGAGCATTTTTTCATGTGTCTGTTGGCTGCATAAATGTCTTCCTTTGAGAAGTGTCTGTTCATATCCTTCACTCGCTTGTTGATGGGATTGTTTTTTTCTTGTAAATTTGTTTGAGTTCTTTGTAGATTCTGGATATTAGCCCTTTGTCAGATGAGTAGATTGCAAAAGTTTTCTCCCATTCTGTAGGTTGCATTAGGAGATATACCTAATGTAAATGATGAGTTAAGGGGTGCAGCACACCAACATGGCACATGTATACATATGTAACAAACCTGCATGTTGTGCACATGTACCCTATAACTTAAAGCATAATAATTAAAAATATATTTAAAAAATTCACTGATGAGATTTGAATGAATTGCCAAAAACCTAAATTTTCCACATGGAAAAAATATGTCAAATAAAATACAAATGAATTGCATAGGGGAACTTATACAACATATGTGATAAGGTTTCACAGTTCTTAATATAAAATGTTTCAAAATCCACCAAAATAAACAGCTTATTAGGGGAAAAATACTAAAAGCAGATGTAGGTAATTAATATTATATTGAAAATTTTCAAACTGTACTATAAACTAATAATACTTAAAATAAATCTAATATATTGTCCAATAAAGGATCTTTTGAGGTTGTTGTAATAACACATTCAAAAACTGTCAGTGTGGAAGTAAATATTACAACCTCCCTAAACAAATAAATTATATATTAAAAGTTTCTACAGTTTTACAATTTTTATCTAACAAGTAAACTTTTATAATTTATATATGAATATATTCGGCAAAAAGAATACAATGTATATACAAGCATGTTCCGTTCTGTTTTAGCTATAAAACACACACACATACTCATACATTTGAAATCGTGCCAAGATAAAATATAGGGTACTAATTATATAAGTATGTGTTATAACTGCAAATGGTAGCATCATATAACAGCTTGGGAAAAAATGTTTGTTTTCTTCTCCTTATAATGGGAAGAAAAGTCCAGATATTTACTGAGACTAAAGAAAAATCAAAATGTTCAAATTTTAAGCAATTAAATACCCATTAAATTTTAGCCTCATTGCCTTCTTTCAATTATTATACTTTCCAAGAATGTTCCCATAGAAATTAACTCTTAATATTAAGAATCCATTTATCCAGTCTCCAAAGTGAATCATGTCCCACTTTCATCCATTAATCATCAAGATCAAAGCTCAGGACCACATTTCCATTCAAGTTCTATGTTCACCCTGTTTCAATATTCAGTAGCCTTTATGCTCATTTATATAATTTATCATTAACAATACAACCTTATATACAATAATAAAAACATTGAGATATGGGAAAACATTAATTTGTTTTATACACACACACACACACACACACACACCCCTAAAATATTTAAAAAATAAAAAAGGAAAAGAAATGATTAACTTTTTCTCTGCTTATAACAACTTATAAGTGGTTATGATTTTTCTTTATTTCTACTTAATCTTTTCTTTCTGTTATATAAACATCAATTGGTCAGTATTTAAGAACTAATAGTTACTAAGCCTTCTTTCTTCAGATGTATGACTCTCGTTGATCATACATTATGGAGTCAAGAGTGTTTCATTAGCTTTTATCACCAGATATGACATAGAAAAAGGCACCATAACTTAAATGATTATGTCCCATTCATACTTGTCTTTTGCCCCCATTTTTAGCAGTCATACCATTTCACCTTCATAGTAAAGCTTATTCAAATCAGCAACTACTTCATTTTCACATGTTTTTCTTGGAGGCAGAAACTGAAATATCAATTTGTAAACTAAAGTAATTATTGTACTGTCACTAGCAGAAGAATTTAAACTTTTAATACTATTACCTCTGTATCACTAGACCTTGAAACTCTAAATGGATGAAAAGCAAATATTTTCAATTGGATAAATAGGCATAATAGTGAGGCATGACGTTGACAATTCTCAAAAGAAGATATACAAATGGCCAACAAACACATGAAAAAATGCTCAGCATCACTAATGATCAGGGAAATGCAACTTGAAACCACAATACAATGCCATCTTACTTCTGCAAGAATGGCCATAATCAAAAAATAAAAAATCAGTGGATGTTGGTGTGGATGCAGCAGTCAGGGAGCACTTCTACACTGCTGGTTGGAGTGTAAACTATTACAGCCACTATGGAAAACAGACTGGAGATTCCTTAAAGAAGTAAAACTAGAACTACCATTTGATCCAGCAATCCCACTACTGGGTATCTACCCAGAGGATGTCATTATTCGAAAAAGATACTTGCACACACATGTTTATAGCAGCACAATTTGCAATTGCAAAATCGTGGAACCAACCCAAATGCCCACCAATCAATGAGTGGATAAAGAAAATGTGGTATATGTATATGTGTGTGTGTGTGTGTGTGTATATATATATATATATATATATGATGGAATATGTATGCATATATGTATATATATATATGATGGAATACTACTCAGGCATAAAAATGAATGAAATAACAGCATTTGCAATGACCTGGATGAGACTGGAGGCTATGATTCTAACTGAAGTAACTCAAGAACGGAAAACCAAACATTGTATGTTCTCACTGATATGCAGAAGCTAAGCTATGAGGACACAAAGGCATAAAAATGACAAAATGGACTTTTGGGACTTTGGGGGAAGAGTGTGAGGGCGGCATGGGACAAAAGGCAACATATATGGTGCAGTATATACTACTTGGGTGATGGGTGCACCAGAATCTCATAAATCACCACTAAAGAACTTACTCATGTAACCAAATACCACCTGTACCCCAATGACTTATGGAAAAATAAAATAAATAAATAAATAATAAAAAGTCCATCTGGAAAAGTGTCTGTGTTTAAAGCCACCAACCTAATATGTTTACAATAGTTTACCATTAATTTCAAAGACATAGTCATTTTCTGTATTGTCCAAACTGGAGAATTCATTGTAGATGTGATAAGAATAATGTTTTGTGGATCTTTAAATTATTTCATGCTGTCATTAATTTCTGAGATAAACCTAGATATACATTATTATTTTCAATCTTGAATTTTGAATAAGATTAATGTCATTAGGTCATTTATTGTCCCCTTTTGATTGTAACAGGTCTTAACCCATGGGTTAGAGAATTAATATGGGGAGTACACTAGCTATGGTTACAACTAAAGGCCAAGTATCCAGAGAATTAATTATGGGATTAGTGCAGGGAGCCAAAGAGCCTTCAATAAGGCTTGGTTTTGTTTTGTTTTGATTCTTTTTCCTTTTATCCTCTGTTTTTCATAAAATTCCTCTATGAGGTAGACGACAGTAATTATTCTTCCCCTGAAATTAGTATCTCAAAATTGGTGTCTAGTAACCCCTCTACACTGGTACATTTCCCTTCTTTTTTTTTTGAACAGAGTCTATCTCTATCGCCCAGGCAGGAGTGCAAATGCGCGATCTCTGCTCACTACAACCTCCGCCTCCCCTGCTCAAGCGATTCTCCTGCTTCAGCCTCCCCATTTCCCTTCTTTAATGTTGTATTATGATAATGAATGGAAGAAGGTACCTTTGGAAGATTAGGGAAAATTTTAAAGTATAGGTTTTTATACTATTTTAGTATTTCTTTATGTATACACATGGTCTTTATTTAAAAAGGTCTAAATCAATAGACAGTGGGTTAACTGAAAAAAAAAGTTATGAAAGATTAAAAATTTGTTTCTTCCATCAGTCATCTGGTAAGTCAATCATATTATTATATCCTGATTATACTATAAGCCCCAAAGATTTTTATTATGACTATTCCCAGTGTGCCTTTGAAGTTAAATTATATAACAACTAAAATTTTTAAAAGCACTGTCTATTTGAGGGATTAATTTTATAGCTATTAGTTTATATATGACTAAAGATTTTCCTGAATCTCACAAATTTTTGTATTAAGTTCTCTAATTATTGTTGATTTATAAATAGTTTAAAACCATAGTTTGTTTATTCTATTATACATTTTTAATTTAAATATTTTAGAACAAAAGTTTATGGTTAGCTTAATTTCTTTTTGGCAATTGACCCTAATAGAACATATGTATTTGTTCTGTGTGGTTAAGGCTTTTGAGAGTATAAAAACTAACATATTTAAATCTGTTTGTATGTATCAATAGATAGATGTAACTTTATTCTTGTTTGTTTCTTTAAAAATTCTCAAGATTTTTATATTAATTTACAGGGCTTAGTGTGCTCTGAATTTTTAGTGGTTGCCAGCTTCAAATTTATCTTGGAATTTTTGCTCTGAACTGAACTTTGGTTGAGACAGGATTTTAGGTTCAAAATAGTTGCTACTTAGAAATTAGCAAGTATTCTTTTCTTCGATGTTTATGTGACATATCTGACAGGAATTTTAATATATTTTAAATTTCCTTTAAAGTTTTCCAGTTTTACTTTTGTTGTCTTTTTTGTTTACTTTTGTTGTCTTTTTGTTGTTTTGTTGTTTTACAAACAACCAACAGGTTAATAAAGAAATTAAAAGGGAAATAAAAAATCTATTCAGACAAATTAAAATAAAAACATAGCATTCCAAAACATGTGGGATGCAGCAAAAGCAGTTCTAAGAGTTCTAAGTGGGTGGTTTATAGTAACAAACCCCTACATCAAAAAAGAAGAAAGATTCTAAAGAAAGAACCTAATGTTATACCTCAAAGAACTAGACAAACAAGAACAAAACTAAGCCCAAGTTAGCAGATGGGAAGAAGTAATAAACACCAGAACAACAAGAAGCTAGAAAAACAATTGAAAAGATAAATAAAAACTACAAGTTGGTTTTTGAAAAGATAAAAAAAAAATTAAAAAACTTTACCTATATACTAAGTAAAAAAGAGAGAAGACTCAAAATCAGAAATGATAGATGAGACATTAAAACTGATACCACCAAAATACAAAGGATAATACAAAAATATTATGAACAATTATACACAAACAAGTTAGATGACTTAAACGAATAAATTCTTAGACTCATGCCACTTAGCAAGACTGAGTCATACACAAATAGAAAATCTGAGCAGACCAATAACAAGGCAAGAGATTTAATCAGTAAGAAAATGTCACTTATCAAAGAAAAGTAAAAAAACTTATGGTTTTACTGCTGAATTCTACCAAACATTTAAAAAAGTAATACCACTTCATTTCAAACTCTTCCAAAAGTTCAAAAAGAGGAAATACTTTCAAACTCATTTTAAAAGGCCAGCATTATTCTGAAGCCAAACCCAGAGAAAGATATTATAAGGAAGGAAAATTATAGGCAAATAACACTGGTGAACATAGCCACAAAAAAAATACTCAATGAAATACTAATAAACTGGATTTAACAGTACATTAAAAGGATTATTCATCATGATAAAGTGGGATGTATTCCAGGATGCAAGGTGGTTCAACATATGCAAATCTATAAATGTGATATACCACTTTAGCAGACTAAAGGACACAAGCCATATGATCATCTCCATAGATTCAGAGAAAGCATTTGACAAAATTTAACATCTTTTAATGATAAAATTTCTTAGCAAATTAGTCATAGTGGTAAGATACCTTAGCAAACTAAAAGCCATTTATGACAAACTAACAGTTGAAATCATACTCAGTGGTGAAAAGTCAAAAGCTTTTTTGTTAAGATCAGCAGCAAGACAAGCGTACTCACTCTTCCAATACCAGTCAACATAGTACTTGAAGTTCTGCCACAGCAATTTGTCAAGAGAAGGAAATAAAAGGCATTCAATGGCAAAGGAAGAAGTTAAATTGCCTCTGTTTGCAGATGATAAGATCTTATTTATATAAAACCTTAAAAATCCACCAAAAAATTGTTAGAGCTTGTAAATAAATTTAGTAAAGTTGCAAAATGTAAAATCAACATACAAAAATCAGTAGTATTTCTATACACTAACAATGAACTGTATAGAAAAGAAATCAAGAAAACAATTTCATTTAACTGCTGTCAAAAATAAGAATAATTTTAACCAAAGAGGTCAATGATCTGTACACTAAAAATTATAATCATTCAATGAAAACAATTTAAGTAGACACACAAAAATAAAAAAAAAAAATCCCAAGTTCATGAATTGGAAGAATTAATAATAATAAAATGTTCATTCTACCCAAAGTTACCTAAAGATTCAATTCAATCCCTATCAAACTTCCAGTGACATTTCTCACAGAAATGGAAAAAATGAATTCTAAAAATTTCATGGAAACACAAAAGACCCAGAATAGCCAAACCAATCTTGAGCAAAAACAAACAAACCAACAAACAAAACACAAAGCTAGAAGCACCAAATGATGTGACTTCAAAATATACTACAAAGCTATAGTAATCAAAACAGCATTATAGTGACATAAAGAAACAATGAAACAAAGTAGAGTCCAGAAATAAATCCATGCATTTATTGTCAATTGATCTTCAACAAAAGTTCTATGAATACTCAATGGGAAAAAGACAGTCTCTGCCTTGAATAGTGTTTGAATGACTGGATAGCCACATGCAGAAAAGTAAAATATGACTCTTATTTTATACCATTTACAAAAACCAACTCAAAATGGATTAAAGATTTAAATGTTAGAATCAAAACTGTAAAACTACTAAAAGAAAACTTAGGGAAAAAGCTCCATGATATTTGGTCTGACAGTGATTTTATAGGTATAATCCCAAAAGCAAAGGCAACAAAGCAAAAATGGACAAATGGGATTGCATCAAACTAAACAGCTTCCTCACAGCCAAGAAAGCAATCAACCTGTGGAATGGGAGAAAATATTTGCAAACCATACATCTGATAAGGCTTAATATTCAAACTATGGAAGAAAATCAAACAACTCAATTTTAAGAAAACAAATAACCCAATTAAAATGTATAAAGTATCTGAATATTTTTTCAGAGATATATAATTGTCCAACAGCTATATGAAAAAATGTTCAAAATCATTAATCATCAGAAACACACAAATTAAAATCACAATGAGATATTACTTCAGACCTGTTAACATAGCTATTATCAAAATGATGGAAGATAACAAGTGTTAGAGAGGACATGGACAAAAGGGAGCACTCAGACACATTTGGTGGAAATTTAGTACAACCGTTATGGAAAACACTATGGCAGTTCCTCAAAATTTGAAAATAAAACTACCATATGAATAAGTAATTTCACTACTGGATATATACTCAAAGTAAATAAAATCAGTATGTTGACAAGCTATCTGCCATCCTATATTTATTGCTTATTAAACACCATAGATAAGATGTGGAATCAAGTTAAGTGTACATCAATGAATAAACAGATAAAGAAAATTTGGTTTATATACACAATGGGATACTATTTAGCCTTAAAAAAAAGAAGGAAATTCTGTCATTTGTCACAATAAAGATAAATTTGGAGGACATTATGTTAAGTGACATAAGCCAGGCATAGAAAGACAAATACTGCATGATGTCACTTATATGAGGAATCTGAGAAATAAAAAAAGTGTTAAACTCATAGTAACAGAATGGAATGGTTGGTACCAGGGGCTAGTGTTGGGGTGAAGGGGACAACAGAAATGTAAGTCAAGGATGCAATTTTTTAGTTGTAAGAAGAATAAATTCTGGAGTCCTAATATACAGTATGTTGACTATAGTCATGGTGACTCTAGTTATTAGTACTATACTGTATACTTGAAATTTGCTGACAGAGTAGATCTCAAGTGTTCTTAGCAAACACACAATAGTAACCACGTGAGGTGGTAGATGTGCTAGCTTGATTGTTGAAAACATTCCAAAATATATACATATCAAACTATCATGTTATACACCTTAACTAATTTTTTGTGGATCAAACATCAATAAAGATGTAAACATAAAACAAAGAAAAAACAAAGAGAAAATAAATCATGACCAAGCACAGTGGGTCACGCCTGTAATCCTAGCACTGTGGGAGGCTGAAGCAGGTGGATCACCTGAGGTCAGGAATTTGAGACCAGCTTGGCCAAGATGGCGAAACCTCATCTCCATTAAAAATACGAAAATTACCTGGGCGTGTTGGTGGGTGCCTGTAATCCCAGCTACTCAGGAGGCTGAAAAAAATAGAATCACTTGAATCTGGGAGGCTGAGATTGCAGTGAGCCAAGATCACACCACTGCACTCCAGCCTTGGCAACAGAGTAAGACTCCATCTCAAAACAAACAAACAAACAAAAAGAAAATAAATCAAAAATATGTATTAAATATAAGTATGGAGAGGGAATACTGAAAATTTGGGAATAGAAATTAAAAAGTATGTATTTAGAAGAGTGAGAAAATAAATAGAAAAAGAACTATATAAACCTTGGGTAGCTTTAAGAGTACAATTAAGATACAGAAACATAAATTTAAATTGAGATCGGTCACAATGGCTGCCTCTTCAGCTGCAACCATGTTCAGCTACTTGGATACAGCTAGAGTAGGCAGAGAGATAGATTTAATCAGTGTTATTTACTTGATAAGTAGAGATTGCAAAGTTAAGGAGGAAAACATATTTGAAAGTACCTGAAAAAAGAATGACTAGAAAAATAACATAAGGAATTGAGGGTCAATAAAAATGTTGGTAGATCAAATAAACACAGGTAGAAATGACAGAGGGGATATTACAACTCACCACACAGAAATACAAATAGCCATCAGATTATATTATGGTCATCTCTATGCACGCAAACTAGAAAATCTAGAAGAAACAGATAAATTCCTGGACACATACACCCTCCCAAGTCTGAATCAGAAATAAACTGAATCTCTGAACAAGCCAGTAATGAGATCCAGAATTGAATCAGTAATAAATTGCTTACCAAAAAAAAAAAAAACAACAACAACAACAACAACAACAACAAAAAACTCAGGACCAGATAGATTCACAGCCTAATTCTACCAGATGTATAAGGAAGAGCTGGTATCATTTCTACTGAAACTGTTCCAAAAAACTGAGAAGGGAAGATTACTCCCTAACTCGTTCTATGAGGCCAGCATTAGCCTGATTTCAAAACCAAGCAGAGACACAATAAAAAAAGAAAACATCAGGCCAACATTGTTGATGGACATTGGTGCAAAAATTTTCAACAAAATACTGGCAAATCAAGTCCAACAACACATCAAAAAGCTTATCCACCATGATCAAGTAGGCTTTATCCCCAGGATGCAATGTTGGTTCAAGGTATGCAAATCAATAAATGTGATTCATCACATAAACAAAACTAAAGATAAAAACCACACATTTATCTCAATAGATGCAGAAAAGGCTTTCATAAATTTCAACGTTCTTCATATTAAAATTTTTCAATAAACTAGGCATCAAAGGAATATACTTCAAAATAATAGGAGGCATCTCTGACAACCCCATAGCCATCATCATACTGAATGGCCAAAACCTGGAAGCATTCCCCTGGAAAACTGGCACAAGACAAGGATTCCCTCTCTCACCACTCCTATTTAACATAGTACTGGAAGTCCTGGCCAGGGCAATCAGGAAAGAGAAAGAAACAAAAGGCATCCAAATAGGATGAGAGGAAGTCAAACTATCCCTATTTGCAGATGACATGATCCTATACCTAGAAAACCTATATACTCAGCCTGAAAGCTTCTTAAGCTAATAAACAACTTCAGCAAAATCCCTGGGTACAAAATCAATATGCAAAAATCACTAGCTTTTCTATATACCAACAACAGTCAATCTGAGGGCCCAATCAAGAAGACAATCTTGTTCACAATTTGCACACACACACACACACAAAACCTAGAAATACAGCTAATCAGGTAGGTGAAAGATCTCTACAATGAGAATTATAAAACACTTCTCTGTGAAACCAGAGATAGCACAAACAAATAAAAAAATTTCATGTTCATGGAGAGGAAGAATTAATTCTATTAAAATGGCCATACTGCCCAAAGCAACTTATAGATTCAATGCTCTTTCTATTAAACTACCATTAATATTCTTTACATAACTAGAAAAAAAAAAGCCCAAATAGCCAAGTCAATCCTAAGCAAAAAGAACCAAACTGGAAGCACATTGCTACCTGATTTCAAACTATACTACATGGCTACAGTAACAAAAATGTCATGGCGCCAGCACAAAAACAGACACATAGACCAATGGAACAGCATAGAGAGACCAGAAATAAGGCGACACATGTACAACAATCTGTTCTTCAACAAACCCGACAAAAACAAGCAATGGGGAAAAGATTCCCTATTTAATAAATGGTGCTGGGATAACTGGTTAGCCATATGCAGAAGATTGAAACTGGACCTTTTTCTTAAATCATACACAAAAATTAACTCAAGATGGATTAAAGACTTAAATGTAAAACCCCAAAGTACAAAAACCCTGGAAGACAACCTAGGCAATAACATTCTGGACATGGTAACAGACAAAGATTTCATGATGAAGACACCAAAAACAATTGCAACGAAAGGAAAAATTGACAAATGGGACCTAATTCAAACGAAGAGCTTCTGCACAGCAAAGGAAACTATTAACAGAGTGAACAGACAACCTACATAATGGGAGAAAACTTTTGTCAACTATGTGTTTGACAAAGGTCTAATATCCAGCATCTAAGAGAAACTTAAACAAATTTACAAGAGAAAAGAAACAACCCCATTAAAAAGTGGGTAAAGGACATGAACAGACACTCTTCAAAAGAAGACATGTGGCCAACGAGCATATGTAAAAAATCTCAACATCACTAATCATTAGAGAAATGCAAATCAAAACCACAATGAGATACCATCTCACACCAGTCAGAATGGCTGTTATTAAAAAGTCAAAAAAATAGCAGTTGCTGACAAGGTTGTGGAGAAAAAGGAATGTCTATATACTGTTGGTGGGAGTGTAAATTAGTTCAATCATTGTGGAAGACAGTGTGGCAATTCCTCAAAGAGCCCAAAACAGAAATATTATTCAACCTAGGAATTACATTACTGGGTATGTACCCAAAGGAATATAAATCACTGTATTTTAAGGACACATGCACATATACATTCATTGCAGCACTATTCGCAATAGCAAAGACAGAATCAATCTAAATGTCCCTCAAAGGTAGACTGGATAACAAAAATGTGGTACAGATACACCATGCAATACTATGTAGCCATACAAAAAAAAAAAAAAAAGAACGAGATTATGTCTTTTGTAAGAACATGGATGGAGCTGGAGGCCATTATCCTTAGCATACTAATGCAGAAAAATAAAACCAAATACTCCATGTTCTCACTTATAAGTGGGAGCTAAATTATGAGAACACATGGACACATAGAGAGGAACAACACACACTGGGGCTTTGGGGCTTACCAGAGGATGAAGACTGGGAGGGAGGAGAGGATCAGAAAAAAATAACTAATAGGTTCTAGGATTAATGCTTGGGCAACAAAATAATATGCACAACAAACCCCCATGATACAGGTTTACCTATGTAACAAACCTGCACATTTACCTCTGAACTTAAAAGTTAAAAAAAAAAAAAAGTCAGCAGATCAATGCACTATGCAATTTGGCAAGTCTGAAGAATTACTGGAATGAGATTAGTAGGAGGGCGTAGGAAAGGTAACTATGTGGAAAGGATAATTGGATGGTCTGAAATATGAATTGTGGAAGGCAAATTATTCATTAGATAAGGCCAATAAGACCTAGGGAATGATCTTCAGGATGTGTGACCAAAGCAGGGTGATAATAAGATTATTAGAGGATAAAAATTCCTTAGGAATGTATGTTTATATTATTTTCTCAGTTTTTTTTTTTGACAGACTGCTTTTTAGTAGTGACTTATTAGTCCAGATGGTATGTACATTTTTAAAACTTTTGATACATGCTTTTAAATACTGTGGCAATTTACATTCTCCATGCAGATATAAATATAATTATTTGTTTATATTATAGTTGACTTTAGGTATTATTATATTTTAATTATTTCCAATTTAAGAGATTACAATATGTCAATATTTTAATAAACATTTCTTGTGTACACATGGGCTTCCAGAGTGAAATAATAAACACTGGAGACTTGACAAGGTGGGAAGATGAAAGGGGGTGTGGGATAAGACACTGCCTCTTGGCTACAGCATTTAGTATTTGGGTAATGGTTACACTAAAAGCTGAGACTCCACAACTATGCGATATATCCATATAACAAAACTGTTTTGTACCCCCTAATCTATAACAACACAAATTAAAGTAAAAAAAATACACTAAGAAAACTATAAAAATAGACACTTTTATTTAGTGTTTTATTTATTATTTAGTGTTGAGTAAAATCTTATTGGATGTCTATTTTTATACGTTTCATTTGCTAATTTCTAATGAAATACAATGATTTCATGACACACATTCTTAAACATTTGAAACTTTTATCAAGTAACTATAATAAAAGTTCACTGAACAAAAAATAATTTATTCACTATAATGCTATTTTGGATCCTACTTTCCCAGAAAAAAACTAACTTCTTTATTTTATAATAAATAGGTTATTTGCCCCTCAGAAAGAGTGAGATTTATAATAATAATAGTAGTAGTAATAGTAAGTATCATAGAATAAGGGTGAAAGATAAAAAAAAAAGAAATGAGATGTAAACTTCCTTAAGTTTATTTATGTAAGTTTATGGTTACGAAGACATGACAAATGATCCACTATCAAGTTTAAGGGTAATTTGGATCAAAATTACTTTTTGTTGTGCTTTCAATCTTATGGAATTTTAAAATGAGGCTTTAAATTTAGAAATTGCGATTATCACATTGACATCATATTTGAGTAACTTAATTATATATGAATAAACTTTGTTAGCATCATTCTGGATGATTTATAAAAATGCAGATCCTGAAACTTCCCAGGACTTCTTGATAGTTCCATGTAATCTGCATTTTTACAAAGTCCCAGGTGACACTTCTACTCACAAAAGTTTGAGTATAACTGATAACAACATTCTCTGACATATTTGCAAACTTAATTATGTTAGAAATTGTGAGAATATGACAAACAATCTTTTATATCTCTGAGAAATGCTGTCTACATGAGCACTGATATTTATTCAAAGGGAAAGTTAAAAATAAAACTATCAGTAAAGCACATATATATGATATGTTAGTAACTCTCCATTAACATGAAACAAATGTGCCAGATGGTAAATGCCCTACTTATAAAACTTGGGGAATTGACTGATCCCCAAGCAGAGATCCCTGGGAAATAATTTGTGTCACTCAAGGCAACAAACATATTGATAAATTGTGCTCCGTGTTCATGAAAATGATTGGATTTAACTGAAGAACTTGAACATGTGGCATTATGGAGCAGAGAGCTTTTAGTTGATTAAAGTTCTCTTGCAAATATCCTGTATCAGAGAGCCAAAATCAAAACTGTGGTAAATGACTTTATTTATATTGCTATAAATCAAGTTTTTAAACTTACATTTTGGATTATGAATTTTACATATATATATTACTTTTTCAGTTATTACAGATGACTAGAGTAAGGAAAGTTTATGTGCTCAAAGTCTCCTTGTACCTTTAGATACAGCATTGCAATAATATAATTTAGAAGGTAAGGTGCATTGTGGCTCAGGCACCCATTTTCATTATTTTAATTTTAAATGGTGATTGTACAATTATGATAATGCATTTTTTAGAGATATGTAGTAACCATGCAAGTAAAATGTGATATTAAACAGGAAATGATATTGTCCTAGACATTAACATAGATTTTCTCATTTACTCTTTGAACCTATTTGGAATTTATTCTTCAAGTAACCTATTAAAATCTGAGGTTGGAAATGTTCAAATAATTAAGACCCAAGTTTTCTAAGTGATTCCAAACCAAAAACTTCTCTTTTATACTAAAATGTCAGAATATATTGCTGATCAATATTGTTTTGTATTTCTTTGTATTTAATTTAAATAATATCTACTCTTCTGATTTTAAACTTAATTTTTTTATAGAAATCTGGTAGATAAAAAACCATTCACATGTTACTATCCAGAGATGATCAATTATAAATTTGTTTGTGTGTATTGTGTATAAAATATAATTTTTTCTATGAGTCTTGTATGTGTGCATGTATTTATGTATGTACATGTCTGCATGTATGTATGTATCTATCATATAGCTATATTTGTTTGTTCTGTTTTTTTTTTTTTTTGCTGTTGTTGTTACTAAGCATCTGTCTTTTTTTTGGGGAAACAACCCTAGTTCTTTGAAGAATTGCATATTCTTCTATCTAGAGCTGTGGTTTTCAGAGAGAAAATATTGTTGCGGGATCCTTGGGGTGTCGCTTTTCTGGTCAAACATCTCTGTGACTGGTAGCTCCTTTGCCCGAGTTTGGCTTGGGCCCACTGGGCAGGTTCTGCCCACTCGGCCTATCAGACTGTGCGATGCTCATGCTACCAGCCTGGATCTTACGTCTGCCAAGGAAGAGCCAGGCATGGAGTAGCAATGGGTGTGTGGGCGAGCTGGTGTGGTGTCCGGCCACTGTGCACAGCCAGGCACACCAGCTGCTGCAGCAGGGCAGGCAGCTCCAGGTGCTGGCATGGTTGCCAGCTCTCTATGAGACTGTGGCTGGACCAGGTACACCACAAACAATTTCCATGACTGCCAGTGGGGAGCACGGTAGCATCTGGAGGCTTGATATGGTAGAATACTAAAATCTTTCAATGTTGTACTCAATTGAATTGAGACTAATCAATAACACCATTTTAAAGGTTTTTAAAGTGAAGAGTAATGATCCTTTCTGGGAATAGGTTTGCTCTACTTTTCTGTCACTTTTGACATTATAATTAATGCTTAAGTATTAGCATTATTAATACATTAAAATACATTAATACTAGTATTTTTTACTAGTTTTTATTAATACTAGTTTTATTAATATTTTACTAGTTTTATTAATTTCCCAAGAGTAAATACAAATATTATTTTACCAGGCATCCTGAATATATTATTATATGTATGTATAAATGCATATTTATATGTTACTTCTCTATGTTTTTACACAAATGCACTATACCCTATAATCCCCAAGTGTTTTTTTTTTTGTTTGCTTGCTTGTTTGTTTTGTTTTTCCTGAGACCAAGTCTCACTCTGCCACACAGGCTGGAGTGCAATGGTGCAATCTCGGCTCACTGCAACCTCCACCACCTGGGCTCAAGCAAATCTACTGCCTTAGCCTCCTGAGTAGCTGGGAATACAGGTGTGTGCCACCATGCCCAGCTAATTTTTGTATTTTTAGTAGAGATTGATTTTGCTATGTTGCCCAGGTTGGTCTCGACTCCTGGGCTCAAGTGATCCACCTGCCTCGCCCTCCCAAAGTGCTGGGATTTCAGGTGTGCTTTTATATTTTGGAGGTATTTTTTTCAAAAGTAAACTAAATAGTTGTTGATTTTACTGGGGAGCCAAATTATTCCATTAGTGAATACACCCACAATTATTTAAGCAGCCTTCTATTTTGGATACTTATGTTATTTCTAATATTTTACTATTAAAAATAATGTTGCAAGACTGTAACAATCAATCTTGTACTCATTTCATATGTATTAGAATAGCTGAGTAGAAAAATATTTTAGAAGCAATGTTTGTAGAATGCACATTTTTATTGTGACAAATACTGCAAAATTGTCCTTTATAGATGTTACAGAAATTTATATTCCAATTAGAAATGACTAAACTTCCTCTACAACCATACCACTCTGAACATGCCTGATCTTTTCTAATTTTGGAAGCTAAGCCCATTAGTTCTCAGGTGAGAGAGGTGAGTGAGCTTTGTAGTTTCTTTACACCCCTTTCATTCCACTATTTTATGCAACCTCTAGATCTTTGCCATTATAAGAAATATTTGTGACTATATTTTTAAAATTTTATCTCTAATCAGAAATTATTATTTCCCATAATTAAGGATCATTAGCATTTTCTGAAATGGATTCTTTATATCTTCTGTCTTATTTTTCTATTTGGGATGGAGTTTTTTTTTTCTCAGTGGCCTGTAGGAATTCTGTCAAGAATCAGCATTTTCTGCAGATATTAACTTCACATATTATTATTCTTTTGACTTTGCTTATGACCATTTTTTGCTATGTAGAAAATTTTTAATATACATTTATATTTATCAATAATTAATTTTATGCTTTTAGAAGTTTTATGTGAAAACTGGATGGAAAGATGTCTTCCATCCTAACTTGTAAAATAATTAGCCCACGGTTTGTTTTAGTAGAGTTATGATGTGCAATTCTTTAATTAAATATGTGGTTTATTTAAAATTTATATTTTTATGTGTTAAGAGGTTTTCTTTTTTTGATCTTCTAGATGTCAGTCTCTTTAAAAATTTAAAATTTCCCCAAATATTTGAAATAGTAAGATTTTCATACAATAGTATGTTTATTTACTTTTAGACTTTGAACCATTGTACATTATATTTACCTCTATTCATGTGCCAGTATATACTGTTTATATAATGATGCTTTGCAGTCTATTTTAATATATTTTACTGTAAATTAGGATTCCTATTACACTTTTAAAAAATATTTTTTTCTTTGAACTTTTTTATATTTCTATGTGAGCTAGACAGTGTTTTTGTTTCAAAATATTATACTTTATATTTATTTAGACACCATAAAAATTGTAGTTTACCTTAGGGGAACTGACATATATGTAAAGTAGTATCAAGGCACATATTATGCTTTCCCATTTGTGCAGGTTTACCTTGAAACTCTTTAAGACTATTTCATGATTTTCTTAATATAGATTAATTTATATCCTACAACTACTTTCCCCAAGAAATATTTTTATTCACATTGTAAAATACTTTAGCATCTCCTAACAGTTATTTAAATATATGAATTAAATTTCTACATGTTAATTGAATATCCTGCCATCTTATTGAAGTTCTTGGTATTTTGATGTTTTCCAGGAATAAAATTATATCATACATAATCTGTACGTTCTCTTTTTAAAATTTGTAGTTACATATATATTTTCCAATATTTCCCATGTTTATCCTTTAGTATCTCACGCTTCTTAATATGTTTGTTACTTTATTTATTTATTTAGAAACAAAGTCTCACTCTGTCACCCAGTTTAGTCTATGACTTAGTTTTGTATCAATGAAGTAACAAGTTAAAACAAACATAACTACTCTTAATTACACAAATTTATTATCCTTCATTGCTGTATGTAGAAGTTCAACATAAGTCTCACTGGACTAAAAATAATGAGCTACAAGGCTGCATTCCTTTCTCAGTATTCAAGGGGAAAATCCATTTTCTTGCCTTTTCCAACTCCTTAGAAAAGTCTCTCTCTCTCTCTGACTCAAGTAGACTAGGTTCTCCATTTTTAGAAATTCATATGATTAAATTGAGCCCAAGTGAACAATTCCAGATAATATTTTGATCTCAAGGTCCTAAATGTTGATCACATCTGTGAAATGCCTTTTTCCACAGTAGGTGAAATATTTATAGGTTTTAAGGATTAGGAGGTGGTGGTGGTGAGGAAAGTTGGGGAGGTTGTAGTCATTCTGCCTTTCCCCCTCTATTTTAAGTAATATATTCCAAAATATTTTATTTTTATGAAATTTTAGACATAAATGATTACATTTAAGTAAATGTACAGGCAGACATTATTATAAGGGAATAATAAGATTACAATTTGATAAACTATCACAGAGTACAAACTACTGGATAATCTGACACATTGTCTACATTCTGTAAGAAATTTTTGGTGACTTTGATCATGATCAATTTTAATTTACTATATTTGAATTTGATATAAATAACACAATGTAAGTTATCTCTGTGCTTGGCACCTATTGGTCAACATTATGTTTGGAAAATTTATTCATGCTGTTTATGTAGTAGTAATTTGTTTATGTTCATTGTTATGCATTATTCTATTACGTAATTTTATCACAAAGGATTGCTTCATTATACTTTTGATAGATATTTGGATTCTTTCCAGATTTGAGTTATTATGAACAATGCTCTTACAAACACTGGTAAAAGACTTTTTATGTGTATTATTTTGTGTTTAATTGAATGTATAGCTAGAAATAGAATTTCTGGAAATAAGGTAAATAGTATTTTTAGTTAGTACAGTCATTTTATTTTTTAATCTATGGGAATATGAATAATAACATAATAGATAAGGATAAATATAAAATAAATGTGATATTAAAAATGGCTGAATACAAATCGGAACAATCCTTAAAATAGTATTTTTTTCTATTTTTTAAGAATTGGAAATAGAGAGAGTGGTAGGATTTTGCATAGTATTACCTAGGCAATATATTCACAAAGGACAGTATGCATTATTTAATTAATGACTTCTTATTTACCAATTATAATAATGCATATTTTGCAACAAACTTCTCATCAAATATACAACTTGACAAGTTAGATCAAAGCTTTGCAACTTCAAATTTCTTGCTTAAAAAAGATCTAGTTACTGATCAGAATGATGAGAATGCACATGAGTATTATTCTCATTATATTCAGAACTCATATACAATGTATGCAACTTTGGATTGCCCTTTAGAACCTGAACACCTTTATATTCATGAATTTGGTAATTTAGACCAGAAAAATCAAACCCCTGGTGCTTTAGTGCTTTATTATATTTATTAGAGAATGTTTTTGGAAAATTACCAAGTCATCTTTGTGACAGCATGGGGATATTTCCAACAAGACATTATCCAATTCAAAGTAATGATCATGATTTGTCCACTGGGGGGATCATGACAGAACATTTGTAATTGTATTTTGTACCAATATATTGAGAAGTAGAGAAAAATCATAAAAACCAAATTTATATTTTAAATTCAAATGCAGATATATTTTTGTCATAGGAAAAAGAAAACAGAGATAGATTTTGTTGTTACAAGATAAGCAGTACCAATGAAGGATTTTTTTGCCTGGAAATACTTACATTCTCTAATACAAACAAAAATAAAAAGTAAATTACACTTGCATACTAACACTAGAATTGAAAAAAAAGAGAGAGATTTAATAAATAACATAGAATCAACAATATGTAACGCAGATGTGTAAATAAGAAAAACTTACATACTATTTTTAAGTAAACGAAAATTTATAAGCCAGTATCCAATATATGCTAAATATAGAGATAAATATTTTGGCACTAACAGGAAAGTGTTTATAGAAATCATAGAATATGACATTAAAATTTGCTACAAGGATGACTGAGCATATAAAACAACGATAAAAATAAACACAATTTTGAGAATGACAGTATCAAAATGAAATTATTAATGGGAAAATTAATAGGATGATATAATAAGTCAGGCAAAATAAGAGAATAAATACTACTCTATGAGGTTGGAAAAATAATGCTAAAGACTTCCTATTTATTATATATTGTTGAACTAAAAGGAAAACAAGTGAATAAAATGTAACATATATGTCATTGTTTTATATCTGTTTAGAGAATTGATATTAACACTTAAGTGAATCATAAAGGAGAAAAGTAATTTAGTGCATTAATTTAAAATATTGTGGAAGTTAAGCCTGTGTTGTTAATGGTGTTAGTGTTGTAAAGCAATAGGTATATAATCCAGAAAATTCAGAAGCATTTTTATTGTGATTTTTATTTTAATTTGGTCTCTAGGTCTTTGTGTAGAGTGTCGATAAGCCTAGATAGCCACTTTCTAGGAGAGACCTGCTCGAGGGAAAGTTAAGTTCAGGTGTATGTGTCAGATGAGACAAAATGAGGAGGTAAAAGAAAAATGAATGAAACAGAAGTATATTACTTGCAGATTCCAGAGAGGTTAGAGGCCCTGATGGGAGGCCAGTGGGAGAGGAGCAAGAGAGAGAAGACCTGTGGGACTATACTTTATTATGACCCATAGATTTTATCTTTTAGGCTTTCCTGTGGAATTGGCTAGTTTAAAGAAAACAAGTACAAAGGGGAGCCTTATTTACGTGATTTTGCTATTTACTACCAAAATTCATTTTGGTTTTATCATGGCCAGTAGCTATGGGTGTTTTGGGTTTTGGGTCAATGGGATGAGGAACAAGCAGGCTATACTGCAAACAACCACAGGGAAAGGAAGAGTTTTAACTAGGCCAAAAATAATGGGGTAAGACTAGGTTTTAAATAACTTGTGTCAGGCCTAAAAATGGATGCCAAAACAGAAAATTTATTAAAAGAATTTACATTTTTCTGTTTAATATGTACGTTTGCTACTATAAGACATGGTCTCAGTTATACGTCAATCATATATTCAGAGCAACTCAAATTGAATATACAAAATTTTGATATCAACACAACAAACATCTTGATTAACATTACATTCAACTGTGCAATCACTCAGATATACGATTAAAATAACCAGTAAGTTTTGTTAAACCAATTAGGTAATTTAATTAAAATATAGTATGCACTTAAGCAACATCTTTATATAATAAAAACTTATACTCATAATATTTGAAGAAATGCAAAATTATTTTTGAATTTTTACTTTTTACTATTCACATTTATTTGTATCTGTTACTTGCTACTAACAATGTTAACAAAAGCTGACAATAAAACCAATCAAATCTGGTTGTTGCTATTTTACTTTTTAACAAATTAAAAATAATTTAAAGGATATTGATTATATGTTATTTATTTTTGATATTAAATATGTATGAAATGCATGATATTCAAAATACGGTTTTGGTGGGTTTTTTTTTTTTTTTTTTTTGAGACAAGGCCTTGCTCTGTCACCCAGGCCGGAGTGCAGTGGTGCAATCATGGTTCACTGAAGCCTCCACCTCCTGGGGTCAAGCCATCCTCCCACCTCAGCCTCTCCAGTGACTGGGACTACAGGCTTATGCCACCACACTTGGCTAATTATTTTTGTATTTTTTTAGAGACTGGGTTTTGCCACGTTGCCCAGGCTGGAATATTCACTATATAGTATATAATTTTTAATATTAAAATAAAATCCTCTAATATTATGCAGATTTGTTTCTCTAAATGGAAATAAATCACATGTGAAATATCAGCAAATGTGACATTAGAGTTAAATAAAGGTAATCATAAAAAGGTAACAAAATTTCTTTGGGAGTATGATGGAGAAAATACTTATGAAAAATTCCAAATGTAATACCTATAAGATATTATTTTCTAGCCATTATAGATAAAAGCATTTTTCTCAATTGATGTGATATTTGAACAAATTGAACAATATTATGATCATTTGGCTTTATTTTTAATGTAGCAACCAAAGAAATATTGAATAATTTTAAAATATCTGTTAATTTATATATTTCATTGAGACAATGACAAATTATAAGAATGAGTTATGTTATGAAATTATAATATTCTAATATATATAAAAATCTTTATATGTGATTTCTTTATATTTAATAATTGCATGCCAATTTAAGTACACTTCTTAGAACTCTGTTTTCATTTGTCTCACCAGTTTTGTATTTTTTACCCTTTCTATTTTTTTTTGGATTGAATCAGATTTATTGACATATATGTTTTCCACTTATTACTTATGCACATTTACATACACACAATATTTACTAATTCTTTCATATTAGTCTACAGCATACAATCTTGACTTTTACCATGACTGAATAATGCTATTAGAAACTTTTCATCTATGGCAGTCTAACTTTAAAAAAAATTGTTTTTTTAATTTTTGTGGGAACATTGTTGGCGTTTATATTTATGGGGTACATGAGATGCTTTGATACAGGCATTAATTGTGAAATAGGTACATCATGGAGAATGGGGTATCTATCCCTTCATGTATTTATCATTTGAGTTACAAACGACCCACATACATTCTTTATTGTAGTAACCTAACTTTCTTGATGGATTTTCAATGTACTTAAAATTTTTTGGTACTTTAAACCTCATAGACATCATCATTCTTAATTTTGTTTAATATAGGCAGTGTTCATGTATAATCAATTATATATTCACCTTTTTTATTGAGCATTTCTGAGTTTTCATTAGATTATTTTTCTTCTCTATAAAACGTCTATACTACATTTTTCTCAGTTTTTGTATGCTTGAACATATTTTTATTTTTATGTAATTTTGAGAAATATTTTTACTGTATGTGAAATCTTAGATTTGCCTCTATATTGTTTTACCTTTTGGAAATGTAATTTCCTTGTTTTTATTAGCTCTCGGTGTTTTAGTTTTATTTTTTACCTTTTCTTCAGAGACCACCCCCTGCAGTGTACGTGTGTATGTGTGTGTATTTCAGAATGTTACCTATGTCTCTTATAACCTTTATTTCTCTTTTCTTCATGTCCTGTGTTTTAACTTTATTATATTTTTGTGAAGTGTTTCCCAATTCGCTTAATCTCTTTTAGTCCATCTAATCTTCTGTCAGTTAAGCCACCAATTGGATTATTCATTTCGTTCCAGTGTTTGTACTTTATATCTTCTATACAGTTTTTTTATTCTCTCAAGTCATATATCTTAATTTTCAAATTCTAGAGTAAATTAATTATAACTAATTCAGACTGTCTTATAACATCATTATCTATATTTCTGTGAATATGCATCTTCTTTTTTCCTGGTTTACTGGGTAAATTTAAACTACATGTAAGACTTTTTGTAGGGAGAATTATAGAAAAGTAATATGTGATATTGAATGTGTTAAATTTTTTTGAGTAAGAGATTTACTTATGCTTCAGCAGGCAACGAGCATGGGTGAAGGATTGCCTTAATTGTACCATGAATTTGGCTATTTGAGTATTGGTATCAATTTTTTAAGGGTTGGTCTCATTATGCTTTGCTCTTACTCTAGGTTGTGGATTTCTGCGTTTCCCAAATGAAAAAGTGTGAAGTTGGCAATACCTCTCCTTACATGTGCACACTTCACTCTGGCATTTTCCCTCTCTCCCTGTAGCATGGCTGCTTAAACTCTTAAACCACAGCCACACATAAGGTTCCACTTTTTTCATGGGTGACTTGTTTGGTAACAAACTATTCAACCAATACCAGCAGCACAGATTCTTAGTGGACATGGAACAAACGTCCAGTTCTTCTTCACTCAGATTTTGCTACATTGTTTAATCAGTGTGGGGCAGATGGTTGACTCTATTTTGAACTACTTCCTTGTCACATTTCATTTTTGTTGATTGGCATTGCTAAAAGAAATATAGTATTCTGATTAGCACAGCAGGTCTCTGAACAAGACCACCGTGGTTTATATCTTGGCTTCTCCATTTACTTACACGTGACTATGACAGGTTGCTTCATTTCTGTCTTATTTTCCTGATATGGTAAAGGAGATAATATTTATCTTAATATTAAAGATTATTTTCAGGGGGAAATAAGGTTACTTACATAAAGCATCTGGAAGGTTTATATTCTTCATGTTCTGAGTATTTCAAATTATTTCTTACCATATAAAAATATTTCAATGTTTACATCAGCAAATGCTTCAATTTCTCTAGTGATAGATAGAGTTCTTAGCGATTTACTGCTTAGGAAGATTGTCTCATTCAATATGTGCTTCAAAATGTACATCTCATGGATCACTAATCTGAAATGATCATTTACTGTTGTATTTCATGGACTCCCTGCAGCTCACATGAAAGAGTATTTAAAATTTTGTGTGTATGCACAAATGTACATTACAGTTTTGTAGGAAGGTATTACAGCATTCATCAAATGTCTGGTTGTAAAATAAACTGAAAGTGTTCCAGGACCAATTTATTGTGTATTCTGTGTACTGAAATAAAGGGAGAATTGTGTTGTATGTGGTGGTAGTTCGCGTCATTGTTGTTGAGAGTGAAAACATTACTCTAGAAGAGGCTCTAAGCATAAAGTATTTTCCCTCCATGGCGTGATGTTAAGGCACATTTTGTACTATACAAAAAAACACTCTTCCAGCTGCAGAAGATGAAGGAATAATTCTATCTTATTGCTTTATATCCACATATGTGTACTATATTTGTAAATTATATTCTTTATTTCTGATGATGATCTTCCTTTCCATCTAACAAAATCATATGTAACTGTAAAAGCCTTCCTGTAATATGGCCCTATCTCTGAGATTCATCCTACTTAAGGCAGAATTAATTTTTATGACTGTTTAAATTGTGTAAACAAGTACTATGTCTTCATCATTATTTTGCTTCTATGTGGTACAGAATGAACATGAAGAAAATATTACTGGACTTGGTTGAATTTGTTCGGCGTATGAGAGACAATATATAACCATTAAATTTCACAGCCATTTTCTAGTGACAAGATGCCCCTGTATATGACAGATATTGCTAGAAGAATTAAGGTTTTCTTCCAAAACACACTGTGATTGTTTTGGTTATCCTGCTTCATAATTCAATACTCTTTCATTGACAAACAAAAACTAGCACTCTTCTTCTTTTTTTTTTTTTACATTAAGCAGCAATCCCATAATTCATGCATATACTCAATAAACATTTATGAAATACATTTCAGGCACTAGGCACTTTGTAGGCCTTTTGTATATGGAATTGAACAAAAGAGACAAGGTGCCTGTCTCTACAGTATTCATTCAACTGTGGAAGAGAACAATAAATAGACAAATGTTACCTTAATCTCAAATTATATCCAATCTCAGACCACTTCCTATCATCACACAAACATGCTGTTATTTTTTCAATTTAGATTTTCCCTTTTCCATCTAGACTGCACTTTCTGTCTTCAGGTACCACACCATTTTTGTTCACCAATTTGAAGAAAAAATTCTTAAAGGAGTTGAGAGTTGCCTTTACTTCTTTTCCTCCTGTTCTCTCAAATCTTAGCACTGGTTTAAACCATCATTATATCTTGTATGGAGTATTGTAGTAGCCTTCAAATTATTTATCCAATTTGTATCAAAATAGTCTATGTAGTATTTCAGCATAGTAGCCTGAAAGTTACTATTAAAATGTCCGTGACTTTATGTCACCCCTCTGCTTAAAATCCTCCAATATCTTCCAATTTCTCTCAGAGCAAATGTTGCATCTTCCCAGTGTCCTGTAAGGTTCTAAGTAACCGTGCCTCAAATACCAATGACTTCATCTCCTAACACGTTCACTTTTCTTTTATTTTAGCTTTATGCTTCCACTTCAAGCATGCCAGGCATACACCCATCTCAGAGACTTTGCATTTTCTCTCTTTTTATTCTGAAATGCTATTTCCTGTATATAATTCCTTTCTTATTTCAGGGATCCTCTTAAATGTATCTTTGTAGGAAGACCTGCCGTAGCAAACCTACTTAATATTGCATAGTAACTTCAATTCTTCCTCATTCTCATTCTAATCTAGTCGTACCAGCATTCGAACTGTTTCCAAATACACCAATTACAATTCTACTTCAGCAGCTATTTACTTAATATTCCTTATGCATAGAATGTTTTTCTCCTAGACATACAGTTGGCCTTCTTATTCTGTTTGAGTCTTTCTTCAAATGCCATTTCTTAGTAAATTATTTCCTGATGTTCCTATATGAAGTTCCTCTCTCCTTTTTACACTTGGTATCCTCTTTCTTATTTTATTATAATTAATTGAATGTTTCAAATATAAAACTTATTATTTTTACTGGCTTCCTACCTATGCCCTCCTAATGAAACAAGACTTTTATGATAGCTTGAATGTTTACTTTGTTTAATACATGAGCATGTAGTAGACAGTAGGTTAATATCCACATGTAGTATGAAAGTTAGTGTTTAATATCGGATAGTTTTAAGTACTATGGAGAAATAAAGATGGCTAAGTGGGAAAGCTGTTATGGCGGCGTGTGCCTACTTTTCATAATATTGTCAGGGAAAAGATCAATGATGGGATGACACATAAATGAAGAAGCAGGGTGACAGAGCAAGCTGGGGGGGAAGGGTTTCAGACATAAGAAAAATAGCCCATGCAGATCCCCATGAAAGGAGAATTTTTGGCATAATATAGGAACTCAGGTAGACTAGTGATTCAGGAGATAGAATGAAATTATTTAGGCCGATAGTGAGGGCAAAAGAGTCCTCAGCAAAACTTCCATCCCAGTATAACGCAGCCCAAGAAATCATTTCTTTGCTAACAAAGAGCAGCCTGAGAGATGGAGCTGCAAACATACATAAGGAAGCTGGAAGCTTGCACAGGGGAATGCCGGCAGCTGCACCAATAGAAAAGGGCTCCCCCGGGGTCAGGAATGTCCAACATGGAAGCTCTATCTTTTCTTTTTTGTTAGCACGTGTGCAGTAAGAAGGAAATGGGCAACATGGAGAAGCTCAGGCCGAGAATCCATCTGCATAATAAAAGATTGGGGTGGGGAGATTTGCATCCTATGTAGATGGCACACCTGGTCATAACTGGTATTTCACACCCTATATAGATCAGACACCACTTCCCCACTAGCTCATCTATAAAATCCACTTCATTTCACTGCGGATCGCCAATCCACTTTTCCAGGACCTCCTATATAGCAGAGAGCTATCCTTTCTTTCGCCTATTAAATTGTGGCTCATAACCTCACTCTTTGTGTGTCCATGTACTTAATCTCCATGGCCGTGAGACAATGAACCTCGGGTGTCACCCCAGACAAGGAGGTCACTTTGCTAGTGTATCTGCATCAGAGTGAACCCTGAGAAAATAGGAAATAAGGAAATAAGGTCAGAGGGGAAATGGGGCCCGTTCATATACACAGTTAAGTTATTAAAAGAACATTGGATTTGCTTACAAGTGATTGTAATTACATTAAAGTGTTTTGAGCAGAGTGATGGCATAATCCAATTTACATCTTGCAAATGATCTTTCTGGCTGAAGGGGGAAGGGTTGGTTGGGATAAAAGAGTGAGATCAGTGAAAAGGCTACTGCCATAAAAGGGGTGTTTGTAGCTTGGCCAGGGTGGTAGCATTAAAGGTGACAGGAACTGCTTAGGTTCTAGTTATGATTTTAAGATAGCGGTAACAACATTTTCTGATTGACTGAATGTGGAGCTTGAGAGAAAGTTGGTCTTCAAGGATGATTCAGTGTTGGATAGGTTGAGTTGGAATAGTCTATTTGACATCCAATTTGCAAGTTAAGGGGAGAAATCTAGAGTAGAGAATATGTATGAATTAGCTATTTTTATTTAATCCACTTTAAGTTTAAAGTAAAAGAGATGAGGAGCAAGAATGAAAACAATTAATATGAGAAATAGATGAGAAACCAATAGAAAGTATTGTCCTGGTAGCTGGGCGTGGTGACTCACGCTTGTAATCCCAGCACTTTGGGAGGCCGAGGCAGGCGGATCACCTGAGGTCGGGAGTTTGAGACCAGCCTGACCAACACGGAGAAACCCGTCTCTACTAAAAATACAACACTAGCCAGGCGTGGTGGCACATGCCTGTAATCCCAGCTACTCGGGAGGCTGAGGCAGAATTGCTTGAACCCAGAAGGTAGAGGTTGTGGTGAACCCAGATAGCACCATTGCACTCCAGCCTTGGCAACAAGAGTGAAACTCTGTCTCAAGAAAAAAAAAAAAATAACAAAAAAGAAAGTATTGTCCTGGTAAAAACAAAGAACTATTTAAAGAAATGAGTATGCCACATGACAATGATAGATCAAGTGACATGAAAGCTGAAAATTGGTCATTGGTTTTATGAGTAGGGAAATTACTGGAGATCAAATCAAAAATCACTGATTGCACTCAGAGAAAGTATAGCTTGCAACGTTTCTGAATGTCTATGACTAACGTGCAGTAGCTATTACAGCAGAACATCTATCCTCCATTCATAATTCTCCATAAACCGACAACACACATTATAACCTGATTATGACCTTGCAATTAAGAAATGTGAATATAATGATATTAAATTTTTCATTTAATTGAGAGAGGGACTTTCACAAGAATTGGTACTCTTGGAATCCATAGCATTATATGAGGTCTGATAGAAAGAATCGAAAATATTTTTAAGCCTGAGGGTGAAGGCCTAATATTTTAAAGCCAGATATAATTTCTCAGGTTGCATAATGATATCAGTTTACTAAAAATAAATAAATAAACCTTAGGTATCTGAATTCTCTAAGTTCTTTACAATGTCTTGGTATTATCAAAATGTACTGGGCCTGCCAGAGAGAAATTATTTGATTTGGCTATACCAGGTCTGAAATGTTATAAATGCTCTCTACCTTAAGAAATTTAGTGAGACCATAATTTATTTTATAGACATCTCTTATTTATTGTTCTAGGATATTAATGGAAGATAGCTTAGATATAGAAGAGAAATACAAAAAATCAACAACACTTTATTTCTCTTGACAGACATTAATCTGTGTTAAATTTCCATGCAAGGTATTACAAAATTAAGACAAACTTAAGCTATTATAGAAGGAGCATAATTTTAGCCATTTACACCTGGCATTATAAAATACGATGTAATATCATTTTGCAAGCAGTAAGATATAATATCCAATCAGAAACTAATTAGAAATATAGTATTTTATCAACTATATCTTCTGTCATTTCAGCTTCCTTTTGAATCAGAATTGTCTAAAATTAAGATATCTTAAATATTTTAGATGAATGATCTGTCCTCCTGGCAGAATTAATATAAAAATAAAAATGATTTGCAAAGGGAAAGCTTTGAAAAGTTTAATAACCTATATTTAAAATGTAGCAAGACTTTTAGTACTTTCATCAATTTTGATATTAAAGTCTTCCCAGTCATTTCTCAAACTATAATAATGTGTCCTTAAATAATGACTTTCAACTTTAAAATGTTGGTGATGATCTTTGTATGAGAACAAGTATGTATTTATGAACTTTAGTTACCCAGTGAAACTCATGAATAAGTTTAACACTGTGTTTAGAGAATGATTTACTTTATAAGTTAATCTGGTGTCAGACATGTTGAAATTATAGGAATACCTTTTAAAAAAGTCACGTACACTACAGCTTGGTTTGTGAGTCACCAGTTTGTGGCACTGCAGAAAGCTACATTAAATAGAATTGATTCTGAGTGGTTGGATGAAACTAATTTGTATAGTTATTTATTTTATTAATATTTTAAAGTAGACTTTAATATATTGTTGTAAATTAAATTTATTTTCTATTTTTCAACCAGTCAATGTTTTAGAAATAATATTTATATTTGACTTAGAAATAAAAACTTTAAAATCACATAGAATTAGGTATTTTTTGTTTATTTATTTATTTACATTTAACATCTGATTCCAGAAATTAATACTATGAGGAAGTATGACTTAAGGAGAGTGATAGGACATTATTTCAATGCAATGTTTTATTCACCTAAAATTATATATAATTCATCTAATTTTACCCATAAATAAAATTCTATTATAAAAAAGTTTTCTCAATTGTTATTAATGCCAGTTATTGTAATAAGGTAAGAACACCTCAAACATTCCAAATATATTTTAATGTAACTTTGTTAAATCAAAATATGAGAAAAATATTTATGTTCACATAAGGTAAACAAAATAATAAACATACCAATTTATACATGATTAATATACTAAGTACTAATGACTACTAATGTATTCTAGTTGTAAGAATTTAGAATATATTATATAATAATTTATAGTTTAAGTATCAATAGTTTATAACTAATTTATAGTTTAAATATTATTTTATTTTATAAATAAGTAATATGGTTCAATTAAGCTGTATGATCATGTTTACCTGGTTTTTCACAATAGGTTATTATAGCATATGTTCTTAGAAAATCAAAACACTAAATGTATATTATAACTGAAATGTATGAGCAGGACTGTGATGGTTACTTTTGGGTGTCCACTTGACTGGATGAAGGCACACCTAGATAGCTGGTAAAGCATTATATCTGGGTATGTCTGTGAGGTGTTTCCAAAAGAGACTGGCATTTGGCTCAGTGGACTGAGTAAAGAGGATCTATCCTGACCTAGTGTGGATGGGTACCATCTAATCAGCTGAGGGCCCAGATAAAACAAAAGGAAAAGGAAAGTTGGATTATCTTTCTCTTCTGAAGCTGTGACACTCTTTTCTCCTGCCCTTGGATATCAAAACTCCAGGTTCTTGGCTTTCAGAGACTGGGACTTGTACCAGTATTCCCACAGTTTCTCAGGACTTTAGTCTTGTACTTAGAGTTGCACCTTTGGCTTCCCTGGTTCTGGGGCTTTTGAGTTTGGACTAACTGATGCTACCAGCTTCCCTGATTCTTCAGCTTGCAGATGGCTTATTGTGGGGCTTCTCAACATCCATAATTAGATGAGATAATTCCACTAATAAATCCCCTCACATCTCTCTCTTTCTAGAGAACCCTAACTAACACAAGGATCTATTCCTATTATTAATAGAGTTTAAACTTGAAAACAGAAATGATTATTTTGCTTTGATAACTCAAAGCTATAAAGGTTCACTGGAAATTTTCAATTTTTTAAAATATAGGGAATCAAATAAATTACTTCATCGTACTTTGGTGTTTCATATGCGTCAATATTAGCTGGCACTGTAGTGAATCAGTCTAATCTCAATGTTTGGCTAAATTATACTGAATTCCAGGCATAAAACTTTTCCCTGTATTTGGACCTGGGGTGCTTTTCTCTAGTGGATTAACCATTGTAGCCAGGATCCTATGAGTATGCATCTGAGAAGATGGGATGAGGGAGTTCAGGAAATAAAGGAAGTTGGTAAAGAGGATTCTCAAAAGACTGACTGACAGTACCCTCAAACTGGGTATCTGTGCCAAAAATCTTACCCACTACTACAGAGGAAAGATAATTGGCTAACTAGTTTAAAACCATGGAAACTTGATAAGAGTTAGAGAAACTCAACTAACCCTTGAAAGATGAAAATTCTAGAGATGAATGTCTTACAAAGATGATTTTTCACATTATTGGGACCCTAGCTGGCTTGAAATGGCCTTGAGAAAGGCTTGGCTTTCTATGTTTTTCTGCTGTGTACATGCGCCAAAGGTCGTGGTGAGTTTTTGTTGTTGCCTGCGTCATTGTCAATCATATTACTTGATTGCTCTTATTTCTTCCATCTAAGGACATAGGTATACATTTGTTTTGCTTCTTTTTAAAACATTTTAATGAAATAAGATGGGGAGGAAAAGAGGAGAAAAGAGAACAAAATGAATGCAAGTGATTATCTTTTTTATTTCTCAGAATAGTACTTTTAAAATGACTTATTTTAGCAAACTAAAAGATGATGTCTGACTACTGAGGAATAATACAAATCACTGACAGCTTCTTTCATTTAAGTTAATAACTGTAATCCACAATTTGTATAAACATTTTTCATTGAAATTGGAATGTCCCTCTGCCATAGATAATGAGTATGTTTCCTTTATTTCACTTCAGTATTTTCCGAAGAACATCATTTTACATATCACTAAATAGAAGCTATGTCTCCACTTTTGAAAACCCTCAGACACTCAAAAGAAAACTTTAAAATGACAGGGAAGAAATATTAATAAAACATGCATTGAAAACAGATTGCACTTTTATATTAGTAAATGTAAGTTAAAATTTACACAAGACAGTACCACGGATAAAGAAGACAGAGTATACAATGACCATGGTTTTACCTTTTTCTAAAGCAGTTTTTTTAAATGTCTCAGCCTAGACTATATCGTTATCTCTTTTATTTACATAGTGACCTTACTTGGATAAAGTTCATAGAACTATGTTAAATAAGTGTTTTCATATAATAAAAGCACCGTTCAACATTGCAACTTAAAAATTAGAAAAGATGATAAGTAAAAAGTCAGGAAATTTATTTTATATTACTATTAAAAACAATCTCTAACTTGTATTTAAAACAAAATTATTGAAAATACAATTTAAATTTTAATGTACAACATTATAAATTTAGCACATTAATCAGATACAACAGATTAATGTTTGTATTTGGAATTACCTAAAAACTAACTATTGAATTAAAGAATCAGTAAGATGATGACCCCAGTCATTTTTGAAAATGTATACCAAGATTACTTCAAATAAAAAAATTATCAAAAAGAGTAAATATATAATTAAAAATGGTTACTAATATGCTGGGATGCACCTTATTATTAAATCACTAACATTTAAATATTACCTCTTGCATATAATTGATCTCCTACATATATATTTTTTTCACAGGTAACCAAAGAATTTGAATAACCTGGTCAATTGCCTTATGTGCTAAAGACCATCATCTTGTGGTTGTTATTTATTTCTTTACTTTGCACTTAACACTTTTACCACAGCAACTAATACATTCCTTTACCAGCAATTATTGCAGTTGGAAGCAAAATTAACTCCTTCAAGTCATTGTGTTGCCAAATGACATACTCAAGGGATATTGTCTCCAGAAACTATTGCATTTTCTTTGAACCACACTTTGACCCAAATAAATAAATACGTGTATTTTTGTTTTCATTTGCAACAAGTAGATATCCCTGGTTAGATATCCAATAGAGCAACTAAAATATTCATATTTTGGATAGTGGAAGGGATAATATCTTTTCATATACTACATGTACTTTCACATTAAAATGTTTTTATGCAGAGAATGGTGGCTCATGTCTGTAATCCCAGCATTTTGGGAGGCTGAGGCGGGTGGATCACCTGAGATCAGGAGTTTGAGACCAGCCTGGCCAACCTGGTGAAACCCCGTCTCTACTAAAAATACAAAAATTAGCCGTGTTTGGTGGTGGACTCCTGTAATCCCAGCTACTTGGGAGGCTGAGGCAGGGAGAATTGCTGGAACCCAGGAGGCGGAGGTTGCAGTGAGCCGAGATCGTACCACTGTACTCCAGCCTGGGTGACAAAGTGAGACTCTATCTCAAAAAAAAAAAAAAAAAGGTTTTCATTAGTTATTCATATAAAATGCTAAAATATTACATTTTGATTTAAATAATTGGGTAGAAGGAAATAATGTAAATACACTTTGGAGATGGGAAGATTTCTATTTTGAAACAATTATTATCCTGAAACCTTGAGTCACATATTCATGCAATTATTTCTTATAATTTTATTATAATTATCCAAGTTAAAGATATTGGATATTCCACATGATGCATGAGTTAAAGAATTATTCCAGAAGGAGATCTTTCCAAAAAGAATCCTTGATAGAACATGAACAGATTGAAAGTAATCAACACTTTGCAGAATAATCCCCGCTTTTTCACTTTACTTATTCATGGTAGACAGTGAGGTTCTAAGAAAAACTTAGAAACTTAGATAGTTAGAGGTTAATAACACTTGCTCTGTGCTGATCCTGGCTAAAATTGTGACTTGGGACAGTTATTACTTGTACTTATCTATCAAATTTTGGTTCCCCTCCTCTTTAAAATTGTATCTAGAAATGTCATAGCATTGGAGTGTGTACAAGTTTCTGGTGAGGGCCAAGAAAGAAATTGTGATTGTCTTCATTTTGCCTGGTAAATCAAGTGGATATTTTCTCCCAATCCTTTTAATACTTATTCAAATCAATCTCTCTTTCTCTCACATGCACATACACTGTAGACAGATACTTAGATATTTGCTATGTGTGTGTATATATATATATAGAGAGAGAGAGAGCATGCTATATATACACACCAAAGTATGTATACATTTCTATATATGTATATTTATTTTAGTATGTATTTTTGCTATATATATTGACACAACTCTATATACCTGTATCAATATTGATATCAATTTTATATATTTGTATCTATTAACTGTCTATATATATGTATATATGATGTGTATGTATATGTGTGTGTGGAGAGAGACAGAGAACTATAAATATGTGTTCATAAAATTTTTGTTGAATGAAGAAAAATCCTAGATCTTTTTTTGAGCACATTAAATCAAAGTTAAAGAACTTGCTCAGTGATTAGAGCACTGGGAGAGAAAGCATAATTATCTTCTTTTGTGACGAAGTAACCATAATGGCTTGACATGTGCCCAGGCTTCTGTACTTGCATGGAAGGAGTTAGAGATTAAATGGATCTTTTACATTTTCTGGTGCTTAGAAATATTTTTGTGGTTTTTGACTTTGCCTTAGAAGAAAATTTTTGTCCAAGAACTCTGCCCATTTATAAGGTTACATTTGAGCCTCTAATGCTGTTGTGCTGTTTTGATGACAGTTGTTCATTTCCAAATGTGGCTGTACATTCTTTCTATCTACAATGATTACAACTGAATTGTGCTTACCTGGAACTATCAAAGGACAGAATAAAATATTTATGTTCCAGTGGACAGTCACTGAGGTGTTTGTCCCAGCAGGGTGATTAGAAACCTTTCTGTGAAAAATACTGATTGTGACACATATCACTATCTCCATCCTTTTTCACCGTCCCCTGTACTGAAAGGGAAGTGTTGGCTGAAAACTCTTGAGGGTTTGGTTTGAGTTTAGCCATTAGAGATACTTGTAAGACATTTGGAAGACGAAAGAGAGAGGCTGTCCTTTTAGAGTAGTAGTTGCTGAAAAGTGTGGGCATTAACATATGGAAAAGTTTTTCTCATTACTTTCAAATGTCCTTTTAAGAATCTCCTGTTTCAAGATTTCAAGCAGCCAAGATTCCCTGGCTGAACTGTTTTTCTCCAGTTTGTCTTCTTGCCACTCTTGATACCCACATGAGAGAATGCAAGATATTACTAAAAGCCTGGAACTCTTGGGGGAAAACAGGAGGCACCATGGACCCCATTCTGCGAAAAACCTGTTTTCCCGTAGAACCTCAGGAATTGACATGAAATAAACCTTTCTCAAAATATAAGGCTCCAGAATGGAGCATCCAGAATCCCTGGGTGTCATCCTGGAGGCAGTCTCTTTGGTTTTGCAGGAAGCTAAGATCACTAGTTGTAGCCTCTATGACCCTGTATTTTCTATTACTTCTACAACCTTCCAATGGTAATTGTCTCTAATCACCTTATTAAAACTCATTTTATCATAAAACAAATAACAGCAATAAAAAACTTGAGAGATGCACTCGGTTGGATAGTGTCCCCTGCAAAATTTATGTTATTTCATGAACCTCAGAATGAGACCCTGTTTGTGTAACCTCTCAATGGGGTCTCTGGGAGTTATCTAGAATCTAATGCTCCACAATTGTTAAATTGAACAATTTTCAAAAGACAAAGAAGGCAAATTTTATATTTGACCTTAATTTAGACCAAATGTTCAAATTTTGAAGACATTTTCATTTTACCAATAATCTTTAAAGTTGTCTTTATTTCCGAAAGATTACTAAAGTCACATGAACAAAAAATCATCAGTTTCTACTTTTCTGACATAATATGATTTAAGTGTTTATTTTTCTGATCCAATTAATCAGATATCTTTTATATAAACATCATACATACAACTCATATAAGTATACAGACAGACAGAAGATCCAGTAGTTGTTAAGATTTTTCTTTTGCTAGTTTCTTAATTAGATTACTGGTTTCAGGGTGGAGCCCTTGGAGGAACAGAACCAGGAAAGCTTGCAGTATCTAGAGCCTAATAAGCAGGCACAGCTAGAAGGCAAAAAAGAGATCCCCCAAATTAAGAGTGCCATTTTATATTGGATCTTGGATCCCCAAAATAGAGGGAAATACTATGGGAAGAGATAGTGCAGTGCTTCTACCATGCATTTCATTGCAAGGCAACCCAAAGCCAATCAGCCCCATCCCCCATGGGTCTCATCTCTCAGCAGGGGGTAGGGATACTTCCATATCTTCCAGGTGGCCAAGAACATGCTTCTCTAATCCAAGTGTGCAAAGAGGCAAGTATTTCTCCACAATTGCCTTAGCCATCCTGTAAAGTATATTTCCTCCCTAGTTATTTACACACCAAGGCTAATACACACAGTAATTTTTGATACTCACAAAAGTCAAAATTGTCAGCTAACACAAGACAAAACAGAACAAAGTCTTAGATTTTGAGAAAGGTTTATTTCATGTCAATTCCTGGGGTTCTATGGGAAAACAGAGGTTTTTCGCAGAATGGGGTCCATGGTGCCTCCTGTTTTCCCCCAGAAGTTACAGGCTATTAGTAATATCTTGCATTCTCTCATGTGGGTATCAAGAGTGGCAAGAAGACAAAATGGAGAAAAACAGTTCAGTCAACTGAGAAGGAAATTTTTTAATTAGAAAAACATGATTCAGGAATAGAAGAAAGATAAAGCCCTTTTAAATATATATGGTTTGGATATCTGTTTTTAATTAAGCCAATTTTAACCACAGAGTTATTTTGTTAAAAACAGAAAATCTTAAAAACATCTCTTATTACCACACTCCAGCCACGACAGCCAATATGTCTGGCCTTTGAATTCTACCCTAGTTAACCTCCTACATGAAATTAGTAAGTTTTAATTAAGGTTATAACTTAACCATAGATGCATAAGGTATTTTAAAATTACGGTAAGCAGTTTTGTTTTTTTTTGTTGTTGTTGTTGTTTTGTTTTTTTTTTTTTACAAGATTTAGAAACTCCCCAAAGGGAGTTCAGAGAAAGGAGAATTCAAGACAGGAAGTCAAAAGCTATCCATGGGGGTTGTAGGGGGGCAACCTCAATAAATGGCAGTTACAGAAATAACAAGCCAGAAAGGAATCATTCCAGATGCCAAGAATTGAACCTGGGTCACCACAGGAGATAAAGGCTTAGCTACTGAGTTACACAGCATTGAGCAGCTTCGACTGGTTTTCCCAGAAGAAATCTAGAACAGCCAATGTCAAGCTTGCAAAGCCTTTTAACTCCTCAAGAAAATTTTTAGGGCTAAATGTGACATGAACCCCAAAATTTCTGTCCTGTGGATGGTAGAGACCAAGATAAAGTGTCTTCACATGGTCACAAGGTTAAGCTCTTAAGGAGCAAAAGCAAGACAGAAATGTCATCTGGTATCAGTTTCAGAGACCTGCAGCAAACTTGTAACTGACCAGCCTACTGAGTTGGCTTGAAAAGCAGGCTTATAGGGGTCCTAAACTCATGTTCTATCCTATGATACCCCTCTCTCCATTACAGAAAGACAAATTATTAGCACAAAGTGCAACAAATTTGCTACAGCCTAAGACTAGTGTCACAAATCTTTTTCTTTTTTCACTATTAATCAAACCCTTCCAGAGGAGACACACAGTGAGGCTTATCATTTACCCTCCACGCCCCACCTCTCCCCCCGACACACAATGCAGAAAGAGAGAGAGAGACCAGCATCTCGGCTGTAAGAATTTCTTACAGCCAAGCATACCCGGTTTCCGGGTTCCCTTTCTCTGCAGCTTCCAGAAGATTGGAGCAGGCTTTGATGGCCCTGTTCACTGTGACATAGCTGTGAGGGACCAAGCCCCATTACAAAAGAAAGTCATCTTTCTCTGTTTTATGGAACCACAGACAAAAGCTTCTCAATTTCTCAAGATGCTCCCCGACAGGCTGCATGGGAAACCAAATTAACATTTTCCATCCCAGTGGAAGCAAAATACATGTAACCCAACAGACACTGGTCACCTCATTCAATACCCAACATCGACCTGGCAAGGCTCAAAAACTTTTTCCCATTGGTTCCTGTTGTCTTTGATCCACTCAGAGTGGGGAGGGGTGACCTCTTTTTGGGAATTCAATGGGTGGTCTCTGAGCAAGATGAAAAGCAGTAACCCTGAATCAGGCTTGTTAAATTTCTTTCAGGACTCACAGAATGTGACCAGATAGATATGGAGAGTTCTCCAAGTTAGGCCTGCTGGACTTCCGCCAGCAATTCCTTCAGATATCCCCTCCACATACACAAACATACACACAAAGACAAGATGGACAGAAGGCCTTCCAAATCAAGATTCCTAACCAAGAACTCCAGAGTATCCCTTCCAAACTACTCACCTATACTTTGTCTGAGAAATCTCTGTGAAATCTTCCTGATTGAGGAGAAGACTCCCAAACCAAGACTTTTTCTACTCGTTAGGGAAAGCCAACCAAGACCCCCCAGGAGCCAAACCGAGACAGACAACCCATGGTGGAGCTATAGACACCCTGCAATGGGGCTACAGACATACACCCCATGATAGGGCTACAGAAACAGTCGGCAGACGGAAGGAGGCATTGGCAGTGCCTAGGATACTCACCAACCCAGACACCCAGAAATGGGGCTACAGACACCCAGAAATGGGGCTACAGACAAACACTTTACCAAGGGGCTACAGACAGACCCCCTGTGATAGGGTTACAGTGATGGGACATCTCCCCAGAACTATTTCTCTATTATAATTAAATTCATGCATATTGGGTTGGCAGCACCCTGCCAGTAGCAAAAACTACCAGGGTCAGCCCCCAGTCCAAGAGAACTAGACAGCTGCTTGGGCTAATCTCTGAATCCATTGCTGGAGGGGGGCTACTAAACCTTGCATGGGCAGGTAGCCACAAGGGCAATCCCTGACGAGCCCCCAGATTTGTAACTGCCCAGTGGATTCACCTTGCCCGCTGCCTAGACAGAGCTGATTTATGAAGACAGAGGAATTGGAACAGAGAAAGAATAATTCACATAGAACTGGCTGTGTGGGAGACTGGAGTTTTATTATTACTCAAATCAGTCTCCTCGAAAACTTGGGGATCAGAGTTTTTAAGGATAATATGGTGGTAGGGGGCCAGTAAATCAGAAGTTCTGATTGGTTGGCTCAGGGATGAAATCATAGAGAGTCCAAGCTGTTCTCTTCTGCTGCATCGGTTCTTGAGTGAGGCCATAGAACTGGTTGGCAGGTCCAGGTGGGGCCATCCAGTTGTGAGAAATGCAAAGCCTGAAAAGACATCTCAAAAGGCTCATCTTAGGTTCACAATAGTGATGTTCCCTTAAAGAGTAATTGGGGAAGTTAAGAATCTTATGACCTCCGGAATAATGGCTGGTAATATTTAGAATTCTAGCCCCCTCATTCTAACTTGGTGGCTGGCGGTTTTTCATTCCGTTTACAAGATCAGTTTCACTTTTGGAAAGGGCTATTATTTAAACCATAAACTAAATTCCTTCCCAAGGCTGGGTTGGCCTACACCCAGGAATGGATAAGGACAGTGTAGGGATTAGAAGCAAGGTGGAGTTGGTTAGGTCTGATGTTTCTCACTGTCATGATTTCCTTAGTTATAATTGTGCAAAGGTGGTTGCATTCAGAAATAGGGGTTTGCTATAATATATAATAATAATAGTTAACTATAATAATAGTTAAGGTGAGATAATACTAAAGTAGGGTATACCCTTATTTCAATATGACTGGTGTCTTAAGAAAAAAAGAGACACGAAGAAAGACAGAATGCCATGTGAAGACAGAGGCAGAGACTGGAGGGATATAGCTTCACACCAAAAAACATTGCTGATCACCATCATAAATTAGAAAAGGAAAGGAAGAATTCTACTCAGCCTGTCTGAGGGATCATGACCCTGCTGACAGCTAGGTTTCAGTTGTCTGTCTTCCAGACTGTGAGGGAATGGATTTTATTTTTTTAAGCCACCCAGTCAGTTCCTGGTACTTTGTTATGGCAGTCCTCAGAAATTAATACAATAGATGGTTCCTATTTCTCTGACTAAACTTTCCAAGAACCAGGCATTTCAGGAAACAGAAACCAAAACAAGATTCCTTGGCACAATCTTGCCCAAGTATTTTAAGTGTTTCTGTGTTGTTAGAGACAGAATCAGTGAAAATTTCAGTGCCATATAAAAAGCCCATTTATTTATTTATTTCTACAATTTATCTTAGTGAAAGTTAGGGTCTGAAACACTTGAGTGTAGGATTAATGATTCCTATTACTCAGAAAACTTGGGACTAGAATAAATATCTTTTAAGAAGTTGGAGAATAGTAAGGTGAAGTTTGTGGAGCAAATTCAGACAGCTGAATTTAACCTGAAAAAGTAAGGCAGATACTATAAAGACAGTAGATGATGGAAAGCAAAGCAAAACAAATTTCCTTTAATAGCATGGGCGAAGATCAGCTATTTGAAGTTCTTTGCAATAGAGTAAATGCACATAATAATGCTTATTTAGCAATTAGAGAGGCCAGTATTCTAAGAACATTCTGCCAATTATTATATTTAATCCCCATAAAAATTTTATGAGGTAAGTACAAAAACCCCCTTTGGAAAGATTATTACAGTGAGAGAAATCTAACATATCTAACTCTATCTTGTGTCTAAACTCACAAGCTAACTGGGATTATTCATTCCTGGGCATAGGCCAAGCTAACTATGGGAGAAATTTAATTTATAGTTTAACCTTAAAATAAGAATGATAATAGCTCTTTTGAAAAAACTGCCTTCCTACTTGTTCAGGGACCAAAACCACCTTCATAAAACTAATGAAAGTCCACAAGGTTAGAATTCTGGGAGGGGCTTGAATTCTGCTAAGACCTATGCATAAGACTTAACCTGTGCAAAGGTTAGGCAATAACCAGCTGTGGTTCTATAGCTTGCTTACTGCTCAGGAGTCATGAAGCCTGAGGTCATAAGATTCAGAACTTTCCCAATTGGTCCTATAGATAGCATCACTATTGTAAAAAACCTGGGATTGGTCTTTGAGATATTTTTCAGACTTTGCATTCTAGTGGACCAACTGATACCATCTGGACCCACCTGGCAGAGTTGGTTATTTAAAGTCTTTGAAGAATTGGTCAGTGAAACCCCACCCAGAAACTGATTCAATGTGTGAAGACAATTTGGGCATTCTTATGATTTCCTCCCCAAGCAAGAAGCTGCACCGATTCCCTAACCCCTTGCCTGTCAATTATCCTTAAAAAGCCTAGCCTCCAAGATCTCAGAAAGTCAGATTTGACAAATATCTTCCATATTTCTGTTTGACTGTCTTGTAATAATTAAAATCTCTGCTGCAACACTCCTGCTGTTCTCAGTGTATTGGCTTTTCTGGGCAAGAAGAATCTGTCAGGCTATAGTGGTACTTGCATTATCTGTATTTTACAGATGAGGAAACTGTCATCTCAGCATTTGTTGACTGAGTGAACTTGGCAGAGTGGGTTATCTAAAGTCAGATGGTTTGGGTCAGAGCTGTTTTCCTGTACATATTTCTCCTCTTATATTAATACAGGTGGGAAGTTTTAGCCAGCTATTCATTTTTTTTTTTTAAGACCACACTCGTTTTTATTCCTGAAGTTCATTGGTAAGTTATTTCTGCTTTTCTGTGTTTCAAGTCTTTTTTTCTTTAGGCATTAGCTACAATTGTGATATTGATCTCCAATAACATTTAGATTATCTGACCCCACATAAAGATTTTTTCCTTTATAGTAAGAATAGGTCATACTAATTTCTTATTGTTTGTTAAGAAACAATCATAGAATACATCTTTTACAGTGTATCATTTTACCAGTTATATCACATTAATAATCATGGATGAAAAAGATGAAGCAAATAAATTTGACTTACAGAAGATTTCCAGCATTTGTTTTTGATTTTCAGTGTTTCATATTTCTCAACTGAAAGGCTATAAAGCTCTGAGGATCTAAAAGATAAAAAATATCTTCAAAACATTAGATTCTAACCTCCCAGACCAGCACTGGCATTATTAACTTTTAATAGGACAATAGCAGAAAACAAGATTTTGTTCTTCTTTTATCCAGTAATGAAAATTTTATCAATTGATAAGATGAATTATAGTGTCAAGAAATTTTTTTTATTAAAGATTTTTTCCTTTTTTTCTTCCCTGGGGGCTAGGCCTGGGAATTCCACCATCTATCTGAGAGAATGAGGTTTTTTTTTTTTTCTTGTTCAAGTATGATTCCCTTATAACCTACAGCATTTTTTATTCATGGTACAAATATTAGTGGTAGTGTTGGGAGATAAGATTAAATTATATTCACTAATATAATGAAGTATGGGGAAGAGACTAGAAGAATCAAGTTTAGTGTTTGAAAAATCAATAAGCTTCCCAGTATCTGGCAAATCCAGAGAGAATAATGATTGAAAGAACCACAAGAAAGTAGATCGTATATGTATCAGCCTTATTTGTAAGGAAAAAAATGTAGGAGAAAGAATATCAAACATAATTTGATATACAGTTGTGGAAGAAAACACTACATCCTCCAAATTTTACTATTTTTATTTTTTAAGCATTATATAAATAAGCTAGTACTTTGTTAGAATCAGACTATACTTCGACCTTAAGAAATTAACAGTTTAGAGGTAATTCTTTATGAAAATCTGGTAACTCAGGAAATCTTAGGCAATATTTGTTAGCCCTTTTGAGCTGAGAGAACAACTGTCTTAATTGCTGCTGCTTAGAACCCTGATATGACTTTCATGATGAAAAAAGTTATGAACCACTCTGGAAAATAAGAGTTCATGAGTTGAAAATTCTGCTGTAGGTAATGAAACAATAATGGAAGCAGAAAGGTTAAATAGCTTTTCTAAAGATCAACAACCAGTAAGTAGCAAAGCAAAAATCAGTATAAAATTTTACAACCTCAGGAGCTTTTAACCATATCACTGATTTTTTCTAGAGCTTTTTGTTAATGAAGTAACACTTTCTATAGACATGATGTTGTAGCTAAAGGGATAGCTCCCAATATTAATACTTAATTTTTTTTGGCTATACATTTTAAAAATTATTACCTTAAAACAAAGTAATAAAATCTCCTTGCATGCAATGGATTCTAAAATGGGTAAAGATAATACTAAAGTTGTCTAGTTGTCCTTTAATGTACTGTACTATAATTTCATTATAAAATCTGTTAAAATATTGAAAAACATTTAATATTACATTCTACATGAATTAGATTTTATAGAATTTTCTGAAATAAATACAGCCATAGCAATGTATAATAAAAGAAAGATATGAAAATAGAAAAAAACTTCAAAAAATGTTAAAACTTGATTTTTTATACTTTTCAGAATGAGAGAAACAAGTTTTTAAGTGAAAATGCATTATCAGGTAACAACTACAAAAAATCACCAGCTCCTCAGCTTGCAAAGATCTCAAGGCCAAGTGCCTTTTCCATCATCAAGGATAAGAGCACTAACCTCAATACTGATTCACAGGAAAGTTTTTATTTTTTTACTGCATTTATGAGCATTTATATAGTTTTCATACCTTAGGCAACAAAATGACAATGGCAGAATTGACCTTTTGAAAAAAAATATATTTTTACTCATTTCAAAAGAGAAATGAGTTCAGACATGGAGCTACAAAGTTCAAAAAAACAAAAAGATAAAAGATGCTGAAAATGAATGGAATAGGTACATATATTTTTAAATGTATATAAAATGTAATATATTAAAGTAAAAAATATAATTAGAGGTTAAAGTCTAAAAATTTTGAGTAAGTTGTTTGGATTTAGAAAATGTATGCTTTACTGAATACAGATGATTAATTTCTGGCGTGTAAGGGAAACATTATCTTTCTCAATAATATATTGCCCTAGTCTGTTTGGGCCGCTATAACAAACACAACATAGACTGGCTTGCTTATAAAAACAAAAATGTATTTCTCACAGTTCTGGAGGCTGAAAGCCTGAGTTCAGGGTGCTAGCACAGCTGGGTTCTGGTGAAGACTTGCTTCCTGGTTCATAGACTGCCATTTTCTCCCTGTATCCTCACATGGTGGAACTTGCAAGGGATCTCTCTGGGGTCTCTTTCATAAGAGCTCTAATCCCATTCATGAGGGCTCCACCCTCATGCCATTATCACCTCACAAAGGTTTCACTTACTAATCCAATCACATTGGGGGTTTCAATTTTGACATATAAATTTTGGGGAGGATACAAGCATTCAGTCCATAACATTATATATATATATATATATATATATATATATATATATATATATATATATATGGCTGGGGCAGTGATAAAGTGTTCCATATTATATATATATATGTTATATATGTTTCTTATATATGTTATATGTTATATATGTTTCATATATATGTTATATATTATATGTTTCATATATATGTTATATATTATATATGTTTGATATATGTCATATATTATGTATGTTTCATATATGTTATATATTATATATGTTTCATATGTATATATGAAAATTAAGCAGATAAAATTCCATTTTCCATCCTTCCAAGAAGAAGGGGTGAGTCTTCTATTAAGGATCTACTTGCTAAACTTAAAAGCCTGTTGAGAACTCAACCCTATATTTTTTGTACAATTATATTTTGGCATAACGAAAACACATAATTTATAAAATGCTCAAAGATACGTCATTTAAAAAGCAATACAAGAACAAAATACAGCATTTATATGCAATAAAGTATTGTCACAAGAATGAGGATGAATTATTTGGAATGTAACATGTATGCAATATGTTTTTATAAAATTGTGAAAAATGAAGAAGAACATAGGTCATGAATGAATGTAGATATATACTATAACACTGTAATGTAATGTGCTTAACACTTAGGTTTAAAAAAAGAGTTTTGGAAATGGTGTTAAAATAAGTTGGCTATTAATGTGATGTATTCCAAAAAGTTTTGGTTGGAAGAGAAAATGAATAAGCTGTCTTTCACACAAAACCAGAGCAAAAAATAAGTGTGTTTACTGACAATAAATAACTCCTTCTATTACACCAGAAAAGAAATGACTATGTACAGTATAGAGCTTTTTCCACAAATATGCCTTTAGTACTTATCTTTATGTATGTGCCTTACAAAAACTATTAATATAAAATATTTAATTAATTGCTATAAACGTGATGATTGTTTATGAGAGTAAAAGTAGGTCTGTTAAGTCGATGGCCCTTTATTTTGAGAAGTGTATATGTGTGTGTGTGTGTGTATGGGTGAGTGTGCGTGAGAGCGAGAGAGCGAGAAAGGGAGGGAAGGACAGGTATGTTTGTACATGCGTATGTTTGTTTGCCTGTTTGTTTTAACATTTATCTAAGATTGTTTTTTTCATTGAGGGGTTGGGGGGCGGGTGGCTTCAAATGACTTAGTCGGCTCATGTTTGCAAACTCAGGAGTAATTGCTGGGGCAGTGATAAAGTGTTCCATATAATCGAATTAAAATAATACATTGAAATTGAGTGAGGAAATATATAAATCCAGGTTAAGTGCATTTGGAAAAGAATCAGAGAGAAGAAATGCAGTGATGTTGAAGTGCAGCTGAGACTGAAGAAACAATAACATGTATCTAAAAGGGATTTTAAAATGTAATCTCTTTTATCATTTTACATAAGATAAAAATTTTCATAAAACTTAGAAATGTGCTGTCCTGTTTTCAAGTTAATGAGGAGATTTAAAAAATGCAAAGACAGGCACACGGAAGTTGGAAGACCTAGGAGTAGCACTATCTCAGTTATAAAAGAGACTGGACCAGTAGCTGCAGAGGACTAATAAAAACCATGATGGCTATTAAATTAGGCTATTTGTAAGTTTTCAGTGATGATATCGTCTGGAGTACAACATTTCTTCTCAATATGTAGACAGTAAACATTTTAGCAATGCTTTCAACTTTCAACTCAGCATTTATTTGCATCATTCAGTTAGACATAAACTTCTAAAATAAAATGTACCTTTTCCTCTTTTTGCATTCTTAAATATTCTTTAATATTTATGAAATTAGGATAGCTCTTTCAGTTTTTTTATTATTTGAAATAACATAAATGGTCCTAAAATGTACGAATTCAAAGTTATCTTAATGAATCAACTATACAAGCAATAAACATAGGACACAGGAAAATCATTTAAATTGATACGCAATTACATTGCAATTATATTGATGGCAGCGGTGGTCCATCTGGAGCGGCTATTGCCATCAAGGAGGCTGCAATGGGGGAGGCATGGCCGTGGCTGCAGCTCCACAGAGCCAGGAGGAGCCAGGAGGAGCCAGGAGTAAGCAGAAGCCCAGTCCACTTCTGAGTTGGCAGGACAGGAGCCTCCCGCTTCCCAGGTGCAGCTGCGGCTGTCCAGCCACGGCTGCAGAACCAGGCATTTCTGTGCTCTTGGGGACCAGGAGCAGGGAGGAGCTCCTCCCTCCTGGGTCCAGCTTCAGCCTCCCAAGCTGCGACTGCAGACCCAGGCATCTCTGCACTCTTGGGTGCCTGGGAAGCCTTCTTTCTCGACAAGCTCAGAGGTGCCTGCTCCCACTGCCTAGCCTCTCCCGACTCCTGGCTACCACTCTGATTTCAGAGCAAAGTTAAGGTTGAGCCTGGGAGCTGTTGCAACCCAGCTGGGTGAGCCCACGCTTGGGACAGCACTTACATGCCAGCTCCCTGTCCTCTCGGCCCCCTCCGGACTTTGGGTGCCAATGAGCATGGGAGGGAGTTTGAGGAGGGACTGAGGGTAGCTTGGTGCTGCCTGCAGGTGCCCCTCAGCATGAACAGCCTGGGCACCCTGAATAGCAGCAGGAGGTAGACAGTCTCTGGGTGGAAAGGGGCGGGTCCCGGGTAAAGCCCCACTTTCAAGATGGGGAAGGCCTGAAGCATGGGGGCCATTCTACCAGTCCTGTAGACTGGAGTGGAAACTTATGGTGCTTTGTCTGGGCCCACCCATGGCTGCCCATGGACTAATCAGCATGCACTTCCTCTCTTCTGAAGTCCATCAAAACCCGTGACTCAGCCAGACTTAAGAAAATGATGAGATGACCTGCCTGCAGAGAGGAGCTATCCACACCAGGGTCTCCTCTCTGCTTAGAGCTGAAAAGAGATGACAGGATGACCAGCTGCAGAGAGGAGCTACGCACCCCAGTGTCTCCTCTCTGCGGAGAGCTGGAAAGATGATGGGACAACGTGGAGCTACTCACTCCAGTGTCTTCTCTCTGCTGAGGGCTCAACACTTGCAGGGACACCCTGGCTGTGGAGAGAAGCTTCCCACTGTGGGTCTCCTCTGAGCTGTTCTATCACTCCATAAAACTCCTCTTCACCTCACTCACCCTCCACTTGTCTGTGCATCTTAATCATCCTGGGCATGGGACAAGAACTTGGGACACGCTGAATGGTGGGGCTGAAAGTGCTGTAACACAAACAGGGCTGAAACATGTCCCTTGCTCACCACATTGCGGGGTGACAAGAAGGAGAGAAGAGCTGCGGCCCTTTGGGAAGTCCAGGCCTAGGAGCTCCCTGAGCCAGGCCTGTGACACATCTTTGGGGCTCTGCATTTCCTGCTCAGTGGCCAGACCACATGCACACACCCCTTGTTGCTCTCCTTGCCCTTGGCAGGCATGGGATTCAAGCCAGTAGCATGAGCCAAGTGCAGCCTGCTAGGCCAAGTGGGCCAAGCAGGCCCAAGTAAAACTCGGGCAAAGGTACCACTGGCCACAGAGGTTTCCAGCTGATGAAGCAACATCCCAAGGATCCTGTAACAATTTGTATTACAAACCTTATATTTTTCAAACGTATCTTTTTCCAAATCTATCTAAATTATAATTTTTCTAATAAGTGCTTTACCTAATGTATTTATTCCTACTCATATTACATTCAATACAAAATCAGAAATCTTTTCAGAATACTATCAACAATTTAAAGATAAATGGAGCTGCTTATGTTTGTCTCCATGGTGGGCCACAGAAGTTGAGATATCAGTTGACAGACTTACCTGCATAGCCTTTTAAATAATTTCTGTTTTCAACTCCATTATTTTCTTCCACTTACCTATGAAATCTGAGTCCAAAGTATCTCACTGGTTCCTTGAGTAAACTGCACCATTTCTCTTGCAGTACCTTGGTTGGTTTTGTCCTAGTTTTATGTATCAATCTGTTTTTATTTTCATTCAATTATTTTTAAGTACATTTTTATGGATTACATAGATATGTATACAGCTGAATGAATTTACACACAAAAAAATGCCCATGTAAGCAGCATCTAGTTATTTAAAAGACAGTTTGAACTATATGAAATTCCAAGTTTTAACAATTTTTGACCATAAAAACAACAAGTTTATGTGTTTGTTTACTAGTACTCCAGTTTTCTCCTGGAGTACACTCCCAGTCATTACTATTGTACATATAGCTACCACTCTTGTTTTCTAACACACCATAGTTCTTGCCTGTTTTTGTGATTTATACAGATGGCATCATGTAATATATATTATTTCCTCTCTTCTACTCAAATCCTCAGTGAAATTCATCTTTGTGGTTGCATGCAGTGAGGATTCTTTGATTTTCATAGCTATATATTTTCCATTGTATAAAAATACTATGCTTTATGTATTCTCGTATTAAGAACATTTGAGATATTTTCATCTTGGTGTTATTATTGTTAATATAGCTATATATTTTTATTACCTATCTCGTAGTGAATAACTCCTTCTTTCTGCTCAGGATATTTCTAATAGTGAAAGTGATGTGTAAGAGTATGTGTATTTATGGAGGTTTACCAGATACATCAGATGATTTTCCATTTGTGTTTCAGTTTATACTCCTACTAGCAGAGTATGAGAGTTTTTGTTATTCCACACCTTTGCCATTATTTAGTATTGTCATCCTTTTTAATTTTAGTTCTTCTGCTGAGCATGTAAAGTATTACTTTGGATATTTAATTTACATTTCTCTGACCCTAATGAAATTTGATCAGATACCTTCTCCTGTTTGCTGGTCACCTATATATTTCCTTGGGTAAAGTGTTTCTTCAAGTATTTGCCTATTTCATTTTTTAATTATGTTATCTATTATCAATTTATAAGAAGTTTTAAGTGTGTAGCAATAACTATTAAAACTAGATATTAGTATACCTATGACCAGAATTTCCAGGCTTGGATATAGACCCTCTGTGATATTATGATATCATGTGCATATGGTTAATATCGATAGTTCTTGGTTCATAACTCTCATAGCCCTTGTTATAATGTTGGGGTGAGTCAGACCTGAGAAGCAGACCTTAGAAAATAGAATCTCACTCTCTGACCTGCTGATCTCCTTACATTTGCTCTTTTTTTCTCCCCAGGCAGGGCAGGAATCTTCCCCTACGTTTCTGTTTTGAAATTCTCTGACCTCCCTTATCTGATTGCAAATATGACTCCCATTTCAGAAGGGGTCCTGCCTCCTACCCTGTAGGAAGGAAAGCTTCACTGAAAGACCAAGAAGAATCTAAACAGACAGGCCGTGCTGTGTTTCCTTAAACAGTCTATTAGTATTAGATCACACCCTTTTGTCTAGTCTATACAATTGTCCTTACTTCAATCCTACTTACCTAACAAAGTTCTCCAGAAAATGCCTGAGAAGACAGGGTATGGGGAGCTTCCAGGACAGTTGACTGAATGCATGGATATTACGGGGGGTGGTTCACCTTGGGAGGGCATGGAAGTTTTACATCCTTTACCTCCTACCTGGCTCTAGGCATCTCTTCATCTATTTTCTTTGCAGTATCATTTATAATAAACCAGTAAACGTAAGTGTTTACTTGAGTTCTGTGAGCCACTCTAACAAATTAAACCCAAGGAGGGAGTTGTGGGAATTCTGATTTATAGCCCATCAGTCAAAAGCACAGGTACAACATTCTGAGGCTTGTGATTGGCATCAAAAGTGAGGAGCGGTCTTGTGGGACTGAGCCCTCAACCTGTAGAATTTGATGGTATTTCCATAGAAGACAGTATGGGGATTTCATTGGAGGACATTTGTCTTTTATCCACTGAATAACTGATTGCTTGCTTGCTGGTGGGAAGAAAATCCCACACATGTAGTCACAGAAGTCTTCATGTTGATCGTTGTGTTGTGAGAGCAGAGAAAAACTGTTTTTTCCACTCACATCCTTAAAACATATGCCTTTATGAATAGAAAGTTACAACCAAAAATTTCATTGCATCGTAATGTAATAGCCAAAAACCTTCAAATAGTTGAAATCTTCATTAACCATTGAATATATAAATAAAATATAGTATGTTCATATAACACATTATTATACACCATTGAGAATGAAGTATAATATTGATGAGACTCACATATATAATTGTATGTTTTTTTGTATAAGATGTATACAAAAAATATAGGCCACATGTTTCCATTAATATAAATCTAAGACACAGGTAAAACATGTTTATGTGTTAGAAGTTAGAAAGTGATGATGTCATTGCAATAAATGGTGATTCAGAGGGACCACAAAGGGGTCTCTGGTGTGTTGATAATGTTCTATTCATTGCAGTTTAACCTTTTCAGGCCCAGTCCTTACAGACATAAGTTTACTTAAAAATATTTTTAAAAAGTCAGATATTGAAATTCACTGATTTACTGTTGCATTTCTGTGGAATCATTCTAGTTTTGGTTTTTTTGTTTGTTTTTGTTTTTGTTTTTGTTTTTATTGAGACAGAGTCTTGCTCTGTCACCCAGGCTAGAGTGCAGGGGCACGATCTCAGCTCACTGCAAACTCTGCCTCCCGGGTTCACGCCATTCTCCTGCCTCAGCCTCCCGAGTAGCTGGGACTACAGGTGCCCACCACCATGCCTGGCTTATTTTTTTTATTTTTAGTAGAGATGGGGTTTCACCGTGTTAGCCAGGATGGTCTCAATCTCCTGACCTCGTGATCCACCCTCCTCAGCCTCCCAAAGTGCTGGGATTACAGGTGTGAGCCACTGCGCCCAGCCGGAATCATTCTTAAGTGACATAAATTTCAACAGTAAAATTCGAAATAAATCACAATAAGTTTCAAAAAATTCTTGGAGAATTTCCAAACTACTAAATATAGGAATATTGATTAATGCAATTATAGAAATAGCGATATTTTCATGAACAATTCCTTTATGCAAGGTTTGTTGAAACAAGGATGAAACTTTTATTATCAGCCAAAAATAATCTTGGCATAAAATCATTGGGATCCACTATATTATTAAATGGACAATACCGTATTTATATTTCATAATTAGATTTCAAATTTATTACAGTAGTATATTATACGAGGCTAAAATTCATCATTAAAGTAATTATCTTTACTTTCCTGTTTCTCCTCAATCAGTTTGGATATAGTGGGAAGAAAAGATGTTGTTTTTAGGATAAAGTCTTATGCAATATACACATGAAAACTGGAAAATATTGTTGAGAAGATTTTGTAACTATTTGTGTATTCATAAGTATGGAAAATATATAGTGTTTACAATATTTAGTTCTGGAAATGAAAGAAAATATTTCTTTGTAGCATATGGTACATTCAATTTTAAAAAGGAGTATTTTAGGAGAGAAATTATATAAAATAAAAATTTTGAGTATAGGCAAGAAAAATTCCAGTGAGAATAGTTAGAATAAATTTAACAGTGAATGCTACTATTTACAAATTCTAGTGTTCAGTAAGTAATAATCTAAAATCAGATGCTTTATTTAGCCGAACATAAAGCCAAAGTCACTTAAATATGTCATTTGGTCTGGCAAAAAGCATGTAACACTATATTGAACTAAAAATGTATAATTTTATATTACAGAGAAATAGCAACACTTTCACCTCCCGAAAATAAGAAAAATTATCACTGGCCTCTGGGTTTCTTTCCTCAAAATCAACGTTGTGGAACCCAAGATGTAAAGGTGAAGGTAAATTACAGGAACTAACTTTTGTACATTAACCTTAGTTAATCTGGTTGTGCAGAGTTCTTAGTTCCTTTTGATAAATAATTGTAGCCATTGGTAAAATTTGAAATAGATGGACTTATTTATAAAGTCTAACAACGTTCTAGTTTGCTGTATCTTAAATATTGTCTAACACTGACTTGCAAGAAAAGCTCACTGAGGCTTATTTTTGAAGGCAGGTTTCATTTACTGTTATGGCCAACTTGAAGCAATAATAAGTTAGCCATACCAATAGTTGGACTTGAGATCATTTAGAAATTAAACCTCAGATGACTTCGTTAAAGATATAGGTTATAGGCATTGTTAGATATGTAGGGTGTTGAGAGTATTTTAATCAATCTAAAAACTTGAATACTTTAAATTTTACTAATAAGAATTTACATCTAGTGTTTATAATGCTAATTAAAACATTAATTGTACCAATACAAAACTATTTATGACCTTCACTTTAATAATTTGCAACATTTCTGGTCTAGATCAGAGATAAAGGTAGCTGAAATATTTGTAGGAACCACCTCTGGAATTTAGACTTTCTGATAAAATGATAATTGACCACTCCTGAAATGTATAAAGTATTTTATTGTATTGTGTATGTACTGTATTGAATGTATATTGTATTGGCTAGTAAAAGACTAGCCAATCTGAATTATAATTGAATTTATTTGAAAAAACACACAGACACGCACACATACACTTGCATATATCATACTATACTGTCTTTGGGAAGGATTTTAGAGTACTTTAAAATATTAACTTTAAAAATGTGAGAAACTCTGGAGAAGCTATAAACAATATTGGACTGCTGTGCATTTGTTGAAGGTAGGTAGGGCTAGAAAGGAAAAGGTAGGTTAAAACCTGATAAAGAAAGAAGTCAGAGGCAGTTCTGAAGGAATAGCAGAAAAAAATATTTTTATGTTCTGATAATGCTGGTACACATTTCCATAGCTTTAAAGCAATAAAGGCCAAGACATTTATTGATGAAATCAGCAACAACAAATTCAGAACTACCAGTGCCAGTGTCAAGCAAGTCTTTTTGTTGAAGACTTACTGGATCAAAATCTGTACTTCCCTTTAAGAGGATAAATGTGAAATTCTGACTAAATAAATACGTGGCCAAGTGGTCTCAGTCAAGAGTTATCAAAAGTGCCTCTGTGAGGACTTCTGGTTTTAGCTCTTGCATGTAAAGCACATGGAAGTTGCAATTCCATTCTTAAAACAAGAACATGTTAAGAAAATTGAAAATAAATGACTTTCCTTGGATCCATCAATAATAAGCTACCACTGTAGAATTATTAGAATGGTTACAATCCATAAACCTGACAGCACCCATTGCTGGTGAAGATGCAAAACAACAGGAACTCTCAATCATGGTTGACGGGAATGAAAATGGTACAAACACTTTGTAAAATGTTTGGTACATTTTTTTACAGAGTTAAACATAGTCTTATCACATAATACAGAAAGAACAGTCCTGGTTTTTACCCAACTTATTTGAAAACTTTTGTCTACACAAAAACTTGCACATAAATGTTCATCACAGCTTTATTCATAATCACCAAGAACTGGAAAGAAAAAAAGATGTCCTTCAATAGATGAATCATACAGTATATATACTTTAGAGACTGGCTTATTTAGCTTAGCAATAGGTATTTAGGAATTTACCATGGCTTGATAATTTGTATAAGGTGTTTTCCACCAGAATATAGATTAACAATTCTAAAATCTTTATACCTGCATCCTGAAGTTGATTTATTAAACAAATGATGACAAATGGTAGAAGCCAGGCATTCTTACTATTAAAGTAGAATGTTACAGATAAGCAAGGGGTTTAAGTTAGATTGTGTGGTAGTAGACTAGATTTGGAAACATAAATATAAACTCATGTTTAACTTAATATGAATAGACATGCTTACATATAGGAATATTTATAGATATGTGTACATACTTTGGTTAGTACACATGCATATTTCTTTATTCTGGCACACGAGAGGTTCTAGTAGCAAAGACAGTCCATTAGCAACAAGCAAACCAAGCAGGCTGATTATGGTTTCTAACCGCAATCTCTAGTAAAAGAAACTAGGTTCTCTGTGGGAAAAGGGATGGTTGTTGGGCTGGGCAGAAAATATATAATATGAACCTGGGGTATTTTGTAGTGCCAGAATGTAATAACATACTCAAAAAAGAAAATAAAACAAACAAAAAAAACCCCAACAATAATAGTATGTCAAAAGGACACAAAGCCAACTAAAAGAGCTTCCAATAGTCAAGGCTGAAACAATTTGAGCAAGGACATACATAAAGTAGTGTTAGATTTTAACCCAACATAAAATAAATATTCATGTGCCTATGTTGACATAAACATATAATTTGAGTTGATCAATGGCAAGGAAGATACAAATGTCCTCTGCAGAAAAATCTGAAATAATTTAGATAGCTAGCTACTCTGTTATGAAGGAGGTTAAACATAGCTCCTCACTTCTTAACTGTGGGCTATACATAGTGATTTCCTTCCAACAAATACAATATGGAAAAGGGAAAAAGAGTAAATTTACAGTGAAGAAACCTGATAAAAACTACCTCAACCAGATGATCAAGGTTAGCATCATCAGTGATAACTCATTTGCATAGTGTCTACCCTCGATATGATGTACTGAGAATTGTACTTTATCTATGTAGTCTTCTGCCCCAACACCCATAACTTTGACCCTGAAAAAATTTGCAAACAGATCCCAATTGAGAAATATTCTATGAAATATCTCACCTGTACAAAACACTGTGAAAGTCATCAAAATCAAGGAGTGTATGGAAAACTGACATCAAGAGAAGCTTAGGAGACATTACTACCAAATGTCACGTGGTATCCTGGATCAAAACTTGAAAGAGAAAAAGGACTTGTATCAATATGGGTTTATACATTTTAACAAGTGCATTATCCTAAATGTAAGATATTAATAATAGAAAAAACTGGGTGCTGAGTATATGGGAACTCAGTAGTATATTCACAACCTTTAGTAAACCTGAAACTATTCTAAAATAAAAGCATTGATTTAAAATAATAAAAAGCAATAACCAAAAAAAGTGTCTCTTTGATGCATGTAGATAATTACTTTTCATGTTTTCCACAATTCATGGCCATTCCTAAAAACATATTAATAATAGAAATATATAAAATTTGTATAGTCATTGTTATGTGTTAGTCATTTTTCTAAGATTTACATACAAACACATACATACAGACAGACCCAAATACATATACATATGTTCATATCTGTGGAGTGTGTGTATGCAGCATATCTGTGTGTGTATATATGCATGCATACACACACATTTTATGTATATATCCATATATATTCAATATATATGTTTGTTATAAACACATATGTAAATTAAATTAACCTTATAACAACTGTTGCTTTTACTACTATTCTCAACTTACAAGTTAGAAATTTGGAGAAATACTGGAGATATATATTCCAATAAAAATTGTAATTTGCTCAAGTATATCTTATAATTTTTTATTAGCATAGGGCCATTGATAAAACCTATAAGTGATTTATGATAATTGGCATTTAATTCTCAATAAGCTACCCAATGAGTTACATACTAACATTTTTCCTTTTTTACATATGGGTAAACTGAGGCACAAAAAGGTAAATATTCTACATGCCACACATCCTTTGACTAGTAAGTTGTAAATATTACCAGCAGTGTACTTTGAATATAAGGGATCTGATTCCAGAGTAATGTGCTTAACCTCTTTTCTATCATGGCCCCCAGGCTCCACATTAAAAATTCCATAAAATCACAAATAGGAGAGGAAAGAAAAGGCACTCCTATATATAGTATATAAAATTTAAGAATATCAGAGGCCAAAATGAAAATTCTAAAATTTTATAGAAGAATAGGAACTCATTCTAAGAATTATACTATGAATCAGATTTTTCACCTGCAATATTACATGCAAGAAGACAAATAGAGCATTTTGTTTTTTGCAGGAAACTATTAAATACATTAGCATCTAAATTTCACATTTACTCAAACTTTTACTTAATTTGGGGAATAAAGAAACCATTAGATAAACAGGTTATTTGTGTTCTACCATACAAAATGCAGGTTGAAATATTTTGAAGGTTTTATATTAATATTTACAGAAATAAATCAAGGAAATGCTTGAAGACATAGAAAATGGAAATGTTCAAATAGCTTGCCACTTAATAGTTTCTTACACCATCCTATTATTTTTGAGAACTAAAGAATACCTAATGTTATTACAGACTATGTCTCATTTTTATGCTAAATGAGAAAATAAGAGCATTCTGAAATACTCCTTTTGTGAGATTATATAAATATATATATATATATTACTACTTAATCAATTGGTACATATTAACATACATGATTATCTAGTAGTGGAACATCATGGACATAAAAATAGAGTGCACATGCATGACTATTAATCCAACAGAGAAAATTTGGCCTATGTATTGCAAAACACAAAAGTGGGGCAGGAGGATTAACAAAAGAAATTCTGTAAATAAAAAGTATGAAAAAATATGGTAGGAAAAACCTGAACAATGATCTGCTAAATGTAGCTTAAATGAGTTAAACTCACAAAGTAAAATCCAAAGATCTTTTTGCATATTGGCTAAAGCAACATCATTCACCAGTACACTATCCGAAATTGACAATAAACACAATTTCCAACACCCCTCTTCCACACACAAATACACACAGAAAGACTGGGAGATGGGAATGATATTCAAGAAAAACAAAAGATTTTAGTGGTCAAGGCATGGAATTACGTATTGTGTACTGGTAAAAGTAACAATGGAACAAGAATGTATATCTATCATAAGCATTTGTGAACAGACCCATAACATAAATTAAATAAAGTGGACAAACTGTATGGAGAGTTAAATAAATCAATAGTTGTGGGATGTAGGATATGTTCGAATTTTAACACAAATTATGAAAAAAGTTTTTAAAAATTAGCAGATGCATCAAATATTTAAATAACACAATTTGTTCATTTGCATGGGCATATAAAACCTAAATATATCATTGGGCAATAATACAATTGAAGAAATAAATAACATGGTAGACTAAAAATGGTTACAAAACATAAATAGCATTGAGTCTACATTCTCTGAGAAAAAAGTGAGAAAATAAAAATTAATCTAAAATGGATAGATTCAATATGATTGACATATAACATACTGTCAAACAATTTTTAGACCCCCAAATAACAAAAGAATCTAAAGCAAATATAAAGGAAAACATTTAAAAAGTTCAGGACTGTTAAAATTATAAAGCAAAACACACATAAGGGATTACTTAAATAGAAGTCACAAAGGATTAGGCTATAAAATTATTCATCACAGTTATTATATATAAAAATATCTTAAACATACCAAGTGGGAGAAAGTATATAAACATTTTTTGATTTTTTGCCAATAGCTTGTGAAACATTATTGTCCTTTCATATTTTAAAATAAAATTTAGTATAATCAAAATTATTTTAATTTCATCTTTCATAATATAAATTACATGTATATTTAAATTTCAATAACACATAAAAATGTATAAATATTGGGTGATTTTATAAATATTTATTTATGCTTTAAAAATTTTCTTTCCAAGTTTGTATAAACTTAAGGGGTACAAGTACAGTTTTGCTACATGGATATACTGTGTGGTGGTGAAGTCTAGGCTTTTTGAAGAATTATCACCAGAATAATGCACATTGTACCCAGGAAGTATTTTCTCATCCCTCACCCACTTCCCATTCTCCCAGCTTTTAGTCACCAATGTTTATTATTCCACACTCAAAATCCATTTGTATACATTACCTAGCTTCCACTTATATGTGAGAATTTGATATTTAACATTGTTTCAGAATTGTTTCACTTAAGGTAGTAGCCTCCAATCCCATCCATGTTGCTGCAAAAGACATGATTTCATTCCCTTGTATGGCTAAAAAATTATTCCATGGTGTATATATACCACATTTTCTTTATCCATTCATCTGTTGATGGACCCTTAGGTTGATTACATATCTGGTTATTGTGAATAGTGTGATAAACAAACAAGTCCAGTTATCTTTTTCTTATAATTATTTTTTTCTTTTGAATTGATACCAAGCAGCGAGATTGCTGAATCAACTAATAGTTCTACTTTTAGTTATTTGAGAAATCTCCATACTTTTTTGATGGAAGTTGTATTGATTTACATTTCTACCAACAGTGTATAAGCATTCTTTTTTCTCTACACCTTTACCAACATTTGTTATTTTTTGACTTTTTAGTAATTGCCATTCTGACTGGTATAACATGATATTTCATTGTGGTATAATTTGCATTTCTTTGATGATTAGTGATGTTGAGCGTTTTTTAATATACTTGTTCATTTGTATATCTTCTTTTGAAAAATGTCTATTCATGACCTATGTGCACTTTTTAATGAGATTGTTTGTTTGTTGTTGTTGTTGTTGTGTTATTTGAGTTCCTTGTAAATTCTGGATATTAGCCCCCTATCAGATTCACAGTTTGCAAACATTTTCTTCCACTGTGCAGGTTGTCGGTTCACTCTATTGTTATTCTTTTATTCTATTATTTATTTTGTTGTGCAGATTTTCAGTTTAATTAAGTCCCATTTGTCTATGCTTGTTTTTGTTGCTTGTACTCTTGAGGTCTTAGTCATAATTTTTTTTTTTTTTTTTGCCTAATCCACTATCCTGAAGAATTTTGCCTAGGTTTTCATCTAATATTTTAATAATTTCAGGTTTTACATTTAAGTCTTATTCCATCTTGACTAGATTTTTATATGGTGAGAAATAGGGGTCTAGTTTCATTTTTCTGCTTATGACAGTCCCATTTTCCCAGCACCATTCGTTGAAAAGGGTGTCCTTTCCTCAGTGCATGTTTTTGTCTACTTTGTCAAAGATAAGTTGGCTGTAGGTATTTGGCTTCATTTTGAGGTTCTCTATTTTGTTTAATTTATCTATGTGTCTATTTTTACAAGTACCATGCTCTTTTAGTTACCAAATCCTTGTAATTTATTTTGAATTTGGGTAATGTGATGTCTCTTGTTTTATTATTTTTGCTTAGGATTGCTTTGGCTATTTGAGCTTTTTTGGGGTTCTATATGAATTTTAGGATTTTTTCCTAATTCTGTGAAAAATGATATCATTATCACTTCATAATAAAAACTTTAGCAAACTAAACATATAAGAAACATACCTCAAAGTCATAAAGGCCATATGACAAACCCACAGCAAAAGTCATACTTAATGAGAAAAATTTGAAGGAAATCCCCTTGAGAAATGGAACAAGACAAGGATGCCCACTTTCACCACTCTTATTCAACAAAGTACTGGAAATCCTAGCCATAGCATTCAGGCAAAAAAAAAAAAAAAAAAAAAAAAAAAAAAAAAAAGAAAAAGAAAAAAGAAATAAAAAATCCAAATTAGAAAAGAGGAAGTCAAATTATTTTTGTTCACTGATGATATGATCTTATATCTGGAAAGCCCTAAAGACTTCTCCAAAAATCCGTTAACTTTAATAAATGAATCAGGCAAAGTTTCAGAATACAAAATTAATGTACAAAAATCAGTAGCATTTTTACACACCAACAACAATAAAGTTGAGAATCAAATAAAGAAGGCAATCTCATTTACAGTAACTACAAAAAAAGTAAAATAAAATACTTGGGAATATGCTTAACAAAGGAGGTAAAAGTCTCTATAAGAAAAAACTGCAAAACACTGATGAAAAAAATTGTAGATGACACAAACAAAACACAAATAGAAAAATATCCCTTATTTATGGATGGGAAGAACTTATATCATTAAAATGACCATACTGCACAAAACAATCTATAGATTCAATGCAATCCCTATCCTAGGTATATTTAAAAGTTCAGTACAATAAAGATAAAATTTTTATCTGAATAAGTCATGTTATGTCAACTCATTAATTTTCATAATATTTAACTTAATTTTTGTTTTTGGTCATTTTTGAAATAATTATATCAATTGTATGTTATAGAATTTCTCTGGAATTTACAGGATTTTGAGAAAGTATGAGACTTGCTCTTTTAATTAAACACATCTCTACATAGCAGTTCTTTCAACTGTGTTTCTTTTTATGCTCTCCAGTGCTCACACCCTTAAAAGTTCTTTTCTGAAAAACAACTTCCTACCAATTGACTCCACGGGGTTACTGAGTAAGAGCAACAAGAACTAAGAAACAATCTTTTCTACTTACAGAAGAGCTTACTACTATAAAATAAAAAATTGAGGATATAAGGCTCTCTGACGTCTTATTTATATTTCTTAAGCTTTTTCTGTCTTGTTTGAAGATATATATTTGTGTTAGATATTATTTGATAATGCTTTGCTGTGTTCAAATATTTGTCCCAGGCCACTTTATTTCTGCTGAAGTCCTAAGTATTCAGTAAATGATGGTGGTGTTTTCTTATAATTTCCACCTCTATCTTTCCTTCTTTTTTTTTTGGTTATGTCAATTCTATAAAACAGGGAAGAGAAACTGATTTGGCTCATTTTTAGTGAATGGGAAAATGACTGATGAAGAAGAAAATGACTGTGTGAAGAGGGTTTCACACAGCTGATGCTATTAATTCTACCTGGTTGAAGAGGTAACAACAGCACAAACTAGTTATAGCTGGGAGAAAATTATACTCCTGCTGAAAACAGAAAAGGGTTTCCTGGAATTTTTTCTTACAAGATTAATCCATCTGGTGTCAAAGATTCTAATTAGCTCTTGGTATCATTCCCACTACTGAGCTCATTTAGAAATTTATGAGGGAAAATTACCTACAAAAAGCTTTCAAGGAGCAAAGACATTTTCAATTCTTTCAGGAATGAGAGGGTAGCTATGGCCACGGAAATAGAAACTGCAGTAAAAGTCTCATAAGTTTGTGGACAATTTCAGGGATATTAAGGCAAAAATGAAATAAGATATAGTGAACAGATATATGCATCTTCATAGACTTAGAAAATAAAATTTATATTATTCCCAAATTAATTCAAATTCCTATCAATTAAGATATCTCCAAAAGGGTATAAATTTTATTAGCCATCTAAAGGCATCATTTACTAGAAAATATAATAAAAGTCTATACAATGACTTAATTTATAACAATTTCATATTTATCCATTAACTATTCCAGGGCTTATAATGTTTGAAACAATATTTCTCAGTATGTGTTTTATAAGATAATAACTTGTTAGATGATAATAGGGAGTGGGAACATAAAGCATTTGTGATCATGTAAAGTCAAAATGTATTGATTTAAAAAATTATTTTATTTATTTCAGTATTTCTCTGAGCCTTCAATAATTAATTCATTCAGTAACTGATGATTATGACAATTTTATAAAAACTGTCTATGGCCTCTGAGCACTTCCACCTCAGGATATACTCTGATAATTTGTGACTTTATTCTACTTTTCTTATTGCTCACGGTAGTCATTTTCTTGTATTTTTGTTCAAATAGAAAATATATTTTACTTGTAATGATCTACACGTAATTGTATCTTTTATATCTTTCCCTTTTCAGTCCTCAATTTAGCAAATAAATGAACTCACCTTGTCTAATAGACAAATGTTTGGGGTTATTTGAGTGTGTGTGTGTGTGTGTGTGTGTGTGTTTCTTTACTTTTTTAAATTGATACATAATAGTTGTACACATTTAAGGGGTAATTGTAGATATTTTGATACGTGCATACAATATGTAATGATCAAATCAGGGTATTTAGGATATCCATCACCTCAAACATTTGTCATTTCTTTGTGTTGAGGACATTTCAAATCTCTTCAAGCTATTTTAAGATATAAATTATTATGAAATATAATTTTTCATATGCCCTGCTATGCTATTGCCCTACTGTGCTATTCCTAGCTGTATGTGCCCATTAACCAATTTCTCATCCCTCCCTGTCTTTACCCTTTCCACCCTCTAATAACCATCATTCTACTCTGTGCCTTTAGGAGATCAACATTTTTTAGTTCCTACATAAGAGCGAGAATATGCCGTACTTGTCTTTCTGCGCTTGGCTTATTTCATTTAACATAATGATTTCCAGTACCACCTATGTTTCTATGAATGACACAATTTCATTCTTTTTTTTGGTGACTAATATTCCATTATGTATATATACCACATTTTCTTTATCTGTCTATCTGTTGATGGACAATTAAGGTTGATTCCATATCCTGGTTATTGTGACTAGTGCTGCAATAAATATAGAAATGCAGGTATTCTTTTGATGTACTGATTTTCTTACCTTTGAATAAACAGCCAGTAGTGAGATTGCTGGATCAAGTGGTAGGTTTATTTTTAGTTTTTTGAGGAGTCTCAAATAATGTAGTTTGTACTTTTTTTTTTTTAACTCTGTAACTTGCCAATGGGTTATTTAGCAAAGTAACACAGTCCTCACTTATTCTTTCATTCTTCATATGGTGGACACAAATAATTTTGTGTCAGGCATCCATTTCCAATTTCCTATTTTTGAACAGACTTTTATTATTATTTTTTAATGTATTCACTACATAAATAAAACACATAGTTTTTGATAAGATAGTTCGGGGAGAAGTGATGGATAAATAGGTGGAACACAGGAGATTTTTAGGACAATGAGATAATTCTGTATGACACTGTAATGGGGGATACATGATATTATGCATTTGGCAAAAGTGACAGATCTGTACAATGTAGAAAGTGAATATAAATGTAAACTATAGGCGAGTTAATAATAACATATTAATATTGGTTAATCAATTATGACAAATGTGCCACACAAATGCAAGATGTTAATAAGGAGAGAAATTGAAGATGAGGAAAGTGTATGAGAACTATCTGTGCTTTCTGTTCAATTTTTCTATAAAGTGAAAATTGCTCTAAAATATAGGCTATCAATAATAAAATAAACATGAAGCAATAGTGCAATTATGACATGGGCTCTGGTTAGTTTTAAATTGCTTTTCTTTGATGACTGCTATAGATCCAATTGACATTGTTTTTGTCAATCAAAGGGAAAAGGTAGTGTTTCTTATATTGGAAAATATATAGTTGATTTTTATCATTCATTATGAAAAAATTATACTTTTTAAAATTGCTGTGATAGGTATCTAATGACCATAAGAAGAATCAGACTTAGGATAAAGGCAATGCTTTATTTATGTGTCAAGTCACTGAGCAGAGAAACAAACCTGGTCTTTGATGACAATGTTTGACAGCTGAATGAAACAACCACAAATAATGCCCTACATCTAATTTCATGTTTTGTATCACAAAAATCTATTGCTTAAGCCACTTTAGTTAGAGCCTTCAGTTTCCTGCAGACAAAAGCATCCTAAATGATAGTACAATCTAAGTTTTTCTAACGCCTTTTTGAACATACTAGAACCATTGACTTCTATTCCCTCTTTCCTTAACTCTCATTCTCTCCACTGCTCCATATAATCTAGGATCTGAAAGAAACACAGAAAAACAAAAACAAAAACAAAATAAGCTAAATGAATGTCAAATGTAAACCAAAAAATAAAATTCTAAGCGCCCCCAGCAAACTGAATGGACCCTTCTATAGGTCAAGGGGACCCAAACAAACCTGAAAATACTAGTTCAGGCCATGACAGGAAGAGGAGGGTTGGACATGTCTCATTTTGCTCTGTTTCTCTTGGAGTTTAGACACAACTGACAAGCATTAACTTTAAAATGAAGATCTTAAAACACATCTATCCTCTTAGAAGCCTGCTAACTGGAGTCTTCATCTCTTCATCTACATGACAAGAACCTTGGCTTCCACAAGCTCCCCTCTTCTTACCTTAGCTCAAGCTAATTTCAACTCTTCAAGCAGAGCTTAATCTTTTTAACCAATTGCCAATCAGGAAATCTTTAAATCCACCTATGACCTGGAAGCTCTCCTGCTTTGAGACGTGCCTCTTCAGGCTGAAGAAATGTAGAAATGTATCAATACATGTATTGATTTATGTCATTGCCTGTAACTTCTATCTTCCTAAAATGTACAAAATCAAACTGTAAACCACTCTCCTTGGGCACATGTTCTCAGGACCTCCTGAGGCTGTGTTCTGGGTCATGATCCTTAACCTTGGCAAAATAAACTTCTAAATTGATTGAGACCTGTCTCTGATACTTTCTGGCTTATACCAATAATCCAGGCACCAGAAATCTACATTAATAGATCTAAGACCCAACACTTGTATGTATATGATATAGTTTGAATATTTGTCTCCCAATCTCATGTTGAAATTTGATCCTCAATGTTGAAGGTGTAGGATAGTAGGAAGTATTTTGGTCATGGGGGCAGATTCCTCATGAGTGGCTTGGTGGCATGGGAAGAACTACTGTTTATAAAAAGATCCCTGCACCTCCTCTTGCCCTCTCTCTTGCTTTGTTCCTCTTCCCATGTGATGCCTGCCCTCTTTTACCTCCTGCCATAAGTGGAAGCTCCCTGAAACCCTCGCCAGAAGCAGATGATGGTGCCATGCTTCTTGTACAGGTTATAGAACTGTAACCCAAATAAACCTCTTTTCTTTATAAATTACCCAGCCTCAGATATTTCTTTATAGAAATGCAAAGCGGACTAAGACACAATATTAAAGACTGTAGTGTGAAATTTTCATCATTCTGCTCAACTAAGTGCTTGCATATAGTGAAGATATCTTTGGACTTTCTTTAAATTATAAACATCAATATTAAGATGATCAAGTCTCATTGGAGTGAATTCATAGAAGTAAAAGCAAAAGACTATTTTTTCTTCATATCCTTTTTATCTTGTTATTTATGTTTATATGGAAATAAAGTATACATGAAATAACTTCACAGTACATTTTTGCTCAACATTATTGTTGTGACATATGCTCTTCTTAATTACTTCATGGATACTGTATATACACCAATACGTTAATGTTATAGTTTATTATTTTTCAGAAACAATTTGCTGTTTTTGTTAATCCAACTATTTATAAACACAATCACTAACATTTTATATTTTATATTATACATCTTCCAAATTCATTTTTTTGTGAAATTGTTTATATATGTGTGTGTATATATATCTATAGTAACATCAAATATTGACATAGAGAAGTACATATGACTATAATGAACAAATATACATTTAGTACTATAAATTTTACAGTAAAATTCATTAAATTATTGTGCTATAAAACCATTGTAAATAGTATTGTCATATTTTTAATCTAATTTAAAATGAATCTAATTTTTGCTTTTATCTTTTCCATGTATTTAATTATATTTTGACTGCCAGATTATTTGCACTTGCTTGTATCCAATAGGAATGTTTTCTATCAGTATATATACATTATTTAGGATATTTTTAGGATTGTAGTAAAACTCAATTTTAAGACTGGAAGATGCAGACATGAAAGAAGAATTGTTTTACTCACAAAATTTTCCTTTCATAAAAAGGCCTATTGATTTCTTAGTGGAGTGAAAACTAAGTTAAATAACTCACTGTCAGGTAACAGATGTTGAAAAAGATTAGCACGGTATTTGAATACACATTTACTAAAAACATATACATAAAACGCTTAATGATTCAATGTTTGTGCTCTTTTTGGTTTAAGATTCAAATACTTCTAGTCAAACTAGTTTTAAACCGAAAACAATAAAATGAATCATCTGAGAAATAAAATAAATAATTTCAATTGACAAAGAATGTTTCATAAGTGTATTCTTTTCTAGAGTATAAAAATTTTTAATTATTCTGCTGTTCCTACAGTATAATGACTACTGCATATGGTGGGCAATGAAGGCCAACTTTTCAAACTAATAAGAATTACTGATTTTAATCTCAACTAGGTCTGGCATCTAAACTCAAATTTCCTATCTTGAGATTATTTTACTCCTGTTCTTTTTATGAAATTAAGAACTTTATCAGTTAGAGTTCAGTGCAGTCAATTAATATCCCTCTAGTTTTATAGCAACAAAGTGATTTAATACATGCAAATATAGGGTTATAAAATAACTAGCAAAACTTGAAAAGTGGGTTTCAAGAGGTGATGTCCAAGAATGCCTGTAATGTTAGTTCATATTGGAAATTGAAATGCTGTTCCAGATATTTCAGTTATCTCTGGATAATCACACTTTTATGAATTTTCTTTCCAGCATGAAAGTGGCCAAAAGGGGCAAGGAAATACCCTCCTCTTTACTTCTACCTCTCAAATATTTGCAAGTGTACATGTTTAACAACCAAATTAACTTGGAATACTATAGCCACAGATTGGTCTAAAAGGCATAGTTTTGAAAAATTATAAAAACATCAAGTATATTTTTAGGTAGCAAGATTAGTAAAATATTGTCCATGTACAATCGCCCAACTTTATCAAAAGTATCAATTTTCTGCTGCTCTGTGAGAAACCACCTCAGAATCGTGCCTTAAAACAACATTCATTTGTTTGTTCATGATTCCGCTATTTGAACTAGATTCAGGTGGGCTGTTTTTCTGGGATTGTACCTGTAGTAACTAATATGGATGCAGGAATGTTATAGTCACCCTGGAGCAGGATATTCCCAACAGTTTTAGCTTCAAGTCTGATAGTTATTTTTTTCTAGTCCCTTTATTTCCTGAAAACTGTTAAATAGGTCCATAAGCATGATTAAATATAGTTTTAATATATTTGGCAAAATTTTTAAAGATGATGATGTTTACTGCTGTTTACTTCATACCAGGAGGCACAAAATGATTGATTCTCTCACTTTTAATAATGCTATATTCGATCAATAGAGTTGAATCAAATGTGAGCCTGACCCCTCCATTGTAGTGGCTTTCATCAAAATGAGGTTAAATAGCAATTTCCAATTGTTTCCAAAAGCTGTTATTTTATTTGAGTTTTATTTGGTATTTCTCACTTCCTGGCACAAACATAAATATATGCATTATTGGTGGGCACATTAAAATATTGAGTACATCAATTTTTGTTTCATTAAAAATTCCAATTGTTATTCAAGGGACAGAGAAATGATGTCATACATAGCATTGCATAAGTGAAAGAGAGGTTACAGGATTTTCAAAATACATAACTGGAACATAAGAATGCTAAACAATACCTTTCTAAATATATAGATATATAATTACAAAAACACACAACCCAAGTTGATATTCTTTTGGAAACACTTCATTCATGAGATAAAAAAAAAAAAAAAAAAAAAAAAAAGACAATGGGAGTTCCAGGAAGGTTCAGCAAACTTTTACTGAAAGAGCTAGATAGTAAATATTTTGGGCTTCGAGAGCTCATTGTCTTTATCACAACTACTCAGCTATGCTGTTGAAGCCTGAAAGCAGCCATCATCAATGTGTAAACAAATAATTGTGCCTAAATTCTAGTAAAATTGTATTTCCGAAGCACACCACAAGCAAGATTTGGACCACAGATGAAACTTTACTGACCCATGATTTAAAAAATAGAAATAAAGGCACAAACAGAATTATAAGATGCATGGCCCTAGACATTCCCTTTGCATTGATTCTCAGTAAAGTGGATGGGACCAAGGGCATTTACTTCCCCAGGTGGATGCTTTATAACTGAACTCAACTTCTTATAGTACAAGGAGTTTCCCACACCACAATAGTTGGACATGAGCTTGGTCCCATCTTCCCTTAGGTTTTCAGTTGCCCGGTGGCAGCAATTCATTAAGCTGGATGGGATTGATTCTCAGTAAGATGGATGGGACCCAAGGCATTTACTTCCCCAAGTGCATGTTTTATAACTGAACTCAGCATCTTATAGTACAAGGAGCTTCCCACACCACAGTAGTTGAACATGAGCATGGTCCTAACTTCCTTTAGGTTTTCGGTTGCCATCTGGCAGCAATTCATAGCAGTTGTATAATAAGTGGTTACCACTAAAGCTTAGACTCTCTGGTACCTAAACATTTATTTTTGCCCCATGACCTAAAATTCTATTCTCCTATTGTCATATAGAGGTCAGTCAACTGGAGCAAGGCACTCTTTGAATGGGTGGTGGAAAGCAGAGGATCTCAAGAAGCACTTGGATCCAACACGTATAAAGTTGTTCTTGCTAACTGTTGTAGTAGCCACACCCATTGTCAGACACAATCATTTAAATGTTCTATCATTTAAATGTTCCATGTACATCTAAATGTACATGGATATTACTGATGAAGTGATTTCTCTTAAAAATTTAGAGTTTTTTGGATATATTATCTCTATAAAATTAACTTTATGACATTTTCTGGCATACATTGCTTGTTCAAAATCAGTAATTTTCATATACAGTATGCCAACAGTATGCATCAAGAATGTGAGAGTTTTAAGCAGAAAAAAAATGAGCCATCAGTTCATGTTACTGCAATTAGTCAATCAATTTTCAATAGAGATTGACTGCATTTAAATATTAAGCAATGTGTATTATTCAGGAGACATATATCTTTTTTTCTAAATCACAGTCATGTGCTGCATAAAGACCTTTGGGTCCATGACCAACAGCATATAAAATAGGATCCCCTAAGATCATGATGAACCTAAAAATTTTCTATTGACTTGACATTGTAGCCATCCTAAAGTCATAGTGCAACACATTACTCATGTGTTTGCAATGATACTGGTATAAACAAACCTATTGTACTCCCAGTTATATAAAAATGTAACACACAATTATGTACAGTATATAATACTTGAATATAATAATAAATGGCCATGTTACTGGCTTATGTATCTGCTATGTGATTCTTTTTATCATTAAGGCATACTCCTTCTTCTTATAAAAAGAAGTTAACTGTAAAACAGCCCCAGGCAAGTCCTGCAGGATGTATTCTAGAAGAAGGTATTGTTATCATAGAAAATGTCTGCTCCATGCATGTTATTGCCCCTGAAGGCCTTCCAGTGGGATAAGATGTGGAGGTGCAAGACAGTGACTTTGATAATCCTGACCCTGTGTAAGCCTAGGCTAAGGTGTGTGTTTGTGTCATAGTTTTTAACAAAAAGGTATAAAATGTAAAAGAAAATAAGATTCACATATAAAAACCTATATAGAATAAGGATATAAATAAAGAAAATATTTTATACAGTGGTACAATGTGTGTTCTAAGCTGCACTATTACAAAAGAGTCAAAAAGTTTAAAAAATTAAAAAGTATAATAAAGTAAAAAAATTACAGAAAGCTAAGGTTAATTTTTTACTGAATAAAGCAAATATTAAAAAATAAATTCAGTGTAGTCTAAGTGTACAGTGTTTATGAAGTCTATAGTAGTGTACAGTAATGTCCTAGCCCTTCACATTCACTCATCAATCATTCGCTAAGTCACCCAGAGAAACTTCTAGTCCTGCAAGCTTCATTTATAGTAATTACCTCATACAGGTAGTTACTGCTTGTCTTTAAAAAATCTTTTATACTATATTTTTATTGAACTATTTCTATGTTTACTTATGCTAAGATACACAAATATTTAACATTGTGTTACAATCACCTTTAGTATCAGTACAGCATCATGCCTAGTTTGTAGCTAGGATCAATAGGCTATAGCATACAGCCTAGGTGTATAGTGGGCAATACTATCTAACTTTGTGTAAATACACTCTATGATGTTTGCACAACAAGATCACCTAATAACACATTTCTCAGAATGTATTACCATTGTTAAGGAATGCATGACTGTATTGAATTTAATTGTGGCTAACTGAATTATAGACCATGCAGACTCTTGTATTATAAGAAAATATAAAAGGCACTAGCATAGACATTAACAAACGAGTGATGTCAACAAATTTTAGAAGAAAGTATAAAATGTAGAACAGAAAAAATTCATGTATCTCTGATATGACAATTATGATGTTTTATTTTTACGCCCTTTATGCCAACATATTTATGTGTAGATTACATAATTATAAATGTACTCGGTGTACAGTTGCACAATAATTTTTAATATTTCATTTGGATATTCAGTGAAGTGTATGCTAACAAAGACAGCAAAATTTAATAAAGTAGCTATAAACAAAATATTTTATCCTCATTTCATAGTTCTGCTATTTATAATTATCTCAGTGTAAGATTAAACTTGCTAACATTTAATACATTGTTCAATACATATTAAATGCATTCTGTAATTAATTTTTGTATTTCTTCTGATCAGAAACATGTAACCAGTTTACCTTAGGTTAGGAAATTTTTATGACTGAAATAGAACAGTTTGAGTACTCTTTGTAACTTATGTTTTTAAGTTTAAATACTATTTGTATGTGAATCCTGGCTTTACCACTCACAAATGATGAGATGTTGAAGACATTAGTTCATTTGTTCATTTAAAATATCTTGATGATAATTCCTACCTCAGAGTATTATATTAAAGACAAAATATAACAATATACGTGAAAGTTCCTCCCCTATTGCCTAATACTAAATCTAAATTCACAATTTAACATTCACAAAATGCTAACTCTCATTATTTTTGAATCTAAAATAAAGTGGGAAAATATTACTAATTAAACAAAACACACTTTATGTGTCAGAAATATATGTGGTTTCTAAGGACTTGTTTATTTTATTTATGTTGGTAAAATGCTTAGGACAATTTTGATCATAGTATTTCCTTTTTGTACTTCTAATGTTGGTAGGAGTTATGGTGATTACTGGTACTGTTACTGGTACTTTATGTGTGTGTGCACTTGAGTGTGTGTGTTTCTCATTTGTCTTCATTAATCTTTACATTGTTTTAGCTATCTTGTTAACTGTTCCAAGATCTAAATTTTTTAAAAAATTGTATTTACCTCTACTTATTTTGGTTTCAATTAGCTTTTTTTTTTCTTGTTTTTAAAGTTACCATTTGGATAACAGATTTTAAACTTTTCTTATTTCTCAAGATAGAGAACCTTATAATTTCCCCACCAATCATATTTTCATAGTATCCTCTTAGGTTCCACCAGGGGCATATGAAGGGTTAAGGCATGGTGAATGCAATCTCTACAGGAAAGGCAGAGTTGGAATATTGAATCCTGTCAAGTTAAAAGAGTAGGATAAATACCTTGGGCACCTCACAGATTCTCCGTAAAACAGCATAAATTTAATCTGATTTTCATTATCTCTGTTTTATTCTCAACTCTGTAGTGGCCAATTTCAGGCAAGTCTTCTGTAGTCTCACCCTGCCAATATATCAAACAGTCCTCTACCAAGGACTGTCAGGAAATAACCTTACAGTCGCAGCTCCTTCTTCTCTGGCATCTGTCTCATGTCACAGACATGTCTCTGTTCCTAACTTTGATCTGTACCTTCTGTATTCAGTGGATTTCCCCGGCACCCCATTTGGTTTGGAATTCAGCACCCTTCATCGCAGGGTTGGAATTTCCCCTGTTAGTAAACCAGGGTAAAAATGGGATTCATCTCATGTGTTTTCCTCTAATAATTTTATAGTGTCTGTTGCCTCAAAACAGCTACATATTTTGCCCAGTGTTATGGTTGTTTAGCCTAGGGTGCTAGCCCAATACTAGTTACTGTATCATAGTTGGAAGTAGATGTTTCCCTAGACGATTTTTAATTATGCAATAAAAAGACTTTCCAAAGAAACATAAGATAGTGAAATCAATTGTGACCTATTAATAGACATGGTATGAATGTTTAATAAGAATATTATAATTCTAATTTGTTTTCTAATTTCTAAATTTTTACATCATTCTCCAATATGAACAAATAAAGTAGCATTCTAATGAATTTCTACATTATCTGTTTCACTGTATGTATCACTTAGGAAAACATATTTTCAAGGGGAAAGAAAACTTTCGTACATTTAGAGGTACACTAGTATGAAATGTTACAACTTGTATGAATGGTGACTTTAATTTATAAGCAGGAATTTGATTCACCTACCAAGGCACTAAAATCTCTAATAGAACTTGCTCTGTCATTATTATTCATTATTCATAAAGTGATGCAAATGGAATTAGAGCCTCAGAAAGGTTAGGATACAGATAAATCCATGCCCTAAAGAACTTGTAATTTAAAGACCCTTTCAATTAGCTGCCCATCACCCAACCCCTGGGCACTCATTAGAATAAGACAGCTTGTGATCACTATTCCATTTGGCATTCAAAACAGAAGTTATAATTCAAAAGTATATTTTAAAATTTGAAAACAAAATGTATAATACTCTGCTAGATCTACATTATCTTCTTAGGTTTAAAGTATAATATAAATATTACCTGAATGATTTAGGGTATAGCAGAAGGGTAATATTTTATTTCCAATTTAATGTTATGCCAGTTTTTTTCTATGGCAACTAGAACAAGAAACAGAGGTAGAACTACTCCTCCAGTATTTGAACAATTGGACTGAAATAAATAAACTTAATTTTCACCTGTACTTCATAGCTTAATGAAGATCATTTTCCCTGATTCTGATCACTGGGCACATGTCTACATAGTGATTTGCTGTCTTAGTTATTGCTCTTTTGTGACTTACTGTAATCTTCAGAAGTAAATGAGATAAATCAGAATAGTTCAAAATTTTATAGAAATTAATATCTTAACGAATATTGGAATCACTACAGCAACTTCATTTAGAACTTACCTTTCAGATTAGGGTGGAATGAAGAAATTCCTTATATAACATTAAGAATGTAGAAAATCCTTTTCTTAGGTTAATTCTGTTCGATAGATGTTCTAAAACAATTCTACTTAATACTTTATCAGTTGAGAATAATACGGTTTTCTTTTTAAATAAGCATATAAGTGGAGAATCTCATATTTTTCTACAGCTACATGAAAAAGCTCTGTTTCAAAAAAAAAAGCCAAACTATTTTTATGAGTTTCAAAGAGAGAGCAGAATCATCTCATTCTATGGAATTCTGAAGAGTTTCTTGGCCTAATGCTTCTGACAGTGTGGATAAAACTCCATCCCAAGGAACCCAGGGAGAAGGTAGAAAAGGCAGGGTTCAGGAATCAGTAGCTGAAAGCAGGCATCCTCTTGCTTGTAGGAAGAGTCTCTACTCTTGTTTCTGAGGGTGTTCCAGTCTTCCACCCTCCTTATTCCACACCTAGGAGGCATGGTACCAAAAATAAGGACTCCAGCATCACTGACTAGAGTAGAAGATAAAAGTTTGGTGATCAAAGAAGTTTAAACTCTTCTGTTTCTCTATTCTGTAATGTGTGATCTCTTTAGAACACTTTTATACAATTACTTTGTATTCACACTTTCTTGACTTTAACCTTCTTTCGGAATTTTCCTCTCTTCCAACTGGCATGGTAAATGGAGACTAAAGCTTCCTCTATCTCAGGAAGGCTCTTCCATATAAAGGTGGAGAATTTAGGCCAGCTGTGCTCTGTGCTAGGTTTTTGGGGGAAAAAATCATTTTATTTTGGTGCTATCTTTCTGAGAGACTTCCCCCAACTTGTTTTTCTGATCAAGTTGTAAAAGTTCAGGGGCCAAGATTAAGATGGGGCCTAATGGGATGCTTGGAGTGTCAAGGTCAAATCTAAAACTGACCACATTTGGGGTTTTAATTTCAGGCATAGGAGACAAAGCACTCTCATAACTAACAGTATTCTTTTGTTTGGAACATCCCTTACATTGTTGAGTTTTTAAATCTGTGGTGGAAGGAGTCAAGTGGAGAATTCTGAGAAGACAAGAGATCCTGACATTGCTAACATTCTTTACTACAAAAAAGCTGACAAAAGGAGATAGTGCAAGTTATTAATTTTCAAGTTTACAGCCAGTTATTTCAAATATGGGGATTTTTTTTCTATATTGACCATGAGAACTTTAGAGTTGAATCTTCAGCCTGGTAATAGCATAACCCTAAAATATCACACTTGTCAGGATTTTTTAAAAGTCTTGTAATGGGATCTTAAATTAGAAAAATTACTAAAGACTGCTTTGTATTTTAATATATTGAGGTACATCCTAATAAAATAGAAATAGGTACTATGCAGGACACAATGTAAATAATGTAATTTTAAGTGAAAGTAAATCACAAAACAACCCATGTAATGTGATTTAAAAAAAAAAAACATTAAATTGAAATATACGTGTGGTACATATAAATTTAAAGGTCTCCAAAGCTTTGCAAATTGTAAAGTCTAAAATATTGAATACGCTGGATTTCATTGATTTTTGAGTTCTACCTTACCTTACATTTTGCCATTTCCAGTGTCGGAAATGTGTTTAATAATAGATAGTGTATCACAGTTTAATAAGTACAGTTTTTTAACTCAATGGTAGATTTAATAACACTAACATCCTAGAGCTGAAAAGAAAATGCTATTCTTATCTGAATTTTCTTATTTCTACCTGAGAGCAAAACACAATCTCGTCACTTTTTCTCATTCCAGCACAAATTTTATGTTAATTCCTGTTGGTTTTTGTCTTAGGCATTTTCCTCTATTAACTATCCCAGATTGACTTTGCCCCCTACCCCCTGAGGATGTTTGTCAACGTCTGGAAACTTTTCTGATTATCATACAGGCATCTACAATTATCCAGTCTAAAATGTCAATAGAGCCATGTTTGAGAAATCCTGCCAAGAAACTTCTCTGTTGTGGGCAGCAAAATTTGTCCCCCGCCAAAATTATTCAGACCCTGGGGTATGAGTCGCATATAAGATAATATAGCACTTCACCATTTCAAATAAACACAAAAACAAAACAACAATGCAAATCTTACACCCATTGTGGTAGTAGTGAGCTAGAACATATCAACTGTGCCACCATTTTTACTGAAATAGAGTTTTTTTCTATTTTGACTTTCTATAGAATTTAAAAGCATTAAAAATGCTGATGCCTCAGTGCCACCTCCAGAAATTCTGATGTAGTTTGGGCATTGGGATTTTTAAAACTCTCCCAAGTGATACTAAGCCAAGGTGAAAAAATAGTTCTGTAATGTCTCTCTTTTTGTAACTAGATGGAAAAATTATTTTAAGTCGAATCAATGTACTTTGAACTCTAATATTAAGCTGATAACTTTTGAACATATAAGTTTAGAGAAATGGCATTTTATTTCCTAGTTTTTTAAGTAGGAAATGTTGGTCCCATTTCTTATAGACTGGGAGAAACTCTGAGAAAAGAAAATGTTGGAGATCCAATGCTATATGTTACAGCCCACTAGTGCCACACCGTCAATAGAGGCTCAAGAGAAATTCCTTATTTTTCTCAGAAAAAAGCCCAATGCCTGACTGATATTACTGTAATTTTGGGGATAGTGAAATTATATTTCCAGTGTGAATTCTTTAATGAAATATTGTAACACTGCTGTGCTAATTGTAGCACTGTAATACACCGAGATTGGTGTGTGTGGAATTTTTCTTTGTACTTGTAAGCACATTTATCTATTTAAGTGTACAAATACATATTAAGTGTATATGTGTACTTAACATTTATTATATGTAATATTTAAATTTACATGGTTTAAGATTATAATTATAATTCATATAAATATATATAATATAAAATCTGCTAATTTACATGGAAAATGATTCAATGTTTTATACATCTGTGCCAGAGTGAAAGGCAGTGTTTTTAATTTAAGGATAAAAATTTAGGGAAGAGATAAATAATTTAGTGCTAGGTCTATTGAGTTTTATTTGCTTGTAAGATATTTTGGTGGGCAGTATGATTAGGCAGTTAGAAATGTATAACATAGCTTATAACATGTTCAAGCTATTAATATAAACTTGGCAATGATCTATAGTCAGATGGTGCTAACAATTTAACAATAAGTGGTAGTTTATAGTGGCAAACTTTAAAATGGAATAAGGAAAATGGCAAGAGATGTCATTCAGGGGGGAATCACTGCATTTGTGTGGTGAGAGGTGAAAAAGAACAAATAAACACAGAAGGAACACTCAGAAGACAAGGAATACAATCGGTAATCACCTGCCACAGAAGGCAATAGAGGAGACTATTTTAAGATGAATAGAGATAATAAATTGGCACAATGCTAAAAGGAAATTAAAAATTATGACAAAAGAAGATGGGTTATTGACTTTGGCATATAGGAAGTTATTAGTGATTTTTGTGATAATAGCTGTTTAAATGGGTGAGTAAAATTGAAAGAGCCAGAGCAAACGAGTCAATAACTGAAGGCCTTACACACAGATTATGCTATCATATGTTGAGTAATACAAAAGGAAAAATAAAAGGAAAGTATCTTGAGGTGATAGCTGTGTACAAAGAAAGTATATATCTGCTTGCTTTAAAGATTTTTAATCCTTCTTTTAATATATTTAGAATATTGAAGACAGCTTAATTGTGAGAAAAAAAGGGGAGCAGTAAGACATTAAAAATGAAGATTAAGGGTTAAACAGATAATTGATATAACCTTAATAAATAACTTACAAAACGAGTTACTATTGCATAGTGGTGAGAAGCACTGGTGATCAGTTAGCTTTAGATAAAAATAGTTACTTCAACGGTAAGGGAAAGAAGTAGTGAAAATGCAATCTGAAATGTTACGTTAGAGGCAGTGTAATCTGCTAAGGGTGAGCTCTCTGGGTATCTTTTCACAGAATTAGTTTGAATTTGATGTGCATTGAATGCCTACCACTGCCTAGATAAAGTAGTAATACTGAGGATACAATGTGATGAATGGTGACAGTCCACACGTGTCATACACTCCAGTGAAAGATACCAAAATGTTTCTCATTTTTAAGATAAAATTTCAATATTTGAAATGATATTATTATGATTTTAAGGTAAAGTGATATACAGACTTCCAAAGTGAAATTAAAAAGTTGAATTTAAATTAATAAATATTAAAAAAATAATTTAAAAATATTGCATGCACATAAAATACTTCTAAATAAACATTTGGCAGAAATTTAGGATTCACTAAGAATTACTTTTGTGTGTTAAAATATTTTCTTTATAATTACCGTTTGTTCTTGAATATGAATTAAAAGTTTCAACTAATTTGGGGGAAAAAAAAACTAAATGTTTATCCTCAGGGCATCGTAATTGGCCAGAAACCTACTTTTTCAAAACTAGAAAGTACATGACGAATATAAATTAATTTTCTCTTCCAGCAAGCAATGAGAAATAGTTTTGAAACATCTCCTGCTGTGTGAAGCAAAGGCTTTCCTCCTCTGTGGGATCATGGCTGAGGTTTTCAGAAATCCATAATTAACACTAAACACTTTAAAGAGGAAGCCAAAGTAAATTATGATGGAATTGATCATGGTATTTTCCTTTTGTGTCTCCTTTTCCCTGCTATTTCAATACTAGTTACCATTTCCTTGGTTGCCTGTGGGAAATAACATTCATCTGCTGATCAAGCTAAAACTAATTAAACATTTCTATGTGAAATTTTATATGTGAACCTATAGAGTAAAATAAAACTAGAGAATGCATATCATACTGCAAGAAATAAAGTCTTCATTATGTGTATAAAAATACAGTTTTTTTTCCTTTTTTTTTTTTTTTTTTTTTTTGAGATGGATCCTCATTCTGTCACACAGGCTGGGGTGCAGTGGCAATTCTCCTGCCTCAGCCTCCCAAGGAGCTGAGATTACAGGCGCCTGCCACCATGTCCAGCTATTTTTTTTTTCTTTTTGTATTTTTAGTAGAGACCAGGTGTCACCGTGTTGGCCAGTCTGGTTTCTAACTCCTGATCTCAAATGATCCACCCGCCTTGGTCTCCCAAAGTGCTAGGATTACAGGTGCGAGCCACCAGAAATTGTCTAAAGCATCAAATTACTTCTCTCCTGAAATTAACAACTAAATGACTTAGTTTTCTATTCGGTTTTGATCTTGCAAAAATCACAGTTTAAGATTACACATGTTCTGTTCATGTGGGTGTAAACAATGTTGAATAGTCAAACTCTTCATAGGTACACAGGAGGATACACAGAAGGCTTACAAATCAGCCTCTCTTTCAGCATAGATATTTTCTATATGATAATGGAGTCGTGCTTAGAAGGCTTTGAAGTCAGTGATTGGAATTTGCACATTGTATTTCCATATTATTAGGTTGGTGCAAAAGTAATTGCGGTTTAGTCATTACTTTTAATGGCAGAAGCTGCAATTGCTTTTGCAGCAACTTACTTGTACGTGCTTGGCAATTTACATGGGCAACTTGGTATTTAAGTTTCTTCAGTGGCAATTAAAAACATTCACTGACTTTTTTGTAGTATTCATATAATCAATAGTACAAGAACACTAATAGTTGTCATCAATTATTATAAAAAAGTAATAGTAACAATAATAATGAAGACAGCAATAATAAAAATGAAGCTTCTTTTTCTTGTAATGCAAGGGCTAAATTATGCAGAACAAATTTGTGGGTATTCAGAAGTAATTGTTCATAATCTTATTTAAGATTTGTTTTTGAAATTAGTTTCTAAAATTGTTATCCAATTTGACTCAGTTTTCTGGTTGACTAATTGACCATTTATCACCTTCAGTACTCCAACAATGCTGTTGTTATCACCTCTTGTTTCAAGACCATGAGTGGAGAGAAACAAGTGCATGCTCTCCTACAGTAGAAAATGAAGTTACAATGGGGCTATGGTACATATGTCTTCCATCTGACTGATTTATGAGGGAACATAACTGAGAATACCATACAAATGGAAATAGACAACGACCTAAGTAATGTGTTCTCCTATGTAGTTATACTATTGCATCTAATTCAAGCCAGATTTAAATATAGACAGAATAGATAATTGTATAGGATTTAAACTTTGAGTGAAATTAATCATTCTCCAGGTAATTAGTCATTGCCAACCTAGAAAGATTTTTTTCTTTTACTCATTTTCAAAGGTGTGGCTCATTACTAGCCAATTATTAGGCTTGCTTGTATTCAATATCTTGTGAGCTACTTCTTAACTGTGTTCTCTAGATAAGAATTTCAATGTATTGGATGATCTTATAATTACCCCTCACAACTACGGAAGATAATATAATGTTTTTGTACATATCCAATGATAACAAGTTAATCCCTAAAGACTTTTCAGTGATATTTACAATATATATTTAATATTCTATAAGTTTCACTATACTTCAAATTGACTAAGATGAATGTGCTTGTGTATGTGTGTGTGTTTGTGTGTGTGTGTGTGTGTGAGAGAGAGAGAGAGAGAAACAAAGGGCGACACATAAAGTTATTAGAAGTTTAGAAACTGATCTCAGATAAAAGCACTAAAGATATGCAGCACAGAAAAACACTTTCAAGATCATCTTCTTTTACTTAGCTTTACATGTTTTTTTATTTTGCATAGTATATGGATATGTACCCTTTGATTTCCTAAAATTTTCATATAGATATAAACTTCAAATGAGAAAATCAGAAATAACTTATATTATGATGTGCTGCCTCTGAATGCAATTGCAGATTTATTTACCTTTCATAGGATATCATTGGCAGCTCTGAAGTCAGGGTATAAAATAAAGATAATTAAACATTTATTTGACTTTGCTTTTTCTATTGAATATAGACAGCATCACTCTATGTCCTGGCGTTATAACAAAGCAAGATACAGCAACGTACTTGGTAAAATAATTTAGAAAGGATTGATGAAAGTTTGATAATAGAATACTGATGTTCCATGATTGAAAGTAAAATACATAAAATCATTGGGTGGGCAAGAGAAGATTATTATAAACTGTCTCTAAATTCTTTGTTCAATACTATGGATCTCTGAGAATAACATTGCTATGCTTGCTTGGGAAAAAGGTATCCAGCTCAGAGCTCAACTGCGGTTGGTTATCGGTCATCAGATTATTCCATCTAGAAGACAAGAGATATCAACCTAACCTCTTCCTAAAGCATCTTGCCGGCTGACTGAGGAGTTTTGCTTCTCTTAAGCCCAGTAGATGGCACTTATATGCTATTCCAATCAAACCAAATAGAAATAGTTTCAACTGCCAGTCTCAGCTGAATCATGTCATGATCTGAGGCTTTTTGTTCTTTCCTAGAACTAAATCTGCTTTGTTAGTCTATTTAAAAGTAGCTTCAATCATATTGATATTTATTTTAAAACATATATTTACAATTGTATGCATACAAAATTATATGAGTAAAAAAGTTTTTAAATTAATTTTCTGTGCAGAAGGCCAAATGTGGTTAAATCTCAAGAAGAAACCAGTGATCCTATGTTCACTGTTGGTTAGGAAACATAGTAAGACATGACAGAGGGTTGACTTTATACAAATAAATCAGGTTTATTTTATTAGAATTGGTATAATTGACATACTTTATCTTTTGTACATTTTGAGGTGTATCTTTTATACATTTTGATAAACATACATTGTTGTGTAGCCACCGCTACAATCTCCAGTTCATTTCCACTAGCTCTTAAAGTACACTCATATCCCTTGTAGTCCCTCCTAGCTCCTTAGACCATGCCAAAAATCGACCTATAGTCTACCATTACAGTTACTGCCTTTTCCAGAATCTCTTAAAAATTAAGTCATATATTATCTAGGCTTTTGATTTGGCTTTTTTTACTTATAAATATATAGTTGCGGCCAGGAGCAGTGGCTCACACCTGTAATCCCAGCACTTTGGAAGGCCGAGGAGGGCGGATCACGAGGTCAGGAGATCAAGACCATCCTGGCTAACACGGTGAAACCCCGTCTCTACTAAAAATACAAAAAAATAAAATTAGCCAGGCTTGGTGGCGGGCGCCTGTAGTCCCAGCTACTAGTGAGGCTGAGGCAGGAAAATGGCGTGAACTCAGGAGACGGAGCTTGCGGTGAGAGGAGATCGCACCGTTGCACTCCAGCCTGGGCGACAGAGCGAGACTCCATCTCAAATATATACATATACATATAGTTGCAATTATTTTGTGTTGTTAGAAATATAAGTAGTTCATTCCTTTTTGTTGCACAGTAGTATTTTGCTATTTATATGTGCCACAATTTTTTCATTCACCATTTGAAGTACCTTTTTAATTTCTAGTTTTTGGTGATTAATGTATATATGTATGTATCTGAAAATGCATTTTATATTTTTTCCATTAACTCTTCTGGAGTGAAATTGTAAGAGATACGAAAAGTGTCAAACCTTTTTCAAGACGTCTGTCATTTTGCATTCACACCAGCAACAAATGAGAGTTTTAATTTCTTTGCATCTTTCTCACCACTTACTGTTAAGTCTTTTCTTATTTTTTTTTTTTATTTTTTTAGACAGGGTCTTGTTCTGTCACCCAGGCTGGAGTGCGGTGGCGTGATCTCAGCTCACTGGAACCTCTGCCTCCCTGCTCAAGTGATTCTCGTGCCTCAGCCTCCTGAGCAGTTGAGAATACAGGCATGGGCTACCATGCCTGGCTAATTTTTGTATTTTCCATAGAGATGGGTTTCACCATGTTGGCCAGGCTGGTCTTGAACAACTGACCTCATGTGATCCACCTGCCTTGGCCTCCCAAAGTGCTGAGATACCAGTCCTTAAACATTCTAATGTTTTACTTGTATCCATTGTGGTATAAATTTGAATTTGCCTAACAGCTAACAATGTTAAGCATCACATAATATCTTTGCCACTGATTCCTTGCTGAAGTCTCCATTTAAATACTTTTCTTTATTTTAGTTTATTTTTTTAGTCAGAGTCTCACTTTGTTGCTCAGTTGGAGTGCAGTGGCTTGATCTCGGCTCACCGCAACCTCGGCCTCCCAGTCTGAAATGATTCTCCTGCCTCAGCCACCAAGTAGGTGGAACTACAGGTACACACCACCATGCCAGGCTAATTTTCTGTATTTATTTTATAGGGACAGGGTCTCATTCTGTTGCCCAGGGTGGTCTCAAACCCCTGGGCTCAAGCAATCCATTTGTCTTGGCCTCCCAAACTATTGGGATTACAGGCGTGAGCCACTGTTTCTGGCCACATTTCCTTAGATGTATTTTAATTTCTTACTATTGAGTTGTCAGAATTTTTAATATTTTCTTTGTATTTATCTGTCAGATATTGGTCATATATATGTATATAAAATAATTTAAAGATACTTATTTACATATACCCATTATATAACCATTAAATATGTATTTGTTCAATATATATATTTTTATTAAATATACATGTGTATATGTGAATACTATATATCTCTCCCAATCTATAATTACTGTTTCTTACTTTTAACAATGTCTTTCCAATACAAAAGTTTTAATTTTGATCCAAGTTTTTCTTCTATTTCATGCTTTTTTTTGGTCCTGAGATAATTTTGTCCAAGCTAAAATCACAAAGTTTTAACTCCTATGTTTTCTTCTATAAGTTCAATAGTTTCAGATTTTACATTTAATATATGATTCAGTTGAAGGTGGTTTTTTATGTGGTGAAAATATGGATCAAAGTTCTTTTTTGGGGCATAGAACTATGAAATTCTATATTGTTTGTTGAAAGATTATCTTTTCTGGATTGAGTAGATTTGACATATTTGTCAAAAAATCAATTGACTATATATGTTTAAGTCTATTTTCACCCTCTATTCTTATTCATTGAATGGTATGTCTATAGTTTTGACAATAATATGATTTATGTATTACTGCAGGCTACTAGTAAGTCTCTAAAGTTGTTCTTTTACTAAAGTGTTTAGGGTCCCCTAGTTCTTTGCTTTGCCACATCATTTCTATAATAACTTGTCTTAAAAAAATCCTGCAGGGAGTCTGACTGCCAATGTCCTTCCTGCAAGCCTGCACTACCGGCAGTCTCTCTTGTCCTCTGCCCTGCCCTTATTCCATTCCTCCAGCAGCGAAAGGAGGACTGAGAAAAAGAGGATATGAGTGAATGTGAACTTCCCTGTCTTGATGGGAATCTCATTGTAGCTACACCGTCACACTAACCTACACTGGATATTTTGATAGCCATTAAAATTTTAGCTCATTTCTTATCAGCTTTTCTGTCAGGCTGTTCCTTCATCCCATGCTCTGCCGCAGATGAGACAGTCAAGTATTGTCTTCCCTTGACATAGGACCATCTTCCTTACCTTTCTGGCTACTCCATTTTCCTAGGATCTTACCTCTCTCATGGGTTAAAAACAAGTGCTGGCTTAGTAGTTTAGCTGGACTTTTCTCATTGCTTTTTGCTTTCTATATTACAGGTGGACACAAAATTGAGTTCTCTTTTTATTATTATTTTAAGGAATTAATCTATAAAATTGTAATATTAAACTATTTTTCTAAAACCATTTTAGAAGAGACTTTTGCAGTATGAGGGCTTGGGTATCAACACAGGAAATTTTGAATTTGCAAGTAATGTAATTATTGACTGATACTAATTATTTTCCTAAAGGACACATTCTATTGAAGAGATTATAGTTAACAACATAGGTGTAAGCAGGAGGAAATCAACGTTAAGAAGGAGCAACCAGTAGTCAACCTTAAAGAGACTATATTTACACAGCTCTGCCAGACATAAGCATTCCTGATTATCCTTTCTTTCCCTTTTCCCTTTTCTTCCTTTTCATTGTTTTCTTTTTTCTTCCTTCCTCCCTCTCTTTCTTTTTTTACTTCCTTCCTTTTTTATTTTATTTTTCATTTTTTCTTTACTTCAATTTAATTTTCACTTACTTTCTCCCCCTTATTCCTACTAGTCATCAAGCCATTTCTAAAAATCCATTCTCTTAAATGGTAAGTATACAGAAATGATGTTTTCAGTTTTAATTAGTTCACATTATAATGAATTAAAATATATAATTAATATGACAAATGTTATAATAGAGATATGAAAAAAATTTTTGTAAACATAGCATAATACAAGATTAACTGTACTGGAGCTGGATGTAAATTGATACAAAATTGTATCTTGAAGACAATTTCAGCAGGTAGTACATGGAGATAATGGAAATTGACATTTAACAAATTACACACAAGGACCTCAATTAAAGAATGCAACATACGTTTACAAGTGTGGTAAACTAGACATCCTTGATACGTAACACTAAAATGTCCTTGAAGAGATACCAAATTCAAGTAACTGAAGATAAGATTTTAACTGGAAATAATAGCCTTTTTTCTTAGCCAAGCAAAGTGTAAGAGGTGTATGAAGCTATGAACTCAGAAAAGTTATACAAATTCTGTTTCTCTTTACAAACTCTATTCTTGTCAAAATAGGTCAAAGTGTTGCATAAAGTTAAGATAACTTTGATGGTGCTTTCCAATTGAGAAAAAGCTTTTTTTTTAAAATTATTATTATACAGATGGCTTCCAACAATTTCCCCCTGGAAGTTACCAGAATATCCAGTTTCTTTATTTGTAATTTAATATTGTAACTTTAATTGTTCATAAAAATTTGAAGGAATTTGATAACAATAAACTTAATATATTTTTAAAGCAATATTTTTGTCTTTTATGACTACTTTTCTTGAAATGCAATTGATATAAGTCAAAGATACATTTTTCAATTACAAAAATGTAATAGAATGCATGCTACATAGTCTTATTTTAAGAAAAGAAAAAAGCACATATGAGACTAGTAGCATATTTTTTGGCATCAATATCAATATTTATTCATCTAATACTATTTAACAAAATATTTGATGTAGATAGACCATATTTTAGAGACTTCTTTTATGTCAAATACATTTCATCACAATGATAATCAATTTGATTTATGCATTATATTGTTCAAAGAAATGATTACTTAAAATCTCTCAGCTTGTTAATGGTAGAGATGGCGTTAGGTAGTGCTGTGGGGCCTGCAAATATAAACATAATGGGCTGCAAAGAGTTGAGCAAAAGGTAAATGAGCAAAGAATATTTGAGACAAATGAGATTAAGATGGGATGAATTTGAACTCATCTGTTGAGAACTTATGCTGTTGTAGAATACCCATATTAAAAATCAAATTCAGTTTGTCCTTTGAAACATTTTATTCCAGGTTAATTAAGAGTATTTTTAATAAGACAGATGAACAAATTAAAACAAAAAAACTTTAGTTTTTATAAAGTACAAATATAAAACTTAAATCTGATTATCATTGTAAGCATATAAACTTTGATGTCCCCTTTAATATCAATTATGTGTGGTATATAGACTCATATATGAAAACCCATGCCTCTTTATTTTATTCACAGTTCAAATTTTCAATTTCATTTTGTACACAATAAACACAGATGGCTCTAAATTTGGTTGACTGCTTCTAAGTAATTTTTATGTGGATATAATTTTATCACAATGACATCTCATCAGAGTAGCGAATAATTTAAGAATACTGTTGCAAACACATGTGTGTGTCTGTTTGTATATACATGTTTGTGTCTCTGTAGCTCTATTCATCAGGATACAAATAGTGTTAGTCATGATAATAGTAATTTTGTGATTTTAAAAATTCATTTAGCAAATCCACGTTATATTTTGTTAATATTTAAATGTGTAACATTAATAATAGTGAATACTGCTGAAAATATCTGCAATGTTAACTTAGAGCCATGATGTAAACAGAAACCAACAGAGACATATACATGCCCTGGGAGGAACAGCAACTCCCCGGCAGGAATTCTAAATTGGAGTTGGAAGAGCATTCTTTGGATCCAGTTTCAACATTGACTAGCTCTACGTAAGTTATGTAGCCCTTCAGTATTGCATTGTGTCCTTAAAATAGAAAAGGATATGTGTATGCTAGACTGTTTTTGTAACATACTCATGTAATGTTTGAGCTGAGTCATCTTCCTTCCAGCTTAAAACAATATTGATTATATTACAAATACAATGATGACTATGTATATATTTGTAATATCATTTATCAGTTTTCCTTTAAAATAATAATTTTTCAGTAGCTCATGCCTGTAATCCCAGCACTTTGGGAGGCTGAGGCGGGTGGATCACAAGGTCAGGAGTTCAAGATCAGCCTGGCCAAGATGGTGAAACCCCTAAAAAATACAAAAATTAGCCCAGCGTGGTGGCAGATACCTGTAATCCCAGCTACTCGAGAGTCTGAGGCAGAGAATTGCTTGAACCCGGGAGGCGGAGTTTGCAGTGAGCCAAGATCGTGCCACTGCACTCCAGCCTGGGCAATAGAGCGAGACTTCATCTCAAGAAAAAAAAAAAATTTTTTTTTGAAATGACAATAAGATTGACATACACCAGTATATGTATATCCTTAATTTAAATTCATTAGAAAAAAGGATACAAAATGTGAGAAAATCTGTTTTTATATGGATATGAGATATATACTATATCATTGCACTAATGAGAATTATTTCAAGACAAAGACAGTACATCAGTGTACCTATTTTATAAAATATTAAACATGTCTATGCTTTAAAATACTTGTCACCTATACTTTATAAGGAAGATTATAAAATTGAATTTATTCTCATAAGGATTTACTTTTGAGCATAGAATATAATTTAATTTTTAACTACAATCACATATCTACGTTGAAATTACTTTTTATCTTTGGAGGGGAAAAGATAGCAATGACATTGCTGTAAAAGCACATTTTCTTCCTGCACTCATCTCTAAGAAAAAATAAAGCCCATAATTGTTGTTAATGTAATACATGCACTAACATTGTATTTTTGCTATCAGTTTCTAGGCCATAATAAAGATAAATAGGCAGCTGACACAGCTTTGAAGACACTATTTCAAATGTCTGGCTTGTAAAAAATTCATCATGCTGTCTAATACTTACCAATGAAAGTAACTCAAGGACAGCTCACTCTGTACCAGCACTTCATCATTTCAAAAAGCTTACAGCCAAAGGAGAGTTTTTAATTGTTTATGTGATATATGACTTGATTGTCTCCACTCTGCACCTAGGAAGAACAGAGTAAATTAATAATAAGCTTAGGCACCACTGCAAAAAAAGTTGCTAGGAAATTCAAGTGATTTATATCATGGTTGATGATGCTTGGACATTAGATAAATAAGGAATATCAATTTTCTTCTAAATCTCAAGTCGGAATGTAGGTTTTCCAAATTTCAGTTGAAATAATCATCTTTTAACTATGAAGGTTAGGAAGAATACAATTGTGTGTTCACATTGATGGGAAAATGGCAGATGAAAATTGGATGACTTTCTGTACTATGTTCTTTAGCTTTGTCATACATTTATATGGAGCAGCAGGTACTGAATTTCTACAAGGAAGCAATAATGAAAAGTAATGCAGACAGAAATAGCTTGCCTCCAGCTAGACTAATGGCAAGGTCAGATTACATCAATTAAATCAGAAAGTCTCCAAGATAAAGTTCACTAATACATTCAGGGATTTTATTTTTCCCCAAATAGATGTCTGCTTTTATAAGTAGAAAAATTTCACTGTAGTTTCATGTAGGTAACAAAATACATTGAAAAACAGTAAAGAAAAAAACAAGTAAAGTTATATAACTATATAAATACATATATATAATTTACGTGAATGGTATTTGCAGAAAGCCAAATACCTTTTTTTTGGTAAATGTATCCTTACATTCATTGATACTGTAATGACATTGCTAGTAATAGTTGAGTTTTATTTCCACTCAGAAACAAATGTTGACCTGAGAAGTGCCTAGCCTAGTCATTTAAAAAAGTGCTATTTCTCTTATTCAATATTATTTTAAATTACATTAATCATTTGAGACATAGCATGCAAAGTTAAGAAATAGAGTAACAGTAATAGGTAACAAAAGGAGTAGGTCTGCATGGAAAATGAATTTTGGCAGTAAAAAATATATTTTTACTTCTATATTATTTTTCTTCAGAAATTAAAAGTAGTACATTGGCTTTTAATACTGCAGAAAATAAAGGAAGACTGTATCTAACACTTTCTATTAATAACCTTTACTAACTGCCTACTGTGTGCCAAACTTTGTTGCAAGAAATATAGAAAAATTGAAGATGAACTCTACATAAAGGCATCTCTTAGGTAAGTTAATAAGAAAAAGAGAAAAGCACACCAAGTAACTATTCTACATGATAATGCAAAGGTTTGAGGTAAAAGCATTGTCAGAACTGATGATTTTCAGTCAAATAATATGTGAGTAGATATATCCAATTAAATAACAATTTGTAGAAATTTGGAGCCTAAGAACCCTTTCCCATTATTGTCATATTAGAGTGTAGAGAGATAAATCATAACATTTTCAATGTACAATAGTAGAAAAATAGATATCCAAAATTTTAAATATGAAAAAATTTAGTTTATCTATGTAAAATAAAAGTGAAGTTATAAGGATGTGTAGAAATATAAATTATATATAAGAAATCTATAAATTTTCTTATAATTTTTAAACCATCAATACAGAGAGCACGTGATCATTAAAACAATGTTTCAATTATAAACTTCTATTTTTTAATGATTTTCTGTATATAGCTTTATGTATATTCAGTGAAGAATAAATGAATTTGAATCTCAATTTTTAATCTGTGAAGTCACTAATTGAACATGATAGCTTCATGATTTTTTCAAAAAACTATTATATTATCTTCAGCAATAACATTACTAAGGTACATCAGTCTAGTTCTGAATTGGGCCTAAGTCAATTAAAAAATTTTTTATTGCATTTATTTGAAACTTACAAAAATTTAAAGAGAGGTGAGTATTTATGTAAATATTTACTCATTAATAAACTTGCATTATCAATAGATTTGTAAGGGTTACTTAGTTTCCATTAACTCATGTTTGTATGCACACACACACAATGTATATATTTATTTTAAGTTTATTTTCTAATTTTCTCTTCTCTTTTTTGCATCCTTCTTACTGACTCATCAGTTTATTTTTATTTAATTTTCTTCAGAGGAGTAACTTATCTTGACATCATTACAAATTTTATTTAATTTTCTTCAGACGAGTAACTTATCTTGACATCCTTATAACTTGAAAAGTAACTATTAATAATACAATTTTCTAAGCAATTCTGTTTCTATTGATGGCTCACATTGTGTTTAACCTGAATCTCATCCTTTGCACTGTCTCCATGCTTTTGTATCTTTTGCTATGAATTCCTGGAGTACCTTTAATCTTGTTTCATTTCACTGGACTTAAAGTTACTCTGGTTTGAGCATGGTTATTATCTTCTCTGCAGGGTGTTTCTTGAGTCCTCCTGCTATGTTAGGTGGGCACCTGCTGTCCAGCGCATCTCTCTCTCTCTTTAACTCCTATTATTTTTATGACCCTCCTGGACGACAGGCTAATACAGAACAGACACTTTGGCTTATCTATTATTTTAGCTTCAGAGCCTAGCAGTGCTAGAAATATATAGTCAGTATCAAATTATTATGTATAAAATAACTAAAGATAGTATATTAAGAAGTTATTTTTCTTTATATTTTATATAGATCTCTCACCCATACTTTTTCACAATATGTCCCCTGTTTCTTGAATCCAGCTGACATCATTCTAAAATAGATTCTTACTCTCCTATTCCTATATTACCCCATTTAATTTTTTGTGGTTTTCTTGTTCAAGGAATCTTCTTCCAATCTATCATAGACACTGCACTCATAATAATTTCCCTTGGATGCTGAAGGTTTTAGCAATTAAGTTCAGCTGTGGATTGTTTCATTTTAAAGGTTTGGTTTTTGTTCTGAGTGAGGTAGGAAGCCATTAGAGGGATAAACAGTGATTATGTCCGATTTAAGACCGAAAAGGCTTATTCAAGCTGTGAAAATATAGGCTGTGGCAAGGTTCAAGTGTGAAAGTAAAGAGTACTGTTAGGATGCTATTTTAATAATCTTGAGGGAAATAATGGTAAGATAAGCCAAGGTGAGACCTGAGAATGTGTAAGAAGTGGTTGGGCTTTTTACATCTTTTAAAAGTATATCTAGCTTCAGAACTGAGAGGCAAAATATTAACAGGATATTATTAGTGTTTGTGACATAAATAGTTAATGATCAACTAACTCATAATCTACTTTGCTCTTCTTTTTTAATTAATAGAAAACTGGTTTTTCTGGAGTTATCAAAAAAATTTTGACTCACCCTTGAGAATATGGTGTCTAATAACTATGTCATTACTTATTAGGGAAGCTAAAGTTAAAATTATGAGATTCATCTACACAGCTCTAGAATTTTAACAAAATAACACAATGCACAACAATGGCGAGTGCTATGAGGATTTAGAGCAACTGGAGCTATTATACATTACTTAGAAAACAGTGTGGTAGTTACTATAAAGTTAATCATGTCCCACTAATCCAACTCATACTACTAACTTTTGGAACTAGAGCTTATCTTCATATAAAAATGTACATAGATTTTATACAGTTCTTTTGGTAGTCACCAGTGAGTTGAAAGAACCCAAATGCTGTTCATTTGGTGAATGGATAAGCAAAGTGAGACTTATTCACATAATGAAATAGTAGGTAGTAATAAAAAGAACCAACTATCAATACAAGCCTGGGTAACTCTTGAATGCAGTGTGATGAGTGAAGGGATGCAGGTTCAATGAATAAAGAAAGTATGAATTGGTTGATGGCAGAGGGTCACAAGGAAACTATCTGCTGTTATGGGAAAGCTTTACATATTAATTACAGTGGCTGTTACATGACTGTATACATTTGTTAAAACTATACATTGTAGAGGGCAAATGTTTTAGTATGTAAAATATATCTCAAATTCTGAAATATACATCAATAAATTTGAGATATATTTCACATACTAAACATATTTATTGAGATATATTTCACATATTAAACTATACATTATAAAGGGCAAATATTTTAGTATGTGTATATGTTTCACACACAAAAACATTTGCTCCAAGCCTGATCCTATGCATAAAAAGTTGTAATCAAAGCTAGGGCTGAATTTATCATATATTTCTAGTTTTTTAATCCACATATTACATCATGATAAATCAGTTCCAATTTTTGTTTAAGGGACCATTATCCCAGTGGATGGGGCAGGATAAATAAATATTGATGGGACTGGTAGTACATCATTATCTGCATTGCATGTGATCAAAAAGATCTTTATATAATAGTGAATACAGTCAAATTTACATAAAGAAACTTATGGGGTTAATCTTCTAAAATTAAAGATATTTTATCAAATACAAATACCTAATTATATTGTCATGTCTTAAATATAATATATATATACATGTATACATAATGTACATTGATAATTATGTAGCAATTCTCTTAAAGGTTGGGTGACTACCTATTCCAGTGTATGATTTATGAAGAGGTTCTGACCTTTGTAGGATTCCTTCATGTATTACGGAAATCTTATATAAGTAGTAACCTTATTCACAAAAAACACTTCCTTTACTGTTGGTTTAAAATACCTAGTTGAGGATTTTATTAGTTCATTCTCATACTTCTGTGAAGACTACCCAGGGACTGGGTAATTTAGAAAGGAAAGAGGTTTAATTAACTCTTAGTTTCACATGGCCAGGGAAGACTCAGGAAACTTACAATCACAGTAGAAACTGAAGGGCATGCAAGACACCTTCTTCACAAGGTGCCAGGAGAGAGAAGTGCCAAGCAAAGGGGAAAAAGCCGCTTATAAAACCTTCAGATCTCATGAGAACTCACTCACTATCACGAGAACAGCCTGGGGGTAACCGCTCCCATGATTCAATTACCTCCCATCGGATCCCTCCCACAACATGTGGGGATTATGGGAACTACAATTCAAGATGAGATTTGCTGGGGGACACAGTAAAACCATATTAAGTATGAGGTCCTCTAGTCTACTTCCTTTAGAACAAGTGCTTCTGTGCTCTCTCTTGCTCTTTCTCTCAATGGATTAAAAATTAAGAATGCAGCAGAGTTTACCCTAGACCCCCAATGCCTTCGACAACTTACACAAGCCCAATATTAAGACAAATAGTGGGATTTAAATTTTGACTTATAAACTATTTCTGTTCTTCCAGAACAAACTCACTTGCAGTTACTGGATATTTTTGTACATTAAGGTACATATATGATGTTCTTTATTTCTTGAATAATTCTAGATATGCAAAACTTTTATCTTCCTATATAATGGTCTTAAAGAACATTACCTTTGCATTAGACAGCACGTTTTTATATCAACTCACATGAAGCATGGGGTATTATTCATTATTTTCATTTCCTTTTATTGTCACTCATACGATAAACAAGGCATCATCATCTTGTCATTAAAACTTTTTGAAATTGAACTGTAAAATATCATACTTTGCAAAGTCTTCATATTAGTACCTTATATATCTGTGACTTGTATATTACTGTTTATATCTATCACTGATTTTTGTTATTTCCTAATTTTGTACTTTTACACAAATTATTTGGAAGTAACAGTTGTAGTTTTACCTCTAGTTGCTGAAGTACTTTCAAATAGATTATTTTAAATAGATATTAGTTGAACAAATGAACAGATACTTGCATCAACATTAATATATTGTAATGTTTTAAAGATAAATTTTGTTAAAATTTATCACCAAGATTGAAACACACAAAATTAAATTAGTATCTGGCCATAATCTGAAAATCTTTGATTTTATCCTTTTTGTTTTTGTTTTGAAATTTTATTTCACATTAAAGGTTAGATGTTCCTGTCTGTATTTTTCTCTCCAAAGGTAAATGCAAGTGTTTCTCCTGTAGGAATTCCATTTTCAATAGTTTTCTGGGACATTAACAACTACGACAACTGAAGTGATAATTTCTATTCTTCTTCCCTCTTTGCCTGTTCCTCCTCCTTCTTCATCTAAATTTGGAAGGTTTACTGATTCACTTGTCAAACTTTGATGACCAATGAAATAAAAATGGAAATGGGCGAAAATATTTTTGTATTCATATATCATTATTAACAGACATTTATGATTATTTTTAGATTGCTTACTATTTTTCCTAAAAGAACCATATTAATGGGATTTTCTGTGTATAGAAAATAGAAAACTTTCTGCCAGTATATCTTGTAAATAAATGTCATAATGCTTCACTAGGCCATAATCTGGACAGAAATCATTCAAATATTGGATGAATCTTAGATAATGCCTCTGGCTTAAATATTGCATTTGAACCTAATGTGCAGAAATGTGTGTTTGTAGCAAATGGTTTATGTTATAAGAAAAGAGATTACATTATATGGTGTATTATTTTCTGAAATATTTACTGAATATGTTTCTTTCTGGGAATGTATAGCCACATAATTTACCTATAGAGAAAAATAAAAGAGAATATAGCAGGTGTTGAACACCATGTTGTTGCATGCAAAAGAAATATTTACTTACAAATAAATTCTGTTTGCATTATCGAATAGGTTAATTAAGTTTAGTATCCTAGAAAAATAAAGAGAGATTTTAACTGCTCTCTAAAGACAGAAACAACTAAATCTACAGAAGTTGTCATATTCTTTGTGAAAATGTTCAGTGCAGAGAGGCCTACACTCAACCTTTTGTAAGCCAAGCAATCTCATCTGTATTTTAGCAGAAACATCAGCATTTTATAAATTTCAAGGTAAAAAGAGAGTATTGTTCACTCTGCAGACATACCAGCAGTAAATAATATTTATTCATATGAATCAATTAGGCTACATTTAAAACATCAACAACCTCAATATTAACTACTTTAGTATTTAAATCCTTAAGTAAAAACCTTGCATAAAGTCATCTCTTGGTTTTGCTTGCATTCGTACAGTATTAAGCCTATGGAATCTGCTAAGAACTTAGAATATTTAGTATTTCTAAATTAAAACAAATGTATCTGAAGAACTTTTATAATGAACATGCAATTATCATTAATAGTAATGTAAATTTGTTTTTAAGAATCAATCCAGCTTCCTTAAAATTATCTTAGTTTTGGGAAAAAGTCCTTCAAGTATGAATTTTATTTGAAGTTACTTTTACAAAGTTTTTCTATTATATATTACTACTATTTGAGATTGCATCATGCTGGCAAGAAGGTAAAGAAAAGGGGAAAGTGTAAAATGCTTTTCTATATAAATGACGTACTCTTGTGGCATATAATTTTGGTTAAAAATCAGTTGCAATTTAAAAAAGCACTTCTAAAATTGGTAAGCAGGAGGAAACTCAGGATGTCTTACATGTTTTGAACACATAGATGAGTAATGATGAATCACCCATAATAACAGGGAGAGATGATCTTATAACTATTTTCTGCCAGTCTCCCAAGTAATAATTTTTGTTTTATTGTTTATGTTGCTCAGCTTTCTGCATCACATTAAGTGTATATCATTTCGCTTTAGGAAATATTAAATGGTTTCACAGTAGAATAAATTGCCAGCTTTCAATCAGTTTTCATAATGTCCTTGACCACAGCAGGTAGTCATTGATGCCATGAGGTGTAGCTGAAGTCATATGGGAATTTGAAATGAACTGCATACTGAATTTTAAGAGAAAATACAATTCCTCTTCATATATTTGCAAAATATAAAGATGCCTTTACACACCCTCAACAGAATGTTTGCAATTTTCACTGAACTTGTTTCTCAATTTCTCCAATCACATCTGTCTTTTAAGGGGAAAGAGACCCAAAGCTCCATCCTCCTTCTCCCTGCCTCTTTGTACAACTCATTCTTCCAGATATCTCTGCAGTGCTTTTTAATGCAATAATTGAATTGCTTTTGGTTTGCAAAAGTAGCATATTAAGGACTGTGCAGTACATACTCTCAGTCCTATATATGAATAGCACTTGGTCATTTTCCATTTCTAATTGAAATGCTATTTACTATATGAATTAAAATATCTGTGGGATGTGGTAAATAAGCTTTTTCAATGCTGGATATTTAATATCGTAATTTAGTCTACTTTAATCTAATATTGCTTCATGTTTTCCTTTAGAATTGCATATTTTACTCTTTGCTTTGTGTTAAATTCATTTGAATTCACCAAGTATTTCCACACTACTGAAATGATATGCAAGGTATGCTAGCAACTTATAACCTAAATAAGCAGGTTAAGCAGGTTAATTGGGTTTTCACTTTCCCAATTACATCCCTGCTTATTTTAGTGAATATTGTTAAAGTATATTGATATTATATTAGCATCTGCTATATAATTTTCTTTCATTCATGTGCAATTTGTGGTGTTTGCCCTTTACTTTGGAGAAGCCACTCATTCAAGAAAAATTATATTTAACAAGTATTAAAGCCTTCTTTTCTTCACTTCTCTTTTTCATATGTATCTCAGATCTAATTAAATGTCTAAGAAGGTTGTGTCTCCTGTTTAAACAATTGACTGCATACACAGTGCTACCCCACTGGTTTATTGGGCTGAATTAAGTTGTTTATCCATTATCTCTTGCTGGGGCTGAAGAAATTCAAGACAGTATGGGACCCATAAAAGATGTCACCACTTAATGTCAAAAGCCCAAATAAAAAACATTTGATTCAGTAGATCTTTGTAAGGGTTTAGTATTTAATTTCCATGTGCAAATGATATCATCTATAATGTTGACACTGTTGTCCTATGATATAAGTGAACTGATCACATAACACAGTTTAAGAGGTATACATTGATTTATGATTTTTAGCATCGCTTTACTAAACTTCATAAGATACATGTCTAAGCAGCTTACTTTCCTTCGCTCACTTAATTGTCTAAGCAACTTACTTTCCTTCGGTCACTTAATTTCCAGGACATTTTTTTCATTCATTGGTCATCCATGTTCTTTATTTGATATTAGCCCTTCACAGTTGGTATTATTTACCGTGTCTAAGGAAAGGTGTCTCTCTCTCACACACACACACAAACACACCAAGCATATTATAATGTTGGAGTACAGTATTATGGTAACAAACTGAGCCCAAAGACAATACAATGGAGTTGTTTAAAAATATGCCCTCAATAACTGCAAAGATGGGGTTCAAATCCTGACTCTTATTTTTACTTGTGCGATTTAAAAAAAAATTTAATTTTGTGGTTAGATGGTAGGTGTATATATTTATGGGATACAGGACGTATTTTGATACAGACATGCAATGTGTAACAATCACATCAGGGTAAATAGGATTTCCATCACCTCAAACATTTATCCTTTGTGTTACAATCTAATTATACTCTTTTAATTATTTAAGAGGTACAATTAAATTATTATTGACTAGACACAGTAAGGTTAAGTAAATTGCTTAAAATTACATGACAAATTTGTGGGAGCTAAAAACTTGTATGATTTTAAGCAATTTATTTAACCTTACTGTGCCTTATTTTTCTGTCCTTAATCAATGTCATTGTAATACTACCTGCCCTTGAGGTACATAGTACCACTCATTACTCTAATAACGAGTGAGTTGTTATATGTCGTTATTAGAAGAAGACCTGCCATTAAGTACTAAGTCAGTGCTAGCTTCTATTTATTCTACACAAAATCTTAATGAAGTCATAGCTGTTCTAATACTATACAATATATAAATAATTTGTTCTTGGGATGGTCATATATCCTATTATGTTTAGGAAATTTTTAGTTTATCATTGTTTCCAGTGTAACATTGTCTTTGTCTAAACATTCATTCATATGATAATAATTCAGTGCTGCTTTTTACTCTCAGAAGTGTAAGTTCTTAGCATATGGTCACCCTATGATAACTCTACATCTTCTATGTAGCATGTACTGTTTTTCAGCTTCTTCCCATATTTCTTCAGTAAAGCTGTTCTCCCTCAATAAGGTGACTAAAGACTTCATTTAGGCTAATCCCATTTGACATTTTAAAATTCTTATCTTAAACTATTATAACATTATGAATGTTATATAGCATATAACATTGCTAATCAATTCCCCATTCTTAAATTCATCTTCCCTCTCAGAATCTGTATCTTTCTTTTTCCTGAATGTCCATTCTCACTTTCTTTTGTGTGATCCTCTTCTTCCCCTATTTACTATATATTTTTAATTGCTCATAGTTTTTCTCAGGTTCAGTTTTCTTCTCATCCTATATTACTTGTACCCTGGAACACGCATTTATAATTTGCACAGACTACCAATATCGGGTGGTTAATTTTAAACTACTGTCTGCTGATCAGTCTCTTTTATGAAGTTAAAACCCCAGATATTATGCTGCTCATGTGAATTTACCACAGATATCACAAACACAACCAGTTCAAAATTTAACTTGTCACTCACTTGCTGTGTGTCTGCTTCTTCTATATTTCCCATCTTGATGTTTCACACCATCATCAATCCAATCCATTAAGATATAAATATGAAAAACATTCATGTATCTTCCTTTTGCCTTACTGAACCGAATTATAAAGTGATTACTTTTTGTAAAATATTTACACGTTTTATTGTTTTTTCTTCTTTATTACATTAGGTTGCTGTACATTCTTGCTAGAATTTATTGGACAGTCTATAATCTAGTATCTCAGACTATAATGCTGCCATCACATGATACATTTTTATAAATTTCTGCAAGATTTATCTTTGCAAATGTCAATGTGTTTATAATATTCTTCTGTTTATGTTTTTTAACTAAATTTCCACTGGCTTCAAAAACCAGTCAAAATGACCCAGCTGGATTACAAGGCTTTCAGCCTTCCTCTAAATGTACCCTTAACTCCTATTTCTTCAATGAATTTAGTGTGTTGCAACTGTGTGAAAGATTATATGTGTATGTAATCTTATATGTATATATAAGATTGCTATATATATATTTACTATATATATAACTTCTCAACTCAAAATCTGCAGTCATATTAAAAACAAACTAAATGTTTTTCTCTAATATCTATTTTTTATTTTAGTCAATTCAAAAATTAATAGTCTATCTCTTTTCAAACCTCAAAATCTCTTTCTCCAGACTTATTCTTTTTTGCAGACACATACACACTTTTTCATATTGGACATGCTGAGCCTTGTTACTTCTATGAGCTTTTACCCCTTAAAGAGCAATCCAGGAGAAGCACAAAAATGTATAGGTCTAGTAGTAAGCTTGCCTAGATGCTTGGAAGTGATATTTAGTTTTTATTTTACATTATTTAATTCTCTATGGTAAATTATCCTAGAGTGACTAACAAACTTTAATCTGAACGTCTGTGTTATTGTATAACATATCAATGCAATCTTTCAAAGGGATGGCACAGAAGTGCTTGGTGATGACAGGTTGAATTGAATGAGTAATTTCAGAGGAGATCCTTTTCATTAAAAATGTACTAAAAATGTACTGAAAATGTCTCCCATATGTCATCAACAGATGCGTTTTGTTGATGTAGTTCACGATAGTCATATTTAATGAGGTATAAGCATATTTGTCAAACATCAACTAATTGGAAGTTCCCATTATGAAAATTTAATTTTCTCAAAAGACTCATGTTTATAAATTTCCCTAAAGTGTTCAGTAAACAACAAAACAATATAAATAATCAAAAACATGCCTTTACATCTAGTATACTCAAAAATGTTTGTTGTAGAATTATGTGCTTTTTTATAATTAGTAAACTCTCATATATATTTTTAAATATTATAATTTTTTTGTACCACATGGAAATTTTATTTTACATAAATATTTGTTTCCCTCATAAAAATTATATCAACATATATCAGTAGATGAATCTTCATGGTAATAAGTGATTTTCAATAATTTTGTTTCTTCAATGATGTAAGAATTTAAGCCCAATATAGAAAATGCCAGCATCAATAGCTTAAATTTACTTAGAAAAAATTCTATTACAGAAGTCCATTTTATATACCATCAAAATTATATTGGAATCTATATTTACTTTATGTATATTGTACTATGCCTTTGAAGAATTACTCAATTTTTATTCCATTTGGTTATGTATGCATGGACTATCTTGCAGAAACAAGATTCTTACACATTGACATGATCACAGATTACACGAATGAAAGAAGAAAGAAAGAAAGAGCAAGAGAGAGGGAAGGAGGGAAGGAGAAAGCAAGAGAGAGAGAGAAAGAATGAAAAAAAGAAAGAAAGAGAGAAAGAAAAAGAAAGAAATAAAAGAGAAAGAAAGAAAGAAAAAGAAAAGGAAAGAGAGAAAAGACAGCTGTAACAACAACAAACTCTAATCTAAGCAAGGACACACAGACATTTGAATTTCAGAAATCTTTGCCAAGACCAATGTCTTGAAGGGGTTCCCTAATGTCTTCCTCTAGTAGTTGCACAGTTTCATGTTCTACATGTAAATCTTTAATTCATTTTGGTGTGCTTTTTGTATATGGTGAAAGAGAGGGGTGTAGTTTCATTCTTCTGCATATGGATATCCAGTTTTCTAGAACTGTTTATTAAGGAGATTGTATGTTCTTGGCATCTTTGTCGTAGAGTTGACTGTAAGTATGTGGATTTTTTTCAGGGTTCTCTATTCTCTTGCATTGGTCTATGTGTTTGTTTTTATGCCAGTACCATGCTGTTGTGGTAACTATAACTTTGTAGTATGCTTTGAACTCTGGTAATTTGATGCCTCCAGCTTTGTTCTGTTTGCTTGATGGCTTAATGTATGCAAATCAATAAGTGTGATACATCACATTAGTGTAATGTAGGACAAAAACCTTGTGATCCTTTCAATGCATGCTGTAAAAGCATTCAATAAAATTCATCATCCCTTCAGGATAAATATACTTGAAAAACTGGGTATAGATGGAACATACTTCAAAATAATAAGGCCATATATCATGAACCTACAGTTAACATAATAAGAAATGGGAAAAACCTGAAAGCCTTTTTTTTATAAAAGCTGGAGCAAAAAAAATAATTCCTGTCTTTAGCACTTTCATTCAACAGAGTACTAGAAGTCCTAGACAGAGCAATTAGACAAGAGAAAGAAAGAACATCCAAATTGGGAAAAGGTCAAATTGTCCTTGTTTTCAGGTGATATAATCTTATATTTGGAAAAAATAAAAGACTCCACCAGAAAGTCTATTAGAGCTGATAAACTGATTCAATAAAGAGTCAGAATAAAAAATCAACATAAAAAATCGGTAGCATTTCTATACGCCAGCAAAGAACACTCTGAAAACAAAATCAAGAAAGTAAGCCCATTTACAATACCTATAAAATAATAAAATACTTAGGAATAAACTGACAAAAATAAGTGAAAGATCTCTGCAATATAAACTATAAAACATTCACAAAATAAATTGGAGACACAAAAATATTGAAAGATATTTCGTGTTCATTGATGAAAAAAACAATATTGTTAAAATATCTATACTACCCCAAATTATCTATAGACTCAAAACAATCCCTAACAAACTACCAATGACATTCTTCACAAATATAAAAAATTGTAAATTTATATAGAACCACAAAAAACTTAAAATAGCCAAAGCAATCCTGATCAATTTTATTTACTTTTGAGGCCAACATTTCATAATGCCCCCACTGATGATGATCGGAAGAGCTACAGTCAACAAATACTCATGCTGTTTATTCTTGGATTTCAGTTCCTGGTTCCACTGTTAGCAACTGTGAAATACAGCAGTTATCCTTATCTGCTGGGGATGAATTCTAAGACTCCTAATGGATGCGAGAAACAGCCAATAGTACCAAACCCTATATATATACTATGTTTTTTTTCTATGCTTACATACCTATTATAAAGTTTAATTTATAAATTAGCAACATTAAGAGATTAAAAACAATAATAATAAAATAAAACAATTATCATATACTGTAATCAAAGTTATGTGAAAGTAGTCTGTCTCTCTCTCAAAATAGCCTATTGTATTGTACTCACTCTTCCAGTTTTCCTTTAATCTTATAACCAAGATGGCTACTATCTGACTAATGGATGGGTGGGATATGCAGTGTGGATATGCTGGACAAAGGGGTGAGTTACATCCTGAATGAGATGGAGTGAGATAGTGCGGGATTTCATCACAATACTCAGAATAGTGCACAACTTAAAACTTATAAACAGTTTATTTCTGGATTTTTTTTTGAGTTTTAAAGGTTTTTTTTATACTTTAAGTTCTATTTAATATTTTTGAACCATGATCAATCCCAGGTGACTGGAACAACTGAAAGCAAAAGCGAAACTGAGGATAAAGGAGGATTGTTGTATATAAACATTATAACACAATAACTTAAGCAAAGAAGGATAGTGATAAGTCCCTCATTTTTCACAGAAAGAAGTTGTGGCTTGTTTTGGCCTTTTGTTTTAGTCTAATGCTTATTCTTCAACTTTAACTTTCTGTATTGTACTTCATTAACACTTTCTACATATTAAGATATTTTACATGTTATCTAAATGATATACAGTACTTTGTTAATGACTAAATAAAAACAGGATAGATGAAATGCATTACTAATGAGGTGACAGAGCTAATGTGTAAAAACATATTACAGTGCAAAACTGCTCATATATTCTCCTAGAACAAGGAGTTATAGTGTTAGAATTACACAATTATCCCCTAAGTATCATGTGCTATCAAGCATTTGTCAAAATTTACTTTTGCAGTGTACTTCTTTCATTTTAAATTAGCTAAAATTTTCTAAAAATACTGAGTTACTTTTCAAAAGAAGTAGGCACACGCTCATAAATTTTCATGTGACAGTAGTTACAATGCTATGGCATTGTTATACAGAGGCATTTATTTCTGAAATTCAATGTCTAAGTGTCCTTGCTTAGAATTTGTAGTTTCTGTTACAATTGCTTTTTTCTTTCTTCCTTACTTTCTTCTCTCCTTCCTTCCTTCCTTCCTGCCTGCCTGCCTGCCTTCTTTCCTTTCTTTCATTCTTGTAATTTGTAATCATGTGAATATGTAAGAATTTTGCTTCTGCAAGGTATTCCATGCATACATACCCAAATGGAATGAAAATTGAGTAATTCTTCAAAAGCATTACACATTGTCTGCCTATATTAAAATATCACATGTAATCCATAAATATGTACGGCCATTAGGTATTCATTAAAATTCAAAATAATAAATTTAAAAAATCACAATTGTTATGAAACATTTCTGGTTCTTATGGTGCTCACTAGTCATTGTAAGAAAACTTAATATTTTTGGATATTTCTAAGTGTGTTTATATTTTTTTCTATGAACAAGAAATTATAATATCACCATTAGTTGATGCTGTTTTAGATCTTGCATATTGATCTTATGTTCTAAAGAAATTTTCTTTACCTCACTAATTAGATTTGCTTTCTTGTTTCACTGATTATCTTCCTATTATTTTTTGCGTCAAGTTCTAAGCCCAACATTACAATAGACAAGTGTTGTTATGAGACCCAAAGCACTGAAGATCAATTATAATGTTTTAACTGTTATTACTGGACTAATTTCAATTGTCCCCTGAGTCCAAACAAATTAAGAGTTTGTTTTTAACATGCTACATTCTTTCAAGAGCAGATATTCTGAAGCTGCCAACTGTACACCAGTTGCTCTACAGGAAGTATTACATAATGTAGATATACATTTCTTACATTTTTTACCTTATTGTTAAGTTATTGTCATTTTATACAATCAACTTGATCTAGAAAAAGTTAATTTAAGAAGGTACAGATACATGTGGGCATCAGCGACTGGCATTTGTATTGTTTTAAAATAGTTAAACTGGAAATGATGTCTTGGGAGTGAGGATAAGTAGATAAACACATAGAGATAATAGGTACACATAAACACAGATATCCAGATGTAGTTTGCTGATAAGAAAACATATGATCTCAATTTCTAATATGAAAGATGATTAATGCTACTTTATTTAGATAGAGCATATGTCAAAGGAAGGTAAAATAGAAAGGAGATTTGCAGTAGCAGAAATAAGAAAATATGATCTATAAAAGAAGTCGGCATGTAGGTTTTTAAAACCCTGGGTATATTAAGGAACAATGTCCAGAAAAACCTGGTGATATATTATCTGTTGTAATGTAAAAAGTGATATATCTACAGATAAATTCACTCTTTATTTAAATAAAAGTATAAAAGTCCAAAAATATGTCATTCAATGAATAATTATTGACTGCTAACCATGGCCCACTGTAGATCAGGCCCCGTTCTAAGACCTGAGGGTACAGTGGTTAGCAAAACCCCAAGGCCTCTGTTGACATGCAGACTGATAATATTTTTGAATTGAAAGACAACTTAATTATTAAGTTGAGAGATAATTTAAAAAATACACTTAAAGTATATTAGGTGGAACCAAATGATGGTGTAGGAAGGGTTATTTACAGAGGTTCATCAGGACAGGACACTGTGATAAGTGAATGGGAGACTAAGAGTTTATGACCAAGAACCCAAAAGCAAATGCAACAAAAACAAAGATAAATAGATGGGACCTTATTAAACTAAAAAGCTTCTGCACAGCAAAAGAAATAATCATCAGAGTAAACAGAAAACCCCCAGTGTGGGAGAAAAATTGTAGCAAAGTATGCATCTGTCAAAGGACTAATGTCCAGAATCTATAAGAAACTCAAGCAAATCATCAGGAAAAAATAAATAACCTGTGCCATCAAAAAGTGGACTAAGGACATGAATAGACAATTCTCAAAGGAAGGTCTGTAAATGTACAATAAACATATGAAAAAATGTTTACCATTACTAATTATCAGGGAAATACCAATCAAAACCACAATGTGATACCACCTTACTCCTGCAAGAATGGTCATAATTAAAAAATCAGAAAATAACAGATGTTAACGTGGATGTGGTGAAAAGGGAACACTTTTACACTGCTGGTGGGAATGTAAACTAGTACAACCACTATGAAAAACAGTATGGAGATTCCTTAAAGAAATAAAAGTAGAACTACCATTTGATCCAGCAATCCCACTCCTGGGTATCTACCCAGAGGAAAGTAAGTCTTTATATGAAAAACACACTTGCAGATACATGTTTATAACAGCACAATTCACAATTGCAAAAATATGGAACCAGCCTCAATGCCCATCAACCAAAAAGTGGATAAAGTAAATGTGGTATGTATATATCGTGGAATACTGCTTAGCCATAAAAGTAATGAAATAATGGCATTTGCAGCAACCTTGATGGAACCAGAGACCATTATTCTAAATGAAGTAACTCAGGAATGGAAAAGCAAACATCATATGTTCTCACTCATAAGTGGGAGGTAAGCTATGAGGACACAAAGACATAAGAATAATGCAATGGACTTAGAGTACTCAAGGGAAATGACTGGGAGTGGGGTGATAAAACCCTGCACTTTGGGTCCCGTGTACACTGCTCAGGTGATGGGTGCACCAAAATCTCAGAAATCACCACTAAAGAACTTATCCATGTAATCAAAAACCGTTTCCCAAAAACTATTGAAATTTTTTAAAAATCACATTTTGCATTTTTCCTAAGAACATTATTGTGCTGATATTTTCTATCAACTTTGACATATGGTTAGCTGAATTATTAGTCCAGTTCTCCACACTACTCAACTCAGGATCCACAGCCTTGACATGGCCCATGTGACTTGCTTTAGCTAATGATATGTAGACAGAAGTAACAATGAGCCTTCCAAGCCTATGCCTTGAGAGACTTTATGTATTTCCAATTGCCTGCTTGTCCTTTGCCATTGCTATGAGAATAACATGTTTCTGCAAATTTGTTGGTCCATCCAAGAAGGCAATGTGGACCAGAGCCACCTCAGTCAACACACAGACCTGCAGGAAAAAGCCAAGCTGGGCCAATCATCACAGTCTCAGGTGGACTCACCCAGACAAGCCTGAAAAAGATCAGACCTGCCTTATCCAACACACAACAGCAATAATACTTTTTTTGTTGTTTCATGACAGTAAGATTGTGCTAGGTAGTATTTTTACAATAGCTAACAGATGCAGTCAACTATATAGATGCTCTTTAATTTAATCTCCCCTTTAAAAAAAACTTGAAAATCAAAAATGCCCTTTTTTATTGGAGTTAAACTTTTCTGCAATTTTTATTTGATGGGGCATGAAGAACTTCACGATGAATTGTTTGTGTGCATGTGTGTGTGTGTATGTATGTATCTATATATGTATACTTTTCAATTAGCTCCTTTTTTACACATCTTATAATAATTTAGTATACCTTTTGGATATAAGATAGGGGAAAATCTGAGCAGTGAACAATGAGTTATGTGCAAAATTGTCCTTTTCCATTCTTATATTTTGATGTCAGTCAAAATTTGTTAGATTTAACTTTGTGTCTCAGAGTAAGTTCTATCTATACCTCCACTTTTAAGGGTTTAGATTTTTTTCACCAGAAGGTTAAAGTTTTAAACCATAAGTGAAATATGAGGGAGATATTGTTTTTCCCAGGTAGTTTCTCACGACTGTGATTTAAGAGATCCAAATAGATGCCCCTTTATCAACTAAGAGCTATAATAAACCCTATGTTTAAGGAAACAAAAAGTTACTGGCCTAGGGCTCAGGGATTGGTTGGCATGACAGCTCCCTAAATTCACACGGCTATAAAACACAAAACAAAAGCAAAATCACATTCTTGCTAAGCTGCCTAGCAAATAAGAGCTATCAGGCAAAATATTGGACCCTTCTGGCCTCTGATTTACTTACTACCCAGTCTGATTGGACATAGGACCGGACTTAAAAACATTCTTTCCTGAAAAACAGCCACAGACTTCAAGTCAGTTCTGGCCAGCTTTTAGAGACTGTGCACACTGTCTTTGTGCCCTATGGTTCACTTTTTGAAGTAAGGAGCCAAATTCCACTTTATTTTAATACTAAAACACCACTCCAAAGTGAACATGAAATGTATGTTACACATGTTTACCATTGCACATGCACTTGACTCACCTTATAAATATGAATAATTTCCCTGAAACGTGCTAAATATTTATGTCATTATTGTGTAATACAGACCTTGTGAAGCCTAAAAGCCAACCTCTCCCTTCCCTCTTTGAAGAGTGTGTTCAGGTCGTGTCAGAGACTGTCTCTGTTTGCAAACTGATAGCACCAATAAAACTCTCTTTTCTATTACTTAGCCACCCTGATATTCCTTTTAGATGACAATGCCTTCAATTGAAATGACTTTCTAGTTTTTGACCATACTCAGAGATATCTGAATTTGTAGTGTGCTACCAGCCTAAGCCTTGATTAAAGAGCCCTGCTACATATGATTTAATCAGCATTAAACTTTGTTTTCCATAATGAAATAAAACAGTAAAGGCATATAAAATTATATAAGGTGATGTTGATAATGTTCTTGCATAGGATGTTGACCCAAGAGAAAAAAACAAAAACAGAAAAAAGCTTGTCAATGGATTTGTCATTGACAAAAAGCACATAGGAGAATAGGAGAATAAAAAGTAGTAATAAAGGTGTGGATGATTTATCTAAATTATTAGACTTAGATCATCTTCTTGAAAAGGGAAACAATCAAATTTATCTGGCAACTGAATAACAATAACCCAGGTGGAAGGAGGAAAAATATAAAATGGAATTTACACAAGTCTCTATATTACAGCATATGACAGAGATTAGCACAAGACATCCAGTGCTTGTAAAATTGCAAGAACATACGTATAAGTAGACATATGTTTACTCCCTTACAAACCTAAGGAAGAGGCCTCGTATGCTAATGTGTTAAATAAAGGGTATGATACTTTATATTTTTAATGGGAATGGTTTATTAAGACCATATAATTATTAAACTTAATAAGAAATTGGAAATATGGTTTTCTGAGTATAAGGGAGTTTGTATTAAGTTGAGACAATGGTAAAATTTATAGGCAACCTATATAGGCTTACTTTTCTCACACTCCAGGTATTGGAGAATAAACTGTATGGCACATTTTTTGAATCTCCTGACAATTTGGAGGCATACAGAGAAAGAAGTAATCTTTCTATCTTCTAGGTACTCTATTAAAAAATCTCAGTATAAAACCAAAAGCAAAACTTAGTCTTAAAATATTTTTTCTACATTTCCTTAACAGACATTAAGTGCAGTGGTTATTATGTACTGAGTATTTAACATGAGCCTGGTACAGTGCTTCATTTTCATGCATAGTTTCTTTCATTGAATTCTCATGCAGCTCTGTAACACAACATTTAATTAACTTTAAAGTCATACAACGAATATGAGCTAAAACAGCTACTTGAACCTAAATTTGACCCATCTTATAGCATTCAAAATTCAATGTGCTCAAGATAAAACTATATCTGAAACTACTTTTAGTGGTTTTGTAGATCAATACACGGTGAATGCAGTAGATAAATGAAAATGTTACTAAAAGTCTCCTGGAGAAGCCAGATATGATAAAAAATAAGGATTGCTATTAAATGGATACTTATTATTTCTTTGACAATCTCCTCCTCTATCACCAAACAGCACATAACGGCATATATTAAAAATTTTTAATGCTTATATATTATGTGCTGAAGATACACATCTTAAAACATATGATTGAGAAATTCAGAACAATTCTGGGCTATGAAAATCTCACTTGCTAATATCAACTAGATGAACTTAAATAGAACTTAGAAACTAAAGCCCATTGGATCAAATCCAGTCAGTCACCTGTTTTTATTTAAAAAAGCTTTATGGGAACACAGCTACACCTTCATTCATGTATTGTCTATAGCAGCATTTGGGCTCTAATGGCAGAGTTGAATAGTCACAAAAGAGACTTGTGGCCCAAAATGCCTAAAATATGTAATACCTTGGCCTCCCTAGCAAAAGTTTTCCAACACCAACTCTAGGAAAGTAAAACATTGTCCTATAATACCAAAGTTAATTTGTAATCAAGGCTCAGGGCTTCCTGACAGTCACCACACAGCCCACATAGGTGTTATTATAAGGTAGTAAGTAAAGAAAATATTTGCTCTCAGAAGCTTTTTTTTCTTGCTATCGTTTCCAGGGGTTGTGAGAATATGTCATAATGTGACAATGTGACAACTCTCGCTTTTGTGGGGTGGACTTGTTTTTTACATATTAACTAATTTTATCGTGGATCTATACAACATTCTTTGAAAAAGTCATACTTATTCAAGGAGTTTCAAGCTTTATTTAGCAGACTTATCTTTCATTTGTTGGTTTTTAAAGTTTTCCATAGTAACTCTTATTTTTAAAGTTTTCCTTAATAACTGTGATTGCATCTTGGTTGCTTTCAACCTTATTATTTTATCTGTCCTATTAGAAATCATTCCTAATGAGCAGTCTTAAAAGTAGCAAGCATCCTTTTATTTATTCACTTATCTGAATAAGTATTAAGCAAGTACTATATTCTATATGTATCAGTTATAGAGAATAAATAATATATATATGCTGCCAAGACAGCCAGTTAGTCAAATAAAATCACGTGAGTTGATAAACTAGATTTCTGTTTGAGAGAAGTTGAAAAATTATCCATGAATTATTTTTCACTGATAGTTGAAGGCAGTGTTTAGAAAACACGAGTATCTTAGTGTTTTCTAAGAGGATGCATATATGACCAGGTCTTTTCTAATTATTTTACATGAGGACATCCATCCTTTTCAAATAGTAGATTTCTGGAGATTATATTTTTTATAAATAAATATTGTAGGGTTAAGAACACAAAGAATTTTGAGACATTTTTGTTATATACATATTTTTAACATGTGAAATCTTATTGATCAAAAAAATGTAGAGTCCATATAATATTTTAAAATAAAAGTGATTATATAAAGGTTGCAAGAAAACTAAATTTAAGTAAACTATCTTAATTTTAAAATAAAAATAATGTTCTAAGTTTATGTAATATGTAATTCTTATGCCATAGGAATATATTGTAACCTCTTTTTAAATTATATCATTAGTGATTTCTAGACATATAAGTTTCCAAATCTCAATATTACTAGAGTAATAAAAAATAAGGTTGATCTGGTTTGCATTCTAAGTAATGGCAAACATATTTTATCCTGCCTCTCTAAAATAAAATACTGTGCCAATTTTTTAGGCTCTATAACCTCAGCGAATCACCAGGATTACAACTGTCTCAATCATGTTGTATTAGTCTCTTTTCACACAGCTATAAAGAACTGCCTGAGACTATAATTTATGAAAGAAGGAGGTTTAACTGACTTACAGTTCCTCATGGCTGGGGCGGCCTCAGGAAACTTACTATCATGCCTAAAGGCAAAGGAGAAACAAGCACTTTCTTCACAAGGCAGCAGGAGACAGAGCCAAGTGCAGGGGAATCTGCCACTTTTAAAACTAACAGATCTCATGAGAACTCCCTCACTGTCAAGAGAACAGCATGAAAGAAACTGTCTCCATCAACCAGTTGCCTCCCATCAGGTCCTTCCCTCAGCACATGGAGATTATCATTCAAAATGAGATTTGGGTGGGGACACAGAGACAAACCATATCACATGTACGTCATCTCCATGATGAAAGATAAGATGTTGCATCTTGCACCACATACCAGTATAATAAAGGCACATTGCTTGATCAGACTTCTTGGATTTAGGAGGCAATATATGTTACATCAGTTTGTGCTACTCAACTATTTCCCAATTCTTAAGGTTGCGAGAACTGAGTAGGAAATTGAACACAAAAACAAGCAAGTCTGCAGCAAATCTTCACTGCAAACTGCTCTCCTTTGGTCTTCCCCTGTAATGATCCTTGAAGTGTCTGTGGAAAATCAAACCTCTGGCATATTATGATACAATAATTGCAGGGTAGTTCTCTGTGGTTTTAGATAAATCATGTCTGCTTCTTCAAGTGACTATTCTTTTGAGAAACAACCTCCAGCTTGCTACTGGATCTTGGTAGAGATGAAAAACTTAAAATGGCCCATTATTTGATCATGAGACCTGAAGTGTACTTCATGAACTGAATAATATTTGACCCACCAAGCCTTATCTTTGTTTGGTGGTAACAAATTATTTATCAAACAGAAATGATATATGCACAACCATCCTGTGGAAGGTCTTTAAGGAACAATAAATAGCAAGAGAAAGTTTCTTAGACTCCCTTGATGCTCACACCTGTTGCTTTAGCTTAATCCACACTATGGCATCATGAAAAGTTATTGATGTTCAGTTGAACACAGAGAAAAGATCAAAAGGTACAAAAAAACTTTGTGCTACTTTACAATTGGTTCTACTTATAATATATGTTGGTACAACTTGGAAGTTCACAGCTATAATATCACAGTCCCATTCATGTGTGAGCCTCAGAGCAATAGTGAAGAAAATCTTCTAGTGGGTAGGATTTTAGCAGCTCATTTTGTTTTCCCCTTTATCCAGATAAACAGATGCTTAGAAGTGATGAACACATAGTTTAAAATGGTTTGCCTGGTTCATCAAAAATTTAAGAAGAGCTATATGATGATGGCAAGGAAGTATGCGAAGATCCATGTGGATGCACCTCTCAAAATGGACAAAGACTGTGAGATATTTGAATCCCATGTAAATGTCTACATATGGCATTCACAGGAGAGGAACCTTTGAAAATCAGTTGAATAAAGTGACATAGTTTATGGAATGTCAGATTTCAAAGTTTACTCAGGGATGGTAGTGGACAGGATACAGAAATCCATTGTGTTAGTCACTTGGACTCTCCTTCACCACGGTTTTATTTCTGACAAATTCCAAGTGGATAAACAGCAAAGAGCAATGCTGATTTCCTTTAATGACACTGTTTTCCAGTTATTAATAATCAACCTGTAACATGTTTAGTACATTGGACCCCTTTGATCATGAAGGGGCCAGAGATTTGTTGTACTCATTAAAATAATCATGAATTCTGAATATGAGTTGAACCTCTGCTCTTGTGATCCTGTTATCAGAACTACCACGAATGAATCCTTGGAATGCCCTTTTAATTGCCATGACATTCTGTACAATGTTACTTCAGATTAAGGAACTCATTCTGAAACAAAAGGAATACAGTAATAGGATCTTATATATGATACAGAAGGCTTTACTACATACTCCATCTCTAAAAAGCAGTGGTTTTAATAAAATGGCATGGCTCACTGAAAATTCAGTAATGGTGCTAACTTCATTGAAGGCCACAATCTGAATGTGTAATATTTTATCTTAAAGGATTTAGTGCATGCCCTGAATCGGGATTCAATATATAATGTGATATGTCTCTTTTTTTTTGAGACAAAGTTTTGCTCTTGTTGCCCAGACTGGAGTGCAATGGCATAATCTCGGCTCACCGCAACCTCTGCCTCCCAGGTTCAAGCAATTCTCCTGCCTCAGCCTCCCCAGTAGCTGGGATTACAGGCATGCACCACCACGCCCAGCTAATTTGTATTTTTAGTAGAGACAGGGTTTCTTCATGTTGGTCAGGCTGGTCTCAAACTTCCAACCTCAGATGATCTGTCTGCCTCGGCCTCCCAAAGTGTTGGGATTACAGTCATGAGTCACTGTGCCCGGCCTGTGATGTGTTTCTTATAGCCGGAATACAAGGGAGCAGAGCAAAAGTGAGAATGGCTTCTCTTACTATTATAACTAATAACCCATTCATAAAGATTTGCTTTTAATTCCTGCCACTTTGGCCACTACAATTTGAAGTTCTTGGATCTCAAAAGAGAATACTTCCAGGAATTGAAGCAACAGTAGTTACATTTAATTGGAGGTTGAGACTGCTACCTGGTCATTTTGTTTTCCTTTTTTGCTACTGAAAGAGAAGGCAAAGAATGCTTTGTTTTTGTTTTAGTTTTGGTTTTCTTATTTTGAATGACTGATCCAGAGTACCCAGTGGATATTAGTTTTCTGCCACAGAGTAGGGTCAGAAAGAATTAAGTCTAGCATCCAGGAAATATTCTCGGGCAATTTTTAGTAGTTTCATATCCAAGAGCAAATGATAGTAAAAAATTATAGCAACCAAAGAGAACTCAAGAGTATGTAGAATGCTGACCTTTAATGAATGAAGTTTCAGGTCACCCTATGCATGAACCAAGTCTACCTTTGGACCTGTCTGGGGGCAAAGAAAGCATGGAATGTGTAGGGGATTTAGAGGTTACTGATATTAGCAGTGACTTTGTAATCAGTTACTAAATTAAGAACCATAATAGCTGCACATATCTTCATTTCTTATGTGTATAGTTAAATAGATTTTTATACAATAACTTAATTATTTTTATCTCTCCTCATTTCCTTATTACTTAATAGATATTTTGTTGGAAGTTAACTTTATAATTTAATCTTTAGAAAGAGAATGTTCAGTTGAGACTGTTATCAGAATGAGAAGTAAGTAACATAGCCAAGAAATGGATAGAACTTATGACAATTGTTTCCCATAAATGAAATGTAATTACTATTGAGACTTTGTGTCTTCTCAATTTGGTGACAGGATGAGAGTATCTTTGATTCTATAAAACAGGCATTAGAAAAAAAAAATACCTCACGGGCCAAATTCACCCTTAAGCTTGTTTCATACCACATGCAGCCTAAGAATGTAACTGTGGCTTATTTTGTTTTGCTGTTTACATTTTAGAGGTTGCCATAAACAAACTAATAAACAACAATAAAAACAATAAAAATAGAATATGCAACAGACCATTTGTGGCCCACAGGACCTAAGATATTTACCACATACCTCTTTACAGAAACATTTTGTTGACCTTTAATATGAAGGATAGTTGCACATCTTGTTAGTGGAAGCATAAAGTTGTTTCTTTATTGTAAGAATGTAAAAACACATGAAGAAGTGAGTGCACAAGTTCTTAGTAATTAAAGAGTTGGAGTTTGTGTCAACTCACTCTTCTAAACATTAGTTTGGGATTTGGGGCTGAGACACTGCAATTCACATTTCTCTGGAGAGGCAGCTGTCATCTTTTAAAATTCAGCCAATAGCATTGGATGAGGAAAACAGAAAACTGGAGGAAAGAGTTACTCCTTCAATTTGTTTCTTGTTCCTTTTCAGCCTCTTGTTTTTTTTTTTTTTTTTTTTTTTTTTTTTTATATGAACATCGCCTACCATTTCTTCCTTCTGACTGTGACAGTGTTTTTAGTTTTATTTTTACTTTTTGCTATGGAGTCTTGCTCTGTCGCCAGGCTGGAGTGCAGTGGCGCGATCTCAGCTCACTGTCACCTCCACCTCCCAGGTTCAAGTGATTCTCCTGCCTCGTCCTCCCGAGTAGCTGGGACTACAGGCGCGTGCCACCACGCCCGGCTAATTTTTGTATTTTTAGTAGAGACGGCGTATCACCATGCTGGCCAATATGGTCTCACTCTCTTGACCTCATGATCTGCCCGCCTAGGCCCAAAGTACTGGGATTACAGGTGTGACAGTATATTTTAATGACAAGACTCAATACACTCTTTAGCTTTTTCCAGTACTTAAACTTGCAGCACATTTTGCCCTCCCAACAAAATTAGCCCTAGCCTACCAGTGCGCCTTTCAGAGGTCTGGAATCTCTTGTCCCCTTCTGCAACTTCAAGGGCAACAGCCCCAGCTGAGAAGCACCCCCTACTCAATGTCTGAGTGTCAGCTTTGCAACGGTTTTGCTTTAATCTTATAACTTTTAATAATTTCAAATACAGTTTGTTTCCTCAGTTCTAGGATGAGTAGTGGCTTCTTTCTTTTGATACCTCTATGATATCTTAGTGTTTTTCTATTGTCTTTTAAATACAGTTAATGGCTAGCTAATAATCCTTTGTACTAACTTCTCTTTATTAATAATTGAGGTTTCCGTATCCTGAATGGAGCCTGATTTAGGTTGGCATGTACTCCAATATGAGTGTCAACTTAAAATCTTTGTGAATTGTTTCTTACACAGATTGCTTTTTCAAATTGCTTTTTCTGCAAATGTCTGAAAATACTTGTCCTGAAGCCGTAATTTTTATGAGCTGATAATTTTAGATATGCAAGCCGTTGATATTTTATTTTCTAAGTTGCTTTCAACTAATTGCTTCTTTAGATTAAAAAAAGGTAAAAAAAATTTGGAAATTGTGTGAGCAAAGAAAGACGAATGAGTGATTTTGGAAAGCAATGTGATGATTCCTTCCTTTATAAGTGTGAATGTCCATAAATGGACCTCACAAGTGTTATTAATCTTACAAGAAAACTTGCCTCAGTAATACTTCCTCTTAGGAATTTAAAATAGATTGGGCATCATAAAAGCCCTACAGTAATTATTAAGTACATCAATTTTTAAATAGAGAACATACACTATGTGTGTGTCTATAGAGAAGTTATACTTGCTGTATACCCCTCTGAATATTGTTGAAACATTAGTTCTAGCCTTACTGAGGCTGAATATTTCTTTTCCTGAATGACTTATTTCTATTATACATAAATCGCTTTGTTCATTGGTGGAGTTGTAATAGAATCCTAATTCAATTGGTTAACTGTAGTTTACATGATTCTATGAAATAGAAAATTATGGATTTTTCACATACTATTTTTCAGAAAATGAACTTAAATAAAATTAGCATATGCTTTTTATTTTCCTGAACCATGAAATAGCCTTTATTGTGTAAATAAATATCAATTCAAGATAGAATTTTATAGCTGCAATAATGTATAGCACATGAAAAGAATTAGATACAAAAAATGACAATAAAAGTAAAAAATATATAATAGAAAGCAGGATATAACAAGCAAACCACAAGATATAAACTATATTCATTTGAAAGGATGTGTGGAAGATACTTTCTCAAGCTATTACTTAGAATTTGTACACTACATTTTTCATGACCATCACATCTGTCAAATCCTAAACAACTTCTCAAAGCATAACAGAAAGCAAGTGTTTGTTATCTCGTCAGTTGATTGGTATATGTGTTTTTATGTCAAACTATTTAGTCACCTATTCTTACCATTTAATAAGAAGGAAATAATTTTATCAGTAACACATATATCAATTTTGAACATGTTCAGTCTCATATATTATTCAAATAAACACTTTACTTCAAAGAACACATGAACATGTGGGAAAACATTTCTTGATATCTTTGCATTTCTGTAGAAATTTTAAATTATTGACAGAATGAAATATGATTTTGAGCATGGTGCATAGAGGATATGTATAATAGTGACTTTGGTATGTGTGAATTGAAATTCAAATTTGCAAGAAAATGCCTTGATTTGTGGTTATCTTTGCTTATTATTAATACATGCAAATCATTTTCATATAACAATACATTATACCGACAGTAAAAATATGCTTTAGTCCATATGTATAAAAGAGAACAAATAAATATGTTATCTATGAAAATAATGGTATGTAATAAAACGTTGTGCACTCATAGATGCAAATGGAAACAAAATCCTAAAGAATTATAGTGTCCTATATCAGTATTTTTTTGTTTTAAATAAAATCTACACAAATGTGAAATAAGAAAAAAATGTTGTCATAAATTTATGGTGGGTTGTGTGAGATATATTTCTTGCTGTTGGAGTGGAAGCTAACAGATAAGCCATGAGAGGAGGCTAGAATGATCCATTTGGTAATTTTTCTATAAAAATAACTATATAAGGAAACTTCTTGGAGAAATAAATGATAATAGGATTGGTGCATTATACAAGGAAATATATAAGATGGGCATGCAGCATTTTAGAGTGCCAAAAATTCAGTGCCTCTCCCACCAAAAAAAAAAAAAAAAAATTTGGATATGCGTTGTGGGTATGTCAAAGTGATACACTACCCAACTGAAAGAGTACTCTATATCCAATGGTAGAACAATTTGAGAACAAAAGTAGGTAGCATTTGATTATAAGCTAAAGTATAAAATATATATCAATGAGTCCACACTGTTTAAATAAATAGATAGATAAGGGGAAAAATCTCTTGTGCAGAAGAATTCCAAACAATATATGAAGATACTCTGCCCTGAAGAACGTGGAACATAACTTCTTATTTTTAAATGTGGGCTGAACATAATGTCCCTGCTTAAGAACAGAGTGTGGAAAAGTGGGCACGAAGAGCAACTTTATTATGGAGAAACCTGACAAACACTACTTCAGCTAAGTGGTTAATGAGAGCATCAGCAGTGATGTCATGTTGATAGCATGTACACCCAATATGGTGTGATGAAAACAGTATTTTACCTTCTTTGTCTTCCTCCCATAAACCCACAACCTTCATCTAATGATGAAGAAAAGCATGAGAATAACCCCACTGGAGGGAAACTATACCTGACTAGTACTCCTCAAATCTTTGGAGATAATCAAAACCAGCAAAGTATGACAAATAGTTACAGACAAATTGTGCTTATCGAAATAAGACAATAAAACATAAAGTAGTCTTCTGGATAAGATTCTGAAACAGCAAATTAACATTAGGTAAAAGCTAAGAAAACTTAAAGCATAGACTTTAGTTTATCATAGTGTATCAATATTGATTCAGTAGTCATATACAATATATCATACTATTCTATAATTTTAATAATAGAAGAAAGTGGGTATGGAGTATGAAAACGTCCTGGGCTATCTGCAATTTTTTTCTGTAGTTTTAAAACTACTCTAAAAGGTTAAGTTTATTTTAAAAATACATGTTTTGGGAAATACTATGTGATGTTGCCCAAATTAAGTAACCACATTTTAACATTATCTATTTCTTTTTATGTTTTAAAGATATCAAAATAACCTGTACAACAAAACCCCATGACACAAATTACCTATGTAACAAAACTGCACTTGTACCCCGAACTTAAAATAAAAGTAAAAAAAGTGGTATCACTTAAAAATATTATTTTACACTTTTATAAGGGATTCAATTAATCTGTTATCAAAGGAAGAACTATTGATTTATTATTCTCATTCAGACAAAGTGCTTCATCCTTGTGAACATTAAATTTCTCATGGGTAAAATTAATATATTAATTGCTTTACCCTAAAGTTGTTGAGAAATTTAATGGTATCATAGGTATTAAAAGACTTAGAAAATTATAATGTGCTATACAAGTTGTATATATAATTTCTCCCTTCAGATTCTTAACACTGATATATTATACTCAGTATTTATTACTATTTTGAATATCACTAAATGTTTATTATTTTTATGGATATACTGAAATAATTTAATATTTGCTTAATGTAGAAAGCTCCATTATAAAAAAATCCATAACATATTGTATTAATAAAGAAACTCCATTATAAATATGCTGGCTTCTAGCATACCATTCTTTTGATTTTCTCTGCATCTAAGTTTTTCTTGTTTGTTACTTACCTTCAAAAATGCTAAATAAAAGAAATCCCAGAGAGTATGTTTTTCTCCTTGTCTCTCTACATATTTGTTTCACACATATCCATGAATTTATAAAAAATTATCATTTTACGACTGCTGTATATACAGGGTTCTGCCCATCTAACTCTTTACATATCATCACTGTTTAGGTATGTACAATACATCTCAATTTAATATGTTCAAAGTAAAGATTTTACTCCTCTCCAATCTCTTTCCTTACCTAAGCATTCACAACTCAATTAATGGCATGAAATTTCTCCCATCTATATTCATCCCTGAATCTAGTGGTTATTCTCAACTCTTCTATTTTTTATAACTTTTATTCAAATATCACCAAGTCCTGTTTACTTTAAAAAAATTCCAAATGTGACCACCTTTCACCAACTATTATCGTCATACTCCAAATCCATTTTCATGTCATCTACACTCTACTTATTCTTTGTATTTTCTACATCTTATCCCTTCATAGCCATTATAATCATAATTATGATTTTTGCTCAAAACCATCAAACCTTTTACAAAATAAAATTTAAAATCTTTCTCAAAGACTGTACATTCTTACATGATATAACCCTATTGATCTTTTTGTTTTTTCTTATTTTTTTTCCTAATGCAACTCTCATTTTCACACATTCTTCCCCAGATACACTGACTCTTGCTGAACTAGAAAAATGTCAAACTCATGAGTGCTTTATATCCTTTGCCTTTGCATTTACTGTGGAGACTTCTGAAATTGTCTCACCAAAATATGTCATGGCTCTTTTTGTCATTTTAACTATGTCTTTTCTTAGAGACTTTGTAGTTCATCCTATATAACTTGACACCCTGCCCATACAAAATCTCTTTTTTCTTTTTTCCCTGCTATTATGAAAATAAAGAGAACAAATGTATATGTTAGGTTGGAAGCTCTGTAAAATTTGCACACAAGATCAAATGGAGAAGCACACATATGGCCCATAACAAGTCACAGCATTTCTTAGTGCCATATATCTTATCAAAATATTATATGCATGTATAATGTAATATCACAGCCAACGTTTTTAAAACATATATGCAGAACAAATATGCAGAGATATATTGATAGCTTGTACAAGTTATAGGGGTTCTCTTACTATTTATTTTATTTTATTGTGGTAACAACACTTAACGAAGATCTAATCTTAAACTTTTAAGCTTACAATACTGTATTGTTGATAACATAGGCGGGATGTTGCAGAGCAGATCTCTAGATTTTGTTAATCTTGCTTTACTGAAACTTCCTGCCCCTTGATTAGTAACTCCCCATTTTCACCTTCTTCCAGCCTCTGGTAACCACCACTCCACTCTGGTCCTATGAATCTGACTGTTTGAGATAGTTCATGTAAGTGGAATTATGCAGTATTTGTCTTTCTGTGCCTGGCCTATTTTACGTAGCATATGGTCCTTCAAAGTTCATTTATATTATCACATATTACAAAATTTCCATAATTTTTAAGGTTTAAAAGTGTTCTGGCTGGGCATGGTGTCTCTAGTCCCAGCACTTTGAGAGGAGGCAGATTGCTGGAATGCAGGAGTTCGAGACTAGCCTGCACAACATAGTGAAAGCCCGTTTCTACAAAAAATACAAAATTAGCTGGGCATAGTGGTGCATGCCTGTAGTCCCAGGTACCCAGAGCACCGAGGCAGGAGGATCACTTGAGCTCAGGAGTTCCAGACTGCAGTGAACCATTATTCTATTTTTTGTATTTTTAGTAGAGGTGGGGTTTTGCCATGTTGCCCAGACTGGTCTAGAACTCCTCAGCTCAGGCAATCTGCCCACCTCGGCCTCCTAAAATGATAGGATTATAGGCGTGAGCCACTGCGCCCGGCCTTGTGCTTGGCTCCTTTAATTCAGCAAAATGAGTCTGAGATTAACTCACGTTGTTATATGTATCAGAAGTTCATTTCTATCTCTTGATAAGTAGCATTTCAAAATATGGGCATATAAGTATTGTTTGTCCTTTCACTTGTTGATAGATTGTTGGGACATGTCAGGTTTTGGCTTTTGGAAATAAAACTGTTGTGAATATTTGAGTACAAGTCTTTGTACAAATACAGGCTTTTGATTCCTTTTTAAATAACAAAAAGTGAAATGGCGAAATGAAAAACAACTGTACAATGTTGTACCACAGTTGTTTCACTTAGTTCCTTACCTTGAATTATGCACGTCTTTTCAATTTTAGCAACTCCAATGAGTATGTAATGATAGCTTATGGTTATTTTAATTTGCATTTCCCTGATGTTGACAATCTATTTTTTCTGTCTATTGGGTATTTTTTTCATAAGCTTTTTCAACATGTTTGGTAATATTTCATTGTGTTACTTGTATTCTCATTATTGGTTAATTATTTTAGAAATTACATATGCATTAATAATCAGATGCATGTATTGCTAATAATTTCCTACTGCCATTTTTTCTTTTTAATAATATTATTTAAAGAACAATAGTTTTTGATGTTTATAAAGTTATAATTTGATACTTATATAAGAATCATATTTTATTTTACAGTTTCTTCTGCAAGTTTTGTGTTTTAGTTGTGATATTTGGGTTTATGGTCCATTTCAATTCATTTTGCTTATGATGTAAGATTATATTTATATTCTTTTTTGCCATAGAATCATCCAGTTTTTCCAGAATATTTTGTTTAAAGATTTTCCTTCCCCCATTATTTTGCTTTGACACTTTTGCTGAAAATCAATTGATCATAAATGTGCAGTTCTTTTTCTGGGCACTTTATCCTGTTTCATTCATCAAAATGTCAATAATTTCACCATCACAGCACTGTCTTAATTGCTCTATAATTATAGTAAACTGGGAAATCATGTTGGTTAAGTCCTCATTTGTCAGATTAAGTCTTTTTAGAATTTAACTTTTTTTACAATAGTTTATTGTCATGATACGCACAGAATCAGATGCACATGCTTAGTCAATTTTATCATTTCAGATTTTTTTCTTTTTAATACAAGATTCTTTTCAAGTAGTATCATTTTTGCAGGCTATTAATGACAACAATTTCTATTCACTTGCACAAGTCTGTGACCTCTATTGGTCTAACTTAGTAGTATAGTCTTGGGTAAGGCAGTGACCTGATCCTACATTATGATCCTTAGCTACAGTCCGATACTCTCTAGAAATATAGTTCAGTTAACTTTGGGGTAATTTATTCTATGGCAAACCTCCTTGCCTAACATTGAGCCCATATCATGAGTTACCTAGTTCTATGGCTAGTTATTATTCTGTCATCATTATGTCATATCTCCACTGGAACTGTCCTCTTCTCTGACATGAAGTCCCATCAGGAAATTAGATATTTTTATCAGATAGTTAATAACATAAGCAAGGTTTTTGCAAACTAGGTTCCACAGGCCCAATCTAGATCACTGCAGTTTATAAAATATTTTATTGGAATACAGCCATGCTCATTCATTTATGAATTTTCTATGGCTGCTTTCACACTACAATGGCAAAGTTGAGTTACTTCAATAAACATCATATAGCCTGTGATATGGGTTGGCTCTGTGTCCCCACCCAAATCTCATATCGAATTGTAATCTCCACGTGTTGAGGGAGGGACCTGGTGAGAAGTGATTGGATCATTGGAGCAGTTTCACCTACGCTGTTCTCATTATGGTGGGTGAGTTCTCATGAGATCTGATGGTTTAAAAGTGTGGCACCTCCCCCGTCATTCTCTCTCTCCTGCTCTGCCACTGTAAAGATGTGTGTGCTTCCCCTTCACCTTCTGCCATGATTGTGAAGTTTCCTGAGGCCTTCAAAATATGCTTTCTATTCAGCCTGTGGAACTGTGAGTCATTTAAACCTTTTTTAAAATAAATTACCCAGTCTCAGGTAGTTCTTTATAACAGACTAATACAGCCTGTAAAGCTTTAAATATTTACTGTCATAATCTTCACAGGAAAATTAAAAATTTTCATCCATGATTGACATCAGGAAGTCATTTCTGTATCCAAAAATGATGATGCTTTTGTAGCCAGCTGAGACTTCAGGGGCCCAGCTAGACTTGTGATTGCACTATTATTCCATTTTATGATAGAACTTTCTGGTACTTACCCTACCTTTAATATCTTAGTTCAGAGAAAACTCTTGCAAGATAGATATGTCTGGGCAAATCATCTATCTCCACTAGGGCCCTATAACAAACCAGTAATTTTTTCTCAAAATGTATATATTATTCAATGGCTGGATAAAAACTTTAAGTTCAGAAATTAAAAGTCAAGAGAATTCCAAGAAAGTTTAATTGTCAGAGACTCCAGTAAGATGTAAAATCAGTCATAGAAACTTGCAGTTCTAATATGTGTGAAAGACACAGGGATGGAAAGCTTAGGCCTGCCTGCTTTACAGCTACTTGGAAGCTTCCTGTTTTGGATACTACTACTCACTAGAGGCCTGCCTGGTAAGATGCTATAAGGACTCTCATAAAATTCTTAAATGTGAGATGTGTTCTTTTTAATACCATGGAGAACTATCAAGTGTTGTAAAAAATCAATAAACCGTTATCAACATCTCAAAAAAATAGATTGAGTTTGTGAGTGGAAAGCCTAAGGAATGGTGTTCCTAAATAGAGTTGAGAATTGAAAAACAAAAATACCAATATTTGGAAAATATCCATGTTTATGACTAAAAATTTATTTTCATATTTGGTTGTATATCTCTTAGATTAAATATGTTAATTAGGTGATTAAAGTCTAGATTCTTACAAATTTTGTCTGTTTTACTTACTAGTTTTTGAGGAATATTATTAAAGTATTATATTTAGATGGTATGTCAATTGCTCCATATAGTATTTGTTCTTTGACCCTTATGTTTTTGAGTCTATAGTTTTTCATGAACATAAACATTTCTGAATAGTTCTGATAAAAGAACATTAAAATAATAGTAATTATAACAATCTTTTAAACTCTGGTAAGATTTTGCCAAATATATTATAGGTTTCGGTTATCAGTTCATTGCCTCTCAACTTCAAATGCATAATTTAATATATATACATAAGATATATTATTTATCTAAGTAAATAATAACATTTATGGCCTAGCACAGTGGCTCACATCTGTAATCCCAGCACTTTGGGAGGTCGAGGTGGGTGGATCACGAGGTCAGGAGATCGAGACCATCCTAGCCAACATGGTGAAACCTCGTCTTTACTGAAAACACTAAAATTAGCCTGGTGTGATGGCATGTGCCTATAGTCCCAGCTACTCGGGAGGCTGAGGCAGGAGAATCACTTGAACCCAGGAGATGGAGGTTGCAGTAAGCCGAGATAGTGCCACTGAACTCCAGCCTGGCAACAGAGTGAGACTCTGACTCAAAAAAATAACAATAAAAAAAATAACATTCCTTTAAGCATTTCTTATTTAAAATGAGCACAATAACTAACTTTATCATTAGAGGGCTTATTAAAGACATTATAATATAGAGTAAGGGACCTTTTGCATTTTCTAGTGTGGGATAGGGTGATGAGTATGGGTGTGAGAATATCCAGTGGCACCTGATCACAGCCTCAGAATCTGTTCTCCCAGCCCAGCACCAGTCTAGCAATTACCTTTCCTCTGCACCCTTGACATGAAAATCAGAAGCAGCAGGCTGTCCAGATTCCTTCAGCAAGCCCCTACATAATGTGGACTCCAGAGGTTTCCCAGCATCTTCAGACCAGCTCTGGCCTGGTTCACCAAGCAAAATTCTCTGCTATCCAGTGGCTACACCACAACATCCCCAGTGAAGGTTGAACCTCTTCCATGTATGTCTTTTCTTGAGTCCTCTCTCTCTGTCCTAGCAAAATATATAGTGTTTCCTTATATTTTATAGTTATTTTAATCATAGTTAATTATTTGTATTAAACTTCAACCTGTTTAACTTACTGTGTGGTTTATGTCTCCTGACTTGACTCAGACTACCGCAGAATTTGTATCAGAAGTGGTCCCAGGGGAAGAACTCAACAGAGGAAATTTAGATATGGTTTGTTCGTGCCTTTTGGGCTTGCCTGCAATTCTGAATTACATGCCAATTAGAAATGGAATATAAGATGAGTAAACTGTGGCATACAATGGCATCACAAGTAAGCCTGCAATCACTTGTTGTTGATTTTGATGAAGTGCCAATTCAACCACTGGCCTTGGGAGCTCAACTGGCTTCTGAAACTTGATCATTGTGAGTGACTGTGACTGTAAAGACCCTGATGTGGGTGATATTATTTGAGTGTACTTGAGTGTTAAAAAAGAAAATGACAAGCTAATGTCTTTAACTTTCGTCTCAAGTTATAGTCTGAGAAAGAAACAATTTCCATAACAGCTCTAAAAGAGTCTCTTGTTTTTTGAATCTACAGATTTGATATTGCTAAAAAGGTAAACAATATTTAATTGTATGAGTTGCCAAATTACAATGAGAATTACATTCATAGCCTTTTTGGTTTTTCATGCCAAAGTTAGGTCATTACTTGGGAAGAAGTGAATTGTGAATTATGAAATGGGTACAGCTGGCTGGATCAAGAAGCAACTGGTAATCTTGAACACCCAAATATTTCTGAGATTTTTTTACTAGTAAAAGTAGTTTTTCTTTCTGTGTCCAAAACAACTAGACTTTCTCAGCTTGAAAATCTTGTGATAGTCTCAATTGGTGTACATATCATGAAAAGAAATGCTCATTCTCCTCAGGATCCACCATAAATAACCTCCATTTCTGGTAGAATATAAATAGGATCAAATCTAAGCATGGTTCAAGATTCAGGTACACACTATGAGAAATAAATAACTTCTATACAAAAGAATTTCAGAACCCTGTGTATTATTTCATTTTCATGCTGCTGTAAAGAAAACATACCTGAGACTGGGAAAATAAAAAGGTTTAATTGGACTTACAGTTTCACATGGCTGGGGAGGTCTCAGAATCATGGTGGGAAGTGAAAGGCACTTCTTACGTGGTGGTGGCGAGAGAAAATGAGGAAGGAGCAAAAGTGGAAACCCCTAATAAACCCATCACATCTTGTGATACTTATGCAGTATCATGAGAATAGCATGGGAAAGCGCAGCCCCCATGATTCAATTACCTCCCTTGGGTCCCTCCCACAACATCTGGGAATTCTGGGAGGTACAATTCAAGTTAAGATTTGAGTGGGGACAGAGCCAAACCATATCATTCTGCCCAAGGCCCCTCCAAATCTGATGTCCTCATGTTTCAAAAACGAATCATGCCTTATCAACAGTCCCTCAAAGTCTTAACTCGTTTCAGCATCAACTCAAAAGTCTTCAGTGTGAAGTCTCATCTGAGATAAGGCAAGTCCCTTCCACCTGTGAGCCTGTATTATCAAATGCAAGCTAGTTACTTCCTAGATACAACTGGGGTACAGGTATTGGGTAAATACGGCCATTCCAAATGGGAGAAATTGGCCCAAACAAAGGGGTTACAGGCCCCATACATGTCCAACAACCAGCAAGACAGTCAAATTTTAAAGCTCCAAAATGATCAACTTTGACTCCAGGGTTCTCACATCCAGGTCACACTGATGCAAGAGGTGGGTTCCCATAGTCTTGGGCAGCTCTGCCCCTGTGGCTTTGCAGGATATAGCCCCCTTCCCGGCTGCTTTCACAGGCTAGTGTTGAGTATCTGTGACTTTCCCAGGTGCACAGTGCAAGCTTTCGGTCAAACTACAGTTCTGGGGTCTGGATGACGGTGGCCCTCTGCTCACAGCTCCACTAGGCAGTGCACAAGTAGGGATTCTGTGTGGGGGCTCCAACCCCACATTTCGCTTCTGCACTGCCCTAGCAGAGTTTCTCCATGAGGGCCCCACCCTGCAGCAAACTTTTGCTTGGGCATCCAGGCATTTCCATACACTTTCCAACATCTAGGTGGAGGTTCCCAAACCTCAATATTTGACTTGGGTGCACCCACAGTCTCAACACCACATGGAAGCTGCCAAGGATTGGGGCTTTCGCTCTCCGACACCATGGGCTGAGCTGTACCTTGGCCCCTATTAGCAACAGCTGGAATAGCTGGGACAAACGGCATCAAATCCCTAGGCTGCACACAGCATGGGGACCCTTGGCCTCGCCCACAGTACTATTTTTTTCTTCTAGGCTTCTGGGTACGTGATGGGAGGGGCTGCCATGAAGACCCATGGCATGCTCTGGAGACATTTTCCCCATCGTCTTGGTGATTAACATGCAGCTCCTTGTTACTTATGCAAATTTCTTCAGCCAGCTTGAATTTCTCCTCAAAAAAATTGATTTTCTTTTTGACTGCATCATCAGGCTGCAAATTTTCTGAACTTTTATGCTCTGTTTCCCTTTTAAAATGGAATGCTTTTAACAGCTCCTAAATCACCTTTTGAATGCTTATTTGCTTAGCAAATTCTTCAGCCAGATACCCTAAATCATCTCTCACAAGTTCAAAGTTCCACAAATCTCTAGGGCAGGAGCAAAACGTCACCTGTCCCTTTGCTAAAATATAACAAAAGTCACTTTTGCTCCAGTTCCCAACAAGTTTCTCATCTACATCTGAGACCACCTCAGCCTGGACCTTACTGTTCATATCACTATCAGCATTTTTGTCAAAGTCATTGAACAAGTATCTAGGAGGTTCCAAACTTTCCCACATTTTCCCGTCTTCTTCTGAGCCCTCCAAACTGTTCCAAACTTTGCCTGTTACCCAGTTCCAGAGTCACTTCCACATTTTCAGGAATCTTTTCAGCAACATCCCACTACTGGTACCAATTTACTGTATTAGTTCATTTTTATGCTGCTGATAAAAACATACCTGAGACTGGGAAGAAAAAGAGGTTTAATTGGACTTACAGTTCCACATGGCTGGGGAGGCGTCAGAATCATGGCGGGAGGACAAAGGAACTTCTTACATGGTGGCAGAAGAGAAAATGAGGAAGAAGCAAAAGTGGAAACCCCTGATAAACCCACCAGATCTCCTGAGACTTATTCGGTATCACAAGAACAGAACAGGAAGGACCAACTCCCATGATTCAATTACCTCCCCCATGGGTCCCAATGGAATTCTGGGAGATACAATTCAAGTTGAGATTTTGATGGGAACACAGCCAAACCATATCACCCTGGTAATACATATCACCAAATACCTGAGGAACATGTGTAGTAATGGACTCTAATGGTGTTAAAACAAGGAGGGTGTAATATAACACTGAAACAAGCAAATTCATTGATACATGTGTATTTCTCAGTGATTTCTGTTTAATGTATTATTTTGTATAGCTGAAGGTGCCTCTAATCACTTGTTTGTTTGACTGAAACTTTTATGCATTGCTGGCCTACATTTAGAGAATTTTGAATGCCATTGCTTAGCTGGCATGACAAGAAGGAGAGAATTGAAAATGTTAGATAGGAAAGTTGGAGTGGATTTATCATATGTGACATACATACCCACTTATTCCCCAACTACGTACCATAACAAGGTACAAAAGATACTTCATTTACTAAGAGATTGAGAAATACACTAGAGGGCAACAACTCCTTTATATTTCAGCAACAATATAGGATAACCTGGCTTTCTTTGGATCTGAAATAATAATTTAGAATTCGTCAGTGCTGTATTTGGTTCTTCCCAAATCTCCTTTATTCTTTAACATTATTCCTATGTGCTGCTAACAGTTTTGTCTTTCAATATTATTTCTTTAAATATATAACATGTATTTATTTTAACTATAAAATCCAATAATTGCTTCATGGTTTAAAATTTACTTCTGTTATTTTTAGTGGTTTTTATTTGTACATAATGTGGTGTTTCTTCTTGCACTAAGAGATTTTTGACTGTGCATTCTTTACATTCCACTGGGCTTTATATCTCTTCAAGACCACAGAATAAAGTTGCTTTCCTCATGAGAATATTGACTTCTGCTTCAGCAATTTGCCTGAGGCATGACTAATATGAGAGTACATTAAACTAAATTAAATTCTCTGCTTGAATCTTTGTGGACCACACAGCATGGATTTGGGCTACAAAAGTATCTGGTGTCTTGCTATGGTTATGAATTCTTAGGAATGATTTTGTTTTATCTCTAACCAAATTAAAGTGGAGAGAAACAAGCATCTCTGTGTCCCTTTCTGTGTATTGAGTTTGATTTCTGGTATACCCTTTTACCATTCTAATATTTGTAGTAATCTCCTATGAGATTATACAACTGAGACAGATCCTAACTGGTAGCCCCTCTTCCTAGCACTCTGTGAATCAGAAAGCAAAAGCTCAAATTTTTATTTTGTAGACAAACTCAGGAAAAAACAATGTGTAGCTGATTATTTCACAGGCTTTCTATTATTTTTGTTAAGTATCAGCCCAGTAATACATGCAAAATGGTTTAGTTTCATACAAAATTTTATTGTTTAAGCTAGAAGGAAGATTCAGTCTCCTGTTGCCAAGAACAGTAGTTAATAATACAAACACTTTATCAGATTTCCAAAATGAAGTATACTGCTTAAAAGTTATTTCAAAAACCCAGCAGGCATTTCTAATAACAACTGTAAGTAAAAGATAAATAAAAAGAAAAAACAAACATTAAACATATTTTTACTCTACATAAGCAGATATCATTTTAAATGGTGAAAAATTAATAGATAAATTCTGAAACACATACAACCAACCAAGACTGACCCATGAAGAAATCCAAAACTCGAAGAGATCCATAACCAGTATTAAGATTGATGCTATAGTAAAAAGTCTGTCAGCAAAGAAAAGCTTGGGACCCGATGGCTTCAGTGCTGGATTCTACCAAACATTTAAAGATGAAATAATACCAATCATACTCAAACTATTCCAAAAATAGAGGAGGAGAGAGTACTTCTAAATTCATTCTATGAGGCCAGTATTACCTTATATCAAAACCAGGAAAAGACATGGCAGATAAAAGCCACAGGCCAATATCTCTGATGAATATTGTTGCAAAATCCTCAACAAAATACTAGAAAACCAAATTCTACTATAAATTAGAAAGATAATTCATCATGACCAAGTAGGATTTATCCCTGGGATGCAAGGATGGCTCAACATACACAAATCAATTAATGTGATACAGTATATTAACAGAATGAAGGACAAAACATCTTCTGATCATTTCAACTAATGCTGAAAAAACACTTGATAAAATGTAACCTCTCTTCATTATAAACACTCTAAAAGAACTGGGTATAGAAGGAACATACCTCAACACAATGAAAGCCATATATAACAGACCCACAGCTAGTATATCATACTGATGCAGAAAAACTGAAAGCCTTTCTCCTCTGATATGTGGAACAAGACAACATAGTACTTGAACTATTAGCTAAAACAATCAGGCAAGAGAAAGAAAGAAAGTTCTCAGCATCACCAAATATCAGAGAAATTCAAATCAAAACCACAATAAGATACCATCTCACACCAATCAGAATGGCTATTATTAAAAAGTCAAAAAGCTGCAGAGAAAGCAGAATGCATATACACTGTTGGTGGGAATGTCAGTTAGTCCAGCCAATGTAGAAAGTATTCCAGAGATTTCTCAAAGAACTTAAAACAGAGCTATCCTTAGACCCAGCAATCGCATTACTGGGTATATACCACCACTCCCCCCAAAATAAATCATTCTATCAAAGAAACACATACACTTGTACATTCATTGCTATGCTATTCACAATAGTAAAGACATGAAATAAACCCAGGTGCCCATCAATGGAAGATTGGGTAAAGTAAACATGAAGCATATGCACCATGGAATACTACATAGCCATAAAAAATAATAAAGTCATGTTCTTTGCAGTAACATGGATGGAGCTGAAGGCCATAATCTTAAGCAAATTAATGCAGGAACAAAAAACCAAATACTGTGTATTCTCACTGATAAGTGGGACCTAAGCATTGGGCACATATGAACATAAATATGGGAACAATAGGCATTGTAGACTACTAGAAGGTGGGAGGAGTGGGTAAAAAACTATCAATCAGGTTCTATGCTCACTACCAGGTTGACAGAATTCATACTCCAAATGTCAACATCAGACAATATTCCCATGTAATATATCTGCACATGTACCACCCTGTATCTAAAACTTGAAATTAAAAAAAGGGGGTCATCCAAATTGCAAAAAAAAAAAAAGTCAAATTATTTGTATTAGTCTGCTCTCATGCTGCTAATGAAGACATAACCAAGACTGGGTAATTTATAAAGGAAAGATATTTAATAGGGTCACAATTTCACAGGGCTGGGAGGACTCAGGAAGCTTACAATCATGGCAGAAGGGGAAGCAAACATGTCCTCCTTCACATGGCACCAGGAAGAAGAATGATCAAAGAGGGGAAAAGACCCTTATAAAACCATCAGATCACGTGAGAACTCACTATCACAAGAACAGCATGGCATAAATCACCTCCATGATTCAATTACCTCCCACCAGGTCCCTCCTAAAACATGCGAGTACTATGGGTACTACAATTTAAGATGAGATTTGGGTGGCTACACAAAGCCTAACCATTCAAAATCTCATGTTCTCACATTTTAAAGCACAATCATGCCTTTCTAACAGTCCTCCAAAGCCTTAACGCATTACAGCATTAACTCAAAAGTCCAGGTCCAAAGTCTTATCTGAGATGAGGCAAATTCCTTTACCTATGAGCCTGTAAAATCTAAAACAAGTTAGTTATTTCCTAGATACAATGAGAGTACAGGCATTGAGTAAATACATCTCTTCCAAATAGGAGAAATTGGCCAAAATGAAAGGGCTACAGGCCCCATGAAAGTCTGAAATATAGTGGGGTAGTCAAACCATAAAGCTCTGAAATGATGTCCTTTGACTCCATGTCTCACAATCAGGTCATGCTGATGCAAGAGGTGGGCTCCCACAACTTGGGGCAGCTCCATACCTGTGGCTTTGCAGCATACAGCCTCCCTTGAGGCTGCTTTCATGGGCTGGTGTTGAGTACCTGTGGCTTTTCCAAGTGGATGGTGCAAGCTGTTGGTGGATCTACCATTCTTGGGCCTGGAGGATGGTGGCCCTCTTCTCACAGCTCCACTAGGCACTGCCCCATTGATGACTCTGTAGGGGGGCTCCTACTTCACATTTCCTTTCTGTACTACCCTAGCAGAGGGTCTCCATGAGGGCCCTGCCCCTGCAGCAAACTTCGGCCTGGACATCCAAAAGTTTCCGTATGTCTAAAATCTAGGGGGAGGTTCCCAAAACTCAATTCTTGACTTCTGTACACCGGCAGTCCCAACACCACATGGAAGCTGCCAAAGCTTGGGGCTTGTACTCTTTAAAGCAATGATCTGAGTTGTGCATTGGTCCTTTTTAGCTACAGCTGCAGAGGTTGAGACACAGGGCATCAAGTCCTTAGGATTCACGGAGCTTGGGGGCCCTGGACACGGCCCAGAAAACCATGTTTTCCCTCCTAGGCCTCCAGGCCAGTCATGGGAGGGGCTGCTGCAAAGGTCTCTGACATGTTCTGGAGACATTTTCCCCATTGTCTTGGTGACTTACATTAGGCTCCTTGTTACCTATGGAAATTTTTGCAGCAGGCTTGAATTTCTCCCCAGAAAATGGGGCGTCCTTTTCTATCACATTGTCAGGCTTTAAATTTTCCAAACCTTTAGCTCTGCTTTCTCTTGAATGCTTCACTGCTTAGAAATTTATTCCACTAGATGCCATAAATCAAATCTCTCAAGTTCAAAGTTCCACAGATCTCTAGGGCATGGGTAACATGTCACTAGTCTCTTTGCCTAACAAGAGTGACCCTTACTCCAGTTCCCAAAATGTTCCTCATCTCCATCTGAGACCACCTCAACTTGGACTTCATTGCCACATCACTATCAGCATTTTGGTCAAAGCTATTCAACAAGTCTCTAGGAAGTTCCAAACTTTCCCACATCTTCCTGTCTTTTAAGCCTTCCAAGTCTCTAGGAAGTTCCAAACTTTCTCACATTTTCCTGTCTTCTTCTGAGCCCTCCAGACTGTTCCAACATTTGCTTGTTACCCAGTTCCAAAGTGGCTTCCACATTTTTGGGTATTTTTATAGAAGCACCCCAGTGTCTGTGGTACCAATTTACTGTATTAGTCTGTTCTCATGCTGCTAATAAAGACATACTCAAGACTGGGTAATTTATAGAGGAAAGAGGTTTAATTGACTTACAGTTCTGCATAGCTGGGAAGGCCTCAGGAAACTTACAATCATGGCAGAAAGAGAAGCAAACACTACCTTCTTCACATGGTAGCAGGAAGGAGAAGAATGAATGAAGAGAGGAAAAGTCCCTTAGAAAACCATCAGATCTCATGAGAACTTACTCACTTTCACAAAAACAGTCTGGTGGAAATCGCCTCCATAATTCAATTACCTCCCACTAGGTCCCTCCCATGACACGTGGCGATTATGGGAACTACAATTCAAGACGAGATTTGGGTGGGGACACAAAGCCTAACCATATCATTATTCTTGTTTGCTGATAAGATAATCTTATATTTGGAAAAACCTAAAGACTCCACTAAAAAAAACTATTAGAACTGAGAAATTAAGTAAAATTGCAGGATACAAAATAGACATTAAAAAACAGTAGCATTTCTATATGCCAACAGCAAACAACACAAAAAAGAATTCAAGAAAGTAATCCTATTTACAATAGCTATATATAAAACAAAATACCTAGGAATAAACTGAAACAAAGAATTCAAGTGTTTGTATAATAAAAACTATAACATTGATGCATGAAATTGAAGAGGACACCAATTCTTACAAAATAATATGAAAGAAGCTACAAAAACAATGAAAAATAAAAAAATGAGTATTTTAATTAAAATAGTGCATTGAACTTTACATTATTAATTAGACTATAATAATGTCAACTGAACATGGATGATTGAAATACCTGTCTAAATACATTCACAAACATATATATTCTTACATCACAGAAGGATATACATGCACATATATTGAGCAAATATCTATTAAAATGTCACACAATATTTTAAAAGATCAACATGATATTAAATTGCATAACACAGCATTCTCAGCAAGACAAATATCCAAGAAAAATATTTTTGGTAAGAAGAAGATGGTAGACTTATATTGTTTGTTGAATTTTGTACTAATGTGTTATGTAAGAATTATAACCATTATCATTTTGCAAATGAGAAAATAAAAATTAAAAAATTAATAATTATATCTAGGATTACCTTGGGTAAAAGTTGAAAATATAATGCCTAAACACATTTTTTAAGACTCCTAAGCCAGTGCTATTCCTCTGTTTCATAGTACTCATGTTGTTTTAAAACAATCAAAATTGGCTGTATTACCTCCTTAATTCTATGAAACTTGCTCAGTTTCACATGCTGTGTAGCTAGTTCTGGGATGGGAGATGACATGGGCATTTGTAATTTGTGTCACATGTTATAGAAACAAATGATATAAATATAATCTGAGAAATGTCTGCTTCCAGAATAGGTGAATTTAAGAGAGTATATTTCCCCTACTACCAAAACAAACAAACAAAAGAAAAAACAGAACAAACCAAAAAATCACCAAAGATAAAACATGTAAAACAAGGGTTTTCAGACATTGAAGTATAAAATAGCACAGGTGAGTGATCCATGAGAAAGACAGATAAAATGAATTGAACCTATAATTGGCTTAGCATACTCCCTGGAATCCTTTACTGGACGCAATGCCAAAAAAGGTACTTGGAAACTGGTTTTCATGAACTGAGGAAATAGGAGTGGGAAGCTGGAGAGGCCAGTCAGCTAAAATATGGACAGAAGCGAGTGCTCAGGCGACAACTGTGTAGGAAAAGAGTTCTGAGTTCTACAAAGCCTCCTCCCCTACCTTAGTTTTCGGCTGCCTACAAATCAGCCTCTATCTGTGAGAAAAACACCTGAGGTCAAAGCAAAGATCACCCAAAAGGAAAAGATGGAAAAATCCTTGTAGCTTACACAAAGCTGGAAATAATTCTGCTGCCACTAGTCAGATTGAAGAACCTAATAACTGAAGGGGAATAGGAAAGAGTATTTAGAAGATTATTGTCTCAATAGTGGGCCAACATTATTCCTAAATTAAAAACTACTCTGGTCTCACAAAACAGTTCAAAAAGAATATCTAAAATTTTTTTTATCATGTACTGATTTATTCCAGCAAATGAAAGATTTTCTTATTTTGTTGTTGACTTTTATTTTAGGTTCAGAGGTACGTGTGCAGGTTTGATATACAGGTAAATTTTATCACTGGGGTTTGTTGTACAGATTATTTCATCACCCAGTTGATAAGCACAGTACCTGATGGGTAGTTTTTCACACTTACCCTTCTTCCTCTCTCCACCCTCAAGTAGGGTCTGGTGTCTGTTGTTCCTTTCTTTGTGCCCATGTATACTCAATGTTTTGTTCTCACTTATGAGAACTAAACTAAATCCAGTAATAGGATTACTGGGTCAAGTGGAAATTCTCCTTTGAGTTCTTTGAGAAATCACCAAATTGCTTTTCATAATGGCTGAACTAATTTACATTCCCACCAGCAGTGTACAAGAGTTCCCTTTTTGGGAGGCCGAGGCAGGTGGATGACTTGAGGTCAGGAGTTCAAGACCAGCCAGGCCAACATGGTGAAACCCCATCTTTACTAAAAGTACAAAAATTAACCGAGCATGGTGGTGGACACCTGTAATCCCAGCTACTTGGGAGGCTGAGGCAGTTAAATTGTTTAAACCCGGGAAGTGGAGTTTGCAGTGAGCCAAAATCACACCATTGCACGCTAGGCTGGGCAACAAAAGCAAAACTCTGTCTCAAAAAAAAAAAAAAAATACAGTTCCCTTTTTTCCATAACCTGTCAGCATCTGTTATTTTGTTGACTTTTTAATAATCACCATTTTGACTGCTGTGAGCTCTAAATGACATTTCATTGTGGTTTGGATTTGCATTTCTCTAGTGATCAGTGATGTTGAGCATTTTAAAGTATGTTTTTGGGCTGCATGTATGTCTTCTTTTGAAAAGTGTTTGTTCGTGTTTTGCCCACTTTTTAATGGGGTTGTTTGTTTTTATGCTTCTAAATTTGTTTAAGTTTCTTATAGATTCTGGATATTAGACTTTTTTGGATGCGAAGTTTGCAAATATTTTCTCCCATTCTGTAGGTTATCTGTGCACTCTATTGATAGTTTATTTTGCTACGCAGAAGCTCTTTAGTTTAATTAGGTCTGATTTATTAATTTACATTTTTGTTACAATTGCTTTTGGCCTTTTGTCATGAAATATTTGCCCGTTCCTATGTTGGGCATGGTATTTCCTAGGTTACCTTCAAGAGTTTTAATAGTTTTGGGATATATATTTAAATATTTAAACCATATTTAGGTGATTTATGTAGATGGTAAAAGGAAGGTGTCCAGTTTCAATCTTCTGCATATGGCCCAGCCAGTTATCCCAGCACCATTTATTGAATGATGAGTCTTTTTCCAAATGTTTGTTTTTTGTAGACTTTGCTGAAGATCACATGGTTGTAGGTGTGTGACATTATTTCTGGGCTTTCTATCCTGTTCCATTGGCCTATGTGGAATCTGCTGTCCTGGAGGTGTTGAAGAGTTCCTGGACTGCTGGCCACAACAATCCAATGGGTGGTGACAGCCAAAGTGCTTCACCAGGTGATGGCAGTGGGATGTGTGCTCACCTGCATGTGCCAGCAGCAGTGGCAGTTTCTCATTGGCTGTGGTGAGGTGCTGACGGGCATAGGGCTGGCAGCCTCCGTGTGTGTTCACTTTAGTGGTGGTGGTGGTGCAGGACCAGTGGCATCCATGGACACATTCTCATTGGCAGCAGTGTTGGTGATGGGGGTGGAGTGCTGGTGGGAACAGGACTGGTGGATTCTGTGTCCGTGTTGACACTACTGGTGGTGGCAATGTGGGGCTGCTGGTCTCTGTGCATGCGTTCACACTGGCAGCCGGTGGTGGGCTGGGTGAAGTCGCATCAGCAGCAGTGGTAGAGTGGGGTGCATGTGCACGCATGTGCTGGTGGGGAAGGGGAGGCAACATCACCCACATGCATGCATGGTGGCAAAAGAGTGGGTGTGTGGCCATGGGCGAATGCAAGCCAACCAAGTAGTGCAGGGAGGCTATGGTAGAGGGAGGTTGTGTGTGGCCTGGTGTGTCAGTGGGGACCACTCTGCTGGAGCTCTCTCATGGTCAGACACGGTTTGCCAGCACAGAAAGTATGATGTAAGTCCCCTGGTTGTGCATGAAGGCTACATTGCAAGCAGGTGTGGCTAGTCTGGGGCCTAAGAGAGGGCAGCAGACAGGGGGTTGTACAGGTTGGACTGGCTTTGTCTCACGGGCAGAGTCACTTTGCTCTGTTCAGGTCTGATAGGTCCTCTAAGTCTAATATCTCCTAGGGGACCAAAGTGAGCCTTTGGAGATGGGCATCCATGGCCACGCTCCACTGCAGATGTTGCCACACCAAATACTCTGGGCTTCACTCAGGCTGGAGTCCTGCCCCTACCACTTCTCTAAGTCTCTAAGCAGCTCTCTCTCTCCCAGCTCAAGTGTCCATGGGAGTTGTGGAGTCTCCTGTTAACAGGATTTCAGAGGCATGTGGTGAGAGCAGGTTGCTCCTTACCTTCTTAACTCGTGCCTTCTCCAGGAGTTGTTGAGGCCAGGAATGAGTCCCAGTGTGTGGTAGCCCTGTCCAGAGTTCCGAGCCTCCTTGTTCTTCAGCCCAACATCTGTGTCCTCCCTGCATCCATTCTCAATGCCTTCCCTCCAGAGATCGGCTCAGAGTGTACCACTCTTCCCAGTGTCCCAGTCCCTGAATGGCAGATGTTCCTCCTGGCTGCATCTAGTTGGCCATCATCCTCTGAAAAGCCCATCTAAAAATAGTTAAATTGGCTTTAAGTAACTTAACTGAGTTTCAAAACAATATTAACACTAAAATATGTGGTGCTAAAGAAGTTATAAACACAGTACCTGACATTCAATAAATAAATTACGATATGTTCAAAGAAGCAAGAAAATATGACATATAGTAAAAAAAAAAAATCAAACAATGAGAAAAGACCCAGAAATCACATGTATGTTAGAATTAATAGAAAAAATATTTTAAAAGATGCTAGAGGAAAGATTGAGCATGTTAAGCGGGCAAAATTGAATGAATAAGGATAAAAAATACAATGTTGGAAAGAAAATATGAACTAAGGGTACTGAGAGATTGCAAATGAGAGACAAAAAGATTAGTAAACTTGACTATTTAGCGATGGAAACTATCAAAAATGAAGCATGAAATGCAAAATATTGGGGAAAAACCATATAAAGAGACCCAGAAAATGTGGACAAAATTTTAAATGGCTTACTGTAGGTGTAATAGCAGTCCTCCATGGAGGATAGAGGACAGAAAATCATTGAAGAAAATAAAGGCTGAAAAACTCCTAATTCAATAAAAATGATAAACTCAGATCCAATAAGCTGAATAAACTCTTAGCACAACAAATATAAATTACACCAATAAATATCTAAGTCAAGTTGCTTAAAATGAGTAAAAAATGAAAAACTTAAAAGCAGCTAGAGAAAACAGCATACACGCACAAATGATAAATGTGAAGAATAACAGAAACTTCTCATCATAGAAAATACACTCCAAAAGATAGTAGAGCAACTTCTTTAAAAAGGAAAGAAAAGAATTAATTTACTATTGTATACCAAGTAAAATTACCATTACATACAAAGGGTAAAATGTGTATGTATTCCAGACCTACAAAAGCTAAAAGAATTCAACAATTTCAGAACTGCACTACTAGATATGTTAAAGGAAATTCTTCAGGCAGAAGTGGAATAGTTCCATATGCAAATCTGTATTTATACAAGGAATGTAAATGTGAGACTGAACTTTCTTTAGATGATAAGTCACCGAATAAGCAAAAATAGTAATAATGTATTGTGGTGCTTATTACATAAGTATATGTAAAATGTATGACAAAATTATGCATTTAGAAATAGAGATATGGAAAAATAGTGTTGCAAAGATGTTATATTCTGTGTGAAGTGATATTACTGTAAGGTAGACAATGATAATTTAAAGGTATATACTATAAACCCTGAAAAACTACAAAAGTAAAGAAAAAATAGTACTTAATAAACTAACATATAATATAAAATATAGCAAAAATACTTAATCTCAAGTAAAGCAGAGAGAAACAAAAATGGAAACAAATGTTTAGAAAAAATAGCATGACAAATTTGAACCCATTTATACTAAAAATAACTTTAAATCTAAATGATCTTAGCACAATTAAGAGAAATTGTCACATAGATGAAATGTAATGGGTAGTACTAAACTATATGCTACCTATAAAAAATCACTTTAAAAATAAAGATACAAATATGGCAGACTAGCCCCAAGTGTCTACTGAGTGCTTGAAATTAGCCTGATCCATATTGAGATGTCTTGGAAGTATAAGATAGATACACACTAAATTTATTGACTTAATGTAAAAAAATACTTCAAGAGTAATTTTATATTTATTACATGATGAAATTATGATATTCTGATTGCATGGAGTAAAATAGAATATATTTTTAATAAATTTTTTATTTTTATTTTACTTTCTAAGGTAGCCTCTGTAAAACTTAAAATTTGTCAAGTTGCTTGCATTAGATTTGCAGTAGACAGCACTTATCTGGAATATATAAATAACTCATAACTTGATAAGAGAATATAGAACTAAATTAAAAAAAGAAAACGTATTTGAACACTTTACCAGATAAAATACATGAAAGGCAAATAAGCAAGTGAAATGATGTGCAACATCATTAGTTATTTGAGAAATTTTCTTTGTATTTAAGTACAGGTTTGCAGTTAATTTTGGTTAAGAGATTTAAAGTTAATCCACTATAGCTGGGAAATAGATTGTACAAAGTCTGAATGTTTAAACAGTGAGAAGATAATAAACATTTCTACTAGTAAACTCTTTTTGTCTTGCCAATAATGAAATTACACATATTAGTATTACGTGATATTTTACACAAACATGAACACACAATGATGTATTCTGCTTGAATGGAGTCTCAACTGTAGAGAGAGCAGCAGTATTTGCAATTGCAGAGAAAATGAAATTATACTAAGATAGGAGCAATATGATAAACAAGGTTATGTTCTATCTAGATCTTCCATCGTTACATTCTATCTAGATCTTCCATCAAGAGAACGTGCTATGTGAAGTATATTTGACTCACTCTCCAGCGACATCTTTGTTCTGTTTCTCCCAGCCTTCTTACAGTCACTAAACTCAGCAAAGGACCTGGAACTATGCCATTCTTTCCTGGATATGGGGTCTTTCTGTGAGCAACTTTTGTTAGAAGATTCCCATAGATCTGATCAAAGTTTCTTAGAGCTGCACTGCAGCCGGCAGATTTTTCTATCCACTCTGTTTTTCTCTCTCTCCTTTAAAAGGTATTAGATATTCATCAAGACCTAGAAGTTCTCTGTGTTATTCTCTCTTCCTCTTTATTTGTCACAACTGTTTCTCTTGAACAAACTCTGCATATCACATCCTGCCTTGATGTCATCTTGGAGAATCCAAAGTGGCACAGATGGTGCAAAGAGTGGACTAGGAAAACAGGCAGTCATACAGTACTTAATATTAGCTTCCTAGCTGTCAAGGAACACCAAATCTGGAGTGGAAGGAGGAACATGGATATTCACAGGCACAGAGTAATAGCCTAAGCATTGAAAATTTTGCAGGTAGTGACCTATGGGAATCTCCACTGCAAATAAACAAGTGCCCTCTCACAAGCTACGCCTGTCTGCTCTTCCGTACAATAGGAGATCTTCTCTTCAGTTTTCTTTTTGCAAACCAAACAACTTTGCACAGCAGCCTACAAGCAGACACATTTTTTTTCAGTCTATTAGCTAGAGTGGCAGAGGCTTTTGCTTAACTCAGTCACTGGCAAGGTGAAAGATTCCCCAGGTGTTTGCTTAAATGACTAAAGGATAACTTTTGCACTTAGGTTGCATTTACTTTACAAGTCACATAAGGGTAATAATTATCTATCATTCTTTTACCTCCCTCTCTCTGCCTCTCCTTCTTTCTCCCCTTTACCCTCTTTCATATTCACTATCATTACCATTACAAAATTGTTTATAAGACCAAAATCTGGAAATAAATTGTTTATCCATATATAGGAAGTGATTATTTTAATAATGAGAGATCAATATTATATAATAATAATCAGAAGGAAAAAATATGTATACATGCAGACATAAAATATTTATTATATTGTTACAATTTTTAAAAAAGCAAAACACAAGTTTTATAACATGTCATAGGGAAATCCTGTTTATTATAAAAATATTAATATAGAAATATAGATATGGATGTATACATAGACATATCTAGAAAGTGACATTCTTAAACATGGGTATAATATTTATTAGAAAATATACAGAAAACAGTTGTGATTTACATTGTAGAATGGGAAAATGATGAGCGAGTGAATTAGAAAATGGGATTTATATTCTCATTCTTAATTCTCTTATATAATTGGACATTTCTTTTATAATTATTACTACGAAAATAATAGGAAAACGACAATTAGAAATAGAGCAAAATGAAAACAGTGATGGGCAGAAAATCATTATATTATGTGGCTTGGTTTTACTTTTCCCAGCCTCCCATGTGTGCTGCAATGCCCTTATGTTATTTCAGAAGTAAATGTATTCATTTTCTTTCAAAATATAAACCACTATAAAATTATCTTTGGCTGGGCGTGGTGGCTCACACCTGTAATCCCAGCACTCTGGGAGACTGAGGCGGGCAAATCACCTGACGTCGGGACTTCGAGACTAACCTGGCCAACATAGAGAAACCCTGTCTCTATTAAAAATACAAAATTAGCCATGAGTGGTGATGCATGCCTATAATCGCAGATACTTGGGAGGCTGGGGCAGGAGAATTGCTTGAACCTGGGAGGCCGCGGTTGCGGTGAGCCCAAATCGTGCCATTGCACTCCAGCCTGGGCGACAACAGTGAAACTCCGGCCCCCACCGAAAAAAATTATCTTCACAAGATATCACTTGACCTCCTATGTCATGCCTACTCATCTGTTACTTGCTCATATAGAAGAAGGTTTTTGAAAGAAATATTTTGACCAAAACTTCTATTTAAACTAAACGAGGGCTCAAGTTGAATAATATTTGGGTCTGAGAACAGTTTATCACAATGTCAACTCAATGAAAGCAGTACTTTTCTGGCTCAATAAATCATTGGGTCAAATAACTTATAATAAATCAGTGATATAAAGTCTCAAGAGTTTTTCAAATCTATCCAACTTAAATATTATATTTCTCATCTTTTTTTACAATGCTTGTTTTAATGAATATTGCTTAGAATTAATCCAACATTTGTTAGTTTAATTTATGTTAATTCATGTCATACGATTTACATCTTATAAATATTTTATGTTATTTCTGCAATAGCAGTACACATGGTGCTGCAGTCCAGTATGTGTTTGTAGTCTGATATAATCCTTATATTTATTTTGGAAACACATTTGTATGTTTTTTTTGTTTATAACTAATATCAACAAAAACATTATCTACAATATTTTTATTTAGCATGAATTTTTAAGTACCAAAATTACTGCATCATTCTTGAATATAAAGAGTGTAAAGCATGATATTTTATTCATATTTTTCACCAAACCATTCTTAATTCTTAGCCCTGTGCCTAAAATGCCAATGCTGACGTTCCTAAAATTCTCCTTTGGGGAAAAAAAAAGAGAAGTTTTTGAGGAAGATGCCTAACACAACAATTTGCAGTTACAGTGTATTTCTCACTCTTTTGCATGTTTCGTGCATAGGAAATTTTATTTTATGTAAAACTGGAGTAGGTCTATACTTTACTTCCACAGGTTTTATAGGACTGGAGAGCTGTTTGTGATTGTGGCTTGTGTCACAGAAGAGATTTTGTCTTTTCTGACCTGATGTGTCTTCTTTTACTAGCCTCTCATGCTGAAAATGAGTTCTAAGTTTCTGCCTTAAAATTAATGTAAAAAGTATTTTGCTTGATGACATACAGTGATGCCTGAAGTATTAGATGCTTTAATGCCTTCCTACGTTTCAAACTAAAATGAATTTCACCTCTTTATATTTAATTTTTATGTATTTGTAAGTTCTCAAACATAAATATTTAAGAGCTATATATTATAGAGATGTTAGTAGTGTTCTGTATTCACAAACTCAAAACATAAAGAAAGGAATGTAATTTAATTATTTGATTCACATATTTATTATTTGAGAAAATTATTTTAAGCCTAAAAATTTAATAATTATATTTTAAATGATCTCTTGTAATGCTTGAAATTAAGGTAGAAATGAACAATTGTTGGACTGAAATGCTAAACTGTGTTATTGCTTATAGGCTTCCACTGGGAGTCTGCAACAGTACTCATTAGGGTAAGGCTAATCAGCATTACATCAGGGAAACAGCTAAAGTAGCAACTAAGGAAATAATATAAAAATAACTATAACAATTAAAGAAGCTAAACAAATAAGAAGGATATATGAAATTGTTTAATACGCTAAGGGTTACAGTCATAAAATAGTATAATGTAAGCTATTTCAAATGGATATGTTCTAAAACTCTGTAGTATCATGATAAATCAATTAAAAGTGAGAGAAGGAATGTTGAACATTGGAAAGGGAATATTTGGACTGTCTATAAAACTTGAATATAAACTTATAAAAGAGTTCATCTTATTAAATCAAATTGTAATGTAGAAGTGAACACTGTTATGTTTGATGCCAAACAAGTGGAGCTTTTATGTGTGTTATCTATCAAATTAGTGTGATAAGTTTCTTATTTAAAGTAGGGCTCCTTAAGATATTCTTACATGGAGTTCATTAATATGTACCAGAAGATACCTCTAGTTTATTAAAAAATAATTGATGTTGGGACAAAGAGAAATAATTCAATATCTTCTCCTGTGTCTATTACATGCATTAACTAATGCAATGGTTCAAATAAATATATGTCCTTTAATCAAGGCTTCTAGAACTTGGGATAGGGAAGTGAGAGTCTTTCAGATGCACATATTTTAATTTCATGGATAAAACCTTGAAGAAAGGCTACATTTATGAAGTTGTGATTACTAAAAGATATAATTTGAATAGCTCAGATACTAATAGGTATTTCATTGATATTTGAGTGTAAAATCACTTCCCTTTCTTAATTATGTGGTATAATTGCTTAAGACTCAGACCTGTAATACATCCTATGCAGTTACTATGATCAGTATATGGTCTACAAAGTCACGGGAGCAGCAGATGTCTGGCTCCATAAGTTAATAAACAAACACGTATGGGAAACAAAAACAAACAATAAAAAAACAAAAACTAGTAAGTATTATAGTTCTCATTCTAAGTCTAAAAAAATTTAGTAAGCCTGATAATGTCACCATTATGACCCATCTACTTTTCAGATAATTTTCATCCATTTTTCTTCACTAAAATTGTTCTGTGATTAACACCTTAATCTCATATCATCCATATAACAATGAAGAAATGAAACAGTGTAACTTTCTTTGGGAACTTTTTATGCCTGAATTGTGTTCCCCAAAATTTTTATGTTGAAGTCGTTGCCACAGGTGGTACCTCTGTGTATAACTGTGTTTGGAGAAAGGACTTTACAAAGGTAGGTAAAAACGAGGTCATTAGCCAGGGTCCTAATCTAATATGATTGGTTTCCTTATAAGGAAAGGATATTAGAACATGTATACACACACAGGGAAGACTATGCAAGAATACAGGGAGAAGACAGCCATCTGTAAACCAAAGACAGAGACCTTAGAAGAAGCCAACCCTGCCGACAACTTGGTCTTAGACTTCTATCCCACAGAACTGTGACAAATTTTTAAGCCACTCAGTCTGAGGTACTTTGTTTTGGCAGCCTTAGCAAACTGATACATACCTGGAATCAAAAAGAACTAGTCTGCATAAAATTTGTGGTGGCATGGTTCATATTTACATTTAATTTTAGGTGAAAAATATTGCCTTATTTAATTTGGCCTCACCTAAGTATGACACAACTATATTAAATTTATTAAATTATGTATTTGTTTACCTGCTAGGAAATTTTAGAGTATAAAAGTTTAGAATATAAATCTTTTAGGTAAAAAAACAGATAAATATTTTTGTCATAATCAATGTTCTTCACCATTTAGTTACATACTAATACATGAAGACAAAACATTTTGTACAATTTTTATGTTTGTAAATAACACAAATAATCTTTTTAAGAAACAAGTATAATATTTTAGGTCTGTATTTGGGCTTATGCTATCAGAATATACAACATCTGTAAATAATAAAAATAACAAAATATTAAAATATTACATTTGCCAGTTTACTTTAAAATTCAATTTAAATTATTTTAAAATTGCCTAGCTTAAAGTTTCAAAATGTTGTTTCTTAAAATGAGATACATAATGGATATTACCTCTTTTAAATATATTTACCACTAATGAAAATTTCATAATGCCATATTTGCATTTTTATTTTTTTTTTAAATTAGGTATATTAACTTAATATTCACTTTATATTGTGGATGTTCATCCAATTGGATGTTCACCCACTTTTTAATGGGGTTTTTTCTTGTAAATTTGTTTAAATTCCTTGTAGGCTCTCGATGTTAGACCTTTGTCAGATGGATACAATGTATTTTTCTGTGTTTCTCCTCTCTGTTCTCAAGACTGTTTACAGCACATAATATTCTTGTGGAAAAATACTAATCCCAAGGTAAATTGTTACCTATCTATTGGATAAAACACAAAGTAGAGAATATTGTTTATGACTCTGCAAATTTTTATTTGTATATAACCTACATTAGAACTCACTGTTGGAAGCTGCTTGGGATAAATTACAGAGAAATTATCAGATTTTTAAATTGATTATTATATACATACATATATATATATACACACACATACATACAGAATTGTGTAGTACTAATGATTGTCTTTCTCATAATTTTTAGATATATTTTCTTAAAGGGAAAATCAAATTGTGAAAAAAGAAAATTTACCACAGTTAGCCAAATATCCAATAGAATTTGAGAGATGCTGCAAATTCTTTAAAACAAACAAACAAAAATACTAGAAATTTTTATTTGGACTGTTTCCACTGTCAAAACTTTAATTAAAAAATAATGAGCTGGAAGTAAATTTGCCTCCAAAATTATACCACAATGTGATAAAATCCCATTGATATTCTATTTTTGCTTTCGATAACACAGTGATTGTTAACATATCTGTTTATACTTAAGGTTAATCTTTATGTATTAGACATAAGGTTGTATATAACCTTTCTAATTAGATTTCTGTGAGCATAACTTACCTCATTATTGATACTGCCAGGTTTTAGAAATTGAGATGTACAAAATTTTCTGTAAGGGGCTGGTAGATGAATAGGGAGAAACAGGCTAACCTAATTAAACATTCATGCCTTGAGTCTTATCACAGTAAAAAGGAGAGAAATTTAAAGAAGTTTAGGAATATGTTTCTCTTGAGAATATGTAATGTGAACTCACCCTTGAAGAAACTGTAATAGTTCAACAGGCAGAAAAAACAGGTAGATTCAATTTAGCACAGAACGTATCAGGCAATTATGAAAGACAAAAGGACTGTGAGATGGCCAGATATATTAGGAAATAAATGTTCTTTTACATGTTAAAGAGTGGATAAAAGGAAATTAACATGAAATATTGTTCCAAATGATAACATTAAGAGTGGTTTGATAATCAAAAGAGTAGTTTTTACCAAAAAATTCTAAACTATAGTGAGATATTGAAGAATTTTGAAAGCAGTTATAGGGCCTCTGAATCTAGTTACAATATGGTAGAGATTGAAACAACTAGAATAACCTGAATAAATCATATTTTCAAGTATATCAGATACTCATTAAACAAATAAGTTTAGTTAAATTAAAATTCCAGAGACTAGAGATAGTTTGACTTCTTCTTTTCCTGTTTGGATACCTTTTATTTCTTTCTCTTGTCTGATTGCTCTGGCTAGGACTTCCAGCATGTTGAATAGGAGTGGTGTGAGTGCGCATACTTGTCTTGTTCCAGTTCTCAAAAGGAATGGTTCCAGAGTTTGCCTGTTCAGTATGATGTTGCCTGTGGATTTTCATAGATGAATCATTATTTTGAGTTATATTTTTTCAATGCTTAGTTTTTTGGGATTTTTTTGTTATCATGAAGGGATGCTGGATTTTATGGAAAGTGTTTTTTCCGTGTCTGTCTAAATGACCATGCGGTATTTGTTCTCAGTATCTGGGTGACAGATTAATTCATACTCCAAACTTCAGCATCATGTGATATACTTATGCAACAAACCATCATGTGTACCCTTTGACTCTAAAATACAAGTTGAAATAAAAAATCCAGAGGAACGAACGGTACTATCTAGGTGACATAAGATCATCAGACATTGCCACCCTCACTCTCCAGGGAAAATTGTTGAGTCTGAGTACAAGGCGAAGAATAGGTTTAACACAGGTAGAGGGATGCAGTGGCAGGAGAAACCAACAGACCTTTGGTCAGTCAGGTAACCTTGCCTGAGAGACTGGAATCTAGAACATCCCCAAATGCATAGGGAATTATTCCCATTGGATATTTGCTAAGGGCTGAGGAGGTGAAGTGAAATCTCCCATGGTTACATGACATTTTAGGCAAGAAAAAATCATTAGGTAACAAAACCTGCAGCATACATGTGACAATTTATTTTTTTATCAGGATTTTGAAATCAGAGGTAAACTGGATTTAGCTGAAACAATCAGCTGATTGGCTTCAGATGATCAGGTTTTTATAGTGTCTTCCTGATTGAGCAAAGAGTGAATTTTCCCTGGTGAAATTATATCAAATTCTGGATCCACATTTTTATAAACAAATTTACAGCATATAATTTCATGGCAGACAAAAAGGGACATGAATGTATGAGTGATATCAAGAGAGAAAAAAGAAGCTGACTTCCAAATGATACATCTGTAGGAACTAGCATACCCTACCCAATTATAAAATAATTATTATAAATACATCAAGAAAAATGGAAGAAATAATGGTGTATATTAAAAAAGCAGCAATGTATTAAAGTAAAAAGAATATTCTCATACTGAAAATCACAGTATCTGAAAATAATAAGGTACTGATTTGGCTTAAGTGGAGACTGAAAATAGAAGAAAAGAGTTGACAACTTGAAGCAAAGTAAATGCATAACATTCACAAAAGAATGAATAGAAGATACCAGAGAATAAAGAAGATCTGAGACACAGTTTAAAGTTACAACATATGTATGTGTTGTCTCAGGTGGAGAAACAAGAGAAAATAATACAAAAACAATTTTAGAAGGTTTATAATAGCTTAACTTGTTAAAAACTAGTAAAAGACTTTAGTCCACCTATACAAGAATTTAGTAAACCTCAAGTCAGATAGTGTACATACACACACAAGGTAAGAAAAAATAAATCAAAGTACTAACAACAAGCCAATGGCTGACTGTTGAGACCTACAGAATCCAGAAGAAAGTTGCCTCTTTTTAGAAATCTGAAAAACAAAATAAAAAAATAAAAAATAAAAAAGAACAATAACAACTACCTGATCACTGGTAATTTTCTCTGATTTAAAGTCTAATTTGTCAAGTATTAAATTGGCCACTTCATTTTCCTTTTGCAGGCCTGTATTTTTCTATTTTCTTTTACTTTTAACTTGTTGACATCACAATGTATTCATTTCTTTTTGTATCCAGTATGTATTTGGAACACATTTTATTTATTTTAATCTGAAATTTCCCTTTTAAATTTTGTTTATATAGGCCAATTACTTTAGATGTATTTATTTAGAATTCAAATCTAGCATTTTATTATTTATTTTTGTTTGTACCACCTGTTTGTTGTTGTTGCTCTCCTCCCTATTCCTGCCTGCTGTAGAATTATTTGAATACTCACATTTATGTATTGACTTCTTGGTTATATTTCATTGCATCATTTTTCTTTTCTTAGTCACTGTATAAATTAAACTATACTAAACTACACTTTCACATTCTATTTAGTTAACATTGTACCAATGTAGAACTAAAATGTTCTCATTATATTTTGCATTTATTGTTCTATTTGGTATTAGTTTTATTCCAAGTGAAATTTATTTTAATTAACTTAAGTGGGAAAATATTTTATTTATGCAGTTATTTACCATTTTTTATTGCCTTTCCTTTAAGCTTTACCTTCTAAGTTTAATTCTAATTTGACCTTTTTTTTTTTTTTTTTTTTTTTTTTTTTTTTTTTTTTTTTTTTTTTTTTGAGACAGGATCTCTCACTCTGTCACCCAGGCTGGAGTGAAGTAACACAATCATAGCTCATTGTAACCTCAGACGTCTAGGCTCAAGCAATCCTCCCATCTCAACTTCCCAAGCAGCTAGGACTATAGGTACATGCCACCATACCCAGGTAATTTCTTTTACTTTTTTTCTTGGTTTTTTAATTCTTTTGTAGAGACAGGGTCTCACTATGTTGCCCAGGCTGGTCTCTAACTCCTGGCTTCAAGCAATCCACTCACCTTGGCCTCCCAAAGTAATGGAATTATAGGCATGAGCCACTATGCTTGGTCTCAACATATTTTTTAATATACTTTTATTGGCTGAAGTCTTTTAGAAATAAGAACTATGTCTTTTACATTTCAATTTCTTCCACATGTCCTTATGAAGTGATTTAATTTTAAGTGATTTAATAATTTACTCTATGAGTTCCATAAATCTATATGAATAGTAATCTGTATTAAATATTAAATACTCTTCAAATTATCATTTTAAATATAGCAGAACTGAGATAGTTATATTAGAGAGAATTCTTATTTTTGCCATATTTATTACAATTTTTGTGTTTGAAAAAAACCCAACTACTGTATCACAGAAATACATTTTCTTCTAAGTTAAAAGAAAAATTTAGCCACAATGATGAACAATATAAAACCTTAGATTTACATTTCATTGCACATTAGATTTATGATTTTGGGGTTTTCATAACTACGTATTTCAACACTATTTCCTTAAGTACAGCGATATCATTGATGTATGAAATGAGGAAAAAACCATAGTCATAAGCTTCTTTATGCAAACAAACAAAAATATATAAACATAGTTTTGGTTTTTTTTTTGCATATGACATGATCTTATGTGTTTATATTTTGCATACAAGATCCACTCTCTGGAGCTCCTTTTTGCTTCAAGGTTGCTTGATGAAGTTCTATTTAACTTTCAGGGAACCATTGTTACAAATTTTGGAAGTCTTTTTTTAAATTTTTATGTAAAATATGTATTTTTTAAAAAGTTTATGTGCTTATTGCAGGAGATTTGCTTAATACAAAAAAAAGAAAAAACACCATCATTTCATAATTCATAAAGAGCTATTGTATTTGTTTACAACCTTTCAGATCTGCCTATACATGTACATTTTTTAAATAAATCAACATAGTTATCATCCTATTATTGTTATTCTTTAATCTGACATTTTTACTCTTTAAACAATATATTGTGACCATATTTTTTGGTCAATAAATATAAATCTACATAGGTAATTTATCTATGGTGTTAAGTTATTGGCCAATTTCTAAATTATCTAAGTGATTATTAATTAATATGCATTTAAATTTTTCTCAATTTGTCACTATTGAAAACAATGTATATTCTTGTATATGTTTTTACACGCTTGCCAAATAATGTCTCAGATGTTTATAACACTTGTTTTTAGTCAGTAAATGTTTTTAAATTAATCATTTGATTCTAGAAGTTTTAGATAAACATTAAGAATATGAAGATAGTAAAAAGAATTTCCTTACACCCAACAACCAGTTTCCTCTGTTACTAGGTGAGTGCAAAAGTAATTGCAGTTTTTGCATTGTTGGAATTTAATGTTTGATATTGGAATACATTCTTAAATAAATGTGGTTTTTTTATACATCATTTAATGAGCAATTCTTGCTTTATGTTTTTTGCTAATGGTGTATTATTTGCTGTTTATTTTAGACTATGGAAATAATGTTAGACAAAAAGCAAATTCAAGTGATTTTTTTATTTCAATTCAAAATGGGTCTTTATTAAAGCAGCAGAGACAACTTACAATGTCAACAATGCCTTTGGCCCAGGAACCTGCTAATGAACGTACGCTGCAGTGGTGGTTCAGGGAGTTTTGTAAAGGAGAGGAGAGCCTTGAAGATGAGGAGCATAGTGGTCGGCCATTGGAAGTTGACAATGACTAATTGAGAGCAATCCTGGAAGCTGATCCTCTTACAACTACACGAGAGGTTATTGAGGAACTCAACATAGACCATTCTATGATCTTTTGGCATTTAAAGCAAATTGGAAAGGTGAAAAAGCTTGATAAGTGCATGCCTCATGAGCTGACTGAATATCAAAAAAAAAAAATCACAGTTTTTGAAGTGTCATCTTCTCTTATTCTAAGCAACAACGATGAACCATTTCTCTATCTGACTGTGACATGAGATAAAAAGTGGATTTTATACGACAACCAGTGATGACTAGCTCAGTGAGTGGCCCAAGAAGAAGCTCTAAAGCATTTCCCAAGGCCAAACTTGCACCAAAAAATGGTGATGGTCACTGTTTGGTGGTCTGCTGATGGTCTGATCCACTAGAGGTTTCTGAATCTTGGCGAAACCATTACATCTGAGAAGTATGCTCAGCAAATCGAGGAAATGTACCAAAAACTGCAATGCCTGCAGCCAGCTTTGGTTAGAAAGGGCCCAATTCTTCTCCATGACAACACCCAACTGCATCTCGCACAAAAAACGCTTCAAAAGTTGAACAAATTGGACTATGAAATTTCGCCTCATCTGCCATATTCTCCTGACCTATCGTCAACTTACTACCATTTCTTAAAGCATCTCAATAACTTGCCAGGAAAATGCTTCCACACCAGCAGGATGCAAAAAAAAAAAAAAAAAAAAAAAAAATGCTTTCCAAGAGTTTGTTGAATCCCAAAGCATTGACTTTTACACTACAGGAATGCACAAAGTTATTTCTCATTGGCAAAAATGTGTTGATTGTAATGGTTCCTATTTTGATTAATAAAGATGTGTTTGAGTCTAGTTATAATAATTTTAAATTCATGGTGCAAAATCACAATTCCTTTTGCACTAACCTATTGAGAGCTTACTTTAGAATAGCATATTTTTTACAATTACTGAATCAATATTGGTGCATTATTATTAAGAAAAATCCGTACTTCATTCAGACTTTCTTAATTTTTACCTAATGTCTTTTAGTTGCTGTTGTTCTAGGAGCTTATGCAGGATACTATATTACATGCAGTTATTCTGTCTTTAGGCTCCTCTTGGTTGTGACTGTTTTTCAGACATTGTTTTTGGATGGCTTAGGAGTTTTGAGAAATACTGGTCAGGTATTTTCTACAATATCTCTCAGTGGGATTCGTCTGATGTTTTTCTCATGATCAGACAAGAGTTTTTGTATTTTGGGGAAAAGACCACAAAAGGAAAGTGCCTTTCATGAAGGCGTATATACTAACAATATGAATTATTACACTTAATGTTAACTTTAATCACTTAGGTGGGGTCCGTTATCCGATTTCTCCTCTGAAAAGTTACGTTTTTACTACATATTGATAAATTATAATTTTATGTATTTATAAGGTGAAAAGTGATGTTCTTATTTTCTAATACAAGGTGGAAAAATTAAATTAGGATAATTAACGCATCCATTGCATCAAATATTTAATATTTTTGTGATTACTATTTTTTTTCCTTCTTTCCATTCTATACATTTTGGAAGAAGGTTATTATGCACAACCCATGCTTAAAGAGTAGGCAGTTGTACCAATTTACGGTCCCACCAACAGTGTACATGTATACCAATTAGTACAGCCACTATGAAAAATGGTATAGAGGTTCCTCAAGAAGGTAAAAATAGAACTACCATATGATTTAGTAATCCCACCTCTGGGAATCTATCCAAAAGAAGGAAAATCAGTATATTGAAGAGATATTTGCATCCTCATGTTTATTGCAGCACTGTTCACAACAGCCAAAATATGGCATCCACTTAAATGTCTATCAACAGAAGAATGGATAAAGAAAATGTAGAATATATAGACAATGGAAAATTACTTAGCTCAAAAAAGAATGAAATATTTTCATTTGTGGCAACATGAATGCAACTGGAAAACATTACATTAAGAAAAAGAAGCCAGGCACAGAAACACAAATATCATATGTTCTCACTTATATGTGGGAATTAATGTGTCTCATGAAGGTATTTAAATAGAATGGTGGTTACCAGAGGCTAGGAAGAGTAGGGGAGATGGGTAATAAAAAGAGGATGGATAATGGGTACAAAAATGCAGTTAGGAAAAAGAAATAATTTCTAATGTTTGATAGCATAGTAGTGTGACTATAGTTAACATATTTTATTATATATTTTAAAATATCTAGAAAAGTAGATTTGGAATGTTCCCAACACAAAGAAATGACAAATGTTTAAGGTGATGGGTATCATAACTACTCAGATTTCATTACTACACATTGTAGGTTTGTATCAATATATCACATGGATCAAAATATCACAAAATATCCCATAAATATGTACAACTATTTGTTGTACATAATGTTTTTTAAGTGAGAAGTTGTACTCCACCTCCTTGAAAGCAGAGTATTTGCACAAATTATTTAAGATCTTCTGAGCTGGAAATTTGTTTATTCTTTACATTTATTTATTTATTCAATTATTTATATGAGCAAAGACTCAAAGATATTCATTTTACACATTATATTCTTATTCAATAATATTTTATTTTGTTGCTCAAATTGTTTCAACTTTGACCTTTGCGAGCTCCGGCCCTTGTGTACCTCTCACATAACCCCATAATTGTGCCTATTTTTAAAGTACCTCCTATTAATTAGCAAGTATAATTACTCTCCATGTTAAAAAAAAAAGAGAGAGAGATAAATATAAACTGTATAAAATTTAACAAAAATTCCCAAGTTCACATGAAAAGAAGTGACTTACCATGATTGTAATTCATACAACTTGACTCCAGAGCCATACTCGTGGTTATGAGTCTTTCGGTTAATGGTTAGGCAGCAGAAATTTGAATGGATAATTTAAAATATCATTTTTGAATGGATAATTGGCTGTCTGTTTCCTTTTAAGTATAGCCAACTGGTTAAGAGGAGCTCAAGGGATTTGATTTTATAAGTGACATCTATATTGGGAAAAATAATGCATTGGTTACCTAATGTGATTTAGAGTCATTTACTGCTGAATTTATTTATTTACTTGAGAAATGTTTACTTTGCTATTACAGTGTCATAATCTTATAGTAAATATAAAGTCCTATTCTAATTTATCAATAGTTTATGACATTTTAAGTCAAAGTTTGAAATATAAATATATACTACTTCAAATGTAAAAATAATTATAACATTATTTTTGTGCACATCTGCTGAATGAAAAAGTAGAATGTACAGTAAAGCAGGACAAATTATTGTGTATTAATTTACTGGACACTGAGCATGAAACTGAATTAGTGTATGAAATTTCACAAGTTATCCTCATGTTTATAAGCTTAAAATGTCTCAAAGAGTTGAGAGACACATCTTCATTGCGTCTTCCATCTGCCTACTCTTTTACAGTACAAAAATGAGTACCTGAAAACTAAAATTCATTTGGCTGTAGATGTATATCTAGCTGTTTTATGTCTGACAATTAATTATACGTGTGGGACCAGCAGCAAAGCAAAGATATACAAATAGAAAGTAAATTAGTCATCACTGTATATCTCTATATTAAGTAGATTGAATAAAATTTTTTAAAAAATGATGTGGGACAGATAGAACCTTGATATATGGATTAAGCTAAAACCCTGTTATTGGTAACATTAAATTTGTTTTAATACACTCATTTTTCATACTGTTGCCATAAATAGGATTTTTGTTTTTAGTTATAATACTGAAATTGTATGTTGCTTTGATCAAAACTTATATCAATGATTCCTTTGGCCAAAAAACAATTCATGTAATCAAAAATCTATTGTAAAATGTCCAGCTTCATTTTTAAAATGATTTAAAAAACTAGTAACTTACTTTAACACTGATTTATTTAAATTGTTTTTTAAAGAGTGAAATAGAAAGAAGAAAATCTATTCATTTAGAGACATTTAGAAACACTCCAGTGCTTATTATCAACACCTCTCATGCAAAATATTTAAAACCTGATGATACAACTTTACAGTAATTGAAGTGTAGAAGATCTAGAGTCACAACAAATCAATACTACTATATAATATCATTGTGATACATTGTCTTAACCTTAAATGGTTTATATTACCTGGTTATTTTTAGGTCATTCCTTATGAGGAGTTGTTGTAACCATTTAGGGAGAAATAACAATAGAATTACATTTAAATATATGCATTGTCTAAAATGGGAAGTAATGTTTTTAAAAAAATAGATATTAACTACTACTAGTAAAAACTTAAATTTTCTACTTATTAATTTTGTTGTAGTTAATTATATAGATGATTACTTTATCTTCCGGGTTTCAGGATAACACTCTTAGCTAGACCAATATTTTACATCTTACAGTCGAAAATTCTCTCCAGTTATTTATTTGTAATTTTCTAGAAAATTAACTTTAAGAGTTTGTTAAGTTAATAAAGGCTGGTGATTTTCCTTTACAAACAAACCTTGTGGTGTAAACCACTGTACTACTTTCTAGGGTATAGTGCATCTCTAGACTCTGAGGACTTTCAGATTTATCATAATGAATTTCTTTGCTATTTATTTTCTTTGATGATGGCTTCAGTTCCAATTATCCTGGATATGCTAAGTAATTTATCACTTGCTACCTGATTTGCAGTTTCCCTTGTCATTGCACTTGATATCCATAATTTTGTTAAATAAAAAATATTTTAAGGAGGCAAATAAAAGTAAATTCTTTCTTTCGGATAACACTATATTTAGGCCTGTGTCAGGGAAAAACTGCACACTGGATGGAGTTAAGAAGCAAGGAAAACTTCATTCAAAACTATTACAATGAGAGAGAGAGAACCTAAACCCACTGAAACAAAAGGGGGGAAGTTTTAAGCACTGAGGTGGGCTAGTAGACAAGGAATGGAGGACACTGAGAGGGTAAGGGGTGGCTGGTCAATGTGGTTAGGGCATCTGCATTTGCTGACTGGTACTTAGTGATGTCAAGCTTCTACCTTCCCATAGAGACTGGGAGACAGGGTCTTTATCCTCCTTGATAATTACACTTCAAATAATGACTACCAGGTCTTTGAAAAAGGCATTTCTAGACTGTAAAACTGTCAAGACATTGGGAGAAGATTTATATCTTCAATGGGCAGAGAAAGAATCTTCTATTATAAGTTCTCTAAAGAAATTGCTCTAAGCAAAGGTAGCTTTAGGGTCTAGAGTCAATAAGAAGACTGACCAAAGTTTAGTCAAGCTGAGGAAACTTTAAAGCCATAATGATCATTTGACAAATATACAGATTTTTAAAATACAGCCAGATTGTTTAACAACTGTGCAATGTAGCATTTATGGTACATATTTGTACATATCCATTTTAAACACTATGTTATTGGGAGTGTAAAAGAGAATCAATGTGCTGCTGGAGAAACTGTCACCCTAGAGATCAGGAAAAATGTCACAGAGAAAGAGAAGGTGACACTTTTTATGATGCAAATTGCTTCAACATCAAGAAAGAACCTCTAGAGGTTTCTAGCTCTTCCTTGATTGATGGCTACATGGAACATTTCATTGCAGGAAATCCAATATAATGTGACTATTAGATTAACATATAATGACAAATGAGCTTGGTCTAATTTTGGGAAGTTTTATAAGAATTATTTTAAGTAGTATAATGATTTGCAGATTACTAATTACCATATGTTTTATTTTAGACTGTCTGAAAGGATACTTTTATTAAATGCTTTAAATTATTCTATTATAAAAGAAAGCATATTTTTATTTGTAAATTTCCAGAGATTATGTATTTTAATTCTGTCTCAAATGTACTTAATACATATTTTCAACAATTTACATGTAAAAATATATTACAATATAGGAGTGAGACATGTTGTAAAATAAAATGTCTTTACATTTTAATCAAATAAAACCAATGCAAATGTTTGTATTTTATATTTATCCTAATCTTTAAGGAAATGTTGTAGTAGGATTCACTTTTAATTTTCCAAGTTTAAGGTAATTATTTTAATTTTGAGTAAGGAAAGGATATTCCTTTAGCCTCATGTTATTGCAAATGGAGTTAAAATTGTCCTGTATTAAAATAAGAAAGAAATGGCAAAAGTGGATGGAAGTTTTAAATTTTGTGTTTATTTTTAGAGCCAAGTGAATTTTCCATTGATATTTTAGAATATCTTTAGAATATTATTATATTTTTATTATTTATTATACAAAGTATATTTACTTTGTTTCTTTTATCTTTGAGGATTGTTTTGCCTTATGATGTGCTTGATTGGTATGCAGTATTTGTAAGATATAGGCAAGGAATGTTATAGAATAATTGTGAATATTACCTCTTTAAATATTATTGCATATTTAAATTCTCCTAGGCTATTTTTGTGGTTGGAGAAACTGAGCCTCAGATAAGTAACATGTATATAATCACAGGACGGTTAGTGTGTGGGGCTATCCTTGTAAGAAATGTATTTTTCTCAAGCTTGGTAGAAAATAGAAATATCTCTCCCAAAACACTAACACACGGGAGAAAATGAGGCTAAAACAATGGACAAATTAAAATCTAAGAAATCAGAAATAATGTCCTGAAGCTATCAGGTTCAGACCAGAGGCTTATATAGAAACTACATAATGATTTCTCAAATCCCCAAGCAAAAACTCAAGTTACAACAAACACATAAATAAATATATAAATAAATTAGTAAACAAACAGCAGGAAGGTCAATAATGTGAGAATGAAAGTTTTTCTGGGTCATTATCAAGAACTTTTCCTATTTGTAATTTTCATTTATGTATTAGGCAAATAGTGGTTCTCGAAAAGACTCTTCAGGCTTACAAGGTCATGACTTTATCTTGGCATGCTCCATAAATTGTGACTCTTGGCGATAGTGCCAAGGAGAATCAAGTACTTTACTCATCATGTAAAATGCTTCCCAGATGTTGAATTTCAGGATGTCATCTGGAGTGCAAAATGAATAGCATGTGCTAGTGGGTCACACAGCAGGTAGAAGAAAAGATTTATGTATTTGGAAGTGGCTGACAGAGATATAAAGGCAAATGGTGTGGTTTCCATGAACCTGAATGTTCTGTATCGTACACTTCTTAAAATGCCTAGTTCTTTCTATTTACACTGTGAAACTCTTGCCACAAACTTGTTTAACAGCATAACTCATTGTAGCCATTTGAAAGCAGAAATGTTTTGTAGTATGTAACAAATACCCAATGTTTTATCAGGAATACATTGTTTATATATTTCATCTTATATTTATTTACTCATTCATACTAAATCAATTTGACAATTTACTCATTTATTAAGAAATATTTAAAATTTGTGGCTAGTGCTTGGTAGAATGATGAAGATAGGTAAAATTTCTGTTTTCAAGCCATTTACATTGCAGTGAAGAGGATATAAAACAAAATAAAAAGTAAGTGTACAGAATATCAGGTTAAAAGTTACGAATAAAAATAAAGCAAAGTAATGGTGTTGAGAATAATGTGATTGTGGGAAATATTTTAGAAATAGTTGACAGAGAAGACCTCTGCTATAAATTTCACTCAGGAATCTAACATTAGGTGAAATAGGGAGTCACGTGGTAAGTGTAAATAAGTGTAAAATTACCAGTAATTAAGGTCTTTGAAAACTATGAAAGAACACTTACTTTAATAAATGTTTAGGAAATGTTTTTCAGAGTATATGAACCCAGTTTTAATGGGTAAAATCATTTTAGAAATATATATGGCCACCAAGAGAGCCTTTTAGGAAGATGGACATACAAACACAGGTGATGAGATAAAGAAATGAATAGCAATATTAATTAGAACATCCATATAAAACATAACATTGCATCCACATTCACCCCTAGAAAATGAAATGAAAAGTCAACAACAGGTTAACAACAGTTAAGTAGGTGGACCCAGCTATAACTTTTGAGACATAATCAGAAGAAGCCTTATACATCCTTATTGCCTGTCTTAGTACATCCATGCTGTTATAACAAAATACTATAAACTAAGTAGCTGTGATCCCTAGTCTTGATAAGCAACTCAGTAAAGTCTCAGGACACAAAACTTCAGTAAAGTCTCAGGATACAAAAAAGACAAAGGAAGTGAGAGATCTCTACAAGGAGAACTACAAGGAGAAAACACCCACAGAAGAAATTGGACATGACACAAACAATGGAAAAACATCTCATGCTGATGATTTGGAAGAATCAATATCATTAAAATGACTATACTGCCCAAAGCAATTTGCAGAGTCAGTGCAATTCCTGCCAAATTACCAATGTCATTTTTCACAGAATTAGAAAATAAAATTTTAAAGTTCAGATGGAACCATTTAAAAATGGCCAAATAGCCAAAGCATTCCTAAGCAAAAAAAAAAAAAAAAAAATCTGGAGGCATCATTTTTTTCTGACCTCAAATTATACTACAATTCTATAGTAACTAAAATAGCATGGCAGTGGTACAAATATAGAAACATAGATCAGTGGAAAGAATAGAGAACACAGAAATAAAGCCACATACCTACAACCATGTGATCTGGGATGATGTCAACAAAAGTAAACTATAAGAAAAAGACAGCATTGTCAACAAATGGTGCTGGGAAAACTGGCCAGTAATATGCAGAAGAACAAAACTGGACCCCTATCTTTCACCATATGCAAAAATTAACTCAAGATGGATTAAAGACCTAAACGTAAAATCTGAAACTATAAAAATTCCAGAAGACAACCTGGGAAACCTCTTCTGGACATCAGCCTAGGCGCAGAATTCATGACAAAGGTCCCACAAGCAAGCACAACAAAAACAACAATAAACAAATGATACATAATTAAACTAAAAAGTTTTTGCACAGAAAAATAAACAATCAACAGAGTAAACAAACAAACTACAGAATGGGACAAAATATTTGCAAATTGGCCTCTGATATACACCCTGAATCCACAGCGAATTCAAACAATTCAACAAGAGAAAAACAAAAAACCTCATTAAAAACTGGGCAAAAGATATGAACAGATATTTCTCAAGAGAAAAAAATGTAAGCAGCCAACAAACACATGAAAAAAATGCTCCACATCGGTAATTATCAAAGAAATAAATTGAAACCATACTGTGATATCATCTTACACCAATCAGAATAGCTATTATTAAAAAGTCAAATAAAAATAACAGATGTTGTCACAGATGCGGAGAAAAGGAAACACTTATACACTGTTAATGGGAATGTAAATTAGTTTGACATCTATGGAAAATGGCGTCCATCCAGCAATCTCACTACTGGGTATCCATCCAAAGGAAAAAAAAAGCATTATATAAAAAGACATTGCACTCAGCACTATTCACAATAGCAAAGACATAGAAATAATCTAAGGGTCCACCAACAGCTGACTGCATGAAGAAAATCAGGTATATATACTACTTGAATACTAAGCAGTTGTAAAAAGAAATGAATGCAATTATGTCCTTTGCAGCAACATGGACAGAGCTGTAGGCCATTATCCTAAGTGAACTAAAGCAGAAGCAGATCAAATATCACATATTCTCACTGTTACACAATTGGTACATAGAGTCATAATAATGAAGATAAAAGACACTAGGAACTCCAAAATGGGGCATAGTGGGAGGGAAGTGAGTGTTGAAGAATTTCCTATTAGGTACAATGTTCAATATTTGCGTGATGGGTCCACTAGAAGCCCAATCCCCACATTATGCATGTAATGCCCTAGCACACATACCTCCTGAACCTAATTCAAAAAAAAAAAATAAGAAAAATAAATAACAGAAATTTATTTCTCACAGTTCTGGAGGCTGGAAAGTCCAAGATTAATGTGTCAGCAGATTTGGTGTCTAGTGAGGACCTGCTTTCTTATAGACTGTGCCTTTTAACTGTGTCCTCACATGGTGGAAGGGGTGACCTAGCTCTCTGGGGTCTCTTTTACAGGGGCACTTATCTCATTCTTGAAGAGAAAGCCCTCATGACCTAATCACCTCCCAAAGGTTCCATCTTCTAATTACCTTGGTGATTAGGTTTCAACATATGAATTTTGGGTGGACACAGACATTGAGACCATAGCATCATTTTAAAATTCATTATAATTTTAGAGGTGAGAAATCAAAGGCATGGATGCATAGGCAACTTTGTCAAGTTCAAATAACTAGTGAGTGATGTAAGGAAGCCTGGGTACTGGCCAGGTGCGGTGGCTCACGCCTGTAATCCCAGCACTTTGGGAGGCTGAGGTGGGCGGATCACGAGGTCAGGAGATCGAGACCATCCTGGCTAACACGGTGAAACCCTGTCTCTACTAAAAATACAAAAACAAAATTAGCCGGTCGTGGTTGCAGGTGCCTGTAGTCCCAGCTGGGAGGCTGAAGCGGGAGAATGGCGTGAATCCGGGAGGTGGAGCTTCCGGTGAGCCGAGATCGCGCCACTGCACTCCAGCCTGGGCGACAGAGCCAGACTCCTTCTCAAATAAACAAAAAACAAAAAAACAACAAAAAAAGAGAGAAAGCCTGGGTACCTCTGGATGTCCAAAGATATCCACATGCTATCACCCACAAATTTTAAAATGCAGTTTGAAAAAAATGCTTTTCTGATAAAATATATCTCAATTCCAATAGGATGTTTGCTATAATGATTTTTTTTTAATTGTGGGCATGAGCAGATTTAAATTATATATAACATTATTTTAAAGAACATATCCTAAATAACAAAACTGGATTAAATACCATTATCAGTCATTTCAGTAAACGGTTAAACCAAACTGGATTTGTGCAGGAGCCTATTGAAGTGAGAAGGAATGAAAGCCAGTAAAAGTTGTAATTACGTATAAAATTATTTGATGGAAGTTTTTAGAAATCAGTTATATAAAACCATCCTTGACATTTAATTTCTGGTTCTCTTCATGAGGGACAAGTAACCTAAAAACCCTCTTGAGGTGCTGGCAACCCATTATTCATCTTAAAGTAAATATTTTGATTAAAAGCAGGCTGGCCTACTTTTTCTATATGTTATAATCTGTATTGAAATGAATTTCAGTGGATGAAATTGAAACAACCTAAGAAAATAGTCAAGTCTGAAAGAAATCTAGAATTTTTACCAGTTTTATATTTCTCCTGAGAAAGATTCTTTTAAAGAATTTTAGTAGACATGGGAATACTATAGGCTTTTATGTTTAAACTACAGGTTTATTTTTCTTATAAATAATTAGAATATAAAATGCATAACCGTTTTTAATTAGTTATATGAAATAAAGAAATAGCAAATACAGGAACTGTCAAACAGGGAGACTTGGATTCTCTTAGATGCTTATGTGTCATTTTAAAAAATTATACTTCTGTTCTATTTGTATCTCTTTAACCCCAAACTGTACAACTGCAGAAGCAATCCCTGATTCTTATTTTGTCATCCAAATAGCAAATACATTTTTCTCCACAAATTCACATATGTTCCACATTTATCATCCTCACTAAATACTTATCTGGGTGCTAGTCTTTTTCATACATTACCGATAAAATTTTTTCTCTGTCTTCAAATTATATGAATAAATTGTCAAATGAGCAGTTACATATGATTAGAATAAACAAAGACAATATTTTGGTAATGAATTAGGCAGTAACTATGATGTGCAATAATAATAGTACATACTTGACAACTACTTATTCATCTTAGACCCTTAAAATGAATTTTTCAAATGCTAATGTAACTACTAAGTTGTAATTTCTAAACTATTAGGAATATTTTATATTTTTCTTTTTACTATTGATATATATGTTTGATTTATGTCATCATATTTAATTAACTTATAAACTCATATTTTAGTAATTTACTTTTCTAAGAGGTGAAACTGCCTCCTTCCTTTTTAATAAACTCCACTATGGATTTTTCAGACGTTAACTGCACATCCAGGGACATTTCTATAATCACATTTTGTATGCACATATAGAAACTCACAATTTGTAAAAAATTATGAATAATATGTGTACCGCCACCAATTACAAATATATCTATATTCCACATTGTTCCTAATTTGGTAAAGAACATGTGGTTATGATAATATTTTGATATTATACTTCATCAAAATTCTATCAACAAAAAAACTAACGATTGGATTTAACCTGAACTTAACTGAATTTATAATATCAGTCACAATGATGTCAAGTGTTTTAATTTATACAGAATGAACTTCCTAAGTTTTACTTAGGAAATTTGATGGACAAAGCAAATCATTACGAAATTTAATTTCTTTATTTTATATTCTCTTGAAATATCAAATGAGGCTTATATAAAAAGGACATCATTTAATTGAATGTGAAATTCCATTTCTGCTAATGGGACTGACATATCAGCAATCATTACTTCACTATTCATACATGTAAAAGAAAACATGAAAGCAAAAATGAGCTAAATAAAATTAGAATGATCATTTGATCTAAATGAAAAGTCAGGCTTTAAAGAACAATATGTAAATATATCTTCTGCAGTTTCACAAGCTAAATTGTCAACTTCAGGTCATAAAAATCACTGCTATTTTGAAAGTGGATGCTGACATGGTCAGCGGTTACCAGTTCCTCATACTGAAATGGTAAATGTCAATAAACACTTTGTAAAAATTACACATTTATCTTCAAATTCCTTGAGAAACAGAATTCATTAGACATGAATTTTAGCTCAATGTGATGGGAAATTACTATTGTATAACACAAAAACAATTACTATAAAATAGTGTGTCTACAATAGTGTCTCTAAACAGTCTCTATAGTAAGTGACAAATCCATCACATCAAGGGTAATTAGCCTACTCTCTTTAAGTTCTATACTAGTACTGTTCATACTTAGTCTTATTGCAGGCACATATCTTGCATGTAATTCCCTCCCTATTTCCCACTGTACCTGCCTATTAGCACTCTGGAGGCTTCATGTATCTTAAAGACCCGCAGCTCTCAAGGTATCCCAATTGTCTAGCATACTACTGTTCCAAAGGGTTATAGGTATATTTCTCCTATTAGCACCCAAGACTGGAAGAATTAGCAGTCTCTAGCTTCTCCCATCCAAACACACCTTAAATATTTGAGTGCCTGTGTGTTATCTATTGTATTAGTCCATTTTCACACTGCTGATAAAGACATACTTGAGACTGGGCAATTTACAAAAGAAAAAGGTTTAATTGGGCTCACAGTCCCACATGGCTGAGGAGGCCTCACAATTATGGCAGAAGGCAAGGAGAGGCAAGTCACATATTATGTGGATGGTGGCAGGCAAAGAGAGAGCTTGTGCAGAGAAACTCCCGTTTTTAAAACCATCAGATCTCTACCCATTCACTGTCACTGTCACGAGAACAGCACGGGAAAGAACTGCCCCCATGATTCAATTATCTCCCACCGGGTCCCTCCCACAACACAGGGGAATTATGGGAGCTACAAGATGAGATCTGGGTTGGGATACAGAGCCAAACCATATCATTTATAGAAGATATGTCTATCCTTTTCAGCATCAGAAAAAGTGGAGTTATGAATGATTATCGTTCACATTAAATTATTTATTAAAGGGAGAACTATGTTGACAACAAACATACATCATACATTATCAGAAAAGATGTTAGAGAAACTATAAGTATAGAATGACCATCTACAAAATTCTGCCTGGTTTATTTTATATAACCAGTCATTATTAACCTTTATTTAAAAAAAAAAATCTAGAGTCGGGTATGGTGGGCACTCACCTGTATTCCCAGCCACTTGGGAGGCTGCAGTGAGAGGATCCCTTGAGCCCAGGTGTTTGAGGCTGCAATGAGCTATGATCACAGCACTGCATTCTAGCCTGGGCAACAGAGCTTGACCCTTTCTCTTAAAAGAAAAAAAAAATCTAGTAAAAAACTGTGACAAACTAATACCAAAAAATAAACTTAACCACAATTATGAAGCCCATTAAAATTGTTTGGTTTAGTCCAAAATATTTGCATCTGCAGAACAGAACAGCATGTAACAAATCCTTAGAAGGGGTCTATATTATTTAAAACAAACCAACAAACAAAAGAACTTTAAAACAGGGCATGGTGGCTCACGCCTGTAATCCCAGTACTTTGGGAGGCTGAGGTGGGCAGATCACCTGAGGTCAGGAGTTCAAGACCAGCCTAGCCAACAAGGTGAAACCTCATCTCTACTAAAAAATAGAAAAATTAGCCAGGGATGGTGGAAGGTGCCTGTGATCCCAGCTACTTAGGACACTGAGGCAGGGAGAATCACTTGAACCCAGGAGGAGGAGGTTGCAGCAGTGATACGAGACTGTGCCACTCCACTCCAGCCTAGGTGACAGAGCAAGACTCCGTCTCAAAAAAAAAAAAAAAAAAAAAAAAAAAAAAACACTTTGAAAATGACCAAGGATATTTCCTAGATAATTTAATCAGATTTTAATGCAAATCTTCTGTCATTTTTAGCAATTTAGCAGCTGCAGGGAATTTTGTAGGCAAAAGAAATTTGTTGCTTGAATTGAGAGCACAGCAAAGGCCCAGGTCTGTGTACCTATTATGATGGTGTTAAATTTGTGAACTTCTTATTAATAATAAAGAAACCTGAATTCATGGCCTATCTGTTGACCTCTTAGCATCAATTATACCATTGGTTATAACAAAATAATACTTATTGCTTGAATAAATATAAGGGTAATATAAATACCCAGTAGATTTTGATTCATATTTGGTCCTTAAATATTGGTTTGTGAGTTACTATTGATGTTCATGGAACCTCAGAAGAAAAATTCATAACACTCTTTTTAGCATTATATTCTTAAATTATTTTTCTATTTATTCTTGGTCTTCTAAACAGAATGTACTTTATTTTAGAAAGAGAATCTCTCTTTTGTCAATGCTGGTTTTACAGAACCTAAAATTAATGAGAGAAATAGTTTTGAAAGAATGAAATTGCCTGCCTTTCTGGCTCATTTAGAGCCTTCAAAACGAGTATGGGTTATATCATAATAAATAGTTTAATTTAAAAATAAATTTATTAGTGTACAAATATTCAAACATAAATGGCTATAAGGAAATTTTTTGACTCATTATTTCATAAAATAGAAGGTTTTAACCCCACTATCAGTGACAAAGGTGAAGTTGAATATTTGCCTGATGCTTTGTATTTTGAAAGGTATTTTTTACCTGAGTTAGCATAATCATTCTAGAAAGTTTAGAAAATATGCCTAACTGAAAAGAAAAAAATTAAAATTACCTGTGATCTCACTTTCAAAATTGATCACTGTTAATATTTCCGATAACATGTAGGATGTTCTTATGTGCAATATCCCATATTTAAAAAACACTAGTCTATAAGATTTTTTAGTAATAATAAATTATGATATGTCCATATCATTTTAAAAATAGGGGCAGATTATTCAGTTTGTAAAGATGAGAGGGGGAAACAGTAAATATTTCTGTTGGTTAAGTCATTTTAACACAGTCACAGCCTTCTAAAGTTTGTCTTACTTCAAACATCTTATGTAACATACACTTGGCAGTAAAAGGAAAGGATCCAACTGAGCCAGAAAGGCAAAAGCCGATTTCATTCTACTAACAAGTTTCATATTTGGATAATTGCCGATGTTGTTTCACTTTATTGACAGAACCTGGTCATATCTGATATAAATTTTGATATAAATATATGTTTCTTAATTTTCTATTTATGTATTTAAAACTACTATCTGCATAGGTTTCTTTCATAGGTGCTGAAGACAAGAGACTATCAGCCACATGTGATATGAAGTATATTATAATGTGGTGAAACACATTACAGACAGTGGTACAAGTAGTGAATTCTCCCTGAAACTAGAAGGACAATAATTCGGTAATTATTCTGACTCTGTTAACAAAATTTACTAGAAAGACTAATACATGTTCAAAACTGGGTCATGCTGACAGCACATACATACAAACTCTTGCCTAGCTTTCCATTAACTGACTCATGAAGACACCAAAAAGCCAATCTCTTGCAATGGCAATGACTCCTAAAAAGATGAAGAAAACCATGTGAAAAGTGCTGCGGAGAGCTTCTGCAACTGAAGACTTACCCTAAACATTCTTTCATTTATTATTTAACAGAACTTGTAAGGACTGGAGGGGAAGTAGGGAATTTTGTTTTATCTATAGAATTTGTTTGCATCTATGCAGGACATAAAGGATTCTTGGGTTTGAGAAACAGCCTATCTTTACCCCACTTCATGAGGAATCTTTGAAATTTAAGGAAGTGTTTTCTCTTTTCTATTTTCTAACCCTAGTTTTCATATATGATTTCAGAATCTATAACTCTCAGCATAATAACTACCAAATAAAAAAGGAAAAGCAGTATAGTCTCACATCCTGAGGTATGTAGTGGCCTCAACGAACATCACTCCAGGCAGAGCTGGGGGTTATTTGAGCCCAAGAGAAATGTATTATGGTGATTTAATCTTTTTTCTAATTTACTTTATAAAAACAGAACCTGTATTCAGTGGCTTCACAGGTCACACTACATCCCAAAGATCAAGTGCATTGGAAATGGTTTAGAGTATAGTCTTTTCATGTTCATCAATTAATCGTTATTTTAGAGAAAATATCTTTAACATACAAATGATGTGTGGGGTGAAGAATACTCTAAACGTATACCTGATACAGAATATTGAAATTGATAGAATTTCTTATTTCAGAAAAATGAAACATAAATATAGAAGTAATGTCAAAAACACACTCTAGAATTTTTGGGGGAAATGTTATGATACAAAATAAATAAACAATGTCTCATCCTGATCTCTTGAAAATAGAGAGCCTGAGGTAAAGTTTAGATGTCAATGTTTTATTGGAGGAGTGGAATTTCAGCTAAGCAAAAAATGAGAAAATACATGAAGCAGAAAATCAGGGCGTTTTAAGGGACTGTACGTACCTTCACAAGTAATCACAGCTGAGTGCCTCGTTGTAGGGAAAGTCTTCAAATACGCTATAGGGATACAAAAATATCTCAGATCAGGTGAAAATATTTCAGATCAGGCAATTGACTGAAAGATTGATGCTCACTTATCTGATGCCTCTTTCTCATTTGTTTTTACTTGGTCAATGTTTGCACCAGAAAATATCAACTCTTTAGCAATTATTGATTTTGTTAACCACCCCTCATGGGCAGCTGCTGTGAAAAGCAGATGTTCCCTGAGGCCGTTCCCATTCGACTTAAACCTACTGAATCTTCTTCAGCCCCTACATCACATGACAAATACAATGGATAAGTGATCAGTACACTTTTAAAATACAGGGCATGTATTTTATGTAATAAATACTTTAGAATTTGTGAGTCATTAGTTTTCTTGCCATTAAAAAATAGATAATATAAAACTAACAGGTGTCACTATATTCAAATTAGACAGTATATAAAAATACAGATTGTAAGCTGAATATAGGCCATGGATTTACCAAATCCTTCAATAGAGGATATGCCAAGGTCTGCCCGTCTCTTGGAGACCAAAGTAATCAGTATTGTTAGAAGATAAGACACCATTGTTGGGCCGCTCCTAAGTGTGGGTTCCCTGAAGGGCCACAGTTCTCTCCTTTTCTGTTCTCTCCTTCTCGTCGCCCACAACGTGGCTAGGGGCAGGGCATGTTTCAGCCCTGTTCATGTTACAGCTCTCTAAATTCCACCATTCGGCAGATCCTGTGTTCTTGTTCTACATCCAGGAAGAATGAGGTACACGGAAAACTGGAGGATGAGCAAGGCAAAGAGGTGCTTTATTGAGCAACAGTACAGCTTTCAGGAGACCTGAAGTGGATAGCTCCTTTCCTCAGGCAGGTTCTCCCAACGTCTCTGCAGCCCTCAGCAGAGAGAATACCCAGAGTGTGTAGCTCCTACCTACAGTCAGGTCATCCCAATAAGTGTCCAGTTCTCAGCAGAGAGGAGACCCAGAGTGGGTAGCTCCTATTGGCAGGCAGGTCATCCTTTCTTCTGTGCAGACCTCAGCACCCCCTCGACCTCCCTCGCATGCTCGTTGGCACCCAAATTCCGGAGAGGGATGAGGTGGCAGGGGGCTGGCATGTCAGCACCGCCGTGAGTGCACACACACCCGAAGGGGTCGTGATAGCGCCCAGGCTCGGCCCAAACTTTGCACCAAAATCAGAGCAGACACCAGGAGCAGGGAGAGGCCAGGCAGCGGAAGCAGGCACTCCCACGCCTGCAGTGTCCAGGGGTTTCCTGAGCCCTGAGAGCACAGGGATGTCCAGGTCCACAACTATGGCTGGGCACCCCACCAACTCAGAAGAGGGTGGGGCCCCTACCTGTTCTGGCTCCCACGGGCTTCGTGTAGCTCTCAGCCCCAGCCAGGCCTCCCCTGCTGCATCTGGCGTCTTTGTGGCAGCCACTCAAGATGGGCTGCTGCTGCCATCACTATCAATTTAATAAATAAATAAAATAAATGTTTCAAAAAGGCCACCTGTCTTCTGTGTGCTATTGCATAAGAGGGACAGGCACACATCTTACATATATGATGTAGTTGTGAGAAAATTTTCAAGTAAAGAAGTGATGGTTTCCATAGTTTTTTGAAGTCTCATTATTCCAAAGCAGAGGCAATGCATAGATATTTTGTAAATATGATTATTCCAGCAGAAAATAGTATTCCTTGGCCAAGAGAGAGCAAGCCCTGTTCCCACACTGTGTCACATGTAGTTAGGTGATCCCAGTGAGTCACAATATGTTTCCTGGATCAAAAGTATGAGTGTCACATGGGAACTTAGAAGAAATAAAAATTATAAGGCAACTCCCCAGATCTACTGAATCACAAACTCTGGTGGTGAGGTCAGCAATCTGCGTTTAATAAGCACTCAATATGATTCTAATTAAGGTTTGAGAAACACTGGGTTGGCCTAAGAGGAGTGGGAGGTAAGACTCCTTTTTTCTAAGAAGTAATTAGGAGATATGTGGGCCCAGGAAAAGCTACGTGTGTGAATAGTTTTGAGTGTCTGGCCAGGTCCCCCTGAGCCAGCTCTCTGCTCAGTTACTAAAATGGGGAAGAAATAAGACTCAAGTGCCACCAGATGCTGTGAAATAAAACAGAATGACAATGATCCTTTATGCTAGGGTTTTAGAAATTTTTTTTGGTATAGATACCACCAGGTAAAATAATTAAATTATTTCGATATATTTTTCAGATTGCATTTCCAAATTATTTGTGATTCATGTTTTAAAGATATTCAAAGTATGAAGCTATTACTTCTGGTTAGATCTTTTCTTCTTTTAAACAATTTGTAACCATATTGCATGGAAACAGCTTTATTTTGATTTCAATTCTGTTTTGGATACAGCAATATAGTCCTAACACTCTTTAATACAAAGACATACAAGTTATTTTAAAAACCCTAATTAATTTACATTTTGTGCCAATATCTTGACCAGTGGCTTAAGGAAAATGTTTCTTCTCTCCTATCTCCTTTCTTTCTCTTTTTGTTTCCTTCCACTTTGAAATGTCTTTCCTATCTTTAGTCCTTTCTTTCTCTTTCTTTCATCTCTAGGGTTACAAACAAAAATCTACTTATTCTTAATGCAAAAAAGACAACATATTGTAAAAAAATTTAATATGATGAACATGAATTTTTTAAGGAACAGAACATTACCAGTATCTGTACAATCCCTAGCAGGCCCCCTTCTAGTCACTACCCCATACTATATATTTATATGAGTGTATAATTTTTTCTATTTTTCACTTGTATAATTGAAATCAAGCAATATGGTCTGCATCACTTTTAATTCTTTGTCATACAACTAAAGCTATGAAACCATAACAAGAAATGCAGAAGGCATTTGCAGATGATTTTTAAATTTATCATCATCAGTAAGTAATATAATATATTAGCACATTAGAAATTAGTATTGATTTGGACCAAGTATATCAAAGTACTTGAACTATTGCAACCAATATTCCCTAAAATAAAATAGTTCTCTTGTTTTATGCGAGAACCTGCATTTTGCTTTTGTTTTGGGTTTCTTTGTTAATTCAACTCAATTTAATTTTAATAATTTAACCAATTATAATAATTAATTACATTTAATTATGTAGATTTAATTAATGGAAATCAAAATATTGATGAAACTAATAATTAAATCTTTTTTAAACTCTTTTCTATCTCATATAGAATATTTCAAATGATGTTTATAATTTTACTCATATATATTCTTATAATACCGTAATTTTGCCTTTTTTATTTGCCTAAAGAATTGTACTACATAAATTATTCTATTTCTTAGATTTTCACTAGCACTGTATTTTTATATCTAGTTTTTGATGTTTAATAGTGATATGGCATTATATTTTTCTAATCTATTGGAAAGTTTTATAAGGTTAGATGTGTTTATTTACTATTGAATGTTTGTAAATCCTTCTTACAAAAGAACTTGGTAATCTATATTAGTTATTTATTATGGGAAGGTATTAAAATATTGGCTCCAATTATAAAATGGTAAGACCATGCAAATTTTCTATTACTCTTGAGTCACTTCTGGTAATTTTTTAGTTTTGTTTTACTTCTTTATTATTGGTATATAATAGCTGTATAAATTGAAAGCCTTTCCACTTAGAATGTTCCCTTTCACCACTTTTATTCAACATAGTACTGGAAGTCCCAGCCTGAGCAATTAGGCAAGATGGAGAAATAAATGGAAAACAACTTGAAAAAGAAGATGTCAAACAATTCTTTTTTGCAGATGGCATGATCTTATATTTAGGAAAACTTAAAGAATCCACTAAAAAACTCTTAGAACCTATAAACAAATTCAGTAAACTTGCAGGATATAAAACCAACATACAAAAATCAATAGTGTTTCCATACACAAACAGCAATCAATATGACAAAAATAAAGTAATCCTATTTACAATAGCTACAAAACAATAAAATACCTATAAATAAATTTAGCTAAAGAAGTAAAATAACTCTACAAGAAAAACTATAAAACAATGATACAAGAAATTGAAGAAGACAGAAAAAAAATGGAAGGATATCCCATGCTCATGAATTGGAAGAATTGATATTGTTAAAATGTCTATATTACCAAATACTACAGATCCAATGTATACTATAGATTAAATGCAATGCAATCCTTATAAAAATACCAATCTGATTGTTCACAGAAATGTTTGTTTTATTTCTGTTAAAATACATCTATTTATAATATATATTGTATATTTAATTTCTGTTACATTCATATTTGATGACCTCTATTTCATTCCTAATATTGTTTTTATTTCAGTGTTATCTTTCCCTGATAAATCTTGTAATGTTTTATATTTCTTCTATTTTAAGTCTTTTTAAAAAAATTAATTTGAGATATTGAATATTGTCTGTAGGATACTTGTTTTCTACTTTATTGTTTCCTTCTCTTATCTTATTATTTCTTCTGCTTTCTTTGGTTTTATTTAGCTCTATTTTTATTCCAATTTATATTTTAGAATATTCTTTTCAAATATAAACATGTAAGCAATGGTGTTCTGGCAAAAAAAAATAATAAAATGTATGAATTGTAGCATTTAACTGTAACTGTAGTGTCACAGTGATAATGGTGGAATGGATGCTTCCACCATTCAAGCTACCAACGTGATGTCGGCAAGCTCATAAAATTTCTAAAAATTTAACAATGGACATGCTCAAGTAAAAATGAGCCATTTCCATTATAAGCCTTCATTTAGGCTATGTGTTATTTTGTGAAGACTGTCTTGGTTGTATTCCACAAAATTATAAATGTAGCATTTTGTTTTTATACAGTAGTAGTTGATATTTTCAGCATTTATTTCAATTTATGATGCAATATTTTTGTAGAATTTTTGAATTTTCAAGTATACAAGCTTGTCTAGCTACCTATTCTGATGTCAACTTACTCAAAATTTAATTATGAAATATGACCATTATGATATCTAATTGTGGAGATTGAAACTTGCTTTATGGCATAGCATTAGATTACATTTAATTTTTGTAAATGAACTTAGAAGAGTGCATATTCTCCAATTTGGAAATGCAATATTCAATGTATACTCTTAAGATTAATTTTGATAATTTGTTTCAAATACTCTAAATGAACTGTTATCTAACTTACCAATTACTCAAAGGAGACTGTCCATATATCAATTTCACCATATATGCATATAGATGCACACATATATACATGTATATTTTTTTCATGTCACATATCTAGGACTATACAATTTTTTAAAAAGCATAGCTTCCTGGTGAATTCAAATTTTAATCACTATGCCTTTACCCCTTCTGTTTCTAATAATGGTGTTTGGCCTTACAGTCTGTTTTGGCTGATATTTATAAAAGTCAGCTATTTTTATTTTGATTTAATTTATTTGCTTCCTTTTTCCTGCCATATTTTTGTTGGAATATAAATTATATTTTTAATCTCTAATATTTAATTTATAAATAATAGTGTTATGGCTGTTCTCTGCTATTTTTCATAGTAATCTAATTGATTTCTGTATTTTATTATTCCATTCTAAAAAATCCATTATCTCAGGTTAAATATTCAATCATCTTATGTCAACTTTTCTATTCATTTAATCCATTCTTTATTATGTATATTAGCAATTATCTTCATGTAATAAAATATTTATTGATTCATAAATGGCTTTAAGTTTTAGGATTTTCACCCTATCCTTATGATGATTTTATACTAAATATCATTTATAACCACAAAAAGTAAACTAGCATTTCATCTTTTGTTTCTGAAGACAATTCTACAGCTCTTTAAAAATACCCAAATTGAAATGAAGTAGTTGAACAGACGAAATGGAATTAATATTTTATTTAGCCTGTAAAAGTTTGATATTCTTTATCAAAATCCCCATATTAGTCAGATTTTCCAATATTTAGAGTTAAAGAATGAGAATGCTCCAATAGATGAAGACTTGGGATGGTGTAGCTGTCATTTTTCTCTGCCAAGGAAGATTTATATCATCACATTTCTCCTGAGTGCAGATGGTATCTGGTAATTCAATTTAGATTCAGTGAGTAGAAAAAAAAAGAGAAATATATACACAAATAATTCTCTAATGTGTTATGCATTAGTAAAATGGTATTCATTTGTGTGTAAATTTGCTTAATTGTATTAATAAATGTAAGAAATGATTCATAAACAAGTCAATCATATCTGAGGCAGAAAACATGAAACACCATTTTTATATTCAGATTTCTTTGAAAAACAGGTGTTTAATTCATAGTAATTAATTTATAATAATCACATGCCATTAATAGAATTATATTTGTTAACCTGAAGAATATAATTACAATGACTTGTTAGTGATTCTCTAACAAATCAAGATAGATTATGTATCTGATCTCTAATTTTACTGATACAAAGTTTAAAATAAAAAGGGGATTAATAACAAGGTAAATTTCTCACAGTAAATAATCAGAAAGATCATTTTTTAAAATAATGTGCTTTGCCATATTCAGAGCTTTAATTCATTCAATGTATTTCTGCTCATCATATGCTACATTTCTAAAAAGGAGCCTTAATCAAATCAATTATTTGATCCATATCACACCAAGCTACTGATTTAAGTGAGCTTTGCTATTAATTTTATTGTTTATTAAATCAAATTCCTTCTTAAAAATTATAGAAACAGAAATGTTTTATAATATATTTTTCTCTAATTGCCACTTTTAAGAAAACAAACGATGATAGTTGGCATAGGCTTAAATGATGAAATATCCCCCAAATTTAGAGAATACAACTTATCTTTATGATTGATAAATACAACACAAGGTTCATGATCTATAATGCAGCTACCATATGGAGAGTTCCAAATGATTTGTTTGATAATAGCTTAAAATTCCATAGTTATATTTCTCCTTCTAATAATATATTTAAAATACATAAAAACGTTTAAAGCAATAATCATAACATTATACATATGATAATAATATATACAGGAAATTAGGAAAAACTAAAACTATATTGGAACAAAATTTCTATTTTTCAGCAACATTAAGTTAATGTTATTCTGAGGAATATTGTGATAAATTAATGTAGACATTATTATCCCAGAAGTAACCACGAAAATAATAACTTTTTTAAAAGAAGTTCAACATCAAAGGCATTAAAATGATGCACTAGAAAATAATTAACCCCTCTAATAAAAATTACAACAAACGAGAATAAATCTAAAAATCCATGACATATAGAAAATAAGTAGCAAACTGTTAGGTACAAATACAATTATATCAACAATAATATTAAATATTGTGGATTAAACATCGTTTAAATAGGAGAGATTTTTAGACTGTACTTAAAAAGAAAAGATTTAGTCCGGGCACAGTGGCTCCTGCCTGTAATCCCAGCACTTTGGGAGGCTGAGGCATGCTGATCACAAGGTCAGGAGATCAAGACCATCCTGGCTAACACAGTGAAACCCCGTCTCTACTAAAAATACAAAAAATTAGCTGGGCGAGGTGGCAGGCACCTGTAGTCCCGGCTGCTGGGGAGGCTGAGGCAGGAGAATGGCATGAACACCAGGGGACGGAACCTGCAGTGAGCAGAGATCGCGCCACTGCACTCCAGCGTGGGCGACAGCGACACTCCGTCTCAAAAACAAACTAACAAACAAAAATTAGCTGGGCGTGGTGTCAGGTGCCTGTAGTCCCAGCTACTTGGGAGGCTGAGGCAGGAGACTCACTTGAACCTGGGAAGCAGAGGTTGCCATGAGCTGAGATCATGCCACTGCACTCCAATCTGAGTGACAGAGCAAGACTCCATCTCAAAGAAAAGAAAAGAAAAGAAAAGATTCAACAATACTCTACCTACAAAAGAAAGATAGAATTAGCCCTTGAATAACATGGGGCCTATGGGTACAAATGTCCTGTACAGTTGAAAATATACATATAACTTTTGACTCCCCCAAAACCTAACTACTAATTGACTAATGTTGACCAAAGTCTTACAGATAACATAGTCACTTAACTCATATTTGGCATATTATAGGTATCATGTACTTCATTCTTACAATAAAGTAAGTTAGACAAAACAAAATGTTAAGAAAATTATGAGAAAATATACCTATTATTCATTAAGTGAAACTAAGAAGAGTGGGAGGAAGAGGAAAGGTGGGTCTTGCTGTTGTAGGGTTGGAAAAAGCAGAAGAAAATCAACCTGTAAGTGGACCTGCATAGTTCAAATCCTTTTTGTTCAAGGGTCAACTGTACTTTAAAGGTAAGACACAACTATGCTAAATGTGGAAGAATGGGAAGAGATATACAATTTTAAGATTAAACTTTTATATTGAGTTGCCATGTATCTATGTACATATATATACATGTGTTTAGTAATAAGAGTTAACAATAATTTATCCTATATTTCAAAATAACTAAATGGTTAGAAATGAAATGTTCCTAACACAAATAAATAATCAGCGCTTGAGTTAATGGATACTGCAATTATTCTGATTTGATCATTGCACATTGTATGCTTGTATCAAAATATCACAAGTACCTCATAAATATGAACTACTATTGTGTATAAAATTTTAAAAATTCATAGGCTATAATGTCAGAAAAAATAAACTTTTAGGCAAAAAATTAAGTTAAGAGAGACAATTAAGGATATTGTATAATGATAAAGGGTCAATATATGAGGAAGGCATAATAATTATAAATGCACATGCATATACAAGATATCACCAAAGCACATGAAGAAAAAGCTGACAGAATTAGAGGCAGACATAGACTTTCAGCAACAGTTGGTGAAGTTCATCACTCTTCAAAATGGAAAGAACTAGAAAGAAAATTGGCAACAACATAGGTGATGTGAACAACATTATCAAGCAAACTATATTAGCTCACATCTATAGAACACCTCACAAAACACCAGCAGAATGCACATTTGTTTCACTGAAATTTTTTACAGAAAAATCATCCACAAATCTATAAAAGAAATCTTAATATTCATACAAATTTAAATCATACAGAATATGTTTTCTAACCACAATGAACTTAAATGAGAAATCAAAAACAGAAGAAAATATAAACAATTTGAAATATTTGAAAATCAAATGAACCACACCTAAATAACAACTGGGTCAGACATGAATTACAAGAGAACTTAGAAAATATTTTGAGCTAAATAAATATAAAAATACAACATATCAAAATTTATTACATGCCACAACAGTAGTGTATAAAAGGAAATCTATTAATGCTAATGTTTACATTAGAAAATAAATGAAGCAAAAAGATGGACAACTATACTGAGCCAGAAGGAGCTTCTCCCACTGACAGACCAGACTATCAAGAAGACAGGCACACTCTAAGCAGATCTTCAGAAGGAATGCATTGAGATTGGATAGAGGGAGGCTGCAGACCCTAGGAGGGAGTGGGAGAAAGTCGGGAATTCTGCATGGGGTGGGTGATAACAGAACTAATTCCTGGCTCTGTGGAGTTCTTGGGGAAGGGGTGAGATAAATAGGTGTGGAGTGTCCCAATCTGACCATGTACTTCTGGAATCCTAGCTGCAGGAGACCCCATGATCCCTAGAGACATTTGAGCTGGTAGGGGCAACTGCTTGTAGAATTGGCAGGGACAGGACTCCAACCTGTGCAAAGCCCAGAAGGGTTGGCATTTGAATGGTTGCAGTGAGGCACATTCAGAGAAACTCAAAGCCCAATGCTCACCATGCTCCTCTAAGTGACTCAGGCCTCTGTTGATTGTCAGACCTCAACAAAACAGGCCTTTCTTGGTGGTGGGATGGAGCCAGTCTGATCTGATTGTCCTCGTGTCTGCCAGCCTCTCCCAAGGTCTCTGCCTGGCTGAACTCACATATAGCACAGCCTCAGTTGTCCAACGGGGGCACTTTCCGGTGGCTACTCCCATAGTTCCTTTGCCAGTAGACCTTGCCTAACCATCAGAAAGCCTCTGCAGACAGGCAACTACTGGCATGCACCCACCTACAGCCTCCTGCCTCTGCTTTGCCAGTGTGCACTCATCCACAGTCCTCCCCAACTGATTTGATGAGTATGTGTGCAAACCTTGTAGCCCTGCCACCAGCAGTGTGCATGTTAGTATGGAACACAATGCCCTGCTGCCCCAGTGAAGCACTTTTGCTGGTATCCCCCAAGAATGTTGTTGCCAGCAGACTAGGAACACATCAGTCCCTCTAGCACAGCAGGTGCTCCACATCGAGGAGCCAGAGAACAAAACCGTGCCAGGGTTAGAGCACACAGCCCTGGAGTGCTGAGCTGAGCCGTGGCCCCTTGAAATCATTCAGAAATGATGCCAGTTGAATGAATCCAACTTATAGCACCGTTAAGTCTTCAAGGTTATCAAAGAATATGAGGCAAAAAGCCTCATTCAAAGGAAAACATCTTCAAAGATTAAGGGAATATCAGCTCACAAAGATGAGAAAGAATCAGTGCAAGAACTCTGGAAACTCAAAAAATCAGAGTGCCTTTCTACCTCTAAATGACCACACAAGCTCCCCAGCAATGCTTCTTAACCTGACTGAAATGGCTGGAATGACAGACACAGAAGTAAGAATTTGGATGGCCATAAAGATCATCAAGATTCAGGATAAAGTTGGAACCCAATCCAAGGAATCTAAGGAAACCAGTAAAATGATACAATAGCTGAAAGACAAAATAGCCAATTTAAGAAAAAAAAAACTGATCAAATAGAGCTGAAAAACTCACTACAAGGATTTCATAATTCATTGAGGAGTATTACCGAAGAATAGACCAAGTTAAGAAAAGAATCTCAAAGCTCAGACACCGGTTATTTGAATCAACTCAGCTAGACAAAAATAAAGAAAAAAGAATAAAAACAAATGAACAAAAGCTCGGAGAAATATGGGATTATGTAAAAAGACAAAAGCTACCACTCATTGGTGTCCCTGAAAGAGGAGAGAGAGCAAGGAATTTGGAAAAAATATTTGTGAATATTGTCCATGAAAATTTCCCCAACCTTGCTAGAGAGGTTGACATTCAAATTCAGGCAATTCAGAGAACTCCTGTGAGACAGTAGAAAAGACAGCCATCCCCAAAACACATAATCATCAGATTCATCAAGGTCAATGTGAACGAAAAAATATTAAAGCAGCTACAGAAAAGGGTTAGGTCACTTACGAAGGGAACCCCATCAGACTAACAGCAGACCTTTCAGCAGAAACTCTGCCACCCAGAAGAGATTAGGAACCTATATTTAGCATTTGTAAAGAAAAAAATCCAACCAAGGATTTCAGATCCTGCCAAACTAAGCTTCAAAAGTGAAGGGGAAATAAAATCCTTTTCAGATTTGCAAATGCCAAGGGAATTCATTACCACCAGACCAGCCTGGCAAGACGTCCTTAAGAAACCCATTATACCAACCACACTCTCAAACTACATCGCAATAAAGTAGAAATTTATACCAAGAATCTCTTTTGAAACGATATAATTACATGCAAATTAAACAACCTGCTCCTGAATGACTTTGGGGAAAATTTAAATTAAGGCAGAAATAAAAAAAAAATATTTGAAACAAATGAAAACAAAGATACAACACACCAAAATCTTTGGGACACAGCTAAAGCTGTGTTAATTTGAAAGATTATAGTGCAAAGCACCCATATGAAAAAGTTAGAGAAATCTGAAATTGACAACCTAAAATCACACCTAGAGAGATGAAAATAACCAGTAGCATATTAAAAAGCTAATCCACCATGATAAAGTAGGCTTTATTCCTGGAATGCTAGGTTGTTTCAATATATACAAATTAATAAATGAAATTTATTACATAAATAGAAATAAAAATAAAAACTACATGATTATCTCAAAAGATACAAAAAAGGTTTTTGATAAAATTCAAAAACACTTAATATTAAATACCCTAAAAAAACTAGGCATTAAAGGAACATATCTCAAAATAATAAGAGCTATCTATGACAAATCCACAGTCAACCCCATACAGAATGGGCAAAAACTGGAAACTCTTCCCTTGAGAACTGGAACAAGACAAGGATGTCCACTCTAACCACTCCTATTCAATATAGTACCACAAATTCTAAACACAGCAATCAGGCAAGAGCAATAAATAAAAGATATCCAAATAGGAAAAGAAGAATTCAAACTCTCTTTGCTGATGGTATGATCTATTACAAAATGCTAAAGAATCTATCAAAAAGGTCCTAGAATTGATAATCAATATAAGTAAAGTTTCAGGATACAAAATCGATGTGTAAAAATCAGTAGCATTTCCATACACCAACAACATCTAGGCTAAGAGTGAAATCAAGAACACAATTCCTCTTTCAATGGCCTCGAAGAAAATGAAATACCTAGGAATACAGCTAACCAAGGAGGTGAAAGATCTCTACAAGGAGAACTGCGAAACGCTGCTGAAATAAATCAAAGGTAACACAAATAAATAGAAAAAACATTCCATGCTCATGGATTGGAAGAATCAATATCATAAAAATGGCCACACTGCCTAAAGCAATTTGCTTTGCTATTCCTATCAAACTACCAATGTCATTATACATGGAATTAGAAAAAAATGATTCTAAAATTCATATGGCAATAGAAAAGAGCCCAAATAACCAAAACAATGCTAAGCCAAAAGAACAAAGCCAGAAGCATCACATTACTCGACCTCACACTATACTATAAAGCCACAGTAACCAAAATAGCTTTATGTTGGTACAAAAATAGACACACAAACGAATGGAACAGAATAGAAAAATCAGAAATAAAGCCACACACCTATAATCTTCTGCTCTTCAACGAGGCTAACAAAAACAAGCAATGGGGAAAGGACTCCCTTCTCAATAAATGAGGCTGGGATAACTGGAATTCAATCATACACATGTTATAAAGGAGTTTAAAGTGTTACTGAAAATATGTAATAATTTAAATGAATTAAATTGTTCTCTATTTTTAAAGAGCTAAATCAGGTGATTTTAGTAAATGTGAATTTCCAGTTTGAAGACATTGCTTTAAACACAAACATTTGCATCTGTTTCTTCTGAGAGTTAGAAGGGGAAATAATAGCAAAAGTATTTCAAGCAAAGAAAAAACAGCCTAATGGTAACTGTCAATTGGCCATAATAAGTACAATCCTAAAGTGGCAGTACGGACAGCCGAGCAGCAAAGTGACGTGAACTGTGGAACTTTTGCAGGGTTCAGTAATTGGCAACATGAGGTAGGTTAGGAGAAAGGGTGAAAATTGGAAGATTGCTTGAAAGTTGGATTTTCTACTTCAAACAATCAGAAGAGGCTGTCTCTCATCATCTTAGAAAATTGAAATTTATTACCCATTGAGGTAGAAAAAGTATCTGGACCACAGTGTTTCTGGCCAAAGTTCTACCACAATTGAGAGGAAGAATACCACACCAAAATAGGAAGTGGGGGCAGCTAAAGAGTGAAAGATTTATATCTTCAGAAACCTGATTATTCCCTCAAAAATGACCTGATACATTGACTCTGGGTATTTTCCAGTAAGATTGGCTAGCTAGGTCACCACATGTGCAATCCACAAACAGCATGCATGTGTACAAATTCTCAAATAAGATTTAATGACTCTTAAACATGAGTCAAGATCACAGATACGAAAGGAATGTTCTAATATTAAACAGACACTTAAAGAAAGCAACTTGGAAAAAACAGACTATGAAGGGAGGTAACTAAAAATAAAATAAAAACAGAAAAAAGCAAAAACTTTCATCACAATTTCAGAGATAAAAGAAGTGCTATCACGTCTGTGAAACAAGATTATGGTACTACATAAATACTTAGAGAACAAAAGAATTTTTTAAATTAAATATATGAGCAGAGAAATGAAATTTAGTAGAAAGACTGAAAGATATTGTTGTGACACTCTAAGAACAAAAGTGAAACTTAAAATTGCAAACCAAACCAGAACTTTTGTAGACCATATATATGTATATAATATAGACAAATTATACATGATAAATAAATGTATATTGATATATGCTTATATATAACTATATATAAAATTTGTCTGTTAAAGGGTAAAGAAAAGCACAATAACACTACACTTAATTTTAACTACCAGTGATTCATGAATAAGGCTGCTCTAAACCAAACGTGGCTGTGCTGAAGGAATGCCAGAGGAAGGCTTTTATACAGAGAACATGGAAGTAAAGTAATGACAATTTTTGACTCATTAAAGTCAAATATATTAACATTATTATCAATACAAAAATAGACCTACAAAGCCTTATTTGGTCTATCCTTCTGCAACATTCATAATTAAATAGCTATAATTAATTGATGGCTTTTGATTGGTTAGCCTTAAATATTTTTTTTTTTAATATGGGTATTAAAATTTTAGAAAATTAAAATTAAAGAAAATATTTTTTCTTTAATATGGGTATGTAGGAGAGATAGCTCAAGTTAAATTATGTTTACAAACCAAGCAAGATTAATATAATATCACTAATGAGGCCTTAATAGCAGGATTAATATAATATCACTAATGAGGCCTTAATGGGTTTGTCTACTCAGGAATTCTCCAGTCTGGTCTCCATTTTAATTTACTCTAACTACATATATATACATACACACACGCACACACGTATATACATGTTATATGTATATGTTTATGTATACATATGCATTGTATACATAAACATATATATGTATATATAGATATATGTTATACATCATAATTTTAATATAGATTAATAAAATACCTCTGATATATATTATATAAAATATAATAATGTAATGCATAATATATATGCATTGATAATGTTAATATATATTTTAATATATTATTGGATATATAGTTAATATATTGTAAATTTAATTTAATAATGTAATACTTAAAAAGAACACAGTTATAATAGAGAGTAGACAATCATTGAACAAATAATTAAAATTTCTAAGTTGCAAGACCCCATTGAGAGACAAAAAATAGATGAAAATAGATCAATTCTGGGGCAAATAAGCCTGAAATTTAAGATTATTTGGGAAAAAAAGAGAATATCCTAGGTGAATTCAAAGAGGAAAGGCTAATATAGTAATGATAAAAAGTTAAATTGACACTGGATTTCTCAACAGCATCTCTGGAAGCTGAGAGAGAATGATGCAATGACTTTAACTTCTGAAGCAAATTTGATTTCCAAACTTAAATTATATCCCACGCTAACAATTATTTGAAAGTTAAGTGTAGATTTCAGATGTACAAAGTCTCAGAAATCTTAACTCCTATGGACTTTTCTTTAGGAAACTACAGTACAGCATACAACAAAACAAAGGAGATACCAAGAAAGGAAATAATATGCAATTCTGAAAAAAAGGTGATCCAACACCAAAGTAGGGAATGGGTAGAAGCCATGTGACACTGTCAAGATCCTCCTTCAGTACAGAATTATGTGTTACTCGCAGTGCTGGGAGGGCCACCTGCAACAGCCCTGAGCTGCCAGCCTTCTGAGAGTGCCTTAGCTGAAGGGAGCAGCTGGCCACTCACCCTACCTTGGGATAGCTGTGTACTTTTGTATATAATCCCTATATTTCTAAATGTCATGCTTATACTCTCATTGCTCCTTGGTTTTTCTGTTTTTGTCATTAAAACAGAGCTAGGGTTGGCTACTGTGTTTTTTTGTAATAGATAAATTTGTAGATTATTTGATTCTTCAAAATGTATGTATGTTTAAAAAGCAAGCTTACAATGTAATGCATTATCATGATCAAATTGGAGTAACTGAGATATATATCACCTCAAGCATTTATAATTTCTTTTCATTAGAAACATTCCCATTTCATTCTTTTAGTTATTTTGAAACATACAATAAACTATTATTAACTATAATCACCCTATTGTGCCAGAATGCTGGCTTGTATTGATTCTATCTAACTTTATTTTTTACCCGTTAACCAATACCTCCTCATCTTCTCCTCCCCACAACCCTTACAGCCTCTGGAAACCATTATTCTATTCTTTATTCAAGATTTTAACCTTCTTAGCTTTTACATATAGGTGAGAACATGCAATATTATAAAATTAAAATAAAAAAATTAAATAACATATCAAATAAGTATAAAAAAATGGTGACCTAAATGAAATAAGTCATGAGGTAAAAGGCATTTTCATCCCTTTTGCATTACTAAAAAGGGTGGCTATTCTAACCATCACTAAGAGTAAAGACATTTCCTGATATAAAGATGTCTCCAGAGTTTAAGAAGTAGAAAAAAATTTATTGCTTTATACCTTCTTTACATATTTAGTTTTCATAATCATTAATCTGATATATCAGAAATGAGTTACTTGCCTAAAAAATTATAGTTTTGTTGAAACAGCAGCATAGCATACTATTTGTAGCATCTGTACAATGTGATAATAATTTTATTACTCCTTTACTCTTCTTGATGATATAAAAAACTTGGTGAGTATATGCTCCTCTAGAAAATCAAACACATATAACTATACAATTATGATAATATTTTCAGAGACTAAAATTTTTATTATAGGTGAAGAAAAACTCCTTAAATTATAAAGCTAGGTAACTCACAATGTTTTACAGACTAAAAAAAAATACCTTTCAAGAATTTATTTAGTTTAATAATAAATTTACAATCCACTATTTAAGTATTAGAATTGTTGAAGTATTTAAATATTTACTACTGGGAAGTCACTTACTTACTTTCATTTTTGAAGGATAAAATTCATTACAAATATAATATACAGCCTGCATTTTCCAAATTCTATTTTGTTTCAAAAACGTAAAAAAAGCCAACTGATCAGATAAAGACCTTACAGATATTTCCAAGATGAACTACCACAATGCTTTGATTTCTTCTGCTTTTAATGACAAGTTGAGTTAACTTGAGCGAGGTCTTTTGTGTGCACGGGTTAAGGGCACTTTCCTAAAAAAAGTCTATAAAAAGTATCAAAAAGTATCAAATCCATGTTGTATAAGAGTGTGTGTGTGTGTATCTGTGTGTGTGTGTGTGTTTGTGTGCTTGGACCCAAATATGAAATGCAAATTTTGTGATAACTGTTTTTGTACCATCTGTCCCTGACCCACTGTACTTCCTAAGTTCTTATGTAGCTTATGCCCATACCTAATGCTATGTATCCCGAAAGATTTGTATACTGCCTGATGATATGTTCCACTTTTAATTATTTTATATGCAGTATCAATGTATTGGCCCATATTCTATTCAAACTCTGAATTTATAAAAGTGAGAAAAACACACCCCTATTAGTGGGCAACTTTCATTGTAGTACTGTTTGGACTTTATTCTTTATTTTAAGAAGCCAATGGATATCCCCGTTTTTTAATATTGCCTATGATAAATATGTTCTGTAAAATACAATAATATATCTAAAATTTCAGGAGTCTAATGGCAGATAGATAGATAGATAGATAGATAGATAGATAGATAGATAGACAGATATAGATATATATACCTAGCAACAGATTAATTACTGGGAGTTTTCTTCACTACAGAAGTAGCCCACTCATTCTCAAGATAAAGATGTTGAACAGAAGATGAGTACAACAGCTGATATTTTATAATTTTCATATTGTACAGCACACATTTATTTAATGTGTTTTTCCCTGAAGCTTTGTACTCATTTTTTTTTGCATGTATCTTGATCCAAACAATTTATAAAAACCAATTAGTTGGGATTTTTATATATTGCCTGATTTAGAGCCATTAACCCATTTTAGTGTCTCAGGTTCACAATTTCTAAGACAAGGGTAAAAATAATCATACACTGAGTGATATTTAATGGCTAATAAAAGTACCATTTGAAAAGAGAATTAGTAGTATAACCTTTAAGCTCAGGCTCTCCTAGGTGTAATATATAGCCTTAGGAGAAATAGTTTTTAATTAATTGTGTAATTTCAAGTTTTGTCTTTTCATCACTGTGTTCCCTTTTCAGAGAGTCAGCTATGTAATTACAGACTCAGATGAACACAGATACTTGTGACAAGTAACTATAACCAATAAACTCCAGAAAACTGCTTTTATATCTTTTACTGATTTTTGTTTTGTCTTTCTCTTTTCCCAAGAAAAGTGAGAATAATTTATTTGTCCTATCAAAGTATTTTATGTCATTATTATTTCAGACTATCATGACTAGTAGGCTACAGGTTGAGAATTATGTTTGAATAAAGCTTGAAATGACATTATAATTTTAATTAAATAATATATTTGATAAAAATATGACTTAAAATGTGTTCCCTTGAAATGAGCATTTTTCATAAAAGAATACAAGAGCAACTCACATGTGTTTAAAATTCTATTAAAAGAGGAACAAATTTTTTTATTTGGTTATAATAAACATGCTAGATAATGTATTAATATGTTGTGATTTTAACTTTCCTTACTAATACTTTTAAATAACCTAAATATTTGCATCAAAAGCATACAACTGTGGACAACTGTATCAAAACAATATAGAAAAGTAGATCTGAGAACTTTCAAATTATAAATAAAATTTTCTTACAAATGGAAACACATTTGAATAAAGATTATTATGACCATTGATCTCTCTATTAGTCAACATAATAAACCAAGGCTAATCACTGTTTACTGTTCATTCAGACCAGGTTACATATATGGCAAAGTTACTTGTCTACCTGAATATTAGGTACAAAGTTACAATTAGACAGGAAGAATAACTTCTAGTGTTTTATTATACAGTAAGTGACAATAGCTGACAATAATGCTTTGTATGTTTCAGGATAACTAGAAGAGATTATCTTGAATTCTATCATCACAAGGAAATGGTAAATGTTTAATGTTAAGGATGAGCTAATCACACTGATTTAATCATTATACAATGTATACAATACTGAAACATGATACTTTAACTCATAAATATGTACAAATATGTGTCAATTATAAGTAAAATGAAACAACAAAACCCAAAACTGTCTCAGTTTGTTTAAAAGCAAAACAAAAAACCCACAAGATGAATATTATGAATATTACATATATTACAAATGATACAACCATTATTTTCAAGGGTAATACTTCTTCTTAGATTCTATTTATATGCTGATTATTTTCTCTAATTCCAGATTCATGTATCATTGTGTTTTAATTATGTTTTATAAATGTGTATTTTGTAGTTTATTTTTGTCTACATCATGAAAGTTCTTTTCAAAAGTCACCATCAAACAATTCAGAAAAAAGACTTGTTTTAAGTGTAATGTTGGAAAAATTAGCTGATTTTATCTAGTGAATAGGCTGTTATGACTTTGAAGGAAAGAAATAGATACTAATAATACTTTAATAATAATAATAATGAAATGTGACAGACTCATTTAATAGCTGAAAACACTATACGCTATTTCTAATGAGCAAGTTGATTAGATATGATTGAAATAGATTTTACACTTACTAACAAAAAAATTATACTACTTAGAATACATTTTGGAATTTGGGGTCTTTGAATTGCTATTTGATTCTATAATCTCACCATACAGAATATTCTTGATTTACATTTTACATTTATTTTTAAAGTTCATAAGGTCAATAGGGTATACAGTGTTATAACAATAAAATATTTATATTTATCTTATTTAAAGTTGCATATTCTTGTTTTTTCTCAATGTTTTCTCCCTCCAGTCTTATTTTCTGCCAGAACTTTTGTTTCACTAACACTGACACTCATTTCATTATGTGAACCTTTTTGGAAATCTTTTATCATATTGCCATCTCATAGAGGATAAATCTATCTACCAATGTTATGTTCACAGCTGTTCTTCACCCTGTTGCAGTTTTTCATCCCAGTATTATCACTTCCTTCTCCACACTCCTTGGCATTAATGCTTTATTCTTCCTTTGCTTCCTTTGCCTGGAATGCTCTCCCCTCCTTCCCACATTATGCATCTAGTCTAGTGGCATGTCCTTTAACTTTCACAGCATATATAAGGCTTTCCCTTCTCTACAATAACTTTTTTGAAAAATTTATTCAGTGTCAAGTGACTTTGTGGCTTCTTTTCTATTTACTTATACATTTTTTTTACAATTAACTGTGCATATTTAAATTGTAGAAGTTGGTAAGTCTTATAAGTAAAAATGCATTGTGTTTACACAGTGAACAAATCCATTACCTTCAAATGTTTTCTCATGTTCCTTTTAGTCTCACTCTCCTAATGCTGCCTATTTTTCATCCTCAAGGAAGCATTGCCCTTATTGTTGTCAGTATGGAATAGTTTGTGTTCTCTAGAATGTTACATACATGAAACCATTTAAAATTGTCTTCTTTTTGGAGGCAGGTAATAGTTTGGCTCCTTTTACTCAGTATAATTCTTGAGATTTATCAATGTTGTTGCATGTATGAAGAGTTTTTCTCTTATTGACAAACACTCTTCCATTGTATGGATATGTCCATTTTTTTTTCACCATTCCCCTATTCATAGACATTTGGGTTGTTTCCAGTATTGGGATACTAGGAAAAAATTAGTTATGAAGATTAGTGTAAAAGTTTTTGTATGGACATATATTATCCTTTATTTTGAGTTAATATCTAAGGATGAAATAGCTGGCAGGTATTATGTTCAATGTATGAAGATGCTGCTAAACTATTTTCCAAGGTGGTTATAACATTTGATTTTTTACCCAAATGTGTGAGACTTTTATTTATTCTCCATCCAGAACAACACGGGCCATGATCAATTTTGTTGATTTTAGTTCCAATAATATGTAGGGTTTTCTCATTGTCGTTTTAAGTTGTATCATCTCATCCCAGTTAAAATGACTTTTATGCAAAAGATAGGCAATAAAGAATGCTGGTAAGGATTTGGAGAATAGAATAATCTCATACACCATTGGTGGGAATGTAAAGTAGTGTAACCACTCTGAACAGTTTGGAGGTTTTTTTTAAAAAAAAAAAACAAAAAATAGAACTACCAAATGATCCTGCAATACCATTAATGGGTGTACATCCTAAAGAAAGTAAATCAGTGCACCAAAGAGATATCTATACTTCCATGTTTATTGCAGCAATAATATTGCAGCAGTTGTTTATTGCAGCAATATTCACAATAGCCAAGATATGAAATTGACTTAATTTTCCAGCAATAGATGAACAGATAAAGAGAATGTAGTATACATACATAATGGAGCACTATTCAGCCATAGAAATGAATGAGATCCTGTCATTTGCAACAACATGGATGCAACTGAAGAACATTATGTTGAGTGAAATAAATTAGGCTCAGAAAGACAAATATTATACCTCCTCACTCATATGTGGAAGCTAAAAAATAAACTCATGGAGAAAGTAGAAAGATGGTTTTCAGTGGCTGAGAAAGGTAGCAGAACAAGGGGATAGGAGGCAATGGTTAATGGGTACAAAAAAATACAATTAGAATGAATAAGATCTAGTATTCAGTAACACAATAGAGTGACTGTAGATAACAGTCATTTGCTATATATTTTAAAATAACTGAAAAAGTAGACTCAGAATGTTCCTAACAGAAAGAAATAATAAATAATTGAGGTGATTAATATCCCAGTTACCCTGTTTTGATAATTACATATTGTATGTCACTACCAAAACATCACATATACCTCATTAATATAGACACTATTATGTACCCATAATAATTAAAAATAAATTAATAACTTTAGCCAATGGAAGGGTTTTATAATTTGTACTTAATTATATTGTTTAAATTTAAAAAAATAAAAAATGCTTTTCAAAAAACATAAGATAACAAAAAATTAAGCCATAGACAGAGACAAAGTTTCAAGTAATATTTCTAACAAAAAACTTTCAAAATTCAATAATTATCCATTATTTTGATATAGACCTTCCTCTGATGAATTTGATTCAACTTTTCACTTGCCTGCCTCTTAATAGATTTACATTCCTTGAAATTAGAGAGCTTTTATACTCTAAAAATTTTTTCAGTGATTGTAATAGCCCTCTCATGTAAAAGTCTCCAAAAGTTTGATAAATGCACATATAATTTGGCATTGGTTATATAAAATATATATTTTTACTTATATATTTTTATTCTTGTAGTCAATGGTATCAATGAATGATAAAGTTAAAAGGTATATATTCCAATTACGTTTTTTAAAAATTGCCAGCTAATAGGTAATGGCTTACGTATGTAAATATGTATAAAGAAATAGAAGATTGTCTTATTTTTCAAATAATATTTGTGAGTAAAGATACACAAAGACATCATTAGAAATATCTCTGACATATTTAGGCATTAGAGTATTATTTTAAACTGGGGGAAAATTTTATGTAATCTCTTTATATTCTTCACTGTAACATTTTTAATAACATTTAACAAGGCTATAATTTATTATTTGAATTGAAATATTGCTTTCTATGCAACTGACTTTTCAACATCAGTGTAAAATACGGAGATAGGTTGAGAAGTTATTCTGGTTATGATAATTTGATAGCACAACACGGTGAATACAGTCAACAATAATTCATTGTACATTTTTAAATAACTAAAAGAGTATAATCGGACTGCTTGTAACACAAAAAAGGATGAATGCTTGAGGTGATGGATATTCCATTTGTCCTGATGTGATTTTGACGCATTGTATACTTATATCAAAATGTCTCATATATGCCACAGATATAAATACCTACAATGTATCCAGAAAAATAAAAAATAAAATGCTAACAAATGCACACATGAGTGCATTTGAGTTAAAATTTAGATGATATAAAGTCATATAGAAATTTTAAAAATCCGTCAGAAGAGTTCAGGCGTGGTGGCTAATGCCTGTAATCCCAGCACTTTGGGAGGCCGAGGCGGGTGGATCACAAGGTCAGGAGATCAAGACCATTCTGGCCAACACGGTGAAACCCCATCTCTACTATAAATACAAAAAAAAAAATTAGCCAGGTTTAGTGGTAGTGCCTGTAATCCCAGCTACTCGGGGGGCTGAGGTAGGAGAATCACTTGAACCAGGGAGTTGGAGGTTGCAGTAACCAAAGATCATGCCACTGCACTCTAGCCTGGCAACAGCGCGAGTCTCCGTAAACAACAACAACAAAAAAATTATTCAAAAGTGAGAAGGAACTAGTAACTCTAAGGTATATGGAACAGGAAGACCAGTGTTGAAGTCTTCAATTATACCAATGGTTTATTACATAACTCCTGGAGCCAAGATTAAACATAATTCCAGGGCAAATAAAAGTTTATTTATTTTCACATAAAATAAGATAATACTCTGACTAAATGTATGAGAATTCTTCACATGAATCATAGGTGACAGACTCATTTAATAGCTGAAAACACTATACGCTATTTCTAATGAGCAAGTTGATTAGATATGATTGAAATAGATTTTACACTTACTAACAAAAAAATTATACTACTTAGAATACATTTTGGAATTTGGGGTCTTTGAATTGCTATTTGATTCTATAATCTCACCATACAGAATATTCTTGATTTATATTTTACATTTATTTTTAAAGTTCATAAGGTCAATAGGGTATACAGTGTTATAACAATAAAATATTTATCTTTATCTTATTTAAAGTTGCATATTCTTGTTTTTCTTAATGTTTTCTCCCTCCAGTCTTACTTTCTGCCAGAACTTCTGTTTCACTAACACTGACACTCATTTTATTGCATGAAAAATGAAGCAAACATGCTATTAGCCATTCTTGGAAAATGTTACAAAAAATTTATCCAAAAATGTTACTCAAAGATGATTAAGAGGTTCTTAGTTTGATTTGGAAAGATGTAATCACCTTGTATTAAACTCTTACTGTATCTTAATACTTAATAATTGAAATTAATAATTTATATAAGCTACGATGCTACTCAATAAGCCTTTTTGATAAGCATCTGGGGCCAAGCTACATTTTGTAGCATCTTTCAGTGTTGTTGAATTTTGCAAATGAAAATATTTTAAGACAAATTGCTCTAAACTTCCAATGCCAGCCGAAACCACAGTGACCACTCTGCCAAAACTAAAACACCAGACAACATATGCGAAACAGTAGCTTTCAAGACATTCGCCACAGGTAGGTAAATATTTTCTTTCAGCTTGCTTGACTAAAAGAAGAAATATACAGCTGAAATCTTTGAGCTTCCCATGGTCTTTCCAACTCCATCTATATCATTCCCCCTCAGAAGTATAAGAACCAGTCCACTGAAGGTTCCTCATTAACCTAATTAATGGTACCTCCCTTCTGTTTAATTCACCCAGCTTTGATGTAGGTAGCTGCTTCCTAGTCTCTCTGTAACACCTCAATTCCCGAGTTGGAAACTTCCTAATATTTACATCGCATGAGCATTTCCTTTTTGATTTTTTAGTATTATACTTTTCAGGATTTTCTTGGTCAAGAATAAATGCAGACAGTATATATTTTACCACTTTTTTCTCTATAATTACAAGTGGAATTTAAATTCTAGAAAATTAGTCTCGTAGGGAAAAATATGTTTATTTGTGTGTAACTAACCTTGTTGATTTACCCAGAAAGTATGACTTCCATGTGTCTCTTCCACATCATCAAAGTTCTATAATGCCAACTATTGTACCATCTCTTTATCAGTGTGCAAAGATCCACTCACAGAGGATTTTTCACTGAGTGAATTTGTTCATTTCTTGGGGGAGAATAGAACAAGTTGATGTTCTCCCATGGGACCTAATAAAACCTTATGAACCTCTCTGCCCTGAAACGCTGCACTATTCCAAACCATCTTGGCAATGCTGATGATTTGTAAAAAGCCAGACCAGCTCTAATTCTTAATGAGAATTGTGAGAGAAATACGAATTAAAAGGTTGACTATATGCCACAGTTCAATTTAACATTCATTTCCTGAGTTTCTTAATTCTGGTAAGATTGTGCAGTTAACATAATACTTAACTTTGGATTCACATAATTTCTATTTTACCTTTAAATTTAAAATATCATGCTTCAGTTAAGTAAGACTCTAAAGTTACAAATTATTTCTTGATACATATCTAAAAATTGAAGATAAATCCACAATGGAAAGTTTTCCATAGCATGAATATTTTTATATATTTCCAACTGAATTTTAAGTGTATCTTTCTTATATATAAAGATTATTTTATTACAATATTTTGCTTTATTTAGTTTTCTCTATTTCTTGTACCTTGGATATGTATTAGACATAAACAGAGATATGCTTTTAGACATAAATTGATATTTTACATTTCTGATATTGATAGGGTCTTTTTAATCATTCTTGCTAGTATTTGTTACTGATTAGCTTCACATCTTTAGATATATTACTTTATGTTTTTATTTCTTTATCTCTAAAATAGAAATAATGATAGTATCTAACCACAAGATAGTCTACAAGATTCCTGCTTATCTTGCATATTCACTTTACTTTCCAATAAAACTTTCCTTCTCCTAATTTTGTTAAATATTCCACCTTCTCTAATTAACTATATGATTTCCTGAGAATTAAAAATAATGCTTTCAGGATAAGGTACTCTCTCAGTCTGCATGACCTTGCACAATTATACCATCGGTTATAACCAAATAATACTCATTGCTTCAATCAATGTAATGGTAATATAAATATCCAGTAGATTTTGATTCATATATGGCCCTTAAGTATTGGTTGATGAGTTGCTATTGATGTTCACAGAAATTCAGAAGACAAATTCACAACACTCTTTTTAGCATGATATTCCTAAATAGTTTTTCTATGTATTCTTTGTCTTCTAAATAGAATGTACTTTATGGCAACGGACAAAGAGGAAGAGAGCTTGTGCAGGGGAACTCCTCTTTTGAGGAGTCTTGTGAAAATCGGATCTTGTGAAAATTATTCACTATGACGAGAACAACACAGGAAAGTCCTGCCCCCATGATTCATTTACCTCCCACCGGGTTCCTCCCACAACATATGGCAATTCAGGATGAGATTTGGGTGGGGTCACAGCCAAACCATATCATTATGCCCCAACCCCTCCCAAATCACATGTACTTACATTTCAAAATCAATCATGCCTTCACAACAGTCCCTCAAAATCTTAACTCATTTCAGCGTTAACTCAAAAGTCCACAGTCCAATGTGTAATCTGAGACAAGGCAAGTCCTTTTCACCTATGAGCCTGTAAAATCAAAAGCAGGTTAGTCACTTCCTAGATAAAGTTGGGGTAGAGGTATTGGGTAAATACAGCTATTCCAAATGGGAGAAATTAGCCAAAACAAATGGGCTACAGGCCCCATGCCAGTCCAAAATCCAGAAGGGCAGTCAAATCTTGAATTTGCAAAATGATCTCCTTTGACTCCATGTCTCACATCCAGGTCACGCTGATGCAAGAGGTGGGTTCCCATGGTCTTGGACAGCTCCGCCCCTGTGGCTTTGCAGGGTACAGCCTCCCTCCTAGCTCCTAGCTGCTTTTACAGGCTAGCATTGAGTGTCTGTGGCTTTTCTTGGTGCTTGGTGCAAGCTGTCCATGGATCTACCATTCTGGGGTCTAGAGGACAGTGGCCCTCTTCTCACAGTTTCCACTAGATGGTGCCCCAGTAGGGACTCTGTGTGGGGGACTCTGACCCCACATTTCCTTTCTGCACTGACCTAGCAGAGGTTCTCCATGAGAGCCTTGCCACTGCAGCAAACTTCTGCTTGGATGCCACTGCATCCAGACATTTTCATACATCCTCTGAAATCTAGGCAGAAGTTACCAAACGTCAATTCTTGACTTCTGTGCACTCACAGGCTCAACACCACGTGGAAGCTGCCAAGGCTTTGGGCTTGCACCCTCTGAAGCCATGGCCTGAGCTCTACATTGGCCCCTTTCAGCCATGGTTGGAGCAACTGGGACCCAGGGCACCAAGTCCCTAGGCTGCACGTAGCACCGGGACTCTGGGCTCATCCTACAAAACCACTTTTTCCTCCTAGATCTTTGGTCTGTGATGGGAGGGGCCGCTGTGAAAACCTCTGAGATACCCTGAAGACATTTTCCCCATTGTTTTGGGGATTAATATTCAGCTCCTTGTCACTTATGCAAATTTCTGCAGCTGGCTTGAATTTCTCCTCAGAAAATGGGATTTTATTTTCTATCACATTTTCAGGCTGCAAGTTTTCTGAACTTTTATGCTCTGCTTCCTTTATAAAACTGAATGCCTTTAGCAGCACCCAAGTCACATCTTGAATGCTTTGCTGCTTAGCAATTTCTTCCACCAGATCCCATAAATCATCTCTCTCAAGTTCAAAGTTCCGCAAATCTCTAGGGCAGGGGCAAAATGCCACCAGTTTCTTTGCTAAAACATAACAACAGTCACCTTTGCTCTAGTTCCCAACAAGTTCCCCATTTTCATCTGAGACCACCTTGGCCTGGACTTTATTGTCCATGTCACTATCAGCATTTTGGGCAAAGCCATTCAGCAAGTCTCTAGGAGGTTCCAAACTTTCCACATTTTCCAATCTTCTTCTGAGCTCTCCAAACTGTTCCAACCCCTGCCTGTTGCCCAGTTTCAAAATCGCTTCCACATTTTTGGGTATCTTTTCTGCAGCACGACACTCTTGGGACCAATTTAGTGTATTAGTCACGCTGCTGATAGACGCATGCCCAGGACTGGGCAATTTACAAAAGAAAGAGATTTAACTGGACTTACAGTTCCACATTGGTGTTGAAGCCTCACAATCATGGCAGAAGGCAGGGAGGAGCAAGTCACGTCATACCTGGATGGCAGCAGGCAAAAAGAGAGAAAGTTTGTGCAGGGGAACTCCTCTTTTTAAAAGCATCAGATCTCATGAGACTTATTCACTATCATAAGTACAGCACAGGCAAGACTTGTCCCCATGATTCAATTACCTCCCACCAGGTCCCTCCCACAACACATGGGATTTCAAGATGAGATTTGGGTGGGGACACAGTGAAACGATAACAAATGTGGTCAGCAAAAGTATCTTGTCTTGAAATTCAAGAATAAAGAAAAGTGTGCATGTGTTTGTGATCTATGAAAATCATTAAAATAGTGAAATTAACCTGTCAATTGTAATATCCTGGAACTTGTGACTCACCAATAGAGTAAATAACAATTGTACATGCTCTAAATTTATCATCAATATCAAAGCTTTATTCTCTTTTAGTGGGCTTATGTAAGAAAATAATGTTTCTAAGCAAGTCATTAACAAATATAAAGCAAATCTATTAATGCATCTGAGTTGAATGAAGTGATTCTTCTTATTTATTTATTTATTTATTTGAGATGGAGTTTCACCCTTGTTGCCCGGGCTGGAGTGCAATGGTGTGATATCAGCTCACCGCAACCTCTGCGGTTCAAGCAATTCTCCCAGGTTCAAGCAATTCTCCTGTCTCAGCCTGCAGAGTAGCTGGGATTACAGGCATGTGCCCCCAGGCCTGGCTAATTTTTTTTGTATTTTACTAGAGAGGGGATTTCTCTGTGTTGGTCAGGCTGGTCTGGAACTCCCGACCTCAGGTGATCTGCCCACCTCGGCATCCCAAAATGCCGGGATTACAGGCGTGAGCCACCATGCCCGGCCTGAAGTGATTATTTTTAAGGAAGGTGATAGGATAGTTAAAAACCACACAACTTTTTCATATTCTCCACCCACCAGCCACTCTGCAATTATCAGTAGGTAGCAAAGCCCTGAACTTGGTCTTATATCTTATTTTAGGTACAGCAACAGACTAAATTGTAATCATAATATCTGCCTCAGGAATCTGCTCCAATTTTGATACAATTGTATATTTTGTAGTATGGAGTAACTATCGGCTGAGCTTTGATTCTGTGATCTGGCTCCCTTTCAACTTGTGATCTTTGGAGGTGGAATAGATTATATATTTTCCAATTGCAAGAGGATTAATGAGATCTTCTTTTAAATCATTAATGTAAGGAAATCTTGGAAAATAATGTGAGCCAAAATTTGGATTATTGTAAGAATCTATACTCTCTTCTTTGTTTTAGTTGCATCTTCCACAGCTCCTCTAAGCAAAAGCACCACATTGCATATTATTTCCTGTTGAGCAGGAAAGAAATATAGCATATGGTCATGTTAATGGGAATTGGGAGTAAAAGTTTTGTCCAGGTTTGGACCAGAGCTTATAACAGCAACAACAAAAATAAGAATAACAAGTATCAGGTTGAATTATGAGTTCTCTAATGGGGATATATATATATGGTTTTGATTTGTTCATTTCTTTAAGCAAAGATAAGCAGTATTGTAAGAAATACAATCAAGAAACCCAGCCATGAATATGGACTTAAGTGTTTTCCCTTTACTGTCATCCAACAATTCAATGAGGCTTTGAAATTTAAAACCACACTTATTTTAATAGCCATTTGTATATATTTCCATTTATAATCCAATCATATTTTAAGTAAATCAACTTGCTTTATATTTCTTACTTCTTGTTCCCAAATGCATCTCTTCTACCACTAGAGTTATACTGACATAAATCATAAGTTACAGGAAGAGTTTATATTCTTACTATAGAACTAGAACAATCAGCTGTGCCTCTAGGTTGCTTGAGGCAGATGTCATTCCAACTGACTTGAAAAGGATAATGACCTTCTGGGACCTTAACATTAATTGCACAACCTGAATGAAATATGCCTCTTTGGAAAATTCTATACTTGTCCAATATTGGATAGTAACCTTCTTGTAAGAAAGTTAATGCCCAGATCCCCAAATGACTTGGCCTCCTCACTTCTGTGCAGCAGTGAAGTGCAAAACGGTAGCAGATAAAATGCTACCTTTGTTATTTATAAAATACTCTAAAGTTTGAAAACCAGTTTTTCCTCAGTCCCAAAGGAATTTTATAAATGATAAAAAAGTGAGCTAAAAATATTCAGTATCTAGTGAAGAGAGTTTATTTAAAAAAACATTAAAATTGTATATTTAAAATGATTAAAATTATACTAATAAGACTCAAGTTTCTCCTTTGCAAAACTCAAGTAGGAATTATTTTCATTGAAATTTATTATTTTAGTTTTAATGGAAATGTAGGATGGAAACTTTCTTCCAAAATTTTTAATATTATGTTACTAAACATATTAGTGAGAATAGTTGCTGTAATATTTTTCCTCTTAGAGTATTTTGATAGAAAAAGTTTTCTCCATTTCATACAGAGTATGCTGGATTATATTAAATAGTTACAAATTATTTATTATCCTTATGTTAAAAACCACACGTTAAATTCTTCCCATCCCACTGATTTAACTCACAATATTCCTTGCACATAAAATATTTTTTCATCTGATATGTGTCTTTTAAAATAATTGCTGTTATCAAATTCTAAACTTTTTACAAAGAACCCTTTGATTCTTCATCTCATACCAAAATAATCTCTTTTTTTCTCTGAAAGTATATCTATAGGCCAGGTGCAGTGGCTCATGCCTGTAACTCCAGCGCTTCGGAAGCCCAAGGTGGGCAGATCACTTGAGGCTAAGAGTTTGAGACCAGCCCAGCTAACATGGTGAAACCCCTTCTCTACCAAAAATACAAAAATTAGTCAGGCATGGTGGCTCACGCTTGTAATCCCAAATGCTCAGGAGGCTGAGGCAGCAGAATCGCTTGAATCCAGGACTGGGAAGTTGCAGTGAGTTGAGATCGCACCACTGCACTCCAGTCTGGGCAACAGAGCAAGACTCTGTCTCCTAATAAATAAATAAATAAAATGAAAGCGTATTTATAATTTTGTACATATTTCTGCACTTAATACATTTTAATTTACATGATTTATACCACTGACGAAAATATAACTTCTGTGAAGACAGCATGATATTCCTGTTTCTATTTTCTAAATAATCTAACAGAATAAAATAGAGGAGTGTATAGGAAATAATTTTATATTTCATTCATATTCTTCCTTCTTATTGTGAGTAATTAAAGAAACTAATCTCTTTGAATTGTTTCTATCTTATTAATAAATCGATAATTTTAATGCGTGTCTCAAAGCATGTTTTTAATTATTAAATACAATAGCATTTCTGACACATAAAATTCAATATTTAATTGTCTATTCCTTTCCCATAGAAATATACCCCTGATCTACATACTAAATAAATGGGTAATAATATTATTGTCCATATATAATATATCACTGTTCTTGATCAGGTACAAAGGTTGTTATGGGGAAAATATTTGAAATTTCAAGAATTTATCGAAAATTTGGAAGATTTTTTTTTTTTTTTTTTTTTTTTTGAGACGGAGTCTCGCTCTGTCGCCCAGGCTGGAGTGCAGTGGCGGGATCTCGGCTCACTGCAAGCTCCGCCTCCCGGGTTCATGCCATTCTCCTGCCTCAGCCTCCCAAGTAGCTGGGACTACAGGCGCCCGCCACTACGCCCGGCTAATTTTTTGTATTTTTAGTAGAGACGGGGTTTCACCGTTTTTTAGCCGGGATGGTCTCGATCTCCTGACCTCGTGATCCGCCCGCCTCGGCCTCCCAAAGTGCTGGGATTACAGGCGTGAGCCACCGCGCCCGGCCTTGGAAGATTTTTATAAATTGAAGATTATAATATAAGGATGGCAGTTGTTTTCCATTTTCCCTTAAAATGAAATGAAGATAATGAGTTGATTAATTTTTTGGTAGTGTTACTAAAAATGTAAATGAAGTTGAGATTTCAAAATGAATTATACATTAACAAAACTTTTGCAATTCAGCATTGGTTTTCCATTTTTTTAAACATCCACCCCTCCCACAATCAATGGGTTTTGTCAATCAAATTTTCTTCCACTCTCCTATTTAATACGTGATGTATAATTAAAGCCCATTAATTAGGCTTATTTCCTGGGAATCCCACTTTTAAGGAGACAGAACAAAAACTCTAGCTTATTCTTTCTTGCATAAGAATTCAGAAAATGATGTTCAGTATACCTACAAACTCCCCACTATCTTTTCTAGGTTCTTTTCTTTGCATAATATTCCCTTGATTTGGAAAACCACAGTTTATTATTTCAAGCAATTTTTTTTCTTACTTAAGTTAACCTCATTCCATGTTTGTTACTTGAAATAAAAAAAACTTAAAGTAAGTAACAATATAACTTTAAGGTATACTTTACAAAGCACTTAACAGTTTCTATTCAGATTTCCTGCAGATATTTCTAGGCTTGTTTAATAAATAGACTCAGTCCTTCCAGTTTAAAAACTAGCCTTCTCAAAAAATGTATCACTCCCTCATGATAGAATTATATATTTTTAAAACTCCACTTATCACTGAAAAGTGTTTTTTAAGTATAGTTTTAATGTACTGCCATCACTGAAATACCTCGCATTCATTCTTCAGCACACTAGGTTGTGTGAGAATTCTGAAACAACTGGCCCAAAGTTGTCAGATTCAAAATTAAATGTCAAGTGGCCAGTTGTTATACATATTATTAATGACTCTAACCTTCTGCAAAGCTGCCTGTTGTTCTAGACAAATATATAATTAAGGCATCACATCGTCTTTAAACTGCTATGTCCGTTGCACAAATAAAATCATCTGTTTTGGGAGAGGTTGATTGAATGAATAAAATAATGAAAAGAGTGGTGAGCTGCATGCAGGTAGGTATTATACTAAATATACATGTGATTTTTTTCATTAAAGTACATAACATTTAATAGATATTTATTACAATTAATATTTCTGTAAACATCTAATATTTGATTCAGTTCAAAAACAACTCTATTTTCAATAATATTGTATATTATACATTGTTCAATTACTGATACATTTAATATGGTTTTAAAATACAAGATTTAAAAGAAAGATAAGTATATGATTAGTGATCATTTAAGTACTTTCTATTTTTTTATTTTTCTATATAGAGTTAGGCTGTCGACTGTATATAATTTCTTTTTTACTCAGACTAGACATGTGGGTTTCAACCATAAATTCTTGTTAAGAAAATAACAACTCAATAAAAACATGTCAGAAATTTCATGAAAATTGTTTATGAAGTTATAACACTTCAAGGGAACTTTTATGAGTATTAAAATTCTGTATATAATTTAAAAAATATTTCCAAAACAACATTTGTTGATCTCATGTAGTTGTATTGAGGTAAAAAAATCAAAGGAGTAACCAGATATTAGTGACAGTACTGCCTTCTCACTGCTACAGATTTGTATTCTTTATATAAGTCAAGACATTTCAATAAAGAGTATAAAAATTAGATGACCCTATGTTGTAAGTTGCTTACTTTTCTGTGATAGGCAATATTATTCCCAAGGTGAAATCATTTGTGTGATTTATGGTGACTTTCAACTTTATTAAAGTGTTCTTTATAAAAAACAGCCTGAATAAAGAGGACAAATGAAAGAAAATTTAAATATAGAAGGAAAGGTTCAGTAAAGAGGGATGCCAGTTTATAGGTAAGTGGACTTTAGTTTCTAATAATTAAATCTGTCTCCAATGGTTTTTATTTAATCTAAAGATAGTTATTAGTTAAAGCTGTAAAATTATTCAATAAGCTGATTTAAAATTTAAAGAGAAGTATATTATTCTGCTGTGCCACATTTATCAAATCAATGCAACAATTTAAAAGAACAATATATATTTTATTTTTATATTTATAAATCCATTTGTTACTTAGCCCTAAATATAATTTTTATGACTAGTCAACTTAATATTATCCTTGAAAGCTATCATATATAATATATTTTTAGTTTCAGAGACCAAATAATTTGTCACTGTGGACTAATGCACGTAACCTCAGTAGAAGACTCCCATTTCAAATGGCACATTTCAAATATTATCTGTTTTGTGTTGTAGATTTCTGAATAAAATCTGTTTTGAGAAATAATTATTTGCTAAAAATGTTTGAACAGCTCATAGATGATAGGTTGATGATAGATAGATAGATAGATCTATCATATAGATTTATGGATTTATTATATTTTTAATTTAATCATTGCACTTTGATAATAAACATATGTGCATATTTTGGGGAAGAAAATTTAATAAGCTTGATTTCAAAATAAATTGAATTTCAGTGTAACTTGAAAGAATCTTAGGCAAATAGCTCATATCATTGAATTGTCTCACAAGGATCTACACACACATACACACATACTCATGTATACAGTCATGCATTACTTAATGAGGGGGATATATTCTAAGAAATGTGTCATTAGGCAATTTTATCATTGTGTGAACATCATACAGTGCACTTACACAAACCTAGATGGTATCACCTACTACACACCTAGGTTACATTTTACAGTCTATTCCTTCTCAGCCACAAATTTATACAGCATGTCCCTATATTAAATACTGTAGCCTGTTATAACTCCTTGGTAAGTATTTGTGTATCTAAGCATAGAAAAGATTCAATAAAAATACAGTCTTATAATCTTATGGGACTACTATTTTATATGCAGTCCATCATTGACCAAAATGCTGTTATGTGGTGCATGACTGTATATAAACATACACTCTGTGCACATAGATATGTATACATCTATAAAACTAGGTTTTCTGAGAATACGCTAGCTTCATATTTCATGTTTCTTTATCAGTCGATTATCACATATCACTATTTTTCTGAGTAAATAGTAGGCCATGTTCTTTAAAGTTTGCCTTACATTAGCTCTGATGAGACTTAGGCTCATGACATGGAAAGAAATCTAGAAGATTTAAAGCCAATAAATAGTACACACTGAGTGATGGAACCCACAATTCCACATTCTGGAAATTTTTTTGATAACTTTTACTGTATATTTTGTTTGTGGTTTGGGATATTTTAATTTTCTTATTTATTCATTTTGTTAGTTAAATGATTATAAAATTAGCATATGTTATGTGATACTCAGACAGTTAAAACATATTTTATTTTAGGAAAAAATGGCATGTAAAATACAAGCACACATACGTCTTGCATAAAGTACTTTCTCAAGTTTTAGTTTATCTTTTATATTTCTGATATCTCAAATTCCATTAGAAGAATTATTCTTCTCCTCCACCTCTTTCTCCTTATCCTTTCTCTTCTCTCTTCCTTTTCCATTGCAACTCCTCCTCTTCTTCTTTTGCTTGTTCACAAACATGTTGAAAATTCATGTTACATCAATAAAAAGGTCCTTATAAAACTAACTCCAGGATATAAATTTTATAGAGAATATCTCATTTAATCTTAACAACACATATGATTTTAATATTATTATTGTCCCATTATTTGGATTAAAGAAAAACAGCTTTGGAAAATAAATTTGTCAACTATTAAACTGATAGTATACAGCAGAGTCAGGATTGTAGTATAGGTAAATCTGACTTTAGAGACTATGTGTCTTATAGTGACACATAGAAACTGTTTCCACTGTTAATTCTATGGTAGGAAAAAAACCGATGCTATTACCTGCATATGAACATGATATATAGCTAATATAAAATTCAATTTATGGCCATGAACATTTTCTAAATCTTATCTGTATATCACTAAATAGATTTCTGATGGAATTAATCAATGTCATGAAGAGTATGACTTCTTGAAAATCATTGCCTCACGATTTGATCACGATGACCAGATAGTAAAGTCCAAGGCAAGAAATTTTCTGATGACTATGTCCTGTGACAGCTATAAATGTCTTAAGCTACAAATTGGATTGATACATTAAGATCTATTTTCCCTTCTGGTATATTTATAATTTTTAATCAGCCCCGTAAAACACACAAAAATTATGTGGTAAACTATCTTGAAAAAAAATTCTATAACTTCTTATTAAGCCAATAGATATATATTTAGTAAATATTATGATTGTGTATGAATCTGTTCTCCCTGTTTGTCTTAAATAGTGTGTAAAACCATTGATTTTTTTCTTTCACGCTGTACACCATCCATGCTAATAACCATTCTATTTGGGGAAACATTAAAATTTGGCAGATCCAAAAATTTTATGACTATGTCCATTGTGGCAATTATTAAATTATTCTGCAAAGCCCTGATAATTTTACAATACATTTAAACAACTGATTTTCTGCCACTGGGCATAAATATCAATCAGGCAACAATTGGATCTTCTATGAAGCACACTCTTATGATGTGTAACTATCTTTGGTGCTTGCTCTTTATACTCCCACAATACACATACCATGTAAGCCTACAGAAGATACTTAAAGTCAGGTATATTGGAGCTATGAACTAAAGTTTAATTAAGCTCATGTTTCCCTTCTTTCAATAATTATTGTACTACATAGTCTATTGTTCAATGTCTGAAATCCTTTGCCTCATATAGTACTTTAAGTTTTATAATTTTTACAACAGAAATTGCCTCAATACTGGTTACTCCATCACAGTTAAACTTGTAGTATATTATATTTTTATGGAATTCAGCTAGCATATTTAGTATCCTCATATCATTAGATTTAAACAAGTACCTATATTTACATGGATATAAACATGCAACTAATTTAATATTGATTCATTGATATGATTATCAACATGAGCCTGAGGGATGGCCAGGCCATATTGTACTTTGTGTTCATTACAAGTGGCAGCCCTTACACTATCATACACCTTGTGACAACGTCTTTGGCAAGTGGACGGGATGTCGGATTTTGTGTGTGTTTGTATACTACCGTTAAGCTGTTGTGCCTGTGCCAGACAATATGTATATTAACTTGTACGGGAATAATTCCACTGGCATATTGAAGAAATCACTTGTTTTTATTTGGTATCCATCTTAGGAAGTTGCATTAGTATGTTTATAAGTAGTTATTGCTTTCTACTTCCAATTGGCTGATACAATAAGGCTTTATTGTAACCTTTTCCAAAGGTGTTCTCTGATACATTTTTCAACAAATCATATTAACAAGGGAATTACATAAATTTTAATTTTGTCTGGAAGCTTACCCAGAGAAGTTTGTTAATGTTGGGTGACATGTAAATATCTAAATTTATTTATATCTACTTCAATTCCACAATTAGCAAAGAAAGCTTTAAATATTATCTGTAGCAAAGTACATTTTCTGAAATAAAAATTTTTGTGATTTTACAAGTGTGAATCAAAAAAATGTGCAGAGTTAAGGTTTAGCTTGCTTAAATTTAACTCTCTGATGTTACTAGAGCTTTGGCAAGAAACATAGCAACTCCCCTTTTTAGAACATTTCAAATCAGATCCAGGAGATATTCTTTCTCTTTCGCAAACTAGATAATGGCTTCAGGTTTTTTTGATATTATGGACTACTAGCCTCAAGTGTGAATAAGTTTTCCTTCTCCCTGTCCCCTATTTTTCTTAATTTTTCCCTAGTTATACCATCTGTTCTTTTATTTCAATATAATTCTTCTATTAGCTTTTAGTTCTACCACTTTAGACTAAAACATGTATCCTTAATATTTTACCACTTCATGAAAAACCTTGGAGCACTATAATTGTCCTGTCCACAAATATTGATGGTAAAATATCTTTGAAACACAATGTGGATAAAAATATAGAAAGTTCTTTCCTTCTCAAAGGGGGTAATAAACTGTTTGCCTTGGAGGGCAAATGTAATCTGGAGTCATTTTATTAAGGCAGTGTTTAAAAACAAACACAAATTGAATGGGTTTAGCCCTAAGACAGAGCAAGCAATTTCCTATTTGTGACACCAATTCTTATTGCTTTATTACACTCAGATTGATCATATATTCATATAACCTGCAGGCAGGAATCTGATTTTGTGACACCTTGCTTAAAATTAGTTCAGGAGCAAAAACAGATGCACTATATCAAATTTGTGCTACCATTTCCTTTTCTTACATTCATAATAATCTTTTCTTATTATTTTTCACACTCTTTACACCCAGAGAGAGAAGTATTTCTGCTTCTCTTTCTCCTTTTCCTCCATGTCCTCATTTTCCTTCTCTTTTCTTTCTCCTTCTTTTCCTTTCCTTGAGCAAACATTTTCAAGATACTAGTTGAGACACTTGATCTATAACAGTGAAAGGGGGTTGCTTATACTTAAACATCATTGCTAGTGTGGTTCTTCTTGAGCCTACTAAACAATAAAAACCATAATAATTACCCAAAATATTTATAATTTATAAAGAAAATGCAAAGCTCATTTTAGATTCATATTAACATGGATTTAATAAATCCAAGCTGATTTTGTAGCATAATGTATTATTATCAAATGAACAATTGTATAAATTTTGAGAAAACTTAACTGTTAAATAAGTATACCTATCACATTTATTTTTTGAAGGAAAGATATGTCCATGCACTTTTCTTTAAAAATTTTCTCATTTACAATCCACTAATAGCTAGAAGTCATGATTGGGTTATTTGATCCTTTTAGGTAATCAATTTGCTCCATTAGACTTTTTTTCCTCACCTGATTTCACAACAAATCTTGGCACATAATAATAAATTGTAAGATTTTTCAGTTTAGGCATCATGGAAGAGAAAGTTTAAATAACATATTTGCCAGTGTATATAAAACTTGGCTACAGGCTCACGCTTGTAATTCCAGCACTTTGGGAGGCCAAGGCGGGTGGATCACTTGAGATCAGGAGTTCAAAACCAGCCTGGCAAAAATGGTGAAACCCTGCCTTTACTAAAAATACCAAAAAAATTACCTGAACTTGGTGTTGGGGACCTGTAGTCCCCGATACTCGAGAGGCTGAGGCAGGAGAATCACTTGAACCCAAGAGGCAGAGATAGCAACCCCGCACTCCAGCAGGGGCAAGAGAGGGAGACTCTGTTTCAAAACAACAACAACAACAACAAACAAACAAAAAAAACACTTGGTTAATATTAGGATCATCAGTTATCTTCCATCTGAAATCAATATTATTTTATCTACTATTTTTCATCTGTCTCTTAATCTAAAATAGTATTTCTCCTTTTTTGTATGACCAAATGGTGTATATTAAAGAGATGCCAGAAATTTTAACACTTTGGGCTTGTAAAGTTTTGAACTACAGAAAGAAATTGGTTAGGTAAGATTAACTCAATTAAATTAACAAAATGCAGAAAGATTATATTGATAGAACAAAATAATAACTTTTAAAATATGTAAACAGCTTAAAGTATTTAAAATTTATTTTGTATTAAAATTTAAACTTTATAATATTTAAAATTTACTGTCAATAATGTGTGTTGTTTTGGGATTTTTAAACTGCATCACATTTTATTTGGCATGCAAGATTTTTGCATTATTTAGCTATGATAGTCAAATATTTATGAAGGTGTTATTTATAAAAAGGGAGTATCATGAGAATCATCATCTATCATAATTAAGATAACAAACAGAAGTTGTACCTAATAGAAAGTGTATGTGAAAAAAAATTAACAAATTCAGACATAATGACTCTCAACATTGTCCTCTCAAACATGGGTTAAGTGATGTCATTTCACGATTCTCAAAAAGATTATATAATCAATCATTATATGAATCACTAGAGATATGTAAAATCTGCCAAAAAGAAAGGGAGAAAAATAATAAAATTCCAAAGTTTACAAGCTTAAAAAATCTTTTGTTTATACTGTTCTGAAAAATCCCACTAATCTATTCAGTCTTTCCTTCTTTATACACTGCCAAAAACAGTTCAACCCATCACTGTATAGCCAAAACAGCAGCAGTGATTCCAAAAAAGTGATTCTTCACTCAATTTGAAATCCCATATAATCTATGATTAATTAGTTTTAGTATGAAAGTGTATAAAACATAAAAGTGAAATTTAATATTTTGCTTAAAAAATGGCAATGAAATAACCTCCTAAATCAAGAAATAGTGCATTGCTCTCTGTGACCTAAGGGATACCATTTTCTATGCAAACCTTTCCTACTAGAATTTTGTGATAGCTATTTTCTCTGTATCTTTATTGTTTTCATAACTATATTTTTTTCCCTGGACAATATAATTTGCTCTTGCCTCTTGTGGTAGGCAAAATAATGGTCTCCCAAAGATGCCCATGTCCTAATCCCTGGAATCTGAAAATATGTGATCTTATATGGCAAGAAGGCTTTTCAAATGTCATTTAGTTAATGACCTGAAAATGGAAAGATTATCCTGGATTATCTAGCTGTACCAAGTTTAATCACACGGTTCTTTAAAATTAGAGGGATGTGAATATAGAAAAGTGACACAGAGGGAAGCAAAGTTTTGCCTTGAATATGGAAAAAAAAAGAAACAGCAGGCAAGGAATGTCTGCAGTATCTTATAATTGAAAAAGTCAAGAGAAGAGATTTTATTCCTAGCCAGATTATAACACAGCCTGACAAATATCTTAATTTTAGTCCAAAGAAACCAGTGTTAAAGTAACCCTACAGAACAAAAAAAAAATAATAACTTTGTGAGTTTTTTTAACCACTAAATTTATGGCAATTTACTACAGCAGCAATAGAAAACTAATATATCTCTTTTATTAATTTATATAAATGAATCAAACTAAATTGAGTTTAATCTTGCTATTTTGCTCAAAATTAGTGTTTTCTTTAAAAATGTATTCATCTCAAATCTTACTGTTGTCACTCCTTCATTATCATTGTTGCTGTGTAATATTACATTATAAAATTTATGGCAATTTATTGTCCATCATTTAATAAACACAATGAAATTTTAGTTGTTTCCTACCTGAGAAAATTAGTCAAAAATTTGTAATGAATATTTTTGTGTATTTATCCAATGGGTTTTCTAAGATAAATATTTAGTTGTGCTGTGTCATAGGATATGTCTACCTTAAGATTTAGATAAATATTTAAATTTTTTTCTAATGAGGTTGTACCACACTCTCCAACCAGCAGAGTATGAAAGACTTTAATGAGGTCTACATCTATTTAGTTTTAGCCAATACAATAAGTACATGGTTGGGTAGCATTGTAGTTTTAATTTTTAATTTCTTGATCATCAATAAGAGTTAAGACTTTTTTATGTTTATTAACCACTTGGAGTTAATATTTACGAATTATGAATTCTAAACCATTCTTTGATCTTTTTTTCAATTGGGCTATTTGTTGTTTTTATTCTCATTGACTTTATTTCCTTTGTGTCTTTCCAGCACTAGACCTTGGTGGTTATATGTATTGAATATATTTTCTCCCACTTGATGATTTGTATTTTTGTTCATTTTCCAGTGTCTTTTAATGAAGACAAATTCTTAATTTCAATGTAGTCAATTTATAAGTTTTAAGTTATATTTTTGTTTACTTAAAAATATTTCTCTAAATATACCATGAAGATATTCTTATATGTTACCATTTAAAATCATATTTCTTTGCTATCAAATTTAATTTTTAATATTCCTAGAAATTACTTTTACAAGACTTGAGTAAGGGGGAAAATCACGTTTTCATAGAAGAATACACAGTTGTTTTGGCATTACTTTAAGAGAATATTGTATCCAAATTGTTTTACAGTGGAACATATCTTACAATAAAATGGTTATAAAATTAATTATTTTTACAAGACACTTCAATGTTTCTGGACTTCTTTGTTTTTGATGAACAATGGGCAATTAATCTTATCATTTTTCCCTGTATGTGATGTTTGCTTTCTCACTGGTTCATTTTAAGATTTTCTTTCTCTTTGGCTTTTAGCATTTTGTCTATGATGTGGTTTGCATTTTTGTTGTGTTTAGTTTGAAGCTCCTTGGATCTCTAAGTCAATATTTTCTACAAAATTTGACAAGTTTTCAGTTGTTATTTCTTCAAATATTTTGTTTCTCTTTCTGTTTCTCTTTCTGGCACTACAACTATAGACATGAACTTCTTGGCAAGGTATCTCAGTATATTTATGTACTGTTTATCTTTCTGTTACTTAGATTGATCTATTTTCATGGTCACTGGTTATTTTTTCTGTCATCTTCACTCCTTCATTGAGTCTTTCTTTTAATTTATTTGACATTTTAGCTCTAAAATTCCATCTTTTCTCCTTTCCTTGTCCTATCAGAATTCCGCTCTCTGTTCACTCATTACTGCCATTTTTCTTTAAATTTTGGACATATGCACTCATTCTTTGAATATTGTTTAATAAGCTTCTGTGAAATCTCTTTTTCTAAATCCAAAATTTGACATTACCTTGAATGTTTTTATTCATCATCTCTTTTTCTTTATTGTAAGTTATCACTTTCCCATTTCTTTGCATTCATGAAAAATTATAAATAACATACTACTAGCACACATGGATTCTTATAATTATTATCTTATTTTTGTCTTCTAAATAGTAACCTTGTTTGGACTTGAAATGCTAGCTTTATTTTCCAAGCATTAGGCATCGGCTAAAGCGTCTGCTCAATTTTTGTGCCCTCAAGATGCTGTTTTTAGGCTGGACTCTTAAAGATCTCTGCGAAACAGGTTCACTTGGACTGGTCACCGACTTGTCTGAGTCCAGTAAAACAGAACACTCATGCATCTATAAGTAATATGAAATGTGTTTATTACATGCAAATAGGTGGGAAGAAAAAACAGAAGTCTAGGATTCATGTGAACCAGTCCCACAAGGCTCAGAAAAGCTGTCAGGAATGGATGGAATCTCATTTGCATGTCTCCCACTTACACTGCAGCTGAGGGACCCTGGTAAGCAGCCTGAGCTCGGTTTTATACCCCTGGATTGTCCAAATTTTTAGGATGAAGTGGGGAAGGACATCCTGTTTTGGAGAGAGGGAGGGTGGGCAGGTTGAAACAGAGTCCAGGCTTTCCAGCCAGTCCCTCTCTATTTTAGGATATTACATTCCCAACATATTTTACAGTTATTCTTGAGAGCTACAAGTAAAAAATGGGGGGAGAACTGGGTTAGTCCAAGGCCACCTGGAGAATTGTCCTCCAGTATCCACTGTCTCTGCTTAATTTGTCTCTCAACATAAAAGAGACAGAGATTACCAGTTGACCCTCCTTATCTGTGGGTTTTGCATCATGGATTCAAACAACCATGTATCAAAAACATCAAAAAAAATGCATTTGTATTGAATATATACTGACTTTTTTTGTCCTTATTCCCTAAACAATACAGCAGATCAACTATTTACATAGCATTTATATTTTATTAGGTATTATAAGAGAACTAGAGATTATTTAAAGTCTACAAGAGAATGTGTAGAGGTTATATGTAAATATTGCACCATTTTATATTAAGGACTTAAGCATCCATGGGTTTTGGTATCCACAGGAGTCCTGGAAACAATCCCCCACAGATATAGAGAGATGACTGTACTCAAAATTTGAGGCAAAATCTTCCTGGCATTTCCTTGTTTCTGGGGATTTCTACTAATTTACAGCTGCTCCATAGATTTGGTTTCTTTCCTCTGAATCTCCAAGTCATTAAGCTTCAGCTTTTTGCTGTCCAAGTTGAATACGGTTGAGGAATGCCATCAATTAATAAGAAAACAAGTACACAGAACTCACCTGGAAGAGCTTTATTTTATGAGAATAGATACTTTTGGTCTCTATGTTCTTTTTAAATGGATATCTCTAATGCATATGTGTAGTTTATGTTAGTGACCATTCAGAAATTTAAGTTTGTGCTGAAATTATAGATCACACACTTTCTGTGATTCTTTCACTTCCAGAGTATCCCATCTTAAATTACTTAATCTTGAACTTCTTTTCTATCATATTGAGCTGGTAAGCCTGCAATGCATCAGTGTGATTTTTCACATTGAAAACATTTTGTCTCTGCTGTAGCAAAGTACATTGGAGGATATCTTCAGGAAACAAAACGTTAACATTCTTACCCCTTACTGTTGAAACTTTTCAAAAGTAAACTCTCCTCTGACTTCGGCTTGTTTTGTGTACTTACTCCTTCTTTTGAATCCTTTTTGAAATATTCATGCATTTTTATCTACATGTTATAATTTTTATCCCAAGAAAATTTTACATGACCATTTTACTCTCCCATCATTACCACAAGTAATGAATATTCATGTATTTTTTAAGAAAATATATACTGAGCAGCCACTTTATGCTCAGAACTATTTTAGGAACTTGAGATATATATCAGTGAATGAAATAGCCAAAAAGTATTGCCCTAATAAAGCTAAATTAAATTTGTGATAGAAACAGCATAATGCATAAACATAATATATAATCACATTATATGTATTTGAATAGTGTGCTTGATTCCTGAGGAAAATAATTCATAGCAAGTAAAGATGTAAAATATGGAGGTTAAAAGGGTATTAGTTTTAAATATTCTAATCATGGTAGGGATTACTGACAAGATAACATATCAGCAAATAATTGAGAAAGTTCAAATAATTAGCAGTATAAACCTGGAGAGCAAGGAATGTAAACAAAGGGAAGAATCAGTGCAAAGATCATCAAACAGTGTCATGCCTAGAAAGTTATAAAGAAATCAAGGAGGCAAGTGTAACTGGATAAGGATGAGCAAGTTAGAGTGTAATTAGTAATTACATTGGGAAGACAATTAAAACTAAGTAAAATAGATCCTTAAAATTTATCAAAGTCTTTAAAAAAAGACTTTGGCTTTACTCTAGAGAAAATAATGATAATTGTTAAGAATTGACTGTGGAAACCAACAATGTGTCCAAGTTGAACAATTAAAACATTATTCCATGAATAAAAGAACAAGATCTTATTAGACTGGACTTTGACAGTAGCAGTAGAGATATGCAAAAGTAGCCATACTTGAAGGTGCATTTATAATGGCACAAGATCATGTCCCAGTTGAAATGTTTTTGCAGATGTATTTTTAGGTTTTGTGTGTTCTAACAGAAAGACAGGAAAGAAGGGCGATATGGTTAGGCTTTGTGTTCCCACCCAAATCTCATCTTGAATTATAATCCCTATAACCCCCATAATCCACACCTGTCAAGGGAGAGACAAGGTGGAGGTAACTAAATCATGGGGGTGGTTCTCCCCATGCTGTTCTCAGGATAATGAGTGAGTTCTCCTGAGATCTGATGGTTTTATAAAGGGCTTTTACCCTCTTTGCTTGGCATTTCTCCTTCCTGTTGCCTTGGTTAGAAGGTCACTTGCTTCACCTTTGCCTTCTGCCATGATTGTAAGTTTTCTGAGGCCTCCTCAGCCATGCTGAACTGTGAGTCAGTGAAATATCTTTCCTTTACAAATAACCCAGTCTCAAGCAGTTCTTTACAGAAGTACAAAAATGGACAAATACAGTAAATTGGTACTGCAGAGGGTGGGTTGCTGCTAAAAAGATACCCAAAAATGTGGAAGCAACTTTGGAACTAGACAACAGGCAGAGGTTGGAACAGTTTGGAGGGCTCAGGAGAAGATAGGCAGACATGGGAAAGTTTGGAACTTCCTAGAGACTTGTTGAATGGCTTTGACCAAAATGCTGATAGTAATATGGACAATGAAGTCCAGGCTAAGGTGGTCTCAGGTGGAGATGAGGAATGTGTTGGGAACTGAAATAAAGGTGACTCTTTCTATGCTTTAGCAAAGAAACTGGTATTTTTGCCTCTGTCTTAGAGTTCTGTGGAAATTTGAACTTGAGAGAGATGATTTAGGGTACCTGGCAGAAGAAATTTCTGAACAGCAAAGTGTTCAAGAGGTAACTTGAGTGCTCTTAAAAGCATTCAGTTTTATGCATTCACAAAGAGATGGTTTGGCATTGGAGCTTATGTTTAAAAAAGAAACAGAGCATAAAAGTTCAAAAAAATCTGCAGCCTGACAAGTGATAGGAAAGAGAAACCCATTTTCTGAGGAGAAATTCAAGCTGGCTGCAGAAATTTACATAAGTAACCAGGAGCTAAATGTTAACTGTCAAGACAATGGGGAAAATTGCTCCAGGGTATGTCAGAGATCTTGGCGACAGCCTCTCCCATCACAGGCCTAGAGACCTTGGAGGAAAAAATGGTTTCCTGAACTGGGCCCAGGGCCTTGCTGCTTTGTGCAGCCTCAGAATATGGTGCCCTGCATTCGAGCCATGGCTAAAAGTGGCCAATGCACAGCTCAGGCCATTGATTCAGAGGGTGCAAGCTTCAAGCCTTGGCTGCTCACACATGGTGATGGACCTGCAGGTGAACAGGAGTCAAGAATTGAGGTACGGGAACAACTGCCTAGATTTCAGATGATGTGTAGACACATCTAGATGTCCAAGCAGATGTTTGTTGCAGGGGTAGAGCCTTCATGGAGAACACCTGCTAGAGCAGTGCAAAAGGGAAATTTGGATTTGGGGCCCCCACAGATTCCCCATTGTGGTAATGCCTAGTGGAGTTGTGAGAAGAGGGTCAACATCCTCAAGACTCCAGAATGGTAAATCCACTGACAGCTTGAACTGTACTGCAAAAGCCACAGACACTCAATGCCAGCTCATGAAAGCAGCCAGGAGTGGGGCTGTACCTTGAAAAGCCACAGGGGCACAGCTGTCTTAGGGCATCTGAGCCCACCTCTTGCATCAGGAAGACCAGGATGTGAGACAGGAAGTGAAAGATCATTTTGGAGCTTAAGATTTGACTACCCTGCTAGATTTCACACTTGCATTTGTTTTGGCCAATTTCTCCCACTGGGAACAGTGTATTTACCCAATGCCTGCAACCTCATTATAACTAGGAAGTAACTAAATTGCTTTTGATTGTACAGGCTCATAGGTAGAAGGGACTTGCCTTGTCTCAGATGAGACTTTGGACTGTGGACTTTTGGGTTAGTGTTGGAATGAGTTAAGACTTTGGGTGACTGTTAGGGAGGCATAATTGGTTTTGAAATGTGAAAGGGACATGAGATTTGAGAGGGTCTAGGGGCAGAATGATATGGTTAGGCTTCATGTCCCCACCCGAATTGTAATCCCCATAATCCCCACATGTCAAGGGAGAGAACAGGTGGAGGTAATTGAATCATGGGGCAGTTTCACTCATGCTGTTCTCATGATAGTGAGTAATTTCTAATGAGATTTTATGGTTTTATAAGGGGCTCTTCCCCACTTCACTTGGCACTTCTCTTTCCTGCTGTCTTATTAAGAAGATGACTTTCTTCCTCTTTGCCTTCTGCCATGATTGTAAGTTTCCTGAGGCCTCTCAGCCATGCTGAACTGTGAGTCAATGAGAGCTCTTTCCTTTATGAATTACCCAGTCTCATGCAGTGCTTTATAGTACTTTGAAAATGGAATAATACAGAGGTGGAAAAAGAGAAAGGAGAGATGTGAGAGGGAGATATCAACATTTTCTATAGATGTCTATAGAAAAATTCTTGCTATCCTCTATTCAATCAGGACTACAGGTTCTTATGCAAGAGCTCATCCATATTTATCACAGCTCTTATTAAAATCTAGCATACTTAATTTTTTATTTCCTAAATTATTTAATGGCCTATATCAGCTGGTGTCTTCTTGAAGGTATTGTAGACATTCAATAATGAATTGTTGATTAAGTGATTTATTGAATAAATAACAGTTCAACTGAATAGCTCATTAAATAATACTAATAACGACATGGTGGAGCATGCCTGTAGTCCCTGCTAATCAGGAGGATGAGGTGGGAGTACCACTTGAGCCCTGGAGGTGGAGGTTGCAGAGAGCTGAGATTGTGCCAGTGCACTCCAGCCTGGGAGAGAGAATGAGACTCCATCTCAAAAAATGAATGCATAAATACTGAGAAAATTGATCTCAAGTAAAAATAATGTTTACTAAAAACTGATTTGAAAATAACGACCCAAAAATATTTGCATGATCCTCTCTAATGATACACTGAAGTTTGGGAAAAGATCAAGTGAGGTAAGGATGGAGAAGTCATTGCACTTTTAAATGCCCACACCCAAGGAATATTACTAGGATACAACAATGAGTCAGCTCCCATGAAATTACAGCCATAAATCACACTAATGTTATGAAGATGAATTCTAGTCAAAAGGATTTGGGCCATTTGAAAACTTCTTAATCGAAATAGTTGCAGAAAATGCAATTGAATTTTGTATAAAAAATAAAAGTCTGTGACTCCTTAGTGACTCCTCATTACAAGGATAAAACTCGTGATTTTTTAATGGTTCAGAACAACAGGATCAAGATAAGGAAAATAGATTATGAATGTTATGGTGGGAGTGCAGGCTTAGTTGGGTTCAATTCCCAGCTTTTCCACTTACTAGCAACATGACCAAAGACAATTTAATGTTGTGTATTTATATCTTTATGCTTAAAGTGGTGAAAATAATAGCACACACCTTATAGATTTAGTTTTTAAGTGAAATGAGTTAGATATTTTGGAAAACACATGCCAAATGTTAAATCCTGCATGTGTTTAATATCTCACAACACTGACTCAAAATCACTATTGAGATACAGGGATTTAAGGACTATTCTTTTTTTTTCTTTCTTCTTTTTTTGTTTTATAAAATAACTGGGATTTTAGCAAATAGATTATCTTGAGAGAATCTCTACTTTTATATTTTACAATTACAATGTGACTCTGAATTTGCAAAAATAAAATTTTGCCTTGGAAAACATGTTAATAAGGAAGGAAGTTGGTAGGATAAAATTATAGTATAGTCTTTTTAAAATTTCTTTTGAGACTATGTGACAAATATGCTGTCATACATCTTGATATGTAGTAAGCTGCTGTATGGTCAATTTGGGTTACAACACGGAGCTCTGTTGAACTTACCATAGAAGAGTAAGGTTTTTGAACTGTTAGGGCCATTATTTTTAAAAACATATTATTTCAACTTTTGCTCTTAGACTTTTCACACCAAATTTCTACTTTGTTGAAGTTTAAGAGCAGTTTTTTGACATTTAAAAGGCAGATGCACTCCTGAGGGATTCACTGGTAAAAGCCATTAGTGAATTTGCTGATATAAAACTTGCATGATAGCATAAATCTTTTACAGAGTGTCTTTGGAAAATATGTGTGTGTGTGTGTGTGTGTGTGTGTGTGTGTGTGTTTGAGAGAGAGAAAGAGAGAGAGAGAAACACAGAGAGAGAAGGAGAGAGAGAAAGAGAGAGAGAGGTTAGATGGTAATGGTAAATTACATTACATGAGTCTTCAGCATAAGCCTTCCACATAACACTTTTTGATGTTTAATAAAACAGAATCACAAAAACTGTATCTTCAGAGGCCTTGTTATGCTATCATATGAATGAATATCCATGCCATAGGTTTTGAGAAGCCATATATAAATAAGTTTGGGGAAATTTTATTTATAAAACTGATAAAGTGATTTTACTTTTCTTTTCTGGAAACTTTGGCTGCCTATCAACTGTGGAGCCATAAGAATAACACTTCACATGAGTTCTATATATATCACAACTATAAAAGATTAAGGTAAAGGTATTATATTCATATCTATATTTCTACTTTATTTTGATCATTTGATGTTTAGAAATAAAGCAGAGGGGAAGAGAAGTACACTGTTTGCAATAATAATTATAACTTCTCTAGTTAAATGTATAATGTAGTATTTTTAGCAGAAAAGATCTCTTTGCAGCTAATTTTGAAACTTTAAGAAGTCAAAATTAGACTTCTGACTTTGGGAAAAGTTGATGTAGATCTATTTTTCTGGCTTCTACGATTACCTCCCCACCCACTTCTTCCACAAAGTACACCTAAATATCCTGAACATAATTTGACAAATATAACCATGAAATGATTATGAATAGGTATTATAGAATGGAAACATGAAATAATTGAAATAAAAACCTTGCTAGATGAGTTCAATAGTACAATGGAGATGATAGCAGAGAACAGAATTAGTGAACTGGAAGACTCATCAATAGTGTTTGCTCGATCTTAACAACACAGAGAAATCGACTTTAAAAATACACAGAGTCTAAATGATATGTAAAAAGGTAACAAAAGATTTAGCATCCATATCACTGCAGTCCCAGAAGGAGAGGGAAAAATGAAAGGGCAGGACAAACATTTAAAGAAATAATATCTGAAAATACCCAAACTTGTTAAGACATGAACCCACATACTTAAGAAGCTGAGCAAACCCCAAAGATGATTAAAAACAAACAAATGAAACCTTTAACAAGACAGACAAGAATTATACTTATAAAAACTATAGAAAAAAAAAACACCTTAAGAACCAGAGAGAAGCAACACATAATCTCTAGAGGAATGCAAGTTCAAATGACAGCCCACTTCTCATCCAAAACCATTGAGACCAAAAGCAAATAGTGGAATACATTTTTAACCTTTTAACAAAATTGCCAAAGTAACTCTTCTGTCAGGTGCAGCTATCCTTTACAGGTAAAAAAAGAAAGCCATTCTCAAAGAAAAACTAAGAAATTTTGCCACCATAGGATCTACCCTTAAGGCATGCAAGAAAGAATTTTGCCAATGGAAATAAAGTGATAACAAAAGAGTAGAAACTTCAGACAAGGATAAAACAATGTATAACAATGTGGATAAACATGTAGACTATCCTTCATTTCAAGAGTTTCTTAATCAGATTTAATGGTGGAAACAGAATTTATATTATAACTTAATTGATATGGGGCTCAATGTGTGTAGAGAAAATATTTAAGAAAACTGAATTTTGAAAATGGGAGATTTAAGTAGATCTAAATTAAAGTAAATTTTCTAAATATTGATGTCAATAGGCTATAAGTTCATGCATAGAAACACTAGAACAAGCATTAAGAAATCTATACAAACACTTAAACACACTAGCAAAGGTAAATAAAAACTAAAGTGACAGAAAAAGCTATATCATCAAAATGTATCATAGACTTAAGTGTAACATGTAAAGCTATACAAATTTTAGGGGAAAAATTAGAAGATCTTCGAAATCTAGGGCTAAGTCAAGAATTATTAGACTTACTACGCTCTACCCCAGGGTGTGCAAAACAGAAATTTTCCAAACAGAAATAAAGTGAGAGCACAATCCTCAGTCTAATTTTCAAAAATAATAATTAATAATTATTTACTTTTTCCTTAAAACACTTTTAAGTTTGGATTATTTTTTATTATTTTGTATTCATTTCAAAAATAATGCCACATTTCTCTATTGCTAAAACCATAATCCAAGCTATGTTCTTATGCTTGGACTACATCGGCATGTCACCTGAACCGCCCTCTCAAGTATTTCCCCATAGAACCATGGGAGTGGATGTTGCTAAGTACAAATATGCTTATATCTCCCATTTATTTCTTACATATATTTATTGGACAATTAGTATAAATCATATATTATTTAATAGAAGTTGTTTACTCTTCTGCTTACAATTCATTAGTTGTTTCTTAATCTACCTGCCTATAATTCAGTTATCTTATCATTGCCTTCAAGGTCCTGTATAACCTGATAGGTCTCTAATCTCCTCATCTAATGTCTCTCAACTCTTTACATATCTCTATTCACTATGACCAAAGCACAAGGGCCTTTTTTTGTCTTTCAGCATATCAAAGTAGTCCCAATTTTAGGGCCTTACCCCATCTTGTTCCTTGTCCATGGATCAGTTTCACCTGGATGTTCGCCTGCAAGTTCGCATGCACTCATTTGAGATTTCCTCAGAGCAGCCTTCCTGGAATACAAAGTAAAAGCAATCCCTGTCACGTTAACCTATCTACTTGTATTCCACATATCAGTAAAATAAACTAAGTCATTAATTTGCATGATTCTTGAATCATTTGTCATAGTTTGGCAATCTTTTGACAGAAAGTCAATCATGTTCACCACTTTTCACCAGTACCTAAACAAGGTAGAAGACATTAAGTAAATTTTGATTGATTAATAGCCTCATTTAACAATCTTGGTTTTGAATCCAATGATGCTTGATATTAATAGTCAAACATTCTTTTTAAAAATTTGTTGTCCTTGGTATGTCTTAATCTATAACTTTATTTTCAGCCTATGCATTGTCCTTTTTTTGGTGCCTTTTTGAATATTTCATTATAGCTAAACCTCATAAATTTGAAAATTTAATCTGATTTTGTCATTTGTTCAAATAATTAAACCCATTCAAGTTTTGGGAAAATGTATGCCTTCCTTTTTAGTTATATTTACTATTTTTATCTCTTATTTTACTGTTTTCTCTAACTTTAAATGGGTTTGCTTGGCCAGGTTAGATTTCATTCTCTTTTCTTAATTTGGAAAGTTTCTGATGTCTTTTCATTATTATAATGGTAAACTTCTGGCTACTATCAATTATACTTAAATTTGTATTTTTGTTACCATGGCAGCATTAAAATAGCTTTTTAATATTCTATGATAAATAATACTGTAATAATAAAAAAGTAAGCAATACATTTATAATCTGTAATAATTGGAAAATAAGTAGAAAATATTTTCTGAAGAATAATGAATTTCACTTTATGAAAATTTTGTCTTTGATATTTATTATCGTATATGTTATTTTCTCTATGGCCTAGACAATCTGTGTTTTCCTATCTAAGATATAAGATATCTATGCTGTCACCTTCTATTTCCCGCACTAATTTTACTGGAGAAATATGCATATAAATACATATTTATATTTATATATGTAAGAATGTGTAGGATGAAATATATGTATATCTGTGTATATATGTATTCCTTTATACATTAGAAAATATAATCTGCACCATTTATAAGAGTGGTTTTTTCCTTATAAATTTGCCATAGTACATTATACACATTTTTATCTGAAGTGATTTGTTATTTTATACAAAGTATACATTAGTCCTAAATTCTGCTTACTATAAGGCATAACAAAGGAACTGGCATAGAATTATGTTTTAGTCTTAGAAATTTTTTATTGATATGAATGTTATATGTTGATAATATATATATAAATGACAAAAAAAACACTTCTATCCGGAATGTACAAATCACATACAAATCAATAAGAAATAGGCAAACAACCCAAAAGAAGGGGACATAACTAGGACAGATTCTTTAAATAGGAGGATTACGAGAGAACAATACATGTATTGACAAAGTCCTCAGTACCACTACTTACCAGGGAAATGTAAATTAAAACCACTATGTGATATCATTGAACATATGTTGTACCATGGGTACAAATAAATATATTGAGAATAGAAAATATTGACATAGATTTGCTCTACTTGGGCCTCCTATTCATTGTCTGTGGAAGTGGAAATTTCCAATTAGAAATACTGACAGTACCAACTTCAACCAAGTACAGGTGTACAGTATGCAAAATTTTCATTACTACTTATAGATCCCTGATAAATGGGTGCCCATGTCCATGAAACAAGCAAGGAAACCAAAGTCTGCAGCTATTCATAGCAGTTTTATTTATAATAGCCCCAAACTTTAAAAATGACTACAATATTTTTTAGTCTTAGAATGAATTCATAAATTATGGTGTATTTCTTAATGCAACAACATGATGAATCCTACAAATATAATGATAGTGAAAAGCAGTCACACACAAGAGAGTAATATACTATCTAATTCCATTTATATGACATTCAAGAATTGGTAAAATCACCTCAGAGTGATACATATTAGAATAGAAATTACCTCCAGGAGTGATATTAACTTAGAAGGGACATAAGAAATCCTCCTAGGCTGCTGACAGTGTTCTATATTTTGAACTGAGTAATGGTTACACAGTATTTATACATGTAAAATTAATTGAGGTGTGGAGTTGATATCTTCACTTTTGTATATATAAATTATACTTCAACATTAAAAAATTCAATGCAAAGTCTATTTTCTTTAAATAATTTTAAATCAGGAATACATGGGTAAAGCAGATAATTACATTAAATATGGGTAGCTGTGAACAGCTCCTGTACATATGCATAAGCTGTACATTTTTCAACTTTTTTATGGCACATTTGAAACCTAAATGTTGTGTACATTACTAAAGTGCTTGTTTTTCACTGATGTAGAGAATTTCTGTATGCAATTTTATTATATTATATATAGTTATAAAAGTGACAGGAATTTGTGCAGAATTTATGTTTATCTTAAAATTTAAAATCATACAAATCATGGATTTGAATATAAATAATAAATATACTGTTTGCTTACTATGAAAAAAAGTACATTATTAGAAATAGATAAGCAAGTATCACTATTAGAAGGGAAGTAACCCCTAATTACAAAACATAAAACCTATTGGATTTTGCACTAGGTTGTAGGAAATACTTTCATACAAAATATATCCCTGATGATGGCAAATTCATAAAAAGGAGAAAGAATAAGAGCATCTGATGGAAGAAAACAATAATTAATTTATAATTGCTCTAAGTAATGACTAATGGAAAGAAAATCATAGCAGAAATTTTAGGACAAGTAATATCAACAATGTACTAAATATATGAAAAAAATGTTTATCATAAAATATTTTAAATATTTTTCATCCATCTGTACCTCCCTAGTTTATGTTATTATCTTTATCAAATTCAATTTTCTTAAAATATATTTTATATTGTTAGTTATTAGCTATTTACTTCTATCTGGTGAGTAGTAGCTGTTTTACTAGATTTAGTTTTTAATTTCTCATTTTTATGTGTACATGGAAGGTGTCTGTATTAGTCTGTTTCATGTTGCTCATAAGGACATACCCGAGACTGGGAAGAAAAATAGATTTAATTTGACTTACAGTTCCACATGGCAGGGGAGGCCTCAGAATCATGGCAGGAGGTGAAAGGCACTTCTTACATGGTGGTGGCAAAAGAAAATGAGGAAGAAGCAAAATTGGAAACCCTGGATAATCCCATCAGATCTCATGAGACTTATTAACAATCATGAGAATAGCACAAAAAAGACCAGCCCCCATGTTTTAATTACCTCCCCCTGGGTTCCACCCATGGCATGTGGGAATTCTGGGAGCTACAATTCAAGTTGAGATTTGGGTTGGGACACAGCCAAACCATATCATTCTGCCCCTGACTCCTCCAAATCTTATGTGCTCATATTTCCAAACCAGTCACGCCTTCCCAACAGCCCCTGAAAGTCTTAACTCATTTCAGCATTAGCCCAAAAGTCAACAGCCCAAAATCTCATCTGAGACAAGGCTAGTCCCTTCCACCTATGAGCCTGTAAAATCAAAAGCAAGCTAGGTACTTCCTAGATACAATAGGGGTACAGGTATTGGGTAAATACAGCCTTTCCAAATTGGAGAAATTAGCCAAAACAAAGGGGTTAAGGGCCTATGCAAGTCTGAAATCCAGCAGGGCAGTCAAATTTTAAAGCTCCAAAATGATCTCCTTTCACTCCAGGTCTCACATCCAGGTCACACTCATGCAAGAGGTGGGTATCCATGGTCTTGGGCAGCACTATCCCTGTGGCTTTGCAGGGTACAGCTACACCCCCAGCTACTTTCACAGGCTGGCATTGAGTGGCTGCAGCTTTTCCAGGTGCATGGTGCAAGCTGTTGATGGATCTACCATTCTGGGGTCTAGAGAATGGTGGCCCTCTTCTTACAGCTCCACTAGGCATTGGCCCAGTGGGTCCTCTATGTGGGGGCTCCAATCCCACATCTCCTTTCTGAACTGCCCTAGAGGAGGTATTCCATGAGGGCCCTGGCCCTGCAGCAAACTTTTGCCTGGGCATTCAGGCATTTCCATACATCTTCTGAAATCTAGGCGGAGGTTCCCAAACCTCAATTACTGACTTTTGTGCACCTGCAGGCTCAACACCACATGGGAGCTGCCAAGGCTTCAGGCTTCCACACTCTGAAGCCACAGCCCGAGCTGTAAGTTGGCCCCTTTCAGCCATGGCTGGAGTGGCTCAGACACAGGGCAACATGTTCCTAGGCTGCACACAGTACCAGCGACCTGGGGCCCAGCCTGCAAAACCACTTTTTCCTCCTGGACCTCCAGACCTGTGATGGGAGGGGCTGCCATGAACGTCTCTGACATGGCCCGGAGACATCTTCCTCATGTTCTTGGGGATTAACATTAGGCTTCTTGCTACTTATGCAAATTTTTGCAGCCAGCTTGAATTTCTCTCCAGAAAATGAGTTTTTCTTTTCTATCATATAGTCAGGCTGCAAATTTTCCAAACTTTTATGCTCTGCTTCCCTTATAAAACTGAATGCCTTAGACAGAACCCAAGTCACCTCTTGAATGCTTTGCTGTTTAGAAATTTCCTCTGCCAGATGCTCTAAATCATCTTTCTCAAGTTCAAAGTTTCACAAACCTCTAGGGCAGGGGCAAAATGCCACCACTCTCTTTTCTAAAACATAACAAGAGTTATTTTTACTCCAGTTCCCAATAAGTTCCTCATTTCCATCTGAGACCACCTCAGCCTAGACTTTATTGTCCATATCACTATCAGCATTTTGGGCAAAGCCATTCAAGAAGTCTCTAGGAAGTTTCACACTTTCCCACATTTTCCTGTCTTCTTCAAGCCCTCCAAACAGTTCCAACCTCTGCCTGTTACCCAGTTCCAAAGTTGCTTCCAAATTTTAAGGTATCTTTTCAGCAGTGCCCCACTATACTGGTACCAATTTACTGTATTATTCTGTTTTTACATTGCTGATAAAGACATACCTGAGACTGGGAAGAAAAAGAGGTTTAATTGAACTTACAGTTCCACATGGCTGAGTGGACATCAGAATCATGATGAGAGGCAAAAGGCATTTCTTACATGGCAGCGGCAAGAGAAAATGAGGAAGAAGCAAAAGTGGAAATCCCTGATAAACCCATCAGATCATGTGAGACTCACTAACTATCACAAGAATAGCACAGGAAAGACTGGCCTCCATGATTTAATTACCTCTTCCTGCATCCCTCCCACAACACGTGGGAATTCTGAGAGATACAATTCAGGTTGAGATTTGGTGGGGACACAGGCAAACCATATCAATATCTATATTTATGGAGCACATGGAATATTTTGATACAGGCATACAATGTGTAATAATCACATCAGGTTAAATGGGGAATCAGTCACCTCAAGTGTTTGTCATTTCTTTGTACCATGAACATTTTGATTCCACTATTTTAGTTATTTTAAAATATACAATAAATTATTGTTGATTGTAGTCACCCTGTTGTGCTATCAAATACTAGATCCTATTCATTCTTTGAAGACCTGATTTGGTTTAAAAAATATATTACTTATCTGGAGCAATATTACAAAATATTCTAAATTTCAAGTTATTTCAAAAATGCTTTGTATAAGAAGTTAACATTCAATGCTATTGAATACAAGGCATTGCATAAAATAAATGTAAAAAATCCAAAAAAAGTTTAAATAGCTCTGTGACTATAGGTTGTTAGAATATTTGTTCTGTTTCTCTTTCATTCTACCCCATTTCACACAGAAAATGTGAAATTCTTATGATAGTCTCAAGTTCTTATGATCAAATCCAACACGGCCTGCACAGAAGTTAGCTCTTTGACTTCTCTATTGTTCACTCACTCTACCCAAGCTTTGGCTGTTCCCTTGTTCCTCCTCAAGCAGGTCCTGTTCTCTCATATCTCGAAGACTTTGACTGCTGTGCCTTTGTTCTAGACCATTCTGCCTCTGCCATACCTGTAACCAGTTTCTTCACTGTTTTCATGCCTTTTCTCTAATAGCTCTTTCCTAATGAGGCTCACCTAAGTGCATCACCACCCACCCCTAACATAATCCTGACTCCCTTTAGCCTGCTCTTCTTTTTCTATTCCATATTTCTCCTTCTGTCATATAATCAACATTTTTTCTGTATTTATTTTGCTATTGTTTATTATCACCCCTCAACACAGAAAAATGGGAGTTTCATGTGGGAAAGAATCTGTGATTGATTTCAAGCATCTAGAGCATAGTAGGTGCTCAGTAAATATTTGTTGTTTATTGAAAATAAATGGAGAGAAATAGTATCTATAGAAAATTTTCTAATCTGAATCAATAAGCACTTCAAGAAATTACTACTTTGAGGGACCAATCAAAATTTTAAAACAGTTTATATATAATATATGAATTATTAATATTATAATTATTAATATATATTAATCATATTTTATTACAATCATACTATAATTACAATATAATGTAATTATAAAAATAACATAATATAATTATAATATAAATATAAAAATATAATTAATATATAATATAATATAATTATATAAATATAATAAAATTATATTATATTGTAACAATTACAATTATAATTATTAATATATAAATAATTAATATATAATTGTATAGTTTATATTACATTATTATATATAATAAAATATATATTATTTTATTATTTATATAAAAGTGTATATATTATATATAATACATTATATTATAAATATTGTGATATGTTTTATATGTATATACATACGCTCACTTTCATCCCCTTTTCCAAATACATAATAATTTATATAGTTCTACTGGATAATTCAATATAGTTCTGTGCTTTGGCAAGGCAAAAATACTAGTTTTTACTGTTTAAACAATATTTAAAAACTTAAAAAGTCAATTCATTGACGCCAGAGTTTAACATCCAGACACTAGTTTTATACAATTTATGTTGCTCTTCATAAAAGGAAATTCATGTGAATTAAGAGTCTGCCATAATTACCTAGGTTATACCTTCTAGTCTTTTTTTTTACTTTTGGTGTTAATTTTATGTGCCATTCATGGTAGACTTTTCAGATCATCCAGAATCTAGGAAAAGTTTTTTCCAGACTCAAATTATTTACTTCAGCTAAAGAGAGGCATAGCATTACAGTAGTCAGAATTGAAATAGCATACACATAAGATGTATAATAGTCAGAATAGTAGAATCTATCCATCCATCTCTACAATCTATATCTGTATCTTCTATCTATAGATATAAATTATATCAATTTTTAAGTTACACATACATACAGAGCATGTAATAATGTAAGCAGATGAGTTAAAGCAGGAAGATACTTATATGGCCATTTAGGTGGTGAGCAGGTAGGTAAATTAATTTTTTGATGGATATAGAAAAGCAGAAAATTAGATCAACTCTTTTGAAGGCTAAAATAGAATGTTGCGAGTGACTAAAAACACTCAAATCTGTTAGTTCTATCAAGTTAAAATTGAAAAGTTGATTGAATCCTTGCATTAAAATGACCTATGTTTGATTTTTCTCTTTTGGAGATACAGCCTTTGATAAATGAAAGTTTAAGACATCAATAGTGTTAAGAAGTAGGACAAAGGGTTCTGTGAACACTCAAAAGTACAAGATTGAGTTATGCCAGCAAATGTCATTTGGTCAGATAGCTCTTGCTTTCTTCACAAGATAAAGACGTTCAGTTAGTCCTGAAACCAAACTGTACACATTCGGGTCACACTGAGTGATTGCAGTACCACCAAGAGAAAGCAAGCTGAGATTCGTTGCAATCATATTGTGTGGCAGGGGCTGCCACAGGTCTTTTGGGACAGTTACGTCCCAGTTGGAAATTTTCGAAGAGCCTTAGCCAGGAAGGAAAAATCAAATTTGCCCTGAGTAAAGGTGAGAATTGCAGTCACTTATTTGAATTCTTTGTTTTTTTTCTTGAGGCAGTGTCTCACTCTGTCGCCCAGGCTGGAGTACAGTGGCTCGATCTCTGCTCACTGCAAGCTCCACCTCCCGGGTTCACGCCATTCTCCTGCCTCAGCCTCCCGAGCAGCTGGGACTACAGGCACCCGCCACCATGCCCAGGTAATTTTTTTGTATTTTTAGTAGAGATGAGGTTTCACCGTGTTAGCCAGGATGGTCTTGATCTCCTGACCTCGTGATCCGCCCACCTCGGCCTCCCAAAGTGTTGGGATTACAGGCGTGAGCCACCGCACCCGTCCACTTATTTGAATTCTTAGCCACTCTAATAAGTCTAACCAGATTATTTTTTCTCTCTCAGATGATTGAAGCCAGACAATCTGCATGGGAATAACGTGGGTGCTCATTTAAAAGGTCCATTAATGGACCCCACCAAAATCTCACTGTATCCAAATTTCTCTCTTCTAAATAAATTTATCTACTTGTAAATAAATATTGCGAGTAATATGTGTACGATCCCTTAAAGAATCACTGAACTAAACTATAAAAGTTATTGAGAAATCTCCTATGTTTACATTAACAGATAAATGAAATGTATGACTGAAGATCTTGGAAATAATCTAAGATATTTTGAGTTACTTTGCCCATCATAACATTCCTCAGATTCCTCACTATAATTTAAATAAGTTTCAAAGGTTCTTTTTACATGGTGTTACTTGTACTGTATCTGGAGTTCTTGCAATCTCTATCAAATCTTCTTGGTCCAGGAATGGGTGCCTGACCCAAAGAGAGTGGACTATATCTGTCCAATGGCCTAAGAACTGGCCCTAAGATCTTATAGTCCTTTAGAAATATTGCATGCTAGATGTCTAAGTTGTGAAAGTGGATCCTCATTCAAGGCATTCAAACTCAAGATATGGAATGCCAATTAGCAGGAAATGTCAGAGCAAAAGAAGAACACACAGAGAAAAAATGGTGCAACACTGGAATCATGTAGCTCAGACATCTATGCATAAATCTCTTCAATCACTGGGGCAGCTGTTGAGTCATAAAGAATTTTGTTATATTCCCATTAACTTTGAGAATATTGACATAACTGCTAATATAGATGCTTGCATTTTTGATACCAGCTTTCATCCAGATTATATTTTGTCCCTTTAAAATTGAGTCTAAATTACACTGGTAAGCATATAAGGAAGACATGGAAAAAATTTATTTTAACCTAAACAATAACAATTTTTACATAAATAATTCATATTGTTAAGGGTACATTTTAATTGCTAATGCAGATAATTATTTACTGTTTGTTATGATATTGTAATATATGCTAAAGAAATGAGAAGTTATATTTAATAACTTTTCAGTCATTCTCTACTCTAATTGTCTTTATGTGAATATGCATTTTGTGGAATGTGTACCATCCATGGGAAACACCTGCAGTACTTGGAATTTCTCATGAGTTTTGGTGAGTGACAGTCCAAACTTCATGAGATTAACACCAATATGTTGGAAATTTAATAATCAGAGAATACCAGAATCTTCACCTGACTACCTGGCCCTGGAAGCAGTACACATAATCATCTTTTTTTTTTGCTTCAGGTATTTGCAACCACCTTACTCTGTATTGATTTATTTGGCAGAATTATTAATCATTTCATCATCCTACAGAACATCGGACTGGCAAAAACTTAAGTATAGAAAAAAAATCAGGTACTACGTATAATATGGCTTAATAGGATCTATGAATGATACAGTGCAAGAAATAAATCTCAAAGGAAAATAGGAACCTGTTTATTTAACAAAACTACTGAAGTTCTGGTAGTCTATGGCTTTAGTTCTCTCCCTTTCAGAATGAAATTCACATTGCTTCCTTTTTGCATGCTACACTAAAGAAAGGGGGCACTCATTTGTGGATTTATTGAAATTTTATAAAGCACGTGTCTAACGTGTATAACTCTGACACATTTACCAGGTGACACAGGATAGATGAAACTCTTGCAACTGTCCAAGCTATTATCCAAGAATTTCTGTCAGTTGGACTTTATGAGCCAGAGAAATCATTTGTTCTGTCTGCATTTGTGAAATATAATGTTATATGCAATCTGTTCCAAACCACGAAAGAAAATCACTATAAACATCAGTAGGATTTTGAAATAAATCCTTGCTTTTTGGTAAGTAGTTTGTGAGAAACAACTCTTGACTTGCTAATGGGCTCTAATATACCCTGAATGTCTGGATATGAGCATAATAGTCAATCCAAAGTGCCCATTAAAAACTCTAAAATACCTCTTCAACTTTGTTATATCTGCTGTGCCCAGAGTAACTTATTCCATTAATAAATGTAGGTATCACTAATGTGACTTGGCTTGAGGAGGTTCTGAATGCATTGTAATTTACATAAGAAAGCTTCAACTTCTAGGCATGCCATCACTTGGCTGCATTGCCAGCTCTCCCACATTCACACTCATGACATCATCAGAATTCCCAAATGACCTGTTGACTGACAAGAAATACATTTGATCCTGTTAAATACTGGTGCTACAAAGTATGGTAGTTATTAACTGGAAATAGACAGTTGTGATGGTAATTCTTATATTTCAACTAATTTATTTTTCCTCCCTCTCCCTTTAAAATATGCATCATTTTAAGTTTTCCAAAGCAGATGCTGTTACAGAATTAGAAATTTTCAAGATTTATTAGGGAAAATTCTGAAAAGAATGAAGTGGGAGACAGCAACAGTAGGCAGGGAGAGCATTCACATTGTAATACAGGTCTGACAGCTGTGAAAGTGAGAGGAGAAACTGTCTAGGAAGAACTTCAGAGTGCAGATCAGCCAAAACTGTGTGGTTTCTTGAGACAAGTTTTCCTGTAGGAGGAGTTCCCTGTTAAGCAGAAATGGTCTGAACCTAGTACTCCCACCATGTTCAGGATGTGAACCATGTTCATGTGTGAATGTGTTGCTGGAACCAAAGCAGTTAGGTTTGTCCGTCAACACTCCTCACTGCAGTAGGTTCCACTGAAGGAGATCTGCACTGCACACTCCCATAAGCACCATACGTAAGCTCCTTTCAGAAGGGTGAAGTTGGTTACTAATGCGAGCCAACATGGCTTGCCTGCTTTAAACTTCAGTGTTTTTAAGCACATTATCCAAGATCTTCTCTTCACAAGTATCAGTACATCACTCTTTTCTTATCTGAGTTGTGGCCATAGAGTAGGTACTTGTCAAGGCTGTAACTAATTTTCTTTGTAACACTATTAACTCTCACCATTAGATAACCTCTGCAATTTTCAGCATTTTGTGTTCTTTTTGGACAAAATTAAGAGATCTTCAAATGCTGCCATGATGACATTCTGACTTTCATATTCTGCCCTGAGCTGATAGTTGGCTACCCTGTTATGTTTACTTTCTAGGTTTCTATAATTTACAGTAGTAAACTTACTCCACAATACTTCATTGTCCCTCATATCTCTCAATTGTTAGAACTATTGCATAAGTCAGTGAATCCTAATTTAGCTGGAGCTTATCCCTATTAATTACAAGTAGGAGTCTCCACAATTGTGAAGATGCATCATGTGGAGTTATCAATATTCCAAATTTCTACCAGCAATTATTTACTACTTTATCAGTTGTTTTGTTGATAAGTTATCTAATTCCAGAATATTTTACAGAATCCTTGTCTACATTTTTAGATTGCCTCTGATACCAAATAGACCATCCCTTTTTGTTTAGATTCCCACAGAAACAGGACCTGAGACAAAAATTCAATTGCAAGTGGGTTATTTGGGAAGTGATGCCAGGAAATACTGGTAGGAGTGGAAAAGTGAAAGAAGAGAGATGTGTGCATTATCAAGCTAGTTACCCATATGGGCAACTAGAGCTTGATATTCCTAGAGAGTTAGGGGGCAATGTAGAATAAGGGCTTTCTAGTTATTCCACCATAGAAGTGAGGAAGCTGTGGTATTATTTACCAACTCTCTGTCTATAATTGTTTATTTGTAGGCACTACCATTGTCTATACCACTTCAGCATTTTTGCCACTCATGTGCTTAAAAAAAAATAGTTCTGTGACCAGAAAAACTACTTCAGGAAAAACATTACAAGAGTTCATATCATAAAGCTTCTGGTGTGCAAAAGTGAACGCTGATAAAAACGTGCTGAGTACCAATAGAATTGTCAACAGATTATGATAAAACAAATTTTAAAGTAATGTCTGTAATACAGAAAAGAGAGGCAAAATAGCAAAAACTGAAATGCTGCATGCTTCATCTATTCCAAACCTTGGAAACATTATCCTAAATAAAATAAGCCAGACACAAAGGATAAATATCATATGATTCTGTTTACATGAAATACCTAGAATAGGCAAATTCATAGAAGCAGAATGTAGATTTGAAGGTACCAGAGGAAGGAATTGGGAGTAATTGCTTAAGGGGTAGAAAGTTTCTACTTTAGATTATTAAAAAAGCTGAAATAGATAGTGGTGATGGAAACACAATATTGTGGACTTATTTAATGGCACTAAATTATACACACAGAAAGGCTAAGCTAGCATTTTTTAATGTTGTATATATTATAAGAAAAAGTCAATATAAAGTTCATAACCAGCCCGGCCAATATGGTGAAACCCTGTCTCTACTAAAAATACAAAAATTAGCTGAGCATGGTGGTGGGAGCCTGTAGTCCCAGATACTCAGGAGGCTGAGGCAGGAGAATTGCTTGAACCCAGGATGCAGAGGTTGCAGTGAGCCAAGATCGCGCCACTGCACTCCAGCCTGGCTGACAGAGCAAGACTCTGTCTCAAAATAAATAATTAATTAAAATAAATAAATAAATAAAAATAAAATAAAATAAAAATTTAAAAAAGAAAAAATGATAAAGGTCATCAGTACAATTCAAAGGACAGGAAAACACAAATGGCAAAGATATTTATAAAAACGTCAAAGTTGTTAGCACCCAGGACATTTCAATTTCTAAAAAAAAAATAAGATATGTAAAAATAAGTATAACCTTACTTGGTAAAATTTAATTAACATAAAATTTAAGAATATTTCATGTACTTAAAATATTAACATTTAAAAAGTCATAGAGTACATGTTGTGAATGAGGAAAAACAATTGGGATTTTCAATATTTTGGGTGGTTATAAAATAATAGTGTGACATTTTATAAAAAGAAATAGACATCTCTAATAAAGGAAAACCTCAAATCTCATTTCCAAGTTTATATACAAGAAACTTATGCAAAGAGATATGCAAGGAGAAACTTGGAACCATACTCTTTGCAAATTTGTTTATGATAGTGCAGACTGAAAACAACCTAAATATACGATAATATGGGACTGAATATTTTATTTTTGGTTCATTCAAACCATGGAATTGTTTAAATATGTTGAAGTGCATAAGCTTTGTGAATAAACCTCAGGAATATCATTAAGTAAAAATAGCTAGAATGATGAAAATCATATTACAGTTCTGGGAAAAATTAAATATTTTGAAAAATCTTGTAATATAATTGATAAATAGGGTTATATATGTCAAATTTTTAAAAAAAATGACCAAAAATTAATTCTGACTTCAAAATAGAAATACAAAGGTTCAAAGGGGCTCCTTTATACTGCAAATGTTCATTTTTAAAATAAAGAATTTAAAACAAATAGGATTACATATTAACATTCATTTAATAATGATGTTGGTTAATGCATGTTCATTATACTTTAAAGTTACTTTTTTCTGAATGCTTGTCTTTTTTATAAAATAGATCATTACATTAATTATAGCCTGTACTTTTAATCAGAATTAATAACCCCCCTTTTCAATGAGTTTATTATTACTTCAATTGCATTGCCTGTACATAATTTTAACTTTTCTGTTTCATTATCTTTTAATTAATAACTAACATATGGGGTTGTAAAATTATCATCTCAAAGTCTTTCAACATAATTTAAACAGATTTTTTACCTCAAACCCTATATATTTGTTTTTACTTTCATCTTATGTATCTTATTAGTTTGTTAATATTTTTTCCACATTTCTTCTGTTAATGAAACTGTCTTTTATTTACCTGTGATAGGCAAAGAAGACGTGCATGTCTTCATGTCTTCTTGAGATTTGTGCCATTTGTAGGGCTCAGAAATTGTCACTGCTTCTGACAGCATGATGAGAGAGACATATGCTATATAATCTGTGCCTAACATGGGTATGTTTCTAATACTTGTGGTACTTTTTCTTTTTTCTTTTCTTTTCTTTTCTTTCCTTTCTTTTCTTCTTTTATTTTTCCCTTTTCCTCTTTTTCTTTTATTTTTCTCTTTTAGTTTTTTTTTTTTTTTTTTTTTTTTTTTTTTTTTTTTTTTTGGTAGAGATGGGGTTTCACCATGCTGCCCAGGCTGGTCTTAAACTCCTGAGCTCAAGGGATCCACCCGCCTCGGCCTCCCAAAGTGCTAGGACTACAGGTGTGAGCTACTGTGCCCAGCGTTGCCTGTGATACTTTCAAAATTTGTTTCAGTTAACAAGGAATACATTCTGATTTAATTTACAATATTGTTTATGATTAATGTTTAAGGATTTTTATCTCAACTATGAATAAGTAAAAGTGTCCACTTCTGTAGTTGACCCTTAAGCTGGTATTCATCTTTATCATCTCTTTCCCACACCATTCACTGTAGATTTTGCTTATTCTCACACAGCCATTTATGTAAATTAATTCACCTACAAGGTTGGATAATACAGCCCTTTGCCCTTGTTTCCAATGGTCCCTTCAATGGCCCCATAACTTTTAACATTCAAATAGAAGTGTCAAGAGACACCCTAGAGAATAACAGGTTTCAAACATACTCCTCCCTATGTACATTGTTATCATGAGTGCGAACTCCCCATAATTACCAGGCCTGACTCCTCCCATTGGTAAATAACTCTTTTTTATCCCTCCTTGAGCAGCAGCCTGAGGAGTCCATGTGGCAGTTATTGCTTCACCACATTCTGCCCCCACTGGAAGTACCACTGACTTCCTCAGGAATCAGGCTTTCCAACTCACCAGAGTATAAAACTGTGAAAATATAAAACATAGTTGCAATACTGCTAAGAAAAGCCATTTGTACTTTCTTCCACCCCTTCGTTTTAGACTTACGTATTTAACTCTGTGGGACACAACACCATGAAGTGGCCACTGATTTAATGCAGAATGCTGCCTCTGAGGTGATGCCTTAGCTGAGCAATCCATAGGCCATTCCAATAATCTATCAGAACAGCTCCTTCCAGTCATAGAGTATTTAATACTTTAAGTGATCTTTCACTCACTAAGCACTTAATTGGCTGTGAAAAAATATTACTCTGAGGCAATACATGTAGGGTCCCATGTTATGAATTATTCATTAGATTAGTAGGGGTTGTGTTAGAAAAATGCAAAACTCTCAGATATTGATACTGGCAAGGAACATATTAGGGAAATAAACTCATATCCAGATTATGCATAATTTCTGATAAGAATAAATAACTCATCCCTCCAGGGTAGAAGGTATTGATTGTAATCAATGTACCAGTGAGTGACAGGCATATCATCTTGAGATCTGTGCCATTTGTAGGGTTGAGAATTGGTCACAGCTCCTGACAGGATGATGAGAGGAATATGCTATGTGATCTGTGCCTAACATCTCTCAACATTAGCATTACTGCACTCTTCACGAGCCTGGAAGATAAGTCTAAAGTGGCAGAGGATAGAAACTAGTTGACATCATTGGCTATGTTCCTAACAAGTGTTGAGTGCCTCCTCTGGCGCAGGTACTTTCTGGGATCCATTGATGTGAGACACAAAGTTTCACACATTTTGTGCTCACTTCCATGTGTCCATCCACAAGCCTCTTCCCCAGACTTCAATATATCTGATTTTCTAATGCTCTTTTCACGGCTCTTATCAACAAGCCAAGCCATTTAATCCTTTACAGCAGTCTGCATATCTGGGCCAGATTTCTTGGGTCACTTTACACCTTTACACTCTTATCAAGTGGACAACAAAGAGTAATGCTTGTAAAATTACTTGCTGAGAGGATTCACTTCATTAATGTATTTCAGAACCACATCCTCTGACTTGTGCAATATTACAATTGCAGTCTATTTTCATCTCATTCCAACATATCAAGTTGACCCATATGTAAACTAGGACCAATTATATTTCCTCTTCTATGAGATGATTTTAAGAAAGTTTCCCTCACCCATAAGGTTATAGACATGAGCTGAGAGAAATGGTCAATGCAAAAATAGGCAATGCATGCAGGGTCCCATGTTATGAATTATTCATTAGGTTACTAAGGATTGTGTTAGAAAAGTGCAATGTGCCTTCTTAACCCTGATAGCAAATTGTCATTTAAGTTATTTGATAGATAGCTACTGCGCCTGATATGTTTAGCAGATTTAATAATGCTAAGGGGTAGTTCCAGTCACATCATCACTTAATTTCTGTAGGTACTCAATTGCTGTTAGTATCATGTAGTTAATAGAATTCTAAGATAACCTCCCAGATTCTTGTCTCCAACCCTGTACACACCCTGTACATCTTCTCCCCTTGATTGTAGGAATTCCCTGTGAAAATGATGGAATTTCATTTCTGTGAAAAGGCAACATTATATGGAAAGGTGAAAGGATTTTGCATATGCAATTAAAGTCCCAAATCAGTTTATTTTTAGTGAATTGTAAGGAAGACTATTCTGGGTGGGTAAGAATCAGTTTGGTGCAAGATGTTAAAAGAGGGGCTGAGATCATTGCTGATCTGAGAATGGTTATCCTGCTGGCTTTAAAGAGAAGTTTCTATATTGTGAGGGGGATAGATGGATAGGAATTTAAAATGTCCTCCAGGCATTGTGAACAACCTCCATGGATGGCCAGTTAAGAAAATGGAGACCTCAGTTCTACAATCGAAAGAACTAAATTATACCAACAGCCTAATGAGCTCACAAGAGGGCTATGAACTCCACATAACAATGCAGCCTGGCTAACACCTTAATTTCTACTTTGTGAGACCCTGACCAGAGAATCTAATGGTAGTTTGTCTAGACTTCTGACCTACAAAAATTGAAGCAATAAATAGGCATTGCTTTATCCTGAAAATTTGGAGAAAGTGTGTCTTGCAGCATGTAAAACTAATATAGATCATTGGCACACTAGAAGCTTATTTTCTAATATCACGGAGTCTGTTCACTACTGAAGCAGATATTGCCCAGGGGATGAAGTTTTCACTTAAAAAATTCTCATTATCACATCTTCTCACTGTCACATTGCTTTTGCCCAATTCTCTATCATCTTCCTTCCTTCCTTTTGTTCTATATTACTCTTACACTTTACTTTGTATTTCATTTTCCCTTGTTTGAGATAAACTTTTTGATTTATCTTTCAGCTCACTAGTTGTATTGTTTCTCAATTCATATATCTGAAGCTACTTACCAGATACCAGAGATTACATGGATGTGAGACTTTTATTTAAAGTGAATCACGTGGTGTAGCAATAGAAAGAGAATGAAGGCAAGCATTGGAGATCCAACTGGTAACTGCAGCGTAAGCCTTCACTTGGGCCAGTCTTACAAGCTGCACTGTATTGAGACTAGCTTGAATGATCAAGATTTATGTAAAGAATCTTGGATTTGAGAGAACACATCTAAAAAGCTCTCTGGTTCACTCCGTGGTCAAACAGGCTTATTAAACTGAATAGGGTAATTACAAAGCAACAGTAAAGAGACTAACTAGGTGTCACAAGAAAAATTTCAGACATTGAAAAGTATACCATAAATGCCACTGCCCTTATCTTAGCCAAGAATAAAACCAACAAACCAAAAATCAAAGAAAGGTATCTAGGTATCCCCAGAGAAAGAGATAGAGCTTTTGTCAGCCAGCCTGAAATTAGTTCTGCTTCTATATTAATCCTCCCACCTAACAGATTACTCTGCTCAGTCTTCTACTAAACTCATCTCATAGTTGTATTTTGCACTACTTACTATTGATATTTTTAACTGCAAATTTTTTGTCAAAACTTTCCAAATTATTTACCTTTTGGTATGTCTTCTCTATTATCTTGAACATATTAGTAACAGTAATTTAAAATTCTTTCAATTCTCAACAATCCAATTTCCTGCAGATGTGCTTTAATTAACTATTGTTGCTCTTCAGTTTTGGACAGTAGAATATATCCTTTAGCATGGCTCATAATTTTTTATTGCATAATTGGCAGTGAAGATGAAAAATTGTGTAGAATTGGGAAAGTGATGTTTCCAAAAAAGGCACTTTATGTTTTAAAGCAGATACCAGCCTATCTTCCCAATTTTGTACAAAGTGGGCATTTGGGTTCGTAAGATCTGTTATTATTTTATTCTCATTATTTTTCCTTTTGCTTTATTTTTTCTTTACATTTGTAATCATACATCTTTCAAACTCTTGGTCAGCAAACTACTGTAGGTCAATTTTTTTTTCCTCCTGCTTCTGATGCCTTTGTTACTTTTATACAAATGTTAGGCACTGAGTTTAGAAACATGACAGGAAATTTTGAGGGACTTAATGATGTTAATTTACTCTAGTAATACACTTTTGCTTTAAGAAAATTGTTGTTGTAAAGGTGTTGTATCCACCTGAATCTGTGATTAATCTCACTGTGAAGACTGGATATTTCAAGTATAACTTTTACAAGATTACTCCTGCTGAGGCCCAAATGAAAGCCGAAAATGCTAGTTAGGTCTCTTGTTTCTTACTGGAGATTGAAGTCCAACTTTTTCACCCTTGCCAGCCTCATGTGAATACCGAGAGCTATGCTGTCTATTTCAGCAACTCTCATGCTATTGTCAAATAGTCACACATTTGTTGGGGAAAAAAGACAAAAAAAAAATGTGCCCACTTCTTTAAGCTTCTCTTATTTATTTGCTTTTACCTTCATCATAAACCCTTACTGCTTCCTTTGATTACCAATCTCTTTATACAAATTTAAAATTATTTTGTATACATATTCTATTTACCTTGAATGAGTGCTGGTGTAAAACAAACTATACTTTCATTTATAATTCATTTCATTTAAAAAAATGAATAGACTATTAATGACCTTCAAGAAAATGTTATCTATTATACATGTACTTAAAAGCCCAAAAAACAGAAAAAAAAAAGAAAATGAGCAGAAAAACATTTGAAAATATAGTGGCCAAAAATTTCCAAAATATGTTGTAAAATATAAACTTACGAATTAAATGAATACACAGAAAACTCCTAAAGCCCTCCAAATGACTGAACATAAAACATGAAAAAGGCATTTTAGGAGCAGTCAAATTTTTTAAATGACATTTTACATAGAAGATAAAAACAACAAAAATTATGGTTGACTTCTCATTAGAAACAGTGGAGGTTGGAAGAAAATGAAATAATATATTTTTTTAACTCTATAAAGTAATAAAATACATTACCCACACATAATTTCATGTCAACATAAAATCCCTTTAGATAATCAATATAAAATAATGTCAATTTTATTAATTAAATTTGAGATAATTTACTAACTGTAAACCTATACTATTGGACATAATAAAGGAAAATTATCATGCTGAAGGGAATCAACATAAACGAAAACTTGAATTGACCGGAGAAAAAGAACATATTAAGTAGTAATATGTCAGTATATATAAAAGATATACAGATAGAAAGATAGGTAGGTAGATAGATAGATAGATAGATAGATAGATAGATAGATGATAGATAGATGCATAGATAGATAGGTGATAGATAGATAGATAATCTTTCTGTTAGTTCAAAATCAAGACATAAATTAAAAACATACATCATTGACTTCTGGTTCCAAAATGGTAGCAGAGAAGCAGGTTGGCTTCAGTCCCTCCCACAGAAAACCAAAGGCAAATATACATCACAGACACTATCACCAGTAATATTTCAGAAGCCAAATATGGTTCCTGGGGCTACAGAGAAGTTAAAAACCAACCAACCAAACTAACAAACAAAGAAAACAAAACAAAACTCTGAGCAGATGGTAAGAGAGAACGAAACTTCCAGATTTGCAATGATGCTTCCCTGACTCTTCTTTACACAAAGTGTGCAAAAATTTTCCATCAATTTATGGTTTCTACGTGAATAAAACAAACAAAAATACTAATAGGCAAAAATATTTGAAGGTATAAAACACATTGGTAAAATTAAGTACATGGACAAACCCAGAATAGTCTAATACCATAATTATGATGTGCAATCCATTTATAACTGTAGTATGAAGTTCAAAAGACAAATCTATTACAAATAATAATATTTAATATTAACCTATTCAGAGATAGACAATATAAAATATGTAAATTGAGGCAAAATAAAGTCAAAATGTGAGGGGAATGAAGATAATGTTTAGAGGGTATTTTTATTGTTTTTGTATTCTTATCTGTGTTATCTCAGAAAAGATGTCATCTCTTTAGAAACTTTAAAAACATATTTATAGCTTTGTGGGTACAAGTGTTTTTTGGTTACATAGATGAATTGTATAGTGATGAAGTCTGAGATTTTAGTGCACCCTGAGAAGTGCACATTGTACACAATATATAGTTTTTTAATCCCTTACCCCACTTCACCCTCTCCCTTCTGAGTTTCCAAAGTTCATTATATCACTCTGTGTGCCTTTGTATACCCATAGCTTAGCCCCCATTATAAGTGAGAACATACAATATTTGATTTCCATTACTCAATTACTTCACTTAGAAAATGGCCCCCAGCTACATCCCAGTTGCTACAAAAGAAATTATTTTGTTATTTTCTATGGTTGAGTAGTATGCCATAGTGTATATATACCATATTTCCTTTATCCACTTATTGGCCAATAGGCACTTAGGTTGGTTTCATATCTTTACAATTATGAATTTTGTCAAAAATTACATGTGCATGTGCAGATGTCTTTTTCATATAACTTTCCCTTTTGGTAGATACCCAGTAGTGAGATTGCTGGACCAAATAATAGATCTACTTTTAGTTCTTTAGGACATCTCAGTACTGTTTTCCATAGAGGTTGTACTAATTTACTTTCCCACCAGCAGTGTATAAGTGTTTCCTTTTCACCACTTTCATGCCAACATCTATTGTTTTTTGACTTTTTAATAATGGCCATTCTTGTAAAGGTAAGGTAGTATCTTATTGCAGTTTTAATTTGCATTTCCCAGATGATTACTGATTTTGAGCACTCTTTCATATGTTTGGTGGCCATTTGTATTTCTTTTTAGGAGAAATGTCTATTCATGGCATTTGCCTACTTTTTGATGGAATTACTTGTTTTTGTTCTTGCTGATTGTTTGAGTTGCTTGTAGTTTCTGGATATTAGTCCTTTGTCAGATGCATAGTTTGCAAATATTTTCTCTCATTCTATGGGGTTTCTGTGTACTCTGATGATTATTTCTTTTGCTGAACAGAAGCTTATTAGTTTAATTAGGTCTCATTTATTTATTTTTTATACATTCGCTTTTGGGGTTTTAGTCATAAATTTTTTACCTTGGCCAATTCCCAGGAGAACTTTTTCTAGGTTTTCTTCTAGAATTGTTATGATTTCAGGTCTTAGATTTAAGTCTTTGATCCATCTTGAGTTGATTTTTGTATAACGTGAGAGATAAATATATAGTTTCATTTTTCTACATGTCACTATCTGATTTCCCCAGCACAATTTATTAAATAGGGTGTCCTTTCTCTAATTTATGTTTCTGTATATTTGTCAAAAATCAGTTGGATGCATTTGGCATTGTTTCTGGGTTCTCTATTCTGTTCCACTGGTAGATATGTCTACTTTTATACCAGTATCATGCTTTTTTGGTTACTATAGCCTTTTAGTATAATTTGATGTTGGATAATGTGATGTCTTCAGATTTTTTTTTCCTTAGGATGGCTTTGAATATTCAGAATTGTTTTTGGTTCCATACAAATTTTAGAAATATTTTTTCTAATTCTGTGAAAAATGATGTTGGTATTTTGATAGGAATTGCATTGAATCTGTGGATTGCTTTGAGAAATATGATCATTTTTGAGATATTGATTCTTCCAATCCATAAGCCTGGGATGTGCTTTCATTTTTTCATGTCATCTATGATTTCCTTCCTCTGCAGTGTTTTGTAGGTATCCTTGTAGAGACCTTTTACCTCTTTAATTATATTCCAAAGTATTTCATTTTTTTTTTTTTTTTGCAGATATTGTAAAAGAGATTCTGTTCTTGTTTGATTCTCAGCTTGGTCATTGTTGGTGAATAGCAGAACTAGTAATAATATTGGTGACCAGTGATATTTCGTCTTCCTCTTTTTCAGTTTAAATGCCCTTTATTTCTTTCTCTTACTTGATTGATACGGCTAAGACTTCCAGTACTAGGTTGAATAAAAGTGATGAAAGTGGGCATCCTTGAATTGTTCCTATTCTAAGGGGGAATGCATTCAACTTTTCCTCGTTCAGTATAATGTTGGTTGTGGGTTTGTCATACATAGCTTATAAGGGGGAATGCATTCAACTTTTCCTCGTTCAGTATAATGTTGGTTGTGGGTTTGTCATACATAGCTTATATTATTATTATTATTATTATTATTATTATTATTATTATTATTGAGACGGAGTCTCGCTTTGTCGCCCAGGCTGGAGTGCAGTGGCTTAATCTCCGGTCACTGAAAGCTCCGCTTCCCGTGTTCAGGCCATTCTCCTGCCTCAGCCTGTGGAGTAGCTGGGACTACAGGCGCCCACTACCACTCCCGGCTAATTTTTTGTATTTTTAGTAGAGACGGAGTTTCACTGTGTTAGCCAGGATGGTCTCTGTCTTCTGACCTCATGATCTGCCCACCTCAGCCTCCCAAAGTGCTGGGATTACAGGTGTCAGCCACCGCGCCCGGCCTAGCTTATATTATTTTGAGATATGTCCCTTGTATGCCTAATTTGTTGAGGGTTTTTATCACAAAGGGATGCTGAATTTAATTAAATGCTTTTTCTACATCTACTGATATGATCATATAGATTTTGTTTTAAATTCAGTTTATGTCATGTATCATATTTATTGACTTGTGTGTATAAAGCCTTCTCTGTATCCCAGAGACAAAACCCAACTGAACATGATGTATTATCTGTTTGATCCTCTGTTGGATTCTGTTAGCCAGAGTTTTGTTGAGGATTTTTGCGTCTATATTCATCAAAGATATTGGTCTGCAGCTTTTTGTTGTTGTTGTTATATCCTTTCCTGATTTTGGTATCAGGGTCATACCTGGCTTCATAGAATGAGTTAGGGAGGACTTCCTTTCTCAATTTTCTGGAATAGTTTCAGTAGAATTGGTACCAATTCTTCTTTCAGTGTGTGCTGAAATTCAGCTGTGAATTTATCCGGCCCTGGGCTTTTTGTGATGTTGGCATTTTTTATTTTTTTTTACTACTGATTCAATTTCACTGCTTGTTATTGGTCTGTTCATGGTTTCTATTTCTTCCTGATTTAATCTAGGAGGGTTGTATGTTTCCCGAAATTTATTTATTTCCTCTAAGTTTTCCAGTTTGTCTGCAAAGAGATGCTCGTAGTAGTCCCAAATTATCTTTTGTATCTCTGTGGTGCCAGTTGTAAGGTCTTCATTTTCATTTCTAAGTGAGTTTATTTGAATCTTCTCTCTTATTTTCTTGATAGATCTAGCTAATTATCTATCAATTTTTGTTTATCTTTTCAAAAAATCAACTTTTTGTTTTATTTTTCTTTTGTATTTTTTGTTAACTTTTCAATTTCATTTCATTCTGCTTTGATCTTTGTTATTTATTTTCTTATGCTAGCTTTGAGTTTTGTTTGTTCTTCTTTCTTTAGTTCTTTGAGGTGTGATGTTAATTTGTCAATTTGTTATCTTTCAGTTTTTGATGCAGGCATTTAGCACTGTAAGCTCTCTTCTTAGTACTGCTTCTACTGTATCCCAGAAGTTTTGATAACTTTTGTCATTATTATCATTTATTTCAAGATATTTTTAAATCTCTATCTTGATTTAATTGCTTACCCCAAAATCATTCAGGAACAGAGTGTTTAATTTCTTTGTGTTTGAATAGTTTTGATAGTTCCTTTTGCAGTTGATTTCTAGTTTTATTCCACTGTGGTCTGAGAAGATACTTGATATGATTTCAATTTTTAAAAATTCATTAAGGCGCATTTCATGACCTATCATATGGTCTATCTTAGAGAATGTTCCACGTGCTGATGAGAAAAATGTATATTCTGCAGTACTTGGGTGGAATATTCTGTTTATATCTGTTAGGCCCATTTGTTCTATAGTGTAGTTTGCATCCATTGTTTCTTCATTGACTTTCTGTCTTGAGGATCTGTCTAAAGCCATCAGGGAGTGGTGAAATTCCCCACTATTATTGTGTTCCTGTCTATATCATTTCATAGGTCGAGTGGTATTTGTTTTATCAATCTGAAAGATCCAGTGTTAGGTGCATATACATTTAGGATTATAGTATAGTCTTGTTTGATTGATCATTTTATCGTGATATAAAGACTTTTTTCTTTAAAAAAAACTTGTTGTTTTAAAGTCTGTTTTAGCTCATTTAAGAATAGCTACTTCTACATGCTCTTGATTTTCATTTACATGAAATAGCTTTGTTTCACCCTATTACCTTGAGTTAATATGAATCCTTATATTTTAGGTGAGTCTCATGAGGACAGAAGATATTTGGTTTGTGATGTTTTTTATCCATTCTGCCATTCTGTGTCTTCTAAATGGAGCATTCAAGCCACTTGTGTTCAATGTTAATATTGAAATGTGAGGCCCTGTTTCAATCATCATGTTAATTGTTACCTAGACACTTTGCTTGCTTCATTGTGTTATTGTTTTATAAGCACTGTTTTATGCTTTCAAGAGGTTCTCTGCTGGTGCATACCATCCTTTGTTTCAAGATTTAGAACTCCTTTTAGTATTTCTTATAGGGCTGGTCTTGTAGTAACAAAGTCCCTCAGCATTTGTTTGTCCAAAACTAAGTATATTTCTCTATCATTTATGAAAGTTAATTTTGCTGGATGAAAATTTTTGGCTAATAGTTATACTGTTTAAGGAGGCTACACATAATCCCTTCTGGCTTGTAAAGTTTCTTCTGAGAAGTCTGGTGTTAGTCTGAGAGATTTGTCCTTTATAGATTACCTGATACTTTTGCCCCACAGCTCTTAGAATTATTTCCTTCATGTTGACTTTAGATAGCCTGATGACTACAGGGCTTTGTGATGTTCTTTTTGCAATAAATCTCCCAGGAGTTCTTTCTGCTTCTTGTATGTGGGTATCTAAATCTCTAGCAAGGCCAGGGACGTTTCATCCATTATTCTCTTAGATAAGTTTTCCAAATTTTTGCTTTCTCTTTTTCCTCAGGAAATCCAATTATTCTTAGGTTTGGCCATTTTACATAATCCCATATTTCTTGGAGACATTTTTTTCATTTCTTTTGATTTTATTTTCTTTATTTTTGTCTGATTGGGTTATTTTAAAAGCCTTGTCTTTGAGTTCTGAAATTCTTTGTTCTACTTGGTCTAGACTATTGTTAAAACTTTCCACTATATTTTTAAATTCCATAAATGTGTCTTTCAATTCCAGAAGTTCTAATTGATTTTTCTTTAAAATAGCCAGCTCTTTAGAAAATTTTAATTCATATCTTGAATTGTTTTTATATATCTTTAAGTTTATTTTTATCTTTCTCTGGTATCTCCTTGAGTAGGTTAATAATTATCCTTTTGAATTCATTATCTTGTATTTCAAATATTTTATTTTCATTTGGATCTATTGTTGGAGAGCTGTTGTGATATTTTGGAGATGTTATAGAATCCTGTTTTGTCCTATTGCCAGAGTTATTTTCCTGTTTTTTTTTCTCATTTGAGTAGACTATTCTAATTATTCTTGAATTTATTTTTTTATTTAACTGTGTTTTATTTTTAAACTTCTTTTCTTCTTCCTTAAGGATGTGACTAATATTTATAGATTATTGTAACCTATATCAACTCTTGGTGCTTTCAGGGGTGAAGCATCTGCATGGATTCCTTTGTTATATAGTCTTTGTATGATGGCTTTCTCAAGTGCTGGTTGTAGTAGCATTGTGTTTGGTGTGTGAACAAGTTCACTCTCTTCTATGGGGTTGGAATGGAAGAGATCTCTTGAAGCTTATATCATTCCCCTATGGTGTGTACTTTTTTATATGTATTTTTTTCCGTATTTTATTTTACTGTGTTGAATAGTTCAGGATTCAGGTCTGAAGGGAAAGTGTCCCTGGGTAGAAGCTGGTGTGGCTAAAATAGGTGGGTAAATGCAATACCTCATGTTGTGTAGAGGTCCCAGCCTTGACAGAAGTTGTTAGAGGAACACTCAATGAAATGCACTGAGGTCTTGTTAGGGGGAAGGGTAGGAGCCACCTAGCTCCTACGCCAGGCCAGCATGAAAGTGATACACCTCCCAGACATACTCCTAACCAAGTGTCCTGGCTATTCAGATCAAACAGGCACCTCTTTTCATCTGCAAGAATGTTGATATTCAAAGTAGAGAGGAATTGTGACTCTACCCCTCTGAAAAGTTGAACCTGGAGGGCATTCCTCCTGTGGGGATGTAGTCACCCTGAAATGTTCCAGAAAGGCTCCCTATAATTGCACCCACACCAAGCTCCCATGGGAGAAGCCCAAGCTGTGCCTGCAGTGATGGACAAGGGGGAAAAGTACTTCCCTCCCCCAAGACCCTTCATGAGCCCTAGGGCTGCCTGATGATTGGGGTAGAACTGCAGACTTTCTCTACTGAGCCCAGCATAGCACTTGTGACTCTTCTGAAGGAAACTTCCCACCAGAAGAAAGTCCTTGAACTCAAGGCCTGCCGTCCAGATCTTTGTCTCATGGGGCAGTCCTTTGATGCAGTGCACTCCCCCTTCCTCTAGGAGTAAGAGTGCCTGAGAGTCAGATTATTGTGAATGCTGCCGCTCCTCTGAGTCCCACTGGCAACTACCAGTGGGACTGCCACACTCCAGGCTGGTGCTAGGGAATGCCTGCAAGAGATCCAGTGATGTGACCTGTCCTCAAGACTCCCAGCAGCAGGTGCCAGTTCTGATGTGGGTGACAGGAGAGTGACGTAGATTTTGAGAAATTCCTTGGTAGTAAATAACCTTATTGTGCTGGCTTTGTCAAATGTTGGTTTTAGTAGTAGTAAACTGGTCTTGTGGATAGACTCAGGACCTCCTTGTTAGCCAGGATGCTACAGGCAATAGTGATGGCTGAGGTCACAAACAAGTTTTCTCCTTCTTGGGTGCAGTGTTATTCTACCTGGAGATGCTATAATGGACTGTGTCTGTTGGCCTCCAGCCAGGAAGTAGCACTAGCAAAAAAAGTGCCAGCTGTGGTAGTAGTGGTGGGATTAGTGCTTGCCTTATGCTACCTAGGGAGGTACTTTCCTTTCTCAGGCAATTGGGTGGGGCCATAGAGCTTCCAAAATATTCTCTCCATTGTCTTAAGCTACTAGGGCAAGTGGAGGGGCAAAATCAAGTGGGGGCTGTGTCAGGTAGGTCCACACTCTGTCTCTCCACATGTGGGGCAAGCAGCAGCACATGTGAGATTTGGGGAGTGGTTTTTTGCCCACTGAGGTAACGTTACATGGAGGAACAAAGCTGCCTCTTCTGCACAGAAGAGTTTGCAAAGGAAGTGGGTAGTAACAGACAGCAGGAAGACCCACCTGACTTCCACACACTTGGCAAGGCTGGTCCCACACATGCAGTGTCTCATAAGCTGCAGCTCAGTATCTTCCAGGCAGTCTGGGCTCAGAACTCAAATCTGCCCCAGGCCATAAGACTTCCTGATGGAGACAACAATGTGGCTTTCCTCTCAGTCTGCCCACAAAACCAGGGTGCCTAGCTCTTACACTTGTGGCTACAGCAGACTTCCCACTTGACCGTGGTTCTGGACAAGATAATTTTTCCCCACTTGAACTATATTACATATTTCAGTTGGAAGCTTCACTCATCTTGAAACCGCTGCCTGAGTTAGCCGGCAGACTTCTATGAGTTTCCCTGTAATGCAAAATCAGAAACAGCTTCCCTAGGTTTGTGCTAGATACTGGGGATGATGGCAAGGCTCTTCCCACTGCCGCTCCTTTTATAAGCCCACTGCTCTGTAAATCTCTTCCTGCACTGGGTATGGTTAGACCTCTTGTGACCTGGATTGCCAAATCATCCAGTGGAATGTATATTCTAGGGGCAATTTCTCCCCTTCTCACACTCTGGGGACTTAAAAGTTTCTGCCTGGCTCATAGTGTAGGCAGAAGCCTGATGCTTTTTTCTAAGGGTCTGTGGTTTCCTGTTAAGTTTCTGCATTGCTTCTTGGAAAAGAGTTTGCAATATGGACCTCTACACACTATTTTGTCTTTCCAAGTAGGAGATGCATGCTAACACTACTTCCAGTATTCATCTTAGATGGTATCTGTTTAAAATAATATGTAATATCTAAAATTATTTTCTATAAGCCTCATGATAACCACAATTCAAAAACCCATAATAGATTCATTAAAAATAAAAGCAATAAATTAAAATATACTACCAAGGAAATTTGTTTAACCACAAAGGAAGACAGGAAGAAAAAAAAATAAGTAAGGGAAGAGTTACAAAACATTCAGAAAACACACCATAAAATATTAGTAGTAAGTTCTTACTTATCAATATTAACACAGAATGTTAGTAAATTCAATTCTCTAATTAAAAGTCGTAGAATTCTGAGTGGATAAAGAAACAATACCCAATTATATGCTGCCTACAAGAAAACTACTTCTCCTACAAGGACATATACATACTAAAAGTAAAAGGGTGAAAAATAATATACCATGCAAGTAGAATCCAAAAAAGAGGAAGGATAGCTTTACTGATATCAGATAAAATAGAATACAAGTCAAAGACTATTAAAAGAGACAAAGAATGTCACTATATAATAATAAAAAAGTCAATTCAGCAAGAGAATATAAAAATTATAAATATTTATCCATCTACCACAGGAGCACCCATGTATATAAAGCCAACAGTAATAGATCTAAAATGAGAGATATATATCAATACAATTATAGTAGGGGACTTCAACACACCACTGTCATTAATAGACGGATAATCCAGACAGATAATTAATTAAGAAACATTGGATTTAAACTACATAGTAGACCAAATAGGTCTAATGAATGTTTATAGGACATTTCATACGGCTGCTGTGGAATGCATATTATTCCAATTACCAAAGGGAACATTGTCTAGAATAGACCACATTTTAGGCCACAAGAGATGTCTCAACAAATTTTCAAAAAACTGAAAATGATATTAAGTACCTTTTCTGATCACAAGGGAATAAAACTAGATATCAATAAAAAAATGAAAACTCAGAAGATATACAAAACACAATAAAATTAAACAATGTAATTCTGAAAGACCAGTGGGTCAATGAAGAAATTAAAAAGGAAACTAAAAAATTTCTAGAAACAGATGAAAATAGAACTACAACACACTAATATCTGGTACAGAGCAAAATCAATATTAAAAGGAAAAAAATTAGGAAGAGTTCAAATAAAATTCCAAACAATATAATCAAGGAACTAGAAAACCAAAAACAAATCAATTACAAGATTTGCATAAGGAAAGAAATAATAAAATCAAAGTATAAGTAAATGAAATTGAGACTAAAGTAGTTATAGACTATTAACAAACAAAAAGTTGGGTTTTGAAAAGATAAATAAAAATCCATAAAGTGTCATGTAGACTAAGGAAAAAAGAAAGTGGACTCAACTAAACATAATCGGAGACAAAACAGAAGACATAATAAATGAGACCACAGAAATACAAAGAATCATTAGAGACTATTGTGAGCAACTATCTCTAACAAATTGGAAAACCTAGAAGAAATGGATAAATTTCTGGACTCACACAGCCTACCAAGATTGAACCATGAAGAAATAGAAAACCTTAACAAACCAAAAAACAAGTAATGAGCTCCTCTGATCTAATTAGGGAGCTCTAATAAGACTCCCATCTAAGAAAAGCCTAGGAACTGGTGGCTTCACTGCTGAATTCTACCAAACACTTAAAGAACTAATACTAATCCTACTAGAGTTATTCCAAAAAATTGAAGTCGAGGTAATACTTCCAAAATCATTGTATGAGGCCACCATTACACTGATAAAAAATAAGAGGACACAACCAAAAAAAAAGAAAACTACCAGCCAGCTAGTATCAGTGATGAACATAGATACAAAAATCCTCAACAAAATGCTAGCAAACTGAATTCAACACCACATTTAAAAGGTCATGAACAAGTGGGATCCATCCAGGGATGCCAGATTTATTCAGCGTATGCAAATCAATAAACACGATACATCACATTAGCAGAATCAAAAATAAAAGCTATATAATCATTTCAAAAAATGCTGAAAATGTATGAAATAAAATTTAATATTACTTTATAATAAAAAGACTCAACAAATTGGTTATAGAAGAGCATAGCTCAGGATAAAAAAGGCAATATATGACAAACCCATTGTTAACTTCATAAGGAAAGCAGAAAACATGAAATGCTTTTCTCTAAGATCTGTAACAAGGCAAGGTTATCCACTTTCCCCACTTTTATTCAACATAATGCTGAGAGTCTTGGCTCGAGCAATTAGGCAATAGAACAAAGATATAAAGGACATCAAAACTGGAAAGGACATAGTCAAATCAGCCTACTTCTCAGATGAGATGACATAATCACATACTTAGAAAACCTGACCACTCCACCAAAAAGCTGTTAGAGCCAGTAAGCAAATTCAGTAAAGCTTCAGAAAACAAGATCGACATACAAAAATCAGTAGCATTTCTATATGCCAACGGTGAACAATCTGAAAGAGAAATCAATAAATCATCCATGTATAATAGTTACAAAGAATATAAAATACCTAGGAATCATTTTAACCTAAGAAGCGAAGGATCTCTAGAAGGAAAACTATAAAACACTGATAAATTGAAGGGGACACACCAAAAAATGGAAATATATTCCAGGCTCAAGGACTGGAATAATTAATATTGTTTAAATGACAATGTTACCCAAAGCAATTTACAGACACAATGCAACCCCTATCAAAACACGAATGGCATTCCTCTTATGAATGGAAAAATCTCCTAAAATTTATACAGAACTACGAAAGATCTTAAATAGCAAAAGCAATCCTGAACAAAAGGAACACAGTTGGAAGCATCACACTAGCTGACATCAAAATATACTACAATGTTATTGTAAACAAATCAACATGATACTGACATAAAAAAATTCCATATAGACCAATGGAATAGAATACAAAACCCAAATATAAATTCACACATCTAGAGCCAATTCTTTTTCAACAAAACACTAAGTATATTCAATAAGGGAAAGATAGTACCTCCAAAAAAATGGTGCTGAGAAAGCTGGATATCTATATGCCAAAGAATGAAACTAGGCCCCTATTTCTCACCAAATGCAAAAATCAAATAAAAGTACATTAAAGACTAAAATATAATGCCTGAAACTATAAAACTACTAAAAGAAAACATTGTAGATCTGCTTCAGGACATTGGTCTGAGCAAATTTTTTTTGTGAAAAACTTTAAAAGCACTAGTAACCAAAGTAAAAATAAACAAGTGGAATTGCATAAAGATAAAAGCTTCTGCATAGCAAAGAAAACAACATAGTGAAAAGACAACCAACAAAATGAAAGAAAATATTTACAAAGTATCTGTCTGACCAGAGATTAATAACCAGAATATATAAAGCCCTCAAACAACTCAATAGCAAAAAATAAGCCAGTCATAGAATGACACATATTGCATGCTCTTACTCATACATAGGAGCTAAATTTAAAAAATAAACTTATGGAATCGATTCAGGGAAAATGGCAGACAGGAAGCAGGACTAACTTGCAGCATCCACTCGGATGGACAAACCAGTGTGTGGAAACCCATATCTTGAACAAATTTTGCTCCAAGAACTACTGCAGGAACATACCAGGAAAGTCAAGAGAATCCACAGACCCTCAGAAGGAGGTGGGTTGCTGTTGGTTCTGTGGTTCTGTGGGACAGGTGAGGAACTGTGAGTCTGCTTGCTTTCTCAGCTGGGGACAGTTCTCAACCCTGCTCACCAGCTGCCTGGAAGTAAACTCGGTGCTGTTTTGGGAACACAGTGGGAGTGAGACCAGCCTACTGGGCTGTGGGCTGCATGGGAGCTAGGTGAGGACTGTGAGGACTGTGGCTGCCAGCTTTTCCCCACTTCCCTGGGGACCTGTGTGGTGCAGCAGAGACAGCCATAATCCCTCTGGGAATATAACTCCCTTGGTCTGGGAACCACACCCCATCCCCCATGGCAGCCACAGCAAGCCCCATGGAAGGAGAGTCTTGAACACAGACATGCCTAAGCCTGACCCCACCTGATGGTCTTTCTCTACCCATCCTGGTAGCAGAAGAAAAAAAAAACATAATCTCTTGGGAGCTCTATGACCCTGCCCACCACCTGATTCCCCCTAATCTACCATAGCGGATGTGCTCTTGAAAGCACAACCTCCTGCTTCAAAATGCAAAAAACACAAAACTAGTGCGCTTAACAAAAATGCAACAAAAGACTCTCACAGAATCCACTTCACTCCTCTGTTACCTCCACCAGAGCAGGTGCTGGTATCCACAGCTGAGAGACCTGAAGACAGGTCACTTCACAGAACTCTTTGCAGACATTCCCCAGTACCAACCCCGAGTGTGGTAACTCTGCTGAGTGGCTAGATCCAGAAGGGAAATAACAACCACTGTAGTTGAGTCCTCAGGAAGGCCCATCCTTAGGGGAAAGGGGAGAGTACCATATCAAAGGAGCACCCTGTGGGACAAAAGAATTTGAACAGCAGCGCTTGAGGCCCAGAACATCTCTCTGACATAGTCTACCCAAATAAGAGTGAAGAAGAAAAACAATTCTGGTAATATGACAAAACAAAATTCTTCAACACCCCCTAAAAGATCATACTAGCTCACCAGCAATGAATTCAAACCAAGAAGAAATGTCTGAATTGCCAGAGAAAATAATTCAGAAGGTCAACTATTAAGCTAATCAAGGAGGCACCATAGAAAAGTGGAGTCCAATGTTAAGAAATCAATAAAAAAGATACAAAATATGAATGGAAAATTCTGCAGTAAAATAGATAGCATAAATAGAAAACCATCACAACTACCAGAAATGAAGGACACACTTAGAGAATTGCAGAATGTACTGGAAACGCTCAGCAATAGAAGAGAACAAGTAGAAGAAAGCATTTCAGAGCTTGAAGACAAGGCTCTTTAATTAACTCAATCCTACAAAGATTAAAAAAAAATAACGAAGACTCAAAGAAGTTTTGGATAAGGTCAAACAACCAAACCTAAGAATAATTGGTATTCCTAAGGAAGAAAAAATCTATAAGTTTGGAAAATATATTTGAGGGAATAATTGAGGAAAACTTCCTTAACCTTGCCAGAGATCTAGACATCCAAATACAAGAAGGTAAAAGAACACCAGGTCAATTCATCACAAAAAGGTCATCACCAAAGCACATAGTCATCAGGTTATCTAAAGTTAAGAAAAATTTTGAAAATCTTAAGAGTTGTGAGGCAAAAGCCTCAGGTAAACTATAAAGGAAAATCTATCAGATTAACAGCAGATTTCCTGGCAGAAACCCTACAAGCTAGAAAGGATTGGAGTCCTATGTTAACCTCCTTAAACAGAACAATTACCAGACAAGAATTTTGTATCCAGCAAAACTAAGCATTATAAATTAAGAAAAGATACAGTTTTTTTTCAGACAAACAAATGTTGAGCAAATTTGCCACTACCAAACCAGAACTACAAGAACTTCTAAAAGGAGCTCTAAATCTTGAAACAATTTCTCAAAATACATCTAAATAGAACTCATTAAATTAAAAATCTCACAGGACTTATAAAAAACACAATGATAAAAACCTAAGTTTTTCAGACAACAAATAGCATAATGAATAGAATAGTACCTCACATCTCAATACTAATGTTGAATGTAAATGGCTAAAATGCTCCACTTAAAAGATACAGAACAGCAGAATGGATAAGAATTCACCAACCAAATATCTGCTATCTTCAAGAGACTCACCTCACACATAAGGACTCACATAAACTTAAGGTGAAGGGGTTAAAAAGATATCCAATGTAAATGGAAACCAAAAAACAAACAGGAGTAGCTTTCTTATGTCAGACAAGACAGACTTTAAAACAGCAGCAGTCAAAAAAGACAAAGAGGAACTGTGATGATAAAAGGACTAGTTCAACAGAAAGATATCACAATACTAAATATATATGCACCTAACACTAGAGCTTCCATATTTTTAAAACAACTACTACTAGACCTAAGAAATAACATAGACAGCAACACTATAATAGTGGGGCTCTTCAATATTTCACTGACAGTATTAGACAGGTCATCAAGACAGAAAGTCAACAAATGAACGGTGGACATAAACTATGCCCTAGAACAAATGTACTTAATAGTTATTTACAGAACATTCTACTCAACAACTGCAGAGTATATGTTCTTTTTTTTTTTTTTTTTCCAAGTCTCACTCTATTGCCCAGGCTGGAGTGCAATGATGCAATGACATGATCTCAGCTCACTGCAACCTCCACCTCCTGGGTTCTAGTGATTCTCCTGGCTCTGCCACCCAAGTAGCTAGGAATACAGGTGTGTGCCAGCACGACCAGCTAATTTTTGTACTTTTAGTAGAGATGGGGTTTCATCATGTTGGCCAGGCTGGTCTCGAACTCCTGATCTCAGGTGATCAGCCCACCTCGGCCTCCCAAAGTGCTGGGATTATAGGTGTGAGCCGCAACACCTGGCTTGACATTCTTTTCATCAGCATATTGAATATTCTCCAAGAAAGATCATATGATAGGCCACAAAACAGTCTCAACTAATTTAAGAAAATTGAATTTATAACAACTACTCTCTCAGACTACAGTGGAATAAAATTGGAAATCAAATTCAAAAACAACCCTTAAAATCATACAAATACATGAAAATTAAATAACTTGCTTCTTATTGATTTTTGGGTGAACAATAAAATCAAGGTGGAAATTAAAAGTTATTTGAACTGAAAGATAATAGTGATACAATCTATCAAAACCTCTGGGATACAGCAAATGTGGTGCTAAGCAAAAAGTTTATAGCATTAAATACCTACATCAAAAAGTCTGACAGAGCAAAAATAGACAATCTAAGGTCACATCTCAAGGATCTAGAGAAACAAGAACAAACCAAAACGAAACCCAACAGAAGAAAAGAAATAACCAAGATCAGAGCAGAAATATATAAAATTAAAACAAAAAAATACAAAAGATAAATGAAATGAAAAGTTAGTTTTTTGAAAAGATAAATAAAATTGATAGACCATTAGCAAGATTAACCAAGAAGAGAGAAGATCCAAATAAACTCAATTAGAAATAAAACAGGAGATATTATAAGTGATACCACAGAAATACAAAAGAGCATTCAAGCCTACCATAAACACCTTTATGTGCATAAACTAGAAAACCTAGAGGAGATAGATAAATTCCTGGAAATATACAACCCTTCTAGATTAAACCAGAGAAAAACAAGAGAAAAACCAGAGAAAAACAAAACAAGAAAAATACAGACCAATATCTCTGATGAACATAGATGCAAAAATTTTAACAAAATACTAGTTAACCAAATTTAACAGCATAATAAAATGCTAAGCCACCATGCTCAGGTGGGTTTCATATCAGGGATGCAAGGATGGATTCATATCTGCAAGTCAATAAATGTGATATGCCACATAAACAGAATTAAAAACAAAAATTACGTGATCATCTCAATAGATGCAGAAAAAGCATTTGACAAAATACAGCATTCCTTTCTATTAAAACCCTCAGCAATATTGGCATAGAAGGGACATAGCTTAAGGTAATAAAAACATTCTATGACAAACCCACAGCCAACATTATACTGAATAGGAAAAAAGTTATAATCATTCCCCCTGAGAACTGGAAAAAGACAAGGATGCCCACTTTCACCACTTCTATTCAACATAATACTTGAAGTCCTATCCATAGCAATCAGACAAGATAAAGAAACATAGGACATCCAAACTGGTAAAGAAGTCAAAATTTCACTGTTTGATGATGTCATAATTGTATACCTAGGAAACCCAAAAGGCCTATTCAAAAAGCTACTAGAACTGATAAATGAATTCAGCAAACTTCAGGATACAAAATTAATGTGCACAAATTAGTAGCTCTGCTACACACCAACAGTGACCAAGTGGAGAATCAAATAATTTATAGAATTCAGATAGAACCCAAAAAGAGTGTGCATAGCCAAAACAAGACTAAATAAATAAATAAATAAATAATCTGGAGGCATCACGTTGTTCAACTGCAAACTATATGATAAGGCCATAGTCACCAAAACAATATGGTTCTGATATAAAAACACTCATATAGGCCAATGGAACAGAAAAGAGAATGCAGAAATAAGACCAAATACTTTCAGTCATCTGATCTTCAACAAAGCAAACAAAAACATAAAGTGGGGAAAGGACACCCTATTCAACAAATTGTGCTGGGATATTTGGCAAGCCACACGTAGAAGAATAAAACTGGATCCTCATCTGTACCTTATGCAAAAATCACCTCAAAGTGGATCAAAGACTTAAATCTAAGACCTTAAACCAAAAAATCCTAGAAGATAACAATGGAAAAATCCTTCTAGACATTGGCTTAGGCCAAGACTTTATAACCAAGAAACAAAAAGAAAATGCAACCAAAAACAAAGATAAATAGACAGGTCCTAATTAGACTAAAAAGCTTCTGTGCAATAATGAAATTATCAGCAGAGTAAACAGACCACCTGCAGAGTGGGAGAATATCTTGTTAATCTATACATCCAACAAAGAACCAATATTCAGAATCTACAAGCAACTCAAACAAATCAGCAAGTAAAAAACAAATAATTCCATCAAAAAGCAAATTAAGACACAGACAATTCTTAAAAGAAGATATACAAATGGCCAACAAACATGAAAAAAATGCTCAACATTATCAATTACTAGGAAAATGCAAATCAAAACCACAATGAAATACCACCTTATTCCTGTAAGAATGGCCATAATTCTTTTGGAGGCTGAGGCGGGCAGATCACGAGGTTAGGAGTTCAAGACCAGCCTGGCCAACATGGTGAAACCCCATCTCTACTAAAAATACTAAAAATAGCTGGGCATGATGATGAATGCCTGTAATTCCAGCTACTCAGGAGGCTGAGGCAGGAGAATTGCTGGAACCCAGGATGTGGAGGTTGCAGTGAGCTGAGATTGTGCCACTGCCCTCCAGCCTGGGTGACAGAGCAAGACTCCATCTTCGAAAATAAATAAAAATAAGAAAATAGAAAAATAAATAGATGTTGGCATGGATGTGGTAAAAAGGGAACACCTTTACACTCTTCATGGGAATGCAAACTAGTACATCCACTATGGAATACAGTATAAAGTTTCATTAAAGAAATAAAAGTAGACCTACCACTTGATCCAGCAATCCCCCTACAGGGTAACTACCTGGAGGAAATGAAGTCATTCTATGAAAAATATACCTGCACATGCATGTTTATAGCAGCACAATTCACAATTGCAAAATTATGGAACCAGCCTCAATCCCCATCAATCAGAGTGGTTTATTATGGTATATATACCAGGGAATACTACTCAGCCATAAAAAATAATGAAATAATGGCATTTGCAGTAACCTGGATGGAATTGGAGACCATTATTCTAAATGAAGTAACTCGGGAATGGAAAAACAAACATCGTATGTCCTCACTCATAACTGGAAGGTATACTATGAGGACAAAAATATTTAATACAATGGACTTTGGGGACTTGGGGAAATGACTGAGAGTGGGGTGAAGAATCAAAGGCCACACTTTGGGTCCAGTTTACATGGCTCAGGTGATTGGTGCTCCCAGATTTCAGAAGTTACCACTGAAAAACTTATTCATGTAACCAAATACCACCTGTTCCCTAGAAATCAACTGAAATTTAAAAAATGAACTTATGCAGTTTAAAGATAGAATGATAGATTCCCCAGGTTGAGAATGGTTTGTGTGTAGGAGGGGGAATTAAAGAAAGATTCATTATTGAGTGGAAACATACAGTTAAGTAGAAAAAGTAAATTCTAATGTTCAGTAGGAGACTAAAGTGACTATATATAGTTAGCAACAATATATTATGTATTTCACAGAAACTAGAAGAGAGGATTTGAAATATTCAATCAATATTCAAAGACAAATATTATTTTTTCTCATATGTGAAAGCTAAAAAAAAATTGATCTCTCAAAGATAGACTAGATAGGTGGTTATCAGAGGCCAGGAATGCAAGGGGGCAGAAGATGAAGAAAGGCTGATTAATGGAAATAAATATTCAATTTGACAGAAGAAATAATAACTAGTGTTTGGTAGACCAGCAGGGTAAATATAGTTACCAATAAATTATTGTATATTTCAAAATAGCTAGAAGAGGAAAATTCAAGTGTTTCCAGCATAAAGAAAATATAAACATTTAAGATGATGAATGTTCCAATTACACTGATTTGATCTTGCAAATTTTGTGATTGTGTTAAATTATCATATGTACCTCAAATATTGCACATCTATTATGTATTATTTAAAAATTTAAAATTTAAAATATATATTGGATTGAGCCAAGAAAAAATAGAAAATTTAGACAAGATGATCTTTTCAAAAACAAATGAGTCAAATAAAAACAACTAAGAAAATATTAGAAACAATATAACATTAATATTTTCTTACGTACAAATGGATTAACCTTTGAAATTAAAAACTAGAGATTGTTAGACTTGGGAAAAATGCTGAGAGGCAAGTATATCCTTTCTATAAAAGGCGTACATTAAATATAGATATGTAGAGACTAAATGCAAGATAAGCCTTCCAATGCATACAGTATGCAAATGAAATATAGTGTGATGATATTTATTCAAGCAACAAAGAAGTCAAGAAAATGAATATTACCAAAATAATGAGATATTTTGCAATGATGATAATCAAATTACTTCAATTAGCATAACATTAAAATGAGTATGCTTCAAATACTTATTTTGAATGCAAAGCTTCAAAATACAGAGAGATAGCTAACAGTACTATTGGGAGAAAAATACGAGTCCACAGTGACCTTTACATATGTTAAAACTCCCCATTTTAGAATATAGTTTTAAAAATAACTGAATCCAGAAAAGTATAAATTATCTATATGTACTTAAACATTTTAATTTTATTAATATCTTGGACCCTGTATTAGTTCATTATTACACTGCTATAAATACATACTTGGGACTGGCTAATTTATGAAGAAAAGAGGTTTAATTGACTCCCAGTTCCCCAGGCCATACAGGAAGCATGGCTGAGGAGGCCTTAGGAAACTTACAATCATCGAGGAAGGTGAAAGGGAAGCAAGCACATCTTCACATGGACAGCAGGAGAGAGAGAGAAAGAGATAGACGTGGGAAGTGCTAAACACTTTCAAACAAGTAGATCTCATGTGAACTCACTCACTATCATAAGAACACCAAGGGAGAAGTCCTCCCCCATGATTCAATCATCTCCCACCAGGTCCCTCCCTCAACAATGGAGATTACAATTCAACTTGAGATTTGGGTAGGCACACAATGCCAAACCATATTATTTTGCCCTGGACCCTCCCAAATCTCATGTTCTTCTTACATTTTGAAATATGATTATGCCTTCTTATTAGTCTCTTGAATTCTTAACTTATTACAGCATTAACTCAAAAGTCAAAGTTTAAGGTCTCATCTTTGAAAAGGAAAGTCATTTCCATCTGTGAGCCTTGAGACTGTAAATTAAAAAAAAAAGTTTGTTATTTTCAAGATATAATTGAGGTACAGTCATTGGGCATGACTTTCCATGCAAAAAGAGTGAAATTGACAAAAACAAAGAGGCTACAGGCCCCATGCAACTCCAAAACCGAGCAGTGCAGTCATTAAATCTTAAAGCTCCAAAAAAATCTTCCTTGATTCCATGTCTCACATCCAGGCCAAACTGACACAAGGGGTGGGCTCACAAGGCCTTGGGCAGCTGTGCCCCTGTGGCTGCTCTCATGGATTGGCATTGATTACCTATAGCTTTTTCCAGGCACACTGTGAAAACTGTTGGTGGATTTACCATTCTGGGGTCTGAAAGTCAGTGGCCTTCTTCTCAAAGCTCCATTAGGTAGTGCCTCTGTGTGAGGGCTCCAAACCCACATTTCCCCTTCACACTGTCCTAGTACTGGTTCTCCAAAAGGGCTCCATCCCTGGAGATGACTTCTGCCTGGACATTCAGGTGTTTCCACACATCCTCTGAAATCTAGGAAGAGGCTCCCAAACCTCAATTCTGTGCACCCATAGGGTTAATACCATGTGGAAGCCTTGGTTGCCTCAAACTTGCACCCTCTGGAGCAGTGGCCTGAGCTGTATCTTGGCCCCTTTTAGTGACAGCTGGAGCTGGAGTGGCTGGGATGCAGGCACCATAACCCAAGGATGCACAGAACAGTGAGGCCCTGGGCCTGGCACACAAACCATTTTTGCCTCCTAGGCCTCCAGGCCTGTGATGGGAATGGCTGTCATGAAGGTATTTAAAATGCCTTTGAGGCATCTTCCCTGTTGTCTTGGGTATTAATATTTGGTGACTCTCTGCTTTTGCAAATTTCTGCAGTCTGCTTGAATTCCTTCACAGAGAATAAGTTTTTCTTTTCTATCACTTGGCCATGCTTTAAATTTTCCAAACTTTTAAGCTTTGCTTTACTTTTAAGTTCCTGTTTCAGATAATCTCTTTGCTCTTGAATATGAATGTATGCTGTTAGAAGCAGACAGACCATGTCTTGAATGCTTTGCTGCTTAAAATTTCTTCCACTAAATATCCTAAACCATCTCTCAAGTTCAAAGTTCCACAGATCTCTAGGACAGGGGGATAATGCTGCCAGTATTTTTGCTAAAGCTCAGCAAGAGTAACCTTTTTACTCCAGTTCCCAATAAGTTCCTCATCTCCCTCTGAGACCATCTCAGCCTGGACTTCATTGTCCATAACACTATAAGTATTTTGGTCACAACAATTTAAAAAGTCTCTAGGAAGATCCAAACTTTCCCTCATCTTCCTGTTTCCTTCTGAGCCTTCCAAAGTGTTCCAACCTCTGCCCATTACCCAGTTCCAAAATTACTTCCACGTTTTCAGGTATCTTTATAGCAATGCCCACTTTTCTGGTACCAATTTTCTGTATTAGTCTGTTCCCACACTTCTATAAAGACATGGCTAATTTATGGAGAAAAGAGATTTAATTGACTAACAGTTCCACAGGCTGTACAGAAAGCATGGCCGAGAAGGCCTTAGGAAACTTACAATCATGATGGAAGGCACAGGCAAAAAGGGGTCATTTTCACATGACTGGAGGAAGAGACAGAACAAAGGGGGAAGTACTACACACTTTCAAACAACTAGATCTCATGGGAACTTACTATCATGAGAACAGCAAGGGGGAGATCCACTTCCATGATCCAGTCATCTCCCAACAGGTCCCTCCCCTAACACTGGAGATTGCAATTCAACATGAGATCTGGGTGAGGATGGAGCCAAACCATATCAGACCCTAAATCTAAGAACTATAAAATAAACATCTTTTAATGTCCACGTGATATGCTAAGTTAGATAACATACTGTGTAAAAAATATGTAAAGTTATCTCAACAGATTAAAATCTTATAGAGTATGTTGTCTATTTCTAATAAAATTAAATTTGAAATCAATAATAAAAAGACTTTAAAATATCCTCACTTGATTTTAAATGAAATGACACTTATAAATAATACCTGGCCAAAGCAAATAATCACAAGGGAAATTAGAAAGTGTGTCACACTAGAAAATAATAAAATCACAAAATAAAATTTTTGCGATATGCTTTCAACACAGTGCTTAGGAAGAAATTTATAAATATAAATGTACTCATTGGATTATATCAATTTTCTCATTTTATGTCTCCTAAACTTACACTTTATAATTCGTTGCAAGAGTTCTATTTGTTAAAATTCTTACAGTGATAATGCAAATTTGAATTCTTGAATTTTGTTTTAAACTACCACAATGTACGCCTTTTTGTTACTAAACTTTAAAAAAATAAAGTTTTCCAGTTTATACTTTATATTGTTGATGTGCAGAAGAGATAAAGGAAGGGTCTCAAATAAGTACAGGATGAAAAAACTTAATGTTCTTCCTGGTTTTGCTGACTGTGTGCTCCTCTGGTTCCTTAATATCATATTCTCCAGGTCAGGGATTCTGGGGCAAGAAATTTGTTCAGCACAATTACGTCTAGTAGATAGAGCTACTTAAATGTGTTGGCCTGTGTTGCAATAAATAATAAATAATAGACCAAACCTCAATACAGCTGAACAGCTGTCACCGCAGCTAACAGTGGAGCCAATCATGAGGTCAGACAAGAACTGTAACTGGGGAGGATACATAGACCCAGCTGCCAGAGCTAACAGCACATATATCTTAATATCTGGGTGGCTGTAGCTGCCAAACCTTTTCCACAAGCAGCTTTGTGTATTGATTTCAAGCCTGATAGAAAGATGGAGAAAAAAAATTGCACATTCAACAATGCTAGAAATAGAAAGAAGAATGTGTCAAATAATGGTGTAAATGTTTGATGTATGGTGAATATTACTTTCAAAGAAGAAATATGTTTTTAAAATGTTTAGTTCTTTTGGTCAAGGACTATGTCTAATTATTTTTGACAATTTTCATTGAGATTATTATTTATTTTATTTAGTTCTCAAGATTCTCATTGTGCTTAAGTGTTCAATTCTATTTCCACATGGAGGCTAAACTGTTTCCATAATAGATACATATTACTGAAAATTATTTACTTAATTGAGATACTAAAATACTTTTTTCTATACTTTATCAAATCTGTGTTCTAACTGAAAAACACTAACATTTATCGTATTATTTGTCATTGTTGCCTTAATGTTTACATTATATTGCTAAGTAAAATGATAACTCTGGGATTGGCACCATGGTAAATATTGCATAGAAACACAGACCCAGGTGAAAGGTAAAATATCTTAAACTACTTGATGTTGCCCACAGTGCAGGTCATAGTGGCATAACTTTATCTGGAGTATTATCTGAACTTCATGTCTCCACAAATACGAACAAGATGCAAAAGAGATGCTATGATTAGAATGACTGCCCTGTGAGGTACTTTGAGGAATTTCTACCCTCTGACTTTAAGTAACGTATAAACTGTTGACCACAGATGACAATTTGGGACAGTTGTTTTATGACAGTCTTTCCATGTACAAGTAGAATAACTGGGAAAAATTGTACACTTCTGAGTGTTTGCTGAGAGCCAGGGTGTATTGAAAATCAAATGGCCAGGCTTCAAACCAGCGTGAGATTTTGTCCTGAAATTCTTTTTCATGAGAAGATACACTCAGTACTATATTCATATCTTTAATTAAAAAAATACATTTAAAAAAATTCTAAAGAATCAAAAGCTACTTCAAGTGTTTTAATAAAGTGTTATTAAAATTCATATTCCTAATATATGCTTTGCAAATTTATTATCTATTTTAATAAACAATTTAATCATACGACTGTTGTGTTCTGATCAAGTAGTCTCAGTTTATGATGTGGGTCTTCATGTAAATTGGCCTAAGCAAAGAATGAGCTTGTCTTTCCTGATTTTTTTGCTCTTTGTGAAAATTGTATTTTTCAATGCAAATGGTATACTAGCATTTTGTTTAATATATTAGTTGCTTGTGAATTGTTTACAAACTGTTGTCTTTCTTGTGTCCTCTAAATTGAGAGACTGAAAACTCTGGGTATATTTCTATGTATGTTTAAATATCAGGTATAACAAAAGTCAAACTAAAAGATATTTATTTTTTCACCCATCTTGCCATCAATTGACAATTCCATCAAGTTGCAGAATCCTTTCTCTGTATAATGCCTAATTTTAGTGGAACAATTTCAGTGGATTAATATACTTAAGTAGTTTGGCAACTTTGGATGATAAAATAAATTAATGTGCTGAAAAAGATAAAAATTGGAAAAGAGTACCTACTAGAACAATCCATAAAGGGTATAAGTATACATAAGTATTAGAAAGATAAATGTATGGAGAAATATTTATTAAAAGTATAAACATCTAAGGAATGTGATATTTAAATGCTGTTCTGGAACTGTTTTATCACCATCCATTACTTACAGACCTCTGAGAAAGATATCTATTTTGTATTTGTATTGTACATTGTTGAAATCTTTTAGTAATTCATTTTTTATTCATTTTAGCCATTCAGGTGTATATACTATTATTTTTATATTTTTTACATTTTGAGGAAATGCCTTTTAAGCAATTTCTGAAAAGTTCTTTGCCTATTTTTCTACTGAATTGACTCTGTGTGTGTGTATACAATATCACAGTATGAGTTCTATGTTATATATATACATATATGCAATGGAATTAGTGCTATATCATTATATCTGAATTGTACTCTCTCTCACTTGCTTTTTCATTACTTTCTTAATTGTATTTGTTTAGGACAGGTTTTTTAAATTTTATGATAGTTAATTTATAGTGTTTTCTTTTTTTTATTTTTAAACATTTCACCTATATTGAGGTATGGAAAATATTATTCTCTTTTTCTCTAGAAGTTTTGTGGTTTATTTCCCAGTTTAGATCTCTAATCTATATAAAATGATTTTTTCTTTATGGTGTTACGTAGAGCTAAGGATAAAATTTTCAAAATATATATCCTATTATGATTTTTAATTTGGAAGAAACAGAGAAAGAGAGAGAGTAATTTAGCTTTAATTGACAAACTTGTGTTTATATCATAATGGCCCATATTTCTAAGTGGTACTTCAAGTGTAAGCGCAAATAAGAAGACATACCTACTGAGAGAGCAAAATTAAAACTTGATTAGATCAATCACAGAATGGGTAGAAATGATCTGCTTAAAATCTGCCAAGCTTAAAGTTAAGTAAATGCTTTCTTAAAAAAAAATTATTTTCATTTTAGAGGTACAAATGCTGGTTTGCTGCATAGGCAAATTTGTGTCATGGGGATTGTTGTACAGATTACTTCATCACCCGAGTATTAAGCCTGGTACCCATTAGTTAATTTTTCAGATCCTCTTCCTCCTGTCACCCTCCACCCTCTGAAATACCCCAGTGTCTGCTGTTCCCCTTTATGTGTGCATGTGTTCTCATCATTTAGTTCCCACTTATAAGTAAGAACATGTGGTGTTTGGTTTTCTGTTCCTGGGTTAGTTTGCTAAGGATAATCTCCTCCAGCTCTATCCATGTCCCTGCAAAGAACATGTTCTTGTTCTTTTTCATGGCTGTATAGTATTCTGTTGTATATATGTACCACATTTTCTTTATCCAGTCTGTCATTGATGGGCATTTAGGTTGATTCCATGTCTTTGCTGTTGTGAATAATGCTGCAATGAACATATGTGTGCATGTGTCTTTATAACAGAATTATTTATATTCCTCTGGGTGTATACACAGTAAGGACATTGCTGGGTTAAATGGTGTTTCTGTCTTTAGGTGTCTGGGGAATCACCACACTGCCTTCCACAATGGCTGATATAGTTTGCACTCCTACCAACAGTGTATATGCATTTGGTTTTCTCCACAATCTCACCATCAGTTATTTTTTGACTTTGTAATAATAACCATTCTCACTGGTGTTACATGGTATCTCATCGTAATTTTGATTGGCGTTTCTTGAATCATCAGTGTTTTTGAGCTTTTTTTCATATGTTTGTTGACTGTATGTATGCCTTCCTTAGGAAAATGTCTGTTAATGTCTTTTGCCCACTGTTTTATGGGGTGTTTGTTTATGGAAGTGCTTGATATTCAATGAAAGCCTCAAAGTATTTCTCCTATTATTCATATTTAGTAAATGACACTCGTAAATATTATAAGGCATACCAGGAGACATGGACAATTAATGAAAAACCAAGAGGCAAAAAAGAAATTCATCAGCAGATTATCTAGATTTTGGAAAGATTGAGCACAAATATTAAAATAATTGTGATTAATATATGTCACAATATAGATGAATGAACAAATAATATTGCCATAAAACTGAATCGATAAAAATAATAAATTATTTGTAGATTTAAAATACAATGTTTTAGTCTGTTTTTTGTTGTCATAAAGGAATATCTGAGCCTGAGTAATCTATAAAGATAAGAGGTTTATTTGGCTCATAGTTCCACAGGCAGTTCAAGAAGCATGGTGCTGGTGACATCTGCTTCTATTGAGAGTCTCAGGCTGCTTCCACTCATAGTGAAACGCAAAGGGAAGTCAGCAGGTGATGTGTACAGAAATCATATGAGAGAGGAGGCAAGAGAGAGCAAGAATGTACCAAGTCCTTTTAAACAATCAGCTTTTATGGAAAATAATAGAGGGAGAATTCACTCACTCCAGAGGGAGGGAATTAATGTACTCATGTTGGATTTACCACCATTACTCAAACATCTCCCATCAGGCCCCACTTGTAGCATTGGGGTTCAAATTTCAACATTTGGTTTGGGGTGACAAATATCCAAACCATAATATCCAATAATATAAAATTCCCAAAATATAATCACATTAAGAACCAAGTAGAAGGCTAAAATGTTGTTTAAAACATCATAACAGAATAATAGTGAACTGAGTTACATATAAATAGAAAATACTGGACCGGGCACGGTGGCTCACGCCTGTAATTTCAGCACTTTGGGGGACCGAGGTGGGTGGAAGTTCGAGACCAGCCTGGCCAATATGGTGAAACCCCATCTATGCTAAAAATACAAAAATTGGCCAGGTGTAGTGGCGGGCTCCTGTAGTTCCAGCTACATGGGAGGCTGAGTCAGGAGAATCACTTGAACCCAGGAGGCGGAGGTTGCAGTGAGCCGAGATCATGCCACTGCACCCCAGCCTGGGTGACAGAGTAAGATTCCATCTCCAAAAAAAAAAAAAAAAAAGAAAGAAAAGAAAATACCCCTCTTGATGTCCAGAGACAAAAAAGAAGGGAAAACTTTACAAAAATACATGATAGGATGGCTATGGTCTAAATGTTTATGTCTCTCCAAAATTCATATGTTGATATCTTCCATGGTTTGACTATGTCCCCCAAAAAGCATGCATTAGAAACTTAATACCAAATACAACAGTGTTGGGAGGTGAGGCCTAATAGGAGGTGATATGGTTGGCTTTGTATCCTCTTGAGTAGCTGGGACTACAGGTGCGCGCCATGATACCTGGCTAATTTTTGCTTTTTTAGTAGAGACGGGGTTTCGCCATGATGGCCAGGCTGGTCTTGAACTGTTGACCTCAGGTGATCTGCCCGCCTCGGCCTCCCAGTGTGCTGGGATTACCGCGGCCGGCCTAAATGGATTCTTAATAAGATTTCTTACCAGAAACCATGGAGAGCAGAAGGAATTAGGATGACTGAAGTCCTGAAAGAAAAAAAAAAACAGTCTACTAAGAATTCTGTCTGTGACAAAACTAAACTTCAAAAATGAAGACATTCCGAGATATTCAAAAGCTGGGGCAGTTTATCAGTGGTAGACATGACTTACAAGAAATGTTAATGGGAGTCTTTCAGGCTGAAATTAAGTCACTAAACAATAACTCAAAGCCACATATAAATATACAATAAATATATATATACACATATAAATAAATATACAATACACACATATATAAAATGAAGAATTCAACAAAAGTAACTTCATAGGTAAGTATAAAAGTATTAAAGTATTTTTGGATGTAACTTCTTTTTTGTTTCCTATATGATTTAAAAACAAAAACTGTAAATAAAGGTTGAATGACACCCAATGTATAAACATGTAACATATAATAGGAGCATTCTAAAAGTGATGACAGCTGTATAGGAGCAGAGATTTAACGTATTATTGAAACTAAATTCAAACTCAGTTGTTAGAAATGTAGAATATTAATTATAATTCACATACCACTGAGAAGTTGCTCAAACACAAGAGAAGGCAGTATTAAAAGAACTGTGGAACAATATTATGTGTGTATACATATTTTTATATTTGTGCAGTGCATATATATGTAAATGTATATAAATGTATGAATGGGTGTGCATATATATAAATACATATAAATATAGGCCATATAGAAAGTAAATTGGAAAATGGCACAAATGTCTTAGTTTGTGCTGCTATTTAAAAAATGCCAGAGAATGGGTAATTTATAAAGAACAGAAATTTATTTTATCTTGGTTCTGGAGGCTGGGAAATCCAAGATGAAGCGCTGGCGATAAAGCGCTGGCATATCAGTATCTAGTGAAGGCTCGTCCCTCATAGACAGCACTATCTACATGTCCTCACATTGTGGAAAGAATAGAAGGTCAAACAAGGTGTCCTTACATGGGGGAAGGGACAGAAGTATAAACAAGGATGCACATTTTTGGCTATACAATATGTTACACTAGAAAAGAAGTCTTAATTCAAAAAGACTGAGATTATACAAATTATTTTTTCTGACCACTATAAAATAAAGCTACAAATAAAAACTGAAAAATTTATAAATGCATGGAAATTGAACAACATACTATTAAGTAACCAATGGGTCAAAGAGGAATTCACATGGGCAATTATAAAATAATTTGAGATGAATTTAAACAAAAATACAACATATCTAAATTTAAAGGATGCAACAAAAGCAATGCTCTGAGGAAAATGTATAGCCGTAAATGAGTACATTAAAAAAAAAGTCAGTAAATACCCTAACTTTACCAAGGAACTGGAAAAAGAACAACAAACTGAAGCCAAAGCTAGCAGAAGTAAGGAAATAACAAAGATTACAGCTTAAGTAAATAACATAGAAAATGGAAAAACAGAGAAAATCAACACAACCAAAATTTCATACTTGGTAAAAATAAAAAAAAAAATGACACACGGTTATTTAGACAAACAAAGAAACAAAGAGAGGGGATACAAAAACTAAAATCAGAAATAAAAGCAGAGAGAGTACTATTTTATTTGTCAATGAATAACATAGACATGTTTCTTGAACCCAAACAGAAAGGTACAGGGCCTGGACACAACCAAGAATCTTTACATGGATGGATCTGATAATAAACTAATATTTACCCCTTCTCTATTATTTTAAATATTCATTAAAAATAATATCTTACATTAGATCATAGATTTTCTAATGCACTTGTGACCAAATTGTTTATATATACGGGGTCCTGCCTGCAAAATAAACAAAGAAACAGAAAACGTTTTGCTTGAGGTTCTGCAAACCTATGGACAGGCCTGAAAATGACTCTTCTCTTAGGTCTGCTCTGGACTTTGAGTTTAGTATCACTGTCACCGTTCATCCACCTTAAGAAACCTTAGTATGTATTATCAGGAGAAAAGTTTGTTCATTCTTCCTTGTATATTAGCTTAGCAGTTTTCTAAGTCTTTTTCACTGTTAAGTCATTTACCATGATTTTTTTTTCTAGATGAGGGTTTAGCCAAATACCCTAGCCAGCCCTTAACAGAAATAGTATGTCCTATATTTCAATTTTTAATTTTAAACTTTATGCTGCTATGCTTAAAGTTTGTGTATGTCTCCTAGTATACATATGCAAAAAATTTATCTGGGGTATATACCTAAGAGTAGAACTAATGTGTCACCAGCTATTCATATTCTCTACTTAGGTAGATATTGTCGAGTAATTCCCCAAATATATTAGCACCATATACACTACTTCTAGAATTTTTCTATTGCCTTATGTAACAAATTTCATATTTTCAGAATAAAAAATAAAAGCCAATCAGATAAGAAGGTTGACATTACATATATATTTGAAATCATTCAAGTTTTGATCAGTTTGAATCTCTTTCCTTAATAGCGAATTGAGTTTGTTGTTTGTTTTCATAACACACTTGCTCATTTCATTAGTCTATTTCTCAGTTATATTTTTGGGGCTTTGTTGATTTGCATACTAATATTTTAGAGGTGTTACAAATACCATCATCCAATATGTAACTTGTCTGACATTTTTATGATCTCATCAATAAAAAAACTATTGTAATTTTGATGTACTTAAGATCATCCATTGTTTCATTTGTGATTTATGCTTTTTATGTTTTATTATTCTAGGTCATAAAGATGTTTTATGATTATTTTTGGAGGGAAAAAAATATCTGAGAAGGAAACAGAGTGAATCTGAACAAAATAAATTATATATAAAGAAGTAAAATGTAGAGGTGTTAATTTTCTTCATAAAAATAAATATTAAAAAGGAGCTTACTGTTTCCCCCTAAAGTTTACCAGACATTTCAGATTGTTGTACTTAGTATTTCAATGTCTATTTGATTATGGAATGGTTTACTGATGGTTTCATATATGAAATATGTATGACTTTAGATAGCTAAAATGCATTGCTGAATTACTACAGAATAATGGAACATGTACCTGGTAGTTCAAGTTCAAACTATGACATTTGCTTTGATGTAACATATATGAATGCTAAGTAATTGATTGTTTTTGAATCCTATGAATTTTGCTTCAATTCATTTTTTTCAAAGAATTCTATTAATATAATCATAAATGAGATCTCCCTTTTCATGTTGTCTGGGTTCAATTCCCTTTGGCTGTCAAAAAAATAGTCCTTTTATTTTGTCCTTTGCTACTTTATATATATAAATTTCACAAGGGGAAATTCCTTATGAAACATTTTACAAAACAGTGTTTCCTTTAAGCTATGAGCTTCATTATGGAGATTTAAAAATAGACATACCACAAGTTTCAAAAGCTCTTATTTTTTATTACTTTATTTACCAATCTTCCTACCATTCTCATTCTTTGCAACTTTCAAAGCTGTAGAGCTATAGAATTACAGTGCGATCTGAGGAATAGAAAAAAGATAAATTTAAATAAGGCTCGTCCTTTACATCTTTTATTAAAATAAATTTATTGTATATATATTTTCAAAAAAGGAAAGGAAATTAATACAGATTATTATGTGCCAGCCATTTTTCTAAAAATAGTATAAAAAATTATCAATTGGCCAGGAGCAGTGGCTCACGCCTGTAATCCCAGCACTTTGGGAGGCCGAGGCGGGCGGATCACGAGGTCAGGAGATCGAGACCATCTGGCTAATACGGTGAAACCCCGTGTCTAATAAACATACAAAAAATTAGCTGGTCGTGGTGGCGGGCGCCTGTAGTCCTAGCTACTCAGGAGGCTGAGGCAGGAGAATGGCGTGAACCCGGGAGGCGGAGCTTGCAGTGAGCGGAGATCGTGCCACTGCACTCCAGCCTGGGTGACAGACTCTCTCTCTCAAAAAAAAAACTATCAATTAAATAATAAAAATATTGATTTATTTTAGTCAAAGAGTTGTAACTATTTTGAAACCATAAACTATCTTCTTTTACTCTTTATATTGAGGTATAATGGACAAATAAAATGTGTATATTCAAGACATACAATGTGTCATTTTTGTATATGTGCACATTGTGAAATCATTACCACAATCAAGCTAAATATATCCATTAACTGCCATAGTTACTCTGTGTGTGTGTGTGTGTGTGTGTGTGTGTGTGTGTGTTAAGAATACTTAAGATCTATTGTCTTAGCAAATTTCAAGTATGCAATACATTATTATTAACTATAGTCATCATGGTACACGTTAGGTCTCCAGAGCTTATTCATCTTAAATTGGAAGTCTGTATCCTTTGACCAGTATCTCACTATTTCCCCAACCTCCAACCCCTGATTGCCACCTATAAATTAAATTTTTTTGGAGTCCACATATAAATAAGATTATGCAGTATTTTTGTTCCTATGTCTGGCTTATTTCACTTTACATAATTTCATCCAGTTTCATCTTTATTGTTGCAAATGGCAAGATTTCCTAGAAAAAAAAATACCTAAGTCCTGGAAACAACTAAGTTTGTCTGTCTATGGACAAATAAGTTGAATTTTTAAAACGTGGTTATAGATATTTAATGGAATGCCATTCAGTTTTTCTTTATTAAAGATAAAATAAATTAAAAAGACAATATTTGCATGTAAAACCCAGATATTCCTCATTGCTTACAAAATATTAAGTAATTGTTTAAAAATGTTTAATGTGCTGCTGACTTTTTAAATTTCTGCATAAAACATAAATATTATATTTGAAGGTAATATAACTCATAGAAGTGAATATTTATAAATGCATATAGTTAGACCCATGTGATCAAACATACCTATAAATGTAAAAATAGGCATAAGTATATATACAAATACACATAAGGATAGTAACTTTCTTTGTTGCTCTCATTTTTTTTGTTGTTGTTAATAAAGAGCTATTGGTGCTAGGCTTAGAGGTTCAGGCCTATAATCCCAACACTTTGGAAAGCTGAGGGGGAGGATTGCTTGAGCCCAGGATTTCAAGATTGGTCTGGGCAACATGCCAAGACCCAGTCTCTACAAAAAATAAAAAGTTGAAACATTAGCCAGGTATGATGGCATGAGGCTGTAGTCCCAGCTACTCAGGAGGCTGAGGCAGGAGAATTGCTGGCACTCAGGAAGTTGTGGCTGCAGTGAGCCATGTTTGCACCAGTGCACTCCAGCGTGAGCAACAGAACAAGACCCTATCTCAAAAACAAATAAATACATACATATAAATAGCCACTGAAAAATGTTTCCAAAATACTGATTTATGTATTGAAAAAATTAAAGATGACTCTTTATTTTGAGTTTTAAAAAGTAAAATGATAAAATCTATGTTGAGTTTATCAAATAACCCAATGATGTTGAAAGCACCTGTTAAAATGCTGTGTTATATAAACAATAACCATTTTAATTGAATGAATTTCCAAACATGGCCTTAATATACAAAATATTTTTTAAAAATTGTGACTGCATCTAAATAATATGCATTATATATAAAATTATTTTTAAGATACCCAGAGAGAAAAAGACAGGAAATTAGTGGAAGATAGAAAGGATAAGATAAATATATGAGAAATGAGAGGGAAAAAAAAAGTGGAAAGGGAAAATATGGAAAATTTTCAAGCTAAAGATATTGAGTCAAAATCTAGACCAGCAGTCTCATTTCAGAGTGTGAACAACAGCTAACAAGTGGCATCAGTAACACAGCTGTTAGTACTTGACGAATCTACTGAATAACTTCTAGTGTGACAAATTAGAATTAAAGAAAACTGTCTAGTTGTAACTGAAAAATCAGCACTGTAACAATATAAGAGCAGGAACTTTTAAAAAATCTGCTATGTCTTTAACAAAAAATGACAAAATAATCATAATTAGCATTAGTATAAACAAAAACAAAACAGAACAGGATTTTAGAGCAGCAGTCCACTTTCATAGGAAACAATAACAATAGGATTAACATAGTGTTGATGTTGTTTCAAAAAACTCACTATATGTAAAAGAAAATCTCTAAACATCTGGGTGATATCCCTCATCTTAAATTCTGTAGTTTAATTAAGACTCTTGGAGGGCCCTTACCTTATCTCTTCAAAAATAAGTGATATTATTTTAGATAACTAATGAAGTTCATAGCAGATATTATACATTCTTTGCTGGTAGTGATTAGTTTGAAGAATGCTTGAAATATGTATCTAAGAAGTGTATTAGAATGGAAGGTAGGAGAGTTTTTGTAGGACTTCAAGTTTGATTTCAAATATTCCACAATCTCTTAACACTTTTGATTTAGTACCTCATCTCATCAGGCATAGTCAGAATTCAAATTCCTGTGTGCCCCACAACTCCCATTCTAAATATTCTCAGGCAAGCATGATCCAAGGGTGCAGTTTCCAGTTTCAAGGTGACCAGCATTGCAGGGCCTTTATGTTTTGTTCCACTAGAAGACTACCAAAAGAGTGCTATATGTGTCCTCACTATCTTACTGAGCTTTGGTGAAATACTCCTCATAATGTTGAGTTATTGTCCTTCTGCTCTCAATTTTCTTATACACTCTTCTAACAATCACTAAACCATGAAATACATTTGAGTGATTAAAAGCCAGGATCCTGGCAGGAAAGAGAATTCATCACAAAGACTTGCAACAGTAGAAGTTAATAACACCCAAAAGGGACAACAGGAGGAAAACAAGGACCAAATATTCCAGTCCTCTATACTCTTCTTCCCCTTTATCTTCTTCTGATGCCTCCTTTTTTGTCAAACTTAACTTGAAGTCTGCTGAAAACTAAGCCTGAGAGATGGAATCTGCAGAGATTAGCATCTGGACAGAAGGATGGAGCATGTATATGAGAGGCAGAGAAAGAAACAGAAGCAGAAAATCACTATTTTTTTCTGACAATGAAGAATTTTTGCTTTATCTAACTCATTACCCAAAGTAGAGTTCTTTTCCAGGAAGCTATTTAATTACACATATCAATAGTCCTCTTTGCCAGATATAATCCAAAACATGCAAACTAAAGTAGAAGTACAATATGCAAGGTATAACAAAACAACAAAAATACCAAGTGAAAAGAACTATGACTGAGTCAAGGATTACAGAGAAATAAGAAAATATCACTTTAAGGAGTCAAGGGAAATTCATAAAGTATTGGAATCTTGAAGGATTACAGAGTTAGATAAAGTACCACAAAGGGGGAGAGTGTAAGAAAGGATAATAATCTAAAAAATATAGATGGGTTTTAATAAGATTTAAATGTTGGTTACATGGAAGAAACTACGAAGAAAATGATAGCTCAATTAAGCAAAAGGAAAGTCATGGAGAACCATTTACACTGAGATAAGAAATTTTAATTTTAGTTTACAGAAATTGAAATAATTGAATCAGGAGAGCGGCATGGTTAGCTTTCTATGACAGAAAGACTGCTCTGTAAGAAATACAGAGTTTTGTTTGGAAAGAGGCCAACTGGACAACTGGAGGCTAAAAGCATCCTAGGCATTAACAATCTGGGAGAGCGATGTATGTATAAATCACAGATGTGAAAGTGAGCATGAAAAAGGGGGCCATATTTTATGTGGGACAAAGTTGAATCTGTACCTATTATTTCTCAGAGTAACTACTTTTACTTCTATTGACTAACATCTATAGAACACTTTGTTTTCAAAATATGTTGGTGAGTCTCTAAATAGATCTACACAAATGTTGGCAGTGCTCATGTGAATTTAGGGTGAGGATTCACTGGTGAGAGTATTTTTATTTGTGAGCATTTTTATTTATTGTTTTCAGTGACAACTTTTATGAGTTGTTTACTGGGACAAAAATTATCTGAACTGTAAAAAAAATACAGATTTTGTCTAACATCCATCAGGGTTGTTACCAAGTGTATGTAAACTGTGGAAGCCCTTATCTTGGTGAATAGCTTAAAACAGGCACTTGATAAATGTTTCCTTCCACCGTGCTTTCTTCCATTACTCCGAGTGGAACCTGCAAATGCCTAAGTCTGCTGAGTTATGCTGAAAGAAAATAATACTTGAATTGCAAAAAAAAAAAATGTTCTGTATAAGTTAGAAAGCTATTTTGTTTAGTTTTCTGTATACACTCATATATTTACATAATCAGTGTTTACCAACTTCCATCATGTTTTGTGATGTGTGGATATTAGATAAAAATATAGGTATATATATATGTGCATATAGGTATACATATATTTACACACACATATATAGAGAGAGAGAAGTGAGCAATACTTTTCATCTTTTATGTAAAGATTGCAAGACAGTGTTATTTTAGTTGAATAAACTGAGGCATTTATATCTTCCTGTTTATCAAAATAATACTCTATTGCCATATTGGCTTAGCACAAAACATAAAAACGTAAGATATCTTTTTCTGCCAACCTATTTCACAGAAGCTCATTTATCCATTTATTCATTCACAGATTGAAATATTGAGAGACTTTATGCTAAACCTACAAAGAAGCTTTTCTTTAGAAAAATATATTTCAGCAATTGCTTAGTAATGTAGATCAAGCTGTAAATATAACATGCTCACTAGAAATATTTTGTTTAAGGGGAAAACAAATATTGCATACCTTTTTGGGTTGTTCATTCAAAAAACCAAAGTAGTGTCTGTTTAGGGAGGGATAAGTGGATTTTCTATTAAAGGGACTTTTCAACAAAAACAGTAGAAAGGAGACCTTTCATTTGAACAAGTCTTTATAACAAACAACACTTTGTTCTCTTAGTAAGAAAGACTATTTTCTTCTCAGGAACCAATACCTAACAACTAAAAACAGAAGATAAAGATGTATTGTTCGGAGCAATTACACTGGTAAGAAACATGAATAAAGACAGTGGCTCTGTGTCATTTTCAAACACATCTCTTGAGCAAGAAACCAGAAACACTGTAGTTATAAGGCTTCAAAAATTGAAAGTAGGACATTTAAAAATATGTAAATCTACTCTTCTGTTCCACTTTTATCTTGAACCAAAAGATTAAGAATAAATAAATCAAAGCAACTTAAAATTATAAGTTCAATACCCAAAATAAATATTTTCATTTTAAAATAGTCAAAAAGCATGAAGTGAAATAATTACATAATAAAATTGAAATTTTTCTAATACGTATGTTTCTCTAATTGCATAAAATAGACTATTCAATTTTATTTTTAAATTTTTCCACAACACTTGTTTCTTTCTATTATACTACATGAGATATTTGTTTCTTACATATGCTGTTGATTTTCTCTGTATCTCTACATCTCTATTCATTATCCACCTAATCTTCATTTAGGCAGACGTATTTTGTCTGCTTTTTTCTGACAATACTAGATGCTATGTTAGTAGAGCCTGGTGATTGATTCTGTGTTAGGCTTATGGTAATTAGAAGGAATTAATGGTGACATCTTAGCTTCTGGTGGTGTGTGTTGCCATTTAGCATAACTTAGAATGCCAAAGAAGGAGTAAGGTTTCTTGGCAAGACAATGACTTGAGCTTTGGAAGCTTGTATCTGTTGTTCTCGTGGCTCATCTAATTGTAAATGTCTAATACACTGTTTAAAAAAAGTTTTCTGGGTCTCAGAAAAAAAACCCCAAAGTCTGAGCTGGGCAGTATTGGATGAAGTAAAGTAAGTTCAGATATTGAGATTTGTGTGAAAATAAATTAGTATATTTTAAAATAAAGTATACTAATACATCAAAATATTTGCCTAGGCTTCATTAGTCTAAATATTTGATCCATGAAGGAATTGATTGTGTCTTGTTTACAATTGTTTCTCTGTTTTTATATATAGGAACAAAATTGATAAATGCATGTTGAATAAATAAATGTGTTAGGAAATGAGTATCAATGCTTAGGAGTTATTTTGTTACCACTCAATCTTTAAACATATTTTGTTTTTCTAGATAGGAAACCTAACTCAGGTTAGCACATTCTCATATTCATTCATTGGGCATTTTATATTAAAGCAATCTTTTTTTTTTTTTTTTTTTGAGATGGAGTCTCGCTGTGTTGCACAGGCTGGAGTGCAATGGCTGGCACGATCTCAGCCAACTGCAACCTCTGCTCCCCCCCGGGTTCACACCATTCTCCTGCCTCAGCCTCCCGAGTAGCTGGGACTACAGGCGCCCGCCACCACGCCCAGCTAGTTTTTTGTATTTTTAGTAGAGACGGGGTTTCACCATGTTAGCCAGAATGGTCTCGATCGCCTGACCTCATGATCCGCCTGCCTCGGCCTCCCAAAGTGTTGGGATTACAGGCGTGAGCCACCGCGCCTGGCTGTTAAAGCAATCTTTACAAGTTCTGATAATTTATACAAGTTCTGATATATGGCTACCCAATGCTAGTCCAACCCAGGGCCAGAATTCACTGGCTGCTGCTGCATGTACTTGCTGAAACCAGATAAACTGCCTTTTTATTGAAAGTATTATAGAAATCAATTTGGGTTTATTATCACATATTTGAGGCTTTTTATCTGTGCTATAACAACAACAACAACAAAAAAATACGGGGAAGGAAGCATGGACAAATAGTAAATTTAAAGATTAAGCAGAAGGTATTTGTTTTATTTTATTATGAAGTCTTTCTGGGGACCTCAAATTAAAATAAAATTTAATGTAAAACATTTGTTATCATATTAGAGTTCCCAGGTATGGAAACATTGATATACACACAAATCACGAACTAACTCAGAGATTACTCACTTAACTTTTATTGCATATATTATACAGCAAGGACTTCTCATGATCTTAGCCAAAAGGCCGAGAAGCAATAAAGCAAGGACTTAAAGTAATAAATGCATAGTTAATTTTATATCTACTATCTGTATTTCTCTCTTCAGCCAAGAATGCTAAGAAGGTAGTCATGTCAATTGTGGAATCTACTGTGTGATCTGGCAATTTCCTCTTTAAGAATTGGACTTTAACAATCAATTAGTTTCAAAGAGGCCAGTAAAGATCCAGAGGTTCTAAACACAGAATATTGCACATACTAACTAAAATTTTCAAAGATTGCCTAATAAAATTGTCTTAAATCTTGCTGAAGAGAACAACAGTTTCCTTTGATTCAATTATCACCTGAAATTATTAGTAGTGCTTTTCAGAATTGTTATCACTCTCTTCCTGACAGAGGAGGGCACATTTATTCATTTGAGGTATCTCTATGCAGGCCATTACAAGAGAAATAGAATTCAAATGGTTGCCTTAAATTCTTTACAAAGAGACAAAATCAAATTGAATTAGGATAAGTGCACTTGAATCAAGACAAAGTATAAATAAAATACCTAAAATAATAATACCTAGACTCAAAATTTAAATCATGGCATCATGAGTAGGTAATACAGTTCTATGTTTAGCACATCAATAAGTTATTACCATATTTAGGAGCTCAGATGGGTGGAAAGATGTAATGTAACACTGTGCTTAACTATCAATCTAGAATTCAAAGTTACACGTAATTAACTACATCCTTTGACTTTGGTAGCATTATTAAATTTCATAAACCATTTCTTAATATTTTTTAAATTGTATTAGTATCATATTAATATGTAAACATGTAATACCCATCAATTTGTAGGTACCCTTATAGCACTTAATTTCATATGTCAAAATCTTGTAAACTTGGTTGTAATGACTGCAGTGCAAAAGTAATTAAGTGTACCAGACAGCGACATCTAACAGGTAGTCAAAGCATTTCCCATTGTATAATGAGATGAAGCAGAAAGGGTGTATCTTAAGACAGCGTGCAGAGCAGCCCCATATGCAGAGGAAACAGTGAGGTGAAATTTTCTTCTTTAGAGAAGTCCCAGGAAATGGAAATTTAGCAAGCTTCAGCCTACTATGTAGTACATTTTCCATAAATGGAGAATAAAACCTTATTGCTTTAACATGCTTCCAAGCCCCAGTGGAGACAATGAAGTAAAATGATACAAGTTTTGCAGCAGATTTCAGGGTCCCAGGGAAGTGGAGTTGACTGTCAGGGACAAAGCTGTTTTATTTAAGTAGGAAAAATGAATCATTATCACCTTTGACTAGAAAAATAACATTATCACCCTCACACATGGAGCACTGAAAACCACCATTTCACAATTCCACTTGTAAGGGATCTACTAAACGTCTTTTGTGTCACATGAAGCACACAGGTTTTAATTAACTCCTTGTTGTAGAAGGTACTATCACAGGTATTTGTTTTTTTGGACACACTCATGGAATGTTTCTTTCTGTAGCTACAGAAAGCCTTCAGTTATCCCATTTTCCAGCAAGATGAGGCCTTGCCTCACTTTCACCATGCAGTCCAGAGATTTCTAATGAACACATTTTTAAATATAGATGGGACACTATTCAAAAGATTGACCTGCCTTTGAAACAATGGCTTCCAGATCTCCCAGATATGTGACTATTTATGAAGATGTGTCAAGAACCTCCACATGTTTTCCCACTTCTTCCTTGCAGCTCAGAGACATTTTATTCTCTATCCACTAGTTTAATTATGCATATCTTAATTACCTTGTAGGCATTTTGTGAAATGAATAAAATCACTCCTAATTTTGTTAATCAAATCACTGTTCGTCTTTAGACAAAAGTTGTGTCCCAAAGAAGACATTTTATGCAGCTACCAAGTACTATACGCTGGAGGCTGAGTTCAAAGTATAAAAACTCTCATTCTCTAATCTTGAGGAGTTAATGATCTTGTATCTAGGCATGGGTGAGTTACTAAAAGAATGAACAAAATTCTGAAAAATTGAGCAATGAAGTATATACATCATGGACCCGAAGAAAGCACTAGTTTGATCTGCTTGATAGGATTGAGAAAGTTTTAATGTATAAGGTAGAATTTTAGCTGCAGTTTGGAAGATTAGTCAAATTTAATAACAAAAGAAGAGGTAAATGGTAATTTAACAGAATAGGATGAGCCAGATTTGTCTGTTGTTTTGGTATGCAGAGATACAGTTTAAAATCGCATGAAAACCATGCTGGTATAATGAAACTTTTTCTGTAGGCAATGTAAGATTATGTAGAAACATTTATTAGCTTTCTCATTCAATGCTAACAGGCTAGGGGTGACAAAGGAAAACACAAACCAAAAGAGACAAAGGGGATTGTTATTCTCAAGCAAAGTTCTTGTAATTGTAATTTTTGTACTTCTACCAATGTTTTCATGTGCTTTAAATTAAGAAACCTATTGTGTTGTACAACCGCTACAAATTGTATTCATTAGGAAAACCTACAATTCGTTGTGGTTTAATGTGTTTTGTTTTATAATTGTTGCTAAAATAAAATAACTTTTTACATATAAAAGAAATTTTTTATATTAATAAATATCTGTCTAGTCATATTAGGAAGAATAACAAAATGAAAGATAGATTTTGGTTCAGGAAAACTGGGCACACCTGGGTTTCAATACCAACTATTACTTCCACTTGCCATGTGACCATGTTCAAATTATTTAGGCATTTTAAGTCTTCTTTTTCTCAAGTCCAAAACTGGTTTAAAATTTTTATCTCAGATGTTGTTAAAACTTAAATGAGATAATGTAAGTAAAGTGTTTGGAAAAAAATACTACTTATTAAACTTTGTTGCAATTTATAAGCTCATGAAAATATCTTTAATATAGAGGGTGACTATCATTCTTGTATTTAGCATTATATATATTGCAATTTTATTTCCCAGCTTTAGGAGAAACTAAAGCATACTAATATATATTGAATTTCATATATATATGTGGAATATATAGATTGATTGATTTCCATATATGTGTGTATATATAGAGAAAGAGACAGAGAGAGAGCAAGAGAGAAAATGACAGAGAGACAGAAAAACAAAAAAGTCTATGACCTGAATTCTGCTATAATTGGTATAGAATACAAAAGACTTAAGCAATTGTACATTACTGTTTCCTTCTCCTCACAAGAAAAATTAAATTAAAAAATTATACTCACTTTAAGATCTTATAGTTCAATTTTAACAATTTTTTCCTTTACTTGAAGTTATCATCTTTGAAATTCAATATTGGGGCCCCTGTTGTCATATTTAAAACTTTGGCAACAGGCTCACAATCTTTTTCTCAACCTTAATTTATTTTATAATCTTTGTTGAAACTTCTAGTGAATGACGCATCCAATTACATACCTCTGTTCTTGAACCTCTTGTTTCTAATAACTATACCTCACCATCATTTCAGATACCTATTCCAGGGGCATATCTTTTTTATACCTATCACTATTTTAGCTGGAAAATCAGTCATGCAAATATTCAATTCCTTAACTCCTTTACTTTCCACCTTACAGCTTATTTGTTCAAATACTCCTACTCTGATTTTATCAGAAGCCTTAATTTATTAAGCCATAGGTTATCCCCAATTTCAAAAATCCTCTTCTTAGTATGATTCTTTTTTCAGCTTATATTCCATGGCTCATAATTCAATAAGACTTTTTACATTATTCTAAAGGCCCATGCTTTATTTCTTTCCATTATACTAATCTGAAGAAAAAGCTATCTGATTTCTGTCTATATAAAATATCAGGACACATTATTCCTACTACAAAATGATCATCCTAAAATTGAAATAATCCCTCATCACTTCAATTCTAGGCAAGATATCTGGTCAACTAATCTTCATTCTATTTCAACTCTTTCAAAGATTGTTCATACACTTCAAAATCTATTTCTATCTTTTCTATTAGACATGTAGTCATTTTCTCTGAATATCAAATTTATATACATACTTTTACATTTGGATGCAATCTGTCCTGTTATAATAAAGTAGCTGTTTCTTCTGCTATCTGATCTTTGTATTGAATTACATATTTTCTTGTCTCTCAAGAAAATTATTCTATCAATTCTCTCGTCTCTCTCTGTCCTTCTTTTCACCCTGTTTATTTTCTTCCTTTGAAGCTTCCTGAGACATACAATCCTGTTTTACCTTCTATTTCCCCAGCATATAATAATGCTTATCAATTACAGGTAATATACACTTTCATTTAGTAATAAATGCCAATATAAATAATTTCAAATAAGATACTACACTACTATAAAGTAGGAAAGTTTAATTGAATGTTAATTCTGTCTTTCAAGAGACTTATGTGTGTGTTCATTAAGCATCAGTTATTGTGAACATTGCACAGATTTATGATTTCTTTAAGAATTCTATTTTAAAATTGTTATTGTGATTAAATAAGTATAAAATAAAATTTTCTATTTTACCTTCTTCTCAATGTATAATTCAGAAGCATGAGTTGCATTCACAATGTTGTGAAACCATAATCATTACCTATTGTTAAAACTTTTTCATCACTCAAATAGAACTTCATAACAAGCAGTAACTTTCCATTCTCTCCTCCCTTAGCCTCTGGGAACCTCTAATCTCTTTCTTCCTCTATAATTTTATTTGTTCTAGATATTTTATACAAGTGTGTCAGAAAATATTTGTCCTTTTATGTCTAGCTTTTTTCATTTGGTATAATGTTTTCTAGGTTATACCTGTTATGGCAATACATCAGAACTTCATTCCATTTTCTGGCTGAATAATATTCTACTATATGTATACATCACCTTTTGTCCATTCATTCATTTGTTGATGAACACCTGGATTGTTTTCATCTTTTGGCTCTGTGAATAATGCCACAATGAGCAGTGACATACAAATATGTGAAACTTTGTTTCCATTTTTTGGGGGGTATATAACAGTCTAAAATTGTTTGGGTTATATGGTAATTCTATGTGTAGCTTTCTGAGAGACCATAAAACTGTTTTCAACAGTGACTGCACCATTTTACATACCTGCCAGCAAGGTTCAATTGTTCCAATTTCTCCACATCCTTGCCAACACACATTATTTTCTTTTATTTTATTATAGCTATCCTAGTAGGTATAAAGTAGCATCTTATGGTTTAGATTTCCCTAAAGACTAATAATACTGAACATGTTTGCATGTGCTTATTTGTATATCTTCTTTGTATAGATGTTTATCATGTCCTTGGGTCATTTTATAAATTGGGTCATATGTTATTTTGTGGAGTTTTAGGAGTTCTTTCTATCTTAGATATTTAGTTTCCATAAGATATGTGTTTTAGAGACATTTTATCCCAATCTGTAGCTTTACTTTTTCACTTTCTTGATAATATCCTTTAATAAATAAAATATTTTAATTTTGTAAAGTCAAATATATATATTTGACTTTCAAATTTATATACATACTTCTACATTTGGATTCAATCTGTCCTGTTATACATTGCTTTTGTTTTATACATTGCTGCTGTATTATACATGCTTGTGTATTATACATTGAGAAGAAGGTAAAATAGAAAATTTTATTTTATGCATATTTAACCACAATAACAATTTAAAAAATAGAATTCTTAAAGAAATCCTAAATCTGTGTAATGTTCACAATAATTGATGCTTAATGAACAGGTACATGAGTCTCTTGAAAGTCAAGTGTACATATATATTTAATTATATATATATATATATTTATATAGTTACTCATGCTTTGGTGTCATATGTAAGAAGCCATTGACAAACCTAAGGCCCAGAATATTTATGCCTATGTCTTCTTCTAAAAGTTTTATGACGTTAACTCTTACATTTATGTCATTGATTCATTCTGAGTTAATGTTTTATATGGTGTGAAGTAGGAGACCAGCTTCATTCTTCTCAACGTGGAAGTCCAGTTGGCCCAACACCTTTTGATGAAGATGCTGCTTTTCTATTATAGACTTGTCACCCTTTTCAGAAATCGGCTGCTAATACACACATAAATTTATTTCTGACTCTCAAATATATTGAATTGATCTATATAACTATCCTTATACCAATCTCAAATGGTTTTTATCAGCGCTTCTTTGTAATAATTTTTAAAATTTAGAAATTGTGAGTCCTCTAAATTTGTTCTTTCTCAAAATTGTTTTGACTATTTGGATCCCCTTGCAATTTCACATAACTTAAGGATCAGCTTTTTGCATTTCTGCAAAAAAAAAAAAAAAAGGCTGTTGCAATTTTGATATGGATTGGCTTGAATTTGTAGATAACTCTATGTAGTACTGATGTCTTAAAATATTAAGTCTCCGACCCCATGAACACGGGCTGCCTTTCCATTTAAATAAGTGTTTAATTTTTTTCAGCAATGCTTTATATTTTTCAGTGTATATTAAAATGTTTATTAATCTATTTAACTTTCTTGGTTAAATTTGCTCTAAAGTATTTTAATGTTTTGAATGATATTATAAATTGAATTACTATTTACATTTCCTTTGCAAATTGTTCATTGCAAATATGTAGAAATACATTCAATTTTTGTGTGTTGATTTTGCACCTGGCAATTGGGCTGAATTTGTTTCTTAGTAACTATCTTGTGGATTTTGAGAGATTTTTCTGCATATAAGAACATGTCATATGTGAACAGATATATCTTTAATTTTTCCTTTTAAATTGCGGAACCTTCTATTTATTGTCCTTGCCTACTTGCTCTGTCTAGAACTTCCAATAGAATGTTGAATAGCAATGATGAAAGTGGGCATCTTTGTCTTGTTTCTATCTTAGTGGGAGACTTTCATTTTGACTTTGGGTACAATTTAAGGAGGGGAAAAAAAGGAAAAACTGCTTCTTAAAATCTCTTAAAACAAATTTGCTAAATATTTTATTACTGATTATGTTTAAATGATGTTTTATATCCTAAAAATTCAGGAACCACGTATTAAAATATTTAAAATGTTAAAATATTAGAACAGTTGCCTAGGACCAAATTTACCGAACATCAAAAGCTTATAAAAGCTCTTCATTTTATAACTTTCAGGAGGATCTCATGTATCCGAGTGGAAACACTTACATTAATTGTAATACAACATCAGTTGTAAGTATTTTCAAGTTCTTAGCAATTTTTGCTGATAATAGATCTTAACAGATATTTCAATTTTTTTTGTTTTGTTGCTCAGCGAATAATCATGTATAAAGTTATCCTCACTTCATTGTTAAAGATTAAAATAACTGAAATATTATCTAGGCTTTTATAAAGCACATTAAGATTGCATGCAATGCACTAAATTAACAAATATTATTTTTAAGCTATAAAAATAGGTAAAATGATGTAATAAGGGTATCTTAGAGAGTCAGTTGCTTTTATACAAACAATAATGAGCATAGCTGAATGCGCTGGTTCTCTGAATCCATGATAAAAATAATAGATTTTTATCTTATCCATGGATAACAATCCATGATTCTCTGAATTCACCATGAAAAAACATTTTATTAAACTTTAAACTACAAAATACATAAGAAAAAAATGAAAACTTTAGAGATATTAGATAATTAAAATAATTGAAGGCTCTCAAATTCACTAAGCAGTCTTAGGCATTAAAAAAACAATGGCATGATGCTTTCAATTAGATCAACAAAAGTAAACAAAAAAATAACGTGGTTTGGGGATTCACTTGTGGTTGTAATGGATAAATTAAAATATCAAAGCTAGTTTCTTCTCATTCAGAGTTGCAAACATTAAAAAACCAAAAGATTATAATAACTAATATGTTAATTAAATATATCTGTGATTATATAAAACATGTTTCTGTTTGAAAATATTGCTGAAAGTGCACAAATTATTTGTCAACAATTTATTTCCCAAATTAGAATAGTTGTATTACATTCTGAACAATTTATATGCTTTAAATGTAAAAAATCGATTGTGGTTTAATTTTCAAAATTGCCTCTATGTAAAATTCCAAAGTTGCTTATTTTCTCCTTCAATAAAATGATGTAAAGTATTGGTTCACTTAATATTATGAAAGTAAAGAGCATTGCTCACAAGTTGATTGTAGAAGAAAAACATATAGGCAGCTCTCCATATCATTGGTCAATATCATATTTTTTTAAAAGATCAGAGTCTGGAAGTATAGATGTAAAGCTGATTTCAATACATCTTGTCTTAAAATCCAGGTTATCTTAGTCACCCACTGGAACTTTCCACCTGGGACATGTATATAAATGGATCAGAGTTCCCTTGGCTGATGTAATTTAACCAAATTCTGCACATTTACAACTGACTTTATACTAAGCTGTTTGATTTGTCCTTCTTGAATATATTATAGATTATTAAATCTATTTAACATCTAATGTTAATAAGTTTTACAAATAATTCTGTATCACTTTACTCATCTAATCTAAATGTTTCTCCCATTACAAACTTAAATAAAAATACTCCAGTGTACAGCTTTACTAGAAACTTCATCAAATATCTGACCTTCACAGATAAAAAGCTGCATTGGGAACAACATAGGTTTTATTCCTTATAACAGATATAAGATCCTTTAGAATAAAAATTTTATAAGAGAATAATTTAACATATCTCATATTATTACCATAACAAGGCAACCCCTTATTAAGGTTTAAAGAATGTCAAAGGAAGCGGGATTCTTTCATTTACATTATATTGCTTAATAATTCTACAAAATAAGAGAGTATTGTATGGTCGCAGAGGTACAGTAAGAGATTTGAATATACACTTAGACAAACCTTCTAGATATAGGTAAATTTATTTAATTCTCATAAAATTACCAATGAAGAACTAATCCATTACATAACTCACTTAAATCTTTATAAATTAGCATTTTTGGTATGTGAGTGTTATTTCATATACCAAAAAATATCCTTTACAATTAATGGCATTGTTTAATACAGTAATTTCAAAAATTGATTCTCACTTATTACAATTATATTAACACTCATGGTAATTCTATGATCATAATCATGGTAAAATACTTATTGAGAACTGTAAGTTCTAGGCACCGTAGTACATACTTTACAAGTTTTCTCATATGATTCTTAAAAAAACTTAAGTGGTAGCTATTATTATGAGCATGTTTTACATATAATCATATAGGCTAAGGTTGTTAAGTATACTTTTTAAGTAACAAAGCTACTAAGTGTTGGAGCAGAGATTCAAATATCAGTCTGACCCAATAAATTGCATAATAAATACAAGTGACAAGGAACTAATATCAATATGTTTTTCAGAATGCAAGCCACAATCTATTAATAGTTCATGAACCCAACTAAGGCTCATCATCAGTATTCTTTAAAACAATAAAATTTAATAAGTTATAAATATTAGACCATATGATAATAGTAAGGATATAATTGATTCATGAATTTATTTTCAGATGTATTCTATTGATGAATTAACGCAAAACCAGAGTTAAACATTTTTACAATGCTGAGTTCTATTGACTCCATGAAAGAGTACATGCACCATTTAAAAAATTACCAAGTCATCTGCAGAAGGCAAAAAGTCAGTTTTTAAGTGCTAGAAAGTGAGAGTTCATGAATATTGTGCTTATTAAGCATTAAAAATTAGTATCCTGGAGAGGATAGAAATCAATTGACCTGCATATAGTTGGATAAAATGAATTTCAGTCTTCATTGATCAGGAAAAAGTCTTCACTTTGTGTCCAGTAAGGGTTAGTAATCTTGGGGATATTCAATAGTCATGGTCCTTTACAAGCTTTGATTGATTAATTACAGCAGTGGTAAACACAATAATCATTTTTGATATTTCATAGGGAATTGCCACTATAGGTTGTATGTTCAAAGTAAGCAACAATTTTCTTATGGTCCTTTCCTTAATCTCTGTTGTAGAGTAATGATACAAGGAACGATATATGGTTAGATTTTTTTGGTCAATACTTACATCTTGGGTTTAGATTTTTAGTGGATATGTTTTGTTTATCCGTATACCTTCAATTGCACTTTAATGCACGATCCATAAAATACTCTACTAAAACTGTTAATACCCTGATCACAGCAACAATTAATCATATTCTTTCATTTGTACATGGCTGAATCATTAAAAAAAGATCCTGCGGGCAGGTGTGTCATATTTTGGAAAACCAATTGGCTTCCTTATTAATTTTACATAGAGTCTTCTTAACCTACAATCAAGGATTTCAAAGGGTTAAATAATCTATTTACAAGTTAACAAGTTAGCTTGTCACAATTTAATGGACAATGGGAGAAGATAAAATATTTCTAGGTGAGAGACAAAGGACATTATTACTGATAATGCTGCAAAAGCAGTAAAAGCATATGTACATTCCTGTCACTTTCCCTTGCCCCAGAGTCCAGTGGGGAGATACATATGGGTTACTTTCCCTTGCCTCAGAGTCCAATGGGGAGAAACATATGGGCTCAGGTAGAAGCCAGCACACACAGTGAGTTGTGTTCAGAGAGAAGAAGCTGAGCTTTAGGGAATGTGGATCTCTTATAATGGGTAGGAAGCATATCTACCCTTCACTCTGGAAGGAGACATCCCTTCTATTTTCTAAGGCTCTTAATATGAGACAAACAGCAACATGCGACATACATGAAAAATTTTCTCTCAACACTTACCTTGGAGCATTTATCCAAACAAAAACAGGAGACTAGATAGTATAGAAAATATTGTGATAAGTAAATTATGTTTTAGAATTGTGAATAAAGTGATTCTGTTGTTCAGTATTCTTGCAAGAAAAATGTGCAAGAAATTTTGTTGAACCTGTATCGCAGGGACAACATATGGCTTCCTTTGCTATGATTGCTTCTGTCATAGAGCTTCTATGCAGTATTCAAATATAGGAGTATCAAGGCCAATAAAGAAAACTTCTCAGGAATCAGCGGATACAAATATTTCTGATACAGCCTGAAAGTTTTATACTTCAACAGGCATGTACATAGATCATGTGAAATGCTACCATTATAGACTTACCAACATTTCAACAGAGCATATAAACTCTTTTAAGATAGCAGACTTATTTATCTCCACAATCAATATTGTGGTACAATATATCTTGGTGCATACATATGCAAGTCTTAAAGAGCACAATCTATAGTTTTTGTAGTTATCTGAGGAAACTGAGAGTTGTTTTAACCAAATAATTCTAAATTCACAGCAGGACAAGTATAACTTGTTCAAACAGTTCAAGGACATTTTTTTCTTAATTAGTTGAGTGCAAATACGTTGTTAGTGATTTCCTGTGATATGGAGCCATTGTCAATATTTTAAGCTATCTGGCTTTATAGAAAGAATATTATATTTCAGAACTATGATATTCATGTCATATAAGAAATAAGGTAATAACAGTCATATGCCATAAAATGATGCCTATTTTAACTAAAGATTTTTTTAGCTAAAAAAAATTGGTTGCTGAAAAGTTTGAGCCTGGAAGAAGTAATTACCAATGTTACTAATGTTGGGCTGATGAGAAAATAAACTTCTCTGGATGAACCTTATGAAAACTGTAGTTGTAATAATTTTAGCAGAATATTACAATAATAGAAAAAGTATGACAAACTCAACAGCTTAACTTGTGTAGCAAATTATACCTGCCTTGAATCAAACAAATTATTTGTTTTTTTAAACACCTTTATTGAGGCGTAACTGATATACAAAAGCCTTCACATATTCAGTGTGTACAATTTGATGAGTTTGAAAATATGCATACACCTGTGAAACCATCGGCACAATCAAAGTAATTTCTGAGAGGTAGCTGCTCTCCCATGTATACTACAGCATTATTTACAATAGTCTAAATATAGAAACAACCTAAATGTCCATTGACAAAAAAGAAGATAAAGAAGTTATGATATGTCACCAAACAATGGAATATTGTTCAGGATTTAAAAAGATGAAAATGTCATCTTTTGTGAAAACATGGATGCAAGTAGAGGACATCATGAAAAGTGAAATAAGCCAGTCAGAGAAAGACATATGTTGCATGATTCCACCTATACAGAATATCTAAAATAGTCAAACTCATAGAAGCAGAGAGTAGAATGGTGGTTGCCAGGGAATGGGTGAATAGGGAAATGGAGACTTGTTGCTCAATTGATATAAAGTTTTGGTTACCCAAGATGAAAAAGTTTTAGAGATCTGCTGTACAACATTGTGTTTATAGTTAACAATATAACATTTAGCACTCCAAAGTTTAAGAGGATACATTTCATTTTACGTGCTTTCACCATGCCCACACACACACTCAGACTTGTGAGCATGCAGCGTGCAAACACAAAAGACGGTAATTCATCAAAATGTATATATTAAAATGTGCAGTTATTTTTATATCAATTATATCTCAATAAAGACTTAAAAAGAACAAGATAACATATTAGATACTAGAAATTTTAAGAAAAAATGTCTTTTTTACAATATTTCTTTAGCCTCATCCAATTTGCAGCAAATTTGAAGTGACAATTATTCGATAAAAAATCATTTTTTAAGACTTACTTTGATTAGTTATATTTATAGAAATTTAATATATTTTTACAAATATAGAACAATTTTTAGTCACTGAATGACTTGCATTTTTTATTATCTGTTAACTAAGAGATATGCAACCAAAGTGTTAACCTTTAACGCAGCTAAAGTTTCCTTTAAAAAAAAAAAAAGATATCGTTCCCATAATTAAAGACACAACCAGGCAGTTATCCTTAGAAGAAGCCAGCTAGACATTTTAAGCATTAGTAATTAATTTCAAAAAATCCTTGTGAACTTTGTACCATTTTAAAATTATGTATTTATAAGTTTCAATAAACCAGTTAGCATTAGAGTTACCATGAAATTTAAGAGACCTTATAATAAGTTTCATTTTTTTTTCTACTTAGTTTTATGTAGACCTGGGCTAGATATTCCTGGACAATGCATATATGATGACAGACTTTAAAGCAATTTAAAAGGCCGACTGTTGTCAAATTAAAAAATCCCCACAGGAGAGTGAGGGTACAGGGTAATAACGATTTGACACTGTAGTTCCTATGTTAACCACATAACAGACCGAAATGTTATCTGTGACAGCTACAAGATAGACTTAGGAAAGCACCAGAAAAGAGAGCAACTGATTCTCTTTTCCCAAGCAATCACCAAAAAATAAGAAACAAAATAAGACTGAAAGTTCAGTGACAGACAACTGATGGTCAAAATCATATTGGCCAGGCATGGTGGCTCAGGCCTGTAATCCCAGCACTTTCGGAGGCCAAGGCAGGCAGATCACAAGATCAGGAGATGGAGACCATCCTGGCCAACATGGTGAAACTCTGTCTCTACTAAAATACAAAAAATTAGCCAGGTATGGTGGTGGGCGCCTGTAGTCCCAGCCACTCGGGAGGCTGAGTCAGGGGAATCGCTTGAACCCGGGAGGCGGAGGTTGCAGTGAGCTGAGATCGCACCACTGCACTCCAGCCTGGCAACAGAGCAAGACTCTGACTCAAAAACAAACAAACAAAAAAATCATATATAAGTCATGAACTATGGTAACTCAGAGCTACAGTTCCTCAAATCGTCCCGGTAAATGTAATAAATTTAAGGGAGTCTCTAAGAAGAATCAAATCTTAGTCACCACTGCAATTGTACCTGAAGACCAAAACAAAAGATAATGTTCCCATAATTAAAGACACAACCAGGCAGTTATTCTTAGAAGAAGCCAGCTAGACATTTTAAGCATTAGTAATTAATTTTTAAAAAATCCTTGTGAACAAAAAGGCACAGGTAAGAATGTGTTTCTGGTCTTAAGGCTGGCAACACCAGCACCAAGTGAGGCCGACAAGGCAATTTTGGTGGATCTCCTAAAATGTCTGATAAAATAAGGCCAGGGCTAAGTACTACTATGACTATGACTATGACTACGACTATGACTACGACTATGACTATGACTATGACTATGACTACAACTAATCATACTACTACCTGTAATAATAATTACAAAGCTGCTGAGTCTATTAACTTGCCAGGCAAGGGAACACTCAACAGTTAAGAAATTTACTAAGTCTCTGCAGTGTATAATCAGGGTTCATTAAGTGATTAAAAGAAGGGAATTCACAATAGTTATGCTAATTAAGAGCCAAAACTAGAACACCAAATTAAGTGAAATGAGTTTATACTTCTGCACTGTCCATTCATCAGGAAAGACTCCTTAATTTGTTGAATAAATAAATGTTCATTCAGCTCACTCAAATTCATGACATCTTATCAGCTTTAGCTGGTTAGAGCCAGTTATTATGAAATGAAACAATCGGTTTTGCTACATTCTAGGGAAGTGCTATTGTAGATATGTTTATGTGTGAACTAGATTGGTATGTAAACTGCATTTCTTAGTATGAGTTTCTGCCAAAAAAATTGAGTACCACTAGTTTAGATGTTAGGCAACATTAATTATTTGTCATATATATTTTGACTCTTCTCTAGATCCTAAATGCTCAGAAAGTTAGTTATTTTAAAATCACAGTTTTTTAAAGATAAAATAAAAAATGCTGATAGTCTTTATGGGGAGTTTTTGGCTAAAATTAGGTTAGAATAAATGCCGTGTTTCCTTTCTTTTGCTGATCAGTTTGTAGTAAAGAGATATAAGAAAATGAACTTCTCATAATTTTTTAAATGCACCAAATAAAGGAGAATGGACAAAAGCTATCAGTGTTACACATTGTTAAAAGAAGCTTTACTAACCTTGGCATAGAAAAGATGTCCAAGGTGTTTATCAGCAAACTGAATTACAAATGCAAAGTCAAATAAAAGTTTTACAATGCAAAGCTGAAATCAGGATTAGATCATTTTGAGGCATCTGGGTTGCTTTTTCATGGGTATATACTTAAGCTTGATTAGACAGGAGTAAAATGGAAATCATGAATTTATAGGCAGGGGTACATACATTTAAAATAATGAAATTGGTCTGCATGGAGTAGCTTAGCTAGCAGATTGTCACAGCATGATCTCTCATTAGGATATTTCCTTGAAGCTTAAGATTGTTAGCGTAAACAAGGCAGAAATATCCAGATGATAGTGGCTAGACACAGGTATTCTTCTTCAAACTTAACTGTTCTTTGAAGAATTATATGGTCCACAGAAATCCTGATAGGTATACTGCGAATATCAATCACAATAAGTATTATCACAAACTTTAAATAAGCACAGTGTGCTCCAGCTTACTTAAACTGAGAGTTTATGAGACTAATTGTCTTCCGTTATATGCAGATATTTGAATAAGCCATGTCTAAAGTATATTTTCCTTCTGAAATTTATTTTTGCTTAAATTGGAGCTAATGTCTGGCTTTGCAGTTAAGAGATATTCATATAAATATCCAGTGTCATATTTAAACCCAGATTTCAAAATTCTTTATGGTTTTGACTATTTCAGCTTCTTTATATGTTTTGGAAATACAGTAGAATTCAAAAACTCAGATTTTTTTGGTTGCAAAATTGCATTTCCTAATATTAGGATTCGAATATGTCATATGAAATCTAGAGAAAGTTTTTGCACCTCCCATCAATTTTTCAAGAATTTGAGTTTGTTTTATGCATCAATATGTTTGAAAATGTTTACATTTTGATGAATTAAAATCTCATGTTAAATAATATAGTTTACCTCTATTGATGTAAATCCTTTATCTCTTCCTTTATACACATTTTAGAATTTACATGCTCTAAAAGTTACATGCTATTGTCTCTAGCAAACTTCAAGTGGGCTGTTCACTGTTCAAAGTCTTTTGAAATATAATTTTTCCTGCATAAAATATTTTATTACATAAAATATTTAGGTCAAACCCATATTTATGCCTTCATAAAGGTATATTTGCAGAATGCATGATGATGAAAGAACTACTTTTCCTTTTTTAGATTTTGAATAAAAGACTGTGCTTCGGGAGATAAAATAAGGATGTAAAAGTGAGCAAGATTAGCTATGGTAGCTATAAATGAGTGTCTTTCAGTAGTAGTCCAACTTCTAGTCTAAATATTAGTGAGATAAGAGCCTAGGCAGTGTTTCTATTCAATTAATCATGGCTACCTTTCCTATACAATTCTTATTTCATCATTAATTTTTAAAATATTCTTTTACTCTTTAATTTTAAGAATAAAAATTATAAATCTTTTGTGAGTACAAATAACAACAGCATATATACAACCAATAATACTTGGTAAATGGATATCAACCTGTCAGTAATTCAATAAATACAATATTACTTATACCATTGAAGGTCCTTTATGCTCATCATAGAGGTAATACCCCTCCCGCCCTTTTAGAGTTAACCACTGGCTAACTTGTGTGTTTCTACTGCTTTTCATTATAATGAAAATACACACAAATACACACACACATATTCTTATGTATGTTCTTATAATTTAATACATATTAATCTGTCAGCTGTAAATACTCTCAAAAATTATTTTCTAGTTGTACCAGTAAATAATGCAAAAACATTTATCACAGTTTGATGTATCAGTTAATTTGAACTAATCATTATTTTCTGTCTCTCACTTACAATTTGTCATTATTTGCTGTTGTATGTCCTACATTATAAACTCCAGGAAAGCACAGATATGTTTTGGCTATCTTGTTTTGTTGAGGGAATGAAGGACTGGAGAGACCACAGGGTGAGACAGTAGAATTTTACTGAGTGCAGTCCGGCCCAGCAGCTTAACATCCAAAAACTGAGCCAAGAACAAAGACAGGTCTCGGCTTTTATACACACTTCAAAAAGGGGGCTGGCTAGTTTGAAGCAAGCTTACAGTGGTGTGAAGTGTAGTGGCACAAAAGCAAGTGTGCAGAAAGAAGCAGAACAAAGACAGTTAATCAAATTGTGACAGGTGCATAACTCAGGATTACGTATGACATCTTGCTATGTGGCTCAGATGGCTGTTACCTAGGTTTTACTCAAGTGCCTTGCATGGGCTTATCTCATAACATTCGCTATGGTGCCCAGGTGACCGTAGTTCAGGCCTGCTCAGGCTTCTCATGACCTTCACTGTGCTGCCTAGAATACTTGAAGGTACTAGTTACAGAGAATAGAAATCCATAAACTCCTAGGTTTACTTATATCATAAGAGAAGGGAAAATTTGTTTTTTCTTCTCCTTATGTTGAGGGAGTGCTGGGAGAGTCTCCAGAGCACATTCCTTTGAGCCCTGGTTTCTTATATAACATTATTGGAACTTTTGCCTGTGTCTGGGTTTTGCCTGTCATTGCCTTTGGGATGAGTCAGCCTAATACAGAAAGCTTATTTCTTTCTCTTTTTAATTTTATTTTTCTTTCTTTCTCTAATTTCTGCCTCAGTTTAATGCTCAAATTCCCCAAATTAGCATATATCGTTACTAAAAAACAAAATGCTCACAACCCCTTTCTCTTTTTTCATTTACAGCAATATTTATGCAAAACATAAAGTTTCTCTGCATCTAATTTTTCATAGATAACTTCATTGAATCCACTCCCACCATTTTTTTTGCTTCTACTTCCCCACAGAAACTGCTCTTATCCTGGTCTCCAATTATCTTCATGTTTCTACCTTCAGATTTTCCTTCTGCTTTGTTTCTAATTCTACTCCTCTCTATAACATCTTAAAAAGTGTCCCAAGTTTCAAACTCTTCTATTTATAGTCACTTTGGTGATGTTACTCCATGTTTTTTTTAATACTTTTGAGTAAAATCTGTACACTTAGTACTCCCAAATTTATAAATTCGGCTTTGCAATCTCCTTTGAGTTACAGACTCTCAGGCATAGGTGCCTATTCAATGTCACTTCTCAGATGCCTACTAGGCATACAAAATGCCAATATGATTCTTCTATTCACCCCTAAAATGTCTGCTTCTTATACTCTTTCTCATTTCAGTTAGTGACACAGCCATTCTGTTACTTAGGCCAAACTCTTTGAGTCATCCATAGTGTTTAACATCTTCTCACATTACACTTTAATTCCTAATTCCTCAAAAAAAAAAAAAAAAAAGTGGGTTCTTTCTAACAACATAGCTGAAATTTGACCACTTCTCTCTATCTCTGCTGTTTTCATCATGATAAACTCTGTATTGTTCCTTTCCTGAATTATTGTGAGTTTCTCCTAATTGATTTTTTTTTGTATCACACTTGACTCCAAGAACATACTCTCAATTCAAGGGCTAAAGTGGCTTTCAAGTTATGTTACATCGTGTTACTACTATGTCCAACACTTTCTGATGACTTCCCAACTCATGTGAAATTCAAAATCATCACAATGGCTTACCAGGCCTATGAGATGCACTCTCACCACATCCTCATTATTTATCTAATCACATTTCTTGTTTCTCATTCATTCACAGACCTAGTTATTTGAAGCTAATAGTCAACTTGTGATTATTCTGTTGTGTTCTACCTGTTGTGTTGCTGAATTAAAATGCTCTTCCTCACAATATGAAAATGGCTCATTCCCTCAACACATTCCATTTTTTAGCCAGTAGCATTTTTATGAAGGTATTTCATTACCACCCTATTTAAAATTGAAGTCCTTAACACTCCTGATTATCTTTTCTTGTTTTTTGTTCCTCACAAAAAACATGACACCTACTTTTAAAATGTCAATTGTTTCTCTTTCAATGTGAAATGTATGCACTATGAGGTTAGGGAAATATTGTTTATTTTGCCTTCCCAAGCAAGACATGGTGTTTAATAAGCATTTGTTGAATAAATATACAAATATTTGTTGAACAAACAAATAAATGACTGACTGATTTGACTGCTCCCAACCACTAGGACCATCTGGATCAATGGAAGATATGAAAAACATCAGAAAGGGAAGAATGTTGTCAAGTGTTGCCAGAGCACTGTAAAAGTCAAACACCACACCATATTCTGCCCCCAAGTAGAATTAACACAAAATAATTTTGTAGAAAGGAGAGATACCTTAACTAACAAGGTTAAATTTGAAATTGGTGAAAAAAAGAAAAGCACATACATGTATGATCTAGATACAGAACCCATGTTTTACAAGGGAGAATAAAAACAGTTACTTTTATTGTATGCCTGAGTTTCATGGTTTCACTGTATCATATTGGCTGCATATGGGGCTAATTTCTGATTACAGAAAAGTCTTATGCCATTTGCGTAGAGATTTGAAAACCCAAGGCTAAAACTAAAGGGTCATCATCCTAAATGCATGTCTGTAAATGTTTTCTAGAATTGTGACCCCTTGGTGATACTGCTGGGCAGAGAAGTTACTTCCAGAATTTATTGCTTTTTTATGAAACATAGATTCTGGTAACACTAGCTCTAAATGTCTAGTTACTCTAAACTGTTTTAAATTTTATGTCAAGATAGGTTGCAAAAGGAGATAAAGGAATAGAATACCATTTTTGGAGTGTATTGATGAGCCTAAATTTGAGGCTCAATAGAACATCTATAAACAGAGGCACATTTCTAGTTATTAAAAGGCCAAATTTTGAATTAGGTCTTTTTTTGAATTTGAACTTTTATCCCAAAAGAGCAGTGTCAAGGCAAATATTTCACTAGACAAAGTTAACAGCAGGGAATACTTTATCCAAGGGTATTGAAATTGTGGACAGAGGCCAGCATTCAATCTGAGCTCTACTCTACACAAAGAACTGAAGCATTTTTAAGATATAAGGTAAGAGGATGATAGGCCACATGTGTTTGCTAATTGGCTTTACTGAAAGGAAAAATAGACATTTTAATATTTTTATGACAGGAAGTATTTTCACAACTTGGCTCAAGGCACCAGTACTAATGTAGGTTTTATCCTCCCATAGAAACTGGTAGATAGGGGTATTCAACTTGATGATTACATTTGAAAGGGATGGGGCTCAGGTCCTTGAGAAAATATTCCTGGGTTGTTAAACTGGTAAGAGGCTGCAAAAATACTTACATCTCAAAGGGACAGAGAAAGAATTTACAGTTTCAAGTGTTCTAAATCAAATGGTATATAAAAAGGAAGGTCAGTGGCCTAGAGTAGGAACAAGCCTGTGTAAAGTTTTGTGAAGCTGAGGGGAATGAATACTAAGGTCCTCTTGGTCATGACTGCTATGTACATTAGCATCAGATCATCCCTAAAGGCAGATCAACACTGCCAGCCTTGCAAACCAGCATGCCTTTATCATCTTGTGGTTTGTAATTGACTGAGAACCATATGCTATAAATATTTTATTTTGTTTTTTCACAGCATTGACATCTCAAGATGACAACTTTTAGATTCTCAACATTTGTAGATAGTCTTTGTTGATTTTTTCCCACATGACACACTTTTTAGTAACTCTGTGTAATATGGAACTAATAACTGAATTGCAATGGTGATGACCCCAACCTATTAACTTCAGCCTTCAGTAACAGCGGGGATATGCAAGGATATAGAAACGAAAAATATAATTGTCTTCAGTATTTTTTCTTCTCACTAAGCGTAGTCCTTGTTGGACAGGACACAGTCAAAATAATCTTTATAATTGATTTTAAGAAATTTTATGTGGTAGCTCTACATTTTATTAGCATGAGCCTTTGTTATAAAAATATTATTGTATATATATATATAAGATGTAAATAATGATGATTTTGATATACATATAGATAGTAAAAAGAATTTTTTTTAGATAAAACCCAGAAGACAGTATAACATTATTGAGTTTTCTACAGAATTGTTTTTGTATTTCTGCTTTTTAATTATATTTTTAGTTGACATGTAATAATTACACATATTTATGGGGTACATAACAATATTTTGATACATGTATACAAGGACTTCAGTATTTTTCATTCTCACTAATTATAATCTTTAATGGGGGGATGTCATTAAGAGTATCTTCATAATTTATTTCAAGAAATTGTCTCCAGTAGTTCTACATTTTATTAGTTTGAACCTATTTTATAACTAGACAGCTTTCCTCAGTGTATGGTCCAGAATTCCACAAGGTGGCTCTGTGCCTCATTGTCAGAGCTGATAGTAATTCCAGTCACTATCTAAGTTTGTCATTTGTTTGCAGCATTTATTTCTCACAGGAGAATAAAGCCAAAATTTTTTAATCAAGTTAGAAGACATCATTTGATAATTACATTGCTTTTTAATGTGTATGAGTCTTAGCACCTTGAGTTAGGAAAGATTGTCAATGATTGAATTAAACTGATAATACCTAAAAAAAAAAATCCTGACAATTTTATAGTACTTATTATATATTATATATTAATTAACTCATTTATTCCTCACAATATTACTAAAGACAATATAAATATTATTGTTATTTTCAAAATAAGAAAACTGTGGCACAATATGTTAAGTAATTTGCCTAAAATCATAAATTAGTACTTGATGAGTTTTGATCCCAAGCTGTCTGAATTTAATTTTATAATCAAACATTCATAAACTGTTCTGCATCTCCTAAAATAAAACTTCTAAGATAATCATATATAAAATTTAATTTTAAATATAACTTGAAACATGTCATTTTCCTGAGTGTCTGTCTTATCTAATACATAATATCAGAATCAAATGTTGATACTACTTAATAATTTTATTTTATGTAAGAAAATATAAAAAAGACTATTAGCACAGATTGTGTGCATTTCATCATGCCAATATTATATCATTAACATGTTAATTTCACTTATAATGCAATTAGACATTGTGTAAGCTTTGTTTCAAATACAATTATGCAAAAATTATATCTAACACAAATTCATTTTAATTTTACATGTTTTCTCTCAGCTGATTTAATTTTGGGGAGGGGACCAATATTTTACAAACAATGAAACAGAAATGCCTAACACCAGTTAATACTCTAAATCCACATTTGAAAATACCAATATTTTATTTTAAAAATATTCTAAGATCTATCTATCTATCTATCTATCTATCTATCTATCTATCTATCCTACTTAGCTTGTGGTAATCCCTTCACAATGTATACCTATATAAATCCTCAAATTTTCAGCCTTAAATATGTACAGTTTTATTTTTCAATTCTACCTCAATAAAGCTGAAAAATGTATATATATTTGCGGAACCAAAAAGAAAAAGCACACAAAAAGGCATTTGTATGAATATATTTTACTTTAAAAATCAAAGAGGAAACCACATTTGAAAGGTGTATAATTTATGAAGATAATTTTTCTATTCTTTTATTGAGTTTACATATACCCATGCATCTTTGAAAATATAATTCTACAGGCTGGGCACGGTGGCTCACGCATGTAATCCCAGCACTTTGGGAGGGCGAGGCGGGCAGATCACGAGGTCAGGAGATCGAGACCATGGTGAAACCCCGTCTCTACTAAAAATACAAAAAATTAGCTGGGCGTGGTGGTGGGCACCTGTAGTCCCAGCTACTCGGGAGGCTGAGGCAGGAGAATGGCGTGAATCTGAGAGGCGGAGCTTGCAGTGAGCTGAGATCCTGCCACTACACTCCAGCCTGGGCAACAGAGCGAGACGCCGTCTCAAAAAACAAACAAACAAAAAAACATAATTCTACATATTGTAAAACAATATTTTATTTTAACAGTATAATAAATATATTTATTTATCATAAATATAAAATATAAAATATATTTATTATATTTAAAATATAATAAATATATTTTATTTTATTTTTATTTTAAAAATATAAAAATAAAACATATTTTATTTTAAAAAGCAGCATGTGCTTTGCTTTTTTTTCCCCCTAGTTATTTTGCATCTGATGCACAATACTAGATGCTCCACTTATTGGCATATCCTGTGTATGCATCTGCATGTATAAAGGTGGCACATTTCTTCTTTATTTTAGGACTTCTGAATTAATGGGAAACCAACTAGACTTAAATTTAAGGGTCAGAGTTTTCTGGTGTCTTTCTTAACATTGCCTAGGGGGATTCTTCTCACTGCAGAAATTTCACATTCAATCACAGTATACCCTGGGGGCATTTGTCATGGTCTTGGCAGGTTAGATAAATAGTTACATAAAATCAGGGGTGAAGGTCAATAAGGACAAGTCTGAGGTAGCTAAATTAAAAGCAAAATACCAGTTATAATGTTACTTGTAGTGGAATGACTAGTTAAGTTCAAATAGAGCAGAATCACAACTGTCAAGTTATAGATTTACAAAAGCATATTTTGACTCTATGGTAATAGGCAATTTAAATCAAAAATCTATTTTTGTACAAGGTTATTCTCAGGACCTGTGAGAACCTGTTATCTTCCTATCACATATATGATTTGTTGATCACAATTGATTAAAAAAATGAATTAAATCAGAATAAAAACCAAAATGGGAAGGAAAATTAGAGGAGTGCATGATAAATGAAAACTATGAGTCAATTCAAAGTGACTTTTTATTAATTTATGAGTACAGAAGTGTTAGTTCCTTTAGTCCTGACTAGAAATTGTTAGCAACAAGTAGAATCTAATTAATCATTCATTTTGCATTATTAAATATGTATTAACCACTGTGCTAAAATTATGTCATAGTTCCTACAGTCGCAAAGTATAATCTACTTAAGTCATTCAGTAATTGGAAAAAAAAATCATTGTTTTCTTATAAATATTTATCATAGGGAAAACTGGGAGACCAACTTTTAATAAATATACAAATAAATGAATACATTTATTAATATAGTGTTACATATTTTAAAGAAAATTTAAATATAGAGATATTACTTATGGGGTCTGGTGGGATGGGCAGCATTGTATATAGTGCTTAGAGAAGGTCTTTCTGAAGAGCTAATATTATTTATGAGATTTAAATGGTGAGAAAGAGACAGATGTTAGAAGACAAGAGGTTCAGACAGAAAGATTATCTAGGGCAGAGGCTCTAAGGCAAGGATGAATGACAAGAATGTTTAAAGGGAAGATCAAAGAGCAATGTGGAAATGATAGTGTACAAGTTATCAGCAAAGGTGTTAAGTACTCTACAGAGCCTCAGTTGCTTGTACCTAAGTAGAAGACAGGTAAAACTTTTCTACTCAAGAACACTTCAGTTGATAATTTATGACAGTCAATGACAAAGCAGGGTGCAAATTATTTTGGTAAAATATCAGATAGTAAAAGTTTTAGGCTTCATTGGCCAAAAGGCAAAATTGAAGATATCATATGTCTGCTTATATATCAAACAAGAAGCCACATTTCCATATTTTTATTGACTAAAATAAAAACCTAAGAATAATTAAGTAGACTTATAATATGAATCTACTGATAAAAACAATTGAATTATTTACTGGGAAATAGCATTTTGCTTAATTGAGATTCAAGGTTTATTTTACCTATCATCAAAATTGATTGCAAATTCTCATCTGTTAATACTCATCTATAATGAAATTTTACATATTTTATCTTTGGTTTTTTTTTTTTTTTTTGACATGGAGTCTCACTCTGTTGCCCAGGCTAGAGTACCATGGTACAATTTCAGCTCACTATAGCCACCACCTCCCGCGTTCCAGTAATTCTCCTGCCTCAGCCTCTAGAGCAGCTGAGATTACAGTCGTGCACCACCATGCCCAGGTAACTTTTGTATTTTTAGTAGAGACAGGGCTACACCATGCTGGCCAGGCTGGTCTCGAACTCCTGACCTCAGGTGATCTGCCTGCCTTGGCCTATCAAAGTGCTAGGATTACAGGAATGAGCCACTGTGCCCGGCCTGATATTGTTTTTAACACAGAGATACTGCCAAATATTGATATCAGTTCATAAGCATATTCTTTTAATTGAGCACATAAAACATTTGGAAGGTATTCTACTAGATTCTTTCTCTTGATATTTGCCTTTTGGCATATCATTATATTATTATATTGCAGAGTTGTCACTTCCAGTTAAAGGTTAGGTAGGAGTTTCTCAATTGTATAATTACATTCATTTTGAAATATTAAACTTTCTTTTATAGCTACATCAATTTTCAAATACCAGTCCTGAAATTGTAGTTTGAACTCAGAGAAAATACATCTTACTGCAAATTTGCATGGGAATGAAGAACAACTTTTTGTTATAACTCATGAAAGCACAGAGAGAATGTACAGCAGATTGGCATTTTGTTAAATGATTTATTGTTTAGTTGTTGAAACTGCATTATAGCAGTCAACAATTTTCATATAGCACTATTTTGCTTTGTAATTTTTGAATGAATTTTGATAAATATCTACAAATGTTTACACTAAAAGCTAATTTCAAAGCCTTTCAACGAAGCGATTGGGGTGACTCTTCTTTAGAAAAATTTCCATCATGTCGATCTGTCCAAATAATTAGTATAAAATGTTACCAATGCTAGATGATCTAATTATTATGCAGGTAGGTTAGGATTCTTCAATTTTCCATAAAAATATTTCTATAATTGACAATGGTTACATAGACAAGAATGAATGAAGTTCACATGATAGATTCAAACATTTTCTTCAACTATATGCTGGTAATAAGGAATGACAAAAGATTTTATAAACCTTGTGTTTTCACACACTATAAATTTTTCTAATTATGTACTTTTTGATGCACATACGTTTTTACCACCAATATTTGTAAACCATCTTAGCAAATTCCATTTCTGGATGTACGAAATTAGTTTTAACTTGACATATTTGAAAAAATTCAAGTGAGAATATTTTCACTTGAATTTTTTCCTTGCAGACTACAAAGAGAAATTAATTCTTCGCATACTTCAAACTGGTCATTAACCTATTGAAAAATCGGTCATAGTTGAAGAGTGTTAATAGTACCTCTCAACTCATCAAGTACCATGGACCGCCACCCTAAGTCATATCCTTTACTTTTATTTAAAACAATTATAAAACATTCTGCTCTAAATTTCATCTTGAATGAATTTGATAGCTATTCTTGTATACTTGGCATATGTCATGCTCCTTTGTTTTTCAACATTGAAATTTCATTTATATCTGGAAAATAAGACTTACCTATGAGGTTAAGGGACTTATATATTGTTAGTTAAGAAAGTCATTTTCAGAAAACTTCTGACGGGCTCGGTGGCTCATGCCTGTAATCCCAGCACTTTGGGAGGCAGAGGCGGGTGGATCATGAGGTCAGGAGTTCAAGACCACTGTGGCCAAAATAGTGAAACCCCATCTCTTCTAAAAATACAAAAATTAGCCGGACATGGTGGCAGGCACCTGTAATCCCAGCTACTTGAGAGGCTGAGGCAGAGAATTGTTTGAACCCAGGAGGCGGAGGTTGCAGTGAGCCAACATTGTGCCACTGCATTCCAGCCTGGGTGACAGAGTGAGACTCCATCTCAAAAAAAAAAAAAACAAAAAAAAAAACACATTCTTAAAATCTAGGGCAAGTTCCTGTGCCTTAAATTTGGCCATTTGATTCTTTCATACGGGACTTTGTAGATGGGGCAGGTGATTCAATGGTTTAGAAATAGTTTGAATTTTATTAATGACTATAGACATTGTATATAGGATATTTTTATTTTTTTATTTTTTTGGTAGAGTCTTGCTCTGTCACCCAGGCTGGAGGGAAGTTGCGCCATTTCGGTTCACTGCAACCTCCTCCTCCCGGGTTCAAGCGATTCTCCTGCCTCTGCCTCCCAAGTAGCTTGGACTACAGGGGCGCGCCACCACTCCCAGCTAATTTTTTCGTATTTTTAGTGGAGACAGGGTTTCACCATGTTGGCCAGGATGGTCTCCATCTCCTGACCTCATGATCTGCCCACCTCGGCCTCCCAAAGTGCTGGGATTACAGGAGTGAGCCACCGCGCCTGGCCTGTATATCAGATTTTTGAAGGAATCTCTTATTCGTTTTTAGATCTTTTCGAGAAACAGCCCTTGGTACTAATGTAAGTATCATGGAACCCATGTAACCAGAATATTTATTTCTCTCAGTCAATATGACATTTTCTGATCCACAAAGTATAAAGACAGGCATTACTAGTAGCCATTCATCATCAAGTCCACTTAGAGAACCCTAACATAGTCTCTTAAAATTGACAATGATTGTTTTAAAGGAAAGAAAAAAGTTCTAGCAGGGCTTCTGTTTTGCTCTGCAGAGTGTGTTTATTCCAAAAAGGGATGTTACTAAAGTAGGATAAGAATATAAATGTTTCCCATGGAGAGATTTTGTTTAGAACATCTTCACTGATCACTTTGCTATATAGGAGTGTTGTCACAAGATTAGGACCTATACCAGTAAATAAACAATGGCAAATAAACACACTGGATTCATGTGACATTCACAGATAATAGCCTAAGATGCATTTTTGTCTTCTGTAAAATAACCCTAATTATCATAAAGAAAACCATCTTCCAGCTTAAAAAAATGTGTCTCTCAGGGCCATTGTAGCCAAGAATACTAGGACACATAGTTATACCAATATTCGTATATAAATGTATATAACGTATATAAATGAAACGTCCTGGATAAGCATTTTGAGAATACTCTTTTAAATATACCTAACTGACTGGCATGTACTATTTTTCCCAGGTCTAGAAAATAGGTGCAATATTTAAGTGAAAGAGCCTTTCTAAGACTATGAAGCAACAAATCACTTCAAATGGTGGTTGAATATAATTTTATGGAGAGTGTAAGGGCTTTATACTCATGGAACTGTTCTACATATACTGGCATACTTTCACTTAAGAAAAATAAAATGTCAAATTTATTTAAACCATGTTTTATTTAGATTTAATTTTACTTACAGCTCTTTTATCATATGGACAGTAGGATAGATCTGACTAAATATGACACACAGAATAATTTGGATTTATTTTCTTCACCCTTTTTTTTTTTTTTTTTTGAGACGGAGTGTCACTCTGTTGCCAGGCTGGAGTGCAGTGGCACGATATCGGCTCACTGCAACCTCTGACTCCCTGGTTCATGTGATTCTCCTGCCTCAGCATCCCAAGTATCTGGGATTACAGTCACGTGCCACCACACCCAGCTAATTTTTGTATTTTTAGTAGAGATGGGGATTCACCATGATGGCCAGGATGGTCTCGATCTCCTGACCTTGTGATCCACCCACCTCAGCCTCACAAAGTGCTGGGATTACAGGTGTGAGCCACCGTACCCAGCTTTCTTCACCCTTTTGCTTTCTGCCATGGCATTATGCATCAAGAAGGCCCTTGAAAGTTTTACCAGCCCTTTCACCTTGGAATTCCTGGTCTCTAGAATGGTGAGAAGTAAATTTATGTGCTTTATAATTTACATAGTCTCAGGTATTCCATTATAGCAGCACAAAATGAATACACGCATAGACAATGATAAATAATAGCAAATGTTTTGAAAGCTGTTTATTTATTTGTTGGAGGGGGATCAGCTACTCTACCTATGACATCACACAAAAAATCACAGATTGATTACAAAACAGTTGTGGAACATTACTTCAGAGGTCATAAACCTTAGAATTGTATGGGTAATCAAAACTAGTCTGGTTTTCCAAATTAGGATTTTTAATGGCTTTTAGTATATTACATTAACTTTTGAGAAGGCTATGTTTTAATATTATATAAAAAGATTACAATTTGAAAAACGCTAAACAGGATAAAATGCTACCATGTTTTTCAAATAATTATCTGTTTCTTTCCAGGGCCATATAGCTTCATCACAGTAATCCCCAGCCCAAAACAAGTAGCCAGTGAGTCACTAAGAAAAACTGGAGTACTAAGGCTGCCTATTGGGAAATGATCAATATATCAACAAGAACTTCTTATCTTGTTGAAAGTCATTGACATTTAATGAGATATGACATAATGATATTCCACCAAATACCGTAAAATTTGACAGATTAATCTGGGGAATTTGACATCTTAGTAATGATTTTTTTCATCCCATCTGTTATAATTAATTACCATATATTGTGTAACACAAATTTATACGTACTGCTTTATCTGCCTTTCACAAGTTTCAAGAAGTAATATTTACATACTGAGTTCTAAGGAATTTTATCTGTATTATTAGTTTTGTATGAGCTCATTAAATTTTTATGTCCATAAGGTCTTTTATGTTATTTTACTGTTGTTACTAATGTTTATAGTGATAACAATATGGTCAAAAAATAAGGCTTATGATACTAATTTTTCAATAAGATATGACCAGCACATGATTACTTATCCAAATATATCATGGGTTTTTGAAACCGTGTATATGCTTTAGTTTGGAAGAGCTGTGATATGGTTTGGCTCTGTGTCCCCACCCAAATCTCATCTCGAATTGTATCCCCATGTGTTGAGGGAAGGACCTAGTGGGAGGTGATTGGACCATGGGGGGAGATTTGCCCGTTGCTGTTCTCCTGATAGTGAGTGAGTTCTCAGGAGATCTGATGGTTTAAAAGTGTGGCACTTCCCCCTTCACTCTTTCTCTTTCTCCTGCCTCTGTGGGAAGATGTGCCTTGCTTCCCCTTCGCCTTCCACCACGATTGTAGGTTTCCTGAGGCCTCCCCAGCCATGCAAAACTGTGAGTCAATTAAACTTCTTTTCTTCATAAATTATCCAATCTCAGATAGTTCTTAGTAGTACTGTGAAAACAGACTAATACAGGCTGCATTCTATGCATTTTATTCAGCTTAAACTTACTAATTTTGTTACTTAAATTTTTATATGTATATAGAACTATATATGCATTTAGTCTATCATTGACTTATAGCTAACCTTGTTCTATCATTTTTGCTTTGTATAATTTAAGCTCTTTTATTACTGTAAATTTAAAACAAATATATCTAAAATGTACTAAAACTTTTTGAGTCTATATTGGCCTTGGTCTTGAGTTACAGGTTTTGTTTTGGTTTGTTCTTATTATTGCTTTGCCTTAATGTTTATTCTACTGGTAATAGCCTATGTAGAATAAGATTCTTGTGATTAGTACTCACATGAGATATTTCTGTTATTTTACTTTTGACCATCTGTAAGCATTAGAAAGGTTTTTTTTTAAAAAAGCATAAATTTGGAATTTTTTTATTTAGTCTGAGAATTTTTTTGTTTATTTTAGAGACAGGGTCTTGCTAGATTGCCCAGGTTGGGCATAACCTCCTGGGCTCAGGAAATTCTCTTACCTTAGCCTGTCTCATAGTCTTCAGCCATGAAGCTGTCTTTCGGCATGAAACTCAACTGGTAATTTTTTTTTTCTTAGAGGGAATTTTTAAGGCATTTTACCATTAATATTTTTAAAATATTTAATATTTTCATCTATTTCAATAATTTTGTTGTGCTTTCCTTTACATCAATTTTCATATTGTTTATTTTTTAAATTTTGACTTATTTTAGAGTAATAGTTATAGGTTGGTTTTTAATTTATTTGGCCCCTGCCCCAAATCTGAGGATTGGCGTTTTTTGAACAATTCTGAGAAACAATCATTCTGATGTGGGCCACGACTTCATTTACATGGGGTGTACACCAAGTAACCAATGGGAAACCTCTAGAGGGTTTCCCCAGAAACTCTGTAATAGGGCTCTTGAGCACCTTTTCTCAGGCCAGCTCCTACCCTGTGGAGTGTACTTTGATTTTCAGTAAATCTCTGCTTTTGCTGCTTCATTCTTTCCTTGCTTTGTTTGTGCATTTTGTCCGGTTCTTTGTTCAAAACGCCAAGGATCCGGACACCCTCCACCGGTAACTATTAGATTGTGTCTCTAGAAACTTAGTGGAGACTTTTAGCTTTTATTTTTGATTTCTACTCAATGTTATTGTCAATATGGGCAAATACATGATCTTTTGTAATAAGGTGTGCATTTTTGTGCACTCAGGAGATCATTCCCTGTGGGGTCTTGTCTCTAAACTGAACTTTCACCCTTTATAGGTTCCAGGTTTGGTAGTTTATCTCTCGATTTGTGCAAAAAAAGAAAAGAAATAAACATATATATATATATATATATATATATATATATATATATATATATATATATATCTCCACTAAGATTCAGTTCTAGGCTAAAAGTATTCAACAGACGTTCTCGGTGTTAATACCAGTTACAGTACTATCTTACTTCTCTGCATTTGTGTTTTTTTATTATTATTATGATTTATGGCCTTTATTTTTATCTATTTAGCTAAGAGTTTTGGTTTTCTTAAGCCATCCTATGTCTCTAATATTTGTTTAGTCTTTAAATATATCGTATTTTTTTGCGTATAGAAATTCAAAACCAAATTCATATGACAAGTTCTTGTTTTGTAAGCTAGATATTTACCATGTTTTTTTATATGTTTGTTTTGAATTTTCGTGTTATTCTTCTCCTATGTATGCAATGCCTATATACACATACACAGGAGGGCCAATATAATAATGCATTGTTAACATTTTAACAAACCTTCCCTAGAAATTTTTTCCCATAATACTTATTGAGATGAAAGCATAAAAACTAGTTTAAGATTAAACAGTTATTAAGTGGAAGAAACTGCATGCTGAACTCTTTGTGCATAAACAAATAGTGGACTCATCCAACTACACCATAAAAAGACATGTCAAAATATTATAAAATTGTAAAGAGCTATATATTGGGAAATACTCTAAAGAAGGAGGTAATAAATGTGAACTGGGTATATTGAGATCTCATCTATAATTTTGAGGAAATGGCTTCGTATTACAATGACAAAATTTTGTTAATTACCCAATAAAAATGTTGTCAAATAAACTGAATACCTGTTTTAAAATTTATCAATTTATTTATAATTATTTATAATTTATCAATTATTATTTAAATTTACACTTTAGGGACTAATTGTACTAAAAATAAATTATAAATTGTTTCCACAATTTCAGGATTCAAAATTATGTTTTTATATTACAACCATTATATTTGTTTTGGGAAACCAGTAGTTTGATATACATTTTATATGTACTTCATTTATATCAAGAGGCAATCTTCTTGAAACATTCTATGGAAATCAAGCTTTATATATCAAACAGTATTAATCTAAGCATATATTTGAAAAAAGGAGATAACAAATTTTTCTTTTACAAAGTAACAAATTGTTTCATTTATGTATCAAAAATTTCTGCAAATAAAATGAAATCACACATATTAAAAAATAAAAAAGTCTCCTTAGTGTTGAATAAAATCTAAACATTAGATGTTTTATTTATAATTTTAAGTTTTCTCTTCTTGTACATCATCCATCTTTATAAAGCTGAAATACCGTTTTGACTTGAAAGTTATGGTATTCTTCTGTGTGTTTTATATAATCCGATCTCAGATTCAATGCGATATAGAGTAAATTTAATGAGAAAGTTATACCTTGTTTACAGATCCTGCCACTTAATAGCTTGAAGGCACTGAAACTTAAAATTCACTATATGTTTTTATTAATAATAAAATAATGTCACATCTAATTTACATAACTGTATAAAGCTTTTGAATATTTAAACTTATGCAATCGTACATTATATGTGGTGGCACAAAGTGTTAAATATTATTGCATGAATAATTTTAATTATATTTATTAAAACTTTTCATCTCCCAATAATTTTTTATTTTGACACTTCAATAAAAACATTAAAATGATAAAAATGATATTTTGATGTTATAATTCAAAATTTCCATTGTCTTGAATATATGAGATTGACTAAAAGGAATATTAGCACATCTGCTACAGTATAGAATTTACTAATTTTTAAATATATCAAAAATACCTAACTATTTGTCATTCATCATGTTTTATTCCTGATTTAAAACTGAAAACATAATGTATGAAAATATATATTTTTAATTTTTGGGTCATGTACTAATGAAAGACATACAATCATAAGAAATTTCTTTATCCAACCTGCCTGAAATAATATTCACATTGTCTTGATTTTCTCAAGAGTTTATTCACTTTTTACATAATCATAAGTTTAATTTTTAATAAGATAGTAGTATGTAATTAAAATTTATAAGTGCATTATTATTTCCAATTAATTTTCAGATTATTTTATAGATGATTGTGTCATTTTAAAAGACATTGCTTCCAAATGTAAATAAAGTGAGCATTCCAGATATATTGTAAAGATTATATTCATAATTGGATTATCTATCTTCACGGATAAGGAAAAAGTTTTAAACACAAAACATTAAATATAAGGTGAGGGTGTAATATTGACTTATTTGTAATTAGAAAACTAGATCAAAACATTCTCTTAGCAAAAATAGGTGAACCATTCTGGAGCAAATTACTAATATAAATTATTTGGAGGTAAATGTCAGTTTTGCACTTAATGCACACATTCATATTCCTTTATAATAAATGATTACTAGAAATTCATATACTATACATAAGTAAGCATTTCCATAGGCTGTCAACCTAATATATGCTTATGCAAAATATTAGGACTTTATACACTTATCGTTTTAAAATAAGAGTTGTCTTCCATAAATTTTGAGATTTTATTACAGAAGGTAAAAATGCTTTATTGTTTCTGGTTTTATACAAATAACATTTATCAGTTCACACCATTTATAACTGATAATCTATCTGTACTTAAAGTTTTCAAGCTTCCTTGTTAATTTAAATATTGTTATTCTTCCATGAAGAAATCTAACATTGTATGATTTTAGAGATAATCTTGGTAAACTTTCTAAAATTTTTTACTACGGAATAATTTTCTTTAGGTTTTCACATCATCCACTATAATAGGTAATAACTGGTGCCTGCATTTTTTTCTCAAGCATTGGGAAATGAACATAGTTAATGACTCACATAAAAATATTTATCCTGTATCTCATATTTTAAGTTGACAGTGTTAAATATGACAATTAATGTTAATATCTGAGTCTAATGTATTTGCAGAAAATGTGTAAGCTATATAAACACAACGCTAAAAAATGACAAAGGAAGTTTCCTGTTATGTTAAAATTGAAACCTAATTCACTTTCAAGTCCCCAATTTTTTTGCACTGTATTTATTACTTTTTTTAAAAAAAACAAACTCTTTTATTTAAAGGTGAATATTTAACTTGGTTAAGATGTGCAAATGTGTTTATCTAATTGAGACAAAAGTTAAACAATTAATTGTCTTAAATCTATTTTACTTTTTTTCCATGTGAGTGTATATCTATTTTTGAGCCAGTGTTTCCTTAACGTTAAATGCAATGCATATGTCCTCAGAATAAAACACTCATGTCCAGTATTTCTCCGTATTTATTAAAAATAATTATCTAGACAATATATAATTTTACTACTAAATTGGAAAATGCATTTACTTAGGAAAATGTGCCTTACTCTTCCTGTGAAGCTTGACATAATTTTCTTCTTTACCTCACCCATTTATCTTTTCAAAAGATCTCAGAGAAGTCCTTCCGGATAATTCCATCTAAAGTATCCCTGTCCCAACTCCACTTCCCCAACACATATTATCTTTTACTCTTAGAAGTTTGTTCTATGCTTATTTGTTTCTAGATAGTTATTTTCGTGCTGATAAGAGTGCCAACTCTGTAAGGACTCTGTGTCATTTCTGCACCTTATATTCCTACTAAGATAATTACCTGCCACATAAAAAATAAATTAATATATGTACAGTTGAAATACATGGAGAAACCACAAAAATACTTCCTTATAAAATTCTCCTAATCCAGTATCAGTAGATTTAACAGCTCTTAACATTTTTATTAACATTTTCTTAGAAGAAATTGATGAACTGAATTTTAGGCATGTTAAACAACAGCGTCCTGTACAACATCTGATTGTCAATATGTATTATTGTTTGGGTGTGTACGAATAAAAAGATGCCATCTGTGCTAGTAAGGAAGATTTAGGAGTTACTATTAATATAATAGTGGGGTCAATTTAATTAAAGTTGATACAATTGCCCAGTGAAGTATAAAATATAGAAGAAAAGAGAATATAGCCAAACACTGAAGAAAACTAGTATTTATGGTGTGGACAGAGGAAAGGAAATGGAAGAAGCTGGTCCAGATTGTCCAACAGATTTTGTGTAGGGTGGGAGCTCATTACCTTTTTTTCTACCAGCAACCAAGAAACAAAACAATTCAGGCACTCTGCCTTTTTTTTTCTTTTTTTTCTGTCTCATCCACTATCAAATCCAGAGTTTGAACGGCTCCTTCTGCCAATGAAAAGTAATAACAAAGGAGAAAAGCTAGTGGAGATCAGTATTACGGAAATCAAAAAGAGAGCAATTTTCAAGAAGAATAGGTTATTAAATATCAAAGAGAAATCAGAAAAGTCAGAAAAGTATCTATTAATTTGTTAAATACTAATTTTTTAAAAACTTAAGGCACAGATCAATTTTCATTTACTTCAATTTTCCCCGAGGTTTGCTCTACTGAAAAGATTTTATCTGCTATGTGGTTCTTTTTTGCCTATCTTCTCTGAAGGACTCTCCTTAACAATGAGCTTCCTGATACATGTCCTGCTGATCACACTAAGACTTCATGACTCTTTTGTGCTCTAATTTTTATGACAATTTCAGTCATTAGGATTTGAGAGGTTTAGATATCTTACCAAAATTTTGAGGGATGCCACGAGGTGTTGCATTAAGTACAGTCCAGAGTATCTCTATTTTTCTAATTCAGTTTCACTAAAACTTTTAAATTCGTTCCTTTTTATACTCTCAATGTAACGAAGCCTGCGAGCCTGCCATCATAAGACTTTTTCATTTGTAGATACGAAGTTCGAATCTCCTTCTGCCCTGTGAGTATATTCTGGCTACGAAATTCCAACTGCTTCACTGTTGTATACACTGAACAGATCAACCCCTTTCCCCCACGCTCCTTTAGTCTATCCTGTTGAATAAAGAGCGTATTTTCATTTGATATTATCTAATGCTTCTTTGAGAGTACAACTTTGTTGGATTTTTGAAGGACATGATGTGGATGCAACAGAAATGACTGAATCTATACCATATTATCTAGAATACAGTGGCATTTGATTAATGTTTGTTGAGTTCTTAAAAACATATTTTTTCTCTTAACAGTACTGGCACAATTTCAGTATTTAAAAAGTATGTGTGTATTTTACAGCAGATTTGTCCTCCTCATTCTCTAAATGAAATATACAGTGTCTGTCAACTTCAGCATTTCCATATCTCCTCTTTCTCATTCCCCATGCCAGGAGGAATGCCTCTAATAGTTTTATACACTAGAGCTTAAATATATCTAGAGCAAGTAGGTCTTTCTAAAATGAATAAAATGAAAATGGATTATGTGGCAGACTACTGTGTGATGATACAACTCATTAATATATGTAACAGTAACTTGTGCAACACCAGTGTAATCCACAGGAAAAAAAAAGATAAATAATCTTTACATGGGGATCAGTTGTAGAGTATCATTGAGAAGAACAGAGCATGTTAACTGCTACTTCAGATATCAGGTAGAATAGAGAGCTACTAATCATTTGTAGCAGTAGAAGATGCAAAGGGTTGGTGAAAAGAGTGTCCTAGTTATCAGTCCTCAGAACATGTTTAGTCTTCTACAAGGGCCCACCAAAACAAACAAACAAACATGTGGGGAATATTCTTTGGGTACTCTTAGTGCTATCAGTGAGGAATTTAGGTAAGGCTGAATTTTCACAGAAATAGATCGGAGTCTAACAAATACTTTTTTTGTAATTGTTTTTAGTTGCCTATTTTTACTCCAAGAATGGCATAGCCAATAAAACAAACAAAACAAACAAACAAACAAAAAAACGCTGGATGCCGTGGCTCACGCCTGTAATCCTAGCACTTTGGGAGTCTGAGTCGGGCAGATCACGAAGTCAGGAGATTGAGACCATCTGGCTAACACGGTGAAACCCCGTCTCTACTAAAAATATAAAAAATTAGCCAGGCTTGGTGGCGGGCACCTGTCGTCCCAGCTACTCGGGAGGGTGAGGCAGGAGAATCGCTTGAACCCGGGAGATGGAGATTCAGTGAGTCAAGATCGTGCCACAGCACTCCAGCCTGGGCAACAGAGCGACACTCCATCTCAAAAAAAAACAAAACAAAAACCTAAAAAACAAAAACAAAAACAGACAAACAAACAAAAAACAAAGAAACCCCCTCCCAAAAAAAACCCTATTTTACATTTATATCAACTAATAACTAGATGAGATGGGACTAGGGCCAGTTTAATTCAAAAGTGAAAACAATCATTTACATGAGTTGCTTACATACACACACACAGAAATTATCTTCTTTTTAAAGTTTACTGCTTTCACAACATTATGAGTCTTCTGCTTGCCTTGGGAAAAAACACTGTAAGCTGTTTTTTGTTTTGTTTTGTTTTGTTTTTAATTTATGTTGTCTGTTACCATAACATTTTGTGTAAATAAAATATTTAGAGGAAAGAATGAAATACTGTCTACCTACTTAAGTGAATATAGATGTAAGAATATAAATATATACATAAATGAAAGGTATTACCCTGGGACAGAGCGAAGTAAATCTTGTGAGGTTCTCTGAGAGCATTTGGACATACTGTGTACCTGAAGATACATAAGGGGTACATTGTTGTATAGTTTCCAGTTCTTAAGCAAGCTACCATGTTCACAACACATGCAAATGTTAAATCTGAATGCTGAGCCAAAGGAATATATTCCATTTATAACTGTTGCAGTTATATGTGCTGATTATAGTTGATATTTTGGCCAACGAAATATTTGCATAGGAACATAAATATTAATTGTATGTTCCATGAGAAGCATGCCTAACTTTGGTCAACAAATATTTAACATTAGAGATGTTAAAATTTTTTCCTATATTACATAAAATGAAGAATTGAAAAGCTTCTTTATTTTTTCTGATATATAAAGAGCTAAGAACTGTGTTTGGCACCATACAAATATGAAAAAATAGTATCTACGATTAAAAGTTTTCCAAAAATATTATTAATTAATTATTTTATGTGTTTCATTCATTCATATTGAGTAATGACAGTATGCAATTTCTCCTACTAAGAACAAGCAATAAATTGGTAAATAAAGCTTTTATAGTGTACTTCCAGAGATACATATTTAACAAGGCATTTGCAGGCTGGGAATATAGATGCAATGGAAGAAGTGGGTATTGCTATTATACTGTATAGAAAGGACACCTAACATAATTTTGGAGCAAAGGGATTTATTCCCAGTGTAATTAGTATCTACTTTGAAATATGTATCATAATTTGCCAGGTGATGATTGGGTGAAGTTTTGCAGGAACCAACTGCATACAAAAAGAAAAAATACTGGCAGCAAAAGAGCATAATTAGTGGCCAGTATGTGACACCAAGAAAAAAAAATTCTTAATTTGCTGTGGTTTCACAATGGCAATGTGGTAATCATAAAAACAAATCCTTCTTCAGAGATGATTAGTGAGCTATTTACAGTATTACAGCATTGCAGTTATTTATGATCTTCAAAGTAAACATTAAAAGACTACAGGGTAAAATGAAACAGTATTGGCAAAATGTTGAGAACATTGCAAGTAAGGCATAGGCATATGAGTTTTAGTAAACTTCTCTCTAACTTGGTGTGTATGAAACATCTCCATAATAAAAATTAGAAGAAAAAATTAGAAGTAAAAATTAGAAGAAAAACCCCACAGAGAATGAAAGAGAATTTATAATCTGGGAAAGTTATTTGAATTCTAAAAACAAAAAATTGCAATAATATATACGCAAGTGTTAATTATTCCTAAGAAAACTATAGATAACTTCAAAATTATAGGCAATAGGTTTTCATAGAAAAGTAATTAGGAATGACTTATATAAATATAATTAGTAATAATGAAAATGCAAATTAGAACCAAAATGAGATGTTTCATATCAAATTGACAACAATTAAGAAGCTTACTAATATCAAGCATTAGTAAGAATTTTCATCAGTAGTTTTATTGCTCTTATTAGATTTTTAAATTGATACAAGTACATTAATAATGTGACAGCCATATAAAGTTAAATATCCATAAACTCCAAAAAGCAGTAATTTCACTGTTAGAGTCATATATCTTTGGGAACTCTTGTACTTCACCACCAATATTTCCATAAGAATATGACTGTAGTTAAGTGGGAGAGAAAAAACGGTTCAGAGGACTGAATGGCTGTATATAATGTAATATATTTGCCAGTGAAATACCATAGATCAGAGAAAATACGGTTACAGAACACACTTGAGAAATAAAATATATTAATGAAAAAGAAAGCTGTAAGACTATTTATAGCATAACTTTTATTGTCAGCAAAATTATAAAAAAAAATAAACACTTGCATATGCATATATACATATTATGCATTTTAGGAACTTTACATTTGTGATTAAACATTTTTAAATCTAAAAAAATTCTGCATATATATATATATGTATATATTCAGATTATTGGTTAACCTGGGATAGAGGAAAACTTTAGGATACAGTAAAAAGAAACAAAAATTCATATAGCAATACCATTGGCTTTCTGCTTGATGGGTTTAGTAGTTAATTCCTGAGGGTTTTTTTTTAAATTATTGTGCTTTTAGGTTTACATGTGTGTTGCATAGATTTTTTTCATGTATCACATATTATATAATGAAACAGTTAAAATGGATTAGTATGAGGGCATTCATACAGAGCGAAGGTTATTCATTACCAAAGCCAGGATGTGTGTATTATGTAATTATAAACGGAATAATTCATTCTTAATTTATAACAATCTAAACTGATCATACCAAAGGATATTGTATTGAATTAGCTGAAGTTAATACTCATAAAATAAGAACTTTAAAAACATAAATCAGAGTTAAAATATTTGATGTATCTACTTTCATATGTGACCATATAAACAATTTGACAAAGACAAAATATGTCAATTAGCAATGATGTAATGGATTTCAGTAAAATTGTCAGCAGGATTAAAACTATGTGTATACACATAAATCTTTGTATACTGCAGAGAAATTATATGTTTTTAATACAAACAAAGAAAACAAGTGCATTTAATCAAAACAGTTGCAAGGCATACAGTTTTAAAGAATAATAATCCAATAATAAAGTATTAAGAAGTAAAATGTAAGGTGACTATTATTTCTATATACACTTATGAAAATTATGAAATATTTAAAAATAATCAGTATCAAAAAACCTAAAATTAAATTCATCTGGAAATATATTAATTTAAAAAATTAAATAGCACAAGTAAACAAAAATCTTAGCTATACTAGAAAAAATAAAGTTATCACTTACAATACTAATGAAAGAAAAATAGCTTTTTCACACAAAATGATGAATGCTCTTATGATAAAGAAAATGAGCAATAATTGTGCTGTTTATTTCAAATTCATTATTGCAAAATAAAGGCTTTATAGCTATAACCTGTATTTTTCGTTCATTATCTAGGTATTATTTGAATATAGCAATATTTTCACAAATTATAATATAAAATTTTAATAATACCTCATTTTCTCTAATTACTTCACATTTGATGATGAATAAGAGTTAAATGAATATCTAATCTGAGGATGTTAATCTTATAATTGCATCTAAGAATCTTTTCAATTTTACTGCACTGATTACTACGGCTTAGTCTTTTTCAAACTTGATAACTTTAGGAAAGCTGGATTTGGTACTTGTTGGTTGGCTTCTGATATGGTTTGGCTCTGCGTCCCCACCCAAATCTCACGGTGACTCGTAATCTCCTCATGTTGAAGGAGGGGGCTGGTCGAATGTGATTGAATCATGCGGGAGGGCTTCCCCTTACTGTTCTCATGATGGAGTTCTCAAGAGATCTGTTTAAAAGTGGTAGCACTTCACCCTTCCCTCTCTCTCCTGCTATGCCACAGTATGATGTGCTTCCTTCCCCTTTGCCTTCCTCCATAACTGTAAGTTTCCTGAGGTTCCTCAGCCTTCCTGTACAGCCTGTAGAAGTGTGAAGCAATTAAACCTCTTTTCTTCATAAATTACTCAGTCTGAGGTAGTTCCTTATAGCAATGTGATAAAGGACTAACATAGATTCCCTATGAGTGAGTGTTCCTAGAAAGTTAGAACATGGAAACTGCCAGTGGAAGGCCAGATGTCTGATACTGACAAATACCACTTTCATTGTATTTCATTGGTCAAAGCAGTAAAGAACTTACCTGTGTTTAAGAGCCCTAAAATGAGATACTTGTGAAAACAGGGTTAAACATTATTGACATTATTTTTTAAAAGAGTTGCATAGTTGCCAGGTTGATGAGGCCACTGGTGCCCTATTATATACATACACACACACACACACACACACACACACACACACACACACACAAACACACATATATTATTATATATGTGTGCAACATTATATATGTAACTTTTTTTTTTTGAGACGGAGTCTCGCTCTGTCGCCCAGGCTGGACTGCGGACTACAGTGGCGCAATCTCGGCTCACTGCAAGCTCCGCTTCCCGGGTTCACGCCATTCTCCTGCCTCAGCCTCCCGAGTAGCTGGGACTACAGGCGCCCACCACCGCGCCCGGCTAATTTTTTGTATTTTTAGTAGAGACGGGGTTTCACCTTGTTAGCCATGATGGTCTCGATCTCCTGACCTCATGATCCACCCACCTCGGCCTCCCAAAGTGCTGGGATTACAGGCGTGAGCCACCGCGCCCGGCCATATGTAACTTTTATACATATACCATTATATCTATACATTCTATACATTATATGTATAAAAGTTATACCTCAGAAAAGGCTCATAGTGATAAGAATTCAGTGCATTAAAGAAGAGAAAACAGTGACACTTCTAGAAGAAAAAAGAAAGAGATCTACATTCAAAACTCCCACAGAATTCTCTACAGTAACTGTAGAATATAGAAGAAAATATTTAACACAACTGTTATAAATTAGAGAAGGTGAAGAGACATAAAAAGAAGTAAGATTTCTGTATCTCACTTGACCCAGTAAAATGAATAGTAGTAGACTGTAATAAACTACATAAATATGACTAAAAGGAAAATCTATAGAAATAAATACATACTCTCATAAACACTACAAATAAATCAAAATTAAAATTTAACAAATGTTTAAATAACCCAGAACTAGATAGGTAAATGAAATCAGAAGAAAACCATGGAGCAAACAGCAACACAAACAAAAAGGCAAAAGTAAGCCCTAACATATAAATAACTATATGTAAATGTTCTAAATACACCAATTAGAAGTGATTGGCAGAGTAAATTTAAACACATAACCCAACTACATGCCCCTGAGAAAACCATTTCAAATACGGAAATACAGGAAGGTTGAAAGTAAAATGATAAAACATATATCATGCAAATAATAAGTTTTTAAAACAGGAGTGGATATATTCATATCAGAAAAAGTAGTCTTCATAGCAAATAAAATTACCAGAGGTATTGAGGGATATTATATTAATATAAATGGGACAGTCTTTCAAAAAACATAGCTATCCTAAATGTTTATACGCCAAGTAATAGAGCTGCAAAATATGAAACAACTTGAAAGAGAGAGAGGTGGGTGGAGGAATAGATAGAGAGGTAGTGTAAACTAGCTGCTGAATATAAATATATATGTGTACATATATGTTATATATGTTACATATTACTGATTATATCATAAATATTCAAGTATTATATAGTCTTTTTTCTGGTGCCTTTGCTATAATAGTGTTTTTATTTTGTTCTGTATACTTAAATTTTATGAAAAATGAAGCAAAGCAATATTTTTAAAGCTCTTTACTGTTAAGCTGTCACCTGATTTATAGTAGTTGCAAAATTCATGGACATTGAGAAAACCTTTTCATTAAAAGTACCAACTTCAAAAAATGATGTAAAAGAAGTGCTTTTAAGAGCTGAAAGCTGTGGCCACATGGAACAAAAGAATAAATGGTAAGAGTTCTGTGTGATGTTCATATTGAAGTTTCATGCTTTTATAGCTCAACAGATCAAATGTGATGAACCACTTGTTCCATAAAAGGTTATGGGGCTTTCACTTTCACAAAACTAAAGAATCAAATTGCTCTTCTTTTAGAAATACCCCAAGTGATTAAAGATTTGGATTAAAAAAAAAAAGCAACATCCTACCTTCTGCTACCAATTGTGAGTTGTGGGCTATTAGTGTCATGGATAGAATATACTTCTTTTAAAAACACCTAAAGGTGCTATATTATGGTAACATCTTATTTTGTCATCAAAAACTATGAGATGAAGTTCCTTTACATAAAATATGAATGAGAATACCTGAATTTTTCCATTTTCTATTGGTTCTGAATTTATTTGTAAACTGAACAAGACACACTGCACCTTCCATTATTATTATTGTGAAATTAATTTTCCTTAATTGTAATAATTTACTCTTTTGGGTTTGAATTATAAAATCTAGAGACCAGAGTCTCTACATGATTCTTTGTGAAACACATGACAAACATTATCAAATATGAAATATCTTTGTAAAATATCAATATTTTTGCCCTTCTCATCTACTCTTCTGTTCCTCCCTCACTGCCCTATACCCTCCCTGGCCTTCTTACTGATCCTTGAACATGTCAAATTAGCTGTGTCATGGGGCTTTGCACAGGTTTTTTTCCTCTGCTTAAATGCCCCTTACCAAGAGAACCGTGTGACCAAAATCATCTTCAATCTCTTAATAAAATATCTTCTTATGGTTAAAATATCACTCTGCCTCCCAATCCTCTTTATAATTGTAACTTTCCTCTCTATGATTTCTAAACTCACTTTCCTTGTGTCATTTCCCCAAAAATACTTAGCATTCTCAGCATAATATGTAATTTATTGTATCTATTTGATTATCATTTATTGCATATTTTCCATTAGCAGAAGTTAAGTTTCATGACGACAGTGATATTTTTATGTTTTGTTCACAGATCCCGTCCAAATTCCTTATACAGTTAAAGACATGTGATGGGTACTCCAATATTTGTTGAATGAATGCTGCTGTACAATATAATACATTTATTTGTATGTATTATAGGAAAAGGTTTCACATATGAGGGGACTTCAGAAAGTTCACCAAGAAATGAAACTTACAAATAAAAATATAAGTATGAACTTTATTTCTCACTATGAGCTCCGTCAAGGCTAAGATGCTTTTGTAAGCAATGACAGCAGCCATTTAGTCCATCTCTAAATAAATGATGGTCCTAAGAATTTAATCATGTCAAGGTAGTCTTTTTTACATTATTAATTAAAGAAAATACATGTCCTTTACAGATGTTTTTCATATTAGGAAAAAAACAAAGTCAGAAGAAGCCAAATCAGATCCCTAAGTGGGATGCCTAATGATTTTCCATTAAAACTCTCACAAAATTGCCCTTGTTAATGAGAGTAATGAGCAGAAGCATTGTTATGGTGGAGAGGGACTCTCTGATGAAGTTTGCCGGGTGTTTTTGTGTTAAAGCATTGACTAACTTTCTCAAACACTCATAATAAGCAGGATTTATAGTTTTTGAACTTCTAGAGAATAAGCAAAAAGCCACGAGCATCCCAAAAAATGATGCCATGACTTTGCTCTTGACCAGTCCACTTTTTCTTTGACTGGACCACTTCCAACTCTTGATAGCCATTACTTTATTTGTGCTTTGTCTTCAGGATAATATTGGTATAGCTATGATTTATCTCCTGTTACAATTCTCTTAAGAAAGACTTCAGCATCTTGATCTCAGTTCTTTAAAATTTTCGTTGAATGTTATGCTCTTGTCTGCAGCTGACCCAGGCACAACAGTTTTGGGATCTATTAAATGGAAAGTTGGCATAACTTTAATTTTTTAGTAGTCAGAATTGTGTAAGCTTAACCAGTTGAGATGTCTGTGATGTTGTCTATTGTTTCTGCTGTTAATTGTTCGTCTTCTTGAATTAGGGCATGAACAAGATTATTTTATTTCTAGCAAATTGATATAGATGGCCTGACGCTGTGGGCTTTAACATTGTCTTGTCCCTTCTTAAAACAAGTCAACCATTTGTACACTGCTAATTTCTCTTGGTTATTGTCCTCCTAAACTTTTCAGAAAGCATCAGTGACTCATCATTTTTCTACCCAAGCTTCACCATAAATTTGATATTGGTTCTTGCTTCAATTTTCATAGAATACATGTTACTTTTCTAGGGGCTCTTTTCAAACTGATGCCTTTTTCTTCTTAATGCCTCAAACTAGATACTGTTCATACATGTTATAAAAAGTTAGTACGAGTTTATTACTGTGCAATAGTTTTGAAATTTATGAGTAGTTTTTCATAGTATGCATTTTTCCATTATCATTTTAAAGACCCTTCACCCAGTCTCAAATCTTATTTTGCTTAACTTGCATCTCCTATAAAATAATGTTTAGTGTCTTTTCTCCATTTACTTGATTTAAATATTTTGCCACTTATCTTAACAAAAGACGATGCAAAGTAAATGAAGGCTAACATAACTTTCTTTAATATAAGTAATATTAATATGTATGACCAAGTCATTTACAATTTCTATCATGTCTACTGCAAAGTATGTATGCAAATATGGTGATTTTGATTAATATATGTATTAAAAATCTTAAAAGGAAAGCTATTTAATCTGTAGCATGGATGAATATTTATTTGACAAAAAAATTAATAAGTATGCATTCTTTCAAAAACTCAGCATATATGTTTTGAGTACATAAAGAATGCCAAGTATCGGATGATGTTATAAGAATATATAAGAACACAAGACAATAAAGATGGCTGCATTTAGGAAACTTATATTTGGATGGATTAAAATAATCAACATTTAGGAATAAATGGAAATTTCATTACGATTAAATATAAAATAAATAATCACTAGTTATAAAAATCATTTTTTAAACTAGAAAATAGCTAACATTTTATTTACATGTACTCAAGGAAAAATGCTATTAATAGATACATTTCTGAAGAATAATATAAATTTATATGCACATTTTATCAGAAAGTGGCACAATATTTTAGATCTTTACAAATAGTCCAGTGGTTGTTCAATCATTCAGTTTAATATTTGTTTATCCATGAAGGTTTATTCCAGTACCAATTATTCATCATGGCCATAAGTAGAAGTCTCCATGCTTTTTAAAATATAATATAGTTTTATGTGATATTGCCTTTGTAAAATGAATATGTTCACTAGTTTTAAAACAATTGAATAGATATGAGGAAACCATGTGATTCCAAAATATTAAAGTCATATAAAATGGATATTGTTTTCTAGGAAAGTCATCTGACAAAGGACAGATTCCTAGTAATAAAAACCATTCGAGAAATTATTGAAATTCTACAGACAAGCAATGATTAGGACATGAAATGGAACAGTAGTTGTAGGAATGAAAAGTAATAGAATGTTTAATATTGTAATATGAAAATGTAGCATTTTTTTTATTTCCAGTGTATTTAAGCATTTCCAAATATACAAAACTACAGTGACTCTGAGATGCCTAGAACAGGAACTGTGTTGTCATAAGACTATTTATTTTAATATAGACCATAGAATTTTTAAACCCAACTCATCACAGTGACAGTTCTAAAATCCCCTTGGGCTTCAAAACTGTTAAAAATGTTTCCCCTGTCCTGATTCTATTCCATGAATCTATATATTGCAGTTTCTTTTTACAGCCTAATTAGAGAAGTAAGATTTACAAAGGCCCAGAAGTCAAATCAATGCAAAGAGAACACTGTAATTTGTTTCACTGGGTCATATGAGTGAGTCGTGATCAAGAGTGAAAAAATTACGGTTGAAACTGTTTCCAGTGATAGATTAGCACCCAGAGGATGGAGACTTTAGATAAGACACTATACTAAAGTAAGCAAGTAAGCAGGTTATTGAACAGTATATAATTAAGGTTGGGGACTACAGGTATTGACAAATGAAGACATGAGCCAAGTAGTTTCCCAGAAATTACAGATTAGGGCTCATGATATTTATTTCTCTCCAGATAATATTATGATGCTCAATTTGTAGGAGGCATGCAATGTGTTGTTGCTGACTATAAAATTAATGCTCTTACCTCTTCTAAAAAAATTCCAAAAGCTTCAATGAGGTATGAGAGTCATATTATTTAAAAGTTCCACATTTTCCTAATAGTTTTTTTGACTCACCAAATACTCATGTAACAAGTATTAAGTCAGGTGGATTATATTTGGGATCACTCAAAACTTGTTCCTATCACTGTTTCACACCCATTCTTAGTCACAATTCTCCTTTCAGATGGTAAGGCTGTGTGTTCATTGGAGTGATTACCCACCTTTGAACAGCTATCAAGCCTGGAAGTAACTTGGTGCCATATGCTACTTGTGGATCTATGGTCATTGGCTGATTCCTGTACGTGTTTTAATAGAAAGTGGATCTCCTGTGTTTATGCAAGTTTATGTATAATCTGATGCCAACATATTAAACACATTTTCAGATATACCAAAGCTGTGCAGGCAGTAAATATACAAATTTATCCAGATAGATATCTATTGCTTGAGAATAATCCACTGGTCCTTACCACCAAGCTGCTGTTGGCTCCCTCAGTGGATCATGCCACTGGTTCCTCTTCCTGGCAGATGGATCACTGGTCTCTAGAAGTTGCCAGACTAACACTGGTCATGTGAGTACAGGCTGTTTATCTCAGGCATCTCCTTCATTGCTACCACAATGGCCACTTTATTCATGTGCCTATCAGGCTAGACCTGTGGTTGCCAATTACAAAGGCCTGCTAAGATTCCCTTGCTGAGTCCTTTTGACTTCTTTGTGAATTGATCCATTTTCAGAAGTGAATGAATATTTTGATATGTGACATATTTACACATCATATGCTTATAACCCAGATTTTAAGCAAAACATACAGTATTTTTCATCCAGGCTACTCAATACTAATCACTAGCCTATGTTTACTGCCTCTTTGGGAAAATTCTCTGTCCACACAAAGTGGATGATTAGGGTCATTGTCTGAATTTCTACCTATTGGTAAGATTTTCCTTTGTCACTTTTTTCAAGGCTAATAGCATAGGGAGTTATAGTGCAGTTTTCATTGATACTGACTTGCATGCTATTGCCAAGACAAATTATTGATAAACAAAATTGAGATGTGTTCTTGTCTTTCATCTGATCATAAGATGTTCTCATAGACATAGGCCAAGGGAGGGATACTGGTGTAACAATATTGGGTATCATGGGCATCTAGGCTTCCCTCACATGCTTCTGGCTGTGCACTCTGTCACTGATGTAATGCATTCCAGGTGTACTGCTTCATTCATCTGTCAGGGTTTTATATCAGAGATGGTTTGTACAATATTCACATAGTCCATATCTCTTCTGACTAAATGATGCCAGAGGTGGAAGTGTTAACGTAGCTTTGAGACAAAATTGTGACTATAAGGTGTTGTTTATTCCATGTGAATGTGAACTGTTTTAATCCCTTTCTTATCATAATAGAAAACTATATTTTCCAAATCAATGGTCTCTGAGGCTATACTAATTATTTTTAGCAAAAGTTTCACATTCTCATGGGATTTGGGATTTGGTCTACAACAAGGTTGATCCTATAGTATTCTACGGTCATTCTCCAGCATCCATCTATTTCTATAGGAGTCACATAGGTGAATTAAAATAGATATAATAAGAACTACTAATCCACTAATCTGGCCCTTTTTAGACTATTGAGGGTGATATTAGATTTTTTTAAGCCACCTGGGATGTAATATTGTTTTTGAATTTCTTGTTTTACAAGGAAAATTATACCATGAAAGTTTTTCCTCTATGGACTAAAGAAAGGTGCATTGTGATCGGATGTGATTAGAAAGCATGAGAATAGACTAATACATCTACTTTTAGACTAATACATCTACTTTTAGCCTTGGTATCAATCCACAGTTACCAGAGGAAATTAACATGAATCTCTTTAGTGAAGCACTAGGATATACATTTTGTGTAGGTTACTCTCTATGGTTTTGCACAGTCCTTTCCCCTGGGGATTTCACTGCTTCTTCAGGTAATGCATTCTAACTGCAAAACTGGCTTAGCTCCAGAAACTCGGCAATCGGTACTTTTAAATGGATCAATTGTCTTCAGTACACAGATATTTCACCCTTCATTTTTTCTGTTGGCACAAATTGAATAGTAACTTTGTTGGCTACCCACAGCCAACTTTGTTGGCTGCATTCCCCTAGAAATTTTGTGTTCTATTGACCATTTTTATAAACCTGTGCTGTTTGTTACCCTTTGGCTGCCACTCAGAACTTGCCAGTTATTAGTATGGTTATGATCACTTCTCTTCCAGTGGTTAAACACCACGGCCCTGCCTCCATTGTCTTGCAATAATTAAACGAGGTTTGTAGAAGCTTCTCCTAATGATATGGTTTAGCTGTGTCCCCACCCAAATCTCATCTTGCATCACAGCTCCCATAATTCCCACATGTCATGGGAGGGACCCAGTGGGAGGTAATTGAATTATGAGGGTGAGTCTTTCCCATGTTGTTTGCATGATAGTGAATGAGTCTCACGAGATCTCATGGTTTTATAAAGGGGAGTTCCCCTGCACAAGCTCTCTCTTGCCTGCTGCCATGTAAGACATACCTTTGCTTTTCCTTTGTCTTTCTGTCATGATTGTGAGGCCTCCCCAGCCATGTGGAACCGTGAGTCCATTAAACCTCTTTCTTTTATAAATTACCCAGTCTCAGAAATGTCTTTATTAGCAGCATGAGAATAGACTAATACATATACTTCTAGCCTTGGTATCAGAAAGAGTGATTCTTTTACTTGTGCATTGCTTAGTGTTGTTACCTTCCTACAGTACTCTAACGTCTGTGAACCTTTTGACTGCATGTCCAGTTCAGCATGGTTTCTCTTTCACCATCTGAGAGGCAACTCTGGCATCTCATATTTATTCAACATGGACAGTCACTTTTCCATGGTTCTAGCGAGCATTATGGAAGTGAGTTTACCACCTTCCAGGGTCCTTTTTCAGAGTGTTATATCTTGTAATTTGGGATAATGCCACAAATTCAATTTTATATCCCAAATCACTTTATCAGCACCCTCAGAATTTAGTCTCATGACTAACTGGAGAGCTTCTGCCTGTAAAGGACAGCCAGATTTTTTTTACTTTCTTTGGCATGTAGTGACATTGAGATATTGACAACTAATATATCCTCAAATGAAGTATGTTATAAATTAACCCTATTTAGACCTACTGTTCAAGAAAGAAGATGGAGCATATCTTAAGGTAAAATGTGATTTTTTACTCCAGGAAGGTATCTAAAAAGAAATCTCTTCTTGTCTTAAAGTAATTGTTATTATTATTTTTTAATTTGTTGATTTAAAAAAATATACTGGGGTAAGAACATTTAACATTAGATCTACTTGCTTACCAAAATTTTAAGAACACAATGGAGCATTGTTAATTATAGGCACAATGTTGTACAGCAGTTCTGTTAATCTTATTCCTCTTGCATTATTAAAAGTTTATGCTCATTGAATAATATCTCCCCATTTTTCCCTCTCCCCTGCCCCTGGCAGCCGCCATCTACTTTCTACTTCAATGAGATTGACTATTTTAGATATATCATATAAGTGGATTTACACAGTATTGGTAGTTCTGTGACTGACTTATTTCTCTTAGCATAATGTCTTCATGGTTCATCCATTTTGTTGCATATTAGAAAATTTCCTCCTTTTTAAAAGCTGAATGATATTTTATTGTATTTATATATTATATGTTCTTTATCCACTAATCAACTGATGGGCATTTAGGTTGTTTCCATATCTTATCTACTGTAAATAATGTTCCAGTTAACATAAGGGTGCACATAACTGTTCAAGATCATAATTTTTTCTTTTGGATTAATTACTCAGAAGTAGGATTTCTATATCCTGTGGTAGTCTATTTGCATTTTTTCAGGAAACTTCATACTTGTTATTCATAGCAGCTGCACCATTATACATTCTCATCAACATATATTAATACTGCAATTTCTCACATACTTGCTAACACTTCTTACATTTAGTTTTATTCATTTTTTATAATAATCATTATAACAGGTATGAAGTGCTATCTTGTTGTAGTTTTGATTTGCATTTCTCTTATGATTTGTGATGTTGAGAATATTTTCATATACCTGTTGGCCATTTTTATGTTTTTCTAGAGATAAATGTCCATTCAAGTTATTTGTCAAGTTCTTTTAAATCGGGGTTTTTTTTTTTTTTAGTATGAGTTGAAGGACTTAATCATGTATTTTCCATATTAACTTTTAACAATTGCTTTCCTATTATAATTTCCTTCCATTAACTAACCCAGAACAATATATTTTCTGTTGGCTGAATTGATATTTATTTTATTGAATACTTAGGGGACAAAGAGATGAACTATGTGCAACTTTAAGATTCTTTTGTATCATATTTTCAAGAATAAAAGAGACATACAAATTTTGGAAATGGCAGAGAAAAACTAAAATTTTCGGAGTTAATATAAACTTATATTTTTTAAAAAGAGAAATAATTTTTTCTGTTGAAATTTCAGGATTGAAATAAAATAGCAATTTTATTATAATATCATTTAAAATACTCCATATGCTTATTTAGTTGATTTTATTTACATGTGGTTATTTATGTATATTATCACTGTCTAATTTGGCTTTCTACCTTATTATTAGTTTTAAAAAATTGCAAAGTTTTCATAGAAATTTAGCAAATTGCCAAAAGCCATCTTTTCCCTAGAGAGCTTGCCTTAACACAGCGTATCAATTGAAAACACAACCATTCTAATCTAATACACAAATCCCTCTACAACTGCACTTCCTGAGCCATGCTTGCTACAGATTGTTAGCAGAAGGGAAGAAGAACTTAGAGAACTGTAAAAGTATACCATTTGGCCTAGGGCATATCATTCAGTTTGTTGTAATATTTAAAAATACATTCAGTCATAATTATGAAATATATTTCTGTAATTGCAATTAACTGGGAACTTAAAATGTTTTTAGTATACAGTATTTTTACATTGGAGATACTTTCTATTAGTTTGGTTTAAGAATTTATACATGAACTTTTAATTCTTTTTTTACTTAATATTTATTTTTTAAAAATATACTTTCTATTCTACACGTCTGTTGGCCTTTTGAAAAAGAATATGCAAATTACAAAATTAGAAACATAAATTGGTTCATATTGCCTTACAGACATTTTAACTTTTCAAGTAAGTGATAAAATTTCTAATTTAGTCTAAGTAGTATTTAGAAGTGTTTTTAAAAAATCTTTTATATATATATGCTATAAAATAAGCAATGTGTGTATGGTTGAACTGTTTTTCAGATAATTGTCATACATCTAAAAGATTTATTTGTATTATTGATTTATATTAAATTGAACATATATTAAACTTTTTAAAACTATTTTTCTACTGACAGGAATTCACATTGTTTCCATTTTTATATTTAAATTATTTTGTAATTGGATACTGGCAATATGGTAGAGTAGAAAGAACCAGAAATCTGACTCCACATCTGGAAAATAATTACACAGACAGAATCTGTCTGATGATTTTGGAACTCTGGAGTCTATGGATACTTTGCAACTTCCAGGGAAAAGCTAGCACACTACATTGCAGATAATTTTGGTCCATTTCAGCTCTTAGTTCAGCAATGGCTCCCCAGCTTTCATTCCCATCGCAGAAAACCACACATGTTCCTGATACAAGCTGGCAAGTAGGTTGTGGGAAGCAAGGTGGATGTTTAAAATCCTGTTCTTTAAATATTGGAAATCTATGTTCTGATCACTGATTGCTGCTTCTGATCACAGAGGTGCAGACACAGATGCATGTAACCATTATGGTTGCAACTGCTCACATTTTTGCAAGTTTCTTCCCCTCTGGCAGAAGTGATTTTCTGGGGAATTAAAGAGTCAGGAATTTTCTCCTTTTCTCCTTTTGAGAGTTAGACATTAAAGACTATAATATTCAAAATTAACTGTTTATATGGCAGAGGGAGGAGAGGTTGTGGAAAAGGTTAGAAAATCATGGTGCTTGCCCAGAGAAAGATGTAGGCCCCAAAAGACCTAAAATGAAAATACTAAGTTTACACCACAGACTGATACTCAGGATAGAGACTGTCTACAGCAATAAAAACAAAACAGAACAAAATAAAACCACAACCTAAGAAAAAGATGAAATGTGATTTCTAGAGTTACCAAATTGTTAAATTCAAATGTCCAGTTGTCCACAAAAAAATTATAGAAAAGTCTCATTCACAGGAAAAAAAATAAATGAACAGAAACTGTATGTGAGAAAAACCCAATGGCAGATCTACCAGAAAAAGACTGTATGACAACTGTCTTAAAGATGTGCATATGGCCAGAGGACTATGTGGAAAAAGTCAAGAATATGATATATAAAACAATATGATTATATCAATAAGAAAATATAAAATATGAAAAATTGATTTAGTAAGAAATTCTGCTATGGAAAAATATAACTTTAAAAAAATGCTACAGAAATTCAAAGGCAGATTTCAGCAGGCAGAAAAAAGAATCAGTGAAATTGTAGATAGGACAATTGAAATTATTGTGTCTGAGGAATAGAAAGAAAAATTATTACAGACATCTGAACAGAGACTAAGGAACCTATGTAATACCACCGCGCAGGTCAACAGATGATTATGTGACTCACATAAGGAGAAGAAAGAGAGAAAGGGGTATAGAGAATACTAAAGGAATAGTGGCCCAAAATGTCCAATTTGATAAAAGACTTAAATATAAACATCCAAGCAGTTTAATGAAGTCTAAATATAATAGAGACTTGCACCAAGAAACATTATTATAGTCACACTATTAAAAGACAAAAAGAACATTTTGAAAGCAGCAAGAGGGAAGTAACATATCACATACAAGGAATTCTTCATAAGATTATCAGCAGATTTTTTATCAGAAAATTTGGAGGCCGGAAGGAAATAAGTGGATATATCTAATGTGCTAAAACTAAAAACAAAAACAAAACTGTCAGCCAAGAATCCTGTATGTGTCAAAATGACCATTTAAAAGTACGGGAGAAACTAAGTCAGTTTCAGATAAATACAAGCTGAGAAAGATCATTACCACTAGCTTTGCCCTGCAAGAAATGCTACAAGGAATATTGCAGGTTAAAATGGAAGGACAATAGACAATAACTCAAATCTGTGTGAAGAAATAAATATTGCAGTAAAAGTAAATGCATGAGCAATTATAAAAGCTGGTATTATTGTAACAGATTTGCAATCATATTTTGTTTTCTACATAATTTAAGAAACTAATGATTTTTAAAAATCTTTAGCTAAAAATATTAAACAATTACTAGGTTATGGTTTTGGACATGATGAATGAAGATGGAATTTTGTGACATCAAGAACTAAAGGCCGGGCGCGGTGGCTCACGCCTGTAATCCCAGCACTTTGGGAGGCCGAGGCGGGCGGATCACGAGGTCAGGAGATCGAGACCATCCTGGCTAACACGGTGAAACCCCGTCTCTACTAAAAATACAAAAAATTAGCCGGGCGTAGTGGCGGGCGCCTGTAGTCCCAGCTACTCGGGAGGCTGAGGCAGGAGAATGGCGTGAACCCGGGAGGCGGAGCTTGCAGTGAGCCGAGATCGCGCCACTGCACTCCAGCCTGGGCGACAGAGCGAGACTCCGTCTCAAAAAAAAAAAAAAAAAAAAAAAAAAAAAAAAAAAAAAGAACTAAAATGATTGGGGACAGTGCTGTAAAGTTTTGCATGTCATCAAAGTTTGAGTATTATAACTGTAGGATGCTGATTATAATCCCCATGGTCACCAAAGAAAGAGTATAGAATTTAAAAAAAGGAAATGAGAAATAAAATATTTCAGTACAAAACAAGAACTATACACAAAAGAAGACAGCAATACAGAAAATTAGGAACAAAAAAGCTACAAGTCATATAGAAAACAAATAGCAAAATGATAGAAGTATGTCCCTTTGTCAAAATTACTTTAGATATAAAAGGTTTAAACTTTCCAATCAAAATGCAGAGATTGGCAGAATAGGTAAGAAACAATAATCCAACTACATGCTGTCTACCAGCTACTCACTTCAGATCAAAAGTCAAAAATAAGTTGAAAGCAACACAATGGAAAAAGGCATTTCCTACAAGTAGTAACTAAAAGAGATAAGATTGATTGCCTATAATAAGATAAAATAGACTTTAAACAGAAAAAAAATTATATGAGACAAAAGGATATTATATGCTAATAAGAGGTGAAATACAGCAAGAAGATATAATAATGATAAACATTTATGCACCTAATATTAATTAGTCAAAATATATGAAACAAAATTCACAGAAATGAATGCAAAAATAGGCATTTCTATAACAACAGTTGAACATGTCAATATCCTACTCTCAATAACAAATAGAAAAAACAGAAGATTAACAAGGAAATAGAGGACTTGAAAAACATAATAAACCAATTAAATCTAAAAGATATATACAACATATTCTACCCAACAACAGCAGAATAAACAGTCTTCTAAAATATACATGGAGGGCTTTTGTTTTGTTTTGTTTGTTTTATTTTGTTTTTCTTTTTTCTGAGATGGAGTCTCGCTCTGTCACCCAGACTGGAGTGTGGTGGCACGATCTTGGCTCACCACAACCTCCATCTCCCAGGTTTCAGTGATTCTCCCACCTCAGCCTCCTGGGTAGCCAGGATTACAGGGGAGCACCACCACTGCCAGGCTTTTTTTTTTTTTTTTGTATTTTTAGTAGAGACAGAGTTTCACCATGTTGGCCAGCCTGGTATTGAACTCCTGACCTCAAATGATCCACCTGTCTCAGCCTCCCAAAATGCTAGGATTACAGGCATGAGCCACTGCGCCTGGCCACATGACAGGTTTTATAGAATAAACCATATGTTAGTCCACAAATTGTCTCAATTGATTTTAAAATTCTGATATTATACAAATTACCTTTTCCTGATCACAGTGGGATGAAGTTAGAAATCAATAACAAAGGAAAACAGGAAAATTCACAAATCTGTAGAAAACAAACATTCTTATTTAACGAATCAAAGAATAAATCACAAGGAAAATTAGAAAATAAAGATAAATGAAAATGAAAACATAACATATTAAGACTTACGGAATGCAACCAAAGGACTGTCAGTGGAGAAATTTATAGGTGTAATTGCTTATATTAAAAAAGAAGAAAAATCTCCAATCAAAAACTTATCTTTGCAGCTTTAAAATTTGAAAAAAGAAAACAACCTAAACAAAAAGCAACCTAGCAGAACTAAGGAAATGATAGACATTAAAGCAGAGATAAAATGGAAAATAGAAAAACAATAGAAAAAAAAATCAATGAAATCAAAAGTTAGTTCTTCAAATGACAAACTTAATCTAGATTGACTAAGGAAAATAAGAGAGAAAGAGAGAAGATTCAAGTTACCAAAATTAGAAATCAAAGTGGGGATATTACAGATACAGATTGACAGAAATAAAAGTGATTATAAGATAGTACTATGAACAATTGAATGCCAATAAATTATCCTTGATGAAATGAACAAATTTCTAGAAATACATAAACTACTGAAAAAAAACTCTGGAGCACCCACACTTCTTTATTTCAAAATATATTGAAATATGCTGTAATCAAAACACTGTGATACTAACATGAAGGGAGACATATGGACCAATGGAATGGAGAGCCCCCAAATAAACCTTCTCTTATATGGTCAAATGATTTTTGTCAGGATGCCAAGGCCAATGAATAGGGAAAAAAATTATTTCAATAAGTGGTACTGGAGAAAACTGGATACTCACATGCAAAAGAATGAAGTTGGGCCCTTACATAACATCATATACAAAAATTAACTCAACGCGAATTTAAGACCTAAACATAAGACCTAAAGCTACAAAACTCTTAAAAGCTAACATAGAGTGAAATCTTCACAACATTATATTTGACAATAAGTTTTTGAATATGGCACCAAAAGCACATGTCACAAAAGAAACAGTAGGCAAATTGTACTTCATAAAAATTTTAAACTTTTGTGCATCAAAAGATATTATCAACAAAGCAAGAGGGCAACTCACATATTGGAATAAAGTATTTGCAAATAATTTATCTGATAAGGATTACTATCCTGGATATGCAGAATACTCCTAAAAATCAACAACTCTAACAATGTAAATGACCAAATTCAAAAATGGGCAACAATTTTGAATAGTCATTTTTCCAAAGAAGATATACAAATGGCCAATAAGCACATGAAAACATAATCAACATCACTAATCATTAGGTAAATGAAAATCAAAACCACAATGAGATACCACCTCAAATCCATTAGGAGAGCTACTATCAAATAAGAAGAAAATAAAAAGCATTGGTGCAGATGTGAGGAAATGAGAACCCGTGTTGCACTGTTGGTGGGACTATAAAATGGTACAACTGTTATAGAAAACAGTACAATTGTTCATCAAAATTTAAAAGTTGAATTAACATATGATCCAGGGATTTGATTTTTCCACAAATACCCAAATAAATTGAAAGCAGGGTCTTGAAGAGATTTTGTAGACCCATGCTCACAGAAGCATTTTTCATATAGCTAAAATGTTGAAACAACCCAGGTATCCATGGACAGATGAATAGGTAAGCAAAACGTGGTATATACATACAATAGAATATGACTCAGCCTTAAAAAGAAAAGAAATCCTGATATATGCTACAACATGGATGGACCTTAAGGATACTATGTTAAGTGAAATAAACTAATTACAAAATAAAATACTGTATGATACTGTATGAAAGTACAATGGTGGTTGCCTGGTGTTGGTAGCAAGGGAAAATGGAGAATTTTTTGTTTAATGAGTATACAGTTTCAATTTTGCAAAATGAAAAACTTCCTAGAAATGAATGGTGGTGAGGTTTAGCAACAACCATATGAATGTACTTAATACCACTGAACCGTATGCTTAAAGATGGCTAAGATGGTAAATTTTAGGTTATATTTTACCAAAATTTTTAAAAATTGAAGGATTAAAAAGATAAGTAGGGAAATTTGGATATAACTGGCTAATATATGGCATCATCATCAGTAAAAAAAAATTACTTTTGTTAGAAGTACTTATGATATTATGGTTATGGTGAAAAATATTTTTATTTTTAGACATGGATACTGAAGTATAGATGCTCCTGGACTTACGATGGCAATACATACCACAATTCCATTGTAAATTTAAAATATCCTAAGCTGAAAATGCACTTAATACACCTAACCTACTAAACTTCCTGAAAATCATAGGTTCCCAATTCCCAGGCCACAGACTGGTACTGATGGGTGGCCTGTTAAGAACTGGGCCTCACAGCAGGAATTGAGTAGCAGGCGAGTGAGCATTACTGCCTGAGCTCCGCCTCCTGTCAGATCAGCAGCGGCATTAGATTCTCATAGGAGAGCAATCCCTTCTGTGAACTGTGCATGTAAGGAATCTAGGTTGCTGTTTCTTACCAGAATCTAACCAATGCCTGATGATCTAAGGTGGAACAGTTTCATCCTGAAACTATATCTCCCTGCCCATCCCTGTCTGTAGAAAAATTGCCCTCCATGAAACTGGTCACTGGTGCCAAAAAGGTTGGGAACTGCTGCTGAAAATCGTAGCTTAGCCTAACTTACCTTAAATGCGCCCAGAACATTTACATTAGCCTACAGTTGAGCAAAATCATCTGGGAACCTAGTACGCTGTAGAGTATCAGTTGTTTACCTTGGTGATTGCATAGCTGACTGGGAACAGTTGCTTACTAAGATTGCCCAGCAAGGCAAGACAGTATGCTACTGCTTTCTACAAATGCATATCACTTTCACACCATCGTAAAGTCGAAAATGAAAGTTAAACCATCATAAGTTAGGGACTATCTGTGTTTAGTGGTGAAATATCTTGATGTCTGTAATTTAATGTGTGTACTCCAACAACAATAAAATAGATAGAGAAGTGTGGCAAAATGTTAACAGCTGTTAAATCAAGGTGATGCGTATATGGTATTTATTTTACTATTCTCTTTCTCTTTGTTTAAACATTTCCATAATAATTTTAAAATTCTATTATTTGTTGAACTCATATGCTCTGTAACTTTGTCCTTTTTAAAAATATTGTATTTGTTCATAAAGGTAATATGCTCATAAATAATAATAGAGGAAAGTAAATACTATTGACCTATCACTCATAGAGAACTCTGGTCAATAGCATTTATCTTTACAGACTTTTTTCTGTGCTTATTTGTTTTATTTTTTTGTGAACAAATCATAACAATTTTTGTGATACACTCCCTGTCAATATCATTAATATGTTCCATTAAACCCCTTTATAAATGTTCTGGAACATGAACAGAGAAATTTTCAGGAGTAGGATTGTTGGCTCAAATTGTATATGTATTTATAATTGTAACTGATGCTGCTAGATATATTTCTAGGAATGTTATAATGTTACCTATACCCATTACTGATCTTTAAGGAGGAAAATATTTTACCCAGGCCTAATGCAACTTTTTAGTTGTAAGGAAATTCAGTACTGTAAATGCTTTAGGCTTCTCTCTGATCTCTTGCTGAATCCCCCCAAGGAAAAAAGGAATGATATAATCTTATTGCTGAGATGGGATAGAAAGACTGGACATTTAGATTTGAGTCCCTTTCTCTTCCTTTTCATTTTTAATTTGGCTTATCTGAAGGGAACAGGTATTTCTATTTTGCCATCATACACTAAGACAGCTTACTTCCATGAGAGAAGCCTGTAATTGTTAGATTTCCTATGAGGTGGTAAATAAAATTGCCTATAATGTAAGACACATTAACAGATACCAGCTTTTATCTTTAAGACAAATTATTTTTTATTCTCTATGTACCTATTTCCATGTAAACAGTCACAGTTCCTTCCTAACTCTGTACTGTAAAAGACAGTGCTATTTATCTGGTTTCTGGAAAACCCCCAATTTCATGTGCATGGGCAATAACATTGATATACAGAGAAAAAGTGGAATTTTAGGAGGCAAGCATGAAAAGATGGTGGCTTTTCTCAGAGGCAGAGAAAGTGACTTCAATTATTACTAATTGTCAACTGGATACCCAATGACATAGGGTTTACAAATTTTGGGGTGACTCAAATCTTTGTACAGGATATTGGCTGTTTGATGTAAATAGAAATGTAGGTGCTGACCTTAAGTAAAAACTACGGAGCTCCATGAAATAGTCCAGCATAAGGATGGGTGTGAGGAGTTCAGAATTTTTGCCAGACTTGAGCAGAGATTAACTTTGTATGTGCATTTGTGTGTTTACATGTGTAACTTGAAAATAGCATAAGTAAACTATTTTTGCTGCAGGGGGTACATAGTACAGTTATATGAACTTTAATATGCACTGTCCTCTCTCTGTATATACAGAGGATTGGTTCCAGGACCTCCATATACCAAAATCCATGAACACAAGTCCCCTAATTGGCCCTGTAAAAACTGAACATACAAAAAGTCATCCCTCTGTAAAGGCAGTTTTGCATCCCTCCAATACCTTTCTGTGCCTGGCTTATTTCCCTTAAATAATGTCCTCCTGGTTACATATTCTGAATACTTAGTCATGTGATTTGCAGTAAAAAACAAGTCTCTACTGTTAAGACTCTACTACTAAGACACAGATGCTCTTGTTGCACTGTTCAGCTGACATTTACCAGACTGGGACACTGGTTTCCTGGCAGTAGTAGCTATTGGCTGACTCATGTCTGCCCTCTTCTCTGGAGGATTGCACTTGACTGATGAGAGCCATCTTATGTTGAGATGATTGGGAGATTAGACTCCTTAGCAAAGCTCCATTGGTCCTGTACTGAAGCCAGTGGCCAACCCATGGGGTCATAGCAGCACAAACCACTACTTTATAAGTATAATGGCTTTGTGCCATGATCTACACAGCAGAATTTCTCGGGGAAATACGTGAGGACAGACATCTCCTAAAATCACACTTTTGTTTAGTTCAAGGGTGGGTAAATTTTTCTGTATGGGGACAGATAGTAAATATTTTAGGGTCTGCAAAGCCATATGGTCTCTATTGCAACAACTCAACAATGCTGGTGTAGGGACAAAGGAGACAGTAATTAGCAGAGTAGGGTACCAGCATAAAGACAGATAAATAGAGCAGAATAGAGCCCAGAATATAACCCATCAATAGAATATCAAGTGATCTTCTACAAGGGTGCCAAGAAATACAAAATGGAAAGGATAGTCTCTTCAACAAATGTTATTTGGAAAACTGAATATTCACATACAGAAGGTATTTGGAAAACTGAATATTCACCTACAGAAGAATGAAGTTGACCCTTATATCATGCACAAAAACCAACTCAAGATGGATTAAAGATTTAAATAGAACACCTTTAACTCTAAAACTCCGAATAAAACGTAGGTGAAAATCTTCACGACATTGTTATTGGCAATGGTTTTTTGAATAGGACACCAAAATCATGGATAACAAAAGCAAAAATAGATGAGTGGGACCATAAAAAATAAAAAAACAAAAGTTTTGCACAGCAAAGGAAATAACAGAATGTAAAAGCAATCTATGTAATAGAAAATATTTGCAAATCATACATCTGATAAAAGGTTAATATACAAAATATATGATAAACTTCTTCAATTCATATTGAAACACCAAATAACTTAATTAGAAAAGGGGTAAAGGACTTGAATAAATTTCTTTCTTGAGAAGACATACAAATGGCCAACAGGAATATGAAAAAAAATGTTTAATATCACTAACCATCAAGGAAATGTAAATCAAACCCACAATGAGATATAACCTCACATCTGCTAGGATGGCCATAATAAAAACAAACAGAGATAATTAGTGTTGGTGAGGATGTAGAGAAATGAGAATCCTGATACACTGTTGGGAATGTAGGATGATACAGTCACTGTGAAAAACAATATGAAAGTTTCTAAAAAAATTTTAAAGAGAACTACCATGTGATCCAACAATCTTACTTCTGGATATTTGTTTGAGGACACTGAAATCAGGATTTTAAATGATTTTCTGATTTTAAAGAAATAGATGCATTCCCATATTCACTGGCATGTTTCTCTTGAGATCACTCCCTCAATAACTCATTTGTACAAGAATCTCCATCTCACCTCTGTTTCTGGAAATGCTTACCTATGGACACCATGTGTCCCAAAATATATGACATTTTATTTTTGCAATTTAGAAGCTGGAGATTAAAAAAAAAGAAACCTTTATTACCTCTTCAGGCAAACTATTTACTGATTATATATTATTAAATGTTGTATATGTCAATACATAGCTAATGTTATTGTTTTAATCAGCATTTAATCTCTCCACTTTTTGGCATATGCATTAATTGATGATTATATGTCTTTATTAACAGCACATATATAATGTCTCTTTTTAAAAGAAAAATATTTGTAATTATAATAAAAATTAAAAAATGTTCATTATATTATTTTAACTTAGGTGAAAAATGATGGTATTGATGTGGTTCAGGACATGCTACCCCAAAATATGGTACTTTGGCATTTGAGAAAACAGTAGAAATAGAAAGCTCTCTCTGACCTTCCCCTCATTCTTCTCTGAAGCAGGTCATAAAACCTAGGAAGAATTGTTTTACTTCTCTTAAAGCAAGTCATAAGATCCTTAATTGAGAGGTTCCTTCTGTATACCCAGAGGAAAGGAGCCTAAGACCCAGAGACTTGACCAAGGAGAGTCTGAACAAATGGGCCTTGCTAAATTCTTCCGTAGTTTACACAGTGGATCATTCCCACTTTGTCCAATTATATTTTCCCATGACTGTCCATTCTTAAACCTAAGCATAAAAATTCACAAGTTTCCTTTTCTTTGGGTCTGAATTTCCTTCTGAAGGCTCTCATGTCATTTAAAACTTGTATTACATACATTTGTTAACGTTTTTCTCTTCCTAATTGGTCCTTTGTTGTAGGCAGCTCAGCCATTAACCTATGATGAATAAAGAAATTTCTTTTTTCTCCTACAGTATATATCTATTATGTGCATATATGTGCATATGTGTTTATTTATATAAATGTATTCACATATGCATACAAACAACTTCTGTACTGCACATGTTTTTCAATAGTGAAAAAGAGTTGACAGTTTTAACATGTGGAGAAAAATATTTCTACATATATTTTACTTGTAAATCTCTCTGGTCTGAGTAATCACTTTTATATGTAAATTATCACATGTTCAAATGAGTAAAAATTAGTTATTTGGATGCCCTGGATTAGAATCTTCATAATATGTGTCCATGCATGAGTATATATGTGTTTTTCTATTGAAGGGGCATGTAATGAGATGAGAAGAAAAATACACTAGGGTCGGTGGCAACTTCCTCACCCTGTCTACAAATGGACACAATATAGAAATGCACACACAGACCCATTCAGTGAAATGTCATACCATATATTTTGCCTATTCTGTATGCATATCATATTTTTGAGACCACTTTAGCTCAGCCAAACAGCTCTTTTTCCTTTTAAGAAAGATTAAATGAAGCTGCTCAAATAAATTAATGTTCTTCATTAGTGATAAGGTTTTGGCAGTAAATAGCTGACCATTGGACTTACAGTGGCTCACTCGTTCAAGATATTCCATTATCTCACATGGCAAAATAGCTAGAGAAAGGAAGTTTGTCTTACATTCAAAACAGGTTTGTGGCAGTTCCAAGCATCATATCACACACTTCTGTCCCAAAGCACAGTGTAGAAAAAAAAATGCTTTTTTTTTATTTTACATAGGACTAGTCTCCTTTTTTATGTGTTTTTATCTTGAAAAAGATGTGTTCAGAATTCTTCCATAGAATTGTATATTAGGAATAATCCGACTTGGTTGCATACTCTGTCATTTGAGACTGCAATAGGTCCAAAGATAAATGGCCTAATATGATGGGTACACCCTAATAATGTTTCCTTCTCTTTTGGAAGAAAAGGTTAAAGTGTTGTTTTAAATATTAAATTGAAAGTAAAGAGAATAGAGTAAAATAGCGGGAAGCATTTTATAGTTGATAAATTATGCATCCAGAGACTTAATCATTTTTCTCACCTTCCTCTCATGTAGACTTTAATCCTAGTGGCAGGTAAATATAAATAGTTAATTAGACACCTAAAACTTTCAGAAATATTCTGCTTAATATCAGTTCTGTTAGGATAAAAGATTTTGATGTCACTTTATTTCCACATTGGTAGCATATTGAATTGCTAAGTACAGAGTTAAGCAGATTGACAATAGTCTTCAATTTAAACATTAATGAAAATTAGAGAATGAAGCATTAACTCTAATTCCTTATCCTAATCCTATGTAATTCATGAATAAATAAAGATCAATGATGGTTTTTGGAAGCACACACCAGTTTGTTAAAATATTCTTTAATAAAATTGTATCTGTGCCAAATCACATATCTGGGATTAGTTTTATTTAAAGAAACTTTGCAAAGAGTTATTTGCTTTTCTTCACTATATATATATATATATATATATATATATATATATATATATATATATATATATTTTTTTTTTTTTTTTTTTTTTTTCTAAGAGGCATTACTGGGCCACATTTTACATTAGGGAGAGACCAAGTCAGAGAATTTTTTCAGTAACTTAATCAAACCCACAAAGTATATCATGAGTAGGGCTGATATTAAAATCTTGGCATGATTCCTTCCTTCTTTTCTAATTTTAAATAAGAATCTTCAGTTTTCATCACTATGTTAACAATCACTTTTTATTTTTCTTCTAATTTGAAAGAAAAAAAGCCAAGTAATATTTATTATTTTGTCTACTCAATCACCATTTCTTCTCTAACACTTCCTCAGCATCTTCAAAGAGTGCATGGAGTTTTAGAACAATGGTTTTAAAAGTTTGTTCCTCAGACTTTTGCAGACTTTTGCCTCAGCACAAACTGTAAGCATATTTGGACTGCAGGTTCATGGACCCCCCACCTTGACATACTGAGCCAGCATATCTGAGGGGTTAGTCAGGGAATTCTTTAAGGAAAGACTGAGAACTACCATTTTAGACTATAATTTTTAAAGTAAAATTTATACTGAAATTCACTTTTTAAAAGCTAATTTCAATTTTGTTTTTTTTTAGTGCAATTTGTGAACATTAGTTTGGATTTCATTCTCAGCGTAACTTTAACATCGGGTGAAATCTATTCTCTACCTTGAAAAAATTAAAAGCTGTTTATTATTTCTACTATATTTTACAGAATGGAATAAAAGATACAAGATCATCAAGAAATTCAATAGAGAACTATTTTTGGAGTTTGCATATATAATGAAAAATAAGAAAGTTACTATTAATATAATAATTATACAGGCATATGTGTGTGCATATGTAATATATATGTGTGCATGTATTATATATAGTATATATGTATACTATTTTTATATATAAAATTCTTAATTATATATAAAATAATCATGATTTCTCTGGCTTATGTTGAATTTTATTTTTGCAAATGGTTATGCATTAATTACAATATACTTAAGAACACCATTTTACCTTTCACAGACTTTATAATCTGGTTAGCTAAAAGTTGGTATTTCTTACACAGTAACTTTATTATAAGATATGTAAAATTAATGTTCTCTTATATGTATTCTAACAAAATTATTTGTATGTGATATAATGAATACCACAACATGAGGAAACAGAAAAATCTACTCCGCCTTCATAATTTACAGATAAGGTAAACAATTTTAGTGAATTTGAGTTGTTTTCCCACATACCTTGAAAAGTGTTATCGCATTGAATGTACCTTGAGTTTCCTCTTATAAGAGAAGTTGTTTCACCCCAGCTCCACTGGAGCACAAGTGTCTTTAATGAAAAAAAATGGGGCTGTGTATTGTCTATAACCAGCACATAGATGATGGGAATGGGATTGGTTATCAAGTATCACTATTAGTGGCATAATTCCAGAAAATTTGCAAGGTGGCAACTCTGGACTAATCTTTGATTTATGAATTAGTTTGGTGAAAAATGCTGTGTTAAATTAGTTAAAAAAATTAAAAGGCCACTTTTTTTCAAGAGCATATGCTAAGAAATATGAAAAGCATCTGATTGAAGGAGAGAGAGAAAGCAAGAGAGACAGAGAGAGCAGAAAGACAGAGTAGTGCATATACATTAATAGAAGAACTAAAGATCAGACTTAAGAATTTCACCATGGTTCCTTGAGCATAGAACTGGCCTAGATGTTAGAATGACCTTCCAATTTAAATGTTAATGAGAATTGTCTGTAGGAAAATTCCTGCAGTTCAAATGAAGTTCTTTTTCCCCTTATTGCTATAAGCACACTTAGACAATACCATCATTACTTTATCAAGGCTTTGTAGTTCTGTGTCTTTTAATAAAAGGATTCTAAAATGCCTGTCATACATGCTATAGTAGAAATGAGTCACAAATCCATCACCATTATATTAATAGTTATTCTAAACACAGATGTGATTAATTTGGTGTCCATTGCAGGTCTTCAAAAAAGCCCATTAACAGACAAAGTGTTTATATATACAGATGGCCATTTTTTCTGGGGGAGAAAAGCCATATATTTTACTAATATGATAGATTCAACAATGACTAATCTAAAAGTATGTTATCTGAAGACTGTTTATCCAATTTTATGCCAACATGTTTTAAATTTTGTTCCATGAATGTCCAGCCTCAGAATCCCCTGGACTGCTTGCTTATAATGTAGATTTATGGCCTAATCTCCCATTTAATGTGTGATAATCTTGACATATGAGGCTAGAATCCATAGCTTAATAAACTATTCAAATATTTTCATGCATTAAAAATGTTGAATACTACATGAAAGTAAAGTGAGTTTTCCTATACTTTGCATCAATTTCTACCCTCTGACAACAGAATATTTTAAAGTGGGACTAGCTTCTATTCCACATGAATTTGAGCTAAATGTGATACTCATTTGTTGCTAACCTGTCTATGTCAAGCAACCAGAGTTAGACAAAAGTCGCTAACACTTTCTTATATGTTTGATAAGTGGAAATGCAGTCAAACCTATGCAAAGTTCCAACTGTTCAAATTTACAACTTCTAGCAGCATCATCTATATCAAGGGTTGTCAAACTTTTTCTGAAAAAGGACCAGATAATTGTTTTAGTTTTTGTGAGTGTTTCAGTCACTGTCACAACATCTCTCACAGCTGCTAAACACTGACATTGTAACATAAAATCAGATGTAGATAATATGTAATTGAATGAATTTGGCTGTGTTCCGATAAAATTTTATTTACAAAATGGTAGTGGGCAAGATTTGACCTGTGGCCTGTAGTTTGCTGATCTCTGAACTAGATATCTTGAAGATAACTAGATGATAACTTGTTGATGAATTAGTATGTATAAAAATGAATATAAAGGAGTTAGTATTAACATTTAAAGAGATCTCTATTAGCTCTTGCACACCTCTGTTTTTGGATCTGTCTCACTCAATCATTTCCGTCATAAATTGCATTTCCTCACTTCTGGAATAGTCAGAAAACACACACACATATATATAGGAATGAGCAACAAATAGTTGAAATATATATATATATATATATATATACATCTTTTCATAAAATAGAAATTGTTGAATATAATAATGAGAATAATCTTAAGTTCAGTAAGCTAGAATAATAGAATACATTTATTGTGGCTAAGCAATATAGTGATAATATCAAATCTAATAAGTGGTTAATACACCTAATTGTCCAGGTTACATACAAAGAAGGCATGACTTAAAACAACATTTGTTATTTTTATATATATATATAACATATATATATAAAACAGATATATAACATATTATACATATGTTGTATATATTATATATATGTTTTATATATTATATGTTATATATATTATAACATTATATATATAGGCCAGGCTGGTGTTAAACTCCTGGGGTCAAGCAATCTGCCTTTCTCCACCTTGCAAAATGCTGGGGTTACAGGCATGTGAGCCACCGCACCCAGCCAGTCCGCGCTAGGAAATTTTAAAAGCATAAGAAAACTTTGAAATTGTGCTTAAAACCTACTCAATTTTGCTCTCATTACTTATATTATTTTTGTTTTTCAGATTATTAATCTTTCTTTAAAAGGCCGTAAACCATTTTTCTAACACAAATAATTGACTTAAGTAACATACCTATGTACTTGAAATTGTATTGTGAGGAATAAACAAATAGATTCCCAAATTCAAGAATCTGTAAAATTCAGAGGTTATCAATGTTGGTATTACACTTTGATTGCTGATTCATTTATTGCATTACTTTAATCTGAATAGATACTCTGAAATTTTTGCCAGCTCAGTTGTTACTCATCTTAGTAATAACTTCTGCTAAAATCATTTCCTTTTTGAGAGTAAATTACCCTTTCCAGAATAACGGTCAGTTAGGGATATAAAATTTAAAATATATTTTTAAAATATAGTAGAACTGCTAAAAGTAGATGATGAATGATGTGCACTTATAATAATAAATTGACTTTTATTAAAGATGAATTTTTTCACAAAACATACATTACAAATAAGAATGATGGAGAGACATAAATAAATAAATGATTACTATGCCTTATTTCTAGGAAAGAGACGATGAAATATTTTGCACTTTTAGGGTTGAAATTATTTAAGATTATACTTTTCAAATCCAGTTTACTTCTATCGAAGCTTAAGGAGATGAAAAATATTGCTGTTCTTTTTTTCTGAAAAGTGCTTTAAAATAATATATCCTGTAAAATTATAAATATATGTATAATTAGTATTAGAAATATAATTAAATATACTATTGGATAGTATCTTGATAATTTTTGTGAGATCAGTAGTATTATTGGACTTTCATTTCTTAGATTAGTCTTTATTTCCTTTATTCAGATAAACATCTATTTAATAGCTTTACTCTATATTTGAAGGGGAAACTTCTTAACCAAATATCTCCTGTTGAAAATGTTGGTCTTTGAAAGCATTAATTTAGTTCTTTCCTACCTCCTAGTCTATATATCCCCACTCAGAGGAACACCACACACACACATACACACATACGAACACACAGACACACATTATCTCTCTATCTCATACACACACACCTCCTACTGTCTTTTCGCTTTTTCATCCCTCAATACCAACATTTAACTTTCTGGCTCTCCAGTGCCTTGTGCTTGCTTTATTATTACCATGCTCCAGCTTCTTACCAGTGTTCTTCTCATCCTAGTCGCACTTGAAGAACAATATGTTCTCCAAGTGATGTTACAATTCAATGTAGCTATTGAATTTGTCACCAGAAGGAAAAACAAGAAAACAAATATTTATTATTCCCCCCACAAAACATGCATGGAGGTGCCATTGAAAAATCCACTAATTTTTACCACCTTTCTTTAGCCAGGTCAACTTCCTTCCTGGATTATTAAAATGCCCTACTAGCTGACTGTCTTGCTTCTAACATTGCTCCCTGTTGTAGGTTGAAGTGTATCCCCCAAATAGCATGTTCAAGTCCTAACCCTTGATGTGGGTACATGTGAATGTGACCTTATTTACAAATAGTATCTTTGTAGATGTAATCAAGTTAAAATGAAGTTATACTGGAATAGAGCGGGCCTTAATGCAGTGATTGTTGTCCTCATGTGACACAGGAAATTGGGACACAGACACAAAGAGAAAACAATGTCATGTGAAGACAGAGGCAAAGAGTGGAGTGACAGATGTACAAGCGAAGAACCTCAAGAGCGCCGGCAGTTACCAGAAGCTTAGAGTTAGGGAAGGATCATCATCTGAAGCAAGTCCTGGCCTGTCAACATGTTGATTTCAGACTACTAGACTCCAGAAAAGTAAGATAAAAAATCTTTAATATTTGAAGGTGCCCAATTTGTGGTAATTTGTTCCTGCAGCCTGAGCAAACTAACAAGCTCACTTTCAGTTCAATTTCATGGAAGAATAGAACAATCTTTTGGTCCCATAACACAACTCCTCAGTGGAGAACTCTGAGTGATTTTAAAAAGACATACCAAATATTGTCCCTTTTATGCTCAAAATGATCCAGTATTTCTATGTCATTCTTAAAATAAAAACTAATATAATGTCTACAGGCTTATATTTGATCTGGTCCTCCTTAAGTCTCTTGTCTTGATTTCATATTTCCTGTCGTGCTAACTGTTTTAAGCAACTAGCCCTCTTGTTCCTAAAATAGAGCTGAAATTTTATTTTCAGGCATTAAAACTGTGCATTCCTTTGGTCTGGATTTTCTTCCTCAGATATTCACATGTGTGACTCCCGTACTTCCATCATTGTGCAGATTTCACTGTTTCTTTCTATCCTATTTTGATCAAATTTATGACACTCAAAAATTTCATAAACTTTAATAATTTGTTTTTGTTCATTATTTATTATCTCTTCTTGCTGGAACATGTTTTTAAAGTCACTTCAATTTTCCTTCTCTGTTTCAGGACTGATCCATTTAATACAGTAGCCACTAGTCACATGTGGCTATGGAACTGTTGGATACACATTTATTATGTGCTTGGCATGTAAAATATGCACCTTGTTTCAAAATATTCATGTGAAAATGATGTTAAATATGTCATTAATATTTATGTATTGATTACATATGAAATAATATTTTGTATAATAGGGTTATATATAAATAATTTTAACTGTATTTAACTTTTTAAAATGTGCCTTCTGGAAAATTTTAAACTATGTATAGTATTTCATAATTCTGGCCTGCATTAAATTTTTATTGGAAGAGTGGTGATCTAAATAAGGCTGATAATAACAGGTAAGAGAGAGAGATTAATGCTAAATGGTTGCTAATATGCTCATGCTGTGTGGGAAACACATACGCTTTATGAAGGAGTTTCTGAACGTACATTTTTAAGTTAAAAAGTGCACTATTTCATAATGATTTCAGTAACAAAGTCAATTAGAAAGCACATCTTTGGCCAGGTGTGGTGGCTCACGCCTGTAATCCCAGCACTTTGGGAGGCTGAGGCAGGCGGATCACGAGGTCAGGGGATTGAGATCATCCTGGCTAACACGGTGAAACTCCATCTCTACTAAAAATACAAAAAACTAGCCGGGCGTGGTGGCAGGTGCCTGTAGTCCCAGCTACTTGGGAGGCTGAGGTAGGAGAATGGCTTGAACCTGGGAGGTGGAACTTGCGATGAGTCGAGATCACGACACTGCACTCCCGCCTGGGTGACAGAGTGAGACTCCGTCTCAAAAAAAAGTAGAAAGCACATCTTCATTAGAAATTGCTTATTTTGTGATTCCAGTTAAGTGAATTGAAGTAGAGTGAGTATGTAAAAACTAAATATATGAAAAAAGTATGTTACCTAAAACAAAATAGTTAAACAATTTCATCTTAATTTCAAAAGTAATGCTTTTATGTATTATTCACATTTATGCAATCTTGTATTAGATCACAAATGTAGTTTTAAAGTGTGTGTAGTATTTGAGCTAAGCTTTTTTATTACCTGATAAATTAGAATATTACTACGTCTTAAAAGGCAAGAAAAAAATGGTTAGTTTATTATATGAATGAAAAGAGAAATAAATATCTTGAGCTATTTATTTTTATTTTATTGTAAGAACATAACATGAGATCTACTGTCTTGATTTTTAAGTTAACACAGTATTATTAACTATAGGCAACATGTTGTATAGCAGATCTCTAGAACTTATTGACTTTGCATTACTGAAATGTCACACTTATGGATGAGCAACTTTCCATTCTCCTCTTAATATGGTTTGAATTTGTATCCCAACCCAAATCTCATGTGGAATCTCTAATTCCCAGTGTTGGAGGACAAGCCTGCTGGGAGGTGATTGGATCATGGGGACAGATTTCCCCCTTGCTGTTCTTGTGATAGTGCATGAGTTCTTATGAGTTCTTGTTATTTAAAACTGTTAGGCAGCTCCCCCTTCTCTCTCTCTCCCTCTCCTGCCACAGCCATGTAGAACACGCCTACTTCCCTTTCACCATTCACCATGAATGTAAGTTTCCTGGGGCCTCCTCAGCCATGCTTCCTGTACAGCCTGCAGAACAGTAAGCCTGTTAAACCTTTTTTATATATATTACCCAATCTCAGGTATTTCTATATAGCAATGCGAGAATTGACTAATACAAAAAATTGGTACCTAGGAGTGAAGCATTGCTATAAAAATAGCTGAAAATATGGAAGCCACTTTGGAACTGGGTAATGGACAGAGGATAGAATAGTTTGGTAGACTTGGAGGAAGACAGGAAGATGAGGGAAAGTTTTGGACTTCCTAGAGACTTGTTGATTGGTTGTGACCAAAATATTCATAGTGAAATGGAAATATTGATAGTGAAGTCCAGGCTGAGGAGATCTCAGACAGCGATGAAGAACATATTGGGGACTGCAGTAAAAGTCACTCTTGCTACGCTTTAGAAAAGAGACTGGTGGCATTGTGCCCCTGCTCTAGGGATCTATGGAACTTTGAACTTGAGAGAGATGATTTAGGGCATCTGGTAGAAGAAATTTCTAAGCAGGAAGGCATTCAAGATGTGGTCTGGCTGCTTGTAACAGCATATGCTCATATGCATGAGCAAAGAGATTATCTGAAACTGATAGTTATATTTAAAATGCAAAGACATCATAAAAGTTTGGAAAATGTGCATCCTGACCATGTGAGAAAAAAAAAAAAAATCTGTGGAGGAATTCAAGCAGGCCTGCAAAAATTTGCGTAAGTAAAGAGGAGTCAAATGTTAATAGCTAAGACAATGGGAAAAATGCCTCAAAGGTATTTCAGACATCTTTACAGCAACTACTCCTATCACAGTCCCAGAGGCCTAGGAGGGAAGAATGATTTCCTGGGCTTGGCCCAGGGCCTGCTGCCCTTCACAACACTGGGACACTTCTGCTTGTGTTCCAGCTGTTCCAATTGCAGCCACTACTAAAAGGGCTCCAGATATGTCTCAGGCTGCTGGTCCAAAGGGTGCAAGCTGTAAGCCTTGACAGTTTCCATGTAGTGTTAAGCCTGCAGGTGTGCAGAGGGTAAGAACTGAGGCTTGGGTGCCTCTGCCTAGATTTCAAAGGATGTATGGAAAGGTCTGGATGTTGAGCAAGATGTCTGCTGCAGGAGTGGAGCCCTCATGGAGAACCTCTACTAGGACAGTGCAGAAGGGAAATGTGGGGTTGGAGCCCAGACACAGAGTCTCCTCTGGGGTGCTGTCTAGTGGAGCTATGAAAAGAGGGCCACCATTTTCCAGACCCTAGAATGGTAGATCCACTGACAGCTTACACCTGGAAAAGCCACAGGTGCTCAATACCAGACTGTGAAAGCAGCTGTGGGGCTGTTCCCTGCAGAGCCACAGGGGTAGAGCTTCTCAAGGTCTTGGAAGCCCACCCCTTGCATCAGTGTTGATTGAATGTGAGATATAAAGTCAAAGGAGACTATTTTGGTGCTTTAAGATTTAATGACTACCCTCCTGGGTTTTGGACTTGAATAGGGCCTGTAGACACTGTCTTTTGGCCAGTTAATACCTCTTCAAAAGGGAGTATTTACACATTACCTATATCCCTATAGTATCTTAGAAGTAACTAACTTGTTTTAGATTTTACAGGCTACTAAGCAAAAGAGAATTACCTTGTCTCAAATGAGTTTTTGGACAGTGGACTTTTTTGTTAATGCTGAAATGAGTTAAGTCATGGGGGACTGTTGAGAAGGGGTGATTGTATTTTGCAATGTGAGAAGGATATAAGATTTGGGAGGGGTGGTAGGGGAATTATACCGTTTGGAATGATATGAGATTTGGGAGAAGTGGTGGAGAAATTGTATGGTTTAGATTTGTGTCCCTGCCCAAATCTTATGTTGAATTGTAATTCCCAGTGCTGGAGGAGGGGCCTGGTGGGAGGCGGTTGGATCATGGGGGCAGATTTCCTTCTTGCTGTTCTTGGAAGATCTGGTTGTTTAAAAGTGTATAGTACCTCCCGCTTCTCTCTCTTACCCTTGCTCTGGTTGTTTAAAAGTGTATAGTACCTCCCCCTTCTCTCTCTTACTCTTACTCTTACTCTTGCTCTGGCCAGCAAGAAAGCTTCCCCAGCAATGCTTTCTGTACAGCTTGAGGAACCACTAGCTAATTAAACCTTTTTTCTTTATAAATTACCCAGTCTCTGGTATTTCTTTATAGCAGTGCAAGAACAGACTACACCCTCCTCTGTGGCCCTGGCAACTGCTATTGTAATCTCTGTGTCTATGAGCTTGACTATATTAGATACTTCATATACATTAATAATACAGTATTTGTTCTTCTGTGACTGACTTATTTCACTTAGCCTGATGTCCTTGAGTTTCATCTATGTTGCCCAATATTGCAGAATATTCTTTTTTTTTAAAATTGGATATTCCATTCCAAAGAAGACGAACAAATGGTCAAGAGGTATGTGAAAAGATAATCAGTGTCATTAATCATCAGGCATATACAAATAGAAACCACAATGAGATAATACCTCAAACTTGTTGGGATGGCTATTATTAAGAAAAAATAAAGTTAAGTGTTGGAGGGAATGGGGAGCAACTGGGACCCCTGTACTGTTAATGGAAATGGTGCAGCTTTATAGAAAAAAGCATGGAGATTCCTCAAAAACTAAAAAGCAAAACTACCTTATGATCCAGCAATCCTACTTCTGGATATTTATCCAAAAGAACTGAAATCACAATCTTGAAGAGATTTTAGCACTCCTATGTTCATTGCAACATTATTTACAATAGCTAAGATGTGAAAACAAACTAAACGTTCATTAACTGACAAAAAGATAAAGAGTTATATTTGGAACAATAGGAATTAAACATTTTTTATCTTTACATTTCCTAAACTAAGGCACTGAGATAAAGAGTGCTTTAGTTTTGGTGATATCAAGCTACATGGAGCCATACTACAACATGTACCTTAACACAAGACTGACTACCGTCAGAGGTGAAGACTGTTGTCCTTTACCAAAATTTATTTCTCCCATATTCTATTGTTAGAGAATTATAACTGGAGCTATAGCTATCTAATATGGCTGTTTCCAAGCCTGTTTACTGTATGATGTGGGCAGATGACTAATTTGTTGATGATAAAGTGAGCAAAATTATATATGAACATTTTGGGTCCGACCCTGAAAACATGAGTTACTCTTTCTCCCATATTGTGCTTGCCTTTTCACAGCCATGAAAGTGGACAATGGGAATTCCAGCTTTGGGACATCAGACAAGGCTTGTTTTCACTAAACTAACTGGACACTTGTCATTCGTAAATTGACAATATATGTATAGGACTATTTCTAGACAATGTGTTTTGTTTTATTGATCTCTATGTTAATTCTTACACCAATTTCACATTGTCTTTATTAGAGTTCCTTGACAGAAAGTCTCAATATCAGGTATGAGTCCTTAATATTTGTTATTTTTTATCATTGTAATGGATATTTGCATTTTTTAATTTTCCCATTTAAATGTTGAAATCAGATTGTCAATTTCTGGCAAAATCATCAACTGGAAATGTGGTTTAAAATATTTAAAATCCATAAATCAACTTGGGACCATATAAAATGTTAACATAATAAAATTTTTGATTCATAAATGCAACAAATATCTTCATATATTTAGTTTTTTCTCAATTTTCCCATCAATTTTTATAGATTTTAGTATACACATTTTTCTTATAATCTGTTATACTTATGCCTAAGCATTTCATATTTTATTCTATTGTGAATTATGTCATTTTTAACTTTTAGTTTTCTGTTGCTCATAACTTTCCTCAAATGTAAATTATTTTGCATATTGGCATGTAAACTTTTGATACTCTAAACTCATTTATTTTTAGTAATTCGATGGTACGGCCTGTAATTTTCTAGTCATTATGCTATTCACATATAAAATACACAAATATAATACAATTATATGTCTGTTTTTTCAAACTCTGTACTTTTTATTCCCTTTCCTTGTTTTATTGTATTTCCCAACATATCCAAAAATGTTCAATAAAAGAGATGATTTTACACCCTTGCCTTGATCAATCCAGTGAGAATGCATTCGGTTTTTTGCAATTATGTAAGATGTTAGGTATAAGTTTCTCATATATAGACTTTATCAGATTGAATAAATTTTATATTCTTTGCTGGTTTAGAATTTGCAGTTAAATTTTGGATGTAATTTGGTAATACTTTGACCAAGGAATTTTGGTTACTTTCTTCTAAATGTATGGTGTTTTTTTCCTTAATTTTTAAGTCTGGTTTTGATCTCTGTACAATTTTAATTTCAGAATTTAAGTTAGAAAGGGTCCCTGACTTTGATGTTTTAAAAATTATTGTGTAGAATTTCCATTATTTGTTTATAATTATTTGTTAATCTTATATTTATTCATTTATTTTTTCAATGTTTTATCAAAATTGATATATATACAAATAATATTTATAATGTATCTATAAATATATATTATATACACACACAGGTGGAGAGGGAAAGAGAGTACGAGAGAAATACTGCAAGGTTGATTGCATTTTATATAAATGTTGCAATGCAATGTCATTAATGTTTTAAAAATTTTTCCAAATAGTTTAAGGAAAATACTATTATTTGCTCTGTTACTTAAGCTTATCTACTTAATGCTTTTTATTTTTTTTAAGATTTAAAAAACAGAAAACTATATGAAATTATACATATGATAAACAATATTTGCTGAAAGATGTGTCATCTGTGGATGTAGTAGCAGAAAAGAAATCTATTTCAATTGGGTTGGTGTTAGGCATAATATAACTTCTTATTTTGGAAATATTGTACTAAAATTAAATTGGGAAAAGCTTTAAAAAATAAATGAACACATTTTTGATTGAAAAATTTAGTGACGGCACTTAATATTTTATATACCGAGAAAAAAATTACTTAAATTTTGTCTGCATTTTCTGTTAGTTTTCTATTCCTGCTCTAATAAATTATCACCAAGTAACTTGGAACAACACAAATTTATAATCTTGCATTTCAGGATGTCAGATGCCATACATGGGTCTTTCTGTACAGAAATCAAGATGTCAGTAGGACTGAGTTAATTTCCTGTGGACATGTGAGAGAATCCACTTTCTTGCCTTTTCCAGCTTCTAGAAACCACTTTGTTGTTGTTTTGTTTTTGTTTTGTTTTGTTTTGGCTCATGGGTGCCTTCCACCATCTTCAGAGCCAGTAACATGGGGCCAAGTCCTTCTGATAATGCCAATTTCTAACCCTGTCGTCCTATTCCCTGATTTGCTTTCAAAGATGTGTGTAATTACATTGGGCCCAGCCAGATAATCCAGAATAATCCCCCTATTCTCAAATTTATTTTTATATGTCTAAAAGAAGTAACAATACCTCAGAATGTATCCTTAAAACTTTCTCCAAATTATCTAACTTGTACAAATCACTTAGCCTTTTCCAGTCCCTGCTATTGTATCTGTGAACATAGGAATAGCATAGTAAATTATCCCTCAATCAGTGACATCCCAGCAAGAAACATAGAACATACTCAAACTCAGTAATTGAAAGAGAATTTAAGAAATTTTTGTAGAGTATAGGAAACTCAAAAGTTTCTATGACAAGTCATTGGGGGTGGAGGGATGAGTAGATAAGGGAATATTTATTCATACCGCTATGCCTGAAGGGACCAGATTATTCAGCTAACTTGGCCCTGAAAAAATCTTTGAGTGGAGAGGGCCACCTGATAGGAATTCAGGAATTGTAACTTTGAGTACAGGGTCACAGTCAGCTATTAATAGGTGAGGAAACATAAGAGCCTGACCTCACTCTCCACCTTCTCTTCAGTTGCCACAGGTGCCCGTTGCCTCCAATACTTAATAATGATGTGATCTTAACAATTTACTCAACTCCTTTGTGATCTTAATTTCTTTAATAGTATGTTTGTTTTGAGCTTTAAATGTACTCATATCTGCAACTTTATTAAAACTGTGATTGGTCCTTAATAAAACTCAGGAATTGCTGATTGCAATTATTATTAGAAACATTATCATCACATGTCTCTTGGTTGTAGGGAATTGATTCAGAACACAACACTGGCATGTTTAGGGCATTAGAATGGAGAAAAGAGGGATAGATAAATAGAAATAAAATAGTTTATTCAATATTGAGTAGTTAATATATGTCAGGAATTTTGTAGGCATTATAAATAGTTCATGACACTGGGTACACTGGTAAATTAAAATTCAAGATGGTATATGGCAGAGTTGAATTGTGAACAAAGGCAGTTAAACTGGAATATAAAATAATCAATTTTGTATTTTTCTAAGATAGCTGCAGAAGCAGCTTATATGATGAATATAATGAAGGACAGAGTGACTTGGAAAATCGGTTAGCAAAATATATGACAGGCAAATCACATTCCTCTATCACAAGAGGACAAATCATTGGCTATCACCAATCTGAGAGCCAGCATCTGAAAGAAGGCATTAGAAAAAAATTAATCAAAGCACAAGTGTCATACATTTTTAAAGTATAGTTCTTCCTTCAGAATTATTAAAGCTCTTCTTTTGCCTTGAGAATTTCACACAAAATGAATTCATAAGAAGAATAAGATATAATCCTTGGTTTCTTTTGTGAGCTATATTGATAGGGAGGATTCATTTATACTGCCAATGCATTATTTCACAAATCTCTCATTTGAACATTTCAAGTAGAATAGAAAGTTTAAACTAACTATATTGTTACTTAAAAATGAATTTGATTAATATGTGCTATCTTTAGAGTCCTAAAGGATCTGTATGGTTTTATACAAGAAAGACGGTCCTTGAGACCAAAAAAAAAAAAAGTAATCAAGTAGAGGGTGAAATTCTTCCTGCCTCGCTCTTCACTTGGTTTCTGCATTTTGTGTGCGAAAACCAGCTCACATACAAACATGTAACACAGGACTTATAAAAGAGTACATAATGTAAAGAATCCTATTTCTTGGAAGGTTGTATGTGGTTGTATGTCAAAAGTTATAATGCCATTAAAGAGAAACACATTGTATAGCACAATACAAATTATTACTATGCAGTGTGGAAGAGTGAAAAAAGAGGTAGCTTGGATATAATCAACCTGGGTTTTAGTCTTTCCTGAGGCTTCAGGGATTTAACATAGCGGTTTACTTATGGGGATCCTAAAGCTAGACTGTGGAATTTGAATCATGGTTCCAGAACACACGCCTATACGTGACCAACATGAGCAAGTTATTTTTCCTGATTTTATCTCAGTTTTCTCATCAATAAAATTGTCACGATGAGCATTTAATATAAAACACAAGTAAGACTTCTTTTTAAAAATATTTAGTAAGTGTCTGTCATGATTGCTATTATTGTAATTATTAATATAAATATTTTACTACCCTACTTAGAAGTCTAAGTTATGGAGGCCTCCTCCCCTCCACATCACTGACTGCCTTTGTTTTCTTAGACAAGTCACATAACCCTTAAGCAATGTGTCTTCATTGTGAAGTGAATATAAAAGGATTCCTAATATTTAATATCTTTCCAACTGTCAAATTATCTAGTGATTAGAACAGAAAATAAAACACAACTTCTTTGCTATCAGTGTTGCTGGTATTTCAAAAGGAACTTGTGAAGAAGCTGTAATGCTCCCTGAAGTTGGCAAATCTGCTGGGACTTGACTTTCTGCTCAAAGTAAATTCTGAGGCTCCGGTTGTCTGTGGCGTGTTATTCATCGGCTGATGGATGACTCAATGTTTAAATGCTAAGGCCACTGTACACACACATACATGCACACATGCACATACACACTGTAGAGCCACAATTATTTTGTTTTACAGACTTGGGGTATTTTGCAGAATTTTTTTAATAATGAAGCTGTGGTATTAAAACTGAAAAGTTAAAGGTAAAATGTAACAGTTTGTCACAATTACGTGTCATATTGGCAGGTGTTCTGAACTTTCTGTTTGAAAACTAGACATATAAATTTCAGTTCTTAAAGCTTTGCAGCCAATTTAAGGGCTCATTTATTTCACTGACAGCAAGATGTATGTGCAGCCTCACATACTGGATGTCTGGGCCAAAATCGGCACTTTGTGGCTTGCTTGTCTCACAGGGAGTAAATAGTAGCAATTTTTCAGCATAGGCATGCTAGCACAAGGTGTTTAGCAAATAAATGAGCATAAGATGACCTGTGGTGTCCTGAAATTACTAAAATTCATGAATAATAAAATGATCTATAGATTGTTAGCAGAGGGCTACAGCACAGGCTAATTTGCAGCCAGTGAAGCTTTACAGGATAATTTATAACTTTTGAAAATTTAATGACTTCATCAACTTTTACCTATTTTTTACCAATATAATCTCCTGAATACCACTTTCAGCTATGATTTCCTTATAAGAAAATATCTAAGTCACCTACATGTTTAGGTTATTAAAATTAAGGTTGCTTTATTTAGATTTCTTGATTGTTTTATATAATTCAGACAATAATAGGGAAAAAAAACTTTAGTGGGTTCTGTGTGTTTTAATAACAAAATTTGTACAGAAAAAATAATGATTCTATGAAAAGAACTTTGCTATGACATACTACTTAGGTAGTTTGTTACTATTATTTTGGAGCATATTATTTCACTTTTGACAATTAAATTTTTTACGATAAATTCGAGTTCCAACACCAATTCGTTTTTTCTTTGCAAACTTCATAGAAAAAAATATTCCTTAAAAAACAGAAATATATATGCACTCTTATACTAAACACTACTTGGAAAATATTTTTAGTTCTTTTAAAACAATTAATAAATAATACTTGAGTTTTAGCTTTATGTTCACCTACTAAAGACATATGATTTCTTTAAATTCCAGAATGTGCCAGTATGTGTGTTTTGTTTCACAATATATTTACATTTTATAGCTAAGTGTCTTAGATCAGTTATTAGATTGCATTTAGATTATGGCTTTATGAGTCTATTCATTTTTTTATTTTCTGAATTTTCTGGTGGCTAAAACTTTTATATTTATATCACTGTCACATACATGAATAATACAGTTTTTATAGACAGAATTTTGTATAGACTTTTCTCAGTAATGTAGAATTTGTTGACTGAAGATAAATCTGGTTATGATGTGGAACAAAGAGTATTTTTCTACACTGTCTAAACAGGTTAGACAACACATAAGGTGATATAGGCATTGTCAAAATGGAATATGTATGTAAAGCAATGAAACTATTCTAATCTGTAATACATAAAAAAGTTGAATGTAATTCAAAATGTTTGCAGTTGTATTTAGAATAGTGATACTACATAACTGTGGTATATTGGTGTGTGGACCTACATTTTATACTGTACATATTTTTAATGACAAGCATTTGTTTTTCTGAATTGCTCCCACCTTTTCTACTAGCATTTAATATAATGGAAGGAACACAAGAAATAAAGTAGTCCAGGCCGGGCGCGGTGGCTCACGCCTGTAATCCCAGCACTTTGGAAGGCCGAGGCGGGCGGATCACGAGGTCAGGAGATCGAGACCATCCTGGCTAATACGGTGAAACCCCGTCTCTACTAAAAATACAAAAAATTAGCTGCACGTGGTGGCGGGCGCCTGTAGTCCCAGCTACTCGGGAGGCTGAGGCAGGAGAATGGCGTGAACCCGCGAGGCGGAGCTTGCAGTGAGCCGAGATCGCCCCACTGGGCGACAGAGTGATATTTTGTCAAAGGAAGGGAGGAAGGGAGGAAGGGAGGAAGGGAGGGAGGGAGGGAGGGAGTCCAAATGTCTTGTTTATTTTCTTGCCATTGAATTCCCTGGACCTCAGTTTTATTATCCATAAACATGACATACTAATAAAAGTCATCATGACAATCTTGGCTTCTGTGAGTACCATATATGCATGTGATAGCCCTAAAGTACTCCAATTATAATTCCCATAAAAGGAAGAGACTACTGGCTAAGTGAAGAATTCAAAAATAATTATGTTGCAAATATGTCAACAAATTGTGAAAAAGGAGAGGAAGAGGGAGAAATGTTTAACCTGTTTAGGGATAGAGCAATCTATTTTAAAGTGAATTATCCTAGATTATGTTTAATAACTTATTTTTTCATTTGCCAAAAATTATTCAGTATAAATATGACTTGTCAGAAAGAGAGTTTAGAGCCAAGAGGATCAGAGTGAATTATTGACAGTCAAAAACTGAGTGTGGATATTTACTTGCCTTTAGCTTATTTTTTCATAGACAAACTGAGCTATTTTAAGGTTGTGAGTTGAGATGGACAAATAAATTAGATATGTAATTGAACAAGTAATACATATTGAGAAATGTATTCTACAGGAGAAATGAACTTGCCAGTATAATAAAATAAAAAATGTTTGGTGAAAAAGAAATACTATCACCATCAATTTGACCAGTTTAACATAAATTAAACATAGTTTGGTATGTGGGAACCCTTACTTAAATCCTCACCTGTTTTTCCTATGGGCAATTTTTCATTTTCTTTCTTTTATTGTCTCATTAATTTCCATTATTATTTTAAATATTGCTGTGAATAGTGAAAAATAGATATTAAAAATGTCTCAAATTGAGAGTCAAAAAGGGAAGAGCAACTAGAAACAGAGAATTGAGTCAATCAGCTCTCATTCCATTTATTGCCTCAGTTTTTTTATCTTGTCTTTATTAATTATTTTTTATGGCTAATTGTACCTTCCCATTATCAACCCTTAGCTTCACTACCAAAAAGAGGACTGTGTTTATTTCTTTTATTTCAAATCTTAGGGGAAATTTTGGTTTGTTTGGCTTGGATGATATATTTGCCCTGTGGCTAGTGGTCAGGGTACTGTAGTTGTAGGATACTAGTCCTTAATTAGCAGCAAATGATACAGAGTCAAAGGGAAGACTGACACAGGTTTCATTGTTTACCCAATCTGTCCAACTCATCTGCTTTCTATCAGGAGGAATAATTATCTAGGATCTTTCAGGCCTTCTCCTGGAATGTAAAATGTATTTATTTTAGAAATTATCGTGTATTTCACAGTCCAAATCTCCTTGAACTAGAGGTTTTCTAGAATGTTGAAGATTAGACATCCTTTTGACATAGTTGAGGTTTTTCTGTAATCACACTACAAGAGATTTTTACCTCATGAAATTTTTTGGTAGAAGGCCTGTGCTAAATAGCCTGTTTAGTCATTATCTATAAAACTAAAATCTCTGCATGTAAAGGCTCTCACATCTGAACCACTAGGTAGAATAGATCTATTTAGCTATCCCAAGGCAGAGGCTAGTCCTGTAGACCTTGGCAATGACTTCCAAGAAGTAACTAAAGGCCAGAGTGCTGGCATGGCTCACCTGCCTGGGAAGTTGCCGTTTTCTTCCATGTTGTGTCTCATTTGAGGACAAATTCTTATTGGGCAAGTATGCAGAGTAATTGGAGATGGGAAAGCCTGTCTATAGTTCTTAAATGTTACAATATTTTCATTCTGATTTGTATAACATATTTAATTTTTAACATATACCCTGAATTTCAACTGGGGGTAATTTAGTAAAAAAAAAATTATATATTATATATATAATTATATATATATATTATATATAATTTTTTACTTAGTTCTTAGTAGGAAATATATATCATATATAAATATATATCATCTTTATATATATAATATATATTTATATATAAGTGGAAATCATATATATAAATATATATCATATATATATTTCTTACTAAGTTTAGTGTGTGTGTGTGTATATATATATATATATATATATAATATAAACATAAATGCTTGGCCATCTAGAATAGGTGAATATAGACATGTTTATAAAACTGCATGTCTTTGTTGATATTGTAAACTCTCTTGTTTTTCTTACAGTAAGTTTAAAAAGTGAGAATATTAATGTTCTCATATTTTGAATTCCCTAAATATCCAATGTTGATGGGCATGAGGTCAAAATAACAAGGGATCAAAACATGGTCAAAGTCCCAAAAGATAATACTAATATTGTAATTTTCCAAAACCTGAAGTTTGCTGATTCTTAGTGCCCTTATCTTATGCTGGCCCAAAATTCCACATTTTAGGTTTAGTAATTATTACTAAATAACATTTAGTAATTTACCATGACATTTTCAGTTATTAACTTCTGTTTTAATTATGCTTAGTTTATCTTAAAAGTGGAAATCATAATACAAAATCTATGTGCAAATCCAGTAGAAAAGGGAAAAATTGTAGTCAGGCGTTGTTGAAAACAGGGAACAGGAATTCTACATGCCCCAGAGCCTCACTATCTTTCTGTGAAAGATTTAAAGTTTACCTTCACCTTTGCCACTGGAGAAAAAAGTGCCATTATTTTCTTGGTTTCAATTTGAGGACTATCTAAAATAGGATGCTTCTTTAGTATCCATTTAACTTCTGACATAATTGTGTCCTTGTAGACTCTTGGTGTTGTTATATTTATTTTTATACAAAATTGCTTTTTAGAGTCTCAAAATGTCATGCCTCAGAAATAATGTGTTTATTAATTGCTAATTATTAATTCTAGTATTAGATTTGCACTAAATTACCACTGTAAACAGAAGATGAGGATGTGATATGTTAACATGGAAATTGGGGTAATTCATTAAGAATTTACTACTTAAAAACAAAAGAAACTTGTTGGTTATATGTTTTATGCTTTCATATACATTGCTTTTTAAGTTAAGGTATGTGTCTTTCCTCTCATGATCTCTGAGTTCCCACCGTCCTGATCTCTTTTATTTTAAAAAGTATTTTTATTAGCTAGTTGACGAACACAGAATTTTTAAAGAGTTCACATTCTAATTTATGAATATTCAATAAAATATATTATATTTCCAAATGCTACTAATCGTTTTAGCAAATTACTTTAAGCTTATTTATACATTTTTAACTGAGAGCAATTTAATAAGCTACTGTTCACATAAACATAAGTTAATGTGCATATGTAAAATTATAAAAGTTGCAACATAACTTTGTTATTTTAAAAAAATAGTTATCTATGTATTTTACAACTCATGTATTTTCATCACCTGATAAAGGCTTATATTATAACAACATCTGAAGATATATAAAAAATAGTGCTAAAATAAAGAACAATTTTGGGGTCCCATTTTGAGGCATTCAAGTTAACATCTCTTTGGAAACCATCAATTATAAGTCATGTAAAGATAGTCATGAATTACCTTGAGTTTCCCTATCTGCAGGATTAGCTATTTTTGGCCTCCCCTCAAAATAATTATTTAATTTAAAACTCCAGAGATTGCCAACTTCTGTTACTCTTTAAATAGGTTACTTATGTGCCAAGGTACTAATCTCCTTAGCTTTCCCATCTCTGCAGGCCCTGGGCTGGTTCCTTGATGTGCGTAAGAAAGTATTTCAGTTTCCCACAGCCCGGTATATAAACATTATTATTTTCTATGTATAATCTGCTTCTTACCTCACTCCCTGCTCAGAAAAAAAGATGTTGAGGATTACCTCCTTAAGCTATGTCTGAAATGAATGACACTGAAGAACAATTTTGCTAAGCTGACAAAAATGGTGTCACAGGATTGACAAGAAGGGAGAATTCATCAATCTGTCTGAAGATTATGGTGCCTTTTTCTATATCTATGTGTTTATTTCTAAGAGAAGGTATTTATAATCAGCTGCAGAGTTAAAGCAGGTTAAATTTAATGGCTTTTACATTTTGACTGACACTTATTTTGTACACAACAAATATTCTTATCCTTACCCTGCCATTTTAAGTAAAATATGTTGTACTTGCTTCGGAAGGTTTGTTGGTTTCTTTGAGGATGGGCAGTATCTTGGTGCACTTAGTGGTGGAAGAAAGGCCAGTAAAAATTACCCTACGTAAGTGCCATTTAAATTCTCTCTCCTCTGAAAGTTGAGCGGAGATAATGAATTATTTATTCACCAGGTTAAATCTAAGATTTGCAACATGGTACTTTCTCTAAATGAGGCTGAATCCCATTTTTTTGCCCTTTAAAGACATCTTGGATATATTTACAGGGCTTTTATTTCTAATCTAGGAAAATTTGAAATTTAAAACTTTCACCAATTTTCTGGCTGATTGATGAATTTTTGGGTTAATTATTTCCCTTTGACAAGCTGCATTGATTACTTCACCTGTGAAAAGAATATTCATAAATGCTGGATAACCATGATAATTGAAGTAAACTAATGAATTACACTCAGAAAATTTAGCAATGTTCTTAGAATTCTTCTTAGGAACATTCAGTTGTTTTCATGCTGGTCAGCCATACGAGCGACATGTAAATACCAAAAAGTACTTTTTAACAGTTTTTATCTTGTTTGAAAGTAAGTAAATTATAAAGATACAAAGTGAGTATGCGTGATCAATTTTTTCAGTCACAGGATTCAGTGATTTGCCCCACAAAAAATATGGTGTTTAGATTCCTTTGTCCCCCAGTTAATCCTCTTGAGTGAAATTAATTTATGCATGTCTCTAAACTGACTCCTTGCATTTGAATTATACCTGGTGTTTGGAAAACAGAAGTTTGTCCTACCTTTTTGTTTTTCTTGTTGAGACAGTCTTGCCCTGTCAACCAGGATGGAGGGCAGTGGTGCAATCTCAGCTTATTGCAACCTCCACCTTCTAGGCTCAAGGGATCCTCCCACCTCAGCCTCCCCAGCATCTAGGACTACAGGGGTGCACCACCAACCCCAGACAATTTTTGGTATTTTTTTTTTGTAGAGATGGAATTTCACCATGTTGTCCAGGCTGGTCTCAAATTTCTGGACTCATGGGATCTGCCCGCTTCAGCCTCCCAAAGTGCTGGGATTACAGGCATGAGCCACCACACTCAGCCTTGTCCTAACTTTGACAACTTGTCATTTGCTATCTATTCAACTACCTTCCTTTGCTCTGGCATAGGGCCAAAAGCTCCAAGCATAAACGTTCCTCTTTGTTCATCCTAACAGAGGAGTTATCCTTATATTTGTAAATCCTGATATTCTCATACCTGAAGTCTCCATGTGTTTTTTCTCACCAGGCTGGGAATGAAGCAGTGGCATCATCTCACACTTCTCTTGAAGGGGAGTGAACACTATAGTCATGACTCTTTAACTTAAGTGCACTTTTTTCAAATCATCAACCACCATCTTTCTATAGCCAAGAGAAAGATGATGACGTAGGTGAACATGTCAGTTTCCTACTATACCCTGAAGCTTATAGCACCTTCCTTTTGAATTAGTTACCTTGGTACTTTGTACCTGTTTATTTTTTTCAGTGCTTTGGCCTTAGTGAAAGTTAGAATGAAATTGTTACACATGTAAAATGATAAATTTTACCACATGCCTTAATATGCTATTAATATCTTAAAGGTCATTGTAATTAATTACATGTAGTTTTATAAAACTCACAGTTCCCTCCTTTCTTAAATTTCTCATTTCTCAAGCATCAAATAAAAGATTTTGACCTTGAGATTACTGCATTATATGTTAAAGAAATAAAAGGAGCTTTTACAGCGTAGCTGTAGCTTGTTCCTGGAGAAACCTATGTCCAATGACTCCTTAACACAGGGGTAAAAGAGCCTGGCCTCCATGTTTCAATTCAAAATAGCTGTAAAAAACCATTCCAGCTGCAGAACATAGAGGCAAGTTGAGGGATTTTCTGAGACCTTTTCACAGTTCACATCCAATCTCTGGCCAATCCTGATTCTTTCTTTTGCTGTCCTCAGAGAGAGAAATCCTAAGTTGACTCTCTAATAAACCTCCTGTATGTTACCCCTCTCACTTGCTTCTTGGAGAGCCCAAACAGTGACATACAGTCAGTGATCACAAAATACAAACCTTACAATACTAGCAGGTGAGGTCAAAGAAAATCTTTAAATGATTTGAGAAGGACTCTTTGAGAGTATTAATCAGAATGGGTACTAAGGGAAAGCAAATCACTGTACCATCTATGTTAAAAGTTTAAAATGTATCATTTTCTTTAAAAAGTATACTGAAAACAAGCATGAACACTTAATATGTGAAATGTTACAATAGACTATACGGTCCTAAATTTCACCAGTTATTTAAATGCAATATAAGTGAGAATATATTCTCTGTCATGAAGATATTTAAAGTAGTAACACTTACAGCTTTGGAAGTCAAAATTGACTGTATTTACATAAAAAGTACTCAAAAACTTAACATGTTACAAGTGAATACATGATGGTTTTAATGTATAAAAACACAAAATAACATCCCTAACTTGGATCATCCAAAGTGAAAGGATTTCAGAAAAAAAAACACTGTTGTCTATAAATTTTTTCCTTGCTTCTTTTCTTGAAATATGTTTACAGTTTTAGGTTTATATATTTCATGAATAGATCAATAGAGGTACATCCTTTAAAAAAAATAGCTCTTGGGCCAGGTGCGGTGGCTCATGCCCATAATCCTAGCAGTTCAGGAGGCCGAGACGTGTGGACAACTTGAGGTCAGGAGTTTGAGACCAGTCTTGCCAACATGGTCTACTAAAAATAGAAAAATTAGCAGGTCGTGGTGGCACAGGCCTGTAATCCCAGCTACTCAGGAGGCTGAGGCAGGAGAATAACTTGAATCTGGGAGGCAGAGGTCTCAGTGAACTGAGTGCACCACTGCACTCCAGCCTAGGTGAAGAGCAAGACTCTATCTCAAAAAAATAAAAATAAAAATAAAACAGCTTCTACTTTTGCTCATTAATGTTATGAGCCCAATTTTTAAGAGATAAATATATAAAAATTAAAATTAATACAATTGTTTAAACTTCACCTGTTTACCAAGCTTAAGTTACCTGTGGTGCCCTTTTTAGAACTGACAAAATGTGCTGACAATAGAGGAGGCAAATTTTTGCCTATTTCACTCCCCGCCCCTAGTCCTTCTCATTGATACCTTCAACAAAGCAACTCCAATGAAAGCCAATCTACCAAGAGAGCTTGCAAAAATGATATAAATGAAACAGACTGTACATACATATACACATTTAAATGCATCTAATTTATAAAATAGAATGAACAAACTTAGCTAATAGAAGTTTCTCAGAATAAATAAAATAACATGTAAATGGTATAGCATAAAGTAACTTATTTAAATTGGTGCCTTCTATTACTGTATTACTCTACGGTAGTACAGTAATACTCCACCCCTCCTGGTAGATAGCTTAAGCACTACTACCCACCAGGTGACCAACACGAACAAATATCTGCTTCACTCTCATCTTGCTTTTTCTGTACTTTTCGTATTTCAGTTAATTTCCAAAAGACTTAGTCCTTATTATCTTAGAAAAATTGATAATTATTTCAGCTGGCCTTGAATATTCCAGCCTCTATGTTTAAAGTCCTTGACTCATCCAAATTGTGAGCTAACACTTTTCAGTTAGTTCCTACTCTGTGGACCTAAATGAAATGTTAAGGTGTTGAAATACAAACCCACATGATAGGAATTATTATAAGTTTACTTTAGACACAATGCAATGAAAAGATCATTAGAAATAAATGGGATTTCCTGGGAGGCAACTTCATTTTTAAAGTGACCGTAGAAAAACTTTTCCACCTTTCTGACTTAAAAAATCCTTTTTGCATGAGATAATACACTAACAGTTATCTGTACTTCATAGGAATACTGTAATAATTGAATGAAACATTGGAAGCTCCATTAGTCAAGTTTCTCTAGAGAGACAGAACCAACAAGATAAATAAATAGATTAAGGATAGAAAGATAGATAGATGTAGATATAGATGATATAGATATAGATATATGAGAGATAATTAATTATGAAAATTTTCTCATGCAATTATGGAAGCTGAGAAGTCTCATGGCAGGCTGTCTGCAAGCTTGAAACCCTGAAATGCCAGTAGTGTGGTACAGTCCAAATCCAAAAGCCTTAGGACCAGGGAAGCCCACGGTGTAACTCTCAATACATTGCTCAAGGTCTGAGAACCAACCAAGAGTTGGAGGAGGAGGCACTGGTGTGAGTTCCAGGGTCCAAAGGCCAGAAAGCCTGGAGTTCTGATGTTCAAGGGTAAGAGAAGAAGGGTTTCCCAGCTCCAAAAGAGACAGAGATAAAAATTCCCCTTTCCTCTTCTTTTTTGTTCTATCTGGGCCCCTAGGAATTAGCTGGTGCCTACCCGCATTCAGGGTGAATCTCCCCAACTCAGTCCACCAATTCACATATGAATTTCCTCTGTGAACACCCTCACAGCTGTGTGGCCACGGGACTCAGCACACCCCGCTCGTACCGTAACGGCCGCTCGCGCTCCCAGACCCCAACCCCCGCGTTCGGGGCGCCCACTGGCTCGCAGACACCTGGAAATAATGCTCTACTAGTTTTCTAGGTATTCCTTAATCCAGTCAAGTTGACACTTAAAATTAACCATCAGAGAGACCAAGGGGCTTAAGTACTATACATTATTTGCCAATTCAGTATATGGTCATGACTACCGATGCTCAGAATTATTTAAATATATCTGACAGGAAACTCTGGGAAACTTTTTATTAACATTAGCAAGGCTTGATTAATTCTATAGGAGTCAAGAGGCTTTACAACCTTCCTTTCAACCTGCTCTCCTCCCACCAAAGATAAATAAATACACAGGATAGCATAGCTCTAGCAATATGGGTTTCTGTTTGCTATGTTTGAAATTTTTAATTAATTTAAGCTTGCTGAAATTTAATTTACAGAAATAATACATCTCTTTTCCATTACATGTTCTCCTCTTAAAAATGTTTGTTGGCCATGTGTGGTGGCTCAAGCTTGCAATCCCAGCACTTTAGGAGGTCGAGGTGAGAGGACTGCTTGAGTCCAGGAGTTTGAGATCAGCCTGGGCAACATAGTGAGACCCCGTCTCAAAAAAAAAAAAAAAATTAGCTGGGCATGGTGCACAGGTGCATATTCTGGTCCCAGCTACTTGGGAAGCTACAGTGCCAGGATTGCTTGAGCCTGGGAGGTTGAGGCTGCCATGAGCCATGATTGCACCACTGCACTCCAGCCTGGGTAACAGAATGAAATGAGACTCTGTCTCAAACAATAGCAACAGCAATAGCATAACCAACAATATTTGTCAAAAAAGAGAAAAATTACTTGTAGAATCAATGATTTAACATCATAGAAATTTGTATCTAAGAGAATGATGCATTTTATGAGCTCAGTTGATCAATTTATTTTTTTCTTTCAATTTTTAAATCAATAAAATTAGAGTGTATTATAAATAGAAGTAAAATTTGATAGTATTCTTGTATTTTGTGATATGTAAGAATTCACAAATGTAAATTACAAATAATTTTGGAAATAAAGTTAAATAGCAAACACCTGCACACTAAATTTTGCTTTGAGGTAACATACACAATATAAAAAGAAAAAAGAAATATACAGATAAGAAAAAATATGAAGAAAAAGCATTATTTCTAACAACTACTGTAATACATTGAGATCTGAAAAGTGCATGAGAAACATTTTAAAAAGAAAGAGTTTATGGTAAAACAGAAAACAGAGAGGCAAAACTTGTTCTGGTCCTGCCAAGTATATACATGTTCATACTATTCTTAATTTATTATTTTTCAGTAGGAACTTTGACTTTGCCTGATATTTCCTCATACTCAGATTCAGGTTTTTCATTTTAGGTAAGTATATTAGGTTGTGGTGGTGTCTTCAGGTTTCTTTCTCCATTGTAAAGTTAGTTTTTCCTTTGTAATTAGTAAGTAGTAGAAAATACTAGAGAATATGTAACTATCTTGGTATTCTTTTTTTATTTAATCAATGGTTTTAGTATCCATTGATGGGAATCAATCAATAAGTCATTTTATGAAAGTTGCAAAATAGTGATTTTCTAACACCAGTATTGCCTTAAGTTTTGTTGGCATGTTACTCTAAAGAAGTACTAATGTCATTATTTTAATTAAAGAGTCTTTGTATTATGTGTTAAGATTTCAGAGGCTAGTCAGCCCTCGTAGCTTTTCTGTTTAGTGTATGCCAGTTTAAGTTCATCTGGAGCTCAAAAGAGTTCTGCTGGAATTTTATCGCAATTTTCTACTTACAAGTGATTTGAGGTCTGTGATATTTATGTTCTTTTATTTATGAATGATCATGTAGCTTTTATATGGATTTAATAGTTCTTTTTTTTAATGTAGCTATTTTGGAAAATGCATGGAATGATTTTGGTTTGTGACCACTACTTTCCACAGGTTATAAAAAATTAAAATATTTTAAAATACTATTAAAATCATGGTTTGCAAATGACTCTATCTTATTTCTGATAAATTTATATGAATATATGGAGTAAACGTTGAAAGCAACCTACAAAATAAATTACATAGACAGTGTTGTTTAAAATTTAAAAAAGCAGGAAGTGAAATTGAATTTTATCAAATATTCTGAGCAATCATCAAAATAATTATATATTTAATATGCTAATGTAATGGATTATATTGCAATGTTTTTTAAAATTGAATCTTACTTGGATTACTCAGCAAAATTTTATTTGAGATTTTTATTGTTTTTCTCTAAGTGCCTGGAATTTCTCCTTATTCACATTGTATTTGCCAGAATTTAGTATGGCAGTTTACTTTTATATTTTAAAACTAATTGCAATTTTAAGTCTTTTCCTTGCCCTTGAAAAAAACAGATAATATCTATATGGTTCTTCCTAATTGTTGGAAAAAAAAGCAGCAGTTCACTTCTGAAACTGCACTCACCCATTTAGCTTTGTGTTTATTTGTTTCCTTTGCTTAATTGTCTAACTTTCTTTCATCAATATTTCATGTGCAAATTACCATTTCTTATTGATTAAAATTTGGCTGTTTTTACTTTTTTAACATATGTTCAATTTCATTAAAGTTATCAAATGTATTAGCTGAGGATATTCACAGAATTTGACTTTTTGTCAATCTTCATTTTATTTTATTCTATTTCTAATTAATTATGCTATAAAGTGGTTGTTTTCCCCTTTCTTTTGTCAGCATCCTTGTTAATATCAAATGCGGGAGAAAGAAAGAAAAAAAATCTTAAAGGTATTCATGTTTTGTACTTTTAAAATATTTTTTTTTCATAATTTCATTTTTATGTTATACTTTTTTCTAGTTTATTAAGGGATATCCTAAATCAATATATTAATGGTAAATTATCAAATAATATAATTTTTTGTGTTCAAGCTTGCTGCATCAGAAACCCTTCCACAACTTTTCTCTCAAATTTTGAATTATTATATTTACATTTTTATTTCTTTATTAGAGAGTAAGTTCAAGTTTTTCCCAACACTTTATAGGAATCAAATACTCTTTGATTTTCAACATAAAATTTTTAGTCAATGAATACATAGAAAAGTCAAATGGCTTTTTTATTCTCTAAGATCCCAGAGCCAATAGCATGAATGATAGTGAAGACAGAGGCAGCCTCAATAAAGATATATCTCTATGTGAGTGTTTTCTTTTGAGGCGATTGCCTATAACTTTTATGGCTGTAAGCTGCTTTTTAAAATAATATAGCTAGATTTACAAGCAAGATATTGTAGTGCCAATAGCCTTTTTGACAAATGACACTGGTACAACTGGATATCCCTATGCAAAAGAATAAATTTGAAACCTACCTCATGCCATCGGTGACTTAAATATACAAGCTGAAACTATGAAACTTTTAGAATACAAAATAATTATAAATCTTTGTGATCTTTGATTAAGAAATAGTTTTTCAGATATGGCTCCAAAGCACAAGTAACAAAAGAAAAAAGATAAATTGGATTCAAAATTAAAACCCTTCTGTGTTTCAAAGGACACTATCAAAAAAGTGTGAAGATGATCCACATAATGGGTCAAATCATATCTGACAAGCTTCTAGTATCCAGAATATATAATATTATCTTACAACTCAATCATAAAAACAAATTGCAGAATTTTTTAGGTTAGGCAAAATATTTGAATAGACATATTGGCACGGATGATATACCCAATAACATTGAAAGCATCTGAAAATATAGTTCATATTAACATTTGTATATGGCTCTTCATAGCAGCATTATTCCTAATAGCTAATATTAGCCAAGGGCTGAGAGAAGGGAGAATGGAGAACAAATGCTAATAGGTAAAACACTTCTTTTCGGTGTGAAAATATTCTAAAATAGACAATGGTGATGGTTGCACAATCTGTGAATAAACCAAAAGTTCTAAAAATGCTGAAATTCACTAAAATGTGTACTTTAAAGGGTAAATTTCTTTTCTTTTCTTTTTTTCTTTTTTTTTTTTTTTTTTTTTTTTTTTTTTTTTTTTTTTTTTTTGAGATGGAGTCTCGCTTTGTCACCCAGGCTGGATTGTAGTGGCGCGATCATGGCTCACTACAACCTCCACCTCCCAAGTTCAAGTGATTCTCCTGCCTCAGCCTCCCGAGTAGCTGGGACTACAGGAGTGTGCCACCACGCCCGGCTAATTTTTTGTACTTTTTAGTAGAGACAGGGTTTCACCGTGTTAGCCAGGATGGTCTTGACCTCCTGACTTCTTGATCCGCCCATCTCGGCCCCCCAAAGTCCTGGGATTACAGGCGTGATTATATATGAATTTAAAATGTGGGAAAATATATAATAGTGTGTGTGTGTGCACGCGTGCGCGCGCACACGCATGCACATGTATGTGTATGACTGTTAAAACATCTGCAGCCTAGAAATCTGATAACTAACATTTGGAATCACTTTACCTGCAGATGTTTGTTGAAGTTGTGGAAACTGAGATTTCAAAGTGACGTATAAAGAAAATATGTAGAGATTCTAGGTACAGACTTTGGAAAACATCCACACTTAATAGGGAAAAGAAGGAAAAAAGAAGCAAGAAAACTTTCTGTGAGAAACCCTACATGACGTTTCACCATAGACACATATGTGTGTAACCCTCACTGAGCACTAGTCAGTATGAAAGGTGCCCTTCTTTGTAATCCAAATGGTCATCTCTAGCTCCTCAATGTGACCTTCTAAACAGTACATATTTGGGTTAATCATTTATTCATCTTATGATTCTCTTAATTTGTCAAAATAAATCTGCAGTCCATTTTCTATGTGTGTTCTAAGTAGTGTTCTATGCACTAAAAATCCAGGATACGAAGAAAAAAAATCTCTCCCTTTCATGGAGGTTACATAGCAGTGAGGGTGGCAAGCCATATATTAAGTGTATATAAAAACATCTACAGTGTTTCAGATGGTCATAAATGTTATGAAGAAAAATAAAGAAGCGAAATGGATAAGGATACTGGGGTCATGATGGGAGACTAAGGTTTTCATTCACTTTTGAATTTACCTTCAAAAAAAGAGTGTAATTTTAAATACAGAAGTCAAAGGAGGTCTAACTGGAGTGATACATTTGAGTAAAGACCTGAAGGTCATCATGGTGCAAGACCAATGAGTTTCTTGGGGAAAGACTTTTTTTTTCAGGCACAGGAACAGAGAGGTATAAATGCCTTGAGGCAGAAACATGCATCTAACAAATTACAACTTGGAATAAAAACACATTCTACTTTGTGTAATCTAATGTCAATATGCTCAATTAATTAATCTTCAAAGTACTATGTTATCATACTTTATTTGTACTTGGGTGAATCTATGGTTTGTGGTTCATGTATCATCAGATAATAGCTTTTTCAGGGGCAGTTTTCAGATTACCAAATGAAAGTATACATGGATTCTGTGTGTTGTATACTGCTGTATACTCACATATTCAATTTCTCTAAGACTTAATGATTATTGAAAGTCTAGGTACTTTTCGTAGGTTCTCTCACAAGTTTAATTTTTTTCTCCCTCCGGAGGAGTAATAGGTATTTGTGATATGAGCCTTGCTGCATAATCCTTACTTACAACAATGGTTTTAAGATTTTGGGGCATTCTTTGTCATCAATAAGATTACACAATATGATTTAAAAATGAATTTCATTTATACATTTAGATTGAAATATAAGCAATTGATAATATATGAATTAAGCATATTGGATTAGTATTTTTATTAGTCTGAACAACATATTACCTGTCTTTGTTTGCATTCTTCATGACTTAATGTAATTCAATATAACATTATCAAGAATGTAAGGATAATGCTCTTTTCACAAATTATTTCTCCTCTAGTGTTCAGTAATAGCCACACTAACTTTTCACAGTGGTGACAGCTATGTAAGGAAGTGGGAAACTTATCCATAGCAAACTGCAAAGGTAAAAATAGTAATTTGCTGCCACTGAATGGTTTTTAAGTCATTTTCTTTTGTATGTAAAATTAATTAAACAAGCAAGATTGAAAGTTGACACACTGTGGATTTTATTTCTTTTGCCTAATATAGCATATTATTTCCATCTAAAAATAATACTCTGTTGTAATTTCCTTTTATTTTCTCCTTTTAAAATATCTGAAAGTTTAGTTAACTATATCTGGCATTAAGTGATTTTCCCCCAGCAATACGTTTTGTATACAGATCAGATACTTTCATATATTATATAAAACTCAATTTGTCATAACTAAACCAGAAATATTTTTCTATAATAAAAATGCTATGTACAGTTTGAATTTTTGCAGACATTAAAAAGAATAAAAATGAAGCTACTTGTAAGACATAAATGGCTTGCATAAGAAACTTGAAGGTGCTATTGATGCAGAGAAAGAAAAATAATTTTCTATGGCAGGTGTTCCACCGATATTTGCATTGGTTAAACATAATTTATTCATATATCATTCTTTCATCATACTTCATGATAATAAACACAATTAGGATAGAATGCCATAAACAATTATACATTTTAAAGGAAACTGAATTTAGTGCTTTGTATTATGGCAGCAACATTTCATCTGCTTAAATATTGTTTTGTAAAAAGTACAAGGCTTTTGCTAATAAAAGCCCTAATGATTAGTTGTTGAAATCACTGAAGATTGTCGAGGTTGTGGTAGATATCCTAAAAATGTTTTGTTAGCTCATATGAAAGATGAATGCGTCTATAAGAACTATCGTGTTACCTTCTAAATTTATATGGTTTTGTTTCTGATGCTTTATAAATATCCTTAGGACTATTAAAGTTCCAGCCACTGAATAAATGGTATTTAATAGCGGTGTGGAGAAAAACATATGCTTAATTAGTAGAAAAATAAGCAAAAAAGTTTACTATTAGGAGATAATAACTCAGTTAGTTCTGTATTGCTTGGACAGCTCTTCAAAAATAAGAAAATAACTTATTTTACCAGAAAACAAAATGCTGTAGAAATCCAAAATTTATTTTTTTGAGTTATTAACATAGTGGGTTATTCCCATAGTGAGTAAGTACATTTAGTTGGATAGCATTGAATATCTACTTTTACTCAAAGGTTTTCCAAGTAAACTTTTAAAAAGCCTTTATGTAAATCATTTAATATCATTTTAGTAATGCTAATAATTTTACTTTTAAACTTGCTTTACATTGCCACTAGGTGGAACCAGTAAGCCTTATTATTTCTACTAATACATTTTTGTCCTATATGTATATACTGATAAACTCTTCAACTAAAAATTCTAGAAATCTTTCAATACTCAAATCCCTGAACTCTGTGATAGGCGTCAAAGATTAATTATTAATCTAACAATACTGAGAGCAAATACTAGAGCAAAAACAAACAACAAATATCACCAACACAAAAAAATTGAGTAATTTAAAGATATCAAGAAAGAATATGCAGTTTTTGAACAATGAAGAGAAAAAATAAATCAAAATTAGAAACTGTACTGACATATTTATTTATCAATATTAAATTATGTCTGGGTAGAAATATGTTAAATGTACCAAAATAGGTATATACCAATTTTTGAGTTACTAATATTTATTGGGAATCATTAAATCTTAGATCAAACATATTTTGAATGTTTCCATATAAACATTATTGCTGGTGACCAACATAATCAGCTAGTTTATAATTTCCATTTGTGTTGGCACTTTATTTCTCATATTAATCTTTTTATCTGGACCTTTATAAAAGACTAAATGAAGAAGGGATCAGCAAATAGAGAATGCATGGTGGTCACATAAAAAACTTTCTCTGCCTTCATTTAGAGACTTAATTTTTTTCAATACATCTAACCCCCAGAATTAGAAAACACTAGTTGATAGTATGTTCTATAAAAGAAAGAAACAAGTAAGAGAAGTGACAGCATAGTTAGAAAGTAGCATTCTTGAATGTTTCTATAACTTCAGCTTGGAAGGTCTGGAAATTGAGGCTTAAAAAGTTTGGTAGTTTTCACCAAAACAACTACCTTTTAGAGCTGGTTTCTTACATAAGATACCATGGTCTTAATCCCTATGCAAAAGAAAAGCATGACTGGAATGTAGCATATAAGGGACAAGTGAAAAGCAATGAACCATAAAATAAAAACTTAGATCATTAAAGGCCTTGAATGGCATGTAAAATTTTTTCCGGTATTGATGATAATTGTAACCACTGTAATTGATAAGGTAATGTGGGGAATATGAAGACTAAGAATAGAAGAAAGAAAAGGGCAAATAACAAAAAAGCAGCATCTATATTAATTTGCTAAAGCTGCCTTAACAGAGGACCACAAACTGGGTATCTTAAAACAACAGAAAATTGCGTCTTACATGCCTGGAAACTGTAAGTTTCAAATCAGGGTTGGCAGGACCATAGTCCTATCGAGACTTTGAATAGATCCTTCCTTATGTTTTCCTACCTTTTGGTGGTGGCCAGAAATCCTTGCCATTTTCCTTTCCTTGCAATATTGATAGTGGCAGGAGGCAGACGAATGCCTAGGCAGATAGGGGTGGGTCCTTGGTGAAACCCACCTCCAAGCCGAAGACAGTTTAAAGCCTGAAAGCCAAGCTACAGATCTGTGGACTGGATTGAAAACCTGTCTTTTCATTTGGTGTGCTTTCCTCTGATTGATCTCCACCCTTCACTTATTTTACATATACCTACCCTTTCCTATTTGGTTTTCTACACTGCCATGCCCACTTTTGAGTGGTGCCTTTGCTTTAGCCTTTCTTTGCATATTCACAAACCAATCAGCACACATTCCCCAATTCTGAGCCCATAAAAGCACTACCCCCACATCCTCTCTCCAGTGAGAGCTGTTCCATTGCTCAGTAAAATTATTCTCTGCTTTCCTCACTCTTAGATTTTCAGCATATTCTCATTCTTCTTGGAGGTGGGGAGGGCAGCTGCCTCATGTGACAGAAAGGGCGGTGTGATCCGAGCCAGTCCCAGGGCCACAGGCCGAGGCAGGGCAAGGGCATTGCCAGCCAGGTGTCTCCAGCTGGCAAAAGTAACAGAGAAATATCCTGCATCAACATAACCTTCTTCCCATTGTCTTACCTCTGTGTTTGTCTGTGTCTGTGTCTAAATCACCCCCCTTTTATTAGGGCGCTTGTCTTATTTGATTGGGACCCATTCTAACAACCTCAAGTTGATTAATTGCAAAGATCTTATTTTAAAATAAATTATGTTCACAGTTTCTAGGTGTTAAGAATTCTACATATTTTGGGGGAGATATAATTCAAATTATAAAACCATTGTCATTGTGCTTCTACAACAAAATACCTGAGACTGGGTAATTTATAAGGAGTAGAAATTTATTTTCTCACAGTTCTGTACATTGGGAAGACCAAGATCAAGGCACCAGGCTGTTCAGTGTCTGGTAAAAGCCTGTTCCTTATAGACGACAATGTCTAGATGTCCTCACATGGTGGAAATGATAAAAGTACAAAAAGGAGAAAGATGTTATGTCCTCTCATGGTGAAAGAGTGAGCAGAAGGGACAAAGAAAGAGAGAGACAGCTCCCAGGAATTTCCATTATAAATGCTAATCCCATTCATGAAGTCTCTGTACTCATGACTTAATCACCTTCTAAAGGTTCCCACCTGTTTCACATTGATGATTAAGTTTAAACGTATGAGTTTTGGAGAACATATTCAGATCACAGAAACCATCTTTAAACAAAGTACTCAGGAAATATTACGTATATATCTAATGGAAGAGTCTACTAAAAATGCAGATTTGATCAAGTTGGTTAATGGTTAATGCCAGATTTTTAAGTAAGAGTAGGACTGAAGAAATTCTGTTAAACCTAGCAGCAAATAACGTTGGTAATGTTAGCAAAAGTTGTTTTAAGAAACATAGTAGATCTAGTAGAACAAATTTTAGTGAGATGATTATGAATTATTAAAATATGGATATTTTATCAGGAATCTTAATTTTGAAAGGAAGATAATATTGTTTTTGCTTAAGATGGGAAAGTCATGTGCAAATTTAAACTGTTACAGGAAAACAAAACAAGTAAAGATGGAATGTATATGTATATGCTATATTTAAAGGGGGAAAAACAACTTACTGAGGATGGTGAGGTGGCATTAAGAAATTTGAATGAAACAGAATTGGATTGATTGGTCTTTCATAGAGTCTTTAAAGAACATGAGAATAATGTTGGCTCATTCCAGTGTTTTGAAGCTATGGTGAACTTCAGTAAAATATCTAATAATTTTTTAGAAATAAATGGTGAAATCAACTTTGAATATAATTTGATTTTGGTAAGAACATGATTGACGAAAATTTTGAAGGTTTGAATTATCACTATGCAGAATGAATGAGATAGCTGAGTAAAAATATAAACATCCAGCAGTAGGTGCCCATTTATTTACAAAGATTGCAGTTGTACACAGTAACCCAAGTACGGAAAGGGAAAGTCACAAAATTAGAATGATGGAGCTTTGGGCTGAAGTGTAGTTATGTAGCTGGTAAGCTTAATGTAGGATGGAAACTCTGTGGTGACAGGTATAAATAAGAAGTGAAAATAGAAGGAAAAAACACGTACTCTCTAATTTAATAATATTAGCCCATTTTACCCTCCGAACATTTCAAAAATTACCTTGAACATATATATGATTTTAATATTTTTTATATAAAAAATGTAGATCTATCCATGTGAACTTTTGATTTTGTCTTAAAGTACCCAAATAATTGAATCAATTATTGACTTACAGATTTAGGTCCGCAAAAATTTATTTAATTTTGAGTTAAATAAAGAAAATAAACAAATTGAGGTTCAGGACTTGTACCTATATTAAACATATTGATAAATATAGAAAATGTGTCTTTCTTTATAAAATGTTAACATATCAGGAAAATATCCAAAAAATTATTGAATAACTCTGTTTCAATCAGTATTTACAGTCACATGGCCACATACAGATATGTATCATTTTTCTAGGACTCTCAGAGTATGTAAAATATACATCATAGTCATAATAGCAAATGGGTCCCGTGGGCAAAAACCAAAAATGTTAATGGGCTCTTGATGTAGAATATTGTTGATGAGTCACTGTGTCTCCATTTAAGCTGAGAGGGTTTCTTTGTTGTTGTTCATTTCTTTTTAATGAAAATGTCAGCAAGCTAGAAGTTCTTAGCTCACAAAAGCTTTTCGCTGAAGGTGAAACTACAAATATCCCAGTTAAATTTGTAATTATGTTTAAGTGTCCAGAGACAAGAACACATGTAGAATAAGGGGCAAACTCATCATTATTGCTTGTGACCTACCCTCACAATAAATACTTGTAGAATTAATTGTGAAATCAAGATATCATTCTCACACCAGGTTGTTCACAGGTCAAGGAAAAAATACAGAGCAGTTGGCTGTAAATGATGAAAAAAATAAAAATTAAATAAATGGAAATGTAAGAAAGAGATAGCTAAATAGGTTTCATTAACTTCAAATAGCAGGAAAGCTGAAGGTGGCTGGGTGTGGTGGCTTATGCCTGCAGTCCCATCACTTTGGGAGGCTGAGGCAGGAGGATCACTTGAGGCCAGGAGTTCGAGAACAGCCTGGCCAACACTGCGAAAACCTGTTTCTACTAAAAATACAAAAATAAGCTGGGCGTGATGGTGGGCACCTGTAATCCCTGATACTCAGGGGGCTGAGGCAGGAGAATCGCTTGAACCCAGGAGGCAGAGGTTGCAGTGAGACAAGATTGTACCACTGCACTCCAGCCTGGGCTGCAGAGCAAGACTCTGTCTCAAAAACATAAATTAATTAATTAAAATAAAAAAGAAAAGAAAAGAAAGAAAGAAAAGCTAAAGCTAATGTTTTTTGGTATGGTGTTTTTCAGAACCAGACACAAAATTTAAAACACATGACCTTTCCACAAGGTAGTATTTCAGTAAGGTGTGCAGAACTCAAAGGAAAATAAAATTTATCTTTTAAAAATACTCAGTTCATGAAATATAAATCCTCCTAGGTTAAATCAATTCATTTTAAAGTATATTCTATAAAACTGTTGGAAATATACAGTTAAGGCAGAGTTACTTCTCTTTGTAGCAGTTATGACTCCTAGTTTAGTAAATTACAAGAAATATAACATAACCCAGATGAAATAAAAAGAGTTATTACAACCTACTTTGAAGCTGTAGAAGTATGGCTGGCTATAATCACAAATGGGACTAGGGTCTGAGTCAATGTTTCTTTGGTTCTCTTGATGAATGGTAACAAAAGGCTGAGGAGTTCTGGGTCTCATTTCTGTAGGCCACTCTACCCTAAACAGATAGAGGCTACTCTTTACAACACAAATCTTATTCTTTGTTCTGATTGAATCATTCTGGGCCTGTCACTATGGTAATGGCTGCTGCAATCACTCCAGTTTTCCTAAACAAGAATAGTTCTCACTCCTAGAGGTAGGGGTAAATTTCATTTCACTTTGGCTCTATTGTGTCCCAAAATAGTAACAAGAGGCAAATTGTTGTGGGGCTATGAGACCAGAGATGAGAAATATTGTGAAGTTTTTATTGACTATTCAAAGAAGTGGGGAGTTGGCAGTGGTGTATCCAGAAGTGTGGAGAGGGGAAGATCTACCTGAGGAGCAGGTTTAAAAAAAGTACATTGACTAGAATTTTGAAACAAAACAAAACAAAAAATAAAGTCAAGTAAAAGTTGCTCTACTCCTTATTATAACCATGTGCTCACAATTCTAAACAATGTCTCTGATAAATTACCCACCCCTAAAACTTCTTCTTTGGTTTATCTAAATTTTATTTTAATATATGTATAATTTCTTTGCAATAAAATGCATATATTCAGGTGTACCGCATGATTAATTTCGACATATACTTTGACATATACACCTACATAATCACTAACTCTCTCATCAACCTATGGACTATTTCCATCAACTCTGAGAGTACTCTTGGACTTCTTTTCTGCTAATTCCCTACCAAACTCCCAGAAACAAATACAGATAGGAGTCAGTTAGCACAGAGAAGTGTTGCCTGTTATTCAAATTCATGTTAATGGGATCACACAGTGTGTCTTCTTTTGTGTCTGGTTTCTTGTGCTGCATATAATAATGTTCAGTATTAGTATTTATTCTCTTGATTGCTGAGTAATACCCCACTGCATGAATACAGCATAATATGTTCACCCGTCTTCTCTTCATGGAAATTTGCTTTCAACCCCAGTTTTTTTTTCTATTATGAATAAAGCTGTTATGAGCCTTTTTGTAGATATTCTTTCAGTTTTTTTGAGCAAGAAAAAATAGATAGTATAATTGCTTGGCCATAAGGTAGGTTTATTTTCAATGTATAAAAAAATTGTCCAGAGTTTTTCAAAGTAATTTTATAGTCAACTTCCTTGAACATTATATGAGAGTTCCAGTTGATCCACATCTTTGTTGGTACTTGTTATTCTCAATCTGTTAAATGGAGTCATTCTCCTGGTGTGTATAGCTATTTTATTTTAGTATAAATGTGCATTTTTTAAATGATAAATGATGCTGAGGACAATTTGGATCAATCATTTGGATATCCTCACTTATGTAGAGAGCCTGTTCTCATGTAATAATTCCTCAATTCTATAACTAAGATTTGCATACATTTATCATATTTAAAAAATAATATGATATGTTTACTTGTTAATCTTAGTTTGTCAGGGATGGTAGTAAGGCTGGCGAGAATTTTTCTGCTGTGTTCTTCCTTTCCTGAGGTGTTTTCTCATTCTCATTCACTAATGGTTATATCTAAAAGTATTTTTAACTACAGAATTTTGTGTTTGTTACTTGGATCTCCTTTATTTGAACCATCTTTATATGTGTGTGTCCCTTCCACCAGTTCTATTTGACTACATATGCTCACTCTCTATTTACTTCTGTTCCAATATCACTTTATTAGATAGGATTTCTTAAGTATTCTGTTAAAAATAGCAAAATAGTATAATTTTAGACCCCATATACTATAGTTTTTTAAATCTGAACACTTCTTATTCCCAGATAGAATATGTTTATATTTCTCTTTTTTTCTGTCATTCTTGATCCTCTGCTCTTCCCTCCGCTAAATTGCAAGGCTCCTGAAATCTGAGATTCCATCCTATTTCTTCTATGCTGTGTCCCATCCCAGCCCATAGTATAGAAGCTCAATACATATTTTTGGAATGTAAAAAATGAATTCATAATGTAATACATTCTTGTTCAGTCAGTTTTTCTTTCCAAAATGACAGTAGCCTCTACACTTCATGGCGCTGCACTGTGATATCTTGGAGGCCTTCAGTCCTTTGCCATGAGATTATCTAAGAGGCAAGAAGATCCAGATATTCCTTACAGCTTTGTATACATATCAGGTAGGGATGGTGATAAAGGCCTGGCACATTTGCATTTGGGTCAGTGAAGATATCCTAATGAGCAAGACCTTCCCAGGTTCTGTGGCTTTCCAGTTGTATAGACTGAATTTGTCTCCCCGAAATTCATATGTTGAAGCCCTAAACCCCAAGGTGACTCTATTTGTAGACAGAGCCTTTAAGGAGGTAATTAAAAGTAAATGAGATCATAAACACAGGGCCCTAATCTGATAGCACCGTTATCCTTGTAAGAAGAGGAAGAGACACAGCGACCTTTCTCTCTTCAGGAGCACATAGAGGAAAGACATGTGAGGACACAGCAAGAAGGGAGCCATAGAAGACAGGAAGAGAAGCCTCACCGGAAAATGTGATTGCACATTGATCTTGGACTTCCAGCCTCCAGAACCATAAGAAAATAAATTTCTGTTGTTAAATCCACCTAATATATAATATCTTGTTCTGGCATCCCTGGTAGATGAATACACCAGTCCTTTCTTGCTATCTCTGGGGCAGTTTTCTAGAGAGATCTCTCTAACTCAATCATTAGAGACTCTCACACCATTCTTCCATTCATTGAATAAATCCCCACACAGTCCCAGGCCTCACACTTAGGTTCCATAAGCCTAAGCATTCTTTCCGCTCAGAAAAGGCCAAATACTTGGTATTTTAAGTAAAGGAGAAGTGAACCATGCTCATTTGGATTGTTTCCAGAATCTGCTGTTAGCTTTCAATTTTTTATTAAAATCTCCATGCTTACCTAAAATAGCATATTCTGTGACAAAGTCTGATGTCCTTATCTGCAACTATCGCATAGATAGGACAATCCTACCAAGTGATATTTATGATATTTTAATCAGAACATTTCAAACACTGTAAATCCTAACAAAGACAATTCTATACATAGAACAATACTTTTTGTTGTTGTTGAGACAGGGTCTTGCTCTGTCGCCCAGGCTGTAGAGCAGTGGTGCGCCATTTTAACTCACTGCAATCTCCATCTCCTGGACTCAAGCAATCCTCCCACCGCAGCCTTCCAAGTAGCTGAGACCACTGGCATGCACCACTACACACAGCTAATTTTTTGTATTTTTTGGTAGAGATGGGGTTTTGCCATGTTGTCCAGGCTGGTCTCAAACTCCTGAGCTCAAGCAATCCACCCACCTCTGCCTCCTAATGTGCTTGGATTACAGGCATGAGCCACCATGGCCTGCCTCTTTACTTAAAGCAATACTTGATGTTCTGAGACTGAGCTGCTTATCCACTACCATATATTCCTATCTGAATTATAAAAATTCTAATTTTATACGCTTTGCACTTATCTATCTAGAGAATACATTTATTGCATTTAGTGACTATATATGATTCATCTTTAAATTTACTAGATAATGTTTATTAAATTGGCATTCAATAAATAATTAAATGTAATACAGGAGAAAAGGCTCACAGTGTTCCTGTTATCAAATTATTATCAAATACCCCTAATTTCAAAGTCCTGGTTAGCAAGACAAGAACAACCAAAGTCTAGCTTGTTGGATATAATTTAATTACAAAAATTTAATTAGCAAGCTTGTCATTTATTTCCATTTTATATGCCCAGCATTCAGCACAGTGGTTAATAATATATTATTTTGATAAAAGAGTGAATTATCATATAGAGGGTAACTTCAACAATGTGTAGGACTCAAGACCCCAATTACTAATGCCTTTTAGGTATCCAGTTAGGGATTTCAAAATTTTAAAAATTGAGTCTCTTTCTATATAGCTTAACAAAGTTATCACTATAAAGACCTACAAATATGAGACATCAGGTATACATTTGCTAGTGATATTTTAACAACCTTTCAAACTGTCATTATGTGGAAGATGCATTAATTAAAAAAATAAAAGGAAAAAAACAGAATCTCTGGAACCCACACCTAATAAAGCAAGCTAATTCTGATCCTATTACAAATTATTTCATCTTTATTGCAGTTTACCATGAAAAGATCTGAACAGATTTATTAGCACATTAAAAAAACAATATAAGAGAGAAGACACAAAATATTTTCTTTAACAAAGTCAGAAGACTTTTAAATTTTACAGTAAATGTGTTACATAAATTTAAATTATTGTTATATTTTATTGTTCTACTTCAACTCCATCCTACTTCCAGAGTAAAGTAATAAAAGTTAAAAAGAATAATATAGATTTTAATAAATTGTTATTTTAATTAGTTGAACAGTCATTTTCATTATTTTGTAATTTAAGTTTTTATAGTCCATTTGCTTGATATCATAGTGCTACATATGTTTGCTTGTTTATTTGATGTTTTAACTTGGGATTAATTTTAAAATTATATTGTCCAAAAAAAGTAATAATATTGATATCAACTAATTATCATCAGTAATTGATGAATTCATTTAATACTACTTTTAACTCTTAGGTGTTCATAAAACTCATATTTCTACTAATAAAACAAGGAGTTGTTTTGAAATTCTGATGACTTGGAAAGCAATATGTGGATAATTATATAAAGACTAAATCATCATTTATAACAATTTTATGATAATGAGATATAAGAATATATTTCCCAAATAAGATCATTTCAATTTGAACCATATTATACGTTCTTATTTTCAATATCAATGCACCCAAAATCTATCATTTTATCTATATAAAGAACTAAACAGGAACAATCTCATATACATCTCATTAGTATTTCTTTATAGTGCTCTTATAAGATCATATTTAATGCTGAAAACACAGAATAAGTATCATTTGCATTTTCAAGCTGATTTCTATCATTTTGTATTGAAATATATATTGCTGATACCTTTGAAATCTAGAAAATATTTTCCTCAAAAGCAAATTTATTGCTCTGTAATTGCACTTACAATATAATTTTCTAAAATGTTTTGAATATTATATTTTTAAAAAATTATAAATTGATCACCATTATGAATGCATTACCTTAGAAATAATTTTGACTTTGTTGTTGAACTTAATGATATACCCTGAACAAAGATGTATCTTTAAAAATTTTTAGTTATAATTTCACATTTAAATGTAATAAAACACAACTGTGAATCTATAATTAACCATTATCACAAACAATTTCACTAGAAAAAAAATACAAGCAAGTACACACTGCAGTCAAAATTGAAATGAAGGATTCAAGAAAGGTGAGATCTAAGTTTAACTACATATTTTTATTTATCTAAACTTAGGTTTGGGCTTCCTTAAAAATCAATGATGTTAACATGTCTGAATTAAGCCAATGCATATAGTAAAACACAAGATGTGTAAAACAATGGCTGAAGACCTTAGCTAATCAAGTGTGTCTCCATATCGTTGGAAATGTTTATTATTACTCTAAGCCCAAGTTATTTTAAAAGCCATACCTTTATCACAGAAGTGAACTATAGTTAATTTTACCCTTTTCAAACCTGTGACACAACTCTTTATAATACAAACAGCACTATTAAACTTCATTTATTTACCAAAAATCATGATATAGAATATCATTTTCAAAATGTATAATTCTGATTACAATTGAGCATTCAAAAACATTTTAACAAAGCATGAGTTAAGATCCATTATAAAATTTTTCCCAGGAAAAATTTAAGTGTATTATATACATAAAGCTTTTATATCTATTATAAATGTTAAACCGTTAAGAAAAAATAGTGAATTTTACAAAAACAGAACATGTTATTTCAAAAGTACTTTATGCCACATTCCAGAAATAAGTTCTATTTATGTACGTAGTCTATTTTTAAAATATATGATAGGGTAAAATTATTCATGAAATTAAGTTGAAAATGTAGAAGAAAAAGAAATATAACAGCAAGTGAGTCAAAATTTTAAAAACATAACCATCTTTAAAATTTTATCATTTCATATTAGACAAATATTTATAAATAACCTTGAATTGAATCATTATTTGCTGTCATTTATGTAAGTATCTCTGCATAGCAATTTGCTGATATTTATTAGGCAACATCCTTATCCATACTAATTAACTATAAAAGTGAAACTATTTGAATTATTTTAGAATTTAATTATAATTAAAATGCTCTATATTGGATGTTTTCCAATTCTCCTTTTATCATAATAATATTGAGAGACAGGTATTGCTAGTCTACTCTGTAAAATCACGCTTAGCATTTATAAAAATATTACCTAAATGATAAAATAAGAGCTAAGATTTAAATCCATGGCTTTGAATAACAAAATGTATGCTCCTCCCAATAGATTATGTTGGTTTTCACTAAAATTATATTCAAGAAAATCTTCTTTGAAAATAAAACATAAAATGAACCAGACATACACATAAAAATTTTTTAAATATAACAATTCAGAATATATTAGAAACTCCTATAAATCAATGTTTAAAAAAACATGAAACCCAATTTAAAGTTAGGTGAATGACTTGAGCAGTCATCTTGTTGGAGAAAACTATGCCTGGCAAATCTATATATTTTGTATCAGCTTTTGTTCTGGATTATCATTTCTAGTGTATTTGGTTAGTAAATGTTTGGGATTTTTGCCTATTTTAATTTAAATTAGTATAATAGAATAGGTAATAAACCAATAATCCCTTGTGACATGCTCCTTTACTCAACATAATATATGTGAGTCATTATATTTTGCTCATAGCTATAGTTTACTCATTTGCATACATGTATAACATTCTGTATATATTCTATCCTAGTTTATGCATTATACTTTTGAAGGACAATTGAAATACTGTCTCTGTATAGGTAAAGAAGGCAGGTTTGTTTTGTGGACAAAATAGTAAAGACAATGCTCTTTTTTTCTTTCAAATAAAATTATGGCAGCTGGCTGGCAGCACCCTATAAAAGTTTTGAGTTCCTCTGCTGTGATATAAAACCACTTTGTACTTGGCATCTATCTAGGTCCTGCTCTACATACCTTGGAAGGGACTTGAGGGGCAAAAGCAACCAAAGCAAACATGGAGCTCATGCTGTCAAATGTGTTGTGAATAATAAAGTCATTTTTACCTTACCCAGGAGTTCTGTGTCTTCTTCCAGCATCTACAAAACTGTATGAGGCTAACTTGTTAACTTATATATAGAGGAAAATTTCAAATGCTTCACAGTCCTAGGAACACTTCACTTAAAAAATAAATAAATAAAAAATAAAATAGTCTACATACCTATGGAATGGTGGACAAAATTACCATTCAGTGTCAGTAAAATTTATTTTAAAATCATAATGCAATCCCAGTACACATATATCAAATTAGCACGTTTAAAAGTTTGATAACATCAATTTTGCACAAGTTTGTGGAACAATAGGAATTCAAATACATCACTGACGATTGTGCAATTTAGTACAATCATCTTGAATAAAAATTTGGGCATTACCTAGCCAAGTTGGAGATATATAAAAATAATTCTACTCCTAATTACATAACGTAGAAAATTCCTACAGGTATACCCTAGGAAAAATGCACTATGCTTTTTATAAGAGCACCGTTTTGAGTATAGAAAATCTGTAAAAATTAATTGTTCTTCAAAAATAAAATGCATTAAAGGGTAGCATGATCGTTCAATAGCATATTATACATGTATTCAAATGAAAAAAAACTACAGCTATACATACAATGTGATGAACCACACAGAATTTTGAGTAAAGAATGCAAGAATATTCGTTGATTATTCTACTAATTTTAAGTTAAAACACACAAAAAACTAAAACATCCCATGATACATGCGTATGTTTTAACCAATTAAGAAAAAAAAAAGACTTATCTGAAGAATGTAATTACCATCATGTGACATTTGAAAAAATGCAGGTAGAATAGTTTGTGAAGACCAGTGGTCAGTTTTATAATATTAAGTTGTACATATCTTATATATCCAAGTAGTGATGTTTACTATTCACTCAAATATGGTTTTGTTCTTTAGTGTGAAGGAAAAATCAAGGTTTGATGTATAATTTTGTCATCAGTACATAATTTTGTACTGACATCAGAGGTTGTCAGTACAGATGTAGCATTTAAAGCCATGAGTCAGAATGGACATTTCAAAGAAAGAATATACATACTGATGACCGAAGATTGAGATTGCAGGTTTTTCAACAATAATTATCAGAGGTAAAAAGGAGAACCATCAAATAATACTGATAAGCAGTGACCAGTGAGGTATAACAAAAACAACAAAAAAAATGTAGTGTTCTAGAGGACAAGTAAAACATTTTATCAAGAGTGACAGTCTGCATCAAATATTGCTGAGTAGTCAAGTAAGATAGGAACTAAGTATATAATATGCCTGTGTATCTAAAATATGTAAACTATAAATATTGTAAATAGTAATATTGTATTGAAATGACCAGAAAAATGCTTTTTTGGTGGTGTATTGAGAGTCAATGTCTGATTTAGAGAAGATAAGAGGTGAATGATTGACAAGATCAAGGAAGGAAAGTAATTTTGAGAAGCTTTAACAAAGACTTTGGAGAATAGGATTCAAGAAAATCACTTGAAAGGAATTTATCTCATAGAATGGGAGAATATCTGCATGTATTTACACTGAAGAAAGTGATGGAGTAGAGAGCAAAGAAACGAAATGTAGTGATCGTAGTAAAATCATAAAACATTTGGAATAAGAACCTTTAAAAAACTTTCCCATAAAAGAAAAATATAGACTTATGAAAATCATTAGAATCAAATTTTTCAGGACACTAAAAACTGACCCATAGCATGTAACCATCCAGGAATCATTTACTTAAGAAAACTGGCTGAATTGTAATAAAAATACTGAGGATTATAGCCTTTTGATTTGTCTTCTCTCATTTCCCCTTTCTATTTCTATGGTAGCCAGGAAAGAAACAGCACTTACTGTTTTTTTCCAGAACTAGTACTGGAGGTTAAAGAATGAGGTTGAAATTCTTTTAAAGTCATTTATAGAGAATTATTATTTTACCTATCTGATAATTCCTCATTTACAAAGTTGTCTGTATTTGATATGACTTGAAGTTTGCTGAGTACAAAAAGCTCATGCCTCAGGGAATTTGTCAAAAACAACTACAGGTGCTTATCTAACATTGCAGCTGCCTAGATGGTGGATAACAGTTGGAGCAAACAATAGATGAACCAAAAAGATTATAAAAGGAAATACTGGAAATCACATGTCTATAGGGAATTTGAAAAGCTACAACATTGAAGGCCATGTGCATGTAGGCCATATGTGTGTGTGTATAGCCAAGGATGTGCTCTCACTTCTGGTTGGCCTTGAAGTTTTGAGAAAGCAAAACCTGTAGGATAAGGCAAGGGTGTTAGCTGTCTGGCTGAGTGTCAAAATTTATGTTCCAACATTGATACAGGGCACCTTGGCAAAATGTAAGAGACTTATTGGCTCTATTTAGTAAAAGAGCTTTCCTTACACCATTAGCTGAACACCAAATTAATTGAGTGCAGAAGACACTTCAGTGGTCATGTAAGATTAAAAAAAAAAAAAAGCAGATCAAACACATTTTACTAAAGCAGCCCAAAAATATAACAGGACAAAGAAACAAAACAAATAAGGCAAACAGCAACCAATAACCCTGGAAAGAAAAACAGGTATGATTTCTAAAGATACCACATCATACTATGTAAATTGTCTAGGTTTTCACCAAAAATAAAAGGCATTCAAAGAAATAAGAAGGCATCATTCATACACAGAAAACAAAGCAATCAAGAAAACTAGCTCTGAGAAACCCCAAATTTGGACTTACTAGAGAAAAACTTTAAATCAGCAACTTTAAATATTTTCAATCAACTAAAATAAGTCACACATAAAAAATAAGAAGTACGAGAATGACACCTTATGATATATAGAATATCAATTCAAATAAAGAATAAAATATTTTAAGGATAAATTTTGAAGATCATGAGTACAACGATTGAAATGAAAAATTCAAGAGGGGCTTCATAGTATATTTAAACAGGTGGAAGAAAAAATTATCAAACTCAAATATAGGCAAATTTTGATTATTGATATGGTTAGACTTTGTGTCCCCACCCAAATCTTGTCTTGAATTGTAATCCCCAGGTGTTGAGGGAGAGACTTGGTGTGAGGTGATTGGATCATGGAGGAGGTTTCCCCTATGCTGTTCTCACGATAGTGAGTGAGTACTCGTGAGATCTAATGGTTTTATAAGTGTTTGGCAACTTTCTCCTTCACTCACCCTTCTCTTGCGTGCCACCATGTAAAATATGCCTTCTTCCACTTCCACCATGATTGTAAGTTTCCTGAGGTCTCCCCAGTCATGCAGAACTGTGAGTCAATTAAACTCATTCCTTTATAAATTAGCCAGTCTCAATTATGTCTTTATAACAGTGTGAAAATGGACTAATACAATTATCTAGTCTGAAGAACAGAAAGCAAAAGAATAAATGGAGATGAAGAAAGCCTCAAAGACCTGGATGACATCATCAAGCCTACCAAAAAACACATGATGAGAGAGCAAGGTGGAGAAGAGAGATAGAAAGGAGTAAGCACAATTTGAAGAAATAAAGGCCAAAAATTTAACAAATTTGATTTACAAGGTTAATCTATACAAAAAAAAAAAAAAAAGAAGCTTGGCAAATTCCAAACATGATAAACTTAGAATTTAGTGCCTAGACTAATAGCCAAAAGTCAAAGAAAAAGAGAAAATCTTATAAGCAGCAAGAGAGAAGTGACTCATTATATATAAATAATCTCCAATAAGATTAAGAGATAATTTCTCACCAGAAACCATACTGCCAGAAGGCAGTAGGATGACCTACTCAAAGCTCTGGGGGAAGAGAAAAATAACAGAACAAACAACCCATGTTAACCAATAATTCTATATCCAGCAAAATGGTACTTTGTAAACAAAGAAGAAATTAAGACATTCCAAGACAAACACATCCAGAGACAATATTTTACTAGGAGACCTACCCTTTAAAAATTAACATAATAATACTTGAAACTAAAATTAAAGGACACTAAAGTGGCCTAAACCCACATAAAGAAATAAAAAGGAACCAGTATAGACAACTCCACAGGTAAATATAAAAGACAATATAAATGTATTTTCATTTAAAATTATTTTTTCTCCTATATGACAAAAATAGCCACAACTTAAACGAAAATATGAAGTAAATGTTATAAATGTATTGATGGGTACACTTCATCAATATTTAATCTTTATGATAATAACAGCAAAAACGAGGGAGGAAGAAACAGCTACATAAGTACAAAGATTACTGTCAACACTTGAAATAAGTTGTTATTAATTTGAACCAGTTATTATAAGTTACAATGTTATTTTTTATCCTCAGGAAAACCACTAAGAAAAAAATAGTAAATTAAAGAACTGGAGAATGTAAATGGTAAACTAGTACATATATGTATGTATATATATTTGTGTGTGTGTGTGTGTGTGTGTGTAATGCAAAAGAAGTCCACACAGGAATATAGAAAAAAAATAAGACATATAGAAACCAAATAGCAAAATGCCAAATATACAAATAATTGTATCAAATTTAAATTGGCTAAACACACCAATTAAATGTAGAAAATTGGAAAAATTGATAAGAAAACACACTCCATACATATGCAACAAACCTGTACATTGTGCACATGTAACCTAGAACTTAAAGTAAAATAATAATTTTTAAAAAAGAAAAAAAAAGAAAACACACTCCAACTATATGCTGTGTACAGGATACACACTTGAGATTTAAAGACAAAAATAGGTTGAAAGTAAAAGAAGAATACAGATCTATTACACAAAAATAATGAAAAAAACTACAGTGACCATATAAATATGATACCAATAGCCTTAAATATATCTGTTTTAACTAGAGACAAAAAGGACATTTTACAATGACAAAAGTACCAATCCATCAATAAGATACAATAATTATAAACATATATGAATATGTATTAGTCTGTTCTTGCACTGATATAAAGAAACACCTGAGACTGGGTAATTTATAAAGAAAAAATATTTAATTGGCTAATAGTTCTGCAGGTTGCACAGGATGCATGATGCTGGCATCTGTGCAGCTTCTGGGGAATCCTCAGGAAACTTAGAATCATGGCAGAAGGCAAAAAGGAAGCAGGCACAAATTATGTGGCCAGAGCTGGAGGAACAGAGAGCAAGGGTAGGTGTCACACACTTTTAAACAATCAGATCTCATGAGAACACTATCAAGCAGAGCACTAAGAGGATAGAGCTAAACCATTAGAAACTGCCCCCATGATCCAATCACCTCCTGCCAGGCCTCATTCCAGCACTGGGGATTACATTTTGAAGTGTGATTTGGGCATGGATGCAGATGCAAACTATATAAGTATCTAACAAGAGAACCCCAAAATATATGAAGCAAGAGCTAACAGAAATGAAAAGAATACAACTCAACAATAACAGTTGGTGAGTTCAATACCACACTTTGAATAACACGAATAACTAGGCAAAAGAACAACAAAGAACAAAAGCCACGAACAGCATTATAAAACAACTGGACTTAATAGACATCTAAATATTACTCTAGCTAATGAACGCAGAGTACCTATTCCTTCTCAAATGTGGATAAAAGATTTTAAATATTGGACTGCATTTTATAACATAAAATGACCCTCAAAAATTTAAAAATCATTAAAATAATAGATATTGTATTCCTCAACCAGAATGGAATAAAATTAAAAATCAATAACAAATGGATATTGGTGAAATATACAAATATCTAGATTTTTAAAAAAATTCACAATAACCAATGAATTAATGAAGAAATTAGAATTGAAATTATATAATACTTTAAATTGCATTAAGGAATGAAAATGAAAATATAACATGCTAAAACTTACAGAATGAAATAAAAGCAGGCTTAGAGGGAAAATCAAAGTTGTAAACAACTATACATAAAAAAGAAAGGAAGGAGTGAAGGAAGGAAGGAAGGAAGGAAGGAAGGGAGGGTGGGAGGGAGGAGGGAGGAAGGAAGGAAGATTTGTCTCAAATTAACAACCTAACGTTTCATCTTAACACATGTGAGAAAGAAAAGCAAACTAAACCTAAAGCAAAAAGAGGGAAGAGAATAATAAAGACTAGAGTAGAAATCAATAAAATACAGAATAAAAATACGACAGATAAAATTAACGAGTCCAAAAATTGTTTTTTTGAAAAAAAAATCAACAAATTTTAACAAATTTACGATACGAAGAAAAAAAAAGACTGAAATGAGTAAAATCAAGACTGGAGAGCGGAAATAATGAATTTACAGAAAAAAAAAAGGATTATAAGGAAATACTACAAAAATTGTATACCAGAAACAGATATCTTAGATAAAATGGACAAATTTCTTAAAAGAAACAAGTTATCAAAACTGACTGGAGAAGAAAATCTCAATAAACTTACAACAAGTGTAAGATTTAATTAGTAAGAAAACATTCCCATATAGAAAAGCCCAAGTCCAACTGGTTACACCGGTGAATTCTAACAAATGTTTTAAAAAGAACAAATGTTATAAATAGCAGCAACCCTTCACAAAATCTTTCAAAACACTGAAGAGTAGAGAACACTTCCTAATTCATTCTATGATGTCAGTATTCACAGATACCAAACCAGTGGAACACACCACAAGAAAAAAAAAAAAACTACAGAAAATTATCCTTTATACACATAGTTGCAAAATGGCAAAATTCTAGCAAACAGATTCTAGTAACACATGAAAAGCATTATATATCTTCACCATATGGGATGTATCTTGAGAATGTGAAGCTGGTTTAATATCTGAACATCAATAAATGTAATAGATCATATTAATAGAAATAAGTAACAAAATCTAAATAATTATTTCAATTTATGTAGAAAGGGAACTTGACAAAATCCAACAACCTTTCATGATAAATATTAAGCAAACTAAAAGTGAAATGGCACTTTTAAAAACCAATAAATGTAATATCTGAAACATCATAGCTAATATCGTATTTAATGTTGGAACATTGAAAGTACTTCCCCTAAGATCAGGAGCAAGACAAGCATGTCCACTCTAGCAATTCCATTGAACATTGTGCTAGAAGTTCTAATCAGGGCAATTAAGCAAGAAAAAAATTAAAAGAAAATATAGATAGGAAAGGAGGAAGTAAAACCATTGATATATTTAGATGACATTATCTTATATGTACAAAATCCTGAAGAATCCACAAATAATTGAATTTCATAAACAATTTCACAAAGATTGCAGTATACAAGATCAATATATGAAAATGTGTTGTATTTTTATGTACTACCAATGAACAATCTCAAAATGAAATGCAGAAAATTATTCACGTATAATACCATAAAACAGTAACAAATAATTAAGAATAATTTAACAAAGAAGTATGAGACTTACGCACCGAAAACAACAAAGTATTGCTAAAATAAATTACAATAAGATCTCAACTGAAAAACATTCTTTATTCATTGGATTTGTAATATTAATAGGATAGCTCTACATGCCAGATTGAACTACAGATTTATGTAATTCCTGCCAAAATTCCAGCCTCTTTTTGGCAAAAAATTGACAATCCCAAATTTTATCCAAATATGTATTCCAAAATTTATTCCAAAAGTTATCAAAAAATCATATGGAAATGCACGTTAAAGAGGATAGTTGAAATCTATGTAAAAAGAAAGATAAATCTGGGGGACTCCCACTTCCCAATTTCAACACTTCCTATAAAGTTATGATAAAGAAAAATATGTAATACTGGAATACAAGTAGATATATAGATCAATGAAATAGAATTGAAAGTACAGATATAAACTCAGACATCTATGGTAAATTGATTTTCAGCAGGAATGACAAGACCAGTTAATGAGGTAAGAAGAATCTTTTCACCTAATGGTGTTGGCACAACTAGATAGATTCAAGAAAATAAAAGGCTTTGGAGCTCTACTTCATGCCATTTACAAAAATTAACTCTAAATGGATCAAAAATCTAAATGTAAAAGCTACAAAAATCTAAATGTAAAAACTACAAAACTTTTAGTTGAAGTCACAGGCTTAACTCTTTCTCTCTCTCTTTCTTAATCTTGGATTGGGAATTTGTTTTGTAGATACACAGCTAAAGCACAAGCAACAGAAGAAAAATGAGAAATTAGCGTTTGTCATAATTAAAATATTTTGTGCTCCATAGGTCACTATTCAAAAGTAAAACACAATGAAAGATTTTCAAAACATGTACTTGATAAGGGTTTATAATCAAGAATATATAAAGAGTTCTTACAACTCAAAAATTTGAAAAACAACAAGCTGAATTAAAAAGTAAGCAAAATACTTGATTAGATATTTTCCCAAATAAGTATATATGAAAGCAATAAACAAATTAAAATATGCTCGATATCATTAGCCATTAGTGAAGAGCTAACTCAAACCACAATGATATACCCTTTCATATCTCTAGGATAGTTATCATCAAAATTATGGACAACTATTGAAAAGAATGTGCAGAACCCAGAAACTTTATTAATTGTTGGTGAGATTGTAAAATGTAGCTACTTTGGAAAATAGCCTGGGAGTCCAACAAAATAATTGTAGGGTTTCCATATGACCCAACAATTTATATCCTAGATATACGTCTACTCAATTAAAATTATTTTTACACAAAAATGTGTACATGACTATTAATAGAAGCATTGTTTATAATAGTCAAAGATAGAAGCCACCTGTATTAGTCAGTTCTCATAGTGCTATAAGAAATACACAACACAGGGTAATTTATAAAATAAAGAGGCTTAATTGACTCACATTTCCACATGGCTGTGGAGGCCTCAGGAAGCTTACAATCAAGGTGGAAGGTGAAGGAGAAGCAAGCACCTTCTTTACAAGACAGCTGGAGAGAGAAGTATGAAGGAGGAACTTCCAAACACTTATAAAACCATCATATCTGATGAGAACTCACTCGCTATCACGAGAACAGCATAAAGGAAACCAACCCCATGATCCAATTACCTCCCTCCCAGGACACATGGAGATTATAGGTCCCTCCCTCAACATGTAGGGATTACAATTTGACAAGTGATGTTGGGGGGGGACACACAGCCAAACTGTATGATTCTGACCCTGGCTCCTCCCAAATCTCATGTCCTCACATTTCAAAACCAATCATGCCTTCCCAGCAGTCCCTCAAAGTCTTAACTCATTTCAGCACAACTCAAAAGTCCACAGTCCAAAGTCTCATGTGAGACAAGGCAAGTCTCTTCTGCCTGTAAGCCTGTAAAATCAAAAGCAAGTAAGTTATGTCCTAGATACAATTGGGGCACAGACATTGGGTAAATGCTGACATTCCAAATGGGAGAAATTGGCCAAAACGAAAGGGCTGTGGGCCCCATGCAAGTCCAAAGTCCAGCAGGGCTGTCTTTAAATCTTAAAGCTCCAAAATAATCTCCGTTGACTTCATGTCTCACATCCAGGTCACTCTGATACAAGAGGTGGGCTCCTATGGTCTTGGGAAGCTCCACCCTAATGGCCTTGCATAGTACAGCCCCTTTCCTTGCTGTTTTTATGGGCTGGCATTGACTGTCCGCAGCTTTTCCAGGTTTATGGTACAGGCTGTCAGTGGTTCTACCATTCTGGGGTCTGGAGGATGGTGGCCCTCTTCTCACAGCTCCACTAGGCAGTGCTCCAGTGGTGACTCTATGTGGGGACTCCAACCCCACATTTCCCTTCTGTACTGGCCTAGCAGAGGCTCTCCATGAGGTCTCTGCCCCTGCAGCAGACTTCTGCCTGGACATCCGGGCATTTCCATACATCCCCTGAAATCCAGGCAGAGGTTCCCAAACTTCAAATCTTGACCTCTGTGCACCCACAGGCCCAAAATAAAATGGAAGCCACCAAGGCTTGAGGCTTGCACCCTCTGCAGCCATAGTCTGAGCTATACTTTGGCGTCTTTTAGTGCCAGCTGGAGCTGGAGCAGCTGGGACACAGGGTACCTAGTCTTGAGGCTGCACAAAGCATTGAGGCTCTGGATCCAGCCTAGACAATCATTTTTCCCTTTTAGACCTCTGGGTCTTTGATAAGAAGGGCTGCCATGAAGTTCTCTGACATGCCCTGGAGACATTTTCCCCATTGTCTTGGCAATTAACATTTGACTCCTCATTACTTATGCAAACTTCTGCAGCTGGCTTGAATTCCTCCCCAGAAAATAAATTTTTCTTTTCTACAATATCATTAGCGTGTAAATTTTCCAAACTTTTATGGTTTCCTTCCCTTTCAAACATAAATTCCAGTAACAGATCATTTCTCTCAGGTTAAAAGTTTCACAGATCTCTAGGGCAGGGGCAAAATGCTACCAGTCTCTTTGCTAAAGCATAGCAAGGGTGACCTTTGCTCTGGTTCCCAACAAGTTCCTCATCTTCACCTGAGACCACTTCAGCCTGAACTTCATTGTCCACATCATTATCAGTATTTTGGTCAAAACTACTCAACATGTCTCTAGGAAGTTCAAACTTCCCCACATTTTCCTATCTTCTTCTGAGCCCTCCAAACTGTTCCAACCTCTGCCTGTTACTCAGTTCCAAAGTCATTTCCACATTTTCAGGTTATCTTTATAGCAGTACCCTACTCTCTGTGGTATCAATTATTGCATTAGTCCATTCTCACACTGCTATAAAGAAATACCCAAAACTTAGTAATTTATAAAGCAAAGAGGTTTAATTGACTCACAGTTCCACATGGCTGGGGAGGCCTCAGGAAATTTACAATCATGGCAGAAGATAAAGGGGAAGCAGGCACCTCACAAGGTGGCAGAAGAGAGAAGTGTGATGGAGGAACGTCCAAACACATAAAACTATCAGATCTCATGAGAACTCACTCACTATCATGAGAACAGCATGGAGCAAACAGCCCTCATGATCCAATTACCTCCATCCCTGGACACTTGGGGATTGTGGGTCCCTCCCTTGACACTTAGGAATTACAATTCAAGATGAGATTTGCATGGGGACACAGAGCCAAACCATATCCCTGTCTAAATATGTATCAATCAGTGAAAGTATGAACCAAATATGGTACATCCATATAATGGAATATTATTGAGTCACGAACAGATTGAAGTACAGGTACATGATGCAACATTGATGAAACTGGAAAGCATTATGCTAGGGAAAGAAAAGGGGAAGAGAAAAGAGCAAGTGACTGCTAATGGCTGCAGGCTTTCCTTTTGGAGTAATAAAAGTATACTGTATTTAGATAGTGGTGATGGTCGCACAACTTGTGAATATACTAAGAAACATTGAATTCTACATTTAAAAAATGTGAATTTAGTGTTATGTAATTTATATTATGTTATGTAATTTACATGTGAGTTTAACAAAAACTAGTGGTGCAAGGGAGAATGGAACTAATTTTTTGTGGAGTATTCATAGTCATAAAGATACGAGGCCTGAAGATATTTGCTTTATGTAGTTTAGCCAAGTGTAAGATGCAAATGCAAAATATGTGGGTGTAGGTGCAGGCCAAGTGGTCGATGTAGTAGTATAAGTCAATAAGTATTCTTTTTTGATTGCTTCAATTTGTTCAGTCAATTAGAAATGAGGTTATTAGTTACAGTGAAGATAGGAAAGAGGGGTTGGAGTTCAGGTAAAAGGAAGGTGTAAAAGCTGGGTGTGGTGGCCCATACATGTAATCCTAGCATTTTGGGAGGCTGAAAAGGGAGGATTGCTAGAGGCTAGGATTTCGAGACCAGCCTGGGTAATATAGCAAGACCCTATCTCTAAAAATAAAATAAGGTTAAAATATTTCTCTAAGAGAGCAAGAGAATCAGTGTGATAGGAAAATAATATGATTGCCAACAAGAATTCAGGGCTCATTTGAGCATCATGGATGAAAATTAAATGCCAGAATTGTCAGCTTTTGTTGCTGTGCTTTCCCCAGAGATACTCATTAGAAACAACGTGGGTGTATAAGAGTTGTGAGATGTATTTCGATAGGGTTGCTCTGTTTCCAAGTGGATCTTGTGGAAAAAAAAAAAGTCAAGGTAAAAGAGGCTACATGAAAGGGAATAATTTTAATGATTGTTTATACAATCAAAACTGCATGAGGAAAGACATAAAAACATTAAATGTAGGTGGGTACAATACATCGAAGGTCTCCTTGGGATGCAAGCACTGTTGTAGTTTAGATACTGGAAGGAATAAGTTGAAAATGCTGGAAGTAATAATCAGGAATGAGATTCCTATTATTTCAACTATGGAATGATAGTCATTAGGGTTAATGACTGGTTATATGGTAAGATGATGAAAATGAATAGGTTAGGGTGGAGGACAAGGACATGCACAAATAAAGGAAATGAGATATCAGTAAATGAATCATCTTGTGTATGAGAGCATCGCAAATTAAGGCAGTAATAATGTTGGAGACTGGGACATTGAGTCAGTCGTTGTAATGATTGCTGCATGAAACAGAATGTCCCAGTAGAAGGAATGACCCAGGATTGTTAGATAATAAAAGCAATAAATTTTATCACACATGATTTAGAATGCTTAATCCCAACTTGTCAGTTATAAACTAATTGACCGACTTCTGGCTTTTGCTCTTCCTCTAGTGGCATTAATTGTCATTTGTAGATAGAGTGAAAGTGTCCACAACAGACCTGGAGTAACAATTCATAGGTCCTGTTTATCACCTGATGGTATATTCACTATGTCATACTTCTCTTATTGCAGAATAGTCTGTGTAAATATTTTGTGTGTAAGTTTTCTTTAATAAATACTATCTTCAATTACCACCTATAATCATATATAAAATGTCATTAAGGTAAATATTCTTAAATAGCCTTAGGTGCTAGTCTATAATCAACTTTGGAGAAAATTCTCAGGTGAGAAATATCTGCTTTAAATTTCCATCCTCTTTTTCCTGATATATCCATTTTACTTTTTCCACAAATTAGCAATATTAGAGTGTCCAATGATTTCATAAAACATTCTCTACTTACCTTTCCACTAACAACACATACACTCATAAGTTTGAATTTTAACCAAAGCTTTGTACTTAATTATATGTATACAGTTGATTATTGATAAGATAATAATGTTTTAATCATAGAAGCAAAATAATGTTGACCAAAGTGATTTTCTCTTATCCTAGATGATTTCCTGCTGCCTAGAATTGTGCCCTATATACACTATGCATTAAAAATGTTACCTTTCTAAGATTATAGTTTTTAATATAGGTAAATGCATTGTGATAGATTACAAAAATGGCCCAAATATTTTATTCCTTCTTTTTTTCATCATATAATTTTTGCGGCGTATTTTTAATCTGAATCTGGTTCAGCCATGTACCCTTTTTTAGCCAGTGAAATATTAGATGACATGACATAAACAGAGGACTAAAAGACATATACCTGATCAGGCTTACTCCCACTCCTCCTTGTCTAGCACTGTATGTGAATATCACCAGGCTAGCCTGATGGAGTAGAAAAAGTATCCAGAGAATAGCTATGTGGACCAGGGTTTTCCAACCAAAGCCACCATGATATGAGCACAGTAGTTGCTACTTTTTTGTGATACTGGACTTTGTAACTGTATTATTGAATTATTATATGTATATATGTGTGTGCATATGTGTTTTATACATAATATATACATATATGTGTGTTTTATATATAAATGTATATAATATGTATATTTATATATATATATCCTATATCACAGATAAACTAAATTAATACTTGTTGAAACACACAATGTTCTCTATGGAAAAATATTACTGTACAATGACTACTATAGAAAAGTATCTATCTATCTATCTGTCTAGTAGACACCACCCCACCCCAAAGATATTTTTTATCTAAGCCTTGGAATTCGTGAATATGTTAGGCTACATGGAAAAGGGGAATTAAGATTGGATTGAATTAAGGTTGCTAATTCATTGACCTTAAAATAGGGAGATAGACCAGGTTATCCAGGTGGGCCCAGTGAAATCACAAGAGTCTGTATAAATAGAGAGACAGTGTCAGAGTGACGTGATGTTAAGAAAAACTCGACCTTCCATTGCTGGCTGAGAAGATGTAAGGGGGCCAAAACCCAAGAAATATAGGTGGACTCTAAAAGTTAGAAAAGGTGAGAAATTGAATCACTTTCCAAAGCTTCCAGAAAGGAATACCACTCTGCCAACCCAGTGATTATAGCTCAATGAAACCTATTTTGAACTTCTAACCAAGAGAATTGTAAAATAATAAAACATGGTATTTTAAGCCACTAAGGTTGTAGTAATTTGTATAGCAGCAATAGGAAATAAATACATATATGAATATTATTTATGGAGTGTATGATGTAATAATATGTGTGTTACTATTGTAACAATTCAGTTATGGGACAATTATCCTCACTTAATTAATGAAGAGATGTAGATATAAACTTTAAAAATAATACAGCCATACTTTAAATTAAGATTGTTTGAATCCAATCCCAGGATTTCAACAACACATTAAAATTCTTATATTATTTATTCATATATTGGTTATTTTCTTTATTGTAATACTAAGCTATTTAATGTTTCATATTTTAAAATGTTATTTCAAATATGCCATTAAAATTATCTAATATCTTTCAAAAGAAATAATTTCTAAATTTAAAGATGTAGCTTTCAAGCAACTAATGGCCACCTGAAATTATATTAACTTAGTATTATTTATCCAGGAACTATTTTTTTAATAGTTCATGTGTAACATGACATGATTATCACAATTGTTTGATTTTGGCTGATATAGTGTAATTGATATGTGCTGAAACAAAATTATGTTTTCTTGATTCTATAGTAAAAATAATCTCCAGATCATATTTTCATTATCTCAATGAAATTTTCAAAAATTGATGGGATTTTGTCCATAACATTTTGAGAATGTCAAAGAAAATACATAAGAAAAATAAAAATATACAGAAGCATTTTAATAAAAGATTGTTTTAATATGATTTTATTTTACATAATAAACATGTTAAATCCAAAGTATGCTATAATTGAGAACTGACAATGTTTATTCTGCTTCATCATCAATTTAAGAACATATAGATATACCCACTTTAGGCATTATTATAAAATTATATATCATGTTCTTCATAGAAAAAGTTTCACATATATAATGCTGATTTTGTTGTCAGATGTACAAAGCACTTGGGTACAATGCAGGTGACTAATAAGCTAAAATTTTTAGAGAGTCCTACTTATTTTAACATAGATCAACATTAACATATTTGCAGATTTTTGGGGGACATTACATTTGTTTAGATAGCAGTAGACTACTCAGGGTTGAGTTCAAAATGAAAGCTTAACAAATGAGACTATTTTTGGGAAACTGAACGTTGGGTCCTAAGTTGGAAAGAAAGTGACTGATGTAACTAATTGTTTCAAGTAAGGTCCATTTCCAGTGATGGCTCTGTCTCAAGCACTTAATAATACCTATCAGTTAAACTATGCTTTATTGATTGAGTGATTGATTCATTTTTGTTATCATTCTCACCAGATTCCATGTTATATTTATAATAAAAAACTATTTTTACCTTCTGCAAAAACTATGAGTTTAAAAACAATAAATTAGAAGATAATTATTCTGGGACAAGCCAATCCTTTGAAGAAAAATAAACAAATATACTAACGTTAAGTATTAAGTTGTAAACCACTGAATTAAGACACTTCCTTGCTAATCAAATGCACTATTGAACCCCCTTGAAAGATAATCAGAAACGATTTATATACCATATCCATTTTAGCCTTTTTGTTATCTTTGCACACTTTGAATTTTAAAATTTTTGCAGAATATTTTAAGATAACAAAACATTTGTAAATAGAGTAGAACAGTGAAGAACAATATTAAAAACAAACTTTACATGTATAATCACTATGCTAGTATGATTTTCATGGATTTTATTAAAGCATTCATGGTTATAACACTCTTTGTTTAAATCCACTTTAGCCTTGTGCAATTACGTTTCAGAGTTTTGTACTGCTTAGTCTGTACTGTCTGATAAATGCCCAGATAAAATTTTTTATGTCATAAATAATAAATATTACTCAATTGATCCCATCCATGAGCTTTATAGTTTTATTATATTTTTATAACCTTATACAATTTGATCAGTTAAATACTATACCTGATGTACTTATGACAGTATGTATTCTTAGTTGTAGTCAAAACAAACAGAAAACAAAGATATATCTGTAAACACACAATCACACAAACTCACACTCACACATATTTGCATCTGAGTTTCTTAATATATAATGTATGCATTAAAATAAATTCCTTGTAAGGGTACACTAAGTATTAGGCCAGGCGCGGTGGCTCATACCTGTAATCCCAAGTCTTTTAAAGGTTGAGGCGGGCGGATCACTTGAGGTCAGGAGTTCAAGAGCATCCTGGACAACATGGTGAAACCCCATCTCTACCAAAAAATACAAAAATTAACCAGGCGTGGTAGCACACACCTGTAGTCCCAGCTACATGGAAGGCTGAGGTGGGAGAATTGCTTGAACCCAGGAGGCGGAGGTTGCAGTTACCTGAGATCGCACCACTGCACTCCAGACTGGGCAACAGAATGAGACCATGTCTCAAAAAAAAATAAAAGAAAGTATATTAAATATCAGTAGGAACACATATATTAGGCATATAGAATCATTGATTAATGCATAGGAGATAATACATTCTAAATACGTGTAACAACATTTATTAAGATTGCTGTTATTGCTGTTATTTACATATGAAAAGAAAATGATAAACTTATCCAGGTTTGCATTTATTGAGTAGTCTTGCTTAGTGTTTGATAATTTGAATTTCTTTTAATGGAACTATCTTCACCCTGTACATTGTTTTCTACTCCAACAGAAAAAGAGGTGTTCAAATTAAAAATAAGATTTGACATATCTATACTGAAGCAATTGTCACTCGTGGAAAAAAATGACTAATTATATGGACCAGCTTAGTAGATAAAACTGGGTAAGTAAAAGTAAATTAAAATATGGACTCAGTTCAGATAGAGCTGGATTCGCAATATGACACCACAGGTTACAACAATATTACTTTGTGCCTATTTGTATTTCATGATTCTAATTATTCTCTTTCATAACATAAAGATAATAAGAAAACCCACTGCACATAATTATGATAAGAATTTAATGAGAAAATACATGTGAAGTTCATATTACAAAGCTTATAATTTAATTAAGAACAAGTACATATTAGCTGTAATAAGTATTATAATCATTTCTATTTTATCCATGGCCACTATTTTAAACGCTGACCTATTATATTCTGTATATATAGTAATAATTTTTTTCTCCTATTATACAAAAGTTTTACACTCTTTTTCAATTTTAAATATTGTCATATTGCCAAGTTGACAAAACTGACAAGAACACAATAAAGAAATTCCAAATTTATGATTTATCACACTAAAAAGAAACCTCAGTTTTAGATCCTGGATAGAATCTCACCAAAATTATTGAATTTAAAAATTCACAGCTTGGAGACTAGTATACATCATAGAACAGTTCTTAAAAGTTAAATTAAGGATACATAAACATTTTGTAAATGTGTTTCTTGAATTTACAGCAATTAACAGCTTCACTGCAATCTCTGTGACTTTTAAACGATATTGCTGATGCACTAATGGTGATTTCTAACGAGAGCATTCTTGTGAGATAAAGAAAAAAAAAATTTGTTGACAATTAATTATGGTTGCCTCTAAACTACAGAACATAAACACAAAGATTGTAGTAATAGCAGTATTGATTCCTTTTCTTCAGGTCTCATTTTACCACTTGAATTTACTTTTAATCCCACTTTTATTCATATTTTTAATTTTAGTCATGAAGACATTGCAATAAAAACATAAGGATATATCAATCAATAGCTTGAGATATGAAAAGAGTTTCTATAGATGAAAATATGCACAAATATGAAAATGTGTTTGAGTCAATCAACAACAAATTGGAGAGTACCAGATTAATGAGAAAGACCAGGTGAAGCTGGTCTCTCCTAAAACACACACATACACACATAATATATTTTAAATGACAGTAAAGTTAAACACAAAGAATAAAAATAGGAGATCCTACAATTCTATAATAAGAATTCTAACAGGTGTGAAGAGAGGAAGTATTCTGTGCATCCATCATTCATTCATTCATATCCCCATTTGTTTATCAATTCATTTACCATCCAACAATATTTATGTACCTCCAGAAACTTCTTTCATATTTAGAGATAAGAGGGATAAATTTGAGAAAAATAAATAAGTCTATTCTTTAAAAGTTCATACAGTGTCTAAAATGTGGGGAGTGATTTGAAAGTAAATACACAACACAATATAAAACAAAATACATAATATGGTAGTAAGTGATAAGTAAGAGTGACCTTGTGAATATCGAATAGGGAGTGTTCCAGAAAAATAGCAAAAGTAAATGTGAAAACCCTAAGGCAAGAATGTGTTTGCAGTCTCTGTGGAACAAGTCAAAGGTGATAGAGGGTGAGACATAGGGAAGTTATTAGAAGAGGCAACCAAACATTAATAGTAGAAATAAAGGAATATGGACAATATATTTTTAAAGTCATCTATCTGAAGAAATATCTTAGTGCAGAAGTCAAATGAGTTAATGATAACAAATAACACCGATGAAAATAAATTTGTAAGTAGATACATGTTGGTCCTTTAAAAAATCAAGAATGAAGAAGAAACTCTACAGTCCAGTAGACAGAAATGAAGAAATAATGAGGTTGACGTTAAGCTGTTCTGCAATGCCAAATGTCAGAAAACAAGGGCTCATTATCTGCATTATATTAAAAAAAGGTTGTGCCCTCTGTGACAAAATCTGTCAGGCTGTCTTTCACATGGGAGGTGAGAGATGGACATTCACTGACTGCAAGGAGTCAGAAAGTGGGCAATTGTCATAATCTCTTTAGGAAAAATAGTAGAGATAACAAGGTATTAATTGACAGCAATGGAGAAAATATCTGTAAAATAAACAGAATACCAAATACTTTAGTAACAATTACAGAAACTCTAAATAAAGTAGTGCTAACATGATTATGAAACAATACAATGTTGAAAATTGTTAAAATATGAAGTATTATAAAATTGCAATAAAATCTGGGGAAAATACCCTTTTGTGAAAATTAATAAATGATAAACGTTGGATAAGCATAAATACATATGGAAGAGTTGGGGAAATGATATTAGTGCACAACAACAATAATAACAGGAATTGAATACTTAATGGCAAGGTCTGCTTTAAAAACATTTCATTTAGGGACATATTTAAACCTCTTAAGCCTGTAACATATTTTCTAGTATTACCTACAATCAAAATTATATTTTTAAGCAAAACTGACTTGTAAGGAAGGCAAATGATTTTCAAAGGAGTTAAAAAAAAAAATCCCTCAGTTTCAGAGCAGTCCATTTATTCACCTGAATAGCAATGGTTTTTCATATACAGAAGTTGTCCTGGGCATAGTTAGAGAGAAAAGATAATTTGAAGTCTGAGGGGGAGATGGAAAGATGGGAAGGAATGAAAAACAAAGGTCTAGAATTCCAGTGAGTGGGTGAAGCTCTGGAGAGGGTAACATGATCAGGGAGTAATTAGTATAATCAATATCAGGGTGTCCAAAAAGTACTTCCAGTGTTAAGGAAAACACATATGCATTTCAACTTTGACTGTGACAGGCAGTAGAATGCAACTTTTCATGTCATAATCACTCAAAAATTACAGTTCTTTTGTACATAGCAGGCCTCAATTCCTGACGTCTTTGGAATCTGTGTGTAAATATGATAGAGGAATAGTTGATAAGAGCAGTGAAGTGAATTCACAGGCAGCAGAAACTTCGGACCAGAAATGACTGACACCTTGGCTGGAGTACTGGACTTTCAGCAATATAGGAAGTGAAAGCTTAGGTCAAATATATTTGGATATTAAACTGATAGGGAAAAAAGCATCATGTTGTAGATAACTATTATTATAAGTGTAATATTTAAAATTATTTCCAACAAACAACTGCCTATGAAGATGATCACCATGGCACTATTTATAATAGGAAACTTTTCTAAATATAACTTTTATTCCTAAATAAGGGATTAGATAAGCAATATATATGTTAAAATACACACATAAAATACATATATATGTACATATCATCCATTCACTTTACATTACAAAACATTATGATAATGCTGATTTTTTCAGGACAGTTTAAAGAAAAAAAATAAAGATAAGTGCTAGAAGCTGTAGTGTGATACCGACCACCTCTTCTGAACCTATGTGGTTTAGGTGTGTTTCTTTTGTTTGTTTTTTAACTTTCACTTTAGGTTCAGGAGGTTGTGTGCAGGTTTGTTTTATAGATAAATTGCATGTCACAAGGTTTGATATACAGATTATTTCATCAGCCAGGTGATATGGTTTGGATTTGTGTCCCCACCAAATCCCATGTTCATTTTTTTTTTTTTTTTGACAGTCTCACTCTGTTGCCCTGGCTGGAGTGCAGTGGCACAATCTGGCTCACTGAAGCCTCCGCCTCCCAGGTTCAAGGAATTCTCCCGCCTCAGCTTGCCAAGTAGCTGGGGACACAGGCATGTGTCACCACGCCCAGCTGATTTTTCTATTTATAGTAGCGACGGGGTTTCACCATGTTGCCCAGGTTGGTCTCGAACTCCTGACCTCAAGTGATCCACCCGCCTCGGCCTCCCAAAGGGCTGGGATTACAGACATGAGCCAACTGCGCCTGGCCTCGTGTTCAATTTTAATCCCCAGTATTGGAAGTGGGGCCTGGTGAGACGCGTTTGGATCATGGGGTGGATCCTTTATGAATGGTTTAGCACCATCTCTTTGTTGCTGTTCTCCTGATAACGTTCTCATAAGATGTGGTTGTTTAAAAATATGTAGCACCTCCCCGACTCTTTCTTCTGCAGGCTCCAGCCACATAATTCATGTCCACTTCACCATTGCCTTCCACCATGATTGTAAATTTCCTGAAGCCTCTCCAGAAGCAGAAGTCACCGTGTTTCCTGTACAACCTGAAGAACTATGAGCCAATTAAACCTCTTTTCTTTATAAATTACCCAGTCTTGGGTATTTCTTTACAGTAGCACAGGAATGGACAATACACCAGGTAATAAGTATAGTACCCTATAGGTAGTTTTTCGATGCTCACCTTTCTCCCACCATCCACCCTCATGTAGGCTCCCATGTCTGTTGTTCCTTCTTTGTGTCTGTGTGTACTCAATGTTTAGCTCTCACTTATAAGTGAGAATGTGTGGTATTTGATTTTCGGTTCTTGCCTTAGTTCCCTTAGAATAATGGCCTCCAGCTCCATCCATGTTGGTGCAAAGGACATGATCCCTTTCTTTTTATGACTGCATAGTATTCCATGGTGTATATGGACCACATTTTCTTTATCCAGTCTACTGTTGATTGGCATTTAGATGATTCCAGGTCTTTGCTACTGTGAATAGTGCTGCAGCAAACATATGCAGGCATGTGTCCTTATGGTAGAATGATTTATATTCCTCTGGTTATATACCCAGTAATGGAATTGCTGGGGCTAATGGTCATTCTGTTTTAAGTTATTCGAGAAAACACCAAACTGCTTTTCACAATGGCTGAACTAATTTACATTCCCACAAGCAGTACAGTATAAGCATTCCCTTTTCTCTGCAACCTTGCCAGAATTTGTTATATTTTTGAGTTTTTAATAGTATCCATGTTGACTGGTGTGAAATTGTATCTCACTGTGGTTTTTACTTTCATTTAATAATTACAGGTATTGAGCAATTTTTCATATGCATCTTGGCTGCAGGTATGTCTTCTTTTGAGAAGTGTCTGTTCATGTTCTTTGCCCAATGTGGTTGTTCATTTTTGCTTATTAGTTTGTTTAAATTCCTTACAGTTTCTGGCTATTAGATCTTTGTCAGATGCAAATTTTGAAAATATTTTCTCCCATACTATAGGTTATCTGTTTATCTTGTTGATAGTTTCTTTTGTGGTGAAGAAGCTCTTTAGTTTAATTAGTTCCTATTTGTCAATTTTGCTTTTTGTTGCATTTACTTTTGGTGACTTCATCATAAAATCTTTGCTAGGGCTTATGTCCAGAGTGGTATTTCCTAGGTTATCTTCTAAGGTTGTTATAATTTTAGGTCCTACATTAAGTCTTTAATCCATCTTGAGTTGTTTTTTGTATATGGGGTATACAAAACTGGAACTGGAACTGGAAGGGGTCTAGTTTGAATCTTGGTTTAGGTGTATTTCTATCAAGTTTAATATTAGGAATTCAATTATTCACAATGTCTGGTACTCCTTGCCTTGTGGATACATAAGAAAGTGTATTTCTCAGCCCCTTTTCAGTTAGGTGGGCTGCACGAAAATTTTTGGCCAATTGGTTATGATTATAAACAACTTTCAGGCAAAACAGCTAATTTCATATGTGAGACTTTCTAGGGTTTTATTTTTCTCCTGGAATAATCATGTAAAATTCCCCTTAACAAGAGGATAGACCTATAGGCCTGTATGCTTGAAATGCATTCAAATGTTGCTTGAAGTTACGAACAACTTTGCATGGTTAAAAATAAAGCTTTCTTATAATAAGTAATTGCTATGTAGATTTTTGTTGTTTTGTTTTGGTTTGGTTTGGGTTTAAACTTAAGCATAACCTTATAGCTATTCAGAATAATAAATAGTGGGCACCAACAACAGTTTGCATGTCCTTCTTAAAATTGTAGAAATTAATTTAAAAAAAATTTATGATATTTACACCTTTAAGATCAATTTTAAAGATAAAACATATTATATTCCTCCTAGATTCACTTGTTCTTTATTTATGTTATTTATTTTTTTCTTTCCCCAACATGAACACCTATTATTCAGTGGTTGTTATGTAGGCTTAAAGAGATTATTATCACAATATTTCCTATCCAAATTGCTTTAATTTTAATACTTTGGTGATTATCTTTTTCCATTGCATTATTTCATTTAGACACAAACTTACCAAAGAGTAACAAAACTGGTTTTATTATAAAATAGAATAAAATTGATCCAAAGTAAAATAAAATTTCTACATACTTTGAAGAAATCAGTATCATTCCCTTTGGAAACATCCCCAAATTTCTATGAACACTTTCTGTATAAATTTTGTGTGTTTTGGCTTACCCAGATACAAATAGAAGTAAACAAATAAGAAAAGTATTATTTCTTAAAGTTTCAGCATTATGCATATCTATTTAGATCCAAGGACTAAATTAAAATAAAAAATTTAAAAAACTCTTGGTGATGCAAAGGTACATAGTGAATTACAATAAATCATTTTGTAATGCTTACTAATCTTTCATAAATTCTATTTATCTACATTGTTTGATACTGTCTCTGGAATGTTAAAATGCATCTCTTTTTGTAAATTCTGGAATATGTTTAACAGTCCCTACAGCATTTTTTATTGAATCTAATTATTCCAACAATTTTTTTAATAGTAAAACACTTTGTTTCTCAGTATTTAGAAAACAGGCCTTTTGACAGCAAATTATTATAATTATTATTGGAAAATATTAGACAACTTGACATGTGTAGATTTTACTTTCAAACTACTAAGTTTTTCTGTCCTTTGAAAGGCAAATGTGTTTCAGACCAAATATATATATCATATATATATATATATCATATATATATATATAAATTTTGCCATGACTATGAACCTTGTATTCTAATCAGGATTTTATTTAATAGAATTTATTATATTACATATTACAAACTATAACATAAGGCACATGACATATGAATTAATAAAAACTAATAAACAAAACCTTTTATTCTTCATTATGTTCCGTGATATCCCAGTTCAACACTAATTGCAGCTCTTAAAATCCCAAATTATTTGCAATTCTCTTCAACCTCATTATTTTTAGTTACACTCTAGTTTCCATCAAGGACAATTCTTGAAACATTCTTCAGTAATTGAGACTCTTTTTCTAGCCCTGGGGAAGGAATGGTTTATTTCTTGTTCTAATTTTCCCTAAATCATCTTTCAATGTCACTCTGACACAATGCCTTAATCTCTCATTCTCTCTACCTTACATATTCAAAATTTTCCTATTCTAGTGTAATATTCTCACAAACATATAAATATGACATAGTATAGCCTTTCTAGCTAGCACACCAAAAATTTGTTTGACTACACCCCACTATTCCCTCAGCTCACTTTACTTTTAAACTGACTCAGGCTTGGACTAGTTCCTGTCATTTGACTCATGATGTTATTATTATGCTTCCATTTAACCAAATAATTTCCTTGATACCATCTTATTTTTGTTTTATGTCTCTCTAGCTGCTATTTTCTCTTTTAGTTTTTTAGTTTCTTCTCCTCTAATTCCTTTGAAACAACTTCGGAGGTGAAACTTTTCACCTCAGTTTTCTAAGCATTTTCTAGATCATTCTCAAGCTTTTAATTTGTATTATTACTCTAGTTATTCATTGATTGAAATCCAATCTAGAAATCTTTTCTGAGCCCAGACACTCGTATAATACTGCCTATTTGAAATCTGAACTTAATCAAATTTAGGTATTGTAAATGCGACATTTTCAAAATTGTACTTTTGTCCTTCCCATTAACTTTCGTCCTCACTTCACCTCTTTCATTTAGCCCACCTACTGCTCAAGATAGAACTCTTCAAGTCATTTTAATATCATCTTGTCATACATTCCATATCCTAGGTAATAAATTGTGATAACTGTATTTCCAAACATATCTTGAGCCTAGATACATCTGTTCTATACCACCGTTATCATCACCTCAGTCCAAGTCACCATCTCCTACTAGAGAAGAGGTTAATGCAACAACTTCCTCACTTGTCTTCTTGCTTCAACCTGTGTTTTCTATTTTCTCCACATGGCAACCAAAAGTATCTCTCTAAACTTTCAAATACCAAATATGCACTTACTGATTACAGTCCTGAGTTATTTCTTCTTTATCTTTGCCCTGCTTAAATATTACATTAAAAAAAAGTTATCCTACTCCCCTCATATGAAAATGTCCTTTCCTTTTAATACCTCACCTACACTATCCTTGTTTATTACTATATGTGTATGTATTTATTGCTTTACTCAGTTTCCCTTTCATAAAGCAGAACTCATATGTATTTTATTCACTTGAAAACCTAGTTCAATGTGTGTTGTGTCCAAATTATGTATTTTGAATGAATGATAAAACATTATCTTTTCTTCTGCAGGTCACATCATGTTCTTATAGCATTCATTCATTATATACATTTTATTTGACTGAACTTCGTAATTTATTTTCAAATAATTAGTCGATTGATATCAGTACTTGACTCTTAGCTATGTGCATTCTCTATCATCTTAATTATTTTTATTCAATATGGTTTAACTTCACTTCCTACTTTATATCTTTCTGCTATTTCTCTCTTTTCTTTGTGTTTGTACCCTATGATGTACTAACTCAACATTGCTATATTTTCAAAATCATCTGAACACTGATTTTGAGCATTTATGTACTTTGAATGAGTGATAAAACATGATTTCTTCTTCTGCAGGTTGCAGCATGTTCCTGTGGCATTCATTTATCATGCACATATTCTTTGACTGAACTCCATAATTTATTTTCAAATAATTAGTTGATTGATGACAGTACTTGACTCTTATCTGTGTGCATTCTCTATCATCTTAATTCTTTATTTTTATTCAATATGCTTTAACTTCGTATCCTATTTTATATCTTTCTGACATTGCTGTCTGTGCCCTATTATGTACTAATTCAACACTGCTATTTTTTCAAAATCACCTGAACAGATTTTGAGCATTCATTAATTTTTACCATGTAATGAGCCTACTCCAGTTCCCACAATTTTCTAAAGATGCTAAATTAAGTCCTAGAAGTATACTGGTTATAATTTCAGTGAGTTCATGACATTGTAGCCTCAATTACACTCCCAATAGTGGTTTATGACCAAGACTAACTTATGTTAACTCTTCAAAATTTATTTAATTTTAAATACTTCATTATGATGTCCAGTTTAATAAGGCATCTAGAGAGTAAATTGTGACAAGACCTCCCATAAACCTTTAATTTGAGTTGTTAAGTAATCACAGTGAAAAGTTAAAGTGGTCAACATTAAACACTACACTGCAATAATTAGGTCCCAAGAATAATTTGCGATAGCTACTTTGCATTGTTTATCCCAGTATCTTAATATCTGAAAAAATAAATCAAAGCACACAAGAATGATTATTGTCACATTTTTGCAAAGTTTAAAAACAAGAAAAACAGTATTTGGGTGATAAAACTGTATGTAGATTTTGTATGTTTGTGTGTGTGCGTGTTTGTGTGTGTGCCTGTAAAGAAATAACTAATACACAATTTTCCTTTATGGCCAATTAAGATGAAGCACAAGGATGAAAACACGGCCATTCATGGAAAAATGATGATTAGATACTATAAAACAAAGATTAGGTATAGTCAACTTCTTTAATTTAGATAACTAAATAAGAGGGGGAGAAGAATGACAACTGTGATAGAGCATCATGCTACCTTTTTTTAGAAACCAGGAAGATAGGATTTTTTTCAGATGGAAAAATGTGGATTTATAAAAATTAGTTGGACTTATGTGTTGAAAATATATTCTCCCACAAGTACTATTTCATTTGCTTTTATGTGCCTTTTAATACTGAGTTCTTGATTCTAAAATATTCATATTTATCAACACACTCTTTAGTACCTTTTAAATATATAAAGATTTAGGCAGGGCACTGTGGCTCACAGTTGTAATCCCAGCACTTTGGGAGGCTGAGGTGGGCGGATCCCTTGAGCTCAGAAGTTTAAGACAAGTGGGGCAACCTGACAAAACCATGCCTCTACAAAACAATACAAACAACAAACAAACAAAAATTAGCCAGGCATGGTGGCACAGGCCTGTAGTCCCAGCTACTCAGGGCCTGAGGCAGGAGGATCCCTTGAGCCCGGGAGGCTGAGATTGCAGTGAGCTGAGATCACACCACTGCACTCTAGCCTGGGCAACAAACTGAGACCCTGTCTCATAAAACAAACAAACAAAAAATATATAATAAATATATATATATATTTATGGATTTGATATATATATTATGGATTTGATATATACATGTATGAAATTGATTTTCTAAAAGATATAAACATCTGCTTTTGTCATTTAAGATTTTAATCCATATTCATTTCAGGCACAAACTAGGCAAATATCCTTATAAGGTAGGGAACCAAAATTATCTTTTAAATTTTTTGAAGGTAGTGTATCTTATTACTTCATTGAACTGACATGCCAGCTTTTTAAAATATCAAAGTTACATATATACATGGTCATTTTTGAACTCTTGATCTTGTTCTGTTATTTAATTTTTCTTTTCCTGTTGCAATAACTTATTGTCTAACTTCTTATTGCTTTACATCTTCGTATTGGGCAAAGCAAATATTCTTCATTAGCACAATAAAGGTCTGCCAAAAAATCATAACACAGCATTAAAAAACATGTGGAATTGGAGCTGCATTGAATTGACCAATCAATATGTTGAGAAATGACGTATTTCTCAAATGTCATGTTTGTATGCCTTTAATATGTCTACATTTAGTCTTATAATTTCCTTTGTATAAGTATTCCACATCTTTTTTAAAAAAATTTACTAGGTACTATATGGCATCTTTTGTATTGTAATATGAATTTTAAATTATGTTTACTAATTTTTTTCTGTGTCCTTAGAAAAATTCTTTGCTATTTGCCTAGATTTTTGTGTAGTAATCTATTTCCAGCACTTTAACATTTTATCATTTATAATAATTTTTATAGATGATTGGCTTTTCTCTGTAATCATTTATTTTCTCCTAATAATGGCCATTTTAGTACCCCGTATCATTTCATGTAATTTAATTATTATATATGTCGGATTGTCATAGTGAGGACTTTCAGCACAATGATAATTAGGGGTGGTGATGGCAGGCATCTCTGTTTTATTATTGCTCAAAAGAGAGACAAACACAAGAGATTATTTGAAGTCATGCCCAATGGCTGCAAAGTTTATGGATATAAATTTCCCAAATATATGGTAGCTAGTTAGCCATGGTGAACAAAGGACATGAGCTTACCTCTCATATAAAGCTATAGAAGATGAAAAGATTGAACAAGTGGTCAGAATGTGCTCAGTCAACCTCTGGTGAAGGATTATGAAGGATATATCTGTTGACATTGTTTTTGGCTCAGGATTGGTAAACAGAATTTTTGTTAACATCAAACATTAGTTCCATATAATGTTCTTCCAATGAGGGATAGAGAGAAAAATTATTTTTTAAAAGCCCTAAAAAAAGTTAGGGACAATCTGGGGCTATGTTTGCGGTCCTGAAATTGTAGCTTGACTATGAGTTGAAAAATGAGACTTGAGAAAATATTCTGTGGTTGACATCCCTTACCAGATTTTTCAGTTGATGTGCATATATATAAAAAAGAAGGCTTTGCCCCTTTTGTTCTCAAATTAGGTGTTGGTCAAATATTTCCCTCACCCAGTTTTGATAAAGCATGCTAGATGGGAATCTTTGGAACTGTTCAATCCCTCTTCTGTAGTGCTATAGAGAAACGTAAATAATACAGAATTCCAGGAAAGCAACAACAGATTGCTTTCTATAACAGAAAGGGTTAACTCAGAGAAGTCCAAGCTGACACATTAGACACTTCACTTCTAAAATTATGAGAATAGTTAAAAGATGGATAATGATATTCACTAATTCAATTTTAAATATTCCCATATGGCAAATATATAAAACAGGTGGTTTAGTGGACTGACTGTAGACTGTTAGGATTTTGACAAGGTAGTTCTCCTGATATCCTCAATGGTACAAGATATAATTAAAATATTTAAAAGAAGTAGAAAATATCAAAGGTGATGGTATGTTGTAATATATTTACAAACACTTTCTTTACCTATATTGGAGAACAGTCAAGGTAAGCACACCTGGTTTAGGCGAAATGGCCTTCAGAACGTACAAAGGATATTTAAATTGACCAGAAAACTATTAAAATACAGGAGAGCAACACTAATCCATTAAGAGTGAGCATTCTCATTAGGAATAATTTGTTGCACAACATTAATGATATAATCATTGCCTGTTCAGAAGACAACTTATGTGATGGCAAAATAAACACTGGCCTGATAAACAAATAAAACCTTTGGAGTTTTAAAAACTGGACTTGAACGGCGGGCATTAAGTCCAAATGTCCTTCCTAGAGACTCCTCATCAAGATGAAAAACACTTGCTGTCTCAAGAAAAAAAAATGCTTTTCCAGAAAATTGGCAACAGTTAGCAGTAGTCCATTTAGAAAGATAATGAAGTGACTTGTTAGTAGAAGAGGCACATTTCTGATTAGATGAAACTTTTTTTATATCAAACAACAGTAGAAAGAAAATTACATTAGCTGAGAAAAAAATAACAACTATAGATATGGGATAAAATACTACGTATTGGCCACAGAATTCACCATATATAATTCATCCATGTAAGCAAGAACCGCTTGTACCCACAAAGCTATTACAATTTTTAAATATTTTATATATATATATCATGAGATATATATATGATATATATTTATATATATGATAAGGCATACTAAATGGAAATCTTTGGAATTGTTCAATCCCTATTCTGCAGAACTACAGAGAAACATAAATAATATAGAATTCCAGGAAAGCAATAGCAGATTGTTTTTTATAATAGTAAGGATTAATTTAGAGAAGTCCAAGCTGACACATTAGGACACCTCACTTCTAAAATTATGAGAATAGTTGAAGGAGTGATAATGTGTAATGTCTGTGTGTGTATACATATAAATGTGTGTGTGTATATATACACACACACATACACATATACACACATATTTATGTGTATATGTATGTATCTATATGTGTGTATATACATACATGCACACATATACATGTATATACATACACTCACACATATATATATGAACAAATGAATAATTGAACAGCAGGGAAGCCCCAGCTAGGGACAGGGTACTTATAAAATCATTATGATATTAATAAATCTAAATGATGAAAGCTCATCTATGGATAGTGTGGTCTTCATTTGGATAATTTTATAAATTGAGTATTTTAGCTTTAAAATTGTAATTTCTCAGTAAATTAATTTTTGGGAAAATAATTATAAAAGTTATGTAATCTCAATCAGAGATAGTGTTAATGGTATGTAAAGAAGCCTGTAAGCACATGTTAAGAAATTATACTATGATAATAACATATGGTGTGCCACAAACAACTTGGAATATGTAATTTATTAAGCAATGGTCTTCAGTAACTAACCCAGGATATGCAAATATAGGAAACAATTATTTCTTTTGAGAAAAAATGGAAAGTGAAACTATAATTTTTAAACAGCTAAACAAACCCAACAAGAATAGTACTGGACAAAGCTAAGAGAAAGACCTTGATTTCTGCCTGTGGAGTACGGTGATCGCCTCTGCTTTCAGTTCTACATAGATATCCCTGATATTAAAAGTGAACAGCAGCCTTATGTACTATTGAGAATGGTTTAGTTGAGATTTCATCAGTGACCAAAGCCTAGTTATTCAGAGGAATCTCAGTAAAATGAGCCAATGTATTTTCTTTGAGAGCTCGAGCAGGGGGTCACGTTTTGTCCTAAGGAAGGGCTGCCACTTTTTCACATAAAGTCAAGATACTAGTGGGACCAGATTCCCTGCATTCTTTTACATTTGGCATTTCCATTTGAAAGTGAAGCTGGCTTGGCTCTTCTCATCTTTTTCATAATGAAATCTGATTTGACACCACCTTAACTTAGGAATATGAGGCCCAAGAGTCAAAAGGCATACGTAGTTTGTATGTTTAGTTTAGACATGAATACAATATAAAGCTTGTCACTTCTTTTCCAAAACAGTGTAGCTGGCAGCAGCAGCAGCAGCAGCATCAGGGAAGCAATTAACCCTGAATTCTAAGGAGCGATCCAAGTACATAAATCCCCTTTGCCAAACTTCAGTTGGCAAAATATTCAGTCGCAGGAACTTGTAGTTTAAAGGTGTCATTTGGGTAGTTAGGCCGAAAAGGACACTTTTACAACATGGCCTGTTGGCTTAGTCCCCACTCAAAAAATACTGATTTGTGGACTAAGGGGAATGCTCAAGTGAAACATTTAACAATGCAAAGCTATGCTTTTACACCTCCAGTTGATGTCATGCAAACATATTATTCTTCAAGAACACTGAAAAAATGTTAAATGGTACGTAATCTATGTTAAATATTCCCTTGTTTAAACAAAAAGAGAAGTACTAGTATAAAATGACAATAGTAAAAATATTAAAATATCTCATTATTCTATGTCCACTTAATTGCCAACTGTTGCATTGTTAACACATAATATTCAATACATAGTTTTATGTAGTTGTCTTGGGCTATAGTAGATTCTATCATTGTTTTCCACCCATACTTGCAACTTTTCCACTTCCATACTGGAGAAAGAAGGCAAATGCCCCTTTACAATGTTTTAAACTTTTATTTTCTTGAAATGTGAATAATTTGCCATGTATTCTGTGCCTTAACTATCTCTTCTTCCCTGGCATGATATCTTAGTCAGTTCAGGCTACTATACAAAAAACCCATAAACTGAATGGCTTATAAAAACTAAAGATATATTTCTTGTAGTTTTGGAAGCTGAAAGTCTGGTATCAGGGTGCCAGCATGGTCGGGGGGTGGTGATGGCTCCCTTCTAGGTTGCAGACTGCCAACTTGTTATCGTAGCCTCTCATGGTAGAAAGAGGGTGAGAAAGCTCCTGGGGTTCCTTTAATAAAAGCTCTAATCCCTTTCAGGAGCACTATACTCTCATGACCTAATTATTCCCAAAAGTCTCGTCTTCTAATACCATCATAGTGGGTGTTAGGATTTCAACACAGAAATTTGGAAGGTTCATAAACATTCAAGTTCATTTCACATGCCCAGTATTTTTACCTTGCATATAATAGGCTCTCCAAAATGTTTACTGAATTCAATCATCACAAGAGGGATAATAGAAATTAACTTTTATTTATTCACAATATTTGTGTCCTTTTATATTTTTGACACTTTTCTTAACAAATGTCAACAGCAAAGTATCTCTTTTCATCCATCTAATAAAGACATCAGAAGTAGAAATAATTAGCAAATGGGACTCCCAGTTTTGACATGAAAACTGAGGAGCTGTGTAAAGTTTGCAAGACACTAGTTTCTTTTCGTGTTTCTTTACAGCAAAGTGAACCAGTTGAGGCAATAACACATTTAATTAATCTCCAGAATAAGGAAATTTTACACAAAGATAGATTTTACGCAAAATAGCTTAGAATCAGTAATAACTACCCAATAGTCAAAGCCTGCTCTACCATATCAGTCATGGGGCCACTAAGATTTAAAAAAGGAGCAATTTCACTGGGCTATGGAGATATGCTGCAAAATATTTTAAAACATGTATTTATTTGTGCATTTTAAATACAGAAATGATCATTTCTGAGGTTTGGATCAATAAATGTTTCCTATTCTCTAACTTGCACTACTATATTGAGTTTGCAAATGATCTTCCACCAGTAGTGTCCCACATGCATTTATGCTTTTGGCAATCTATATAAAAGGAGCCTTGATAGAGGGTATGCTTCTGCACTGCACATCCCTGAGTGACAGTATGCCTAAGTGGGTTGCCATGAATATCAAACTGAGGATTGTTGCCACTTAGAAAAGCAAGAAGGGAAGTGGCTCGTAATTAGATACAGGTGGGAAGAGAAGAGTGGGTAAGGGCCAAAGAGAAAGTTTATTCCAATTGCTCTATTTACTTTACATTTCTTTAAAGTCAAAACCTTGCATGGCATTGAAACCAACTTTATTTCTCTATCTTTCATATATTTAAATTGAAAGTGTCTAAAACAGGATGTAAATTTTAAACAAAATCTTTGACCGGGTGTGATGGCTTACACTTGTAAACCCAGAACTTTGGGAGGCTAACGCGAGAGAATTGCTTGAGGTGTGGAGCTCAAGACCAGCCTGTACAACGTAGTGAGATTGTCTGTACAGGTTTTTTTTTTTTTATACTAACCTTGCGTGGTGGCATGCCTGTAGTCCTAGCTACTCGGGAAGCTGAGGTGGGAGGATCCCTTGAGCACAGGAGTTCAAGGCTACAGTGATCTATGATCACACTACTGCCCTCCAGCCTGGGCAAGAGAGAGAGACCCTTTCTCAAAAGAAAAAAATTTTTGGAGCAACGTTAACTGCCATTTTGAGTAAATTAAAAATCATATCATCTAGATACTTTACATAACTTATTAAGGTCCTTATTTTTTTTAAGACATGTGCGTCTCACTTTGTCACCCAGGCTTGAGTGCGGTGGCAAAATCATAGCTCAGTGCTGCCTTGAACTCCAGAGCTCAAGGGATCCTCCTGTCTCAGCCCACCAAGGAGCTAGGACTACAGTCACACCAACACACTGGGCTAATGTTTTTTTAATTTTGTAGAGGTGGAGTCTCACCATTTTGCCCAGGCTGGTCTCTAACTCCTGGGCTCAAGCAATCTTCCCCACTTGGCCTTCCAAAGCACTGGCATTACAGGCATGAGCCACCTCACCTGGTCTACATATTTTATTTCTATTTATCACAGCCATCTTGTAAGGATAATGAATTGAAGGTTAAATAATTAAAATAATTTTATAGTAAACCATAGTTCTGGGTATCAAACCTAGTTCTACCTTTTATTAAAGTTTATGCTATTTCAGTTATATGACATTAATTTCCAAACAACCTACATATACTTTATCCAAAATAGGTATATTAGTATAAATATTCTGGATAATATTTTCTTTTATTATATTGCTATGGTATAACAAAATCTATCAAAAGTTATTTATAGGCATGCCCCTTAATAATACTATTAATTAATCATCTAATAACCACATCTTATTCATTCCTATTTACCTTTTCCTGCCTTGTTTCTTTTGTTTGCTTTTTATCAAATATGAAGGCCTATACTCACCCTTAATTGTCCAGCACCACTGATATCCTTTTCGTCTTAAAAATGGGAAAGCTTAGTCTAGCTTATAAAGCTGCTTAGCCCAGCCTTGTTGAGTATTACATTCAAAATGCTGCATAAACACAGTTGTGGGAAGAAAAAATACCTCATTGTCAAATAGAAAATTACCCTGATCCTTCATGATTTCTCCATGCTCAATACTTTTTGTCTATACTCACACATATAGCCTTCAGGGCTTTGTTCATTCATAAATTTAACAAGTAAACTTTGAGCAATTCTCATGCGTCAGATCTGTTCTAGACAGTGATATTTAGCACTTAAAAAAAAAGAAAAAGAAAATACCACCTCCGTGAAGCAATCATTCTAGTGGGGAAAAAAGAAGATATACAAATATAGAATATACCATATATACAGGGTGTATAGAAAAATTAAGTAACAAAGGAAGAAATGGGATAGGATAATGATCATAGCACTCACTACACTATATCAAAATTTTAAGTCAAGTATCTCTTTAGTTTTCAAACTGAAATTTCCTAAAAAGCATCTACTATGTCTTTTTTTCTCTCTGATTAGCTGTGATTGCATTTCTTCCTTATTACTGTTTTAAGAAATTACCACAAATATAGTGACTTAATGCACCGCTGTTATTGTAGTATGATTCTGAAGATCAGAGTTTCAAATTGATTGGCTGGCCATGTTCCTTCTGCAGGTTTAAGGGTAGAAACTATCTCCTTGTTTTTCCAGCTTCTAGATGCTGATAGCATTCCTTAGTTTTCAACCTCCTCATCCGTCTTCAAAGCCAAAAGTGTAGCATCTTTGACTCTTTTCCTCTCTCTCTGTCTCTCTCTCTCCTATTCCCCCTCCCTTTCGACTTTCTATCCCTCTCTGATTCTGGCCTTCTTGTCTGTGTTTTATAAAGACCCTCTGATTACATTGGAACCACCTGGGTAATCTAAGATGATAGCCAGGTTTCAAATTCCTTTCAAATTCCTTTCAAAATTAAAAGGCAGTTTTGCCATGTAAGGTTACATATTCACAGGTTCTGGGTATTAGGACATGAACATCTTTGAGGTGCAATTGTTTTGCCTATCACAGACTTACAATTTAAGTATCAATAGGACATGTGTGGTGTGTTTATGTGTAGCATATGTAAAATTTACAAATGAGTCTTTTATAAATATTTATATGACACATAGTGCAAGAACATAATGTGTGCACACATACAATATAATATGATAAAATATATAAGGTACATATGTGAATGTGTGGGTGACTCCTTTTTAAAAATAGAGAGTAAGCTTTAAGAAGATAGGGATGTTTTTTCTGAAAGAATAAAGAGATGCTACATGGGTTCAAAAGGCCTGAACCTAAACCCTTGAAGTGTGTGACTTTGTCAAACTTTTATCTTTTCTGTAAATGCCTACTTCAAAAACTTGTTATGAATCTCAACAAAATAGCATATACAAAAGGCATTTTATGTGCTTAAGTATGCTTTCCCTTCCATCCACTGACCTCTATAATTACAGCTACACTAAAAAAGTGACATAGCAAGTTAATAACAGAACATCATTCAGAGGCAAAATTGACATTAGAGTAGTTGAAAGAATATTAGCTGTGGAGACAGAAGAGGAGTTTCTCTGTGGAACCATACAGATCTGTATATGCATTACAGACCCATCAATTTTACTGTGAGAACCTGAGCAAGCTGTTTCAATATATTGTACCATAGATTTCTTACCTCTCTCTCTCTCTTTCTCCCTCTCCTCTCTTCCTTCCTTCTTTCCTTCCTCCCTCCCTCCTTCTCTTTCTTACTTCCTCTCTTTCTTCCTCTCTCTGTCACTCCCTCCCTCCTTTCCTTTTCTTTCTCTATGCTTTGCTATTTACCTATCTTTACTGGGGAGAATAATAAAGCCTAAAATTTTTGCAATAATTAATTAGCATAATTCTAGAATTTCTGATGCATTATGATGATCAATGCCAATAGCTAATGCTTACTTTATGTATAGTAATTTGAGCATTTTACATATTAGCTTATTTAGTTATCCAAACAACTCTATCAAGTAAGAAACATTTATTCAATATAAATAAGGGTAACTGAGGCACAAATAAGGGATCTTGGCTAAGATCAAACAGTTAATAAGTGACAAGATAGGGTATGAGCATATGAAATCAGACTCCCAAACCTGTGTTCTAACCACCATACTATACATCTTAGATCTCTTTTTCTTTCCCTCTCAACTAACAAGTAATTTGACATTCAACTAGTAGTTCTCATTTGTAAATCTAAAACATTTTTTCGCTTTGCTTAACAAATTTATTGTTAAAATAAATGTGGGGTAAAAGTAAAACTAATGAGCCCCACCATGTACTGGGAACCATATGTGTGTGTGTGTGTGTGTGTGTGTGTGTGTGTATGTATTTTTTTTTTACAAATTAGGAAGTAAAATTTGGAGGACTGATGAGTTATCCAAGTCACACATTTATTAAGAGACATATCTGATTTTAATGTCCAAACCATTTCCACCTAAGTACCTGTCACCCAAGGAAATAAGGCAACACATTCTATAACATGAACTATAAGCATGGCACATTTTTAAAGACATAATGAGGAAAAGTAAACCCAAAGGTCTTAGAAAGTGATAAATATCAGTTGTTAGCATTGTGTTGTGATCCCTGTAGAAATGAAACTTTGGAGCAGTTTGAACAACGAGATTGTTTGCATTTCACGTATTATACAGCAGCAAGATTCTCCTGAATGACTATTCTCTGAGATTATTTGTTTATGTCAGGGCTTAGCACACTATACTTCTAAAGGGGCAAATAGTAAATATTTTAGGCTCTGTGTGCTAAATAGTCTCTGTTGCACCTTTTTAGTTCTATTTTAGTATAAAGGCAAAGGCAGTCATAGACAATACACAAATGAATGGGTTCAGGCTGCCTTCCAATAAAACTTCACTTCCCAAGACAGGCAGTGGGCCAGATTTTGCCCACAGTTGTCTGGCTTAGTAACTAGTTAAAATTTCAAATGTGTTCAAAAAGATAATATTATATGTTTAAAAAAATCAAAGAAAAAAATGTTCTCTACCTCTAAAAGGAATACTTATTAAATATAGTTGATAGCTAAATTTTGCATTGCACATATGATGGTGCTAGGGACTCATAGAAGTCATATAAACATTTTATTTAGGTAAATTTTACAAGCAAAACGTTAAGATTTTCAGGGACACACATCTAATCAGTAATACAGCCGAGGTCTGAACCCAGTTCACCTGTCACATGATTCCTTTGTTTTCACCACCACACTTCATCCTCTCTTTATCTAGATCCACTGACTGTTTACTTCTACAGGTAAGATTGGCTAAACTTTAACCTCAGCACCACAGACATTGTTGAGGTTAAACAACTAGATTTCAATCTCGAAACCAGTTCCTCATTTTAATAAAAAAATAATTTACCATGAATATTTAAATATTGCTTTCCATATGGGAGAATCACCGTAAGTCAATAAAACATCATAGAATACTGATCACTTTATCTGGAACCATATTTGAGAATATTTAAAAAAGTAAAACCAATCTTAATTGATATTATGAAATTATAGATGTGCTAAACATTTATAACCTTAAATTATTAACTTTAAATTACTAAGTTCAAGTCTGTAAGATTTTGGATGTTGTTCAGATTTTGTAGGGCCAATACTGTACAGTGTTCATACAGTACTGTTCTGTGCAATGGTCTTATCACTGATCAAATTTACCTATAGAATAGAATTTAACTAATCATTAAAATTTTGCAAATAATTTTTTCATCTTTAAGGAAAGATTGATTTGTAGCAGTTAATATTTAAAATAAGGCATGTTAATATTACTAGTTATTAAGGTTAGTAAGAACAATAAAGTGTTATATGTTAATAAAATATTTTGTGTGAAAATAGATGCTTGAAATGTATTGAATTTAGTATGCTTTTTAATATTATAAGCTATATATCAACATATGTCATAATTTTTCTTTGCTAGAAACTAGAACATTTCAGCTTATGTAAAATTTTTAATAAGCCATATCCACATTTTTAAGCTGTCTTAAGAAAACTAAATACAAATATTTTAAAATAAAAACATTAACTAAATAAATTAAAAATTGAATTTAATTGGGAGCTCCTTTAAAAGTACAACTATATTGAGTATATATATTGTGAAACAATATTTTAAGTCTGATTACAAAATAACAGTAACTATACATAAAATGATATTGAATTATCATTTAATATCAACAAATTCTGTGATATATAATTTAAAAAACATTTGTTTTCTCACATTACCCAGTATTTTTTAAATATATGTTAATTATACTGTTATGCTAAGATGCTCAACACATTATGCTGGCATGGCTTTGGGGGAAAAAAATCCAATAAACTCACTTCAGTCTAAATCACCATCAAGGGAACTGAAGCAAGTGTGTGTCAGTATGTTCAGTATTATAGCCCAGGGGGACATAACACTTGCTAGGTTTGGGGGGAAAACAGCAGGACTTTTCAGTAGAAAGGAGACAGAAGGAAAACTTGTGATCACAAAACAGAAAAGCATATTGCTGATAAGACATAAGTGTTAGAGGTTTTCTACAACCTCAAGCTGTGCTTCTCCCAACAAAAATCTCATACTAATTTACACAAGGCAATTTTAGTTGCACAGCTAGAAAGAACTGTGAAAAATGAAATTAGTTGTTCTTTTACTAGAGATGATTCATTGCAAACTTCTGAAATGCTTTTCTTTTTTGAACTCTATTGAAATAGCAGACTTTGGAATTAAAGAAAACAGGGGAATAGTCATTTTAATACACTTGGACATAGTCTTACTCCTTTCCATAATAAATGATCTTCACAAAACTTGTATGCCTGCACAAAAGGAAGATCTAACCAGACTTCTGACTGTTGCCTAGAGCCTATAGCTTTGCCCTAAGTAAAAATGCACCGCCAACCATAGATAAAGAATTCTCCATTGTTTATTGTGTAAATGGAGTGTAAATTAAAAGTAAATATTTCCCTTCAAAATTATCTTATACCTTGGCTTCTTGTATTTGTGTTGTGTTGTTTCATGGCCCAAAATATATAGATTTGTTGCACTAACATCTAAACAGAAGGGTGTAGCTCTCCTTATCAAAGTGTATGATGATTATAATATCATGAATTTAAAATACAAGGAAAAGTAATTAAATCAATCCCATTGAGGTAACTATACAATGTAAATGATCTATATATGTACTATTTTCTATAAGTGATTTGTGTTTGGCTTATGGAGGCCTGACATGGGGTTCCTTGTGAGTCATGAATAATTCCAGCTGGGCTCATACTTTCCCAGGGCCAGAGAAACCTAACAGAACTCCAGTTTCAGGTGGAAATTAAAAAAAATAAGTTTCCCAGGAATGAGTTCACAAAAGAAATGAAGAGATTCTGACTTTCACTTACTTATTAATTTTACTCACGTAAAGTTATATTTGTTATATTTCTATAATTAAAGAGATATAATCACACAGGATTTTAGAAGTAAAGTTCTTGTTTTTGAAACGAATGTATCCTTTATTTCTGTTAACCAACCAGTCATTACCCATGTTGGGAATACTATGAATGTCTGATATTGTTTGGCTTTGTGTCTACACCCAAATCTCGAATTGTACTCCCATCATTCCTATGCGTTGTGGGGGGGATACGGTGGGAGATAATTGAATCATGGGGGCAGTTTCCCCCATACTGTTCTTGTGGTAATGAGTAAGTCTCATGAAATCTGATGTTTTTTTCAGGGGTTTCCACTTTTGCGTCTTCCTCATTCTCTCTTATCCTGCTTCATTCCATGTAAGGTGTGATTTGTTCTTCCTTGGCTTCCACCATGATTGTGAGTCTTCTGTAAGTCAAATTAAACCTCTTTCTCTTGTAAATTTCCCAGTCTCAGGTATGTCTTTATCAGCAGCATGAAAATAGACTAATACAGAAAAGTGGTACTAGTGGGGTGCTGCTGAAAAGATACCTGAAAATGTGGAAGTGACTATGGAACTGGGTAACAGGCAGAGGTTGGAACAGTTTGGAGGGTTCAGAAGAAGACGGGAAAATGTGGGAAAGTTTGGAACTTCCTAGAGACTTGTTGAATGGCTTTGCCCAAAATGCTGATAGCAATATGGACAATAAGGTCCAGGCTGAGGTGATCTCAGATGGAGATGAGGAACTTGTTGGGAACCGGAGCAAAAGTGACTCTTGTTATGTTTTAGCAAAGAGACAGGCAGCATTTTTCCCCTGCCCTAAAGATTTGTGGAACTTTGAACTTGAGAGATGACTTAGGGAATGTGGCCAAAGAAATTTCTAAGCAGCAAAGCATTCAAGAGGTGACTTGAGTGCTGTGACAAGTATTCAGTTTTAAAAGGGAAACAAAGAATAAAAGTTTGAAAAATTTGCAGTTTGACAATGCGATAGAAAAAAAAAATCCCATTTTCTGAGGAGAAATTCAAGCTGGGTGAAAAAAAATTGCATAAGGAACAAGGAGCCAAATGTTAATCCCCAAGACAATGGGGAAAATGTCTCCAGGGTATGTCAGAAGTCTTCATGGCAGCCCCTCTCATCAGAGGCCTGGAGGCCTAAGAGGAAAAAGTGGTTTTGTGGACCCAGCCCAGGGTCCCCGAGCTGTGTGCAGCCTAGGAAACTGGTGCCCTGTGTCCCAGCCGCTCCAGCAATGGCCGAAAGGGGCCAACATAAAGCTCTGGCTGTGGCTTCAGATGGTGCAAGCCCCAAGCTTTGGCACCTTTCATGTGGTGTTGAGCCTGCAGGTGCACAGAAGTCAAGAATTGAGGTTTGGGAACCTCTACTTAAATTTCAGAAGTTTGCTGCATTGGCGGTGCTCTCATAGAGAACCTCCGCTAGGGCAGTGCGGAAGGGAAATGTGGGGTTGGAGACCCCACAGAGAGTCCCTAATGGGGCACCACCTAGTGGAGCTGTGAGAAAAGGGCCACTGTCCTCCAGACCCCAGAATGGTAGATCCACCAACAGCTTTCACCGTGCACCTGGAAAAGCTGCAGACACCAAACACCAGCCCATGAAAGCAGTCAGGAGGGAGGCTGTAGTCTGCAAAGTCATAAGGGCAGAGCTGCTCAAGACCATGGGAGCCCACCTTTTGCATCAGTGCAACCTGGATATGAGACATGGAGCCAAAGGAGATCATTTTGGAACTTTAAGTTTTAACTGCCTCACTGGATTTCAGACTTGCATGGGCCCCATAACCCCTTTGTTTTGGCCAATGTATCTCATTTGGAACAGTTGTATTTACCCAGTGTCTGTAGCCCTATTGTATCTAGGAAATAAATAGCTTGCTTTTGATTTTCCAGGCTCATAGGCCAAAGGGACTTGCCTTGTCTCAGATGAGACTTTGGACTGTGGACTTCTGAGGTAATGCTGAAATGAGTTAAGACTTTGGTGGACTGTTGGGAAGGCATGATTAGTTTTGTGATGTGAGGACATGAGATTTGGCAGGGGCCAGAATTGGAATGATGCGATTTGGCTCTGTTTCCCCACCCAAATCTCATCTTGAATGGTACTCCCATCATTCTCATGTGTTGTGGTGGGGAGTTGGTGGGAGACAATTGAATCATGGGGGCGGTTCCCCCATACTGTTCTCGTGGTAGTGAATAAGTCTCAAGAGATCTGATGGTTTTCTCAGGTGTTTTCACTTTTGCGCCTTCCTCATTCTCTCTTTGCCTGCTGTCACCCATGTAAGACGTGACTTGTTCTTCCTTGGCTTCCTCCATGATTGTGAGGCTTCCCCAGCCACTTGGAACTGGAAGTCAAATTAAACCTCTTTCTTTTGTAAATTTCCCAGTCTTGGTATGTTTTTATCAGCAGTGTGAAAATGGACTAATACAAGGTCCCTTCAACTAATAATAGTCATATCTAACTTTCATTGTATATTATATGCCAGGCATTTAGCTCTGCCTCTGTACATTTTATCATATTCTATTTTATTATTTAAAACTTTTATGCCTTAGCTTCAACTGTGGCCCATTTACAGATGAAGTCATTGAGGGTTAGGCATGTTACCAAAACTGTTTGAATATCTCAGAGACAGCAGTTATTCCAGAACTCAAATCCTATTCTTATTGAACTTTAAATTCATTTCTTAAAACTGAATTTGTGCACATACTGTCTGTCATCTCCATAGCTGCTAGCTGATTTTGCTCCCATTTATGTATTTATTTCTATATATTTTTATTAACTGCTGGTCAACAGGCTAAGTGCACTGTTCACAAATGTAGCCATCAACTAAATATTCAATGCTCAAACATGCAGACATGTTAAATCATCACCTTATTTTTCTTCTGGAGACACAATAAAGTGACTCTAGTGAACCTAGCTCTCAGGAACTGCATGAAACTTATGGTCACTTACACAACATGCAAATGGGGTAATAAAAATGTTTTCTTATTTCTTTGAACATGTACTAGTAAGGCAACAATAATTTGGATATATTTATTCAAGTCTAGGATCTTTCCTTGCTGCCTGAAGTGTTTTCATTGATGACAATATATTTTGAAAGGATGAAGGAAAGATGAAAAGTAGGACAGTAGCAAGGAAAGAAGGAGAAATATTTCTAAAGATTAAAAAATTATTTGAACATTATTAGATGAGAATCAACACTTTATATTGCTCAGTAAGCAATGTAATAATGATATTATGTATAATACATACTCATAAATGTATAGTTTCTTAGGGAAAAATATTTATATTGTTAAATCTATAAAGCCTATTATTTTTAAATACTTTCTATACTGCTTGCTCAATATCTCTAAAAGGTCCTTGTTAACTCTACTACCTCTGCTAGTTTTTTGATTATTCTTATTATCTCTGTATCATAATTTGGTAGGATCTCTTTGTTACCATTGGTGATTTTGATATCTTAGCTCTTGATCTGACAGGGTGACATATCTATGTATAGGTCTGAGAGGCACCTACTAGTCAATAGTCCAAATGGAGAACAGATTTTCTCTTTCTTTTCCTTCCTCCCTCCCTTTCTTCCTTCCTTCCTTCCTTCCACCTTGCCTTTCTATTTCTTTCTCTCTTTCTCTTTCTTTCTTTCTTTCTCTCCCTCCCTCCCTCTCTTTCTTTTTCTCTTTTTTCATGTTTTTATTTCTGAAGCCCATGTCACACTTGTTTTAGTTGAAGTGATCTACTAGGATTTGTTCATTCTAAGCAGATTGTTTTAGGCTGAAGAAGTCCATAAGTAAAAAAGCTACCTGTACAACATTGTGCATATAGTTAACTGTGCTGTATTGCATATGTAAAAATGTGATAAGGGGGTGGATCTCAATTTGTGTTCTTATCACAATGAGAGAGAGAGAGAGAGAGTGAGAGAGAGAGAGAGACTGAGAAGTTAGCCACTTGCCTGTTGGAGGTAACAGGGAAGGTGAGGTGGGGAAGCTGCAGCACATGTCCAGATCAGTTCTTTTTTTTTTTTTTTTTTTTTACTATACTTTAAGTTTTAGGGTACGTGTGCACAACGTACAGGTTAGCTACATGTGTATACATGTGCCATGTTGGTGTGCTGCACCCATTAAATCGTCATTTAACATTAGGTATATCTCCAAATGCTATCCCTCCCCCCTCCCACAACCCCACAACAGGCCCCGGTGTGTGATATCCCCCTTCCTGTGTCCATGTGTTCTCATTGTTCAATTCCCACCTATGAGTGAGAACATCGGTGCTTGGTTTTCTGTCCTTGCGATAGTTTGCTGAGAATGATGGTTTCCAGCTTCATCCATGTCCCTACAAAGGACAGGAACTCATCATTTTTTATGGCTGCATAGTATTCCGTGGTGTATATGTGCCACATTTTCTTAATCCAGTCTATCCTTGCTGGATATTTGGGTTGGTTCCAAGTCTTTGCTATTCTGAATAGTGCCTCAATAAACATACGTGTGCATGTGTCTTTATAGCAGCATGATTTATAATCCTTTGGGTATATAACCAGTAATGGGATTGCTGGGTCAAATGGTATTTCTCAAACCACTGCTCAATGAAATAAAAGAGGATACAAACCAATGGAAGAACATTCCATGCTCATGGGTAGGAAGAATCAATATCATGAAAATGGCCATACTGCCCAAGGTAATTTACAGATTCAACGCCATTCCCATGAAGCTACCAATGACTTTCTTCACAGAATTGGGAAAAAACTACTTTAAAGTTCATATGGAACCAAAAAGGAGCCCGCATTGCCAAATCAATCCTAAGCCAATAGAACAAAGCTGGAGGAATCATGCTGACTTCAAACTATACTACAAGACTACACTAACCAAAACAGCACAGTACTGGTACCAAAACAGAGATATAGACCAATGGAACAGAACAGAGCCCTCAGAAATAATGCCACATATCTACAACTATCTGATCTTTGACAAACCTGACAAAAAGAAGAAATGGGGAAGGATTCCCTATTTAAAAAATGGTGCTGGGAAAACTGGCTACCCATATGTAGAAAGCTGAAACTGGATCCCTTCCTTACACCTTATACAAAAATTAATTCAAGATGGATTAAAGACTTACATGTCAGACCTAAAACCATAAAAACCCTAGAAGAAAACCTAGGCAATGCCATTCAGGACATAGGCATGAGCAAGGACTTCATGTCTAAAACACCAAAAGCAATGGCAACAAAAGCCAACATTGACAAATAAGATCTAATTAAACTAAAGAGCTTCTGCACAGCAAAAGAAACTACCATCAGAGTGAACAGGCAACCCACAAAATGGGAGAAAATTTTCGCAACCTACTCATCTGACAAAGGGCTCATATCCAGAATCTACAATGAACTCAAACAAATTTACAAGGAAAAAACCAACAACCCCATGAAAAATGGGCGAAGGATATGAACAGACACTTCTCAAAAGAAGACATTTATGCAGCCAAAAGACACATGAAAAAATGCTCATCATCACTGGCCATCAGAGAAATGCAAGTCAAAACCACAATGAGATACCATCTCAGACCAGTTAGAATGGCGATCATTAAAAAGTCAGGAAACAACAGGTGCTGGAGAGGATGTGGAGAAATAGGAACACTTTTACACTGTTGGTTGGACTGTAAACTAGTTCAACCATTGTGGAAGTCAGTGTGGCAATTCCTCAGGGATCCAGATCAGTTCTAAGCTTATGGTTTAAACTGGGAGGAAGGTAATTAAATCATGGAGGTGGTTTCACCTATGCTGTTCTCATGATAGTGAATTAATTCTCATGAGATATGATAGTTTTGTAAGTGTTTGCAAGTTCTTTCTTTGTTTTCTCTCTCCTGCCACCTTCTGAAGAAGGTGCCTGCTTCCCCTTTTGCCATGATTGTAAGTTTCCTGAGGCCTTCTAGCCATGTGGAACTGTGAGTCAATTAAACCTCTTTTCATTATAAATTACCCAGTCTCATGCAGTTGTTTATAGCATTGTGAAAATGGACTAATACAAACTCCTAACGCAGTGTCTTGCACATAGCAGACACTCAATAAATTTCTGCCAAATAAAAATATAGAATATAAGTTGTAAAGTTTTCCATTAAAATGTCTGTACTCAATCCTTACAAAGCTAAATGCAAAATTCTAGGCCCACAGCAACAATAGGGGCAAACTTTGAAAATCAATGCTAAAACTTGTAACTTACTCTTCTGCTTTAACATTTAAGTTGATTTGCTTTGCAGCCCTCTTTATGAATATCTAATGATGTTTCATATCTATGAGTTAATTGAATTGTGATCTCCAGTAGTAACTAAATGATGGTGATAAGATTAGTTATGCCTTTATTAAAATGGCCTTATACCATAGTCCTTGACCAATAAAATTGAGTTTAATTTATATCCCTAAAAAGGAAAGATATTCTTTTTATTTCCATAAATGTTTTTTAACAAGACACTTCAGTTAAATTCCAAATGTCAGCAAGGAGTAGCAAAGGCTCATAGCTATATACTTTACAAAATAAGGCACTGCCATTGTCTGTAGTTTTGTATATTTTACTGAAGAGCATTAGTACTTTCTTTGATTCTGCCTCAGTCGTCAAGTGGTATAATACTCACGAACAGCTAGAAAATAACAGGGTTTTGGTTAGTAAATAAAGAAGGTGAGTCTGCATAGAAGAAAGACCTAATACAGATTGTGTTTGAGTTGTGCTTGTGCATATTATAGACCTGTTTCAACTCATGTGCCAAAAATGCATGTTATATTTAACTTTCGACCATATAAACACATAGACACACACACTCAATCTCTCTCTCCTTTCCTCAGTGTTTAAAACAATGCCTACCACATTTAAGTACCCCAAAATATTAACTGAATGTATAAATATTTGTTTACATATACAATGATTTGTTTAGAAGCAACTTTATGAAAAATCTTTTCTCATGCATTTTTAAGTGGGACAGAAATCTATGTATTTTTAAGTTATGACACTAAAAAACTCCTGTATGGTACAGAAATCAAATTACTATTTACTTAAATATTTATTTTGATTTATTTCAATAATTAAATTATGTCACCTTCTTCATAGAGTATAATTGCCTTTGTGCCAAACTTTTACAAATTAAAAATAAAAGAAATGCATAAATAAAAATATAACATTAATTTTACTTACATCTGATAAATAATTCTGGTTGCTATTCACAAAATAAACACACGTGGTTTGTTATTAACCTATTTTTTTAACAATCAGTTTTTAAAGTCTGAATTTATTGGTATTAATTTTACTAGGTTTTTTACAAAGGTCATTATCTCTTTTCCAAGCATTATCCTCTCTCTCTCTCTCTCCATATATGTGTGTGTGTGTGTGTGTATATGTCTCTCTATATATGTATATAAATCTGTGCTAATTTTGTCTTTGCTAGCTAAGCAGCATATGTGATATTTAAAAGAAGGAAAGATAATTAAATAAAAGAAGCTCTCACTATTTAGTAATTTACATTTTAATTATTTTTAAAAAAATTAGATCTTGCTCTTTGTTTTGATTATAAATAGATTACCAGGGTGCCTACACTGTACATTTTTAGTCACAGTTCACCAAATAGAAACTCATTATCTCTGCCCATATGATGTTTATGAGGTTAGCAAAATAATACATGGTTTAACAATAGTTCATGATTCTCTTCAAAAGTTGATCTAATATTAAATGTTATCATCTTTAATAAGTATAGTATATCTACAAATCATATATGATATAAACAAATTCCAAACATTAATTTTTGGTATCACATTATGAACTTATTTTTATAGGTATGCTATATTAAAATAAATATAAACAAACCTTTGATTATATTTACTTTGATTATAAATTTACAAAAGATGATATAAGTAATGGAAGTTAGAATTGTGTGGATTAAAAAAGGTTACAAATTCTTTTTTGATTCTTCCATCGTTTGGTAGATTTACTTCCCTTGAATCTGAACTGTCCCTGTGAATAACAGTAATCAATAAAACAAAGTGAAATAATGGTGGGTGATTTCTGAGTCTCAGTGTCAAGAGAACTTTCCAGTTTTAACTCTTGTTCTTTTGGTAATCTGAGACCATTATGCTATTATGAAGCACATAATGAAGACCCACATGGAGAATAAGGCCCAGTCATCCCCGCCCCACCCCCAAGATTCCAAACACATGAGTAAAACCATCTCAGGCATCTAGCTCCAGCCAACCAGCAAGCTGGCCACAGCCATAGGAATGAGCACAGACTAGGTCACCAGAGCATCATGCAGCCAATTCACAAAATGATGGGGAATACTCAATCGTTATCATTTAAGTCACTAGATTTTGAGGCTGTTTGTAAAACAGCAGTAGGCACTATTTATATATGTATGCATGCACGTATATAAACATATATGTATGATTTATATGTATCATATATAATTTTATATTATTTTGGAAGAAACAAAAAGGAAAAAGTGATTGGTTTCATAATCACTATTTTACACACATTTCTTTATTTGGAAAAAAAAGTATTTTTTCCATAATATGGTAATTTGTCCTGTATCTGGCACATAAAGATATATTATCTCTTTTATTAAGAAGTTAAGTCTCTTTAACCATTTTAACAGAGTACAGGATGCTGTTAAAATTCACTGTATAATAAGAATATGAGTAACATAATTTATATGATTATAAATTGAGATTATAAGGTAATGAGAAAAATCTAAAAGGAAGTAATAAAGAGAAAAAAACAACATTTGATAAACTGGAAGTGGAAAATGTTTCTATTATTACTCAATTAATATATTTTAGTTAGAAAATTTAATTCTTAAATTTTTTAAAGAATGTCAAATAGGCTGGACGTGGTGGCTCATGCCTGTAATCCCAGCGATTTGAGAGGCCAATAACGAAGGATTGCATAAAGTTAGGAGTTCCAGACCAGGCTGGGCAACATAGCAAGACCCTATCTCTACAATTTTTTTAAAAAACAACTGGGCATGGTGGTGTGCACCTGTAATCCTCACTACATGAGAGGCTGTGGTGGGAGGATTCCTTGATCCCTGGAGTAGAAGGCTGCAGTGAACTATGATCAAGCCATTGCACTCCAGCCTGGGTGACAAAGCAAGACCCTGTCTCTTGAAAAAAAAAGGAAGAATGTCAAATAATAATTAGGAAAAGATAATAACAGCACAGTTTCTTAATATGAGCATAATCAGTGTACAAGAAGTTTAAAGAATTAAAGTAGAGGGTAAAGAGTCAGTAATGTGAATCAATTTATAATTAAATGTTTCATCTATTTAAAGCTTCTCTGCTTAACTATGTATTCTTTAAAAGTTCTTTTTGAAATGTTTCTTCTTCTCAATATATTTTGCTTAGTTAAGTTTTCTGCTGTCAGGTTTTTTCACTTTATCACACCACTCTATGAACATAAAGATGTCTTTGATGTCAAGAAAAGCAATACTCATGTATTCATGTATGTTGAAACTGGCAGGTGACCCAGTAGTTTTTTAGATTTCTTTGTATTTCTAGGTGTTTAGTAATTATCTTGAAATTCCTTCTAATAAGATTAAGTATTCTCCTTATTGAGTTCTTATACAGAGCATAAAACTGAATCTATTCATAAGTCTAACAAAGGGATAAACCTTTTGACAGACTATATTATTTCTGAAACACACATTCAATTATATATGTTGGAAGATATTGGTTACTTAAAAATTAAACTTTGAAACAAAAATATTTTTATTTGGAGAATGTAATAAATGTTTGCTATAATGTATTTAAATGTATTCACATACTATTTATACAGAACAATATACATTATACTAGTTATAATAACTTTAAATAATTTTTTGAAGATTTTCACATTTTTGGTCACAAGTAATAGCATCCAATAGAGTTTGATTAACTAACACAAGAGAGAAATAATGTTCTGGTTATTTTGGTATTTTTTTCCATAGAAGTCCTAAAGAAGTGTTCTAACAAAAAATGTCAAATTTGGGAGCCAAGTATAGATCTTTAGGAATTTTGTATTTCATTTACTTTCAACAATAATATCAATAGAAATTATGACAACACTATGGCAAATGGAAAAGACGGTGATGAGTCTATCTGAATTCTCTCTTTCCATATCCTTAGGAAATCATATAAATTATCTGTTACTTATATTCTTATTATACAATGAAATGTTAACAGCATCCTGTACTCTGTTAAAATGGTTAAAGAGACTTTAACTTCTTATTCTTACAAAAAATAGAAATATTATCTTTTCAAATCTAAAAAAGTAATTATAAAATATTATTTCTGTGTAAATTATTAGTTGTAGTGAAAAGAAAAAGCAGGATTTTTGAGACAAGAAAATGGACAGAACAAGAAACAAACAAAAATCTGTTACAGGTCACATGATCTGACTTGTAACATGATCATAATATTACCAGAAAGGAGTCGTGATTCAGACCCCAAGAGAGGGTTCTTGGATATCGCAAAAAAAAAAAAAAAAATTCAGGGTGAATCCATAGAGTAAATTGAAAGCAAGTTTATTAAGAAAGCAAAGGAATAAAGAATAGCTACTCCATAGTTAGAGCAGCAGCATGGGCTGCTCCACTGATTATACTTACAGTTATTTCTTGATTATACACTAAAGAAGTGGTGGATTATTCATCAGTTTCCCAGGAAGGTGGTGGGCAATTTCCGGAACTGAGAGTTCCTCCCTTTTTTTTAGACATATAAAGTAACTTCCTGAGGTTGCCATGACATTTGTAAATAGTCATGGTGCTGATGGGAGTGTCTTTTAGCATGCTAATGCATTATAGTTAGTGCATAATGAGCAATGGGGCAACTAGTAGTCACTTTCATCTCCATCTTGGTTTTGGTGAGTTTTGGCTGGCTTCTTTGCTGCAAGCTGCTTTATCAGCAAGGTCTTTGTGACCTCTTTCTTGTGCTGACCTCCTGTCTCATTCTGTTACAAAGAATGCCTCAACTATTGGGAATGCAGTCCAGCAAGTCTCAGCCTTATTTTACCCAGTCCCTATTCAAGATGGAGTTGCTCTGGTTCAAACACCTCTGACAATGATATTACATATAACATCAGGGTAAAATGAAAGACATTAAACAACTTCCAGGCATACAAATAAACGATTGAAATAAAGATCTTTTCTGACTTTTATAAGGTCAATATATTCTAGAAAACAATGCAACAATACTGCAAATTTCTACGTGAGTTAATTTTTCAACCAAGAATACTACACTTCTAAAAACAACAACAAAAAAAGTAATAAAATTATTCCCATGTATTAATTCAATATATATTTAGGTAATTTTCAGAGCATATGATTTAGTAAAACAAAAATATTAACCACAAACAAGAAGGGATTGGAAGTCATGGGATCTGGGAGTCAACAGGCCCAGTAAGAATTAAGGATGATAGCACAGGGAAGTATTTGAATGTCTCGTGTGCACTTATTTTTTTAAAAATCAGCTCAGATAGCAGCAGAAAGAAGGATAGTGTGTTTCGATCTCCGGGGGTGAAAGGCAGAAACGTGAAGCATTTCTGATCAATTTGAGCTTTGAGGAATACATTAGGAAAAATGAACATGAAAAAATTCCCCTAGAGGGTTTTTTAAGAATGTAAAATGGAATGTAGGCCCCATTCTATTTCTGACTATCTTAATCAGCTCTGGCAGCTATAACAAAGTTTCATAAATTAGGTGTCTTACACAAAATAGAAATGCATTTCTCACAGTTCTGGAGGCTAACAGTCTGAGATCACTGTGCTAGCACTGTTAGGTTCTGCCCTGTTCCAGGTTCCCTACTGTTGACTAGGGTCCCTTTTATAGAGGCACTGGTGCCATTTATGAGGGGAGGGCCTTCATTACCAAATTACCTCCTGTAGATCCTACCTTCTAATATCATTACATTTGGAGTTAATATTTCAACATATAAATTTGGGGGTAAACAAAGATTCACCCCTTATCAATGACCCAATAAATCTTAGTGAAGGCCAGATAATTTGTATATTAAACAAATTCTAAGGCTATGCTGATGCTGCTTGTTGGTCTAGAGACCCCACGTTGAAACACCATATTAGATTTTTGGAACAACTGGAAATAAAAGAACTATAACTTTTACACTTATGCAAATAAAAAATAAGCATTAACTATAAATAGTAAAATAATGCATAATAAAGTAATCATAGTAATGAATAATATTTATATAACCCATAGTGATCTTAAAATTCTATTAATTTAATTAAAATTTAGTATTTGGAGTTACGTGGTATAGAAAGTAAGGGAATTGCAATGTAACAGAACTAATTATTAGCAACTAAAAGACAAACTAGCTATATAAACTACTTAGCAAATAAAAAATAAAAATTTGCCAAAATTTTTATCCTGATAATAGGATAATGTTTGGGATTGGGAAAGTGTACAGGTCTATCTTTTGTCATAAAAAGGAAGTTAAATCTTAAATGTTTAGTTCTGTACATTTATTACTATGGTTAAGTTTTTTAAAATATAGTCACTGAAATTTAAATAATATAATAATTTAAAGAAAAACTCTCTAAGCGAGCTAAGGGAGTAGTGTAGACACAACACAAAAGATAGGAATTGGAAGGTATAACTGAAAAATATACTAAAATGTATTATAAATTATAAATAGACCAACAGTATGAAATAAAAAACATGATGGAGGAAAAATGACAATGCCAGTTGATATTTAAGACATTTCAGATGGATAAAATTGACAAAATATGGAAAAGGAAACATTGAAAGATTTCACTGGGAATCTTAAAACACAAGTTTCCTTTGAACCTTCGTCTCACAGAAGTAGCCCCAATCTTAATTTTGTGTGTGTGTGTGTGTGTGTGTGTGTGTGTGTGTGTGTGTGTGTGTGTGACATGGAGTCTCACTCTGCCTCCACGGCTGGAGTGCAGTGGCGTGATCTTGGCTCACTGCAACCTCTCCCTCCCGGGTTCAAGCGATTCTCCTGCCTCAGCCTGCCCAGTAGCTGGGACTACAGGAATGCACCACCGCACCCGGCTAATTTTTTTTGTGTATTTTTAGTAGAGACGGGTTTTTTCCATGTTGGCCAGGCTGGTCTTGAATGCCTAACCTCAGGTGATCCGCCTGCCTCGGCCTCCCAGAGTGCTGGGATAAAGGCATGAACCACCACTCCCGGCCCCAATATTACTTTTAATGGCAAAAACCGCAATTACTTTTGCACCAACCTAACAGAAGAGCGCAATCTTCCCTCACTTGAGTTCCTGCAAGGTTCTTACCAGAGGTAGGTGTCTCTCAGAATTTTACTTGTCCTTTTAAAGATGATGCCCCGCCATGACTCAAGCTTATAATTCAGGGCTGAGAAGAGACCAAGCAAGGATGTACAGTCTCTGCTCAAAGAAGAAAGTCCTAGATACTAACTGAATTGTAAATTGTGCATAACACATACCAGTAGGAATCTAGGAAGAACTTTTGAGAGTGGATCTTATAATCTTAAGGCTGTCTGACTAGACAGAAGAGTGCAGAATAGAAGGCTAGAGAAGCGAGAACTTCTTGACAGGGGAAAATGATCAATGAGTCAGCATTCAATATTCTGGCAAGAAAATCTGAGGCTGAAAGTTATTTATGCTGGAGTGGCTCTTTGATGCTTGGCCATGAGGACAGCATTTAGTAAAAGGAGAAGATGCTAGAACTTTCTTAAAATAGTATTAAGGAAGGGATCAAAGGCTCAGGGAGGTACTAATGTTAGAAAGAATTTATTTTGTACTGAAAGTTACCACTTGGCTCTGTTATCCGATCCTCATTAAGATAATAGAGAAGCCCTACAGGGGCTGTTTTGTAGGAAATGCTAAAATGGAAATTGGCTCTGAAATATCAGTGAGGATAATGGTTTTCAGAATGGCAGACCAGGTGACAGCACTTAACCATAAGAGGCTAAATGGATGTAATTACTGAAATTGTGGAAAAACTGAAGTGGCCATCAGAGTGGCTTGACCCAAAAGAATGTGTAACGATGGCCAATACTTTACAAAATTCATGGGATAAAGATTAATAACCGACAGGATATTACTGACACAATTTTTGAGGCTGGCTATCCGAAGACTGATGTCTGCTCCCGCAGTGGAAAATCACTGCCTCTCTCACGACTGTCTAACATTTATTAATTTACAGACACAGAATGCACACAGAGCATGAGCTTTATCTCACCAAAGCTGGTCTAATTTTTGCCAGTGTGGAATTTTCCAGCTTGCCTGCCGCAAATGCCATCAAAATGACTCAGTTCCCCAAGATCTACTGGATGCCAGGTTGATTACATCAAACCTATCCCTTCCTTGAGGAGCAAGGATAAATTGCTGTCAAATTTCTAATCTTTTGCTGCTCTTTTGTTATAAAGTATTGGTTTATTGGAATCTTAATTATTACTTTATAAATTACTACTAAAAAGCATCTTCCTATGTAAATAATTCCCATTTATATTACTCTTTTCTGAGATTTCTGTTCATGTCTTTTCTTCATTTCTCTACTGTGTTTTCGTGACTATCTCATTTACTTGTATGCATTATTATACATTTTGATAAAATTGTCATTTTTCAGTTATATATTTTGCAAATATCTTTTTCAGTTGATAGTTTCTCTCTTTTTTTTTTCCTTTATGGTGTCCTTTGATAAATGGCTATGTAATTTCAATGTAGACACATGTATCTCTTTTCTTTTGGAGGATAGTATATTTAGGCTTTAAAAAATAAATTATTCTCGGCCGGGAGCATTGGCTCACGCCTGTAATCCCAGCACTTTGGGAGGCCGAGGCGTGCGGATCACCTGAGGTCAGGAGTTCGAGACCAGCCTAGACAACATGGTGCAACCCCGTCTCTACTAAAAATACAAAAATTAGCCGGACATGGTGGCAGGCACCTGTAATCCAAGCTACTGGGGAGGCTGAGGAAGGAGAATCCCTTGAACCCGGGAGGCAGAGTTTGCAGTGAGCCAAAATCATGGCCATTGCACTCCAGCCTGGAGAACAAGAGCAAGACTTGGTCTTAAAAAAAAAAAAAAATTCCATTCTCATCTTTTATTTTACTAATATCATCTCCAGTACTGTTTTATAACACTTTGCAAGCTTTGTTTTCCATACTAAGTATGGACTTTCTTTTGAATGTGGTGTGGTAGAGATGTGGTTCATTTCACCCTAGTGAGCTCAACACTATTTGTTAAACAATGCACACTTCCCAATCTGATTTGTTCTTCTATGTTCAGGTAATGAATTTTTGTATGTTCATGAGACCCTTCCTGTCCTTTCTGAATGGTTTTATTGGTTAATATAATGAGTTCTCTCTCAAATGAACTGTCTTAATTACAATTTTTGTGTGTTTGTTTGTTTGTTTGTTTTTGCTATACCAATTGTACTAGCTTTATAATAGTTCTTGGTCTCAGGTAAAGCAGTTCATTCCAATATCAATATTTCTCTTCAGGAGAGACTTGGAAATCCTTGGCCCTTTGTACTTCTACAAATATGTAGAATCGTCTTATCAATTTGTACAAAAAAATGAAAAATGTGATTGGCATAGCAATAAAACTATGGATATAATTGGGTAAATTAAAATTTTTAATTATTGATTCTTTATTTTAATTTGGCATATTCTTCTATTTAATTTGTTTTGAAATGTCTTTCAATAAGTTATATTTTTGCTTCATCAAAGAACTGTGCATTTTTATGAGATTTAATTATCCAATTTTAAAAACTATAATTTTACCTTTTAAATTTAATTTTTGCAAATTTATTTTTATTCACCATTTATCCCATCACCCTTGATAATTTTTTTCTAAACTTTAATATTTTCTCAGTAGATTGCTTTGGCTTTTACTATGTAGATAGTCACACCATCTTTAAGGAATGACAGATTTGCCCCTTCATTTCCAAAATCTCACATTTAAAATCTTGTTTTATTTTATTTGCTAGGGCTTTCCATGAAAATTGAGTAAATCCATTATCAGTAGGCATTCTAACATTGTCCATAAATATAAACAGATTTTGCTTGTGACATATTATAAATGTTAAAATTTTAAAATATACTTGTTCATTAGGTTAAGGAATTTCTTTTATTTCTAGTTTGCTAAGGACCTTTAAAAAATTGAGTCAGTGGTTTTCTACATGTGTAAAGATGATTTTATATATTATTCCTTTGAACAGTTAGTATGATAAATTATATTTCTATGTTTGCAGATGTTAAAGCTGACACAATTAAAACAGTGCATGACCTGACAGTTATGCTTCTCATTTTAATTTTTAGCTTGTTTTATTGTTTTTATTTTTATTCTTGAAGTGTTCACTCATTTTCTCAACAGAAAATCAATTCTTTAAAAAGTATGTTTTTTTTCCTATGGTAATATGTTCATAATTATGTTGCAGTTGAGCAGAAAGTTTTTTAGAATATTTTGTCAACCATACTGCCAAAATTAGAAGTGTATCTGTATTAGAATTTGTTGAATTATCTTTGGAATTTTAACTTATTACTATCAATCTACTCCCCAAGCAATAACCAGACTATATTTGAAAGATAATTAAAGAAATCTGCTTATTAAAACATGTTTGCCATGTTAAAGGAAAGAAATAAGTGAGAACCTAGTTTTCATAAAAAGAAAACTGAAAGTGACTCTCCTAGAAAGTAAAAAATGCAATATCTAAAAACCCACTGGACATATTTTGAAACTCAGAAGATAGAATTAGTTTACCAGAAGATAGATCAGGAATTATCCAGAATGAAGCATATATAGATTAAGATAAAAGAAAATTTGAAAGAGAGTAATAATGTAAAAAAAATTGAAAGCATCAAAAGCATAGCTGGTCTCAGGAGAAAAACAGGAGTTGGGGCAAATCCAGTCTATCAACATTGAAGATACTTCTTTATTTTCTATAATTAGAAAAACCTAGCAATTCATAGGTTTAGGAATCCAATAAATTCAAATAGAACAAATTTTTAAAAATCTACACCAAAAAGAGAAACTTCACTGCAGAAAAGCAAGAGAAAATCCTACAGTCAAGGATGAGGTGAGGGTGGAGGCGTAGATTACATTTAAATGAACGGTAGTGAGATTGGTAAACCAGAAGGAAATGGAATGTTGCACTATCTTAACTCATATATATATATGAGTATGTATATATATGAGAGTATATATATGAATATGTATATGAGTATATATGAGTATATATATATGAGTATATATGTGATTGTGTATACCATATACAATATGAGAGTGTATGTGATATATATATATATATATATATATACACAATACAATCACATGTGGTTTATATATATGGTAACCTTAAAACTTCATTGGGTTTACAAAGTGTAAAATAGAATATATATAAACTGAATTAAATAAAAATTTATGTTTTGTGATTTAAAAAATTAAATTTCAAATAAAATAATGTATATGCAATACTTAAATTCTTCCAGAGAATACACATATAGAAAAAATTTGCAAAAAAGACATTTTACATCATGGGTTAGTAAACACAAGAATATAAATGTGCCATTTTTCCTGCAATTTATTTATAGTTTCACTTCAGTCTCAGTTAAAATCCCAAAGTTTTGAGTAGAAATTGATAAACTGATGCAAACCATGAAAATGCAGGATGTCAGAGAATACCTCCCCAAATAAACCTATGCATATATGGACACTTCATTTATGGCAGCGATGGTACAGGATATCAATAATCATTTGTTGGTCATTTCAATAAAATTTACTGGCAATATCAGATTTCTATATGGAAACAATGAAATTTGACTCCTACCTTGAACCATAAACACAAGGAAATTCCAGGTGGATTCAATACCTAAATGAAAAGTAAATTTATGAAGCATTTAGAATGTAGAAGAATATGTGTTTACTTAATATTTATGAAATTATATGTTTTTATGCACTCCTCTGTAATATAATACAATAAAAGTTTTAGTAATCTGTTTTTTGCAATGTAATTTCACTTTGTTAAGAAAAATAGATACACATACATAAAAATGACTTACAATTAAAATGTTATTTAGACATGCTTTTTTAAATCTTAATCTTGTTTCCCATGTGTATTTTGTAGATCTACTTTCAGATATTTGAATATTCCTCTCACTACAGATGATAGCAAATAGGTAAACATTTGATTATATTTTTGCTAAGCATTTTTTACACAATTAAATTACTTTTAGTTACATTCCTTATGTAAGAACTGCAATAATTAGGTATTTTCAGTCTAAAGGGTCACCTGATTCTCTGAAGAGTCAGTTCATTCTTAATCTAGATTGTAATTTTTTTCTAAGTACACTTATTTTACTGTGCTTGGAAATTACCATTAAAATTGGATAATTCAGGTCTCACAATAATATAGAAATAAAAATAAGTTCAAATACTTAATAATTTTAATATCAGATCAAAAATAAATAATTTCTGGAATATGAATTTATTTCACATATGAGAAATATTACCCACTATAATTTCTGTAGTGTTCTGCATCTGACTGTCCGGCAGCATGTGTCCACAAAAAGAAAAGGGTCTATCTTTGTTTTTTCTGCTGATGCTAGTAAGTTATATCTTTCGAATCACATGTGTTTTGATTTTGCCTTTTGTTTCCCCATCCCTCAGAATTGTGGAGAAAAGATCTTAAGTGTTGCAAAAATGGTTCCTTTTAAAATGATATAAAGAAAAGCAATCACTAGTGTCCTCTGATGACTACGTAATCCTACTGCCAGATTGCAAAGGGAAGACAAATTTTACTGCAGACAATCCAAGTTATGAAGATATATTTCCTCCAGATTACATAATTTTTAAAAATAAGAGACCTACTGGGAAAGGTAAGTAAGCATGTGGGATAAGAAGGACTTGCATTATATAAAGGCACTACTTAAATGGTAAATTATCCATCTGGGAATGTACAATAAAATACTTCCTTCCCTAGCCATAAAGACTTAAAAGATATGTAAGATTCTGAACAACTTTAAAATGAAATGGAATTCGGACAACATATCATAATGGATCTTGTAACAATAAATCTAAAAGGTTTTTATTACAATAAACCCCCTTGAAGAAAAATTTTCCCCCTGAATATGACACATAAAAAGAGTAGACTTCACACAATTGTGTGTTAGAAAATAAAAAAGTGAACTTCTCTAGACTAGAAGAGTAAAAAGCAATTGCGATATTTTAGTACTTCCAAAGAAAATTGCTGGCTGAAATAGACTTTGTACATTGACTCTGCCTGTATACACTGCAATTTCACCAGGTGTTGGATAGATAACTTTAATATGACTTGCCCCACATCCAGTCACTCACAGTCAGTTCAAGGAGAAAGTGTTTGGAATATTCCCAAGTGCTTATCTCTTATATTGTTCAATGTTTCATGGTATAGTTAATACTATAAAACAATAGACTAGATTTTGGGCTGAGACGATGGGATTTTCTAGATATATAATCATGTCATCTGCAAACAGGGACAATTTGACTTCCTCTTTTCCTAATTGTCTCCTTAAGCTGATAAGCAACTTCAGCAAAGTTTCAGGATATAAAATCAATGTGCAAAAATCACAGGCATTCTTATACACCAATAACAGACAAACAGAGAGACAAATCATGAGTGAACTCCCATTCACAATTGCTTCAAAGAGAATAAAATACCTAGGAATCCAACTTACAAGGGATGTGAAGGACCTCTTCAAGGAGAACTACAAACCACTGCTCAATGAAATAAAAGAGGATACAAACAAATGGAAGAACATTCCCTGCTCATGGGTAGGAAGAATCAATATGGTGAAAATGGCCATATTGCCCAAGGTAATTTATAGATTCAATGCCATCCCCATCAAGCTACCAATGACTTTCTTCACAGAATTGGAAAAAACTACTTTGAAGTTCATATGGAACCAAAAAAGAGCCTGCATTGCCAAGTCAATCCTAAGCCAAAAGAACAAAGCTGGAGGCATCACGCTACCTGACTTCAAACTATACTACAAGGCTACAGTAACCAAAACAGCATGGTACTGGTACCAAAACAGAGATATAGACCAATGGAACAGAACAGAGCCCTCAGAAATAATGCCACATATCTACAACTATCTGATCTTTGACAAACCTGACAAAAAGAAGAAATGGGGAAAGGATTCCCTATTTAATAAATGGTGCTGGGAAAACTGGCTACCCATATGTAGAAAGCTGAAACTGGATCCCTTCCTTACAACTTATACAAAAATTAATTCAAGATGGATTAAAGACTTACATGTCAGACCTAAAACCATAAAAACCCTAGAAGAAAACCTAGGCAATACCATTCAGGGCATAGGCATGGGCATGGACTTCATGTCTAAAACACCAAAAGCAATGGCAACAAAAGCCAAAACTGACAAATGGGATCTAATTAAACTAAAGAGCTTCTGCACAGCAAAAGAAATTACCATCAGAGTGAACAGGCAACCTGCAGAATGGGAGAAAATTTTTGCAACCTACTCATCTGACAAAGGGCTCATATCCAGAATCTACAATGAACTCAAACACATTTACAAGAAAAAGGCAAACAACCCCATCAAAAAGTGGGTGAAGGATATGAACAGACACTTCTCAAAAGAAGACATTTATGCAGCCAAAAAACACATGAAAAAATGCTCATCATCACTGGCCATCAGAGAAATGCAAATCAAAACCACAATGAGATACCATCTCACACCAGTTAGAATGGCGATCATTAAAAAGTCAGGAAACAACAGGTGCTGGAGAGGATGTGGAGAAATAGGAACACTTTTACATTGTTGGTTGGACTGTAAACTAGTTCAGTCATTGTGGAAGTCAGTGTGGCAATTCCTCAGGGATCTAGAACTAGAAATACTATTTGACCCAGCCATCCCATTACTGGGTATATACCCAAAGGATTATAAATCATGCTGCTATAAAGACACATGCACATGTATGTTTATTGCGGCACTATTCACAATAGCAAAGACTTGGAACCAACCCAAATGTCCATCAATGATAGACTGGATTAAGAAAATGTGGCACATATACACCATGGAATACTATGCAGCCATAAAAAATGACGAGTTCATGTCCTTTGTAGGCACATGGATGAAACTGGAAACCATCATTCTCAGCAAACTATCGCAAGGACAAAAAACCAAACACCGCATGTTCTCACTCATAGGTGGGAATTGAACAATGAGAACACATGGACACAGGAAGGGGAACATCACACACCGGGGCCTGTTGTGGGGTCGGGGGGAAGGGGGAGGGATAGCATTAGGAGATACACCTAATGCTAAATGACAAGTTAATGGGTGCAGCACACCAACATGGCACATGTATACATATGTAACAAACCTGCATGTTGTGCACATGTACCCTAAAACTTAAAGTATGATAATAAAAATATATATATTATGATTTTCTACAAACTTCATTGTAACTGGCAATCTTCATGATATAGCACTGCAGGATGCACTATTCCCTCCTCTTTTCACAGGAAACGCTCCAAAAGCATGATGAGGTACTACAGCAGGTGGCTCTGTGCCAACTCAGCAGAAGTGCTGCTTGAGACTCTCCAATAGTGAATTCTAATTGGGTGGATTATTTGTTCTGCATATTTGGTTTCCCTGAGACCATGATGGGAGAACTGTTGAGCAATTTTTAAAAGTGGAATTGGCTGCTGCTGCTACAGAGCCTTTTTGAGTTTCTTACATGCCAGGAAAGTCGCACAAAAAGCATGAATGTTTAATAGACTCAGTTAAAGTCTTGAAGTTAGAGGAAGAGCCCATGTTTTCTATTTGATAAGCCATTATTATCACATAAGGGGAGTAGAATCACAGTCAGCAATAATTTTAATCTCAAAAATACTTAATTCTTCTCTCAGTGCCAGGAATATAAGTATTTTCTCATAAGCTATGCACTCAAAATTTGAATTCTCAGCAGCATTCCCTTTTATTTTGGAGTGCACATACCTCTAGAATAGTTTTCACATTAGGAATGCAAATTTCTGGCAATACTCCTACTTAAATTATTTAATTTCAAAATTTAGTCTACTATGGAATTCTGCTAGTAGAAATCACAGTGCATATGACATGCAGGGTTATCTTTAATCAACAGATAGTAGAATTTCATAAGTTCTTTAGAATTTCAATATTAAACCATGTTACCTCTGTACTAACTTTTTAAAATGTTATCACTCATCTTTATATTAGAGATTGAAAAGCTATGGTGCAGAGATAATATGAAATTTTTTCAAAGTTACAAACATTAAAAAATACGTTCAGTATTGAAATATAGAGGGTCTGGTGCCAGAATCCATGCATTTAATCATTATGTTACAGTGCTTCACCACTGTGGCTCTTAGTTTTGTGTTTTTATTAATATTAATGTAGTTGATGATTAAGTTACCTATGACACAACTATTCTTATATGTTAGATGGAAGCATATTAGTAAAAGCATCGTGGAAGATAGTTGCTATTAAAATAAAATCTGATGTCAAAGAAAAAGGTCACCTGTTAAAATGATGTTTATCAGGGATGTTCCTGTTTGAGTGGGTCTCTTTTTATTTGAACATACTAAAAGAATAGATTGTATAATTAAAATAGCCTGAGCCTAAGTTAAAATCATAAACACATTGATTTTCTATTAAATCAAAGAAAATTGAAGAAAATGGTAAAGTAAAACAAAATGTAAAGATATTAAGTAAATTGAAAATAAAGATTTAAATATTTATATAAAACAAAATTATTATTTTTTTCTTCGTCAGGTGATTGCATCACAATAAAATGTAATTTTTTTAACTTTCTCATGAAGAAATGCTATTTTTTCCAGCTTTCAATTCATGAAAAACCTTATTGGGAGGAGGAAAATGTATAAAATATTTGAACAGATACCTCATCAAAGATGATATATGGATGGCAAATAAACATATGAAAAGATACTCTCTATCACATGCCATTAGGGAACTGCACATTAAAAGAACCAAAAGACAACATGACAAACCTATTAGAATTGCTAAAATGCTGGTGAGGATATGAAGCAACAGAAATTCTTATTTATTGCTGGTGGAAATGCAAATATACAGCTACTTTGCAAAGTAATTTGGCAGTTTCTTACAAAACTAAGCATACATTTACCATATTATGCAGCATTCATGCTCTTTTGTATTTGTCTAAATAAGTTGAAAATTTATGCTCACACAAAAACCTGCAGATGAAATTTTATAGCAGATTTATACAACTGTCAAAACATGGAAGCAAACAAGATATCCTTCAATAGGTAAATAGATAAACAAACGGTGGTAGATTCAGGAAACTAAATCTTAGTTCCAAAAAAAAGTCTATCGAGCCATGAAAAGATAAGGAATAAATTTAAATGCATATTGCATATATATAATATATATATTACATGCACACATATATGAGATATACATATAAATACAAATATATACATATATAAAAATATAAATATATACATATATATACATATATATATATATATATATATATATATAAAACTTTGTCTCCAGTTCCTTGTACAGAAGGCCTAAAATTCTTGCAATTACCTGTGGAAATAGGGTTGCTAAGAGAATCTTTTGTTCTAATATTTGGTCTTTGATCCTGGTTCCTGACACAGAACTTCTAATCACTTGGATTTTCTTGAGTAATAGGAATGTCTTTTGTTCTCATGAGGTGACCTTGGTAGGCCCCTGGATGGGAATTGGTAACCAAAAAGACCAAGTTATGATTAGAAGCTTAAAATGTTTAGCCTCACTTTTCATCCTCCAGGAAGGGAAAGAGTAGCTGGCTATGGAGTTAATCACCTATCATGTCTACACAATGAAGCCTCTGTAAAAATCCCTGAACTACAGGGTTTAGGGACCTCTGCATATGTGCAGAGTACATGTAAGGTGTCATGCCACAGAGGGCATGAAACTTTCATAAAATAAAATATTAAACATAAACTCAACTATATCAATAACAATATTAATATTTAATGTGAATGGATTAAATAATCCAACAAAATGCAGAAAACTTTAGCTAAAAAATTTTAAAAAGCCAAAAACCATGATTTGCCTATGTGTACATATAGAAGGCACACTTTAGTTTCAAGATAGAAACACATTCAATGCAAATAGATGGAAAAAATGTATATTATGTAAACAGCAACTACAAGAAAGCTGGAGTGGTTATATTAACATATAAATAAACTTTTTTTTTTTTTTTTGAGACAGAGTCTCGCTCTTTTGCCAGGCTGGAGTGCAGTGGCACACAATCTCAGCTCACTGCAACCTCCACGTCCCGGGTTCAAATGATTATTTTGCCTCAGTCTCCTGAGTAGCTGGGACTACAGGTGCGTGCCACCACGCCCAGCTAATTTTTGTATTTTTAGTAGAGCAGGGTTTCATCACATTGGCCAGGATGGTCTGGATCTCGTGGCCTCGTGATCTGCCCACTTTGGCCTCCCAGAGTGCTGGGATTACAGGCGTGAGCCACCACGCCCAGTCCAAATTAACTTTAAAACAGACAAAAATATTGTGAGAAATAAATATGAACATTTCCTAATGACCAAAAGGCTAATCCACAAAGAAGATATATCAATTATAGACATGTATACATCTAATAAGAGAACACCAGAATATATAACATAAACTAACACAAATGAAGAAATAGAAAATTCAAAAATAATAGTTGGAGATTTCAATAATCTACTCAATAATGGAAACAACAACAAGACAAAAGATCAACAGATAAATAGGACACTTAAAACGAAAAGCCAACTAAATCTAATAGTACAGAATACTAAGGCTAACAATGACAGAATATACATTCTTCTCAAGCATACATAGATCATTCTCCGGCCCATAAGCTAGATTATAAAACAAACTTCAATATGTTAAAAAACAGTGCTCTGACAACAATGGAATAAAATAAAATAAAATAAAATAAAATAAAATAAAACAAAATAAAATAAATTAAAATAAAATAAAATAAAATAAAACAAAATAAAATAAAACAAAATAAAAACAGTAACAGAAGTAAGTTTTTGGAAACTTACCAATATGTGAAAATTAAGTGAAACACTTTTAAACAATTGGTCAAATAAAAAATCAAAAATAATTTAAAAATATTTTCAGAAGAATGAAAAGGAAGACACACATATCAATACATTTGGGAATCAGCTAAGGTAGCACTTAAAAGGAAATTTGCTCTTATCATAACTACATTATGAAAGAGGAAAAATCTCAAACTATTAATCTAGTCATCTACCTTAAGACACTAGAAAAGAAAAGCAAACTAAACCTAAATTAATGAAATTAAAAATAGAAAAGTTGTAGCAAAAAAATCAATAAAATGAAAGGCTGGTTCATTTAAAAGATCAGCAAAATTGATAAACCGTAACTAGAATAACCAAGAAAAAATTGTAAAGTTAGAAATGAAAGAGGGGATATTACTATTGCCCTTACAGAAATAAAAGGATTATAAAGGAATGATAGAAATAATTTTACTACAACAAATTGGAAAGGTTAAATAGACAGGTTCTGAAAAAAAAAATGCAAGCTACAAGAGACTGAAGAAGAAACAGCTATCTGAATATACCTGTAAAAAATGAAGAGTTAGAATGAATAATCAAAACCTATCCAAATAGGAGCCCTGGCCCAGTGGTTTCACACTAAATTCTACTACACATTTAACAAATAATTAATTCAAATTCCTCACAACGTCTTTCGAAGATACAGAGAAAATGCATGCCAACTTATTTTATTAGCTTAGTATTACCCTGATAAAAAAGATCCCCAAGGAAGAAAATTATAAACCAAATCTCTTATGTATATAGATGCATTCATCCTCAACAAAATCATCAAACCAAATCTGACAACATAAAAAGAAAATGATGCTCCCTGATGAAGTGGAATGTACCTCAGGACTACAAAGATGGATCAAGATGAGGAAATCAATCAGTATGATGCATCATATTAATAGAATAAAATACAAGAATTACATCATCATATCAACAAGTGCAGAAAAACAATTTGACAGCATCTAAATCCCTTTGATGATTAAAAAACACTCACAGAGTAGAATATTAATGAATACACTCAATGTGATGAAGGTCATCTATGAAAAACACACAGCTGATATTGTAACATTGCATTTAGTGGTGAAAGACTGACACTTTTCCTTTTAAGGTCAGACAAAGTGGTCTGCTCTCACTACTGATATTCAACATTGTATTAGGGGTTGTAGCCAGAGTAAAGAGTCAGTAAATATTTATCTAGATTGAAAAAGAGGAAGTAAAACAATTCGTATTTGGAGATAATATGATCTTATGCAGTTGACCCTTCAAAACAACCTAAGTTTGAACTGTGGGGTCCACTTATATCACTTGTATATGAATTTTTTTGCAATAAAAATACACAAAATGTGTCTGCCACTCCTGCCTCCCCTTCCACATCCTCTTCAAACTCTCTTCAACCTCTATCACCCCAAGACAGCAAGAACAACTGCTCCTCTTCATCCTCCTCCTCAGCCTACTCAGCGTAACACAATGATGAGTTACATCCACGTAATGAATAATAATTATATTTTCTCTGTTATGATTTTCTTGATGACATTTCCTTTTTTATAGGTTACTTTATTGCAAAAATACAGTATATAGTATATAAAACATACAGAATATGTGTTAATTGTTTATGTTATCAGAAAGGCTTCCAGTTAACAGTAGGCTATTAGTAGTTTAGTTTTGGGGGAGCTAAAAATTATACATGAATTTTCAACTGCATAGAGCTCAGCACCCCTAACATTGTTCAAGAGTAAACTGTATATAGAAAATCATAAGAAATCCACTAAAGTAAATTAAAATTAATAAATTAAGAAAGTTTTCAGGACACACAATCAATATATGAAATCACATATATGTTTATATATTAGCAATGAACATTCTGGAAATAAAATTAATAAAATAAAATAGCATAAAAAAGAATCTAATACTTGGGAATAAATTTAACTAAGATAATATAAAACATATACCCTGAAAATTAGAAAACATTATGGAAAAGTAAGTAACACCTAAATAAATGGAAATATATCCCATGTTTATGGGTCAGAAGACTTAAAGTTGTTAATCTGACTGCATGATGATCCTTGAGTAGGTTTGGCTGACCCAGTTTCTCTCCTCTCTTCTTAATTGTGGTTCTCAGAATAACCATAGAGTACACAGGGAATGCATCCTGAGATGGGGAGAAACTGCCTGAAATAGCCCGGACTTTGTTCCTGTCACTCCTCAGGAACCTCACATCATGAGTTAGGGAAGACTGCTGGGGACAACCTGGCCTCTGTTTCTGTTTCCCTAGAAACAGGATGTCATTCAGTACTTTAGCCAAACATGTTTCCTGCAGGGTATAAAACCAAGGGCAGGCTACTTTTTGAGGTAACTCAGCTGTGCGGCAAGTGGGGCATATGCAGATGAAACTCTATCTACCCTTGGCAATTTTCCTGAGCATTGGGGTACTGGATCATCACGAATTTTAGGTTTCCATTGTCCTCGGCTACCTTTCTATCTGTAAACAATAAATCTGCTTCATATAACTTGGTTTGTGTGTGATCTGTGTCATCAGATTTGAGCAAGTAAGAAAAGTGTAACTCAAGAGTTAGTGGACTGAAATTTAGACTACTGTTCCTGAAGGTTGGCATGGTGGTGATTTTTGCTAGCTTGCATGCAATGGGAGTCTTCCTTTAGGATTCATAATCAGTGAACCTACTTCACAGCGGCAATACTCCCCAAATTTGATGTACAGATTGAATGCGATCTCTACTAGAACCCCTGCTGACTTCTTTCTTAAAAAATGACAAGTTGATTTTTCAAATTAACGTACAATTGAAAGGGATTCAGAAACTCAAAATAATCTTGAAAAAGAACAAAGTAGGAGACCACTCACATTCCAATTTCAAAACTTACTTAAAGTAACAGTAATCAAGACATTGTGTTAGTCACACAAAGAAAATTTTATAGATCAATGGAATAGAATTGAAAATGCAAAAATTAACTGTTACATCTATGGTTAACTGATTTTTCTATAGGTGTAACAAGACCATGTAAAAAGGAAAGAATAGCCTTTTCAACAAATGCTGTGAGACAGGATAGCCAAAGGATGAAATTGGGTCCTTACCTCACATCATATACAAAAATTAATTCAAAATGAATCAAAGACCTAAATGTAAGAGCTAAAACTATAAAATTCTTATGAGAAAACACGGAGTGAATCTTAATGACCATTAATTTGGCAAATGATTCTTAGATTTGACACTAAATGCATGAGTCACACAACTTTAAAATACAGATACATAGGACTTCAAAATTTTAAAACTTCTGTATATCAAAGGACTGTCACTAAACTTAGAAAACCCACTGGATGGAAGTAAAGATTTCAAAGTCATTTATAAGATAAGCAACTTATATTTAGAATATACAAGGAACCTTTATAATACAATTATAAAAAGACTAATAATCTATTTTTTAAAATAGGCAAAGGACTTGAATAAACATTTTTTTTCCAGAGCAGATATACAAATGACCTATAAGAACATAAAAAGATGTTCAACATCTTTAGTTTTCAGAAAATTATAGATCAAAATCACAATGAGTATATAGTAGTTATTAAATAAATAAATGTTGAATTAATGAAAGGTTAACGATAAATGGCTATAGTGGATAAGAAGAAGATATAAGAATCAGAATAAGATACTAATGAAGTTGAAAACTGTGTGAGCAAACAAGTTGGAAGTATTGAAGGAAGTTACCAGAGTGGAATTTTGAATTTGAGTTTTTTTTTAAATTTATGGCAAATAGCAAAAATTAATCTACACATCCTTATAAGGAAAGCCATGGTCTTGGAGTAAAGTATCGACAGACAGTAAGATTTCCATTGAGATAAAGAAGTCAATATTATCAAAACAGTTGATACTAGAGAATAATTTTCTCAATGTGAGATGACACTTTGGTGAGTCCAGGGAAATATTATATTAAAGAGAAGTGCAAATTCAAATAGAAAATTTACAAAAGATTATGAGAGTAGCAGTTGAACAATTAAAAAAAAAGAGTATGCAGGTACTGGAGGCAAGAGAATATTTTTGTGAGGCATCATGAATTTAGTCCCAATTGTCTATTGAAGAAACTGGAGGAATGGAGGCCATCAAGAAAAGCAGGATTCAGCTGCTCTTTGGTGATCATGCCTAACTTATACTTTAAACATATTTAGCCTGAAGTTTGTAGTTTCGAGAAGCATGTTAATTGTCATCACATGATATAAGTAGTCTTTTCAGCTTCCATTAGTGAACTTGCTAATTACCAACTCTATAAAAAGTCAACATTGGAGGGGGATCATCAATAAAGTTAAGTAAAGAAGAAGAAATAATAACTTTATGGTGTGAAAATTTATTGTATTAGTCAAGGTTCTCCAGAGAAATTGAATCAGTAGGAGATTAACTGTAGTACAATTAACGGTGGTGGAATTCTAGGAATCTGTTAGGGTGTTTCCCTGGCTCATTTTCCCATAAACTACATAGGATATGACAAGACCAATACTAAATAAAGTCAATGTAGAAGAATATGGATTGAATATCCAAACTCATAAACAGTCTCATCATTTTGATTGAATTAATTCATCTATATTACATGAGATATCAATGTAATCAAATGTGAAATTTGCTTTAAAATGTATTGTTACATTATGTTAAACATAATGCTGTGTGAAAACACATAATTGAAAAATGAGAAGATTTTAATAATGGCATCAAGCATGTGATTATTTTCTGTAGTTATTAATTTTAAAACTGGCTGCAACATTGTGTTGAAGATACAGTAACAGATGGGGATTTCCCTACAGAGAAATTTTAGCTTCACTATGCAACAAGATTTATTGGCCTCATCAAGAAAATGTATGGTAGGTCAGAAAATACAGTCCTTTGGGGCTTCTTAGTCATTAAAAAAACAGATGAAGTTTTCTGATGGTTAAAATTCCAAATAATTTTTCTTTCTAAATTTTCTCGGAAAGAGTGAAGTCTGAGGCTTGGAGGGTAGAAAACAAGAAAATTCCTTAGAACATTAAGGAAGTATCTATGGCATTTCTATGGTTTTTTAAAAAATGAAATAGAATTAAGTATCACCAGGAGTGGTGTCTAGTTACTTCATTTTTTCTCTTAAAGAGTATAAGAACACTATTAAAAACTCTAAGTAGAAAATATTGCTCTTACAGGCTTTATTTCTATGAGTGTACTTATAACAAATCATATCACAAATGCTCTAGGATATGAATCTAGTTTGCATTCCAGTTTCATTTATCATAAAAAAAAATCAAAACTGCCCATTTCAGTTAAAACCTTACTTTTGAAATAGCATGAAGAATACAATTTTATTTTTTTATTTTAAAATTTACATGGAGAAAATGCCAAATGCACATAATAAGTTGGTTTGATACTAAAGGTCAAATTTGCAATGCATATAATGACAGAATGAGCTTAATTAAAATATCATAAAAAATCTCATTTATTGATGATTTTAGTTCACGTTAGTGGCTTTGACCTTAGGCTAGCCTCAGGCGTCTTTCAAGCTGCTTGCCTTAACAGATTGTGAATACCCAAACCAGTTCAGCATTGCATATGATTTATTTCAGAAATGTGGTGTTGAAAGACAGAAGTCACCAAACTGCCTAAATGTTGATCATATTTTCCTCCCCTCTAATCATATACTGATCACAGCATTGATGTTTCATTTTAAAGTTTGTAGAGTTCAATTATCTGAAGAGAGATGAGTTCATGAATTTAGCTAAGAATATAGGGCTGTTGTTTGGTCACCTGGTTTTATAACCTAAAAATGATTAGGAGAACAACAGAGAATTATATAGATGTTTAAAAAATCTCTCATTCTCCATTACGTACATGTAAACATACATCAGCAGTCAACAAATATTCACTTAAAAAGCCAAATAGGGCCAAGAATAGTGGCTCACTCCTGTAATCTCAGCACATTGGGAGGCCGAGGTGGGCAGATCACTCGAGGCCAGAGTTTGAGACCAGCCTGGCCAACATAGTGAAACCCCGTCTCTTCTGAAAATACAAAAAATTAGCTGGCTGTTGCGGCACATGCCTGCAAACACAGCTACTCAGGAGGCTGAGGCAAGAGAATAGCTTGAGCCTGGAAGGCAGAGGTTGCACTGAGCCAAGATTGTGCCAGCCCGAGCAACAGAGCAAGACTCTGTCTCAAAAAAAGAAAAAAGAAACAAAAAGCCAAATAGCATACAGTTTAAATCTGTAGGCTTCACTATCACTGTTACAACATCACTATTTTTTCCTCTCAAGAAAAATAAAGCAAACAAAAATCAGCCATAGATAATAAGTACATGAATGTGCATGGCCACATTCTGTGAAATCTGTGTTTATGGAAACAGGCAACTGATTTGGGGGCCAAGTTCACTGACTTCTGATATACATTATTCATCTTTACCATTTCAATGGCCCTGGACTCTCTAGTTCTTCTGTTAAATCTGAAGGTGAATGAGGTGAATGCTTTTATGCTTCTGTGTGTTAAAATAATGACCCAAGACTTCTACTCAATTTATGAGTATTTAATGTTATTTTTCTTTTTCTAGATTTAATTGGCCAACGCAGACCAATTAGATTCCTTTTGTCATCATGTCATAGATTTCTTTAGCATATCTCTTTTTTGAGATGGGAAAACTGCTAGAAACCTTGCATGCCCTTGCACCTTCTTGCTGTGACAGCCAAATGTGCAAGGTCCTGTGTACTTTTCACTCAGACCATTTGTCCTGTGTTTACAGCAAGCCATCTTGAGGGTTGAGGTTATGTCTATGCCCAGGTGAAGATCAGACTAACTTCAGCCTTCTATAAATGTGATGATTCCAGAAGCTCAGTGCTTCTCTCCTACGAAAAATTCTACCATGTGCGCAGGCATCACAACAGGCATTCTGCATCCATGAAACATCAATAAGAGAGCTTCTTAGCTTTTTAAAAAGATAAAATCTCAGACCCTGCACTGTTCTGGACAATTTTGGTGACAAGCATGTGATACCTCACAGAGACATGGCTTCTTAGAAGAGAAGAGATGGAGAGAATGGGAATAAAAAGACTCTCCAGGACGAGTGAATGTTCACGAGTATGGGAAGGCTGGCTCTCAGAATGAGTGTTTTCCACTGTCTTATCTGTTAATGAATGTTTAAAGGCTAAAGAGGGAGAGTTAGAACTGAAACCAGCCTCCTGATCGACTGTTATTCACTCTGCTTGGTTGTTCACCACCCTTAGTTGTTACTCACCCTCCTTTGGAAAAGAGGAGGAAAGAATGTGAACACCACAAAGGTCTGAGGCCTCAAAGTAAAGGCAATATGGTTGTGGCTGCTGAGTCAAAGATCCCCAAAGTTAAAATCAATGGTGTCAGTAATAATGATAGAGAGCTTTGAATGAACCAAACCCAGATGTTCATTTGTTGAAAATGTATAGCCACTTGAACCTGTAAGTGAATGAGAAGTTTTACTTAATAGAGCTAAGCCTCTATCTCCCTCTACGCCATCTGATGATGCCCTCCTTGTCTCCCACTATTTTGGGTACTTTAAAGAAAACACTGAGAATCCTGGAAAATTTGGGAGGAGGGGAAGGACTCAAACTGTTATAGCTCTATTGCATATAGGCACCAAAGTCATCAGTATACCCCCTCCCATGGGGGAAAGAGATGCTGGACTCAGGAGGCTGAAAGTGCTAAGAACTATGAGGAAGAGCTTTGGTGAATGACAGGACGAATATGTTTCTTGACTCCGGAGCTGTTGCCAATGACTTAGGCCTCTGGAATTCACTTGAAAAACTATAGTATGGCAGATTAGAAGCATCCCTTTCTGGGGCCGCAAACTCAAAATAAATTGCTGCTGCTAATTGAATCATCTGAGTCAATTCTGTAGATACTAACATCAAGGTCCTGCTCTTTAAATGAGATAAACTGGAACCAAGTTTCTGATCAATCCTATTCTGTAAAGAATGACACCCAACGAAGCATATCTATCATCAGATATATCTTTGTTTGTAGACCGGGTACAATTGCGTCAGACCTGTGTAAATCAGAATTTGTGTAAATCAGACTTGTGGTTGTGCTCATTAAGATAAAACATAACCCTGGTTAATCCAACTCTCTGCCCATCTCATGCCTGGGCTGACAAAGTTATTCATGACTGGCAAACACACACACACACACACACACACACACAAACACACTTCTCATTTCAAATTGATGTTCAATAATCTTAAGTGAACCTTTACTCCTGCCTGACACTATTTTCTTAGCCCATTAACTTTCTCATTTTTTTCATATTTTCTCCTCTTTCATCAAACTTTGAATCCTCCTCCTCTTATTTTAAATTGCAGCTGACAATCTTGCTAATAGACAGAAAAATTAATTTCATCGAGCCATCTACCTGCACCTGTGGTTATATATCTGTCCTTCCTTTCTTCTTGCCACCATGAATTGTAGCACTAAGAGCCTAGATAATATCAGCCTCTGCAAAAGTATCCTAGATTCCATCCCCTCTTGCTTTCTTACCCCAGAATTTTCCCATTTATCCTCTGTTATTTATTTCTTTCTAGACTGAATTATTCCCATTAGTGCATTAAGATGAAAATTTGTTTTGTATCTGCCTCTTCTTCTAACTACCCCCTCATTTCTGTCATTTTTACTTGAAAGGATTGTCTAAACTTGTCTTCATTAAAATTACATTTCATCCTCAACATCCTACCCAAACTGCTGTGATCAAGGTCATCAATTACCTCCACTTTACTAAATGCAATTGTAATTGCTCTGTTGTTATCCTTCTTGAACTATCTGTAAGCACTCAGATTTGCTAATTGCTTTTCCTTTGTGAATAATGCATTTCCTTGACTTCATGGAGAGCTCATCTTCTAACTATGATTTCTTTTTTTGGTGACTTTTCTGTTTCCTCTTTGTTTCTCCCAACTGTGAATGTTTACGTTGGCCCAGGGATCAACTATATGATTATTTTTCTATCTATACTCCCATTTTAGTTTATCTTATATAGTCTCCTGGCTTTATACACCATCCGTATGCTGAAGAATTCAATCCAGTGTTCTCTAAATTTCTGATATGTATGTCTAACTACCTATATGACATTTCTCTTTGGATTCATCATAGGAATCTCAAGCATAGCATGCCCAAATCTGAGCTTCTTTTATTTCTCTCCAACCCTGCTCCTCTTCCTGTAGTCTTCATCATCACAGCTAGTGATAACATTATTCTTCTAATTGCACACACCTACACCTGGTACACCTGAGTTTTACCCTTGACTTTCCTTCCTCCTTTTTGTTTTATCTTCATGCATCTGGTCCAGCAGGAAATCTCAATATTTATTTTTAAAATATATTCAAGATGAGACTACTTCTCACCAAACCCACTGGTACTATCCTGACTAAAACCACTGCATTTTTCTATAAAGACTTTTAAAATCACCTAATTACTGTTCTTCCTGTTTCTACCCTTACTGCCTTAAATTTATTCTCAATATAACCACCAGATTGATCTTCTCAAAACATATATATTGTTATTCCTCTGCTCAAAGCACTCATCCCGTTTTATTCATATTGAAAATACATATGGAAAATGGCATCCCGTTTTATTCATATTGAAAATACTACACGATCACCATCCCCATTAGTTCTTAGAACACATTATACTTCTGCTCACTCTATTCTAGCCACATGGATTTTCTCGATGTTCCTCAAACCTTCCAGTAATGGTGTAGCCCTATACTTGCTCTTTTTTTCTGCTTAGAATAGTGTCCCTTTGATACCCAGATGGCTACCTCTCACGTTTAATCAGTTTGTTTCTCTAAACTTCTTCTCAGTCAAGCATTTCCAGGCCATCCTAGGCAAAACTGCAACCCTCAAACATGTTTATCAGGACCAAATGTTGCTTGAGTGAAGAATTTATATCTGCTTTGTTTCTTGGCTTATCCCTAGTGCCCAGAATGATGCCAGAAACATAAATAAATATCTATTGACTAAATAAATAAATATCTATTGACTAAATAAATGAATTACCTAATACAAAACATAGCAGAAAATATACAGTGAACAATGCCATTTAATACAAACAATATGAATAAGTGCCCAAAAGAAATATTGATGTGTATGAAAAATCTCGGCCAGGCACCGTGGCTCATGCCTGTAATCCCAGCACTTTGGGAGGCCGAGGCAGGCGGATCACGAGGTCAGGAGATTGAGACCATCCTGGCTAACATGGTGAAACCCCGTCTCTACTAAAAAAACAAAAACAACAACAACAACAACAACAAAATTAGCCAGGTGTGGTGGCAGGCGCCTGTAGTCCCAGCTACTAGGTAGGCTGAGGCAGGAGAATGGCGTGAACCTGGGATGCGGAGCTTGCAGTGAGCCGAGATTGCACCACTGCACTCCAGCCTGGGCAACAGAGTGAGACTCAGTCTCAAAAAAAAAAAAAAAAAAAAAAAAGAGAAAAGAAAAATCTCTATAAATCTCATGGAAAAACGTTTAATGAAATTTAAAAACATACTATGTTCTGATATTTCAATATCAAAAAATGTACATTTTTTCTAATATGTTACAAAAAGTCTCATATGATCTCAATAAAAAATATAAGGAGATCTTATATTTGGAACTACAGAGAATCATTCTAAGATGAATTAGAAAAAATATAAAGGAATGGCCAGTGAATATTTTAAAAAATGTAATCAAGGTGTACAAACCCTGATTGAATTTAAAACTTGTTTTAATATTTGGCATAGTCTGGTAATGGAACATGAAGAAAAAGACAAATCAGTAGAACAAGGTAAAGTTTGAAGTGGGATCATACATATGATTATACACATGCACATATATCCACAAAAACAAATACATTTTTAGTGTATGATAAAGATGGCATCTTAATTCTATGGAAAGTTTATTTAGTCTGTGAACTGTGTGCAGTAGGTCTGCAGCAAGATAAGTAGCATGTGACTAAGCTGACTGTTTAGTTCTGTTTATATATTTTTCTCACAGAAAGACTTTCTCAATGAAAGGTACAAGGCAATGCGCTACATTCTGGTATAAGCTTCTTAATCTGTTGCAGACCTATAAGAAAAATTATATGGTTTAATGCTTTGAATAACAAGGCCCTGGAGAACTTATTTTATTCTCCTTTGTGCCAGAATATGTTTTTATATATTTTAACAGCCTTTTTAAGGAATAATTGACATAAAAACTGCATGCATTTAAAGCATACAATTTGATAAGATTTGACACACGTGTAAAGTCATCATCACAATCAAGCTTTTGAACATAATCACCCCCAAATTTTCCTCATGCCCCTTTGTTTTATTATACCCAACTCCTGCATTCCCAGCCAACTATTAATCTGCTTTCTGATTAGTTTACATTTCATAGAAATGTATATCAGTGGAATTATAGAGTATGCATGTCAGGCCTCTGAGCCCAAACTAAGCCATCATATCTCCTGTGACCTGCATGTACATATCCAGATGGCCGGTTCCTGCCTTAACTGATGACATTGTCTTGTGAAACTCCTTCTCCTGGCTCATCCTGGCTCAAAAGTTCCCCTACTGAGCACCTTGTGACCCCCACTCTGCCCACCAGAGAACAACCCCCCTTTGACTGTAATTTTCCTTCACCTACCCAAATCCTATTGGCCCCACCCCTATCTCCCTTTGCTGACTCTCTTTTCGGACTCAGCCCACCTGCACCCAGGTGAAATAAACAGCTTCGTTGCTCACACAAAGCCTGTTTGGTGGTCTCTTCCCACGGACGTGCATGAAATTTGGTGCTGTAACTCGGATTGGGGGACCTCCCTTGGGAGATCAATCCCCTGTCCTCCTGCTCTTTGCTCCCTGAGAAAGATCCACCTAGGACCTCAGGTCCTCAGACCAACCAGGCCAAGAAACATCTCACCAATTTCAAAACCGGTAAGCGGCCTCTTTTTACTCTCTTCTCCAGCCTCCCTCACTATCCCTCAACCTCTTTCTCCTTTCAATCTTGGCACCACACTTCAATCTCTCCCTTCTCTTAATTTCAATTCCTTTCATTTTCTGGTAGAGACAAAGGAGACACGTTTTATCCGTGGACCCAAAACTCCGGCGCCGGTGTTTAATCATTGCAGGGACGCCTCTCTGATTATTTACCCAGGTTTCAGAGGTGTCAGACCATGCAAGGACGCCTGCCTTGGTCCTTCACCCTTAGCAGCAAGTCCCACTTTTCTGGGGAAGGGGCAAGTACCCCAATCCCTTCTCTCCATGTCTCTACCCCTTCTCCACCTTCTAGGGGGCAAGAAACCCCCAACCCCTTCTCCTTCACCCTTAGCGGCAAGTCCCGCTTTTCTGGGGGAGGGGAAAGTACCCCAAACCCTTATATCTCTGTGCCCCGATCCCTTATTTCCGCTCCCCAACCTCTTATATCTCTGCACCCCGATCCCTTATTTCTGTGCCCCAGCCTCTTATATCTCTGCACTCCAATCCCTTATTTCTGCACCCCGACCTCGTATCTCTGTGCCCCGACCCCCTTCCCGCTTTTCTGGAGGGTAAGAACCCCCGAACCCCTTCCCTCCGTGTCTCTACTCTCTCTTTTCTCTGGGCTTGCCTCCTTCACTATGGGCAACCGTACACCCTCCATTCCTCCTTCTTCTCCCTTAGCCTGTGTTCTTAAGAACTTAAAACCTCTTCAACTCTCACCTGACCTAAAATCTAAGCATCTTATTTTCTTCTGCAATGTTGCTTGACCCCAATACAAACTCAACAGTAGTTCCAAATAGCCAGAAAATGGCATTTCAATTTTTCCATCCTGCAAGATCTAAATAATTCTTGTCGTAAAATTGGCAAACGGTCTGAGGTGCCTGATGTCCAGGCATTCTTTTACACATTGGTCCCTCCCTAGTCTCTGTGCCCAGTGCAACTCGTCCCAAATATTCCTTCTTTCCCTCCCACCTGTCCCCTCGGTCCCAACCCCAAGCGTTGCTGAGTCTTTCTACTCTTCCTTTTCTACAGACCCATCTGACCTCTCCCCTCCTCCCCAGGCTGCTCCTCGCCAGGCCGACCTAGGTCCCAATTCTTCCTCAGCCTCAGCTCCTCCACCCTATAATCCTTTTATCACCTCCCCTCCTCACACCTGGTCTGGCTTACAGTTTCATTCCATGACTAGCCCTCCCCCACCTGCCCAGCAATTTACTCTTAAAAAGGTGGCTGGAGCTAAAGCCACAGTCAAAGTTAACGCTCCTTTTTCTTTATCCCAAATCAGATAGTGTTTAGGCTCTTTTTCATCAAATATAAAAATCCAGCCCAGTTCATGGCTCGTTTGGCAGCAACCCTGAGACACTTTACAGCCCTAGACCCTAAAAGATCAAAAGGCTGTCTTATTCTCAAAATACATTTTATTACCCAATCTGCTCCCGACATTAAATAAAACTCCAAAAATTAAATTCCGGCCCTCAAACCCCACAAAAGGATTTAATTAACCTCGCCTTCAAGGTATACAATAATATAAAAAAGTTGCAATTACTTGCCTCCACTGTGAGACAAACTCCAGCCACATCTCCAGCACACAAGAACTTCCAAACGCCTGAACCGCAGCAGCCAGGCGTTCCTCCAGAACCTCCTCCCCTAGGAGCTTGCTATAAGTGCCAGAAATCTGACCACCAGGCCAAGGAATGCCTGCAGCCCAGGTTTCCTCCTAAGCCGTGTCCCATCTGTGCAGGACCCCACTGGAAATCGGACTGTTCAACTCACCTGGCAGCCACTCCCAGAGCCCCTGGAACTCTGGCCCGAGGCTCTCTGACTGACTCCTTCTCAGCTTAGCAGCTGAAGACTGATGCTGCCCCATTGCCTCAGAAGCCCCGTAGACCATCATGGATGCCGAGCTTCAGGTAACTCTCACAGTGGAAGATAAGTCTGTCCCGTTAGTCAATACGGAGGCTACCCACTCCACGTTACCTTATTTTCAAGGGCCTGTTTCCCTTGCCTCCATAACTGTTGTGGGTATTGACAGCCAGGCTTCTAAACCCCTGAAAACTCCCCCACTCTGGTGCCAACTTGGACAACACTCTTTTATGCACTCTTTTTTAATTATCCCCACCTGCCCAGTTCCCTTATTAGGCCGAGATATTTTAACCAAATTAACTGCTTCCCTGACTATTCCTGGACTACAGCCGCATCTCATTGCTGCCCTTCTCCCCAACCCAAAGCCTCCTTCGTGTCTTCCTCTCGTATCCCCCTACCTTAACCCACAAGTATGGGACATCTCTACTCCTTCCCTGGCAACCGATCACATGCCCATTACCATCCCATTAAAACCTAATCACCCTTACCCCGCTCAATGCCAATATCCCATCCCACAGCACGCTTTAAAAGGATTAAAGCCTGTTATCACTCGCCTGCTACAGCATGGGCTTCTAAAACCTATAAACTCTCCTTACAATTCCCCCATTTTACCTGTCCTAAAACCAGACAAGCCTTACAAGTTAGTTCAGGATCTGCGCCTTATCAACCAAATTGTTTTGGCTATCCACCCTGTGGTGCCCAACCCGTACACTCTTTTGTCCTCAATACCTTCCTCCACAACTCACTATTCCATTCTGGATCTTAAAGATGCTTTTTTCACTATTCCCCTGCACCCCTCATCCCAGCCTCTCTTTGCTTTCACTTAGACTGACCCTGACACCCGTTAGGCTCGCAAATTACCTGGGCTATATTGCCGCAAGGCTTCACAGACAGCCCCCATTACTTCAGTCAAGCCCAAATTTCATCCTCATCTGTTACCTATCAGCATAATGCTCAAAAACACACGTGCTTTCCCTGCTGATTGTGTCTGATTAATCTCCCAAACCTCAATCCCTTACAAAACAACAACTCCCTTCCTTCCTAGGCATGGTTAGTGTGGTCAGAATTCTTACACAAGAGCCAGGACTGCACCCTGTAGCCTTTCTGTCCAAACAACTTGACCTTACTGTTTTAGCCTAGCCATCATGTCTCCGTGCAGTGGCTGCTGCCGCCCTAATACTTTTAGAGGCCCTCAAAATCACAAACTATGCTCAACTTACTCTCTACATTTCTCATAACTTCCAAAATCTATTTTCTTCCTCATACCTGACACATATACTTTCTGCTCCCCAGCCACTTCAGCTGTACTCACTCTTTGTTAAGTCCCACAATTACCATTGTTACTGGCCGGGACCTCAATCTGGCCTCCCACATTATTCTGGATACCACACCTGACCCTCATGACTGTATCTCTCTGATCCACCTGACATTCACCCCATTTCCCCATATTTCCTTCTTTCCTGTTCCTCACCCTGATCACACTTGATTTATTAATGGTGGTTCCACCAGGCCTAATCGCCACACACCAGCAAAGGCAGGCTATGCTATAGTACAAGTCACTAGCCCACCTCTTAAAACCTCTCATTTCCTTTCCATCGTGGAAATCTATCCTCAAGGAAATAACTTCTCAGTGTTCCATCTGCTATGCTACTACTCCTCAAGGATTATTCAGGCCCCCCCTCCCTTCCCTACACATCAAGCTCGAGGATTTGCCCCCACCCAGGACTGGAAAATTAGCTTTACTCAACATGCCCCAAGTCAGATAACTAAAATACCTCTTAGTCTAGGTAGACACTTTCACTGGATAGGTAGAGTCCTTTCCTACAGGGTCTGAGAAGGCCACCTCAGTCATTTCTTCCCTTCTGTCAGACATAATTCCTCAGTTTAGCCTTCCCACCTCTATACAGTCTGATAATGGACCAGCCTTTATTAGTCAAATCAGCCAAGCAGTTTTCCAGGCACTTAGTATTGAGTGAAACCTTTATATCCCTTACAGTCCTCAGTCTTCAGGAAAAGTAGAACAGACTAACGGTCTTTTAAAAACATACCTCACTACCGGGCGTGGTGGCTCATGCCTGTAATCCCAGCACTTTGGGAGGCTGAGGCGGGTGGATCACGAGGTCAGGAAATCGAGACCATTCTGGCTAACATGGTGAAACCCCGTCTCTACTAAAAATACGAAAAAATTAGCCGGGTGTGATGGCGGGCGCCTGTAGTCCCAGCTACTTGGGAGGCTGAGGCAGGAGAATGGCATGAACCCGGGAGGCGGAGCTTGCAGTGAGCCAAGATCGCGCCACTGCACTCCAGCCTGGGTGAAAGAGCAAGACTCCGTCTCAAAAAAAAAAAAAAAAAAAAAAAAACACCTCACGAAGCTCCAGCTTAAAAAGGACTAGACAATACTTTTACTACTTTCCGTTCTCAGAAGTCAGACCTGTCCTCAGAATGCTACAGGGTACAGCCCATTTGAGCTCCTGTATAGATGCTCCTATTTATTAGGCCCCAGTCTCATTACAGACACCAGACTAACTTAGACTGTGCCCCAAAAGAACTTGTCATCCCTACTATCTTCTGTCTAGTCATACTCCTATTCACCGGTCTCAACTACTCATACATGCCCTGCTCTTGTTTACACTGCCGGTTTACACTGTTTCTCCAAGCCATCACAGCTGATATCTCCTGGTTCTATCCCCAAACTGCCACTCTTAACTCTTGAAGTAAATAAATAATCTTTGCTGACAGGACTATGCTGAATTTCCTTAGGCACTCTCTAATTAAATGTCCTAGGTCCTCCCAATTCTTAGACCATTAATACCTGTTTTTCTCCTTCTCTTAATCCGTTTAGTTTTTCAATTCATACAAAACCTTATCCAGGCCATCACCAATAATTCTAAATGACAAATGTTTCTTCTAACAGTCCCACAATATCACCCCTTACCACAAAATCTTCCTTCAGCTTAATCTCTCCCACTCTAGGTTCCCACGCCGCCCCTAATCCTGCTCAAAGCAGCCCTGAGAAACATCACCCATTATCTCTCCATACCACCCCCAAAAATTCTCACCGTCCCAACACTTTACCACTATTTCATTTTATTTTTCTTATTAATATAAGAGGATAGGAATGACAGGCCTCTGAGCCCAAGCTAAGCCATCCCTGTGACCTGCACGTACACATCCAGATCACATCCAGATGGCCGGTTCCTGCCTTAACTGATGATATTCCACCACAAAAGAAGTGAAAATGTCCTGTTCATGCCTTAACTGATGACATTGTCTTGTGAAATTCCTTCTCCTGGCTCATCCTGGCTCAAAAGTTCCCCTACTGAGCACCTTGTGACCTCCACTCTGCCTGCCAGAGAACAACCCCCCTTTGACTGTAATTTTCCTTTACCTACCCAAATCCTATAAAACGGCCCCACCCCATCTCCCTTCACTGACTCTCTTTTCAGACTCAGCCCACCTGCACCCAGGTGAAATAAACAGCTTTATTGCTCACACAAAGCCTGTTTGGTGGTGTCTTCACACGGACACACATGAAAATGCACACTTTTTTCTTTTTTTGTGTGGTTTCCTTCACTTAGCATAATTACTTTCAGATATATCAATGCTGTTCGTATGTATCTAATAGTTTGTTCTCTTTTATTGCTGAATAGCATTCCATTTTATGGGTATATAGAGGTTCTTTATCCACTCATCTGTTGGAGAACATCTGGGCAGTTTCCAGTTTTCAGTTATTATAAATAAGGCTGCTATGAATGCTCATGTTTACATCTTTATATGCACTTCTAGTGTCAATGTAACATAATACAACATTATGACATAGTTCTGGCCATTTATTTAAAAAGTTAAATATATGCTTAAATATTATCCAATTATTTCACTCTTAGGTAATTATATCCATAAAAACTAAATCCTTTTGATGTAGCTATATTAATTCCAGTTACTTTATCCCTGTAAATGTACTCACAAATGTAATAATGATATAGGTACAACTATATACATTGCAGCACCATAATTAATGATAGATTATAAACTACATACGTGCCTGTTGGTAGGGAATACACTAATTTGAGGTACACTCATATACGGAAACATGATCTATCTAAATTGATAATTTAGAAACAGTTTTAGAGACTGACATGAGAGAATCTCCAAAATATGTGAAAGGTACAGTGCAAGGTGTTAAAGAAGAGTGAATAATGTAATGAAATAATTTGGGTGGGACAAAAAGTTTTCTAAAAATAGTAAAATTATTTTTATTACTTTGATAAACCATATTTACCTAGAATGTTAACTTTTATGGCTTTACTGTGTAACTTCTTAACTCATAAGTTTCATTATAAAGGAATCATTTTGGCACTTCAACAGCAAAACTGTAAGAAAGAAGACAACAGACTGTATATATGTATCATTATTATGTATATATATGTATATGCACATGACGTTAGATGGACCAATAGTAAAATGTCTACTCATTTATTCGTGTTACAATACCACAATACCATTCCAGTAGAAAATCAATGATGGATGTTCACTAGCATTGCTATTTGTTTTGTGGTTAAAAGGAACATTAACCAAGAATCATGATCTTAATCATTTTAGAAAGGATCTGAGAAAAAATATTTATCATTCTAATGATTTCAAGAAAAAAGTTTTTACAGTATAGAATTTTAAAAATTGAAAGTAAAACTGCTTATGGTATTGTTGAAGATTGATGCATTTTTAATTTCAAAATACTATATCACACATCTGTGACATTTTCTAAATAGTTCATATTTTAAGGCAATTTTAGAAAAAAAATCACTGAATGCAATATACTAACAGCTATAAGATTTTGGAGTATAATCTTCAATTCTACTTTATTTGTGTTAGAAATAATTGACAGAAGAAATCCATCAATTTTGCCATTTTTAAGAAACACTTTTTTGAATGCTATATTCTTATTAAAAAGGAAAGCAATGTGCCTTATTATTTGCTTAAGAAATTGAAAATAGCATGTCTCTAAATAGAGTTTGTAGAAGACATGTGGTAGCCTCACACTACCAAGATTTCATGTGAAATTATAGCTTCATGAAGACCTCTAAAAATCAGCAATTCAATGTTATGCTGATATAGTGAGATGGAATTAACAGGAATCTGCTAAATTACAGCACCATTAACCATAGCACCTGTTTTATTTCTTGCAGGATTCCTTTTTAACAAATGACCCTCCACATTTTTCTAACATTTAGAAAAATGAAATAAATAACTGAGTTTTATAACTCTGGGGCAACTTGGGGGTTACTTTTTAGTACTTTATACTTCCAAAAAACATCTATTGATTAGCTATTTCTTGCTAGGCCATTACACAGCAGGTCAGTGTCATTAGTTCCAATTTATTAATAATGTCCTTTGGGTCTAAAATGGCAAAATGTGTTGGCTGAATCTATCAGGGAATTAGCCAAGCTCTCAGGTTTAGGACTCAGATAACCAAGTCACATCCTTAGCTTGGCTAAGTCCATTAAACACTCACACTTGCTAGGTCAAGCAAATAATACTTTCACATCAGCAGAAATTAGTTCTAATAGTAGGAAAAATAATCTCTGAAAATAGATTTGCTGGACTCATCCATTTTTACACATTTTAGACTTGCCAACTCAGACAAAAGCTAACGTTTGAAAATGCGTGTACATGAGAATATAAACTACAATCCATCCTCAATATTTATCAGACTCTTTCATTGAGTATGGTTTACTAATATTTTAATATGCCAAATGTGGACTTTTAAATCATGTTTAACATCGAGTGTAACCTACCTTCAATAGTCGATAGAGATTTTAAAAATGAACGTGCTGAAATAGCATTTGGCTGATCTCTTATAGTCCTTTGAAGAAAGACTGTTTATAGGCTGGGGGTAGGGGGGTGGCAGACTTAACTGAAGAAAAAAAAAACACTGCATAAAAAGGAAAATCTTATTTCACAGAGGTATCATATCTCCAGCAGCACACAATCTGAGAAATGTCCCTTTTAAATCTCTTTATCTATTGGGAACACTTACTGACCGTCAATAAGCAACATTTAACTTGAAATGCAAAGGAAATGCAGAAATCAACATAACAAGAGAGTTATGATAGAAAAACTTTAAGCAGAGTAGAATGCAAACAAGCAGTGCATGGAGAATGCACTGTGTTCTTGTAAAGAAGAGGAAGTATCAAATAAATTATGTGTAAAGGAGTAAGAATGCATAAGAAAGACATAAAGAAGAAGAAAAATGTAACCCAAAAAGTACTGCAGATAATGTAACACAAGCCTAGAGATGATAATTACAGAAAACAGAGCAACTTTCTAACATATCTGCAATAGTCTTGTAAAATGCATTAATAAATGTTACAAGAAGATAGCAAAGATAAGGAACTTTGATATGTCTTTGGTAGCCATTATGTTTGCAAACTATGAAAAGTAACAACATGAAGGGCTTAGTGTTTAAAACTAATAAGCTTTTTAAAATTTTGTTTTTAATTCGCAAGTAATAATTACATATTTATAGGGTTCACTGAGATGTTTCAATACATATACATATGGTGTAACGATCAAATCAGAGTATTTATTCAGTCACCTCATACATTTATTATTTATTTGTGGTGAGAACATCCAAAATCTTTTCTTCGAGGTACATGATAAAGAATGAAATCCTGTAATTTGCAGCAACACAGATGTACCTGGAAGACATTATGTTAAGTGACATACGCAAGGTACAGAAAGACAAATGTGTGATCTCATTTACATATATAGAGTCTAAAGAAGCTGATCTGAAAGCAGTAGAGAGTAGAACAGTGGTTACCATAGCCTGGGGAAGGTAGGAAGGAGAGGGGAACCGGGAGAGATTTATCAAGAGGTATAAAATTATATTTACATGGGAGGAACAAGTTCTGGTGTTCTATTGCACAGTAGGGTGACTGTGGTTAACACTGTACATTTAAAAGGAATTACCTTTAATATGTTATTTCTTATATAGACTATAATTAATCAAGTAATATCTATTTTAAGTGTTTAAAAATCTGGTTATAATCCTATGCACCTATTTATATTAATATATTAAAAAGGCAATACTAATTCTGAAAACACAAAGATGAATTGATTATATCACCAATAACTGAAATTAAGTGAACTGGTATCTTCTTGGTTACCCTACTTAGGTTTAGATAAAATAGCATAATATAAACTTTCTGGGCAGAGAATGAGTTTTTTTTTTTTTAATAGAATGAGTATCTAAATTTCAACATATAGATAGACACATAAGTGTGAGAAAACCTTAAAAGTTCAACATCTATATATTTTGTTATTGTATTATGAAAGTCAATAAGAGACATTCTGAGATGATTTCAGTGTCATCCACCCAAATTTTTGTATTTAATGGACATTCAAATGTATGATCATGTTTTGCATTCAATCAAATACTTGTATCTGATACAATGTTATTCAGACTATACCTTTAGTCATATAAGTGACTTACCCATGGTTATATGTAATATTTTATAAATTCTGAGATAAAAATTTCTCAACCTTTAAATGTGTGAAGTAATGAAGTTCAAAGTTAGTGGCATTTTAGTATTGTATCATGCATAGCCTACATTTTAGCTTTAAATTTAAAGTAAATTTCTTTTGGCATATAAAATAAAGATGTGTTTTAAAATGCTGTACTTGTATTTAAAGAAATGTTTTATCTCAAAAATGTTTTGTAGAGCAATTATCAATAAAATAAAACAATTTTAATTTTAGATAAATTTGAATAAAATGAAATAAAATACAGATGAATTTAGCTGAATTTAATTTAAATATAAATAAGCTTAAATTTAGATGAATTTAACTTAAATATATATATAAACATCTATTACTTATTCATAATAGCAAAGCAAAACACAAAACATAAATGATGGAATTTTGTTTCTGTTCTTGTTTATCATTACTTCTGAGGTTTCATGTTATTTTTTTAAACTTCATCTTTTATTTTAGACACAGGGGGTGCATGTGCAGGTTTGTTTCATGGGTATATTGCACTCAGGTAGTCAGCATAGTGCCCAACAGGTAGTTTTTCAACCCATGTCTTCCCCCTTCCCTTCCCCCTCTAGTAGTCCACAGTGTTTGTTGTTCTTGTGTTTATGTCTATGTGTGTTTAATGTTTAGCTCCCACTTATAAGTGAAAACATGCAGTATTTGGTTTTCTGTTCTTGCATTAATTATCTTAAGATTATGGCCTCTAGTCCAACTATGTTGCTTCAAAGAACATAATTTTATTCTTTTTAATGGCTCCATAGTATTCCATAGTGAACTTTTTCTTTATTCAGTCCACCATTGATAGACACCTAGGTTGATTATGTGTCTTTGCTATTCTGAATAGCTTTTTGACGAACATACAAGTACATGTGTCTTTTTGGTTGACTGATCTATTTTCCTTTGTGTATATATCCAGTAATGAGATTTCTGGGTCAAATGGTAGCTCTGTTTTAAGTAATTTGGGAAATTTCCAAACTGCTTTCCACAGTGGTTGAACTAATTTACATTCCCATCAACAATGCATAATAGTTCCCTTTTCTCTGCAGCCTTGCCAGTATCTGTTGTTTTTGACTTTTTAATAATAGCCATTCTGACTGATGTGAGCTGCTATCTCACTGTGGTTTTGATTTGTTTTTTACTATGATGAGCATTTGTTCATATGTTTGTTGGCCTTGTGTATGTCTTCTTTTTAGAAGTGTCTGTTCATGTCCTCTGTCCTTTTTAAATATGGTTGTTTTTTGCTTGGTGATTTATGTTCCTGATATGTTCTGGACATTAGACCTTTGTCGGATGCATAGTTTCTGAATATTTTATCATATTCTGTAGGTTTGCAACTCTATGGATGATTGATTTTACTGTACAGAAGTTCTTTAGTTTAATTGGGTCCCACTTGCTAATTTTTGTTTTTGTTGCAATTGCTTTGAGAAGTTAGCCAAAAATTACTTGCTAAGGCTGATGTCAAGAAGGATGTTTCCTAGGTTTTCTTCTAGGATTTCTATAGTTGAGATCTTACATTTAAATCTTTAATCCATTTGGAGTTAATTTTTGCATACAGTGAAAGGCAAGGGTCTAGTTTCATTCTTCTGCCTTTGACTAGCCAGTTATTCCAGTACCATTTATTGAATAACGGGTCCTTACCCCATTACTGAAACAGATCTATTGATGCTTCAAAATGCAATGGAATTATAGGATGGAAAGATAAATGGAATTGAGTATAAGAAATGGCTTATGTTCTAAATATCAGATTCCTGAAAAAAATCATTTTATTTAAAAAAATCATTCGTTTTAAAAATAACATTGTTTATACAGTATTTTTATTTTTAATTGAAAAATAACAGGCTTAGATTAACACACATATAGCTAACATATATAAATTATATCTACAAAGCATTAATTGAAAATATACTTTAAATATAATTTTAAAACCAGAAATAATGTTAGTATTGTATCACATGTGTAGCCTGATTTTTAGCTTTAAAGTAATTTCTTTTGGCATGTAAAATAAAGATGTGTCTCAAAAAGATGTACTTTTATTTAAAGAAATATGTTATCCCAGAAAAGTTTGGTGGAGCAATTTCAAAAATGTGTATAGGGGGTGAGTATATAAAGATTTTCTCTTATTTTTTACAATAAAACATTTCTTAAATGGAATTTGATTCCCACTAGTGTTTATACCATGGTAGTATTATATGTATCATAACTTTTAGTTTCCTCTTAATTTAGACCATATATCAGTTCATATTCATAAATAATAATGCTATTTCTAAACTTGTTTGGGAAAGTTTTATGTAAAGATGTAAACCATGTCAAGCAACATATTTGAGAATTTCACACATATTTCTTATCAATTCTCCTTCAGTGATTCTTTGGGAGAATTGAACTCTTTTCTATATAGGAAAATTAATATTAACATTTATTTATTATAATTTATCATTTATAAGTTAATGTGTTTCCAAATTGAATATTGTATTTCATTAAAAGTTCTTTATCCATTAATCCGTGGAGATTCTTTAAATCAATTTTGTCTAAGAATATATGCAAATGACTACTTGCCAAACAATCTATACTTTTTCATTTGTTCTGTTTCTATTCATTCCATCTTTTGGGGATTTGTTAATATCAGGGCTTTGAATAAAGAATAACCATCAATTTTCACAACCCACGTGTAATAGAAACGATTTATCTTGTATTATAAAGCTTAAAAGACATAACACCCTTCATTTTTTTCCCTCTGAAATATTTTTTATCTACTACCTTGGAGTACTAATTCTGTGCAATTGCAGAACAGCATAGAATTGTGCTTATAATATGGCTGCAATGAAAAGCACATTAGGGATAAATCATAACACTATGACAGCATATAGTAAAATTTTTATAGATGTAAGAACTTAGAGTCAAGTTATATTTCTGCAAGACAAATTAAAAATTAATTATTACCAAGCAAAATAATATGTGTAAAATACTGTTTTATTTAATATAGAAAACACTGGTAATCACCTGTCCAACAAACATTTTTTTTTCCTTTCCTGTCTTGCTAGTGGGACCTTGCTTTCTCTCAGGTCTCCTGCCCCACTCAATGTGATTCTCAGGAAGGTCACTCCATCCTCTGCTTCAGGGTTAAATCTGTTGCTCAAGATTGTCTTTTGATCTCCATGAACCCAGACTCTGTTCACTGAAAGGATTTCTTTATCTAAAGTCCCCCATGGTCATATATGATTAGTTCACTCCCCCTTGAAATATATGTCAAAATTTTATTATGCCTTTGCAATTTTAGGTATCATTATTCGAAATTCCAAACATGCTTACGCTTTGAGAATACACGTTATTGGGTTGATGTATTTCTAAAATTAAAGCAGCCTATGTAATATTAGCCTTTTAAACTTTTGAACACTTATAGACATTCTTTTCTGATTTATATATCACATAAGGGGCTACTATAATGCAGTAAGGAAAATTGGAGAAATATAAAACTTGGATTTGGGAATTTGAATAAATCTGGGCCAAACTGAGTAATATAAAAGAAATCTAGTCAGAAAGTAGAGGACAGAACCCAACTTGAAACAATATAATAAAACAATATATACAACTTATAGCATGAACAATCAAAAGTCAATAAGTTGAATATAACAATGGGATAATTGTCTAATGTTATAAAGGAAATAGAAGTCAGAATCAGGATTTCAGTCATAGTAATACAGTCTTAATGTTGGACTTCCATTCTGGAAGAAGTGTCTGCAAGTGTAATAACGAATTACATGTGGAAGGAGTATTGGACATTACATCAAGGAAAAGGATCTGACATGGCAAAGAATGGCAGAAGTAAAGTTTTTTTCACAAATAATGTACAAACCTTTTCAAGAGCAGCCATTAACTCAGAGCAGTGTTAAAATGAAGATTATCAATTTCTAGCTGAATCACTTCAATACGGATCCGAAGAATTCTAAAAAAAAAAAAAAAAAAAAAAAAAAAAATCAGGTTTGGAATCAAAGACATGGATGGGACTGGAACTACCCAGTTGATGGTAATGAGAGTTTTTTAACACAAAATGTTCATTTGGCATTAGATTTTATCTAGCAATTAGTTTTGTATTACAGTTTCCTGCCCATTACATTGCATAGGGTGGGCCCCACAGAAGAAAAAAGATTTCCCTAATAAGGGCCACAAAGATTGGAACATTTGAAACACAGAATGGACTTAGAACGTTTAGACATGTCCAGTACTTGAGGTTTTTGTATTGCAAAACCGTATCATTTTCCATGATAGTGGTAGTAGCATGTATGTCACCAAAAAAGCCCTTTCATTTTCAAAATGTATTTATAAACAATGCACCATTTTCTGGTCCAATGATTTCCTGAAAATAAATATTATTTTGCACATCTGTCTTTCTTATCCTTAGCCAATATAACTTCTTGCAGTGGACTCTGCTTTTATTATCTACTGTTTTCCAAAGCCTCAAGCCCATGATTCTTTAAGAAACAGAATATTTTGATTTTGTACTTTGTTCTAAGCTCTTTTCTAAGCTAGTCTAAGACTTTTTAATAATGCCCAAACATATGCACACTATTTCTAAATTGTTACAATCCTATTGTAATTTATTTTTTTCTAGGTTCTCTGTTTCAGATACGAGTTCAATTAAAACAAAACAAAACAACAAAAACAAGGAGCTCTTTGTTTTTGCTACTGGCCATAGCCATAAAATTGTTTAAAGTATTCCTAAAATATATTCTTAGAGTCTCAAATTTTTGTTGAAAATTTTAAATGGTTGCTGTTTCTGCCACTAAGAGAAGGGCTTCTAAAAAGGAACTCAATGCCATTTTTCACTTATGCACATTTTGGGTTATTGACATTTTTCCCAATTTTTTCCATCTTACTACTTTTAACTATATTTTCCTTTCAAGAAGTTAACCTAACCACTTTATTAAACTAGTCAGTGTGAGTATAGGACCACAGTTAGTCATAAGTCTGCGTTTATGAACAGAGACTAGGAAAAGCTCTAAGCATTGTCCTCAGAATTTGGACTAAACCAAGTGACTTCCTTTCAGAGTTTGATGAGACATGCATCTCGGCACAATTTGTTCTCCTGTCTAATGGATTTAAAACCATTGGTCCTCCAAGCTAGTCTGCATCAGAGGTGTCTCGGGCCTATTCTTCTTAACTTCTTTATGGGGTACTCTATTATAATATCCAATGTACAGAAAAAAAGTAAACTGCTCTTACTGTGAGAAGTGTTCATTTATAGGTATCAATTAGACTAACTGGTTGATAGAGTTTTTCTGGTCTTTTAATCTTTGATGATTTTCTGCCTACTCCTTCTATTGGTTACTAAGAGAAGATTATCTTATAAATAGGTCCATTTCTCCTTTCAAAGTTTTATCAGGTTTTATTACATATACATTGAGACTCTGTTGTTAGGTGCATATATATTTAAAATTGTTATGTCTTCTTAGTAAATTAACCCTTCTAATTATTTTTAGATGTTCTTGTTATTCATTGCAATTTCCTTGTTTAATGACTACATTGTTGACATTGATAGAGCCACTCTAGCTTTCTTTGGATTATATATGCATGATATATTATTTTTGCAATAGAAGTTTCACTCTTAAAATATTTTTCTTATTCACAACCCATTGCTGGGCCATATTTTCTTAATCCAACTCAAAAATCTCAGTCTTTTAACTTGTGTTTTTAGGTTATTTTTATTAATATATTTATTGGTGTGGTTGGACTTATGTATACTATTTTGTTTGGGTTTCGTGTTTGTCTTTTTGTTTTTGATTTTCTGTTTCCTCTCTTCTGCTTTTTTGGGGGGATTATGTAAATATTTTAAATGTTCCACTTCAATTTTAATATTGGTTTATTTGGCTATGTCTTTTTGAATTATTTCTATAGTAGTTTCCTAGGGATATGTACACATATATGAAATCTAGAGATATAGATTATATATGCATTTATACATATATAGCATACATAAACATAAGTATATATAATTACTTAAATTTTTAAAATTACATACAAAAAAGTGCTCAGTGTATAGTTCTATGAGTATTGGCAAATGTAACAACTATCACTATCAAGATAGAAAACAGTTCAATAATCACAACAATGACACCCCTTTGCTACTGCCTTTTGAGTTCAAGCCTCTTCCACCCCTTTGCTGTCAGTAGCCACTGATCTTTTATCAATCATTATACTTTTATGTCTTCCAGTATGTCATATAATTGAAATCATAGCTTATGCAGCCTTTAGTTCTTCTGGTATTCAGCAAAACTTATCTGAACTCATTGACCTTATTGTGTTTATCAATAGTTTATGCCTGTTTATTGCTAAGGAGAATTTAATTGGTATACTATTGTTAACATCTATTTACCAATTGATGTACTTTTCAATTGTTTACAGTGTTTGGTAATTTTGAATGAAGTAACTCTGAACACTCAATACTTGAGTGTGTGTGTGTGTGTGTGTGTGTGTGTGTGTGTATTCATAGGCTTTTATTTCACTTGGGTAAAAACCTAGAAGTGTAATTGTGGGCATACATGGTAATATAGTAATGCATGTTTATAAGAAACTTCTCAACTGTGTTCTAGATTTGCTGTACCATTTCCCATTTTCACTAACAATGTATAAGATTCCCTGTTACCCTGTATCCTCACCAGTAATTGGCATTACCTGTTTTTCTTCTCCTTTCTAATAGCTGTGTAGTGATATTGCATTGTGGTGTTACTTTGTTTTTTCTGAATAACTAATGATGTGAAGAATATTTTAATGGATATATTTGTTATCACTATGTCTCCTTTGGAGTAGTGTCTAATATTTTCCCCATTTGTATATGTCTAGTTGTTTACTTACTATTGCATTTTAAGTTTCCTTCTTATAGTCTAGATATAAATCCTTTGTCAGTAGGATATTTAAAATCTTTTTTTTTTATTTTTTACCTTGTCGCTTCATTCTCTTAGCATTATACTTTTCAGAGCAAGAACTTTAAATGTTGATGAAGTGTAGTTTATCTTTTTTTTTTTATATAAGATGATTTCGGTAACACATATAAAATTCTTTGCTAAATCCAAGCCCTGGCTGGGCACAGTGGCTCATATCTGTAGTTCCAACACTTTGGAAGGCTAAGGTGGGAGGATTGCTTTAGGGAGGAGTTTGAGGCCAGTATGGTCAACATAGAGAGAACCTGTCTCTGCAAAAGAGTCAACTGGGCCTAGTGGTATGAACCTGTGGTCTCAGCTACTAGGGAGGCTGAAGCAAAAGAATTGCTTGCACCCAGAGTTTGAGGCTGCAGTGAACTACGATGGTTCCACTGTACTCCAGCCTAGGTGATCAAGGGAGACCCTGTCTCAAAAACAAATAACAAATCTATGTCCTGAAGTACATTTTCCTAAGTTTTCTTCTAAAACTTCCATATTTTCATTTATTACATTTAGTGTTATGATCCAATATCTGTACAAGACTGAGGTATAAATTTAGATATATATTTCATGTATGGATATCTAATTGAAAATACTATCTTTGCTGTTGTACCTTTTTAAAATATAATGTGCTCAGATTTGTGCAGTGTCATGCTTTATACCTGGTGGTTTTCCTGCTTCTGAAGTCTATTTTGTATGATGATATATTCATTCCAGCTTTCTGGAATAGTATTTGCATGGTATATCTTTGATAGTATTTGCATGGAACATCTCTGTATATTATTTGCATGGTACATCTTTTGTCAGCTTTGCATGTATTTGCATGGTACATCTTTTGATAATGTTTGCATGGTACATCTTTTGCCAGCTTTTACTTTTAATCTAAGATACTTTCATAATTAAATTTAGTTTCCTGTAGGCAACATATAATTGGGTATTATATTTTTATTCCATTTGGTAACTTGTGTTTTGTGATTGATATGTTTTGGCAATTCACAGTATTTTTAAAATTTTAACTTACTACATTTGGATTGGTTTTGGTATTTTAAAAAAAAACAATTAAATTTTATTTTTTAATTTCAATATATTTATTTATTTTGCGACCATGTTTTGAGACTGGCTAATTTTTGTATTTTCTGTGGAGATAAGGTTTCACTATGCTACCAAGGCTGGTCTCAAACTCCTGTCCTCAAGTGATCTGCTGCCTCAGCCTCCCAAAGTTTTGGGATTACAGGCACGAGCTACTGCTGTATTTTTTATTTATTATAATTTTTGCTTAGAGATTACAACCTCAAAATCTATTTTTCTCAGACTATTTAGAGGTAATATATTTTACCAGTTCAACTAAAACTTAGAGTTTTTAAAATCATATAAATCCTTTTATTCTACTGTATATTGCTGTCCCATATACTATATCTGCATGCATTACAGTTTTAAGAAAATGATATAATGTTTGCTTCCTAATGTAGTATCCTCCATTTATCCAGCTATTTATAAATTTGATTGCTCTCCCTTTATTCAGAAATTCCAGGTTTCCATCTTACATAATTTGTCTTCAACCTGAAAACCTTCCTATTGCATTTCTTATAGAGTAAATCTGCTGGTCCCAAACTTTCATAGTTTTCCTTAAACTGCAAAGTATTTATTTATTTAACCTTTATTCCTCATAAATATGATCACTATTCATAAAATTCTGAGTTATTAGTTATTTGTTTTAGCAGTTGGATTATGATGCTATTGACATTGTTTTCCTTGTGTTTATCTCTCTACTGCAGATATTCCTTCACACTCTCCAGTCTGATAGGCCCTCTGCTTGGTCCACAAAGCAGGAAGCTGGAGTTCTGTCAGAATTGTATCCACTCAAGCCCTCTCCCCCTGTTGTGCAGTTATATGCAACCAGGAGAGAGCTGTGGTAAGGTAGTCAGAGAAAAGAGAGGAGAAAAATAATAATAACAACAGGAATCTCCACCTACCCCCAACTCTTTGGATCACAGGGTCCTTCTTTTCAGCCCCTTTGCCCAGAAGGATAGGCTGTCTCTGAGTCTTAAATGATACTGCAGCTGTGAGATTTTGCCCCTGGTTCTGGTCCTTTCTGGTTAGGGAGAAAGAGAGGAAAAAGAGTTCTCTCCCACACTCTCCTCTACACATAGGCCCTTTTTCCTATTTCTTTGGCTAGAAAGTGTGGTTTCCCCTCTGACTTTTTTTTGCTGTCCACAGTCACTGGCCATTTTCACGATTTGGCCAATTCATAAGTGAAACCAGTAAATAAAGAAGGAAATAAAAAAATGTAAATTTACTTTTATGTAGATTCTTCAATTTTGATTTCTCTATCTACCTGATATTCTTTATAGGCAAAACCAGTAAATAAAGAAGGAAAGAAAAAAATGTAAACCTACTTTTATGTAGATTCTTCAATTTTGATTTCTCTATCTACCTGATATTCTTTATACATGAAACCAGTAAATAAAGGAAAGAAAATAATGTAAATTTACTTTTATGTAGATTCTTCAATTTTGATTTCTCTCTCAATCTACCTGATATTCTTTAGTTTTAAAGAGTCCTCAGAGAGTTGTTTTTGCTCTTTCCAGACTTTTAGACGTAATGAGTGGGAGAGATGAGCTGATGTGGACACATTCAATCTAGATTAGCCCAGAAGTCAAATCAGTGTTTTCTACTATTAAATTTGTTGAAAAGGAAAAAAAAAGGCTGAAAATAGTGTTGAGTTAACTAAGATTTGAAAATGTCAAGTGAGTATATGTATTTCTATTACCTTTCTTAATATGAAATGAATAACAAATGTTTCTGTTACCAGCTGGCCATTCTCGCAACCTCATAATGAATTTACATATAAAATACATTTTACCAGTTTTAGTGCTCTAAATGTGAGACTTTTACTGGGAAAAAAGGCATACCTAGAAATAGTTATCAGAGGGGACAACATAAGGAGCTACATTCTTAGGAACAAAAGCAAAACAATCTATAGGTAATATTTTCAAAATCTACAACAATAAATAATTTTTAGGAACTCCAATTTTAAAAATGAAGGCATGTTTTACTAAAATTATTTTAAAAGGTTTAGTATAAAAATTAGCAATAGTTTGATGATAAAATGCAGTTCTCTGGAGCACAGAATAACTAAGTCATTTTATAGAAAGAAACAAACCTTTCATTTGTCTCATTTTGTATACAATTAATCTAAATATATGCAGGTTTTTCTTGTTTTTTTAACTAAATATATTTCTAAATGTATCTTGTTAGACATATGCAAATGCATAATTATAGAAACATAATTTTAATTTAGTTTCATCATAATGTCAATAATATACGTATTATATTTTATCTCAATCAATTGAAATAATTTTATTATGAAACAGAAAAAATATATCATTTTTATCTTCTATGTATCTGCACATCAAATAACTATTTTATATCTAGTAGAATCTCAACTTTTATCTTAAATACCACCTTAACCATAGTGACTAACTTTTGTTTTTAACAAACTTAGGTTCATGAAATGGAGATGGAAAACTTGAAACTCTCATGAAGTGTTTCCCCCATAGAGAGGTGAAGCTGGCTGGGCTTCTGGGTCGGGTGGGGAACTGGAGAACTTTTCTGTCTAGCTAAAGAATTTTAAATGCACCAATCAGTGCTCCGTGTCTAGCTAAAGGATTGTAATGCATCAATCAGCACTCTGTAAAAATGCACCAATCAGCACTCTGTGTCTAGCTAAAGGATTGTAAACACACCAATCAGCACTCTGTAAAATGGACCAATCAGCACTCTATAAAATGGACCAATTAGCGCTCTGTAAAATGGATCAATCAGCAGGATGTGGGCAGGGCCAAATAAGGGAATAAAAGCTGGCCATCTGAGCCAGCAGCAGCAACCCGCTCAGGTCCCCTTCCACACTGTGGAAGCTTTATTCTTTTGCTCTTCACAATAAATCTTGCTTCTGCTCACTCTTTGGGTCCGGACTACCTTTATGGACTGTAACACTCACTGCGAACGTGCAGCTTCACTCCTGAAGTCAGTGAGACCACGAACCCACTGGGAGGAACAAACAACTCTGGATGTGCCAGCTTTAAGAGCTGTAACACTCACTGTGAAGGTCTGCGGCTTCATTCCTGAAGTCAAGCGAGACCATGAATCCACCAGAAGGAAGAAACTCTGGACACATGTGAACATCTGAAGGAACAAACTCTGGACACACCATTTTTAAGAACTGTAACACTCACCGCGAGGATCTGAGGCTTCATTCTTGAAGTCAGTGAGACCAAGAACCCACCAGAAGGAACCAATTCCGGACACATTTTGGCAACCACGAAGGGACTATCACCAAGCGGTGAGTACCATCAGACCCGTTTCGCTTGCTATTCTGTCCTATTTTTCCTGAGAATTCGGGGGCTAAATACCAGGCACTTGTCGGCCAGTTAAAAGTGACTAGTGTGGCTGCCAGACTAAAGACACGGGTGTCAGGCTTTCTGGGAAAGTGCTCTCTAACAACCCCTGACTCTTCAGAGTTGGGAGGGTTGGTTTTGCCTGGAACCAGCTTCTGCTTCTCCTGTACTTCTGGGCTGAGCCGAGGGTCAACAGAGAGGAAAGCCATTCAGCTCCGGGGTCCCGCCAAAAAGTTGGTTGACCCTGTGGCCATGAACGCAACTCTCAAAGTCATCTTGCCCAAGTGACACTCGCCCATCTATCCTATCTGTCCTGACCCTTGCCTCCTGCATCCTAATGCCTATCAGACAAACTTCCTCTTGCCTCTCTTCTTCGAGGCTAGTCCCACTTCTAAATACCACTCCCTGTCTCTGGTGTTTTTCTAGTTTCTCCTAGAAGAATGATTTCTAGTATAAACTCCAGGACTCTGTTACCTTCTTTAGGCACCCGGGCTCACCAATCAGAAAGACATAATTTTTGCCCAAAGCCCCATCGTAGGGGGGACTATCTGGAATTTTAGGATCCCTCCTCAGACTAGCAGGGGGCTAACAAAAGCTATTCCTGAAGCTAGGATATGGGGATCCTCAGAAACTGTATCCTTTCTATTCATATAAGTGAGGACAAAAGGCATCACTCTTCCAACTCTGGAGATCCCTCCCCTCACTGAGGGTATGGCCCTCCCCTTCATTTTTGTGGCATAACATCTTTAAAGGACAGGGGTAAAGTCACAATACTAACAGGAGAATGCTTAGGACTCTAACGGGTTTTTGAGAATGCATTGGTAAGGACCACTAAATCTGATTTTTCTCAGTCCTCCTTGTGGTCTAGGAGGACAGGCAATGGTGCAGGTTTTCAAGAATGCATTGGTAAGGGCCACTAAATCCGACATTCTACCATCCTCCTTGTGGTCTAGGGGAAAAGTAGTGTTTCTGTTGCTGTGTTGGTGAGCACAACTATTCTGATCAGCAGAGTCGAGGAACCACTGAGGCTTCTTGGTTAAGAGGTGTTTCTGCTGCTGCATCAGTGAGCGCAACTATTCCAATCAGCAGGGTCCAGGGACTGTTGCAGGTTCTTGGGCAAGGGGAGAAACAAACAAACAAACCAAAACCATGGGCAGTTTTGTCTTTCAGATGGGAAACACTCAGGCATCAACAGGCTCACCTTTGAAATGCATCCTAATCCATTTGGACAATTTTGACCTACAAACCCTGAAAAAGAGGCAGCTCATTTTTTTCTGCACTATGGATGGGCCCCAATATTCTCTCTCTCTGATGGGGAAAAATGGCCACCTGAGGGAAGTATAAATTACAATACTATCCTGCTGCTTGACCTTTTCTGTAAGAGGGAAGGCAAATGGAGTGAAATACCTTATGTCCAAGCTTTCTTTTCATTGAAGGAGAATCCACAACTATGAAAACTTGCAATTTACATTCCACAGGAGGACCTCTCAGTTTACCCCCATGTCCTAGCCTCCCTATAGCTCCCCTTCCTATTAATGATAAGCCTCCTCTAATCTCCCCACCCAGAAGGAAACAAACAAAGAAATCCTCAAAGGACCACAAAAACGCTCGAGCTATCCTTTATGTCCCCTTCAAGCTGTAGGGGGAGGAGAATTTGGCCCAACCTGGGTACATGTCCCTTTCTCCCTCTCTGATTTAAAGCAGATCAATGCAGACCTGGTGAAGTTTTCAGATGATCCTGTTAGGTACATAGATGTCCTACAGGGTCTAGGGCAAACCTCCAATCTCACTTGGAGAGAAGTCATGCTATTGTTAGATCAAACCCTGGCCTTTAATGAAAAGAATACAGCTTTAGCTGCAGCCTGAGACTTTGGAGATACCTGGTACCTTAGTCAAGTAAATGATGGAATGACAGCTGAAGAAAGGGACAAATTCCCTACCAACCAGCAAACCATCAGCAGTATGGATCCCCACTGGGACCTCAACTCAGATCATAGGGACTGGAGTCGTAAACATCTGCTGACCTGTGTTCTAGAAGGACTAAGGAGAAGTAGGAAAAAGCCCATGAATTATTCAATGATGTCCACCATAACTCAGGGAAAGGAAGAAAATCCTTCTGCCTTCCTCAAGTGGCCACAGGGAGCCTGAAGAAAATACACTCCCCTGCCACCAGAGTCACTTGAGGGTCAATTGATTCTAAAGATAAGTTTATTACCCAGTCAGCCACAGATATCAGGAGAAAGCTCCAAAAGCAAGCTCTGGGCCCTGAACAAAATCTGGAGGCATTATTAAACCTGGCAACCTCAGTATTCTATAATAGGGACCAAGAAGAGCAGGCCCAAAAGGGAAAGTGAGATCAGAGAAAGACCGCAGCCTTAGTCATGGCCCTCAGGCAAACAAACCTGGGTGGTTCAGAGAGGACAGAAAATGGAGCAGGCCAATCACCCGGTAGGGCTTGCTATCAGTGTGGTTTACAAAGACACTTTAAAAAAGATTGGCCACCCCAGCCAGCAGTGGCAACCTATTCCAGTCCCCTTCCATGCTGTGGAAGCTTTGTTCTTTTGCTCTTCACAATAAATCTTGCTGCTGCTCACTCTTTGGGTCCACACTACCTTTATGAGCTGTAACACTCACTGGAAACATCTGCGGCTTCACTCCTGAAGTCAGCGAGACCACGAACCGACCGGGAGGAACAAACAATTCTGGACGCACCACCTTTAAGAGCTGTAACACTCACTGCGAAGGTCTATGGCTTCACTGCTGAAGTCAAGCGAGACCACAAACCTACCAGAAGGAACAAACTTTGGACACATCTGAACATCTGAAGAAACAAACTCCGGAAACACCATTTTTAAGAACTGTAACACTCACCGCGAGGGTCTGTGGCTTCATTCTTGAAGTCAGCGAGACCAAGAACCCAACGGAAAGAACCAATTCTGGACACATCATGAGAACACATTTTATATTGGCTTTACAAAATGTAAAGAGTCAAAAATAAACAAAAATATTAACATCATGTAAAGACATTTTCATTTTCTGTTACTCTACAGAAGTTCTAAAATGTATAAGAATAAGAAGTGAAGGTAAATTTTTAAATTGTAAAATAAAGAGCATTTTGTGTTTTTTCTTTCTCAGATCTTTAAATGAGGATCTTTTAATGAGCCTTTAAATGAGGATCTTGTAATGAGGCCAGGTGTAATCAGTGTTTCTTGTGAGTGGGAGACAGAAGAGTCAAAGCCTGACAAGGAGACGTGATGGCTGACGCAAAGTTTGGAGAGATGCTATTGCTGAGTTTGAAGATAGAGGGATCACAACTCAGGGAATGAAGTTGGCCACTAGAAGCTAAGAAAGACAAGAGCCTCCTAATGTAGTACAGCCCTACCAACACCATGATTTTATCCCCATGAGGCATATTTCAGACGTCTAACCTCCAGAACTATATATTTTTTAAGTGTTGTTTTAAGCCCTGAAGTTGGTGGTAATTTGTTAGAACAGCAATAGAAAATGAGTACAACTCTAAACTAAACAGTCATTTATTTCTAAAGTTCTGTCCTAAGTTAGAAGCCATGAGAAATTCACTTGATAATAGTTCAGCAGAGAAAGTGTAATGCACGTATCTGAAGTCATCAACCCTAAAACAAAGAAACTTTTGAGTGTAGACTTTAGAAAACATGATTCTCGTGGCAGATGGAATGCGAGAATAGAAATTGTCTTTGTACTCATCTTACAGTTTGAGAAATATGTTTCGTAGTATGGTTATTTTTCAGAGATCTTGAGAAAGATACTATCTTTATATCTGTCAGAATGGAAGATACTGGAGAGGCAAGTGTCTACATTCTGTATGTCTGCGAAGCATGATGAGACTTCGCTGTGACAGCTCCCTGAGTAGAGCTCAAATCACGCTGTTGCCACCTGAGCAGTAGGGCAGAGCCTACTCTGCTCTTCTGAATATGAAACAGGTCCAGTTGTTCCACACAACCGATGTTCGTGGTTTCTTTGAATAAACATAGAAATTGATCCTCCCAGTCTTAAAACTTGAAAAAGTTATATTCGTTTCATGTAAGTTTCTTTGTCAGGAAACCAACTATAAGTCCTCCCAGATAGCATCAAGCAGCTGAAACTTACTGGATCACTACATTTAGACAATGAGATGCCAGACCGCTCACTTGTCATAACTGCCTATCTAACTCCTGCTTCCTGTTGACCAATTCCTTTTCCTTTCTTTTCCCTAATTCCTGTTTTCCCACACATGATTACATTTCTTCTCTGCTATATAAACCCCTAATTTTAGTTAGACAAGGAGACAGGTTTGAGGCTGATCTCCCAGCTCCTTGGCTGTAGCACTCAAATAAAGCCTTCTTCCCTGGCAAAACTCATTGTCTTAGTCATTGCTTTTTGTACATCAAGCAGCAGGTCCTAGATCAAACCCTTGGAGTTTTGGTAACAAATACGATAAAAGCAAATGTGAACAGCAGAAATTTAGAGAAAGAAGAACTCGGATGGCATGAAGAGAGTGGTGCTATTTTGGTGGCATTTTGCTTGTAATGGTCCTTGTTTCTTCCAAAGGGCCACTGTAAGAAGCCTTCTGACATTCCCAGATGCAAATTATTAGAAATAATATATAGCCAACTGACAGCCACTTGTGGAACCACATGCTTCATATTTCAGGGAGTTTATTGCTTACTCAAACTACACACCTGCATGGGCATCTGATGGCAACAACATATGTAGAAAATTGGACATCCCTAGTCTTTACTGACACACAAATAATGAGAACCTTATGGATTGGACTTGGAGTACATAGTCCAGGCATTTTCTAATGGAAATAGGGGTATTATAAGGGGAGCTCTTCAAGGAGGCTTGCCAAGGCTGGCAGTTTGATAAGAAAATAAAAGAATTCATGTGTGGACTGAATGCACTACTTCACTGAAGAAACATCTCTGTCAACAACACAACTTTTCAACAAACCAAAGAAAGGGTTTGTACCCTCAAATTCTATTAGAGATATCTATATCACTATAGAATCTGAAGTTTTAAAGGTCAGTGACTAGACATTATAGCAACTGAGCCAGAGTGTAGTGAAATAAGAATAATTTGTAGAAATATTACTGGTAAAATTACACTATGGTAGTGTGGCTTTTATTATTGTTTTCAATGGCTGGAACATAATGGTTTAAAAGATAATTTTAACCAGTTAATTTCAACCAGTTAAAAGTGGGCCAACAGAGTTGTATTCCCAGGTGAGATGGATGGGCAGTATTTCAAAATAATATCTGAAAGTTTGTATTGGTGAGAATCTGGATTATAATATCTAGAATATAGTTATATCCATCACCCAGATTCAAACTACAATGTACTAAACAATACCTTTCTGTTACTATCCCAGACACTGTAAATGTGTAGTTAATGGTTAAAAGTATTTCTATTAGATATGAATAAAAATTGTACTCTAATTTTAACCATTTGGTATGTTAGATATTAATCTATTTATCTAAACTTCCTTCTATAGCTATGCAGTATAAAAAGTTTTATAGTATTATTAGCAAAATTAAATGGAGATGATAAACCACAGGATACGAAAGTATTTGGAAAAACTGAATTGAAGCCTCTAATTGATACCATACCTGGGTAACTGGATTAGTCAGAAAAAGAGGTCAGTGTGACCTGACCTTAGTAAAATTAGGATGCAATACAATGCCTCCATCAATACACGTAAAAATGTACTTGTTAACACACGAGGAAAAATAATATTCCAAATGGTAAAATATGATCAATGGACTTGTAAAGTGAGAAGTTCATAGTTCATTTATTTTTGTTTTTTAGAATAAGTTTTTGCTTTTCCTCACGTGATACAAATCCTCGTGATCATCAACATGGTAAAAAGTGTCCTGCATTCTATAAAATAAAGCAGTAATTGTCTTAATACAGGAATGGTAAACAGTGTCCTGCATAGTATGAAATGATGCAGTTATTGTCTTAAGATGATTAAGGTACATGAGGCAAAGTGATACTGCTCCGGGTCAGAGTGTACACTGGGATGGGATGGAGAAGTGGTAGGCAGGTAAGGTATTTGATGACTTGGCTACAGCTGAGGTGGTTTTTATCTTAACTAGAATTCCTTGTAAATATTGACCAATGAAACTTAGTAATTGAAAGATAATTGAGTGCCTCATGGGCACTTTACTGATTACTGATCTAGGAATGATTTTAAATGATATGCCTGGTCCCTTGAAGTTGTTTATTGTAAATAAACTTGTAACTTATGCACTACATACACCTGACTAGTGAAGTGTATAAGCTGAGAGACACTAAAACCTAGTAGCATCCCTGGGTTAACTCATCCTGCAGAAGTCCTTGTCTTTCAGCATCTGAAAATACTTCCAGGGGTGAGAAAGGGATAACAGAAATATGCATCTGCTGCCACTGGGGTCATCCCCATATTGATGTGAGAGGTTTGCCCATTTTGATTCTCTATTGTTTCCTTTATTATTTTCTATTCCAGTTGGGTGTTGAATGAGACTAAAAGAACAAAGCTACTCATAATTAACCTGATCCTTTCTCACTACTGAATTTTTAAGTCTCTGATATCTGTACCTACATGCTATGTCTTCTGCTTCCTTACTTCATTCATTGTTTCTTTTTTCCTCTCACCTGCCCAAGAGCTTTACTTCTTCCTATTATCAGTATTTCATTTTAATTCCATAATAATCAGTTTAATAATACATTTCAATATCCTCAAGCTAAAATAAATAAAATTTTAACAGTTGTAATTAAAACAACCTACCACCTTCTCTCAACAGGGAAATTTTGGTAGGCTTATGATAACTCAACAATGGGAAAATAAACAACCTTATTAAAAAATGGGCCAAAGACCTCAATAGACACTTTACAAAGAAGATATAAAGATGACAAATAAGCCTGTAAAAGATGCTCATTATCATATGCCATCAGGGAAATGCAAATTAAAACAAGATACTACTACATCCCTATTGGAATAGTTAAAATCCAGAACAATGACAACATAAAATAGTGGCAAGGATGTGGAGCAAGAGAGTCTCTCTCTTAGACAACTATGGAGACAGTAAAAACATCAGAGGTTACAGGGGGTTATGGGGGAGAAAGAGATGAGTATGCGGAGCACAGAAGATTTCTTTTATAGATTTACAGAATACAAGTGCGTTATGGTTACATGCATATTTTGTGTAGTGGTGAAGTCTGAGCTTTTAGTGTAACCATCACCTGAATAGTGTTTAGTATACCAAACAGGCAATTTCTCATTCTTCACCCCACTCATCACTCCACCCTTTGGAGTGTCCCATGTCTATTATTCCACACAGAGAGGAGATTTTAGGGCAGTGAAACTATTTCATACTATAATGGTAGATGCATGTCATTATACATTCATTAAAACACACAATGTACAACACCAAGAGTGAACCTTAATATAAACTACAGACTCTGGGTTATAATGATGTGTCAATGCAGGCTTATCCATTATAACAAATATACTACTCTGGTGGGGGATGTTGATAATGGGGAGGCTGTGCATTTGAGGATACAGGGAGTGTATGAAAATTCTCTGCACTTTCTGTTCAATTTAGCTGTTAACCTAAAACTACTTTAAAAAAATAAAGTTTACCTAAAAGAAAACATCATGGGATATAATTAAACACCCAAATAGGGTGGCTATTATCTATTTTTTAAAAAGCATTTGTATTGCTAGTAGCAATGTAAAATGATGCAGCCTCTATGGAAAATACTATGGTGGTTTTTCAAAAAAATTAAATATAGAATTACCATATTACCCAGTAATTTTACCTCTGGGTGTAAAAAACAAGGATTAAAAAAATAAATAAAATGTAAAATAAATAAAAAGAATGTAGTTTTCTCCATTATTCATATCTATTTCATTTGATGCCATGATACTTTTGAAATAAAATGTCATTCCTTAAAAAAAGATATGCATATGAATGAATATGAATTTGTATAATGGTTTATTGTCTCCATGACAGCACAAGATTTGTCTGTTTTGTTTATAGCTCAAGTTTCAGAATCCAGAAGAGACAGTTTTATATAATCAGGTTTTAATACTTATTCCTCACACACAAAAAATTCTATTTATAAAGACTGGAATAAAAGCACACCCTTTTTCAATTTCTAAATTTGTTGCTTTTTACAAATATTATTATAATATCTATACATAATTTGAAAAAACCAACAAATTTAGAATTCATAACATAAAATATATTATATCTAAAACTAAATGTATGCCATATTGATAGATGTAAATGTGCCAAAATAATTTATATTTAAAGGCTCTTTTAAAAATAAAACGTATGTACTTTTAAAAAGTTAAGTTAAAACAAACCAGTCAAAAGGCTAAAAACAATCACAAAACATCATAGGCATTGTGAACTTATTTTCAAACAAGTATTAACGCAGGTCAATTAATTAAAATTAATTAAAACAAATATAGCCACAATATAAAAAAAGATATAATCTATAATTAAGAACTACAAGCTGAGTCTTGTTAAACTTTATATATTTGTTAGAACTTAAATATATTTCTAAGTTATAATTTGTGATTGCCAATATAGAAAATATTAACACAGCTTTAAAATATAACCCATGTCAAAATGAGGTGCCTAATAAATTCTTATACTGTGGTTCAATGCAGAATCCATTCATTTTTAATATCTTACGGGTAATACGCCATAAAATTACACATGTAAAGTGATAATCCTAAAATACTAAACTTCGGGTTACTAAATGCAACCATTGCTGTGTTGATTAATTATTAAGAGATACACCTTTTATTAATATTGTGGGCATAGATAAAGACAGAAATCATAGAATATTCTTCAATTCTGTTACCTCCATAAAAATTTTATGGCACCTTGCTGTTTTTGTTTGTTTTTTGAGACCGAGTCTCGCTCTGTCGCCCAGGCTGGAGTGCAGTGGCTTGATCCTGGCCCACTGCAACCTCCGCCTCACATGTTCAAGCGATTCTCCTGCCTCAACCTCCTGAGTAGCTGGGATTATAGGCATGTGTCACCACACCCAGCTAATTTTTTATATTTAGTAGAGAAGGGGTTTCACCATGTTAGCCAGGCTGATCTCGAACTTCCGACCTCTGGTGATCCACCCGCCTCAACCTCCCAAAGTGTTGGGATTACAGGCATGAGCCACCATGCCCGGCCGGTACCTTGCTGTTAAAACACTTCTATAAATAATCTTTTACACGTTGAAAATAATATAGCAGGGAACCAATTTTTTTTAAATTAAAGTGATTATATTGAATCTTGTGTAGATGAATATTTAACACATAATTCAGTTGAAAACAATATCTGCCAATTTTGTGTTAAATGGAATACATTACATTTGAAAAAACAGTCTCATTTAGATTTTACTTGTAACAAATATGTGTAATGAATTTGGGACTTCTCAAATACTTGCAAACAAATTTATATTTATAGGAAATAAATGTATACTTCAGAAAATAAAATATAAAATTTGAACGGAGCAATAATTTTTATAACTAATGTTTAGCAAATCAAATATAATACGCAATGTGAGCTCATGAAAGTGTTATGCCAGGAGATACCACAGACATTGTCATCTGTAAGAGTGTCTGTTTATTCCACAATTCCAGCAGAAACATTGTTGGTCCACTATATAAATGGCATCCACTGTATTGTTCAACAAGGTGTTCTTATTTCACAATTCTACCACAATTACATTTCTAATTTTAACATTTTGTTATGTAGGCATGCCCATTTTTGTAACATAATTGATCTTCCTAATTCCAATCATATTTTTTAAAAATTGGATTTTATTGAGGCAAAAATTATTTGGATTTAATTTCATGTCAAGAATAAGCATAATGAGAAAGTAATTAAATTATTCAATCTCATTTAAAGTAGTTACCTCAAATGGACAAAGCCTTCTGGGCAAAAAATTTATCATCAGTGTAAGGGAAATTAATGAGAAAAAAAGACAAAAAATAATAGAAAAATGGTAAAATATATAATTGTTCTATTCCTAGAAAATAAAAAAAAAAACATGTAACCAACAAACTTTGAATGGTGATTAAAGAAATTAGCAAGGAGAAAAATAAAAAATAAAGTAATTACAACTTTTCCAAACAAAGATATGGCAATATTTTAAAATTTTGAGATTATCATTTATTGTTAAGCCTTACAAATACCATTCTACATTGTGATTTATGTTTTGCTCTTATTTCAATGAACTTTTTGATCATTACATTGATGATTGGTTATTACTGTCCTGGAAATATTTTGATATTTTTATGTTGACCTTGTTTAAAGCAAACCAACTAATTTACTAACTTACTCTATCAATACAATAATATATTATCTTGCTTTTCCCAAATTATTTATGCAATTGGTATCTTTATTTTTTTTTAACAACTCTTATACTTCTTTTTTGGTTTGACTTTAATGAAAATGCCTTGGTGTTTCACTAATAATTTAGGTGCTTTTCATGATTTTCTGATAAAAGTAGTTTGATTTTTATTGCGATAACCCTTAAAGAAGATCTTCTGTTTTCTTTTTAATATTATCATTGCCAACTGCATTTGGGGTTTAGACCATCATAGCCTGTTTTGTTATTTTCAGAACATGTTATGTTTTGTTTTACCTGGTGTATGGAAATATTAAGAGAGAAAAGGAACCTCTCTATTCAATCTGTATTCTTAGTTATTCTTCCTTTGGCCTTCAGCTCTGCTTTCTTTCCATTGACAATTTTCTTTGTGTGGTTTGGATTCTTTCTTTACTTAGAAAATGTTAAATATACTCACATTGCATTACGGTCTGCATCAGACCTTCCTGAAGCAATGGGAAGATTTCCAGTTTACTCTGTTTGAAATAATTGTTTTATAGGATTTAAAAATAAATTTGTATATATCATAAAGCATATTGTTTTAGATTCTTTCCTATTTGTCTAGGATTTATTAAATTATATAAACAGATTTGTAGCCAAATGACACTTATATGAAAGAAACAATATATTGTATCTACCTTCAGTATAACAGACACTTGACTAGTCACTTGATATTTAAAGCTTATACCTCATTTCTACATTTTGAGATAATATTATTTTATTAATTAGGCAATAAGTTTGTACAGCTAAGGGCCAGGCTAGGTTTCAGAACTATATCTAACTAGCATCGACAATTTAGCTATATAACACAAGATTTTGTTGAAGAAGGATGTCATAGACTGAAGATCTCTCTTTATCCTGCATACATGCACTTGAACCTGTGTGTGTGCATGTTAACAGAGACTTTTATGAGAACAAATTGTTGGATTGAGAGGGAAATAATTTGCATTTTAGCAAACAATATTAAATCTGTGTTATTTATGGTAACTGAAAATCAGCAAACTTCAATATAATGTTATCAGCACAAATACAAGAATGGGGCAAATTGTAGAAATCATAACTAGTAAGAGCTAATGCATAGAGGGGTCTATTGTATTGTTAAAATGTGTGGCATAGTGAATAACTGACAGATGAACTTTTGGAGACATGATATGGTTTATCATAATATTATTTATTTTATTGTTTTATTTTAAATTATATAACTTTGTACTAATTCCCAGTTGAAATTTTTTTGAAAAACTACATTGAAAAGAAATACAAAATTAATAATTCTGAAGTCTGTTTATTTACACCTTCTTTCTCCTATTCTAGAATATTATCCACTTACAGAGTCAGAAGTTTATTTACTTATTTTTTTGTCCATTGTACCTGACAGGATATCTGTCATAAAATTGGCTGCTTAAACATTTAACAAAATGTAATATTAATTCAATAGAAAGAACAGCCACATAAACAGTTTAGCTTAATTTAATTATGTTTCCATATAGTTGTTAAAATTACATTTTTAATGTGGGCTCCATGTGTCCCCCTACCCTAGGGTTTCATCAATAAAATAACAAAGTAGTGACATAAGACAAAAGCAGGGGTGTGCTCTTACCTAACATTTAAAGTAGTAACTTTTTTAAAAAGTAAAATTTGTTATCAAGACAATTTTCCCTTCTCTTTTGAACCTTTAACATTATACGAATAAAAAGCCTGGTATAGTGTTGAGCTGAACCTCACGAAGTGATAACATCTATCCACTAAATGTGCTACACTGTTCTAATTGAAAACAATATTCAGCAATACCATTAAGGTAATTAGAATCTGTATTGTAAATTAACAACTTTAAGAAAACTAATTTTCCAGATAAGATTGCATGGATAATGCAAGCAAATATGTAGCTAATAATTGGCATTTCAAAAGTATGCTCACCCTCTAAAGGAACATTTTAAGACAACATTTTCTAATTGTTACTAACTTTCATTTAACTTTTCAATAGTTGGATTTTTTTTCTCTTAAAATATCATTGACTTTGGACCACCTGGTTTATACCTAGCTGCCTTTTTTCTTCTTGATTAAAACAACTTTGGAGTACTTTCCTGTTATGTATGCTTTTCTCTGCACTAGAGACATTTTAAAAACAGGCAAGAAAAAAGTAATATACCTACAAAGTTAAAGTAACTATGAAAGAAAACCATCCATATAAAAACAAAGTCTAGAAGCAGTGTTTAATATACCTTATCAGTCATAAGTCAGAAAAAATAATATAGACAAACTGACAATGCTTTATTTATAATATTAGGTATACAGATTTTTTGGTAAATTTGATTAATAATCAAGAACATTTCTTTTTGATTATTTACCACTATTGTAAAATTCAGAGATTAGCAAAGCTACTACCATGGAGAAGCCTAGTAACATTCCTCTATTGTGCCTTCTTATAAAGTCACCTGTAAAATCAATGCTGTGTAACAGTTTTCTATAAGAATGACAATTTCCAGCACCTGCCTGTTGAAGTAGAAGCCCCACTGAAGTAATTGGTAGAGAATGAGTAACATGATAAACACCTGGAGTTGTTCCAGTCTTTCATCTGGGAGATCTTTCATGAATTCCCAAACTAAAGTAGGCATCCTTACTATCGTTGTCATTGCATCAAGTAACTCCCTAAATCTAGCTCTCAGTAGACATCATTATAATAAAGTTACCACTTTCTGTTCTAGTCTGTATGCTCTTTATTTACACAAATAATTTCTGCCTTATCCACCACTGTATCTGCAGCACCTAACATAGTACCTGGCATAAAGTATATACAAGATAAATACACAAAGAAAATAATGGATAACCAATTATTCTTTCAGAAATTTATCTAATTTCTTCAAGCCTTAAATATTGTATACAGATATTTAAAATGTGCTTATCAAAAACCTTCAAAATACAACATTCTTATAATTTAGTCCAAGTGCATGCTTATGTATATTTCTTCTGGCCTATGAACTCTTCCAAGGAAAGGAAATCTTATCTACCTTTATATCTCTAAGGCCTACTTCAGTAGCTATCTAATAGTAAGTCTAGATAAACTTTTAATGAACTATGTGTGAACAAAAACACGAAGTAGGTCAGGAAGAATTCGTCAGAACATTTTTCAATTCACCTTATTTAAATAAGACCTTATAAGTCTTTGAAAAGCTGAGAAACTTAAGTACATATTCAATCTGTCTCTTTATGAATTATATATACACACGCACACTAAAACACACATGCACATAAATTCTGCTAAATCCTGAAATACGTGAAGGGGAAGGTTTGTCTAGTTGTATAAAACTGTGCATTGCATAAACCAAAGTTAGAGAACATTACCTCTTTTAACCCACTAATTGGATGCTAGCATAGTTCTGCATGTTTGTGAACTATTATGGAGAATGAAAATTCTTTTACTTTGGCTACAACTGGGAGACGGCCTTAATTTAAATTGTGAGCCAACATAGGAAGCTATTTTATCCACTTAAATAGCAGAATTGATATGCTATCAGGTCACCAAGGAAATTTTCAAAAATTTCTCTGAGTGGCAAAAGAAAGACCCAATGATATTTTCAGAAAAATATAAATGAGATACTTCAATCAAAATATCTTTTAGTGGTAATTTAAAACTCATTTGTGTTTTCTACTATCTTTGGCAAAGAAAGGCTTTTAATTGTGTTTCTTCAAGAATGTAGGTAAAGTAAAAATACAAATAATTGTATATACTGCACCATGGGTAATATACAGTATTTAAAAAATCACAATTCCTTGTAAAGTCTTCTAAGCTTAATTTACACTTAAAAATTATCAAAAAATCATCATTGGTTTTCTTAAAAATAGATTTGAATAACAGAAATAATCAATGCCTATAGCTTTATTCCCAACTGTCCTATTGACTCAAGTATACTTATCAACCTTAGTGTGACCTTGGAAGATTACAGATCAAGCCCATTTTTTCAGTGGTTTATAAATGTCGACTGATGTCAGGACCCAGCTATGCCCTCTGTTGGTCTACTTATATTTTTTAACGTCTTTTCATTGGTCACACTAGATTAATTGGTACCAGGAACCAAGTTTTACAAAAAACACATGTTAGAAACAAAAAATATTTCAAAAAAATAATTTGAAGAGAAAACATGTTTTTTGCCAGCTAGAAGTCATACACGCAACTCTGATCTATTCTTAAAAGTAAAACACAAACAGCACACACGCGCGCGTGTGGACACACACACACATCTTAAACCTAGAGGAGTTCCTTAAACTGGTTTAAGGCCATATATTTCTATAATAAACAATGTCCCAAAGGCTTTGCCCATCACTTTTCAGTCCAGGTCCCCTGAAAAGCAAATGCCAAGATGTGGTGAGATGCACACACACACACACACACACACACACACACAATGTATGAGGTGAACTGCCTTTAAGAAAAAGTAAAGAGAGACGCAGGAGTGGCTAGGAGAGCTGAAAGCCATGAAGATGGGAGCTTGAGTGAAGGTGAAAGGAATGGAAGGAGGATTTAATGGAAGCATAGTAGACTGTGGTGTACTTCTGAGGAAAGTTCCAGCACAGCCAATGAAAAGTCGTTGAACCAATGTCTCATTAGAAGAGTCCAGCATCTTCTCGGAAAGAGACTACTTCACTATCCCTGCCACATCATTCGTGGTTGGGAGAAACCTGTGAGAAATGAAGCCTCAGCAGAAACATAGAGATGGACCCAAGAGACAGCTGATATTGTATGTCAGTTTCACTCTCTCTACTCAGAGATCTCAGAGGCTCCTGCTTATGGCTGCCTCCCTCACCCTCTGTCAAGATTTGCTCTAGACTCATTTCAGGACTCATACATTCATCTTTGTCTTTTCTGAAACAGGACCTGCAAAAATCTGTCTTCAACTGGTACATCACAGTAGGATGTGAAATGCATTTTTTGACTCAAATATAAACACACAAGTTTATATTTATCTTATTGATAAATGCAGGAGGCAGACAAATGCCTAGGCAGATAAGGAAGGGTCCCTGGAGAATCTCCACCTTACCCCACAAGTGTTTATGCCAGATGATTTTGTGCAGATAAGGGAAACTGCCGAGGGTCTTGCCTGGGCATGGTCAGAACGGGCTGAAGGCCCACAGGCACTGGGGAAATGGGATAGAGCCACAAGGAGTTCACGCGTTATGCTGGGAAGGATCCTGGCCTCTTCAACTGGCCTGTGGTGGCCTGGTATTCAATTCATGAGGTGGAAACCTCCGTGCAGGACGCCTGCATTCCTAATTTTTCCTGATTGTGAGATAAGAAGCCTGATTTAGCTGAATTCTGCATCATTATTAAATGTAAGCCTTTAGGGCCAAGTGTCAGGCCCCTCTCAGCTACATAATTATGCACATCCAAGAATATGTTCACTTTTCTGCAACAGATTAAAAATCCATGGTCTGTCACAGATTTATAAAACTTCATGTCCTCAATTTTCTCCAAATTACCAATGACCCTGAACATTTTCAGGAGGAGTTACAAACCATTGTGTACTGTTATGTTCTTCACTGACTAGATTATAATTAATTACTAAAAGTTTTCTCCCAGCAGACAAATTCTTCAAAGTATATACAAAAGTGGACTGACCAATAAACTAATCCTGTGGAATTATGGGGATTTCTAGAAGGAGAGAAAGATAAATGGGTGAATATATTATTTACATTCTATTCTTAAAATATTAACAAGTTTTTTTAAATGGACAAAATTAATAGGTGGATGAAAGTCCTAAAACACTTTTTTTTAAGCCTCTTTGGGTTTTAGATATTTTATCTAAAATTTTATCTAAAATTTAAATCCACAGTCGTTCATTTAAATTTCAAGAGCAATTTAAGATCACTGCAACCGTCTGAAAAGCTGATCATCACAACTCATGGACAAATAGGCAAAACTAGCAGAACACTGTGAAGGATGTAACTAAATCAGAAGAGATATCGGGGCTAAGTTAATCGCATGTGAAATTTCACATTTCAATCTAAATAACTGATGAAGGTGATACAGGGCTTTCAAGAACAAGGGAAGTTCGATGAAAAGAGAGGAAAATCGAAGAGTTAATAGGTTTTTAATTGCACCTGGAGTGTATCATTCCATTGAGCAAGAAGGACAACAAAGTCAAGTGTGCCAATAATTCTATTAAAAAAAACTTCTCCAAAATATGCTGAAAAAACTGACAATCACCCTGTTGGGCAGCCTATTGAAATCACTTCGATTTAACTATTCTTGTATTTCTAAAGAAGGAAGGTTTTTTTCCATTATGAAATTGCAGCTCATCAAATCTATTTTCTCAGACAATGACAATAACAATATTATATGGCATAAAGAAAAAATTTTGAATTACTTTCCCCTCTAAATTGTCCATACTCATAGATTTTCTAACCACATAGTAAATTTTTTCATGAGAAAATTTTCTATGCCTTTTGATCTCTTTTATCATGAATTTTTTCTTACTCACAGGTTAATCACATTAGCGAGACCATTTAAACCATTTGAGACATGTGATTTTAGATTGACAGATGATATCAATCTAAATGTTTTCCTTTTCTCTGAAGAGGTAGCTCGGGTTCTACTCACATACATTCTCATCAGAATGCCAGATGTATTCTCTCTTTTAGAATCAGAAAAATAACCAGTCTAGTTTCTTGTAAATTTAATCATTCTAATTTATGTGACATGTTACTCATAGAATGAGTTCAATAACATCTCTCTTTGTCTTCCTCAATACCCTGCCTGACAGAAGATAGTATTCAACCCATCAATGGCTCTCATCTGTGGAAAGATATTGTAGTCTTTAAAACAGTCCTTACAAAACCATAATTTTCCTAATTTAAAAAAAACCTGAGAGACAGGTGTACCTATTTTTCTGGGATCTTTTAGGTATAATTAAAACAGTGTTCCTCTCTTTTCTTGAAGTCACTAACTGAACCCCCATCCTTACTGATACTTTATGTGTAGGGTTTTGTTTGCTTGGTTTTTAGTGCTCACCTGTATGTTGTGTGTGCATGACTATTCACATTGACAACTAGTACCTCTTTGCTTTTAGCTAAGAGATACATTGTTTAAACTGTATAACAGTAGGGATTTTGTGAATCCCTATCCTTTTTCTTTCCTCTCTCCCTCTTTGGAAATAATTTCAACTTGATGTTTTTATCCCTGAGTTTATATGAGTTCTGTATATTGATAATCTCATATTTTGTTATATTTCTATTATGTATACCAGAGATTATTATCTATTTATGGCTACTTTATTATAGCAAGTCCACAAACCAGCTATGCAAATTCAACTGTTTCCAACCTAGGCACAAGATCTGGGATATGATCTCTTTGTTAGCACCTTCTGTGGGGCTGATATTATCCAGTCATGACTGGACCCAGACTTAATACCTTATCATACTGGATTCCTGGGTGTATTTTGACCATGCCTCACTTGTTAAGCCCTTACAAACTTCAGCCATATTAGCTTTTCTTGAATCTCCCCACAGAGGATAGGAAGAGGGAAATGTCACTTATTTTATTGTAAAGTTAATTTGAGAGTTCTTAAAATTCTTCCAAACATAAATTGGGTGTCACTGTCATCCTTATTGACAAGAGCAGTAGAAAAAAAGTGAAATTCTTAGAAAAAAGTAAGCTATAATCTTTGGAGCAAGGTGAAACCTTAACACATAGGAGAACCAAAATCTGCTTTTGACCTCCAGTGAAATATTTAAGGAGAAACCCACATGTCATCTCAAAAGCAGCAACAGCATTCTACTAATAATATTCCTCCAAATTATTGCAAGACACTAATTAATTGGGAAAGATCCTACTTTTTATAGATCTGGAGATCACTGTGAGTCTCCTCTAAAAACTCTGGACATCAGTTACTTTTTAATGATTCAAACCATGTAGTAAACTTTACCAAGTTGTTCTAATCAAGCCCACTATTAAAAGGGACTTGGATTAAGGTCCAGGATGTGCCTCTTACTTCAAGAAGGTATATGTAACAGTCAGTGGATGGCCTGATATTTCCTCTTCATAATGGTATCTGTGCATTTATTCTGTTTTCTTGAATACATGTTTCTATGATTATTTTTGGTTATTTTGCTTCTTGTAGAAGATACAATGCTACTATACCAAGAACCTTAGTTGAACAAGTTCCCAGCCAGCTGGATTTTTCCATACTAATTGGCTTCCAAGGATGTGAATAGGCCACTGACTGATCCAGATTTGCTGTAGACACATCATGTGTTACATACATCACATTTCCAGAGTTGATTACCACTCAAAATCCTGACCTGCTCACTTTATCATTAACAGCTATATTCTGTTTTAGGAGACACTAGCTGACTAGGCATCCCAAAACCAAATTCAGGGGCTCTTTAGAAAATCAAGCTACCAATAATCTCAGTCATCTTTCCTTGGGGATAGAACTAATTTAAATAATTTAAGTTTAGTGCCAGACCACAGACCACAAATTAAATACAGTAAAACAAATAATTCATCCACAATTTTCACACTATAAAATCGTGTTCATTACTGAATGGATTTAGAAAGTAACAACTGACTCTGTAAGAAATTAATCTATTTGCTAAATATGTGTACATGAACTAATCAATGTGCATCAAGGTCTGAGCTCCATCAATATTTCCACCAGACAGACTACTGTATAGCAAGCATGAAACTTATAGTAAAACAAAAAATATTATCTTGGGGAGTAGATTTTGCTAATAAGCAGTAAAATATAAATGTTGACAAGTAGACAATGAGTTTTATAGTTGTGGAAACCACTGTGTGTATGCAATAATTTCACCCATAAGACAAGTTTCTGTGAAGGCAATCCCACCTACATAACTGCTTTTAGATTACTCAAATAACAAACCACCAACACATTTTTACAGGGATATTTTTTCCTTAACTTCTAATCAATCTTTGAAACATAAGAATAGATAGTTTTAAATCTGGAAATGGCTTTTTACTACTATATTCCTTGTATACAGCTACTATGCTAAATAGCATCTTTTCATTGTCAATAAAATTTCATTCAAAATAGTTTTCCCTTAAAATTGTAAAAATACTGTAATCCCTGCTTTTGCTTATTCAGTCCCATATAATCAGGCTTTGTTATTAGCTGGAAAATAGGCTTATAACATTCTACCTTTTAATTGAAAACTAAAACTGTAATGAGATTTTGTATTATATGAGAAGTCATTGAACACAATCACATATACAATAATAATTCCAGACAAAGATCTAGAAGAAATAACAAAAACTTAAAGTTTCATTAGGCTATGTGATTACTTATATTATGATTAGAGATAAACAAATTGGAAAAAATAAAGCTTCCCAGGGCTTTTTGAACAATTAGCATTTTACCCAAAAATTGTATTAGAAAATTTTAAAATGAAACTTTGACATGACTGGTATAACCAAACAAAATTGAATGTCATGCATTCTCCACTGAAGCCAATATAGAAACATTTCAGCTTGCTAACAAATTTGTCCAGCTTTGGACATTTTTCTGAAGACAGTTACCCTAGTCAGTACTACACTTGTAATTCACAAAGTATCTTATGAAAAGCCATCTTAAAAGATTTACAATGGTTGTCCTTTTGATTTTACATTCACTATTTCCTCTTTTTTGATAATAAATATTGCCTTAAAGCTCCTATAGAAAGGATTTGAGAATATCTTCAAATGCCTTCACAAATAAGGAAAAGTAAATAGAATAGGAATACTTTTATGCAAATCTAGTTTTAACATAGAAATCAGGTTGGAATGAAGAAATCCTTTTTAGCAGAAAATCACAATTTGTACATTTGTATTACTCTATTCTTGTATTATTATAAAGTATACTTCAGACTGGGTAATTTATAAAGAAAAGAGGTTTAATTGGCTTATGGCTCCACAGGCTGTACAGAAAGCATCTGTTTGGCTTCTCGGGAGGCTTCAGGAAGCTTCCAATCATGGCAGAAGGGGAAGGGGAAGTAGGCACATCACATGGCCAGAGAAGTAGCAAGAGACAGGGCGGAGGGGATGAACATTTTTAAGCAATGAAGTCTCACAAGAACTCACACATTATCATGAGGACAGTAGCAAGTGGGATGGGGCTAAACCATTCATGAGAAACCCACCCTTATGGTCCAAACACCTCCCACCAAGCCCCACTTCCAACAACGGGGATTATAATTTGACATGATATTTGATGGGGACATAGATCAAACCATATCATTCTACCTGTGGCCCCTCCCATATCTCATGTCCTTCTCACATTGCAAAATACAATCATCTCCTCTCAATAGTCCCCCAAAATCTTAACTCATTTCAGCATTAACTCAAAATTCCAAGGTCCCACATCTCATCTGCAGATAAGTTCCTTCTGCCTATGAGCCTATAAAAATCAAAACAAGTTACTTACTTCCAAGATTCAATGGGGGTACAAGCATCAGGTAAAGACTCTCATTACACAATGGACTAATTTGCCACAAGAAAGGGGCTACAGGCCCTATGCAGAACCCCCAAAGTCCAGAATGGCAATTATTAAATCTGAAAGCTCCAAAATAATCTTTCTTGACTCCATGTCCAACATTCAGGGTACACTGGTCTGAGGGGTGGGCTTCCAAAGCCATGAGTAGCTCCACTCCTGTGGCTTTGCAGGCTTCAGCCTCTGAGGCTGTTCTCACAGGCTGGCATTGAGTGACTGTGACTTTTCGAGGCACATGGTATAATCTGTTGGTGGATCTACCATTCTGGAATCTGGAGAATGGTGGTCCTCTTCTAACAGCTCCACTAGGCAGCGACCCAGTGGGGACTCTGTGTGGAGGATCCAATCCCACATTTCCTCTCCACTGTGCCCTAGTGGTGGTTCTCCATGAGGGCTCTACCCCGTAGCAGGCTTCTGTCTGGACACCCAGGCTTTCCATACATCTTGTAAAATCTAGTTGAAGGCTCCCTAGCCTCGACTCATGAATTCTGCACACCTGCAGGCTTAATACCACATGGAAGACCCCAAGCCTTAAGGCTTTCTCCTTCTGAAGCAGCAGCTTGAGATATATGTGGGCCCCTTTGAGCCACTTCTGGAGCTAGAGTGTCTGGGAAGCAGGAAATCATGTTCCAAGTCTGCACAGAGCAAAGGGGCCCTGGGTCTGGCCCATAAAACCATTCAGTCCTCCTAAGCCTCAGGATCTGTAATAGGGGGAGGTGTGAGGGTCTCTACCTTTAAATCCTTTTCCTCATTGTCTTGGCTATTAGCACTTGGCTCCACTTTACTTAAATTAATTTCTACAGTATGCTTGAATTCCTGTCCTGAAAATGAGCTTTTCTTTTCTACAACATGAGCAGGCTACCAATTTTTCAAACTTTTAGGCTCTGCTTCCCTTTTAAATATAATTTTCAAATTCAGGTCATTTCTTTGCTCATGCATATGAGCATACACTCTTATAAGCAGTCAGGCTACTTCTTGAACATTTTTGCTGCTCAGAAATTTCTTGAAGCAGATACCCTAAATTATCATTCTCAAGTTCAAAGTTCCACATATCCCTAGACCATGGGCACAATGCAGCCAAGTCCTTTGCTAAGGCATAATAAAAGTTACCTTTGTTCCAGTTGCCAAAGAATTCCTCATTCCCATCTAAGAACTCATCAGTCTGGACTTCACTGTCCACAGCACTATCACAATTTTGGTCACAATCATTTGACCAACCTCGAAAGTTTCAAACTTTCCTTAATCTTCTTGTCTTCTGAAACTTCCAAACTCTTCAAACCTCTGCCTGTTATCCCATTCCAAAGCTACTTCTACATTTCCAGCATTATAGCAATGCTCCACTCTTTGGTATCAATTTTCTGTATTAGTCTATGTTGCATTGCTATAAAGAAATGCCTGAGACTAGGTAATTTATAAGAGAAGAGATTTAATTGGCTCATTGTTCTGCACACTGTACAGGAAGCATAATGCTGGCACCTGCTCAGCTTCTGGAGAGGCCTCAGGAAGCTTCTAATTATGGCAGAAGACAAAGGCCAGGCTACTCACTTGGCTCAGGAAGATCCACGAAAGAGAAAGGGGTAGGTGATACACACTTTTACAACAACCAGATCTCATAAGAACTCACTCACCATTGCAAGGACAATACCAAGTAGGATAGTGCCAAACCATTCAGGAGAAACCTGGCCCCATGATCCATTCACCTCCCACCAGGCCCTATCTCCAACATTTGGGATTAAAACATGACATGATATTTGGTGGAGACACAGATCCAAACCATATCAACATTCAATGCATTTATTTACCTTAAAATAATTGTCCTAATCAGCTTGAGCTGCTATAACAATTCGCCATAGACTGGGTGGCTGAAACAACAGACAGTTTTTGGTGAAGGCCTCTTGCTGGCTGGCAAATTGGTTCTTTTTCACTGTGTCCCCACATGTTGGAAAAAGAACTCTGATCTCCTCCTGTTCTTAAAAGGATACTAATTCCCTCATGGGAGACATGTCCTCATGACCTCATATTAACTTAATTACATCCCAACAGCCCCATCTTCAAATACCATCACATTATTTCTTAAGGCTTTAACATACAAATTTGAGGAGACAAAAAGGTTAGTCTATAACAATAATATATATCACAAATATACCACCCAAGTTAATAGCAAAAGCTAACTCTCTCATTGTGATTTATGCTTTTACACAGCTAGGAAAAGAAGCAAGTGTTTTATTCTTAATTTAACTAAAATACTGGTAATATGACTAAAATTCATTTGATAACTGATATTTTGAAATCTGAAAAGTGTTCTTCATTCCTCTGATAGTATAAGGCTATGTAATACATATGCCTAAGGCAGAGCCTGAACTCAGCTTTCACTAGATAATTGTGGCTTCTGCCACATGGCTGCAATAAAAACCATGTATTCCAACTGCTTCATACACTGAACAATGATTTATTTTATTTATACCCTAGCTCATAGTATCAAATGATTCTGATGATTGGGACAGCTGACTTTGTACATTTGAGTTTATTTCCTCATGTATTTTGTATTTAGGAGTGAACTCATCTTCAGGAGAAGTATATTGTAACACATGCTTTGTTTGTGTCCCTTTGGGGAAGTATTTTTTTTTAATTTGCTTCTGCCAGTTTTCTACATACACCATCAATCTAAGACACCATCATCCAATCAAGTTTCACATGAACATCTCAGTTAGGGGGCTCAACCTACTGAGATAGTGGAATTTAAACTCTATTCTCCCATGTACACTATTCAGATTTAGTCTTCAAGTGAGTGACTCCTTTATTCACTCAGAAATAAGCAAGACCAAGTCTTATGCTGAGCTTCTATGCAGTTGTGCAAGGTATGCCTAATCCTAATTTGATAAATGAGGCAGGGCTTCCTCTTAGCTTTACATAAAAAGCTCATTTCTATAAGCACCTTGAGTTTCTGTAGGTTTATAGATGATCCCAAATCTCCAAGAGCCATACTTTTGCTCCTGATTACTCTTCTGGCTTTGAGGTTCTTATTTATTTCTGCATGTCTTTTCTAAAACTATGTCTGTTATAAATGTCAAGAATGTGTAATCACAAATAACTGTAGCAAATTTGTATATAATGGGCAGCATGGATAACTTTCAACCTGCATGTGATTCCATCTGGAATAAGTTTTTGCTTGTTTGTTTTTAACATCTTGGGTTTCCTTTTTACAGTAGAATACCATTTTAACACTACTTTCTGTGTGTGTTGTAGGATTGAGAAAATAAGCAAATATATTGATGATTAGAGCCACAATTCTCAATATAAAAGAACAGAGAGATACAAAGGCAAGGATTGGCATAAGACTGGAATTTGATTATAAGTATGTGATTATAGTTATATAATTCATAACAGGCAAACTGATGTCATGCTGTCTCTTGACATGAAGACACAGTATCTATAAATACAGTATTATTGCCAAAAATGAGAAATATTAACATAATCACAAGAAGACGCTAGATAAATATAAACTAAACAGCAATTTACAAAACAAGTGGTTTGTACTCTGGAGAAATTAAATTTGAAAATAAATGTCATGAATGATATAGAGAAATTAAAAACAATTCCAGATTAAAGAAAATTTAAAAGTTAAAAAAAAGAATGTGAAGGCAATGCGTGTTTCTAGATCAAAACTTCGTTAGGGGAATTAAATAAACATATGCATAACTAATTACAGTACCCTGAAACTACTGAACTTCAAATATAAATGGAAGCAAAGCAGGCAAAAAAGAATAGCTGAATAAATGACCAACAGACAAAAATTTTCATTAGAAAAAATAACACAAAATAAAATTTCTAAGTGAAAGGTTTGAAAAAAATCCTAATATCTTGCCTTACCATGAATTCTGTATCCAGATACTCTGTCATTTAATAAAGTGGTGAGTTTTCAAACATCATATAAGAGGAAAATAATTCACCAATGCTGTCTGAAAGAACACTGTATTAGTCTGTTTTACTCTGCTATAAAGAACTGCCCTGGACTGGGTAATTTATAAAGGAAAGAGGTTTAATTGATTCACAGTTCAGCATGGCTGGGGAGGCCTCAGGAAAGTCACAATCATGGTGGAAGTTGAAGGGAGAGCAACACACCTTATTCACAAGGTGGCAGGTAGGAGAATGAACATAGGAGGGACAAACAAACACTTATAAAACCATCAGATCTCTTGAAAACTCACTCACTATCATGAGAACGGCATGGGAGAAACCTCCCCCATGATCCAATACCTCCACCTGGTCTCTCCCTTGACACATGGTGATTATGGGGTTTTTGGGGATTATAATTTAAGATGAGATTTGGGTGGGGACACAAAGCCTAACCATATGAAATATGTAAACTGTGTAATTTAACAAAAAGGCAATTTATTTTTATGTAAAGGAAAGTAAAATTAGCAATAATGATGAAGATATCAATACAAGTATTGTACTTAATACTCCATATAAAATAAATGATAACTTCTGGGAGAGTCAAACATAAGTTGGAAACAAAAGACAACCTAACAAGTAGGAAATAAATTATATGAAATGGCAAAATTTGAAAATAAGTGTGATCAAATAAGAAGATGCATATTAGTAAAGGCAATGAAATTACCACAAAACAAATGTTAAAAATAATAATCTGACAAACATTAAAGATGACTAAACATTTTAAAAGGTGGTTGTTGAAAAGCCGATTAAGATGCAAAAATTTGCTCTAATACTGGGTTAATTTTTTTTTTTTTTTTTTTTTTTGAAATGGAGTCTTGCTCTGTCGCCCAGGCTGGAGGGCAGTGGCAGGATCTCGGCTCACTGCAAGCTCCGCCTCCTGGGTTCACGCCATTCTTTTGCCTCAGCCTCCCGAGTAGCTGGGACTACAGGCACCTGCTACCACGCCCAGCTAATTTTTTTTGTATTTTTAGTACAGACGGGGTTTCATCGTGTTAGCCAGGATGGTCTCGATCTCCTGACCTCGTGATCCACCCGCCTCAGCCTCCCAAAGTGCTGGGATTACAGGCGCGAGCCACCGCACCCAGGCTCTGGGTTAATTTTTAAAGTAAAAAAATTTAGTGACTTAAAATAATCACTTATTATAATCTCGTATTTCTGGATATTCATGAACTCAGTTGGGCTGGTCTTGCTTTTTTCTGATATGACTGCTGCATATGGTAGTTGAGACTCGAATCTCCCAAAGGCTTCTGTATATATGTGTATCTCTCAGTGTGACCTTTCATGTAGCTAGCTTGGATTCCTCACAGTATGGTGGCCACAGGATAAATATACATTCTTTTTCTGTTGATTGGTTTTCCCAAGAAAAGTATTCTATGAGATAGAAAGAGGAAACTTCCAGGCTCCTAACACTCAGGCCCAGACACTGGAAGGGTGTCAATTTTGCCATATCATACTTGTCAAGTGCTCACATAGCACATTTTGTTTCAAGAGGAAGGACATCAACCCACTTCACAAGGGAACAAGAATCTAACAGCCTAGGACTGTCATTAATTCAGCAAAGACACTTTCTAATAATATATTACTTAATTTTTCAAAGTTTTGACAGTTTTTTTGGATTCTTTGACACCATATCTCTCTAATTTTCCTCATATTCTGATTTTTTTTTCTGAATGCTTCTTTTCAGTGTCCAATTGTTGACTGCTCTACCTTACTAAATATTTAGATTTTAGAATGTTCCAGAGTTTATCTTGAATCTCCTTTATTTTTCTTTCTACGTGCTGTAATGTGATCTTAAACAGGCTCATATTTTAAAATACATATGTAAATAAATATATTTATTTATCTCAAATAACTATCCTCAGTCTGAATCCTTCCATTCAACTTGAGCTTTAATAGGGGATTTTCATGTCTCACTGTGCACTTGTATCCTCCACTGGTATCTCAAATTTAGCATGTCCAAAATGAAACTGTTGAAATGTTCTTCCCCTCTTTCAAATACCACTCCTCACTTACCCTCTGGGGGAAGAAATAATAAAATGAAATAAAAATTTTCATTTATTGTTTTTCAATAAATGAAAAACAAACAAAACAAACCAACATCAATACTTTCATCACCTCTCACTTTTCCCTCTGAATAAATTACCTCAACATTTACTGGTTTTCAAGTCTAGTCTTAAATTCATTCTTCATCTCACGCTTTCCCTTGGACCCAAAAATAATTCAACTGTAAACTCTGTCACTTCCACCTCTGAGAAGAGGTGGCCGCTTTACTCTTTTCTAACTCATAATGTTGCTAGCCTGGACTACTGAAATGATTTTCTAATGCATTGCCATGAATATATTTTTATCCCTACATACACCTTTACTATGTAGGAAGCAAAGTGACATTTCAAAAGTAAATAAAACAATATATACTTTGACCATTTCTAAATTTGCGATTTTGGGTTTATTTGAGAAAAACCTATATTTGATTCTGGTACAGGTATTGATCATGTTGACAGAAATCTGCTATATCACCACCAGTGTTCTTAATAGTTTTTTTTCTATTAATGCACCAATAGTTTTGGTGCATTATTACCTTGTAATTTTATGGCAAAATATTTTACTAAGATTAGCAGAGATAATTTTAGTAATGAATATTTTATTATAATACATAGTTTAATTTAAATTGCATGTTGTCATAGTTTCTGTCAATTCCTCACCCCACTTCATACTCCTGAAAGTACTCTGGAAACCTCTGATTTGTAGTCTGTCTTTATATAATTTTTTTTTCCAGACTTCTTTCCCTCACCATAATTAATGTGAAATTCTTTTATGTTGTTACAGGCAACATTAATCCATTCCATTTTATTGCTAAATAAAATTAACTATATTGAAAAATCATAGACTAGTTATTCTTTCGTCAGTTGATAGATATTTCCAATTTTTGGCAATGATGAGTAAAAGTGATGTAAACATGTATGTGCAGATCTTTGATTATTTGTTTTCATTAATCTTGAGTAAATATCTAGTAGCAAAAATTATCATTTGTGCATTGTGTATTTTTAGATATTTTTAAAAAGACTCAAATATTTTGCAAAGTTGCTCTAATATTTTGCACTCCAACCAAGAAGGTTTCAGAGTTCCAGAAGCCCTGTATCTTTGCCAAAAATAGATATTGCCACTTATTTAAATAACGTGTTGACTGAGGTGGATGTTTACTGGTATTCTCTATAGTTTCAATCTATATTTTTCTCGTGGTTAATAATGTTGCACAATTTTTCATGTTTTTATTTGCAACACATAAAATTCTTTTAGCATCGAAATCATTTTCCCCTTTAAAAATTGGATTGTTTTGCTCTTACATTTTTTGTTATGAAAGTTATTTATAAATTTTAGATACTAGTCCTATGTCAAATATGTATTTTGCAGATATTTTTCCCAAACTGTGGCTTATCCTTTCATTTTTTAGAGACTTTTGAAAAGCAGTAGTGTTAATTTTAATGAAGTCCAATTTCTGAATATTTTCTTTATGCTTCATGCTTTTCTTGTCCTACATAAAATATAATGGACAAATTAAGAATAGCAATAATTTTTTCTTTGTATGAAGCTGTATGCATTTAGGATTTACATTTTTGTGTGATTTATTTCTACCTAATTTTTTATATGTGGTTCAAGATATGGTTTGGGTTTCTTTTTCTTTCTTATTTTTTGTGCATGTTGATTATTCCACTACCATTTGTTTGAAAGACTACCCTTTCTCCACCAAGCTGTCTCTACCACTTTTTGGAAAAACAGTTAACTATGTATTATATAAGTGGATCCATTTCTGGGTTATATGTTATTTTATTGATCTTTATGTTTACTCTGTCATCTGTACCACACTATACTGTAATAGCTTTATAATATTATGTAAAATAAGGTAGAATGAGCCTTCTAAGGTTGGTCTACGTTTTTTAAAATTAATTTAAGTAGTTTTCTTTTCCATTTAAATTTTACCATCAGCTTGTTATTTGGAAGAATTTGTATTAATAGTATTGAGATTTCCAATCCAAGAACGTATTATTTTGATTTTCCATTTATTTAGATCTTCTTTAATTTCTGTCATGATTGGTTTTTGGTTTTCTATATACAAAGATTGCATGTATTTTATTTGATTTATACGTACATATATATTAAGGTTTTGTATCAATATATGATACTTTTTTCTAATTTCAGTTTTCAATTGCTCATTGCTAATATATTTAAATGTAACTGGTTTCTTATATACAACTTTGTGCTTTGAAATGTTACTAAATTAACTTTTTAGTTATGGTGGGTTTTTGCAGGTGGTATAGCATTTTCTATGAAGAAAATCTTGTACTTAGCAAATCATTGATTTTTTTTTTCTTTCTGATGTATGTTATTATTTCTTTTTGTTGCATTATTGCACTAGCTAGGGTCTCTGCATGATATTAGTTGAAATTGAGAGGTGAAGCCAGCTGGACTTCTGGGTCAGGTGGGGACTTGAAGAACTTTTCTGCCTTACGAGAGGTTTGTAAAATGCACCAATCAGTGCTCTGTGGCTAGCTACAGGTTTGTAAAATGTGCCAATCAGCACTCTGTAAAAATGCACCAATCAGCACTCTGTGACTAGCTAGAGGTTTGTAAAATGGACCAATCAGCACCCTGTAAAATGGATCATTCAGCACACTGTAAAATGGACCACTCAGCACACTGTAAAATGGACCACTCAGTGCTCTGTAAAAGGGACCAATCAGCACTCTGTAAAATGGACCAATCAGCAGGACATGGGTGGGGACAAATAAGGGAATAAAAGCTGGCCACCCCAGCCAGCAGCGGCTTCCTGCTCCAGTCCCCTTTCATGCTGTGGAAACTTTGTTCTTTCATTCTTCACAATAAATCTGGCTGCTGCTTACTCTTTGGGTCTGCACCATCTTTAAGAGCTGTAACACTCACCGCGAGGGTCCGTGGCTTCATTCTTGAAGTCAGTGAGACCACGAACCCACTGGAAGGAACAAACTCTGGACACAGAAATGATAAAATCAAAAATATTTTCTTAATGCCAATGTTGGGAGGAAATCATTCATATTCATTGAATATGATATTATCTACAGTTTTTTTATAAATTTCCTTTATCATATTTAGGAAAGCCACATTGATTTCTAGATTTCTAAGAAATTTTATTATAAATGTATGTGTAATTATGTAAAATACCATTTTTCTGCATCAAGTAGGATTTTTATATGTGTTTCTCTTCTCAGACTCTACCCTTATAAGGAATATTTATGTGGGATAATTCTTTAACAATGAGGAAAAAGCCTCTCGTCTGCAGTCAATATAATATTTCTTTGTTGCAAATAGTAAGATCCATTGAATTTCGAATACATATTATTTCTATACCACAATTGAAATATAAGCACTTTAAAAGAAAGTCAACTTCAACTATACTTAGTATATATCTTTACTATCCTTACTATGGTATCGACATCAGGTACAATGTTTTATTCCAAAATTATTTTACATATCTGGTCATGAGGATGTTTACATAAGTTCTTAATACTCTGAGATACTACATTATAGACAAGTATTCATCTTTCCTTCAATATTCCAAAAGTATGCTTTTTTCCTCCTTAGAAACATCTGAGAGCATACCCTCAATAAATTTAATTTTTCCAAGTGTTAGAGTTTAAGACTTTTGCAGGTCCATGCAACTTTTCATTGTGCAAGAATACTTCAGCCAAACATGTACTAATAATTCATGGAAAATATTCTCAGCAGACTAGGAATAAAAGAAAACGTCCTCAACTTTATTAAGGACAAACCCAGGTGGTATAGTATGTTCTTGTAAAAAAATAAAATTGTCTTTTCTCACCAATATATACTTAATTTTCCAAATACTTTAGTCTATGAAAGGAAACAAGAAAAAGATAAACTAAATGTTGAGTATAAAAAAGAAAATATAATAATTAAAGATTATTGTCTATGTAAAAAATGTTAATGAAAGTACAGAGAAGCTCTGAGACATAATAAATAACATTTGGAATACTCCAAAATAAAAAGGCAACTTATAAAATTATATTTTTACATACTAGCAAGAAACAATTGGAAAAGTAAATAAAATATATTTTCACATTCTCAGTAAATAAGAAATCTTGAGAAATAAACGTATTAAAACTTACACAAACCTAATATACTGAAGACATTGTTGAATAAATTAAGGAAGGCATGAATTAATGAAGAGACAAACCATGTTTTTGAATGAGAAGACTTAACATTGTTGTTAAAAGAAAAACTTTAGACAAATTTTATTTAGCAGTGTTCATTTGAGCAAAGAATGATTTATGAATGGGGCAGTACTCAAAACTAGGAAAAGTTCAGAAAGCTCCAGACAGTTTCACAGGCAGCATTCATAGACAGAAAAAGCAAGTGAGATATAGGAACAGCTGGATTGGTTACAGCTGAATTTTTTACCTTTATGGGTATCATGTAATGAGGTATTTGTGTTATATAGACATAGTCTGATCAGTTGGGAGCCTGAGTTTGGCTGAAGCTCAACTGCTGTGATTGACTGAGACTCAGTTATTTGTTATAAGAGTATACACTCAAGTTAGGTTGCAGTTTGTTTGCACAATAGTTAGGTTTCATTTCACTATGAAGAAATGCAAAATGCAGAGGCAGCTTTAGGCCTAATTCAATTTAATTTAGTATTGTTACGTGCCAACTTTTTTGAAAGTCATCCATAAATCAACCACAGTTCCAATCCAAATCCCAGCATACTTTTTTCATATAGGAATTGTTAAGCTGATTATAAAATTACATAAAAATGCAAAGAACTTAGAATAGTCAACATTATTTGGAAAATAAAATTGAGGAATTTTGTTGCTTGATATTAGAACTTACTTAAAAACTAATGCAATATATACAAGGTAGAATTTACATAAGGATATATATTAGTCCATTCTTGTGTTGCTATAAAGAAAGGCCTGATACTGAATAAGTTATAAAGAAAATAGTTTTAATTGGCTCAGAGTTCTTCAGACTATACAGGAAGCACAGCAGAATCTGCTTCTGGGGAGGTCTCAGGAAGCTTACAATCATGGCAGAAGGTGAAGCAAGAGCTGGCATATCACATGGTGAAAGCAGGAGCAAGAGATTAAGGGGAGAGGTGCTACACACTATTAAATAATCAGATCTCATGAGAAATAACTCACTCTCATGAGGACAATAAAGAGGGAAATGGTGCTAACCCATTTATAAGAAGTCTCTGCCAGGCACAGTGTCTCACACTTGTAATCTCAGCACTTTGAGAGGCCAAGACGGGCAGATCACTTGAGGTCAAGAGTTTCAGACCAGGCTGGGCAACATGGCGAAACTCCGACTCCACTAAAAATACAAAAATTAGCCAGGCATGGTGGCACACACCTGTAGCCCCAGCTACTCAGGAGACTGAGGCACGAGAATCTCTGGAACCCCATAGGTGGAGGTTGCAGTGAGTCAAGATAAGAAGTCTTCCCCCATGGTCCAAATACTTCCCAGCAAGCCCCACCTCCAACATTGGGGATTACACTTCAATATGAGATTTGGGTAGGGGCACACATCCAAACTATATCATTCCAGTCCTGGCCCCTCATAAATCTTATGTTCTCACATTTCAAAACACAATCATGCCTTCCAAATAATCCCCTAAAGTCTTAACTCATTCAAACATTTACTCAAAAGTCCAAAGTCAGAAGTATCACCTGAGACAAAGCAAGTCACTTCCACATATGAGCCCATAAAATAAAAAAACAAGTTAGTTACTTCCAAGATACAATGAGGCACCAGCATTGGGTAAACCTTCCCATTCCAAAAGGGAGAAATTAGGCAAAAGGAATTGGCTAAAAGTCCTGGAAAGTCCAAAACCCAGTAGGGCAGTCATTAAATCTTAAAGCTCTATAATAATCTCCTTTGACTCTATGTTCAACACCCAGGGCACACTGATGCAATGGGTGGGCTCCCAAGGCCCACCTTACATTAAGGACATACCTTAATGTAATAAAAGTCATGTATGACAAACCCACAGCCAACATAATACTGAATGGGGAAAAGTTGAAAGCATTCCCTGAGAGTACTGGACCAAGACAAGGATGCCCACTCTCACCACTCCTCTTCAACATAGTGCTGGAAGTCCTAGCCACAGCTATCAGATGAGAAAGAAATAAAGGGAATCCAAAGAGTACCTCTGCCCCTGTGGCTTTGCAGTGTTCATCCCCGGAGGCTGCTCTCACAGGTTGTTGAGCACATGCAGCTTTTCCAAACTCAGGGTACCAGCTGCTGGTAGATTTACTATGTGGGGGTCTGGAGGATGGTGGCCCTTTTATTGAAGCTTAACTAGGAGGTGCCCCAGTGGAGACTTGGGGGAGCTCTTAACCCACATTTTCCTTCCACACTGCTCTAGTAGAGGTTCTCTGTGAGAGCTCCAACCCTGAAGCAGACTTCTGCCTGGACACCGAAGATATTCCATATATCCTCTGAAATCCAGGCAGAGGCTCTTAAGCTTCATTCTTTATTTTCCATACTTTATTGGGGTACAAGTGGTGTTTGGTTACATGAGTAAGTTGTTCTTTAGTGGTGATTTGTGAAGTTTTGCTGCACCCATCACCAGAGCAGTATACACTGCAACCTATTTGTAGTCTTTTATTTCTTGCCCCACTTCTACCCTTCCCCCCAAGTCCCCAAAGTCCATTGTTTTATCCTTATACTTTTGCATCCTCATAGCTTAGCTTGCACACATCAGCTAGAACATACGATGTTTGGCTTTTCATTTCTGAGTTACTTCACTTAAAATGATAGTCTCCAATCTCATCCATGTCACAGCAATGCCACTGACTCATTTATTTTTATGACTGAGTAGTATTCCATTATATATATATATGTATATATACACATCATAATTTCTTTTTTCCACTCCATTGATGGGCATTTGGGTTGGTTCCATGATTTTGCAATTGTGCAAGTATCTTTTCCTTATAATGACTTATTTTCCTCTGGGTAGATATCCAGTAGTGGGATTGCTGGATCAAATGATAGTTCTAATTTTAGTTCTTTAAGGAATCTCCACACTGTATTTCATAGTGGTTGTGTGAGTTTACATTCCCACCAGCAGTGTAGAAGTTTCCATGTTAACTGCATCCACGCCAACATCTACTGTTTTTTTAAATTTTTTTGACTGAATCAAACAACCTATCAGAAATATAATCCACCATGATCAAGTGGATTTCATACCAGGGATGCAGGGATGGTTTAACATACACAAGTCAATAAATGTGATACACCACATAAACAGACTTAAAAACAAAAATCACATGATCATCTCAATAGATGCAGAAAAATCATTAGACAAAATCCAGCATCCCTTTATGATTAAAATGCTCAGCAAAATTGGCATACAAGGGACATACCTTAATGTAATAAAAGTCATGTATGACAAACCCACAGCCAACATAATACTGAATGGGGAAAAGTTGAAAGCATTCCCTGTGAGTACCGGAACAAGACAAGGATGCCCACTCTAACCACTCCTCTTCAACATAGTACTGGAAGTCCTAGCCACAGCTATCAGACAAAAGAAAGAAATAAAGGAATCCAAATTGTTAAAGAGAAAGTCAGGCTGTCACTGTTTTGCTGATGATATGATCATTTACCCAAAAAACCCTAAAGACTCCTCCATAAAGCTCCTAGAACTGATTTAAAAAATTCGGCAGTTTTCAGATACAAGATTAATATACAGAAATCAGTAGCTCTTCTATACACCAACAGCAACCAAGCAGAGAATCAATTCAAGAATTCAACCCCTTTTACAATAGCTGCAAAAAATTAAATCCTTAGCCTCTACGAGGAGAACTATGTATTACTGCTGAAAGAAATCACAGGAAACACAAACAAATGGAAACATCCTATGCTCATGGATGAGTGGAATCAATATTGTGAAAATGACCATACTGCCCAAAGCAATCTACAAAGTCAATGCAGTCTCCATCAAAATATCACCATCAATTTTCACAGAATTAGAAAAAAAATTCTAAAATTCATATGAAACCAAGAAAGAACCCACATAGCAAAGGCAAGACTAAACAAAAGAGCAAATGTGGAGACATCATACTACCTGATTTCAAACTATACTGTAAGGCCATAGTCACCAAAACAGCATGGTACTTGTATAAAAATAAGCACATAGACCAATTAAACAGAATAGAGAACCCAGAAATAAACCCAAACACTTACAGGCCAACTGATCTGCGACAAAGGAAACAAAAACATAAAGTGGGGAAAGGACACCCTTTTCAACAAATGGTGAGGGAATAATTGACTAGTCACATGTAGGAGAATAAAACTGGATCCTCATCTCTCACTTTATACAAAAATTAGCTCAAGATGGAATAAGGACTTAAATATAAGACCTGAAACTCTAAAAATTCTAGAAGATAACATTGGAAAAACCCTTCTAGACATTAGCTTAGGCTAGGATTTCATGACCAAGAACCCAAAAGCAAATGCAATAAAAACAAAGATAAATAGCTGGGACTTAATTAAGCTAGAGCACTTTTGCACAGCAAAAAGAACAGTCAGCAGAGTAAACAGACAACCCCCAAAGTGGGTCTTCACACCCTTTACATCTGACAAAGGACTAATATCCAGAATCTACAACAAACTCAAACAAATCAGTAAGAAAAACACAAACAATCCCATGAAAAAGTGGGCTAAGGACATGAATAGAAAATTCTCAAGATAATATACACAAATGGCCAACAAACATATGAAAAAATGCTCAACATCACTAATGATCATGGAAATGCAAATCAAAACCACAGTGCAATACCACCTTACTCCTTCAAGAAGAGCCATAATCAAAAAGCTTCATTCATTCTTTCACTGTGCACACACTTGAAAGCTTAACATTAGGTGGAAGCCATTGAGGCTTACGTCTTGCACCCTCTGGAACTGTGGCCCAAGCTGTACCTGGGCCTCTTTAAACCACAGTTGGAGCTAGATCAGCCAGGATGCTGGAAGCCATGTCTCAAGGCTGTGCAGGACAGCAGAACCCTGTGCCTGGCCCATAAAACCATTCTGTTCTCCTAAGCCTCAGAGCCTGTGATAGGAAGGACTGCTTCTTAGATCTCTGAAAAGATTTTGAGGCTTTTTTCTCATTGTCTTTGTTCTCACCACTTGCCTCCATTTTAATTATACAAATTTCTCTATCAAGTGATTGCTCAGAAGCCCATTTGAATTCTTCTCCTGAAAATGGGCTAATCTTTTCTATCACATGGCCAAGCTGCAAATTTACCAAACTTGTATTCCCTGCTTCCCTTTTAAATATAAGTTCCAGTTTTAAGTCATTCCTTTGCTTCTGCATATGAGCTTGGGTATTAGGAGCAGCAGGCTATATCTTGAATGCTTTGCTGCTTAGAAATATCTTTTTCCAGATACCATAACTCATCACTCCCAAGTTCAAAGTTCCACAGATCCCTAGGGTAGGGGCACAGTGCAGTCAAGTTCTTTGCTAAGGCATAACAAAAGTGACCTTTGCTCCACTTGCTGGTAAGTTTCTTATTTCAACTTGAGAACTCATCAGCCTGGACTTCATTGTTCATATCGCTAACAGCATTTTGGTCACAACCACTTAACTAGTCTCTAGGAAGTTCCAAACTTCCCCTCATCTTCCTGTCTTATTCTGAGCCCTCCAAGCTCTTCTTACCTGTGTCTGTTACCCAGTTACAAAGTTACTTCCACATTGTCAGGTATCTTTATAGTAATGCCCCGCTCCTTGGTACCAATTTCCTATGTTAATCCATTCTTGAATTACTATAAAGAAATTCCTGAGCCTGGGTAAATTATAAGAAAATAGATTTAATTGGCTCATGTTTCTGCAGGCTGTACAGGAAGAATAGCAGCATCTGCTACTGGGAAGGCCTCAGGAAGCTTACCATCATGGTGAAGGCAAAGCATGAACAGGCACATCACATGGTGAAAGCAGGAGCTAAATGATCAGAACTCATGATAACTCACTATTGCAAGGACAGTACCAAGTGTGATAGTGCTAAATCATTCATAAGAAATCTGTATCTATAATCTAATTACCTCCCACCAGGCTGCATCTCCAAAATGAGGAATTAAATTTCAACATGAGATTTGGGCAGGGACACACATCCAAACCATATCACAATAACTTAAAGATTAATGGAACAGAGAAGAGAATTCATAGCTATGGATATACACACATATGTTCAATGCTCAAGTGATTTTAAACAAATATACCAATGCAATTCATGGAGAAATAGATTTTCAAGCAAACTATACTGAAACAATTGGTTATCTACATGGAAAATAATGAACCTCAAATCTGTCTTCAAATATGTCATTAACATTATCTCAAAATGGCTATGGGCTTTATTGTTAAAGCTAAATCTAAGATATGTTTACCAGAAAAACAGAAGTTAGGCAATATGAATTAGATCTCAAGTTAGGCAATATGAATTAGAAAAGTCACAAAAAGCATAATAATGTAAGAAAAAATAATAAATTGCATTTTATCAAAATTAAAAACTTCACAGACTTCACTAAATAAAGACATAATCTTGGTGTGGAAAAATATATACACACTACATATATCAAATAACTTTATCAAGAATATATGAAGAACTATATTTCTATAAGAGAAACAACATATACTGCTCTCAGAAGTAAGAAGGTCAGTAAAGTTAGTCTTAGCAAAGTGTCATTATTTTAATGACTTTATTATGTACTCTCATTTCTCATTATTGTCAAAATATTTGCTAGTTCATAAATAATATAATGATGTTTCAAAGTAATTTTCATATACATTTTTCTGATTAGAAATCAAGGGGACATTTTTCCCTTTTGTTATTACTACTTATAATACCTTTTAGATAAATTCATTTTTAATAAGTATACTTAGGTTTTAATCTTCTGGAGTATGTACTTTAATATATCTAATACAATTTCATAAATATGTCTTTCTGAAAAGTAAATTATTGAAGCAAGTAATAAAATCAATGTGATTTTTAATCACTTGAAAGGGAAATGTATGACAGTTGTATACAGCATATTTTTCAGTCAATGTTTAATTTAATGAGAGAGATAAAAAGATCCAGACTATTATTTTGTTTACCTTATCATATGAACATAGTGAAAAGATTAATAAATTTTTAGAATGCCTCGCCAAGTAATTGTTTTAACCTGAATCACAACTACACCAGTAAGTATGATGTGTGAAGTGTCCATGTGTTAAGAAAGGTTATGTGTTAGTAAAGTTCAGATCTTTTCTGGATCCGAATGGCTGATCCTTCATACCTGAAAAGCTGAATTCAGCTGGGTAGGGCCAAGAAATACAGTGACATTTGTTTGGGATTATATATGACATTTTATTTATTTGCTACTAGGTCATAGGCATCTCTAGAAATACATTACCTAAATATTTTCACGAGGTCATAATGAAAGCATTATTTTTAGTGATGTTTTCCTTTCTTGTCTCAAGCCTTTGAGATAGATTTCTTTATTTTTATTGTTTTTTTGAGCTGGAGTCTCGCTCTGTCGCCCAGGCTGGAGCGCAGTGGCGCAATCTCGGCTCACTGAAAGCTCCGTCTCCCGGGTTCACGCCATTCTCCTGCCTCAGCCTCCGGAGTAGCTGGGACTACAGGCGCCCGCCACCGCGCCCGGCTAATTTTTTGTATTTTTAGTAGAGACGCAGTTTCACCATGGTCTCAATCTCTGGACCTCGTGATCCGCCTGCCTCGGCCTCCCAAAGTGCTGGGATTACAGGCGTGAGCCACCGCGCCCGGCTGAGATAGATTTCTTATAGTTAAAATAGTTAATTATATGCTTTAGGTTTAATGGGGGTAGAGGACAGGTTTGTAATCATATTACCTGTCCTAACATGGACTTCCATGTGAGTATTTATCTCCCTACGTAATATGACATGTTTGTCAATGTAAACATGATTATACTCTTCCTTTGTTATTCTTTCAACTCTTTTTACATAATTTAGCCTAATTCAGATGCAATAGTATCACCCAGGGCTACATTTCTTCCATCATCTTCAACCCAAAACTTGCTTCATTGAATATAACAAAAAAGTCTATATAAAAAAATCAATGTCTATGTTAGGGTTCCTATAGATAATAGAAAGAAATCTTGGATAATTATCCAGCAATTTTCCTTGTGGTTTCATAATAGTCAGAAAAGTACACAGTTATGTGTCACTTAACAATGTAGATACATTCTGAAAAATGTGTTGTTTATGATTTTATTATTGTGTGAATGTCATAAAGCGTACTTACACAAACCTAGATGGGATAGCCTACTATACACCTAGGATTATGATATAACCAATTGCTCCTAGGTTACAAACCCATACAGCATGTTACTGTACCAAATACTATAGGCATTTGTAACACAGTGATAATTATTTGTGTATTTGCTCATTCCATGGACCCAAGTGACCATGTCAAAAGAATACACAGGGATATATGTTTGTAAAAATTCCAGTCACTTTTTGGTCCTACAGGGGAACTCTTTCCATGGGCATTGACTTGTGCTATGCTAAGAGACCCCCCAAATTTCCACAGGACCATGCTCTATATGGCCATCTTTTTAATTCTCCAGTTCCCTCTATAATCCACCATTCCACTGGAAAACCATGCAGCCCAAGCCATGGAAGAATACCTTGCAATTTCCAAGCCCTAGAGTTATCCTGGGGAGAGTGTGGGAGACTGTGTGAAGGAAAGGCCCTGAGAACAGCTTCAGACACTTTACCAGACCCAGGAATAACAGGAGGACACAATTTTTAATCTTTGCTCATAGCAAGCTAGTAGTATTTGTGATCTAGAAGTGGCAGCTTCTGCAGGCATTAGACTATTACAGGAAGAAGATTGGAGTACTAAGTGGAGCATGAGAAGGGCCTGAGCAGCCAGAACTGAGTGATGAGTGTGAAGTGCATTTTAGTTGTAAGTTCTGGATTTGGGCTCTTCTACTTCATGGAACCAGAGCAATAAAAGATTCACTGCAGCTTCAGTTTTGCCTGGGAGGCAAGATTTGGAGAAAGAGATCACTTTGCAATTTAAGGCAAGTCTGCATGTGCTCCAGCTTGCTTTCTTGTCAGATTGAGAAGGAAATTCCATAAATTATGAGGAGTAACAGGGAGGCAGGTCCTATATCTACTTGCCTGAACTAGGAGCCTAGGCCACTTCTCCTTTTCCATACAAGAAACTTGGTGCAGCAGCAGTTTCTTCAGTCTTCACCAGGCTTTTGGCAACTGCCCTCCAGATTCCGGCAGAGGTGGTGCTTGCATTCACTACTGGGGGGCCCAATTGTGGAATTGCCCAGCCCAGCTGAACCCAGCTTTGCCTCCACTTTGAGACTGAGTGTGAAACTCAAGTGTATTCCACAGCCTAGCTCACTGTCTGTGACACAGAAGAACTCCTCTTCTACCCTTACCTGTGTCACCTACTTGCCTGGTGGTTGATCTGCACACCCTATAAAAATTACATTGACACAAGTGCATAGCACTTGGGAATAATATGTCTCTTGTGACCACTGCCACACTGGCTTCACAGGAGACTGGCCTGCTGACACTCCAAGTACATTTCAACTAAAACTGGCATTTGAGAAAGTCAGCACACTCAAGCTTTCTATAACCAAATAATTGAACACGTGCAGAAACCATTGAACACATGCAGAAACAAACCCAAATGTCCCTGCTCAAGACACATTATAGTCACATCCTCAAGAAAAAAGTCCCATCCTAATGAATGTAAATTAAAAAACAAGAAATGACAGTTTCTCCAGATGAGAAAAAATTCAGCATAATAATTATTTATGAAAAAGCAGGGGGTAGCAAAATTCACAATGGATTCTAAGAAAAATGAAAAATTTTAATGCCAGATAAATTCAAAATCATGTTTTAAAGAAGATCAATTAGATCCAAGAGAAATCAGAAAACCAATTCAAAGACATTAGAAAATTAAACTCAGAATATGAATAAGAAATTAACCAAGGACACAGATATAAAAAAATAGCACTTCTGGAAATAAAAAATATTGAAGAAAATATACAATACAGTAGAAATCTCCAACAAAGACTGACCAAGCAGAACAATCTCGGAACTTGAAGAAAGGTCTTTTGAATTAATCCAGTAAGACGAAAATTTTAAGAAGAATAAGAAGGAATGAACAAAGTGTTCAATAAAAATGAGACCTACTAAAGTCTTAAAATTTATGAATGATTGGTTTTATTGAGGAGAAATAAACAAAATGTTTGAAAAATCTATTTAAGGAAATAATTGGTAAAACCTCCCAAGTCTTGCAAGACATATAGACATCCATATACAAGAGACCCAACAAACACCAGTAACGTTGGTATCACCATAATACATAGTCATCAGACTGTCTAAAATAATGTGAAGAAAGAAAATACTACAATCAGCAAGAGAAAATTGTCTATCCACCTAAAAGGAAACTCCATCAGACTCATAATGGATTTCTCAGAAGAAACCTTCCAAATGATTGTGAACCTATTTTTAGGGTGCTTAAATTAAAAAATGTCAACCATAAAATATATATCCTGCTAAAATAATTTTTACAAATGAAGGCACAACAAAGTGTTTCCTAGACAAACTCTGAAGGAATTTGTCATCACTAGATCAGCTGTACCAGAAATGCTTCAATTTTGGAATTCTAAACATAGAAACAAAAGATAAATACTCACTATTATAAAAATACGTGAAAGTGCAAAACTCACAGATCTTATAAAATAATAACATAAGGAGAAAGAGAGAAAGAAATTAAATGGCAACACAACAGTACTCCACCAAACCACAAAGACAGACAGACAGGAGATATAAAAGAAAAAAGATAACCCACAAAATGACAGATAAAAATGAACATTATGAAAAGAACAACTCTTACATGTTGATATTAACTTTTACTATAAATAGATTAAATGCTACACATAAAAACATGTAGTGTGCAAACTGGGTTTAAAAAAATAATAACAATCCAACCATTTGCTGCTTACAAGAAATTCACCTTACTGGTAAACACACTTATAGACGGAAGGTAAAGAGGTGAGAAAATATTCTACACAAACGCAAACCAAAAGCAAGCAGGAGTAGCTCAACGTACATCAGATAAAACAAACTTTAAACCAAAAACAGTGAAAGAAATACAAAGAAAGTCCTTATAGACTGAAAGAAGGATCAACTTAGGAAGAGGATATAATAATTTTAAATATATATTCACCAAACACCAGAGCACTCAGATTAATCAAACAAATATTACTAGACCTAAAGGAAGATATATACAACAATTAAATAATAGTGAGGTTTTGACATCCCACTCACAGCACTAGAGAGATTATTGAGACAGAAAAAGTTCAAGGAAACATGGGAATTAAATTGGATTTTAGAACAAATAGACCTAATAGATATTTACAAACTGCTCTAAACAACTTCAGAATATATATTCTTCTCATTAGCACAAGAAACATTCTCTAAGATGGATCATATGTTAGGCCATAAAACTAACATGTCAATACATTTTTTAATTCAAAATTATATCTTCACAGACCACAGTGGAAGAAAAGTATAAATTAATACCAAGAGAAATACTCAAAGCCATGCAAAAACATAAAAATTAAACATCACACTCCTAACTCTTTGAAATGAATAAAAATGGGAATACAACATACAGAAACCTCCAGGTTACAAAAAAAAGCAACCCCAAGTAAAAAGTATATAGCATTAAATGAACTTTAAGAAGATTGAAAGGTCTTAAATTAACTGAACATCACACATCAAATTATAAAACAAACTCAAAGCTGGAAAAATTAAAGAACAACAAGCATCAGAGAAAAACTAAATAAAATTGCAACAAAAAATGCAAATAATTTAAAAATTAATTTTTAAATTGGTAGCTAGACTAACCAAGAAAGGAAAAGCTCAAAATAAACATAGTAAAAAATAAAAGGGAAACCGTTATAATTAATATCACAAAAATGCAAAAGATCACTAGAGAATGCTATGAACAACTCTGCATTCACAAACTTGAAAACCCAGAGAAAAGTAGTAAGTTCCTGGAAACATACACCTTCCCATAATTGAAACAGGAAGAAATCAAAAGGGACCAATAATGAGTAGTGGGATTGAATCAGCAATAAGAAAACTTCCAAATTAAAATAAGCCTACAGCCAAACAGATTCAGAGCCAAATTCTACCAAATGTACAAAGGATAACTTGCATGAATCCTATAGAAAGCATTCCAAAAAATTACAGAGGAAGGAATCCTCCATAATACATTCTACAAAGCCAGTATCATTTTGATACCAAAGCCATACAAGGACACAACAAAAGAGAAAATTACAGACCAACATATTTAATAAACAGATGTAAAAATTCTCAACTAGAAAACTGGATCCAACAGCACATCAAAACAATAATACACCACAATCAAGTGGGCTTTTTTCCAGGTATGCAAGGATGGTTCAACATATGCAAATCAATATCATTCATCACCTAAACAGAATTAAAGACAAAAACCATAATTATCTCAACAGTTAGAGATAAGCATTCAACAAAAGTCAGCATCCCTTAATAATAAAAATCCTCAATAACCTAGGTATAGAGAGAAGAAAACTGAAAACAATAAGGCTCATATACAACAAACTCATCGCCAACACCATACTGAAGAGGAAAGTGTTGAAAGCAATCACCGTAAGAACTGGAATAGAACAAGGATACCCACTTTCACCACTAGTATTGGAAGTCCTAGCCAGAGAAATCAGGCAAGAAATTAAAGGCATCTGAATGAAAAAGGGAAGGTCAAATTATTTCTGTTCACTGACTGTATGATCTTATACCTAGAAATCCCTAAAGACTCTTTCAAAAAAACTCTTAGAATTGATAAAAAAAAAAAAAAAATTCGGGAAAGTTTCAGCATACAAAATCAACATACAAAACTTAGTGGCATTTCTACACACCATAGCAATCAAGCTTAGAAAAAAATCAGGAATACATTCCCACTTACAATAGTTACAAAAAAAGCCTAAGAGAATATTTAACCAAGGAGGTAAAAGACCTCTAAAAAGAAAAGTATAAAACACTAATAAAAAAATTGTGGATGACACAAAGAAATGGAAAAGCATCCTGTGATCAGGGATTGGAAGAACCAATATCATTAAGATAACCTAAGTATCCATCAACAGATCAATGGATGAAGTAAATGTATTATGTGTAAATACACAATATACACACATATATAGACACAATCTACACACACACATATATATCCAATGGATTATACACTATATATATCTATATTAACCTACATATATACACACACACAATGGGAATATTATTCAGCCATATAAAGGAATGAAATCATATCTTTTGCATCAACATGGAAACCGTTATATTGAGTGAAACAACTCAGAATCAGAAAATCAAATATCACATGTTCTCAGTTATAAATGAGAGCAAAATAAATTATATACATGGACATAGGGTGTGGGATAATAATCACTGGATATTCTAAAGTGTGGGAGGGTCAGAGTGGGAGTGAGCTATGAGAAATTACTTAATAAATACGAAGTACACCATTCAGGTGATGGTTACATTAAAACCCAGACTTTATCACCATGTAATATATCCATACACAAAATTGCACTTGTGCCTCCTTAATTTATACAAATGAAAAATGCAAAAAGACTATATTGCTTAATCAGAGTGGATGAACTAGATAGATTTTCCCCTAAGTATAAAATAAATTCACCATTAGCATTAAACTTTTTTGTCATTCATAGATAATATATTGTTGTCTTCTAACAATAAAGAGTTTATGGGCAATATCATGATCATTATTATTTAGAAGATTCCAAAGTAAAATAAAAATAACTTATTTCATAACTAAATGTGTGTGTGTGTGTGTGTGTGTGTGTATAGAAGTCCCCTTAATTTGCAGTTTCACTTTCGACAGGCTAAGTAACACATGATCAACTTCAGTCTTAAAATATTAAATAGATAGTTTTCAGAAATGTTGTAAGTTCTTAACTGCCCTTTGTTCTGTGTAGCATGATCCTACGTCATAGGAACTGGATGTGAATAATCCCTTTGTCCAGCATATCCACACTATATATGCTACCTGCCCCTTAGTCACTGAGTAGCCATGTCAGTTAATAGATTGAAAAATCATGGTCTACCTAGGATGCAGTACTATTCACAGTTTTAGGCACCCACTGTGGGTCTTCGAGTGTATCCTTCACAGACAAGGGGGTTGACTGTAGTCTCTTTTTGTGTGTAACTGAGCTGTAAAGGAGTAATTAAAATAACCTCAATATTTCCTTGGAAAATTATTTGAGTTGGTGTCCAGCTTCCCTCATTTTAAGAAAAGAGGTTCAGCCCAGGATCAGGGCATTAACAATAATGATGAGATACTGGGGTCACAGAAGTGCATTACACCTTCTTTGGAATAATTTTTTCACTACAGGCCTATACTTAAAATATATAAAACTGAACCCCTCATGAAATATTCAGCAGACTGGATCTACATGTTTCCTTAAAAGTTATATATGATTTATATAATAAAATAATAAAGACTAATACTCAGTATTGTATTAGTCTGTTTTCACATTGCTATAAAGAGTATCCAAGACTGGGTAATTGATAAAGGAAACAGGTTTAATTGACTCACAGTTCCTCATCATTTGGGAGGCCTCAGGAAACTTACAATTATGGCTGAAGGCGAAGAGGAAGCAAACACCTTCTTCAAAAGGCAAGAGGAGAGAGAAAAGTGAGGGAGGAACTTCCAAACACTTATAAAACCAGCCAATCTCATGAGAACTCACTCACTATCATGAGAACAGCATGGGGGAAACCACCCCCCATTATCCAATGACCTCCCTCCCTGGAAATGTGGAGATTACAGGTCCCTCCCTCAACACATGGGAATTACAATTTGAGATGGGATTTGGGTGGGGAAACAGAGCCAAACCACATCAGTAAAACCATATTAGTAAATGTGCTGAAAAATTTCAAATGCAAACATTATATATATTCTTACATAAATACTCTGATTTCTGTTTGGCAGTTAGTCCTGAATGACAGGATTTAACTTCACAAATTATTTGAATAATATGACATTAATAGAATCAATTCCTTACACGTGTTTTATAATATATGTTTGTGTCTTGAGGCAATTGACTGAATTTACAAAATCTCAAATGTATCTGTGTCTGTAATTATTCATAAATTACTAACCCTGAACCACTGTATGATTTATGTTTTCAAGGCATAATTATATACTTATTATTTAATATATTAATTAACTAACATCTATTGAATAGCCCTATGAGATATGACCCACATATTCAGGATTTCTTAGAGAATCTCATTGAAGACTTAGGGTGCAAGAGAATCTTAAGTCATCAAAGAAATTTCAAGTTAATATAAAATAAAATGAAAAAAGAAGGGGAAGTTAAATAAATCAATACTTATTGAATGCATGCTGTATGTAAGTTATTTGCATATATAATCTGATATATCCTTTACAAGCTACAAATTTGATATTTTATAAGTAAGGAGATTGATTTTGATGAGATTATGTGATTTTCGGAAAATAAAGCAACTAGTAAGTGTAGAAGTAGGAATCTGAGCTCCGATCTATTTGATTCTAATACACTTGTGCTTGCCACTGAATTGTGCTACCCATCAGTTAGATACTCTGAAGTTTTTGAGTTTCAAGAATTCCACAACTAATGATGAATGGTAGCAATATTTCAACCAACTAGTACTACTATGATTTCAGTTTATTTCTTTCTTATTCTTTTACTTTGGAAAAAATGTTTAAAGACAAATTATGATACCAATAATAGAACTTTCATTTAAATAGAAAATTTTCGAGTAAACCAACTTTATGTTCATACATGGGACTTTATTAAAATTTTCCCCATGTATTTTCTGATTACACAGAGCAATAGAGTGAAACAACTTCCGTAAAATTGTACTATATGAAATTATTATTTTGAAGATCAAAACTAAAATACAGACAATTTTATATTGTTCAAAGTAACATAATTTTCTTTATATAAAAAGCAAAGGAGACTCATAATCATCAGTGAGTTTATCAAGTTCACACATGTAGGGAACAGTAGATCTGGAATCCAAGACTTTTGAATGTCAAGTTGAATGCAATTTTCAGTGAATTAAGGATGTCTTTAGTGATGATAGGTGTTTCTGAAGATGAAACAGGAAAGGCAACCAAACAATATTTTCAGTGCAATTCATGCCTACTGTTTCATCTTTGATCGACTATAAAATTGTTCTTCTCATGGATCTGCTAGACACTTGGTTTGAGTTGTTGGAAACAGTTAAGAATGTAGAAATAACAGTAAAAATTGAAGCAGACAGGTTACTGGCTGAAATAGAATTTGTGGTATTGTTCAGTTTTATTTTAATATATCAGCAGTATATTTACCACATAAAGTCTATGCCTTGAAAATATAGTTTTTAAACTTGCCATACACAGGTATGATATTAGAAGCCATTTAATGTTGTCTTTGAATTCTCCCATATTTCACCAAAAATATTTGGCACATGAAATCTATGCTTTAAAAATAATTTTTAAACTTGACATACAAAGGAATGATATTAAAAGCCATTCAATGTTGTATTTGAATTCTTTCAAACATTACAACTAAAGCACCCTCTTTCAAGTTACAACTTTTGTAGTGGTATACTCCATATATTCCCTTGAAATGAATGTCTAATTATAATTAAGAAGTAATAAACATTTATCCACAGTGTATTTTCACATGCTCTAAATTATGAACAGAATTATTTGTCCTTGCATGTATTCTGTATATGTATTCTGTTAATATTGAGTTGAATGACTGAATTAAATATAACCTCTATATACTTATGTTAGAATTACATATAAGGCAATAATTATTTTTATTTCAATAGGTTTTGGGGTGCAGTTGCTTTTGGTTACATGGATAAATTCTTTAGTGGTGATTTCTAAGGTTTTAGTGTACCTGTCACCCAAGAAGTGTACACTGTACCTAATATGTAGTCTTTTATCCCTCACCTCCCTCTCAACATCCCCCAGCAGGTCTCCAAAGTCCATTATATCATTCTTATGCTTTTGCATCCTCAGAACTTAACTCCCACTTATAAGTGAGAACATATGACACTTTGTTTTCCATTCCTGAGTTACTTCACTTAGAATGATAGCCTCCAGCTCCATCCAAATTGCTGCAAAAGACATTATTCTGTTCCTTTTATGACTGAGTAGTATTCCATGGTATATATAAATACCAAATTTTCCTTATCCACTCTTTGGTTGATGGGCACTTAAATTGGTTCAATATCTTTGCAATTCCTAATTTTGCTGCTGTAAACATGCCTGTGTAAGTGTCTTTTCTCATATAATGATTTCATTTCTTTTAGGTAGATACCCAGTAGAGGGATTGCTAGATTGAATGGTATTTCCAGTTTTAGTTACTTAAGGGATCTCCATAATGTTTTCCATAGTGGTTGTGCTAATTTACATTTTCATCAGCCGTGTAAAAGTGTTCCCTTTTCACCACATCTATGCCAATATCTATTGTTTTTTGACTTTTTAATTATGGCTGTTCTTGCAGGAGTAAGGTGGAATCTCATTTTGGTTTTGATTTTCATTTCCCTGATCAGTGATGTTAAGCAGTTTTTACATGTTTGTTAGCTGTTTGTATATATTCTTTGCAAAAATGTCTGTTCATGTCCCTTACCCATTTTTTGATGGAATTGTTTTTCTTGCTGATTTGTTTCAGTTCCTTGTCAATTCTGGATATTAGACCTTCGTTGGATGCATAGTTTGCAAATATTATCTCCCACTCTGTGAGTTGTCTCTCTACCCTGCTGATTATTTATTTTGCTGTGCAGAATATTTTAGTTTAATTAGGTCCCAGTTATTTATTTTTGTTTTGTTGCATTTGCATTCGGGGTCTTAGTCATGAATGCGTTGCCTAAGCCAATGTCCAGAAGAGTTTTTCCAATGTTATCTTCTACAATTTTTATGGTGTTAGGTTTTAGATTTAAGCCTTTGATCCATCTTTAGTTGACTTTTGTGTAAGGTGAAACATGGGGATTCAATTACATTCTTCTACATGTGGCTTGCCGGTTTTCCCAATACCATTTAATAAATAGGGTATCCTTTCCCCAATTTATGTTTTTGTATGCTTCATCAAAGATCAGTTGGCTGTTAAGTGTTTGGCTTTATTTCTGGTTTGTCTATGCTGTTCCATTGGTCTATGTGCTTATTTTTATATAAAAACCATGCTGTTTTGGTAACTATAGCCTTGTAGTATAACTTGAAATCAGATAATGTGATGTCTCCAGATTTGTTCTCTTTGCTTAGTATTGCTTTGGCTATGCAGGCTCTTTTTTGGTTCTATGAATTTTAGGATTTTTTTTCTAGCTCTGTGAAGAGCGATGATGGTATTTTAATGCAAATTGCATTAAATCTGTAGATTGCTTTTGGCAGTATGGTCGTTTTCACAATATTGATTCTTCCCATCCCTGAGCATGGGATCTTTTCATTTGTTGTGTTATCTATAATTTCTTTCAGCAGTGTTGTGTAGTTTTTCTTGTAGAGATCTTTTACCTCCTTAGTTAAGGTTAAGTATATTTCTAACTATGTTATTTTATTGCAGCTGTTGTAAAAGGAATTGAGTTCTTAATTTGATTCTCATCTTGGTTGTCATTGATGTACAGCAGAGCTACTGATTTGTGTCCATTGATTTTTTTATCGTTAGACTTTACTAAATTCATGTATCAGATCTAGAAATGTTTTGGCTGAGTTTTCAGGGTTTCTAGGTGTATGATCACGTCCTTGATGAACAGCAAGAATTTGACTTCCTATTTTCCAATTTGGATGTCCTTTATCTATTTTCCTTGTCTGATTGCTCTGGCTAGGACTTCCAGTATTATATTGAATGGAAGTGGTGAAAGTAGGTATCCCAATCTTGTTCCAGTTCTCAGAGGAAATGCTTTCAACTTTTCCCCATTTAGTATGATGTTGGCTGTGGGTTTGTCATATACGGGTTTTATTACAAAAAGTTTTATTACAAAATAAGTCCCTCGTATGCCTACTTTGTTGAGGGTTGTTATCATGAAGGACTACTGAATTTTACCAAATGCTTTTTCTACATCTATTGACATAATCATATGGTTTTTGTTTTTAATTCTGTTTATTGACTTGTGTATGTTACACCATCCCTGCATCCTTGGGATGAAATCCAGTTGTTCATCATGTATTATCTTTTTGATATGCTGTTGAATTTCATTACCTAGTATTTCGTTGAGGACTTTTGCATTGAAGTTCATCAGGAATATTGGTCTGTAGTTTCCTTTTTTTATTATGTCCTTTCCTGGTTTTGGTGTTAGGGTGATACTGGCTTCATAGAATGAGGTAGGGAGAATTCTCTTTCTCTGTCTTTTTAAATAGTTTCAGTAAGATTGGTACCAATTTTTCTTTGAATGTCTTACAGAATTCAGCTGTGAATCCATCTGGTCCAAGAATTTTTTTGTTGACAATTTTTATTTTATTTTATTTCATTTTGAGATAGAATCTCACTCTCTCACCTAGACTGGAGTGCAATAGCACAATCTCAGCTCACTGCAACCTCTACCTCCCAGGTTCAAGCCATTCTCCTGCCTAAGCCTCCTGAGTAGCTGGGATTACAGGAGCACACCACCACAATCAGCTAATTTTTGTATTTTTAGTAGACAGGGGGTTTCACCATGTTGGTCAGGCTGGTCTGGAGCTCCTGACCTTGTGATCTGCCTGCCTCAGCCTCCCAAAGTGCTGGGATTACAGGCGTAAGCCACCGCACCCGGCCAATAATTTTTCTATAGCTAATTCAATCCCACTGTTATTGGTCTGTTCAGGGTATCTATTTCTTCCCTATTTAATGTAGGAGGATTATATATTGCCAGGAATTTATCTGTTTACTCTAGATTTTCTAGTTTGTGAATGTAAAGGTATTCATAGTTGCCTTGAACAATCCTTTGTATTTCTGTGACTTGTAATATCCCCAGTTTCAAGTCTAATTAGCTTATTTGGAACCTCTCTCTCACTCTCTTGGTTAATCTCACTAATGGCCTGTCAATTTTGTTTATCTTTTCAAAGAATCACCTTTCTGTTTTATCTTTTGTAATTTTTTTTGTTTCAATTTCATTTAGCTCTGCACTGATCTTTGTTATTTCTTTTCTTCTGCTCAGTTTGGGTTTAGTTTATTCTTGTTTCCCTAGTTCCTTCCAGCTTGTATGGTTTTGCCTGAGAAATCTGCTGTTAGTCTTATAGGTTTTCCTTTAAAGGTTACCTAATGCTTTTGTCTCACAGCTTTAAAATTATTTCCTTTGTTTAGCCTTTAGATAGCCTGATGACTATGAACCTTGGTGATGATCTTTTTGCAATGAATTTTCCAGTTCTTCGAGCTTCTTGTATTTGAATATCTAGATCTTTAGCAAGACCAGGGAGATTTTCTTCAATTATTTCATCATATAAGTTTTCCAAACTTTTAGACTTCTCTTCTCCCCCAGAAACACCAATTATTCTTATGTATGGCCATTTTACATAATTCCATAATTTTTGGAGACTTTGTTCATTTCTTTTGGTTCTTTTTCTTTATCTCTTTCTGATTGTGTTAGTTCAAAAGTCTTGTTTTGAGCTCTGAAATTGTTTCCTCTACTCGTTATAGTCTATTTTAACTTTCCACTGCATTTTCTATTTCCCTATGTGTGTATTTAATTTCCAGATGTTCTGATTGGTTTTTCTTTATAATATCTATCTCCCAGGAAAAATTTTCATTCATATCCTAGATTTTTTTCTCTGGTATCTCCTTGAGTAACTTAATAATCAACCTTCTGAGCCCAGCCATGGTGGCTAGCACCTGTAATCCCAGCACTTTGGAAGGCTGAGGTGGGTGAATTGCATGAGGTCAGGAGTTTGAGACCAGCCTGGCCAATATGGCAAAACCCCATCTCTACTAAAAATACAAAAATTAGCCAGGCGTGCTGGCAGGTGCCTGTAATCCCAGCTACTCACGAGGCTGAGGCAGGAGAATCACTTGAACCTGGGAGGCAGAGGACACAGTGAGCCAAGGTTGCATCACTGCACTCCGGCGTGGGCACCAGAGTAAGACATTGTCTCCAAAAAAGAAGAAAATCAACCTTCTGAATTATTTGTTTTTCATTTTAAAGATTTCATCTTGGCTTGGATCCATTGCTGGGTAGCTAGTGTGATCTTTTTTTGGTGTTATGGAACCTTGTTTTTCATATTACTAGAATTACTTTTCTGATTTCTTGTCATTTGGGTAGACTATCTCTTCAAATTGTTCTGGAAGTTATTTTTGATTGAACTGTGTTTCTTTTTAATTTCTTTTCTTTTCCCCTCTTAAGGACCAGACTTTAATGTTTATAGTTTATTATAGTTTAACTTGATTCTTGATGATTTTAGAGGTATAGATTCTGTATGAGTTTCTTAGTTATAGTAAGTCTTTGTGCACCGGTTTCCCAAATGCTGGTTGTAGTAGTCATGTACTTGGAGTATGGGCAAGTTCACTGTCCCCTATGGGGTTGGAATGGCAGTGATCTCTTAAATCTTATTGCATTTTTTCATAGTGTATACTATTTATTTATTTGTTTGTTTGTTTATTTATTTTTCCCCAGTTATTTCATTTACTGAGTTGGTGATTCAGGCTTCAGGCCAATAGAGGAGGCACCCCTATGTAAAAACTGGTTGTAGCTAAAGCAGGTGGATAGGTATAATATCCAATTGTGGGCAGCGGTCTCAGCCTTGATCAAGGTGGATGGGGGAGCTCTCAATTATAGGTGCTGAGGTTTTATAAGAGTGAAGAGAGGGAGCCACATCAGCTTCCTTTCCAGGCTAGCAGGAAAGCTATCTACCTCACAGCCTCACTCCTGTCCCAGTGTTCAGGCTATTACGGTCAGACAGGCACTTTTTTTTTTTTTTTTTTAAACTGTAAGAATGTTGACATTCCAAGTAAGGAGGAATTGTGACTCTGCCTCTCGTGTGAGCCTGAATCTGGAGAGCACCCCTCCTGTGGGTCTGCAATCACCCTGAATTGTTCCAGGAAGGCTGTCTATATGTGTATCCATGCTGTGTTCCTGTGGGAGAAGCCCCAGCTGTGCTGCAGTGGTTTGCAAGGGGAAAACTAGGGCCCCTTATCTAAGACCCTTTATGATTACAGAGACTGCCTGCCTGTTGGGGTAGGTGTGCAGATTGTCCCTACTGTGCCTAGCACTGCAATTATGTGTCTGTGGTGAGAAAATTCCCACAAGTGGAAAGATCTTGGACTCACAGCCTGCTGTTCAGATTCTTTTGTCCTTTAAGGGGTTCCCTTAATGTGGCATTCTCTTCTACCCTAGAAATGGGACATCTTCAGAACTGGACTACAGTGATTATTATTGCTCTTCTAGGTATAGCCACCCAGTGGGGCTACCAGACTCTGGGTTGATGCTAGGTAATGTCTGCAAGCAATAACTATGATTAACATAATTAAACTTATTAACTAAATTAAAACATGTCTGATTTATTTAGAAAAATAAAAGTTGGCTGGGTGTGGAGGCTCATGCCTGTAATCCCAGTATTTTGTGAAGCTGAAGTGGGAAGATAACAGCTTGAGGCCAAGAGTTCAATACTAGTCTAGGCAACATAGCAAGACCTTGTATCTATCTTTGAAAAAGAAAATTTGCTGGGCAAGGTGGTGCCTGAAGTCCTGACTACTTAGAGGCTGAGTTGGGAGGGTCAGTGGAGCCCAGGATTTTGCGGCTACAGTGAGTCATGATTGTGCCACTGCATTTCATCCTGGGGGATGGAGACCTTGGCTCAAACAGAGAGAGAGAGAGAGAGAGAGAGAGAGAGAAAGAAAGAAAGAGAAAGAAAGAAGAAAAAGAAAGAAAGAAGAAAGAAAAGAAAAGAAAGAAAAAAGAAAGAAGAAAGGATAGAAAGAAGGAAAAGAAGAAAGGAAGAGGGAGGAAAGGAAGGAAGGATGGGAGGAAGGGAGGAAGGAAGGGAGGGAAAGAAATAAGAAAGAAAGAAAGAAAGAAAGAAAGAAAGAAAGAAAGAAAGAAAGAAAGAAAGAAAGAAAGAAAGAGAAGAAAGAAAGAGAAAGAAAAAGAAGAAAGAAAGAAAGAGAAATTAAATGACAGGGTACAGTACACTACCTGCTATCCACCACAACATCACTTTTTTTTTTTTTTACATATTTTATAAATGCTTGAACATCTCAATCTTCCTTCTTTCCACAAACAACAACTACAAAACGACAGAACATGCAAATGTACACACAGAACATAGAAGTCTTCCTTCAGCTCACAAGACCCCTGTCTTGTGATTCCTCTATTTCTGTCTAGTTTTACAGCCAGAGTCTTAAGTTTCCTGCTAACATTCATCAGTTATACTCAGATATTTAGACACATTTTTCCATTTTTCTTATTCTGCAATGACTCACGCCATTCCTTCTCAATGTTTCTTCATATAATCTCTCATCAACATCTCTTTTTTTGGTGTGTCTCCCATTTCCTCTCTAAAAGTTTTAAAGATAGTTTATTTATTTTATAGTCTCTAAAAGCACACAGTAATGTGTCTCAGTCTGGATGTTGCCACATTAGCAGGTCTGCACACTCAGAGGACATTTATCTGCAGATTCACATCCATCAGCACCTATGATTTTAATCATTTATTACTTATGATTTTCTCTGTTCTCTCATTTTGGGAAACGATCAGTGAAATGTAGAACCCCTGAATTGATAGGTATTTCAAATAATTATTCTTTTTAAATTTTTCTTATATTTTTTGAGATTTTCTAAAAAACATTATCTACTCTCATTGATTTCCATTGGTACAAAGACTTGCTTAGTATTTCCTATAATTCTGATTTGTTCTTTTAACTGATTTTTATATAGTATTCTATTCTTACATGACAGATTCTGTGTCTTTTCTTATATATCTGATTAAATTTCCCATTTTATAAAGATAATCTATTTTATGAAGTTGTTTTTCTCTTACTTCCTGTTTTCTTAGCATGCTCTCTGTTTTATTTCATTTATGTTTTCTTTTTTTCTGTTGTTCTATTAATTTTGTTTCTCATATGATAAAAACCCTTGAAAACATAATTTACTTGCACTTCTGTGTGCATTGGTTTAAACTCTCTATCAAGAGCTCTTTATAGACAAACTGGATAGTCAGCCACTTTTTGAAAAATAGACCAAAAATATTATTTTCAATAAGTCATCTACCTAGGTTGCTTTATTTTCCAAAGAGAAATATCTTGCAATCTCTTATCACAGTGTTTTAGGCAGTTACTTGCATTATGAGGCAAGGAGGGGAAATGGCTTTAATTCTCTTCATCATTAAACCACAGAGACAGGAATCAGAATAGATATTTCTGTGAGATGGGGATACAGTGGAAGCATTGATTGGAATAGGGAATATAGGAACTATCTGAGGTTATGAAAATGTTCTATATCTTGAACTGAGTGGATTTTTGAGATCTATAAATATATGTAAAAAAGAACTAAGTTGTATACTTAAAATGTGTGCACATCACTCTATATAAATTAAACTTGTATAAAAGTAAAATAAATAATATTAAAAATTAAGAATTATTTTAAGGATACTCAAAATAATTTAGGTGATGGAATTTTTATCCTCAGTTTAGAAATTCATCACAGTAGAGTGTCCAGGCAGGTTGTAAGAGAGAGACACTTGGGGACACACATGGAGTCTGCATACATGGCCTCCCGCCCTCAATTCCACAGGTAGGTAACAAAAGATTGAGGCATTAAAGGAGATAGAAGAGGCTAAAGAAACTCTGCAAGGAAAAGCAGAAAAAGTAAGGACTTTAAGGTGTTCTGCTAGAATTCCACATTCTATTACTCAATCCTCTCTTTTCCCAACTCCCTGAACCTAGTTATCTTACAGGTACAATAAATACTATTAACTAATGTCATGCTGAGGGAGAAATAAAGGAAAACGGCCTGAAACTAGAATCTTAATCCTCAGTTTGAGCAAAAGGAGAAGAATACCCTCCAAATATCCCCAATTATTTAAGATTTTGGAAGAGAAAACTAGAAAAGGAAGTGTTTGATAAGCAAATCATATCCAACAATGGCCTGCCTTGTCTCTTTCCTAGAGCTATAAGAATAAAACCCTCTGGAAAAATACAGCATACAGACAGGAAAGAAAAAAAAAGATGCACATCATAAAATGCTACCTTAGTTACAAATGTATATCTTATGCCTAAGGAATTCCAAAGCAGAAGCTGATCTGTGCTATTTTAGTCATATCTCCAGGCAAATATAGACAGCTTCATCTTCAAATAAAAGAAATAAACATATTACAAAATAATATTAATTAAAACATTTGTTTTCAAGTTAATTAAGCTATATAAACCAGATGCACAGCTTGATGCATATTATATATGTAATTTTTTTATTATTTTGAGGTTCAAAACCTCAATAATATTCTTTATATCTTTCTAAACTTTCCCTTTGGTCTCTGCAGGGTATGAGAAGTTAAGAATAAAAATGAAAATAATTTAAACTTATAACTAATTGAATGTCTTTTGTAAAGTTTAAAATGCTATGTTAAATTTTTATGATTGCTATTAAAAAATAACTTACACAAATGCATTTTGAAAATGTTATTGCAATTCCATATTTGTTTCAATAACAATTATTATCCATATATTTTACACTGTTGCTAAACATTTCTGTAGACTTACTAAAAATAAAATAACCTAGTCATACATAGATATTTACTCATAGAATAAGCACAAATCATATTCATAAAACTTTGTTTTTAGTATCTATATTTATTAACATTATTCTCAATATACACAATGTTTATGGAGCAGAACAGTTTATTTTTCCTTCCTTAGAGGAAATAATATCTTCATAACCCGTGTCCCAGTTCTTACCTCTGGAGTGACATGATGAAATCCAGATAACACCCTATACTTTTAGGTTCTATATCATAGTCAAGAGACATCCACAAAATAATTTTTCTATGTATACATAGTAGAAAGAGACAGCTGTACCTTCTTATCTGAGAAAATTTCTTTGAAACATAATGGGAAAAATCCTTGGTTTCCTATTCTGTTTAGTACATAAATAAATCTCCCCAGGGAAAAGATAAAACCAGAGTTGCCAACTTTGTCACCCAAGAACGTATCCACAGGATCTCATCACTCCTTGCAATAGAAATGCAAAACTCAGGAGAGTTAAATATCTCTGGGGTTCTCTCTTTATATACTCAGTCTTAAATGAACTTTCAAGGCTTGTTTTTCTGTGCAGTTTTCAAGTTTCAGTAAGAATTACTCAGAAACCCCTAACTGCAGAAATATATAAATATTTTCTCATTTCCAAAGTTAAAGTATTGCAAAAACAAACAAACAAAAATACTCAAACTATATAGCTAAGCAGCTATAGCCCATTTCGTACACGTCCTTAAGATAAACAATAATTACTCCTCAAGTAAGAGGACTTGACAGCACCATTTGTCAATCGTAGTTTATTCTAACATTACCTGGTAATTGAGGTGACCTCCTGTGTTAGCTAATTGGCTTTACCTAGATGAAAAACAAACTTCTCGTATCTTTATGAGAGAAGACAGTTTTCAAACTTAGAGTAAAAGGCTACAAAAGTTAGACTCCAATCATACCGGAGAAAGTGAAATGTAGTGGAGTTATCTCCCTTCATGATTACAATTCAAAGATCTCTCCTAGGTCCCTAGAAAAGATATTCCTGAGTTATACAATTTACAAACGGCCAATCTAGTTTTTAGAAACATTTACATGTATTTCAAAGAGGGGAAGAAGTACTTAGAATTTTAAGTTTTCTACCGTAAATGTTCTACAGAATAGGTGGGGGAGAGAGATTTTATTTTCAACAAGGATAATTTAGCCTCTTAATTTAATATTAGTCCCTACAATAAATAGTAAGGTCTTAAATTTAAATCAACTGCAACAATTAAATATTCTGTACTCATTCAATTTAAAAAATTGTTGTTGCATCAGTAGAAATGATGAGGTTCTACAATATCTGTATAAATATTCCAAACTGATTAAATTTTTGATTGTTCCAAAATATCTAGGCATTATCTCTAGTAAATGAGGAAAGACATAGCTGATGAATTTTGGAAACTATTTCTTCCAGTAACTTTCTTAATATACATATTGAAAAATCTCTGAAAATTAGTCTTGATAATTAATGAAATGAAAAGTATTATTTGTCCTGTTTCATAGTTAATATTATTGAACATTAGACAAATAGAAGCACTCAGACATTGCATAAATAATCTCACTTTACTCATACCCAGAACTCTTTATCACTATCATTTAATACTTGTTCATGTATATATATATTTGTTTTGTTTTGTTTTGTTTTGTTTGAGATGGAGTTTCGCTGCCCAGGCTGGAGTGCAATGGTGCAATCTCGGCTCACTGCAACCTCTGCCTCCCAGGTTCCAGCTATTCTCCTTCCTCAGCCTCCTGGGTAGCTGGGACTACAGGCGCACACCAACACACCCAGCTAGTTTTTATATTTTTAGTAGAGATGGGGTTTCACCATGTTGGCCAGGCTGGTCTCAACTCCTGACCTCAGGTGATCCACCCATCTTGGCCTTCCAAAGTTCTGAGATTACAGACATGAGCCATCGTGCCCGACCACTTGTTCATATTTTCATATGCAATACTATATTACAATGCTGCTTACTCCTTTGGATATTTGATATTGATGTCCCCTAAGCATTTTCAGTGAAGTGATAAGCAAAATATTATCTCATGGGTGTTTCACAAAAAGTCCTGAAAATATTACAAATTGTAGTTAAAAAAAGTCAAACATTTTTTAAACTAATAGATAAAATGTGTTATCAATAGGAAATGTTTCTGAAGCTAGTTTCTATTTTGTGAATATAGATACTGTTTTTAAAAAGTACAAATTAAATATCAAAAAATTATCCCAATTAAAAATAAGGAAAGATACTTCTTTATCCATGTTTTTAGAGAATTTACAGTTATGTGTTTCGTAAAGACAGAAATGTATCATTCCTGTCTGAGAAATGCATCATTAAATGATTTTTATGATTGTACAAACATCATAGAATGTACTTACACAAACTTAGGTGGTATAGTCTACTACACATGTAGGCTGTATGGTATAACCTATTGCTCCTAGGCTACAAACCTGTACAGCATGTTACTGTACTAAATACTGTAGGCAACTGTAACATAATGATAATTATTTATATATCTAAACATAGGAAAGGTTTAGTAAAAATTAGGTATAAAAGATAAAAAATGGTACCTGTATAGGACATGTACCGTAAGTGGAGCTTGCAGGTCTGGAAGTTGCTGTGGGTGAGTCAGTGAGTTAAGTGATAAGTAAATGTGAATGCCTAAGTCATTACTGTATGCTATTACTGCAGATTTTATAAATGCTGTAAACTTAGGCTAAACTAAATTTATAAAATAATATTTTTTGACTGGGTGTGGTGGCTCACGCCTGTAAACCCAGCACTTTGGGAGGCCGAGGGGGGCCGATCACAAGGTCAGGATTTCGAAACCATCCTGGCTAACATGGTGAAAGCCCGTCTCTACTAAAAACACAAAAAATTAGCCAGGCATGGTGGCACGTGCCTGTAGTCTCAGCTACTCGGGAGGCTGAGGATGGAAATCGCTTGAACCCAGGAGGCGGAGGTTGCAGTGAGCTGAGATTGTGCCACTGCACTCCAGCCTGGGCAACAGAGTGAGACTCCATCTCAAAAAAAAAAATAAATGAATAAGATTTTTTTTTCTATCATGATAAGTTATCATTAGCATACTGTAACTTTTTTCACTTTATAAACTATTTTTTAACATTTTAACTCTTTGGTAATAACACTACGTTTAAAAAAACAATACAATGTACAGCTGTGTAAAAATATATTCCCCTATTTATATCTTTATTCTGTAAGCTTTCTATTTTTATGTTTTTAAATTTTCTTTTTCTGCTTTATAAATGTTTTGTTAAAGACTAATACACAAACACACATTTTGGCCTAGGCATATACCGGGTCAGTATTAACAATATCACTGTCTTCCACCTCCATATCTTGTCCCACTGGTAGGTCTTCAGGGGCAGTAACATTCATAGAGCTGTCATCTCCTATGATAAAAATGACTTCCTCTGGAATATCTCCTGAGTACCTGGAATACCTGCCTGAGGCTGTTTTACAGTTAACTTTTAAAAATAAGTACAAGACATACATACTAAAATAATGATAAAATGTATAGTATAGTAAATATATGTACTAGCAACATAGTTATTTATTATAATTATCAAGTATTATGTAATGTACATAATTCTACCTGCCACACTTTTTTAAAAGTGGCATCACAATAGGCTTGTTTACACCAACATCACCACATACATGTGAGTAATGCACTGTGTTATGACTTTATGATGCCTATGACATTAGGTAATAGACATTTTTTCAGCTCTATTATAATCTTATGAGATTTCATTGTATATATGGGCCATCATTGACCAGAATGTTGTTATGCAGTGCATGACTGTAATTTAACCTAATCTAAAACAATCTGAAAAGTTTAAGTAACCAAAAACGCTACTTCAAATAGTATCTGACAGTTGTATTAAAGGTATTTTCAAAAGTAAATATTAAGATTGTCACTACGTCTTTTCAGTGCAATTTTTTGTGTTTATTTATGAAAGACCACACAATCTTCTCTTTTTTATCTTCTTTCTGTCTTCTTCTCCTTGTTCATAATGTGACAAGCTAGTTACAAATGTATTAACTCCATAAGTATTTTATCCTGGGTTTTTAGTAAATGTCACATCCTGGGGCTCAGCTAAATTAGCTAAAAAATGTTTACAAGCACATCTCTGTAAAAAGAGGAGCATAATGGACTAAACATCTTTTACATATATGTTGTTTTTTATAAATATAATCATATCAAACAATAATCAGCAGGCGCAAACCCTGATGTAGCTCGGTTGGAAAGTGCACTTCGTTGATTTTTTTTGTCACTATGACCAAAAAAGAAATGCAAATGAATAAGTAAGTAAATCTTAACAAATTCAGGTAAGATTTTAACAACTTACCCTTCATAATCAGCCCAAATTTTTCATCACCCTGAATGCAGGTAATTTTATATACTTTACATACGACTTTTGTAGAATATAAGATAGTAGAAGACACAGAAAAGCAAAAATTAATATTTTCATGTAGATAGATTTGTTTCAGTATTCATCACAGAATTTTAAATAAATCAAAGCAACCACATTTACCTAGTGAAGAATAAATCTTTCTAAATACTTCCCTCTAACCTTCTCACTATAACACTACATAATATATGCCTATTGCTACCATTTACTATTACTTTCAGTATGTTTATTTGCAAATTTTGTGATTTCACAATATTCTATATTTTGCAAGTAATGTAAGGTACTTGAAAATGTAATCTACACATACTATAAAACATAATTTGGCATTAAATTATTTATACACATAAATTACATTAATAATGTAAGCCATCACTTTCATAAAAGCAAATTAGTTATTTGAAAATTAATTATTTGGTACTATATCTGTTAAACAAGCTTTATATTTGAATAGAATGCTTAGAAGTAGTTGACTTTAAAAGTTATTAATTTCAATAAAGATAAAAGTCAATAACACTCCTATTTGATAGGCTACAATGTTTTTATTAAAATGTAAACATGAGGAAATAAAGCATAGGAAAGAAAGAAAACTGCTCATACTATAGTTTTCTCTAATTTTTACATTTTACATTAAACAAGACACAGTTTGATATCCTTTAAATGTGTCTCAATCTGGAGGTAGTCAGTTGTGAGTTGAATGCTTGCTCTCAAGACTTACTTGCTATTTTAACATATGAATGAGATCGTGTATACATAATTATGAATTGCCTTATAAATTTATGAAATTTATAAAATTAATAAATTTTATAAATACACTTATTAATAAAATACTTCATATATTAACAAATGTAACATTATATATTTGCTTATATAAGTTATATGTCATAAAAGTATATAAACAAATTTAAATGCTTTATTAAACTTAGAAATAATCAATTTTCTCATTTTTAAGAACAATTAAAGCTCAGATGGCCTAAACAATTACTTTGTAACCTCCTATCATGTAAGTATCAAATCTGGAATTCAAACTTTGTCTTTTTAGTAGAATTACATTTGTCATTCCATTACTCTGGGCTGAGTTTATCCTAAATCTATATATCCTTCATTCTACAGCTGTAAATGCCAGGCTTTGATTCATTCCTGCAAGAGATAATCACATTCTTATAATATTCATATACTTTTCATCTTCTTGACTCCCAAGCATCTAGACAAGAATATGCTGCGAATTTTGTCTAAAGATTCTCAGAAACTACATTGATAAATGGAAAAAGATAATTTTTGTTGTCCATAAGAAACAGTTTAAGTGTTGCTTATTAGCTTGCCTTTATAAATTAAGCAGTAGTAAATAATGTTAATTCATTTTTAATGCTTCCTCATGTTAAGAAAAATATAAATGCATATTTGCTTAGCAAATCAGAAAATTATTTTTTTTTAATCTTCCCCTCTCCTCTTCCTTTATTCCCTTCCAATCCAAGCAAGGACATGAAAGAAATATCATAAAGGCATATACTGAAATAGAGAAAACAGTGTGTAGTTTAATGTTATTGAGATGCATAATATATATCAGGGAGGGAGAACAGAAGTCCCCAATATAATCCTTGGAAATAAATTTGATATTTTATCCACAAAATAGTTGCATTTTTATATCTCTATGAAACATAGTAATAAGTTGAAAAGAGTGACACTCAAAGATATATGGTCTAATTTATACACAATAAAGTATAAGAGTTAAAATGGAATTAATTTCAGGCATTCTCATTATTGGAGCTATTACTTTGAAGACAATTTATTTTACTACTCTTCACAATCTGTGCTTATAAACTGACAGGCTATGTAGTGACATAATGCCTCCTGTGTCATAAATATTTCATGTGTAACTTTGAAGAGGAATTGAAAATACCATTCAAGAGGCTTGCAGGGAGCAGATATTTCTTCAAGATTAAACAAGATTGTCTCTCTGCCTAGCCTGTTCTTTAATTTTAACTTTCACATCACGAGAAGGAGTCTATTGACGGACAATGTAGCACAAGAGTTTTTAAAGATGTGATCATTTTTTCTAAGTAAATTTGGTCTTACAGCTAGTTCTTTCTAGAAGCTCTTATGGAAGCAATAAATATGTGCATGAATACTCGTAATGATTTAATCTCATTTTATGTTTTTCTGAAGTTTGTTAATGATGGACCTAGAGTCCCAGGGTAAAAGCAAACACATTTGATCAAGGAGAATTGGAAGAAGATGAGGGAAAGAAACTTCTAAAAATCTAGTCGAAAATGACTAGAAATGAACCAAAAGATTATTTGGTAACAAAAGTAAGAACATGTGCATGTTTGTGGTCAGTTAAAAATAAAATGGTGGTTTGAACAATCTGGGTATTTTTAAAGATGAGTGAGTAGTATACATTTAGGGGCTCTACTCTCTAGAAATGTTTTAAATTTGTTTTTGTGGCATCCATGTAAAAGCATATTGTAGAAATGAATAAAGAATGCATATCTAAGATTTGTAAAATGGTAGAATAATTATGCAGAAAAATGGAATTAGACCTATTTTGAGGAACGCCCTCTAAATACATGTATGGAATTAGATGCTAAAGTAGAAAAAGTATAGAAAGATAACTCAGTGAAAAATCTTGGCTGCTTCTTTGCAGTATTAGAAAAGCAAACAAGAAACAAAGGATCTCATAGGAAGTTATAAAAACTTCACAGAAAATTTCTTATACAAAAGGATTTCATAGGAAGATGATCTATGAAGACAGTTTCTTCTTTTTTCATTTCAAAATAAAATTGTTTTCAATAATAGTATTTATTGCAAAGCTCAAGGGTCATTCTGCGGGCTATAACTTAATTTTTTAAAACATTTTATTTTATTTTATTATAATGTTTTTTATTTATTTATTTTTGGAGACAGAGTCTCTCTCTGTCTCCCAAGCTGGAGTACAGTGATACGATCTCAGCTCACTGCAATCTCCACCTCTCACGTTCAAGAAATTCTTGTACCTCAGCCTCCTGAGCAGCTGGGATTACAGGTGTGCACCACCACACCCAGCTAATTTTTGTATTTTTAGTAGAGACAGGGTTTTGCTACGTTGGCCAGGCTCGTCTCAAACTCCTGGCCTCATGTGATCCACCTGTCTCAGGCTCCCAAAGTGCTGAAATTACAGGCGTGAGCCACCATGCCCAGACTTATTTTATTTTTAATCGACAAATATTTGTATATATGTATGTGGGTACACTGTTAGGATGTATGCATACATTCTGGAATTGTTACATCAGGCTAATTAGCATATCTGTCACCTCACATACTTAGCATTTCTTTGTGATGAGAACATTATGATTAACTTTTTTAGTGATTTTGAAATATAAAAAAAGTTTGAATCATTGGTCTTGGAGAAGCCAGGAAAATCTCTTAGTAAATTATAAAATTATTTGTTAAAATGCTACCTATATTAAATCTGGAACATGCATGAAGAGCCCTGGAAAAGAAGCACAATAATAGACTCAGCCAACTATTGTAGAGAGGTACTGAAACCTCAGCATTTGATTGGCAGTAATTTATGGTCATAACAGGACAATATTTTAACTATGAATTTAATAAACTATAGAAATAGTCTATGAATGGAATATACTAGAGACAAACTTTATGTTTATATTACAAATTTAAGGATGTGGTCTTCAAGGTGGTGAAAAAAGTAGAAACTGTTGATTCTAATAGACTTTACCACTGTAAACAATGCATTGGAATCATAAACTAAATCTTTGACCATCCAAAAGAAAAGAAAATGGAAAGGATAAATCCTTTCTTTCAGAAAAAAGAACAAAAAATTAGTTACTCCAGGCAGTGGAAAAGGTTTTAGGTAATCTTTCTCATCGAGAATAAAAAAATAAAATGACTAGAATACTGCAATGTCAGAATTAAAGACACTTACATCTCTCCTTTATGGAAGAAATGAATGGGACCCCAAACAAACTCAAACTTCTGTCCCTTAAAGAAAGATAGAAGAACAGGGGTACTGAAGGTATGTGTATCTCAAACATTTTTATGTTGAAGCCTAAAACCTCAACGTAATGACATTTTAAAGATTGTGCCTTGGGAGGTAAGTAGGTGATGAGGGTGGAAGAGTCATGAGTGGAATCATGCTCTTATGAGAAAATACAGGAGAGAGATGATCTTTCTCTCTGCTCTACACCATGTGAGAATACAATGAGAAGATGGTCATTTCAACAAAAGAGAGTCTTCAACAAGGAGGAAAGCCCTTCAGCAAGAACCTGACCATGCTGGCACTCTAAACTTGGACTTCCAGCCTGCAGAACTATAAAAAATGTTTTGTGTTTTAAGCTACCTAGTAAATAATAATTTTTTGTAGCAGCCCAGGCAAACTAAGACAAGGGTTTACAAATTTATCTATAACGCTAGAAACCTGGAATCATGCCAAAGATGGTTAAGAAAAGGCTTTCAACAGCAGCCTGTAGTGCTATAAGGAAATTTGGGAAAAGCAGTCAGCCTGTGGACCAATTGACTGAGACTAATTAGTGCACCCTTCATTGAATTTGGAATGCCTTAGCCTCAATTGCAGACAGCAGGTGTTTCCCAGCAGAACCGAAGAAGTGTGTGCTATTTAATTGTTTACTGGTAAAGATAGGGAGAACATTCCTATAGCGCTCTGCTACAAAGTGGGTGATGATTAAGAGATTGCCTCATAGCTTTTCTGAAACCCTAGTCTCTTTAAATAGCCAAAACAGTTAATTATTTGAAGTATTTCTATCTCTATACAATATAACTATGTCTTTGAGGACTTTGAAAAAAATAAAAAGTGACCATTAAAATTGCAAAAGCACCTTGAGGTACACTGGTTAAAATCAACACTTAATAAGTGTTAAACCTGCCATAATTTATTAAGTGTAAGAAATGTTTCCATTTTCAAAAAAAATGTATAAATATAAATCCAAGAATTATTTCTGCCCCCATTAAACTGACCCCGGCATGGAAACTTAGAAAACTCTACCTAATTTAGCTTGAGATCCTCTGGCAGGCGCCAAGACTCTCTTGAGCAGTGAAGCAGAAGACATTGGTCCAAGGGGAGAAAAGCAACTTGTGTCCTATTAAACTGAGCAATATGGGAAGAAAGGAGTGGAAGCAATATTAGCAGGCTTCAGAAATGCTAGCCCATACTATTTTGGAAACTTGTGGAAAGAAGCAGATGTAAAAGCTAATACAGTGTCTCACCTAGTATGTAACTAAATTGGTGATTAATCTCTAAGTATCGCATCTACTGGTGAATATGGCTGCTAATTATAATAGCAAATGACAAAAAGACACTCTGCCCTACAGAAAGGCTAACAAGAATAAAGCTCATGTGGCATTTTGTTACAACATTTGTGATTTCAAAATGAGCATTGGTAGTGGTCTACTGAGAGCAAACTCTTATCTCTGATGTACACTGGTGAGGATCCATGTTTACTTCTAAGGATAATAATGGTTGCAATGACAGCCTGAGTTATTAAGATAATGTAGGGCAACAACATGTTAGCCTTTGGAGATCAGTGGTATAGAGAGATATCCTCGGTACAAGGGTAAAACTGTGTCATATAGGCTACAAATGCTTCAAGCTGGTTAAGAAAGCAGACACAAATTCTCCATCTACAATCGCATATTGTGCAAAAGGTGGCGGAGAGGGCCCAGGACTCCTTGAGGGAAACAGAAGTAAAATATTCCTGGAGCAATGGAGATGGAATGTCAAACCCTCCAGATGAATGTGCAATGACTCTCCTAGTGCATAATGAAATAGGAAATTTGTATTCTTTGCTTAGAGACCAGAGAGGGATAATAATAGAAGAGACATTGAAAGGAGAACAAATGGAAACTAAAGCCAGAAAATGGACTCTCATTAGTTAACTAATTCTACACTGTGCCTGTTGGAACTCAATGGAATTTGGTAGTAACAAACAAGATTGCATGTGTCTTTATATTAATCTATTACTAATATTGTATCCTCATTAGTAATAGACTGTACCTATAAGCTCTGCCACACATTGCAAGGTAGAGCAAAGGCATTACAGATAATGCTAACTTAGTTATACACTACTCACTTTTCTGAATGATTATGTACATACTCATTATATTCTTCTAAGTTTTATGAGATAAATGTTATTTTCAATCTTCCTTCTTACAAATAAAGGAATTGAGGCACATATTTTTAAGTAACCTCCCCAAAATTACACAGGTAGTTAATGGCAGAACTTATAATGAACTCTTGGGCTTTTCTCATTAGCAACCTCAACCTCAGTGCAAGAATACTTAACATCAATACACGGAGTTAAACTCTTCTTCCTATTCTGTCCTAAGGGGAACAGAAGCTAAACTTACTAGGTGTGTGGAATCCTCATGTGTATTTAAAAATCAAGTGTTATGGGACATACATTTCTAATGGGTTTTATTTGACCTTTAGCTTCACAGCCAGCTGCTGAAGTTAGTGCTGAAAATAGTCCTACCAATATCGTACTCCAAACATGGAAGAGTGAATTAGGATATTTTTCAAGTGATGATTTCATTCTGTTCTTCAAGTTAAAAATAAAATCTTTTAAGTAGAACCAGCCAGTCTTTGAGGTGTTCACTAGTAATTTTGCCATTCAAAATTAATTGATGAGAAATGTCCTTTCCATTACTGTTCTTTTATCTTGATGAATTTAATATTTAGGTCTTCTCTTTTACAGAAATGGGGTTAGTATTAATAGTCATAGAAAAAGATTTTATAATTTCAGTAACATGACACCAATTACTAGCATGTTACTGCATTAAGATAAAATTATGACGATGCAGTATTATCCACTTAAATTCTAATTTGAAATGAAAGCCAGGACTTAAGCTGAAAGTAAAGATTGGCTATTTTGAAATAAAATTGAACTTATTATACGAGAAACATCAATATATTTGGCAAAATTTTTATGATGTTAAAAGGCAAATTATGCCCTAGATAGCTGTAAATATTTCAAACACTCCAACATCTTTCAAAGGTGTTACAGGCTGAATTAATTTCACATGCATTTATACTCATGTACTCTATCACAGTTGAGGAAAATAGAATAAATATAGAAATTTGTTTTCTATAATGGATTTCCAAATTGTACAATGGTGTCCTATTTAAAATGAGATAGAGTTGTTCCTAATTCATGAAAGTGAAGCTCAAGGAGCAGTTTTTCAGAATTATCACATTTTGTAAGGCAATGTGTTTAATTTTTCTATATGAAATGTAGCAGTGAACTGATAACTCCTTAAAAAAAGAAGAGCTGTCTGTAAAATGATCGCTATTTCATCATATTTAATGGTAGCATATATTATCAATTTATTTAATTTTAGGTAATTTTTGTTAATAAAACATCATACAATGTTCTCTTCAATTTTACAAATTTCAGAAATACCTTTTATTATGTTAGAATGATGAGAAGATGGCAGACATTTAAAATTTTCCATCCTCTCATACTTTTGAGTATATCTCTGTAGATTTTAGTTCAACAATATTTTGTATCCACATTGTGCAATGAATTCTTACCATGAAAACTGAAAATATCACCAAGATCTTTGGGAAAATTGAGTCATTAGGGAACACAAAACTTGCCTAATTGTGAAAACCACATAAACCTAAATTTATAACTAGACAAAGGGAAGGTAGTATATACAAATTACACAGACACACACACACACACACACACACACGAGTTATATGCAGCATAACAATGTCCAGTGAACAGCAGACCACATATACAATGGTGGTTCCACAAGGTTATAATGGAGCAAAAAAATTCCTATTGCCTAAGGAAGGTGCAGCTGTCACAGCACAACACATTACTCACTTTTTTTGGGTGATGTTGGTGTAAAGAAACCTATTGCACTACCTATTGTATAAAAGTACAGCACATACAATCACATACAGTACATAATACTTGATAACAATTATAAACAACTACATTACAGGTTTTGATATACACAATACTATATTTTATTATTATTTTGGAGTGTACTGACTCCTTCTACTTATAAAAAAAAGTAATTGTGAAACAGCCTCATGCAGGTCTTTCAGGAGCTATTCCAGCAGAAGGCATTGTTATCATAGGGGATGACAGCTCCATGCGTGTTCTTGCTCCTGAAGACCTTCCAGTGGGACAAGATGTGGAGATGGAAGACAGTGACATTAATAATCCTGGACCTGCGTAAGCTTAGGCTAGGGCGTGTGTTTGTTAGTTTTCAACACAACAGTTCAAAAAGAAAAAACAGAAAAAAATTTTAATTTAAAAATAACCACTTATAGAATAAGAATTTAAAGAGGGCTATATATTTTTGTACAACTTTATGTTATTACATAACAAAAAAGTTAAAAAATTAAAAGTTAACAAAGTAAAAATGTTACAAGTAAGCTAAGATTGTTTGTTTATTTATTTATTTATTTTGAGACAGAGTCTTGCTCTGTCGCCCAGGCTGGAGTGCAGTGGCACAATCTCAGCTCACCGCAACCTCCGCCTCCCGAGTTCAAGAGATTCTCCTGTCTCAGCCTCCCTAGTAGCTAGTATTACAAGCACCCGCCACCAAACCTGGCTAATTTTTGTATTTTTAGTGGAGAGACGGTTTCACCATGTTGGCCAGGCTGGCTTCAAACTCCTGATCTCAGGTGATCCACCCCGCCTCTGCCTCCCAGAGTGCTGGGACTACAGGCTTGAGCCACCGCACCTGGCCAGATTAATTTATCATTGAAAAAAATAAATTTTAAAAATAAATTTATGTACCCTAAGATTAAAGCATTTATAAAGTCTACAGCAGTGTAAAACAATATCCTGGGCCTTCACGTTCATTCACTCACCACTCACTCACAGACTAACCCAGAACAACTTCCAGTCCTACAAGATTCATTCATGGTACATGTCCTATACAGGTTTAAATTTTTTATCTTTTATAGTGTATTTTTCCTGTACCTTTTCTATGCGTAGGTATATCTAGATATACAAATACTTACCATGTGTTATAATTGCCTACAGTGTTCAGTAAAACAAAATGCTGTACAGGTTTATAGCCTAGGAACAATAGGCTGTGCCATGCAACCTAGACATGTAGTAGGCTACATTGTGTTAGTCTGTGTACGTACACTCTATGATGTTTGCGCAATGAAGAAATTGCCTAATGACGCATTTCTCAGAACAGATCTCGTCATTGACACTTGTGTGACACACACTGTGTGTGTGTGATTTAAGCAAAAATTATTTATCCATGTCTCATCTTATATAATTCATGCCCAAGAGTCATCTTTTAAATCTATTTTTCATTCTTTTGTCTGTCTCTTTAGTACTCAGAGATGTCAGACTGTTATAATGTCAAATTGAAAAGTATGTGATTTGTTAAAATGCATGTAATTTGTCTTTTTCTCTATTGCTATGTCTTGATAACAGAATATTTTTATGAATTACTTTCTGATTAGGAGTCTTCTTCTGTGCAGTACTTTTTAAAACTCTGATGCAGATTTGCATTCTTCTGTCCGCGATCTAAAACCTTTAACTTGTTTTCCATTTTCTTAATTTATAATTGCCCTAACCAAATAGGCATTTGAAAAACTCCATAGAGGAGACAGCCTTTGAGTGGAAAAAGTAAGAATTTGGCTTCACTCACTTTCCCCCAGATCAATGAAAATACAATATACATCAGCAATTTAGAACTCTGGGCAACAAAGTGAGACTCTGTCAAAAAAAAAAAAAATTTAAAAACAGTCCTTTCACACAGAGTATGAAAACCTGTAGTAAGAAAAGCTATAGTACTTCCGCACAAGGGGATATTACACAGCAATAAATCGTAGCTATGGTTTTCACAAATTGAAAAGTATCTCTTCAAGAAAGTAAAAAAAAAGTCTACTGACCAGCAGAGACAGTGGTTTTTAACATGGGTTATTCCCATTTCTCCTCCCTCCCACCTCATTGATATGGTAGTCATCAAAACTTAACAACCTTACATCCAACAATGAGTATTTACCTATTTTGAGTCTCCATTATAAGTACCATTGAGAGGTGACAGCGTGCTGTGCTGGCAGCCGTTGCAGCCCTCACTCGCTCTCTGCGTCTCTTCCGCCTCAGCGCCCATTCTGGCCGCGCCTGAGGAGCCCTTCAGCCCGCCGCTGCACCATGGGAGCCCTTCTCTAGACTGGCCGAGGCCGGAGCCAGCTCCCTCAGCTTGCTGGGAGGTATGGAGGGAGAGGCACGGGCGGGAACCGGGGCTGCGCGCAGCGCTTGCGGGCCAGCTGGAGTTCTGGGTGGGCGTGGGCTTGGCGGCCCGGCACTCGGAGCGGCGGGCCCCGGGGAAGTGAGGGGCTTAGCACCCGGGCCAGCAGCTGCGGAGGGTGCGCCGGTTTCCCCAGCAGTGTTGGCCCACCGGCGCTGCGTTTGATTTCTCGCTGGACCTTAGCTGCCTCCCTGCAGGGCAGAGCTCGGGACCTGCAGCCCGCCATGCCTGAGTCTCCCTGCACTGCCCTGGGCTCCTGCGCCTGAGCCTCCCCAGCGAGTGCCGCCCCCTGCTCCACCGCGCCCGGTCCCATCGACCGCCCAAGGGCTGAGGAGTGCGGGCGCACTGGGTGGGACTCGCAGGCAGCTCCACCTGCGGCCCCTGTGCCAGATCCACAAGGTGAAGCCAGCTGGGCCCCTGAGTCTAGCGGGGACTTGGAGAACGTTTATGTCTCGCTAAGGGATTGTAAATACACCAATCAGCACTCTGTATCTAGCTCAAGGTTTGTAAACACACCAATCAGCACCCTGTGTCTAGCTCAGTGTTTGTGGATGCACCAATCTGCACTCTGTATCTAGTTAATCTGGTGGGGACTTGGAGAATCTTTATGTCTAGCTAAGGGACTGTGAATGCACCAGTTGGCACTGTGTATCTAACTCAAGTTTTGTAAATGCACCAATCAGCGCTCTGTGTCTAGCTCAGGGTTTGTAAGTACACCAATGGACACTCTGTATCTAGCTAATCTAGTGAGGAGGTGGAGAACTTTTTTGTCTAGCTCAGGGATTGTAAAGGCACCAATCAGCACCCTGTCAAAATCAGCTCTCTGTAAAACAGACCAATTGGCTCTGTGTAAAATGGACCAATCAGCAGGATGTGGGAGGGGCCAGATAAGGGAATAAAAGCAGGCTGCCCTAGCCAGCAGTGGCAACCTAGTCAGGTCCCCTTCTATGCTGTGGAAGGTTTGTTTTTTCGCTCTTTGCAATAAATCTTGCTGCTGCTCACTCTTTGGGTCCACACTGCCTTTATGAGCTGTAACACTCACCGGGAAGGTCTGAGCTTCACTCCTGAAGCCAGCCAGACCACGAACCCACCGAGAGGAAAGAACAACTTCAGATGCGCCACCTTAAGAGCTGTAACACTCACAGCGAAGGTCTGCAGCTTCACTCCTGAAGCCAGCGAGACCAGGAACCCACCAGAAGGAAGAAACTCTGAACACATCTCAACAACAGAAGGAATAAACTCCAGACATGCCGTCTTTAAGAACTGTAACACTCACTGCGAGGGTCTGTGGGTTCATTCTTGAAGTCAGTGAGACCAGCAACCCACCAGTTCTGGACACACCATCACAAGAGTGCATTTAGAAATTTGATCAAGCTAGAAAATCTCCATTCAAAGGTGTTCTTACTGTTTAATAATTTGGAGTTTAGTTCTGGGATGGGGGATGAGAATGCTATCCTCACGTTTTACTAAAAGCATTAATAGTCTGCTGGTTCAGTTAGGGCAAATAAGAGTCTGACCAAACAGTTAAAAGGAATATCTGGAGAACCACGTTACCATGGGGAACTTTGAAAAGCTCTGACAAATTCACGGGGATCTGGAAGTTGACTTGTATGTACACAGCTGTGTGTGCACACAGGAAAGACCTAAGAAAAAGGAAGGCCCCAGTTACTCACCTCCAGGTGAACTGGAGGCCTTGAACAAGCAGGAAGTGAAAGTTGAGGCTGATTTAACTGCCTGTTTTTCAAAAGTGTACATATTCCAATAGAATTGATCCCTTGGCTAAAGGTGGAGGACTTTTACATTCTGAAAGATTTTAAGAAAAATGTCTTACCAAAAGACATTTGGCTGAACATTAAATTATACTGATCTAATAAACACCATTAGGAAGCCAGTTTTAAAAGAAAAGATACACTTAAGAGAAAATTGGTAGCACAGAACTCAGTGGCTGCAGATTGCAGACAATATGGACTGTACAGAATTAGTTTAGAAAGTGACCAAAAAAAAAGAAAAAAGAAAAACAACAACAATTACAATCACAGCTAAAACAACAAACTGTTATGGGGAAAGAGATCTGATACCATAATTATTCTATTATTTATCCAAAAGTCCACTTTTTAAGAAAAGATAACATAATATGCAAATATTGAAAATTATTCTTCACACACAGAAAAAAAAAGTCGCTGAAGGAGATCAGATGATAGATTTAGAGATAAATATTTTAATCACCTCTGATTAACGTGTTCATAAAACTAAAGAAAACTATGTAAAAATAATTAAAACAAAGTATGAAACTCTGTTTTACCAAATAGAGCCTATCAACCAATGGATAGAAAATATTTTTAAAAACCAAATAGAAATTCTGAAGGGCAAAATTAAAATAACTGTAAATAATATTAACTCCAGGAGATTACCAATGTATTTTAACTGGCAGAAGTAAGAACCAGTAAATACAGATTATCCACTTTGGGGAGCCACAGAAAAGGAAGAAAAATAAGCAAAATCTCAGAGACCTGTGGGAAATCATGAAACATACCTAAGTATGGATAGTTGAAGTCCCAGAATAAGAGGCAATAGTAAAACAATGTTATCATTTATAAGTGATCCTTAATAAGATAAATGGCTGACTTCTTATCAGAAATCATTGGAGTCAGAAGACAGTGAGATGACATATTAAAATGTGTGGAAGAAAAAGGCTAAGAAATCAAGAATTCCATGTCTAGCAAAACTACCCTTCAAAAATGAAAGGGAACAATATCAACTGCTGGCAAGAACGTAGAACTGGAGCTGTCATTCATTGCTGGTATGAATGCAAAATGATACAGCCACTCTGGAATATAGTTTGACAATTTCTTAAAAAGCTAAACATAGCTTTATCCTATGATCCGGCAATCATGCTCCTAGGTATTTACTCAAATGAGATTAACACTGATGTCAAAACAAAACCTGCACACGAATGTTTATAGCAGCTATTTATAGTTTCCGTAACTGGAGGCAACCAATATGTAAATGGATTTAAGAATCCCTGTAGTACTTCCGCACAAGGGGATATTACATAGCAATAAATCGTAGCTATGAAGCCACAAAAAGGCATAGAGGAAACTTAAATGAATGTTGCTAAATGAAAGAAGCCAGTTTGAAAGGCTACATTTTACTTCAATCATATAAAGCTCTGGAAAAGACACTGTAGGGACAGTAAAATGATCAGTCATTGTCAGAGGTTTGGTGGCAAAGGGAGAGGTGCACAGAGGATAAAGAAGCACAGAGGGGAGTTCTAGGGTGATGAAACTATTCTGTATATTTTGATGGTGCATATTTAACATTATCCATTTTTCAAAACAGAAGAGTATACTTCAGCAAATAAAATTGTATCAATATAGGCTCATCAATTGTTAAAAATTTACAACCCTACAGTAAAATGTTAATAGTATGAAGAACTCTGTGTGAAAGGACTATTTTTAATTTTTTTTTTTTTTTTTTTTTTTAGACAGAGTCTCACTTTGCTGCCCAGGCTGGAGCGCAGTGGTGTGATCTCTGCTGGCTGGAATCTCCACCTCCCAGGTTCAGGTGATTGTCCTGCCTTAGCCTCCCGAGTAGCTGGGACTACAGGCACCCACCACCATGCCCAGTTAATTTTGTATTTTTAGTAGAGACGTGGTTACACCATGTTGACCAGACTGGTCTCAAACTCCTGACCTCCAGTTATCCTCCAATCTCAGCCTCCCAAAGTGCTGGAACTACAGGCATAAGCCACCGTGTCTGGCCTATTTTTAATTTTTTTAATGAAGGAGAAATAAAGACATTCTCACATAAACTAAAATAAAGAAAATCTGTCACCAGAAGTGGTCTTTAAGAAATTCTAAAGGGAGTCCTTCAGGCTGAAAGAGCCGAATAAATAGCACTGGCAAGGTTAATTACATAGGTAGATATAACTGTAACTGATGTTTTACACAATTAGTTACAAAACAGTCTAATGGACTTACAAGGTATAAATCTGCATGTCTAAAGTAGCACAAAGGAGGGGGAAAAACATATATCAGAAAAACATTTATATGTACTATTGTAATTGTTATTATTAATCTGAATTAGACTTTTTAAAAAGTTAAGATGTGCTTAATATCCTGAGAAATGGCCAAGCACGGTGTCTCATGCCTGTAATCTCAGCACTTTGGGAGGCCAAGGTGGGTGGATCACCTGAGTGAGGTCAGGAGTTTGAGACCAGCCTGGCCAACATGGTGAAGCCCTGTCTCTACTAAAAATACAAAAAAAAAAAGCTGGGTGTGTTGGTGGGCACCCTGTAATCTCTGCTACTTGGGAGTCTGAGGCAGGAGAATCGCTTGAACTCAGTAGGTGCAGGTTGCAGTGAGCCAAGATCGCACCATTGCACTCCAGCCTGGGCAACGAGAGCAAAACTCCGTCTCAAAAAAAAAAAAAAATTCCTGAGAAATGACTTAGAATATGATTAAAACATATAGTTAATAAAAGCAACTTAAAATATACACCAAAAAAAAAAAAAACACATAACACAAAATAAGGCAGCAATGGAGGAAGGAAAGGAAAAAAGCATGCCATAGTGAAAAACATAGCATGTAAATAACAAGTAGTTGTAATCAATAACCTATCAATAATTATATTTAATGTAAACTTTTTTGAGTAAATGCTAAGATTATCAATCTAGATTAAAAGAAAAAAGACAGGCTCCAATTATATGTTGTCTACAAGAGATGCACTTTAGGTTCAGAGACCAATAAGTTGAAAAGTCTGAATCAACTTAAAAGAATTGAGATATTCAAAGTATTTTCTCTGATTACAATGAAATAAAATTGGAAACTGATAGAAAGAAATTTGGGATCTCTGAAAATATTTGGAAAATAACACAGTTCTAAATAACCCTTTTGTTAAAGAAATTACAAGACAAATGAGAACACACCACAGCCAAATTTATGCTATATAAATAAGCTGTGTTTGGAGCAAAATTTTTAGCTTTAAATGCTATAAAAAATCTCAATTTAACACACAAATCTGAATTTTCAAATTTAGGTGGGCTGGAGCAAGATGGCAGAATTAAGAGGCTCTATCAATTGTCCTCCCTGCAGGAAGACCAAACTTGACATCTATCTACACAAAAAAAGGAAACTTCATAAGTACCAAAAATTAGGTGAGTAGTCACTCACAGTACCTGATTATAACTTCATGTTACTGAAAGATACACTGAAGAGAGCAAGAGAGACAGTCTTGAATTGTTGACACCATCTCTTCCTCATCCCCTGGCAGTGGCCGCGTGGAAAGAGAGTCTGTATGCTTCAGGAGGCAGAATACAGTGATGGTGAGACTTTGCAGTAAATTCAGTGCCGCCTTGTTATAGCAAAACCAGGCTATATTTAGCTGATGCCCACCCACAGAAGGAGCATTTAAAACAGCCCTAGCCACACAGAGGGGAGTTGTCCACCTTAGTTGTTGGAACTTGAGTTCCAGCAAGCCTCACCACATGAGTCCCTGTGCAAACTTGAAAGACAGTCTAGGCCACAAGGACTGCAACTCCTAGGTAAGTCATAGTGCTGAGCTGGGTTTAGAGCCAATGGACTGTGGTAGGGGGCAGACAACATGCTGAGATACCAGCAACAGCGGCTAAGGGAGTGTTAGTGCCACATTTTTCCCAACCCCAACCTGTACAGCTCACAGTTCCAAAAGAGACCCCTTCCTTCTGCTTGAGGAGAGGACAGGGAAGAGCAAAGATGACTTTTTTCTTGCATCTTGGATACCAGCTAAGCCATAATAGAATAGGATACCAAGCAAAGTCATGAGGCCCCCATTCCAGGCCCTAGCTCACAGACAACATTTCTGTACACACCCTGGGCCAGAAGTGAGCCTGTTACCTAGAAGGGAAGAACCCATTCCTGGCAGGGCCCATCACCTGCTTACTAAAGAGTCCTTGGGCCCTGAATAACCAGCAGAGATAACCAGGTACTAGGTCATGGGCCTTGGGTGAAACTCTGAAACCTGCTAGCTTCAGGTGGGACACAGCACATACAAAGCTGTGGTGGCTGTGGTGAGAGACTCTATCTGCTTGAGAAAAGCAAAAGGAAAAGTAAAGCAGTCTTTTTCTTGTACCTTAGGAACTAGCTCAGCAAAAAAACTTGTACCTTAGGAACTAGCTCCAGGCCTCGGCAATTGGATAACATTTACAGACCTAGATGTGGGCCAGAAGGGAGCATGCTTCCCTGAACACTGAATCTCAGGCCTGGCAACATTACCACAAGCTAACTGAAGAGCTCTTGGGGCTTAAGTGAACACTGACGAAAGCCCGTCAATACTTTCCATGGGCCTGTGCGGTGGTAGACATGCGGTGAGCCTCCTCTGCCTGTGGAAAGGAGAGAGAAGAGTGGCAATAACTGCATCTTGTAGTGTGAGTGCCAGCTCAGCAGCAGCACAATAGGATACCAAGTAATTTTTAAGGTTTTTGGCTCTAGTCCTTGGCTCCTGGATGGCATCACTGGATTCACCTGGGCCTAGGGCAATGCAGAGTACTTTGGGAAGACAAAAATACAAGTCTATGTGGCTTCTCCACGTTCTGATTGTACAGCCCTAGGACGTTGAGCAAACATAGATGGTAGCCAGTTAGTAGTTACAGTGGGCTTTTGGCAAGATCCAGTGCTGCACTGGCTTCAGGTCTTAGCCAGTACAGTCCCAGTGGTGGTGGCCACAGGTGTTCTTGTGTCACCCCACCCCTAGCTTCAGTCTACTCAGAACAAAGGAGACAGAGAGAGAGAGAGAGAGAGAGAGAGAGAGAGAGAGAGAGAGAGTCAATTTGTTTGGGAAAAAGTAAGGGAAGAGAACAAGAGTCTCTGTCTTGTGATCCTGAGGTTCTTCTGGACCTTATCCATGACCACCAAGGTGGTACCTCTACAAGACTACAAGAACATGACATTATTGGTCTTGAGGTGCCCCCTAAGCAGATATGGCTCAGATCACAATGCCCAAGTCCTTTTAAAAACATGGAAAGCCTTCCTATGAAAAACGCGTAAAAATAAGCCCAGACTACAATGACTGCAATAAAGACATAACTCTTCAATGCCTGGACACAGATGAACATCTACAAACTTCAATACCATCTGGGAAAACCTGACCTCACCCAAAGGAAATAAAAAAGGTGTCAGGGACCGATCCTACAGAAACAGAGATATTTTACCCTTAAGACAGAGAACTCAAAATTTTTTTTGCGAAACACAAAGAAATTCAAGATAGCATAAGGAAGAAATTCAGAATTCTTTCAGATAAATTTAACAAAGAGATTGAAATAATTAAAAAGAATCAAACAGAAACTCTGGAGCTGAAAAATGCAATTGACATACTGAGGTGATCAGAGTGTTTTAGTAGCAGTATTGATTTAGTGAGCTGGAAGACAGGCTATTTGAAAATATGCAATCATAGGAGATAAAAGAAAAAATAATAAAAAAAATGAAGCATGCCTACAGGATCTAGAAAATATCCTCAAAAGGACAAATGTAAGAGTAATTGGCCTTAAAAAGGAGGTAGAAAGAGAGATAGTGGTAGGAAGTTTATTCAATAACAGAGTACTTTCCAAACCTAGAGAAAGATATCAATATCCAAGCACAAGAATCTTATGGAACACCAAGCGCATGTAACCTAAGAAAGAGTACCTCAAGGCATTTAATAATCAAATTCCAAAAGGTCAAGGATAAAGAAAGGATCGTAAATGCAGCAAGAGAAAAGGAACAAATAACTTACTATGGAGTTCCAATATGTCTGGCAGCAGACTTTCCAGTGGAAACCTTATAGGCCACTGAAATGTTGATTATGTATTCTGCAACTTTACTAAATTTATCAGTTCTAATTTTTTTTCTTTTTCTGATGGACTCTTTAGTTTTTTTTCAAATATAAGATCCAATCATCTGCAAACAAGGATAATTTGACTGCTTCCTTTGCAATTTGGATGCCTGTATTTCTTTCTCTTGTATGATTGCTCTAGCTAGGGATTCCAGCATTATCTTGAATAACAGTGATGACAGTGGGCATACTTGTTGTATATATATTTCTTATACAGGCATTGTAGACATTCTCTCTAGGTTATCAAAAATCCATTTATGACCTTCCTCCTCTGTATGTCCATGTGTACCCATTGTTTAGCTACCACTTATAAGTGAGAGCATGTAGTTTTTGATTTTTTTGTTTCTGAGTTACTGGGGACTCCAAAAAGGGGGAAGTTTTGATGGGGGTGAGGACTGAAAAATTATCTATTGAGTATGATGTTAACTATTTGGATAATGGATATACTAAAAGCTCAGACGTCACCATTATGCAACATATTCATGTAACAAACCTTCGTGTATACACCCTGAATCTGTAAAAAGAAACTAAATTGTTTAAAAAGACCTTTCTTCTTACTAGTAGAGACTCGATTTTGCTTACATATAATTATCAAGGAAGTTGTATTGAACTAAGAGTAAAATTTGAATTGTGAAAACTGGAATCACAAGAACTTGTTTTGTGGTTACAGTACAAGCATACGTACATATTGGTAATAAAATTGGGGGAAAACTGACATTTTGAGAATGCTAAACAGAATAGAAAAGTATAACTCATGAGGTTATGACGCTCAAAAGACTGTCAGGATAATAACAACAATAGAGATGAAGTTCAAAATCTATGGGCTAACAACCGCAGTTAAAGATTGCAGAATAAGGGCATGTTTTACGCTTCTTGATTCTATAACATACAGAAAACAACAAAAGTAGTGTGAAGGAGATGAAATAATGATACGATCCATGAAAGGTTAAAATCACCACAAAAAATGGTGACAATAATGAAGAATATCTATTATTTGTTTTTAAATCAGGGAGAATGAACAACAGTGACTTATAAAAGACTGACAATGTCTTGAAATGTAAATGAACATTTCTAAAAGTCTCAATAAATTATTTAATTCTATATAAAATGATATGTTTTAGAAGGAACTGAAAGGGCCACAGGAAGTGGAATACTGTAGTACTATCCCTGTAGTACTATTTCCACATTACCACACTAAAATATGAATGTAACAGGCTAAGATTAAAATTAAACTACTTAGATATTATATATTTAAATTCTATAATTCATACTTTAAACTTTAAAAAGTCCTTGGAGATGTAAGAGGAAGTTCAGAATAATCACAGCCATCACCTGCAGCTGCTGATCAAAGTCAGCCATGGTAAGCACAAAATATTTTAAGACCAAAAAAAAGAAAACTATTATTGTGTTTTCTCCAATTATTTTCAATAACTTAGAATACTTTTTCATAAAACCTTCTGAATTCTGAGCTTCTGAATTATTTCCTTTCTTTTAAATGGTAATAAAATTAAAGCTAAGAGGTGTAGAAATAACGTTTCACAAATACTTCTCCATAAATGGAAACACAGATCCTAGAAAAGAAGAGTAGATTTCAAGAAGACACAACATCCGAAAAGTAAACTGGTAGAGCTCTAAAATACATAAATAAATGAGCAGATAAATTAACAAACTCCAATTATGGGAAATATATCCACAGAACAGACAAAAGTAGAATCTAGTAAAAAACAGTCCTGAAGAAAATATTAGATATGAACCATAGACAATTCCATAAATGTAGAATTGGTGTTTCTAAAAAGAAAAAGAGTAAATTATATTAAATAGTTTTCCACACATTTTAATATATGCATATATACATATATAATAAACAGGTAAATGTGTTTTTTAAAAAGTTTCTGAGTATAGAAAATCTGCAAAATTATTACATATTCATTTCATGAGGCTAATATAACCATGACACTAAGTACTAACAAATACGTAATAAAAACAGAAATTAGGGGCCAAAAATTATTTTTCAGAAGTCCAAATAACAAAATAATTCTAATAAGATGTTAAAATAAGTAGATAACATGTGGCTTTAGCAAAAATTAAACAGACTGAAATTAACTACTGTTAGAGCACATACACATAAATGGTCACTTTCATACAATGCTGATAATACTAAAAAATATGCAATGTCACTTAGTAAGGCATTTTAATGTTTTTAAGCAAAAATTCAAATTAACATTTTTTGCTCTAATTGTGAATATATGGGCACAAAGATTTATATACACAAGGCTTTAAAAGTATCAAATTATTGCTCAGAATCACCTTGGTGCAAAGCAATAAAAACAATCTGAATATCTATTAATTGGAAAATAGATAAATTACACTACCTACAATCTTAGAATTGTTATTTTAAAACTGTAGGCTCTGTATTATATTTGATATATCCAACAAATATTTATGACATGCCAGGCAAGCAAAATAAAAAAAGAACACAGATGAATCTAATGACCAACATGAGATAATATTCCCAACTCCACTCTGTGAACTTCCTGAGTATTGCTTCATCCTATTCCTCAGGGAAGCCCTCCCCTAAATTCTGTGTTCCTTTTCTATGGCTTACCCATATTCACCAAAAATACATTAATACTTTTTTTAACTAAATATAATTTAGTTAAGATTTGGATAGATTAAATTGTTTCACCTTGTGTGGACATATCAAATTTTATCATTTTATTCTCTTTAATTATTCCCAGGTTTTTAATGTTATAAATAAATTTATGAAAATTATCATGTATGTTTTCTTGTAAATAAATATGAGGGAATTTCAGGGATACACCTTTAAGAATAGACTTGCTGGAAGTGGAACGATAGAGTACTTCTGAGCGTGAAATGTAATAACCCTATATGTCAGGATTTAAAAATACTTTTAAGAATGAAGAAGTTACAGCAACATATTGTTTAATTCCCATCATATATATTTCATATCATAGAAGAAATCTTATCATAAGTTAAATCATCTTTGAACCACTGAAAAATTACCACAAATCTCCAAATTTGCCAGTTGTAAAGAGGCTCACGAGAACATCTTGCAACTTTCGGGGAATACATATCATGTGCCTTTTTATTTTATTTTATTCATTTATTTATTTATTTTGTCAACTTTTTCTTATTATTATTATACTTTAAGTTCTAGGGTACATGTGCACAACATGCAGGTTTGTTACATATGTATACATGTGCCACGTTGGTGTGCTGCACCCATTAATTCGTCATTTATGTTAGGTCTATCTCCTACAGAGTAAAATGTGTCATGTTCTAACTACTTTAATGACACCAAGTTTTTATACCAAAACTTTAAAAAATTGTACAAAGAAAAGTAAATAAATGAAATTGTTTAAATAGACCCAAAGCACTTAATTTTTAGTAATTCCTCACGGTACAATCTTGCAGATTTTTCACCTGTGCAAAAATAAATTCCCATCGAATTTCATAGTTGAACATTAATAATAAAACAATAAAGCTTTGAAGAATAACACAGGAGAACATATTACTAACACTGGATTAGGCAAAGATTCTGTAAACAAAACAGGTGAAAATGAGAAGCATAAGCTGTGCAACAATTGATTGTTTATCAAACGAAAGCATTAAAACAGTAAAAATACAATTCAAAATTAAAAAGATATACTCACAATACATATGACAAGGTACTTTTATACAAATTATAGCTTAGAATCTTCAAACAATTAATAAGAACAAGACTTAGATACTTGCAAAGAGGAAGTATAATTGACCAAGTATATATATGCTCTAAGAGTAGTTAATTTCAATCTTTTTAGTTTTTGCTTAAGCCACATGTTATCTACCTATTCTAACATCTTATTAGAATTATTTTGTCATTTGGACTTCTGAAAAATAATTTTTGGCCCCTAATTTCTGTTTTATTACATATTTGTTAGTACTTAGTGTCATGGTTATATTAGCCTCATGAAATGAATATGACTTAGATTATCACACAAATCTGTATTATTATCAATATTAGTACTCATCATTCAGCAATTGAGAGAACATTGTTTACAAATTTAACAAAACTGTATATCTGAGAATTATTCATCTTCTAAATCTAATTTGTATTTATAGAATACTACACACACTGCACAAAATGCACTATTTTCAAACATACATGGTATATTCACCAAGATAGATCATGCAATAATCCATAAAATAATTCTTAGTTAAGTAAGAAAATTGAAAACATGATAACTGAATCCCAACAGACAAAGACAACTGTAGCATGGGCTCACAGTCCAAAGAGAGCTATATAAGGAGGGTATAAACTTTGCCTTAGACATTTTTGAGACCTCTTTTTTTACCATAAATTGTACGTTACCTATGTTTCATTCAGAATAAAATTCTAATTACAAAATATTTTCTTTGCAGCTTTACATTAATTTTCCCAGCATATATTTCTATCTTTATAAACAGTGCACTAATACTAAAATATCTTTAGTCAGATTCTCATATTTTCTAGTATTGATCATGGGAAGCTCTCTGTTTCTCTTTTCTATTCTATTCAGCCATTAAGACACAGCACAAATTAGATGTTCTTTTAATAAAATTGTATTGTCTTTCTTGAGCCTACAATGGAAGGTGTCTCCTTTCTCTGCTTGAACGTATATATACCATAAAAATAATATTGTGACTGTATTTTTGTAACTGGTATTTTCATTGTTTATCTCTACTTCTGTTAACCTATTGATTGTTTTGATTATTGCTGCCTCCCACTATTTACCCAGGCCCTGGACTGTGGCAAATACTCACTAGACACCTATTGAATTGAATTGTAACTTAACAATGTTTATTATTTTAAAATGAAATACTTAATGATCAAGGAACATAGCATATGCAGGGACTTTTTATTTTATTTTCTTCCCAGCAAATATACCTAATACTATGATGACATTTCTTAGTAAATATTGAATTTCAGTAAGTTAAATTAGATTATATTCAATTTTAATATTACCATCAAAAATGTTAGTCAGCTAAACTACTTATTATTTGAAAGCCTACTACATACCAGACACAGGATCTAGGAAATTAATTAAATATTCTTTTCAAGCGTCAGAAAAAAAACTTGTAAGATGGCTCAAATTTCCTCAATATTCAATATTCTTTCTAAGCTGGAAAATTTTTAAAAGCAAGATGTACAATATATGAGTTACAAATTCTTACTGTCTTTTTTCTAGAAATGATTACCATGACCTTTTTTGGAACTTTTTTATATCTCTCTTGATTTCAACATGATGTTATAAAAATGTTAAAATGCTGACAAAATTTATTGGTACTACATTCAGGTAATGTCTAGTAAGCTCCGTAAACTCATGAATAATGTGATGTAACTGCTCATGAATACTGAGTACAGTATACTATCTGATGCGCTCCTTATGAAAAAATATAGAACACTATAAATAGTGCCTGAATTTGTATTAGTTCAATTAAATAAATTTATTCTCTAATCTAAAAGTAATTATTTTCATTAGTATTTTGTTGAAATATTTTTCTCCTGAATTTTGGAGACTAACTTACTATGGTGTATTAGCTTCCTATTGCTACTGTAACAAATTACCACAAAATTTGTGGCTTAAAACAACACAAATGTATCATCTTACAGTTCTGAAGGTCAAAAGTATGAAGTATAAATTACAGGTTAAAATCAAGGCGTCAAGAGAGTTGTGTTCCTCCTAGAGATATTATGGGCGAATCCATCATGGATATTTTCGGCTTTTACAGAACACCTGCATCCCATTGCCCATGGGCCTTTCCTGCATTTTAAATGCATTACTTTGTGCATCAAATCTCTGTTTCCTTTATCTTTCTGATTCTCACCCTCCTCCCTGAATCTCCTCCTTTCCTCTTAAAAGAACTCCCATGATTCCATTAGGCCCACTCAGACAGTCCAGCATAATCTTCCTGTATCAGCATCTTTAATTTAATCTAACTACAAAGTTCCCATATCAGTTTGCTAGGGCTGCCATAACAAACTACCACAGAATACGTGGCTTAAACAACAAAAATTTATTTTCTTACAGTTCTGGATGCAAAAAGACAAAGAGCAAGGTGTTGGCAAATTTGAATTTTCCTGAGGCCTCTCTTCTTGGCTTGCAGGTGGCATCTTCTTTTTCCAGCCTCGCATGGTCATTCCTACATGCATGCATCTCTGCTGTCCCCTCGCCTGTCAAATTTCCTCTTTTTATAAGGAAAACAGATTGGATTCGGCCCAATTCTGACAGCCACATTCTAACTTAATAACATCTCTAAAGGCCCAATTTCTAAATACAATCACATTCTGAAGTACTGGGTGTAGGGAGGCAACATATAAATTTAGGAGGAATATAATTCTGCCTAATATAATTCAGCCTATACTTCAACCAGTTATTTTTAACATATGAGGTAATACACTCACAGGCTCCAGGGATTAGGACATGGATATATTTGGGAAACCATTATTCCATTTACCACATATGATTTCTATAACTACTTACCATCTAAAAGTTAAACTTATTTAATTACTCAAGCCCAGAAAGGTGGATAACTTTTAGAAGAAGACATAAGTCTCTTCTAGGTTTTGTGTTCCTATTCTGACATCTGTTTTTAAACAAGTATTATTGCTAGTATTACTTAATTGCAACATATTAGATAAAAGGTAGAAAGTTTTTTTTCAACAGTGAAAAATGTATTTTTCTTAATGTTGATTTCAGAATTCAAAGCCTAACTACACGTAGGTTTTTTATTACACTTCATTTTGTAGTGTAAATGTTTTACTTTTTTGATTGTAAATAGACTAGAGGTATATGTCTTAGATATTTGAGAAATCCAATGTAATTTTGTGTATTTTTCACCTTTTATTAATACATTGAGCATATTAGCAACTTATTCTAATGAGCACTTTCTTCATTAAATTTTTTATCTCTAGAGGATGTTGTCTTGATATTCCAATTCACTATATTCTTAATAATTACTACAAATGAAGGTAGGCAATTTATCTTTGACTGTTTGCTAACAAAAAATACATTTCAAAAATGAGCAGCATTTGGCCAGTTCTCATTGGGTCCTTCTATGGCTATTCTTAATCATATTTCAATTTATGTTGTTAAATTATTTTCTGGTATTTTGTAATGCCATACTAACACACATGGTTATCTCAGTAAAACAAGCAAATGAATAAAACCCTCTGCTTTTTGACAATGTCATCCCATTCAAACTGGCATAATGTATTTGTTAGGATTTATTTTCTCTCCCCTCGAAATGTTACACTTTATATCCAAGGGATCATTTAAACATCTTCGGTAATGATAGAATACAGTAAACTCAACTTTAGTGTCATAGACACAGTTCAGCATCACTAGGGGCCTTATTAGTAAGGCATGATATATTTAATGTTCTACATTTAGTGCTTAGTACTGTTAAATTTCATAGTATTTCTAGGCTGAGTGAATTCCCAAAACATTCGATAGAGTGAATTCCCAAAACATTAAAAAAAATAATTTAAGAAGCTCTTATTTGTATACGTATTTTAAAAATAGAAATACCTACTTATATATGTTAATTCCAAAAATTAGTATCTAAATATTTATTATTACTGTGTATTTACTGGTTGTGCAAAATGCATTTGGTTTCCTTTAATTGAATGACCTTGTCAAGAGTTTAAAATTCCATTTTGAAGTATGTTTCAACAATGGCACAAAGGCTTTTGTTTTAACTTACTTTAAACTTTGAAAGGATTTCAGGGTATATTTTATAGACAGTTACATTATAAACTCAAACTGGATTTATATATTACTGTGGAAGTACTGTATATACTGTCTTCAATAGGTATTTCCACATGCCTTTGTTGTACTGACATTATTATTATAATGTATTTAACTGAAGAACAGAGTATTTTAGCAAACCTAACAACAAAAGCTGCTGACACAGGGCATCTTAGCATTTTCATTAGTTTCTTGATTAGGTGCCACATCTGAATCAATTAAAATTTCATGTGGCAATCTAACTTAATTGTTAGGGACACTAACATGAGCCAGTTAGCTTTTTTAATGTGATTGCTTGCAGGAAAGTGGAACTAGTAGTATCCTAGCAGCTAGAAGGTCAAGGTAATTTGGATGTTGACATCATGCCTTTATCAGAGCTGAAGATTGAACTTGTAAGCTAATGCAGTCAAAACCCATCCATGGCTGCACATTCTCAACAAAAGTATATTTACTATTTAGATTTTGAGTCTGGAACTGATAAAAATTTTAGAATCAATATTCCACAAACTTAATGTTTACTTATTAAAAACAACAGATAACCAAAAGTATAATTGTCTTAGGAAAGACAGGAAAGTGTATATATTTTCAAAATATTTTTAAAAAGACTATTAAAATAAAATTAAGATCAGTAACAATTAATTGACCTTAACTTATAAATATTAACAATGGCAATAAATATAAACCTCGTGTGGACAGGACACATAAGATATGGATCGTGTTTTATTCAGAAGTTTGGTTTTAACCAAATAGAATCATTCATGTCAAATGTATGATTAAATCATATTTTCACTAATGGTGAGATTAAAGCATAATTTTTATTTGAACACTTCATTTCCTGATGTTTGTTTTCATTTTTAGTTACTGTGAAATTTAAAACAGAATTTTACAAACCATAGGTATAAAAATAATAAAAATCCTAAAGACGATAAAAATCCATGTTTTCTTATTTTATCTTTTTTATGAATGCAAAGTACATATGAATGGGGACTTTTGTTCTCTCTAGTGGAAAATGATACAACATTCTCCAGCTTATAGTTTACTTAGATTTTTCATTATTTTCTCAGTAATAAAACTGATTGAATAAAATACAGTATCTTGGAATAAAATATACCCTGAAATCATACTGAAAAGTAGGTGTAATAATCTCATATGAACAACAAGGCACGTACTATTCAAATCGGAAAGTTATTTTTCTTTCCTTTACTGACTAAACAGCATATCATCTAGTAACACACTTACTTCTTGCTAAAATCTTTATCGAGTAAACTGTACACATAACTCATAATTCATTGAAAGGGAAGTTTTATGAAACAGATAATGTCCATTTGCCTGCACAATTGAGTCCCAAAGTATAATGAATCTAGGCCTGTCTTGAGCAATTAGAAACAAATTTGCAACTGTTTCGAAACATTAGTTTTTAGCTGACAGTGAAAGAGAGAGAAAGAGACTGTTAGAGAAAGAAGATAAAATTTTAATAAATAATCTTATACTACTTATATTTTATTTTAATTCTCAGGAACACAGATTAATGAACATAACTTATTTATGTTTCAGAAATTTATTTTAAAAATTCTGTTTAGAATTTTGCTAATTAATGTCTAATTATTTGAGGCTATATATGTATCCAAATATGGCAGTGCCTACTGACCATATTAACAGTTTATAATTACAGTATGTTAACTAATACAGGATTTCAGAAACCAAAGTAGTCTTAAGCCCATTTATTTATATGAAATGACCATACTGTCAATACTGTTAATGAATTGAGGAAATTATTTATATGAAAATATAAATATGAAGATTTAAAATACAAGTTATACAACATTGATTACAATATTTAGTGCAAGTAAAATATGCTCATTTGATTGACTATAGAAAATATTCACCTAAACATTAGATGTAATTATTCACAATAGCCAAGATATGGAAACAACCTAAATGCCCATCACAAAGGAATAGTTAAAGGAAATGTGGTATACATACACAATAGTGTATTATTCAGTATTTAAAAAGAAGAAAATCCTGACGTTTGTAACAATATGAATGGGCTTGGAGAATATTTTGCTAAATGGAATAAGTTAGACACAGAAAGACAAATATTGTGTGGAATTTAAAACAGTCAAACTCATAAAACAGAAAGTAGAACTTTGTTGCCAGGTCCTGGGAGGAGGATGTAATGAGGAGGTGTTGGTAAAAGGGTGTAAACATTCAGGCATGCAAGATAAATAAGTTCTGGAAAGCTACTGTACAACATAGGGCCTACGACCAAAAATATTGCATTGTATAAACAAAAATTTGCTAAGAGCATAGATCTTATGTTAAGAGATCTTACATAAAAGAAAGAAACAAAACAAGAACATAAAACCAAAGCGGGCAGAAGGAAACTTTTGAGGTGATGGATAAATTTCTGGCATTGCTTATGATGATGATTTCATGGGTGTAGACATATCTCCAAACACATCAAACGGTATACAATAAGTCTTTACAGATTTTTGTATGTCAATACAATCTCAATATAGATGCTAAAAAATCAGCTGTAGCTAATTTTGGTTGACAAAATTTTAGAATTTTAGTTGTGCTTCATATTTCTGGAGGATAATGTGTAAGATTCTTTATCTTTCAGGATTATTGTAAAACATGAAATAAACAGATTTGAGAGCAGAAGAGTCCAAAATTACACTTCAGTAGTTAAAATGTATAAACTCAAATCCTGTTCAAGTTTTTCTTCTTTTCCTTTTCTTTTTCCTTCTTCCTGCACTAAATTATCTAAGTATTTTTTCCCCAGAAAAAAATCAATAATGATATAAAATTGAGCCAAAATTGATTGTAGATGTTATCATAGACTGCCTTGAAGATAGACATAAGCATACTAATATAAAATAGCCTAGCCCAAAAGCAAGTTATTGATCAATAAATTTTTATATTATAATCCTAATACTTGTCAAACACACAATTTTATACTTTCGGCCCAGATAGCCCAATGGCGTTTTAAATAATATGGAATTATGTGGTGGCATTAGCCAACTGGGGTCAATTGCTACATAAAGATTTTTGTTACAGAGAAATCAAAGATAAATCTGAACAGAGTAGCACAAAGTTTAGTCTAAGTAGTATAAGTTTTTATTTTAAGGTACCTAAAATTGAGGCAGTTTGTATATGTAAACCATTTGTTTTACAGCTGTATTCAAAGATCTATGTTTTGTGAAAGCTTGGAAGCAAAGACTTCCAGAGTTTTGTTACTATGGAGAGAACTTCCCTTTCTCTCAGGTATAATGACTGTATATTTTTGGCTGTCAGGTCCATCGCTTTGTTTGCCACCTAACAGCACAAATTATTAATCAATAGCAATTTCCCAGGACACTAACTGATTCTCTATAAGAAACATTTTCAAAAGAAGGTGGGTACTAAGAAGGAATAAGATTAAGTATTAGTTAGAAGAAACTCTGAATTTCCACATTTATTAACCTAATTCAAAATGGGAGTATATTTGGATAAGATGAAACTTTGTCACTTCAAAATTAGAATCCTTGCATTATGTAATGATGAATATAGCCAGTTACAAAATCATAAACCTAAGTAAAATGGCAGATAACATTAATAAAGAAAATTTATAAAATTTAAATGCAAAGACTACAGAATTACCCCCTAATCTGCAATTTGGCTTCCCATGATTTCAGTTAATTGCAGTACAGTACAATAAGATATTTTGAGAGCAGAGAGAAAGAGACTACATTCACATAACTTTTGTTACAGTATATTTTTATAATTTTATTTTATTATTTAATATTATTGTTTTTAATTTCTTACTGCACCTAATTATAAGTTAAACTTTATCATAGATATGTTTGTATAGGAAAACACATAGCATACATAGGGTTTGCTGCTATCTGTGGTTTCCGGCATCCATTGGGGGTATTGGAAAGTATCCCCTGAGGATTACGATGAAGTACTAACCCTTAAAAAAAAACTGAGAGAGTGACCCCACCTGAAATAACACATAGGACATAAATTTAAAGGGTGAATAAGAGGAAATTTTTAATAAATTTTTAAAATTTAATAACATTTATCTTTTTCCAAGTCTCAGTTACGGTCACACTAGTTTTTTCTGAGTTACTACATTTGAAAAGTCACTATCATGCATCCAGGTCCACAAGTTAAAAATGGAGAAACACCTCTACTTCTCACATTTATTTTACAATAGAACAGCATAACATGGTAATCTGCTTTGTAAGCATCCCTAAAATCCATTTAATTATCTTTATTACCACCTCCATAAGCTAGTTTAAGCTACCAACTTCTATCTCCCAGACTACTGCAATAGATGATTAACTGTGCATACACAAGACCAACTCCTCTAATCTATTATTTAGAGAGTAACCCAGAAAAATCTTTGCAAAATGCAAATCTGATTATTTTTCTTCTATGCTTAATTTCTTTCAATAGCCTCACTTTTATCTTGTGGCAAATAAGGGCACCACTTTAAATGACCTCTGTCTTTCAGCTTAATGTCTCTCTCTCTCTCTCTCTCTCTCTCTCTCTCTCTATTTGTTCCTGTCACACTGGCCTTCTTCCTTTTTTTAAGATAAAATTCATCCTCAAATATTCTAGTACATATATTAATATCAATAGCTATTAAAATGTAATTGAAAATAAATCTAAATAAAAATGGTTAAAAAGTTAAAACCTTCAATCAAAGTTTCAAATAATCAATATATTTGTGAATAAATTCTCAAGCCAACTAGGTTAAAATTTAAAAATAAACATAATTTAAAATAAGATAGAAATCTGAAAAGTTGCAATATTTAAGTTGGCTGTGCTATAAAAAGAGGTTAATTTTCCTACATTGCTAGAAAAACTGCTATTGATAGTTACTTTATTTTTTTTGGAGGAAAATTGCTCAGTATCCAAAATCTACAGTGACATACAACTTGGTTCAGCCAGCATTTCATAGAAATCATAGTCTATATCCATAAAAATATACTTATGTATTAATATGTTGATTATAATATCTCAACGTAGAAATGAATTAAATGTCCATTTAAAGGTAAATGAAGATAATGAAGTATAATGGTAATCAAATGCACCAAAACCCAGCATATTTATAGTTTATTATGGCATAAATAGTGGATGGAACAGAAAAGAAATTTGTCATATTATCTTCTCTAACTACATTTCTTACATTGCATCCTCTGACTCCTCTTGACGGTGATAATGAACTGTTAAACAAACAGCTATATAACTACAAGCCACCTAACCAAACAAATCTACAGCCACCTGGAAATGCTTCTCTTTTATGAATGCCTCTTCCAACTTTTTAATTTTTCTTTAGGAATATATTAGTGTTTTCAGAGTGTATACACAGCTGACATGTTAAGCACCTTACATTTCATTCTAATTGTTGGCCAAATTTACTGGCAATTAAGTAGTATGTATGTTTTGATTCCTCTGAGTTTTTAAAATAATTGAACTTATGTGTAATAAAGAAGGAGTGGGTTAGTGAAGTCATTGTTAATTGCATCAAAAAAAATCTGTCGGGAAAGTTAATCAGAACTTAAAACTCATTTCCTATGGGACTGCACTTTCAATGTAATCATATCCTCGAAGAGGTTATATAGTGTGAAATTGTAGGAAAATGTGAGAAACTAATGCAGAGATTTTCATCACTTTTGAAAAACAGCCAATTCCACAATATTTTTAGTTAGATAAGAAATTTTGGTAAAATTAGACATAGTATCACATATATAATATTGTATCACCATTAATATAAAGTTAAAAATGATACTAAGCAGACAGATTTAGGTATCACCTCTATCTCTAGAGATTTATATCTACTTACTCTGTGTCTTTCAGTGCTTCTCACTTCTATGACCTCTTCATCTCAATCAAAACTCCTTTACCTACTCGCAGAATAATTATGCTGCCCTAGAAAATCCTGATGGCCATTCTGTCAAAATACGTTCATAATATTACTACCTCTCATCGCTTCTCTTTATAGCACCTTCGTACATGCCACTCTTATCTACTGTTTTATTCCAATCGCTTCTTAACTGGTTTTCCTAGTTATATCCTGTCCACTTTTGATCATTGATCATTGTCAAGAGCAGCTATATTCCAATTTAAACATAAGGCAAGTTAGAATATGATGTCGGTTGTGTTCAAAACACAGTTAACTCAAAGAAAAAAAAAGCTAAAGTCATGTAATGCCTAAAGGACTCTAACTGAATAGAACATCAGTTACGACTCTGACATCATTGTGTTATTTTACTCTTTTCACTTACTTCACTATAGCCACATTGATTTCAAGATACTAATGTGTGGTGTTTTAGTGATGAACTAATATCTATATACAGCTGCCAAAGATTGAAAGTGAAAATGTGACTTCAATTTATTTTGTGGCAAGGTGTTGAGGCAATGTTGAAGGACATGCAAATTATGTGCTGAGCAGTACTTTACTACAAGATTGTCACTAATATTTTGCATTTTCAATGAGCTCTACCCTGACCTCCCTATTTAAAATTACATCTCCTGAGATTCTTTCTTTTCATCATTCCTAATTTATCCTCCCACCACCCATTTATGCTTATCAACTTCTAATATACAATCTGTGACCAATCGTATTTTCCAAAGATGGCACAATCTCACTTTTACATTTTAGCAGTCTGACATTGGTGGAGTCTAATTGTTCTCCTCTTGAATCTAAACTGGCATTCAAGTGACTGCTTGAACTATAGAATGCAGGAGAAGCCATATTCTGAGAATTCTATGACTATGTCATAAGATGTCTTGTAGCCTCCACACAATTCTCTTAGAATTCTTGTTCTTGGAACTCTCCCTTTTAAAATGCAAGCACCATGCTATGTGATGCTCAAGTCACATGGAATGGTTAAATATATTAGGTTAGTGCAAAAGTAACTGTCGTTCTTGCCATTGCTTTTAATATTTGCACCAATCCAAGGTTCAGCTGAGCTCTCAAATGACATCCAACATTTACTGCCAGACACTGATAGGTTTTGAATCTGTGACTCCACCCAAATTTTATGTTGAATTGTAGTCCTCAGTGTTGGAGGTGGGGCCTGGTGGGAGGTGATTGAATCATGGGGGCCGAGTTCTCAAGAATGGTTTAGTGACATACCCTCAGTGCTATACTCATGATAGTGAGTGAGTTATCATGATACCTGGTTGTTTTTAAGTGTGTAGCACTTCTCTCCTCTCTCTCTTTCTCCTGCTCCCACCATGTAAGACATTCCTGCTTCCCCTATCCCTTCTGCCACAATTGAAAATTTCCTGAGGCCTTCCCGGAAATCAAGCAGATGCCAGCATTATGTTTCCTATACAGCCTGCAGAATTGTGAGCCAATTAATCCTCCTTTCTTTATAAATTACCCAGTCTCAGGCATTTCTTTATAGCAATGCAAGAATGGACTAATACACACATAAATGAACTCTCTTGGATATCCAGCCTAATTAAGCTTTCAAATGTCTACTTCAGACTCAGCAAACAACAAAATGCAGCAGTGAGAGAAATTCCAAGTAAGAACTGCTCTTCAGAGCCTAGACATTCCACAGATACCTAAAAGAGAAAAATATATTCTGGCTTCTTGTTTGTTTTAAGACATAAATGGTCTTTTTATTTTTAACATAGCAAAAGATAATTATTATTTGTCATGTTTATTGTATTTTCTAGCCAAATAATATATAACCTTCATTAGGCCAGGACACTTACCCTTCTGCTTGTTCAAAACTGTATTTCCAAATATGATATAGTGTTTGACACCTGTTACATACTCAAGAATTATTTATTGGTTGATGATTGTAATAGTTAATTTTATGTGTCAAACTGATGGGCTCACAAGATGCACAGACATTTAGTTAAATGTTATTTCTGGGTGTGTCTGTGAGGGTGTTTCCAGAGGAGGTAGTATTTGAATTAGACTGAGTACAGTACATCGTACTCACTTATGTGGGTAGACACCATCCAATACATTGAATTCCTGAATAGAGCAAAAAGATAGGGGAAGGGGGAATTCTCCCTTTCTCTGCTTGACAACATGAACTGGAACATTGATCTTTTCCTGTGCTAGGCATACTTAGTTCTCAGGTCTTCAGACCTGGACTGGAATTTACATCATTAGCCCTTTACACTACACCTCCAGCTTTCCTGGATCTTCATCTTGCAGAAGGTACATCATGGGACTTTTCAGCTTTCATAATTACATAAGCAAATACCTTAAAATAAATACCTTATAATAAATAAATAAATATATGCTCAAGTGATTGTGGAAGGTTAGATATCCCATTCTCTACCATCTACAAGCTGGTATATAGTATATAGTGACATAAGTAAATAAATACATACATATTTTATACATCTATGTATACATACATATATATATATGTTCAGACACACCTCTATGTTATATGTTTGTGTGTGTGTATGCTATAGGTTCTATTTCTCTAGAGAACACTGACTAGCACAATGGATGAACTTAATATATGACACTGTATTTTAGAACTATAGCCTATATCTCTAGTTAATTTTTTATATATCCTGTACCTGTAGTTAATCAATTTTGTTCGACTTCCCCAATTTTCTTTCAAACTCACTCAATCCTTTGTCGAAGTTCTCATGTCCTAAATTATTTTTATTTTTATTTTTTTCAATAAGAACACTTAACATAAGATCTACCATCTTAAAAACATACACACAATACAGTATTGTTAATTTCCTTTTCAATTGAAATTAGATATATTATAACACATTGCTCTAAGTAAGACTCTTTTACGCATACCTAGTTTTCTTCCTCTTTGCCTCATCCTACTTACTAGAAAATCCTAACTCTGATGAAAACTGGCTTTTTGAGATCTTTATGTCTATACTGAAGCAGCGACACAGAGCTGAAGAGAAGTGCATAACTTTGTTTACTGATCTTACTTTAAATTTATGACTGAAGGATTCAAGTGAAATCTCAGCATTCACCAGCATCCTATTACTGCTTTTAGTCAATTGTCCTCCTACTCTAGCAATACATTAATTTACAAATTCTCTTATTGCCAATCTATAACACTGACTCTTCTTTTCTCAACTGTTGACTTTGTTTTTATTTCTCTAAGAAAATGGAAGCACCGTAAAGACAATTCACTCATCCTCTGCCACCAAATTTACAAAACTACTTTCTTTTGAACACATATAAGATCAACCTTTGTTATTATGATGAACAATGTTTATATTTCAATTTAAGCCAAACCACTCTCATTAGCATGCTGGATTCCTTTCATTTTTATTTATTTATTTATTTAGAATTTATCTAACTATTGTCTCAAAATATAATATCTTTTCTTTTTTTTTTTTTTTTTTTTTAGAGAAGGGTCTCTCAGTCATTTAGGCAGGAGTGCAGTGGTGTGATTATAGCTCAATACAGCCTCAAACTCTTGGGCTCAAATAATTCACCTACCTCATTTTTTTTCTTATCAGTTATTGGGGTACAGGTGGTATTTGGTTACATGAGTAAGTTCTTTAGTGGTGATTTGTGAGATTTTGGTGCACCCATCACCTGAGCAGTGTACACTGCACCCTGTTTGTAGTATTTTATCCCTGGCCCCCTTCTCACCCTTCCCACCCTTCCCCTCAAGTCCCCAGAGTCCATTGTATCATTCTTATGCCTTTTTGTCCTCAGAGCTTAGCTCCCACATATCAGTGAGAACATACAGTGTTTGGTTTTCCATTCCTGAGTTACTTCACTTAGAATAATAGTTTCCAATTTCATCCAGGTTGTTGCAAATGCCGTTAATTCATTCCTTTTTATGGCTGAGCAGTATTGAATATATATATATATATATATATATATGTATGTATCTCACAGATTCTCTATCCACTCATTGATCAGTCATTGATTGATGGGCATTTGGGTTGGTTACACAATTTTTCAACTGCAAATTGTGCTGCTATAAACAAGCATGTGCAAATTTCTTTAATAACTTATTTTCCTTTGTATAGATACACAGTAGTGAGATTGCTGAATCAAATGGTAGTTCTACTTTTAGTTCTTTAAGGAATCCCCACACTGTTTTCCATAGTGGCTGTACTAGTTTACATTCCCACCAGCAGTGTAGAAGTGTTCCCTGATCACTGCATCCAAGCCAGCATCTACTGTTTTTGATTTTTTGATTGTGGCTGTTCTTCCAGGAGTAAGGTGGTATCATATTGTGGTTTTGATTTGCATTTCCCTGATCATTAGTGATGTTGAGCACTTTTCATATGTTTGTTGGCCATTTGTATATCTTCTTTTCAGAATTGTCCAGTCATGTCCTTAGCCTACTTTTTAATGGGATTGTTTGCTTTTTTCTTACTGATTTGTTTGAGTTCATTGTAGATTTTTGATATTAGTCCTTTTTCAGATGTACAGATTATGAAGACCCACTCTGTGTGTTGTCTGTTTACTCTACTGACTGTTTCTTTTGCTATGCAAAAGCTCTTTAGTTTAATTAAGTCCTAACTATGTATATTTGTTTTTATTTCATTTGCTTTTGGGTTCTTGTTCATGAAATCCTTGCCTAAGCCAATGTCTAGAAGGATTTTTCTGATATTATCTTCTATAATTTTTACAGTTTCAGGTCTTAGATTTAAGTCCTTAATCAATCTTGAGCTAATTTTTGTTTAAGGTGAGAGATGAGGATACAGTTTCATTCTCCTACCTGTGGCTAGCCAATTATCCCAGCACCATTTGCTGAAAAAAGTTGTCCTTTTCCCATTTTATGTTTTAGTTTGCTTTGTCCAAGGTCAGTTGGTCATAAGTATTTGGGTTTATTTCTGGGTTCTTTATTCTGTCCCATTGGTCTGTGTGCCCATTTTTATACCAGTACCATGTTGTTTTGGTGACTATGGCCTTATAGTATAGTTTGAAATCAGGTAGTGTTATGCCTCCAGATTTGTTCTTTTTGCTTAGTCTTGCTTTGGCTATGCAGGCTTTATTTTGGTTCCATATGAATTTTAGGGTTTTTTTTTTCTAATTCTGTGAAGAATGATGGTGGTATTTTGATGGGTATCGCATTAAATTTCTAGAACGCTTTTGGCAGTATGGTCATTTTCCCAATGTTGATTCTACCCATCCGTGACCATGGGATGTGTTTCCATTTGTTTGTGTCATCTATGATTTCTTTCAGCAGCATTTTGTAGTTTTCCTTGTAGTGGTCTTTAGCCTCCTTGGTTAGGTATATTCCTAAGCATTTTATTTATTTATTTATTTTTGCAGCTATTGTAAACAGGGTTGAGTTCTTGATTTGATTCTCTGCTTGGTTGCTGTTTGTATATAGAAGAGCTACTGAATTGGGTACATTTATCTTGTATCCAGAAACTTTGCTGAATTCTTTCATCAGTTCTAGGAACTTTCTGGAGGAGCCTTTGGATTTTTTGAGGTAAGCAATCATATTATCAGCAAACAGTGACAGTTTGACTTTCTCTTTACTGATTTGAATGTCCTTTATTTCTTTCTCTTGTCTGCTTGCTCTGGCTAGGACATCCAGTAGTATGTTGAAGAGGAGCAGTGAGAGTGGGCCTCCTTCTCTTGTTCCAGTTCTCAGAGGAAAAGCCTTCAACTTTTCTCCATTCAGTATTATGTTGACTGTGGGTTTGTCATAGGTGACTTTTATTACATTGAGGTGTGTCCCTAGTATGTCAATTTTGCTGAGAGTTTTAATCATAAAGGGATGCTGGATTTTGTTGTATGTCTTTTCTGCACCTATTGAGGTGATCATGTGATTTTTGTTTTTATTCTGTTTATGTGGTATATCACATTTATTAACTTACATATGTTAAACCATCCCTGCATCCCTGGTATGAAATCCACTTGATCTTGGTGGATTATCTTTTTGATATGTTGTTGGATTTGGTTAGCTAGTATTTTGTTAAGGATTTCAGTGTCCATGTTCATCAGGGATATCAGTCTGTAGTTTTATTTTTTGGTTATGTCCTTTCCTGATTTCAGTATTAGAGTGATGCTGGCTTCACAGAATGAATTAGGGAGGGTTCCCTCTTTATCTTGTGGAATAGTGTCAAAAGGATTGGTACCAATTCTTCTTTGAATGTCTGGTAGAATTCTGCTGTGAATCCATCTGGTCCTGGACCTTTTTTTGTTGCTAATTTTTAAGTTACCATTTAAATCTCCCTGCTTGTTATTGGTCTGTTCAGGGTATCCAGTTTTTCCTGATTTACACTAGGAGGATTGTATTTTCCAGGAATTTATCCATCTCTTCTGGGTTTTCTAGTTTATGTGCATAAAGATGTTCATAGTAAGCTTGAATAATCTTTTGTGTTTCAGAGGTGTCAGTTGTAGTATCTCCTGTTTCATTTCTCACAGAGGTTATTTGGATTTTCTCTCTTTTCTTGGTTAATCCTGCTAATTGTCTATCAATTTTATTTATCTTTTCAAAGAACCAGCTTTTTATTTATCTTTTGTATTTTTTTTCATTTAAATTTCTTTTAATTCTGCTCTGATCTTGGTTATTTCCTTTTGTCTGCTTGGTGTGGGTGTGGTTTGTCCTTGTTTGTTTCTCTAGTTCCTTGAGGTATGACTTAAAATGTCAGTTTGTGCTTTTTCAGTCTTTTTGATGTAGGTGTTTAAGGTTATGAATTTTCCTCTTAGCACCAACTTTCCTGTATCCCAGAGGTTTTGATAGGTTGTGTCATTATTGCCATTTAGTTTGAAGAATTTTTTGATTTCCATGTTGATTTTGTTTTCGACCCAATGCTCATTCAAGAGCAGGTGATTTAATTTCCATGTACTTGCATGGTTTTGAAAGTTCCTTTTGGAGTTGATTTCCAGTTTTATTCCACTGTGGTCTTAGAGAGTGTTTGATATAATTTTAATTTTCTTAAAATTTATCAAGGCTCATTTTATGGCCTATCATATGGTCTATCTTGGAGAAAGTTCTATGTGCTGTTGAATAGAACGTGTTTTCTGTGTTTGTTAGATGAAATGTTTTGCATATATCTGTTAAGTCCATTTGTTCCAAGGTGTAGTTTAAATCTATTGTTTCTTGTTTGACTTTCTGTCTTGACGACCTGTCTGGTGCTGTCAGTGGAGTATTGAAGTCCCTCACTATTATTGTGTTGCTGATGATCTCATTTCTTAGGTTTGTTAGTAATTGTTTGATAAATTTGGAAACTCCAGTGTTAGGTGCATATATATTTAGGATTGTGATATTTTCCTGTCGGACAAGGTCTTTTACCATTATATAATATCCCTCTTTGTCTCTTTTAACTACTATTTCTTTAAAGTTTGTTATGTCTGATGTAACAATAACCACCCCTACACTTTTGGTATCCATTTGCATGAAATGCCTTTTTCCACCCCTTTACTTTAAATTTATGTGAGTTCTTATGTGTTAGGTGAGTCTCCTGAAGGCAGCATGTAGTTGGTTAGTGAGTTCTTATCCATTCTGCAGTTCTGTATCTTTTAAGTGGAGCACTGAGGACATTTACATTGAATTTTAGTGTTGAGATGTGTGGTACCATTCCATTCATCATGGTATTTGTTGCCTGTGTACCTTGTTTTTTTGTTTGTTTTTTCTTTTCCTTTTTAAATTGTATTTTTGTTTGATAGGTCTTGTGTGATTTATGCTTTAAAGAGGTTCTGGTTTGTGCAGGCACAGTAGTTCACACCTGTAGTCCAAGCACCATGGGAGGCTGAGGAGGGTGAATCACCTTAGGTCACAAGTTCAAGACCAGCCTAGCCAACATGGTGAAATCCCATCTCCACTAAAAATACAAAAAATAGCCAGCCATGGTGGCAGTTGCCTGTAGCCTCAGCTACTCAGGAGGTTGAGGCAGGAGAATCGCTTGAATCCGGGAGGCAGAGTTTGCAGTGAGCTGGTATTGCACCACTGCATTCCAACCTAGGCAACAGAGTTGGATTCTATCTAAACAACAAACAAACAAACCAAAAAAGTTTCTGTTTTGATGTGCTTCTAGGATCTGTTTCAAGATTTAGAGCTTTTAGCAGCTCTTGTAGTGGTAGCTTGGTAGTGGTGAATTATCTCAACATTTGTTTGTCTGAAAAAGACTATCTTTCCTTCATATGTGATGCTTAGTTTCACTGGAAACAAAATTCATGGCTGATAATTGTTTTGTTTTAGGAATTGTTTTGTTTTTTGTTTTTGATTTTGTTTTGTTTTGTTTTGTTTTGAAGATAGGGCTCCAATCTCTTTTAGCTTGTAGGGTTTCTGCTGATAAATCTGCTGTTAATCTGATAGGTTTTCCTTTTTAGGTTACATGGTGCTTTTGTCTCACAGCTCTTAAGATTCTTTCCTTCATCTTAACTTTAGATAACCTGATGACAATGTGCCTAGGCAATGATCGTTTTGAGATGAATTTCCCAGATGTTCTTTGTGCTTCTTGTATTTGGATGTCTAAGTCTCTAGCAAGGCTGGGGAAGTTTTCACATTATTCCCCCAAATATGTTTTCCAAATTTTTAGATTGCTCTTCTTCCCCAATTATTCTTAGGTTTGGTTGTTTAACATAATCCCAGACTTCTTGGAGGCTTTGTTCATGTTTTCTTATTTTTTTTATTTGTCTTTGTTTGATTGAGTTAATTCAAAGACCTTGTGTTTGAGCTCTGAATTTCTTTCTTCCACTTGTTCAATTCTATTGCCGAGATTTTTCAGAGCATTTTGCATTTCTACAAGTGTGTCCAATGTTTACTAAAGTTTTGATTGTTTTTTCTTTATGCCATCTATTTCCTTGAATATTTCTCCCTTCACTTCTTGTATTATTTTTTGGATTTCCTTGCATTGGGCTTTGCCTTTTTCTGGTGCCTCCTTGATTAGCTTGGTAACCATCCTCCTGAATTCTTTTTCAAGTAAATTAGGGATTTCTTCTTGGTTTGGATCCACTGCTGGTGAGCCACTGTGATATTTTAGGGGTACTAAAAAGCCTTGTTTTGTCATATTACCAGAGTTGGTTTTCTGGTTCCTTCTTATTTGCAGAGGCTCTGTCAGAGGGAAGGTCTAGGGCTGAAGGCTGCTGTTCAGATTCTTTTGTCCCATGGGGTGCTCCCTTGATGTAGCAACTCTCTCCCTTTTCCTATGGATGTGGTTTACTGAGAGCCAAGCTGTAGAGATTATCTCTCTTCTGGGTCTAGCAACCCAACAAGTCTACCAGACTCTGGGCTGGTACTGGGGGCTGTCTACACAGAGTCCTGTGATATAAACCATCTATGGGTCTCTCAGCTGTGGATACCAGCACCTGTTCTGGTGAAGGTGGCAGGGGGGTGAAATGGACTCCGTGAGCATTTTTAGCTTTGATGGTTTTTGTGCTGGTTGGCCTCCTGCCAGGATGTGGCATTTTCCAGAGAGTATCAGCTGTGGTATTATGGAGAGGAACTGGTGGTGGGCAGGGCCTCAGAATTACCAAGAGTATATACCCTTTTTCTTCAGCTACTAGGGTAGGTAGAGAAGGACCATTGGGTAGGGGCAGGGCTAGGTGTGTCTGAGCTCAGATTCTCCTTGGGCAGGTCTTGCTGTGGCTGCTGTAGGGGATGGGGGCGAATTTCCCAGGTCAATGGAGTTGTGTACCTAGGAGGATGATGGCTGCCTCTGCTTAGTCATGCAGGTTGTCAGGCAAGTGAGCAAAAACCGGTAGTCACAAGCTTCACCTGGCTCCCATACTATCCAAAGGGCCGATTTCACTCCCACCATGCTCCCCTTAACAGCCAGAAGTCTCTTTCCAGGCAGTGGCTGTGGAGTCCGCACACTGGATTCACTCCCTCCCCTGTGTTCTGGCCAGGAGGCTTCCCTCCCAGTTCAAATTGTTACAAAGTTCAGCTGGGGAATTCCTTCTCCCTGTGGCATTCCCCCCCACGCCTCTGGCTGCCCTCCCAATGGATCCCTTTGTTGCCAGGCAGTAATGGCCTGCTTGGGGACTCAATGAGCTCCCAAGGCTTTTCCCACTACTTCCTTTACCCTTGTATTTCGCTCAACTATCTACATTGACTCAACTCCTGGTAAGGTTGGAAACTTCTCCTGCAAACCAGGCCTTCAGTTTCCCCATTGGGGCATATATTCAGGAGCTGAGAGTCTCCCTTTCCCACTTCCACAGTTTGGGCACTCACAGTGTTTGGGGTGTCTCCTGGGTCCTACAGTGGCAGTCCACTTCCTTCGCAGGGTCTATGGGTCCTCTTGGAATTCCTGGTTCGTTCTTGCAGTCATTATGGAGCTAAAGTTCATGATGCAAGCCTCTGCATGCTGTTCTGTCCATTCGAATTGGAGCTGCAATCTAGTCCTGCCTCCTGTCTGTCATGATGATCCCAAACATAAATCTTGTATTTTTGAGCAGTTAGGACAATAGGCATTTACCCCCATACCCAACTGTGTGCTTGGCTACTGTCTCCTATTGAGAGGTGAAGCCAGCTGGGCTTCTGGGTCCAGTGGGGACTTGGAGAACTTTTCTGTCTAGCTAGAGGATTGTAAATGCACCAATTAGCATTGTGTAAAAAGGGACTAATCAGCACTCTGTAAAATGGACCAATCAGTAGGACATAGGCAGGGCCAAATAAGGGAATAAAAGCTGGCCACTCGAGCCAGCAGCAGTAACCTGCTCGGTACCCTTCCAGCTTTGTTCCTTCACTCTTCATAATAAATCTTGCTGCTGCTCACTGTTTAGGTCTGTGCCACCTTTAAGAGCTGTGACACTCACTGTGAGGGTGGGTCTGTGGCTTCTTTCCTGAAGTCAGCAAGACCACGAACCCACTGGAAGGAACAAACAACTCCGGATGTGCCACCTTTAAGAGCTGTAACACTCACCACAAGGTCCACAGCTTCATTCTTGAAGTCAGCGAGACCAAGAACCCACCAGAAGTAATAAATTCCAGACACATTATCTCTTTAAATTCCAGGGCTCTTTTCTTTGCTGCAGACAGATGAATAAGTCTGGCTTAGAGGTAGCAAGACCATTTATCAGCCTCCAGATGTTCCAGCATCCTCCCTATGGATCTCCCATTACCTGCAAGTCACAGGATGGCAGGTGCTATGGTAGAGTCACCCAGGAGCTCCTGGAATGGAGGAGATGAAACGGTGGAGATGGGAACTCAGATTCCTTTTATTTTTATACTTTTGGGAGTTTATTTCTATAAACATTCTTTGTCTTCTACATTCTTTTTTTAGATAGATAGCCCAGGCAAGGTGGCTCATGCCTGTAATCTCAGCACTTTGGGAGGTTGAAGTGGGAGGATCACTTGAGCCCAGGAGTTTGAGACTAGCCTGGTCAACATAGTGAGACTCCGCCTCTACAAATAATAAAAAAATAAAAGATTAGCAGTGTGTGATGGTGTCCACTTGTGGTCCTAGCTACTCAGAAAGCTGAGGTGGGAGGATTGCTTGAGCCTGAGATGTTGAGGCTGCAGTGAGCCATGTTTGCACCACTGCATTCCAGCCTCAGTGACAGAGTAAGACCGTGTCTCAAAAAACAAAAAGATAGATGATAGATAGATAGATAGACATATTAGATAGATATAGATGTAGATACAGATGTTATGATCAGCCTTAAACTTAATCCTCTCCTTTTTCCATGTTCCCCTTAATTTTCTGTCAGTCTTCAGTAAAACTTGTAGTTTTCTTAAGACTAGTTCACTTTTCTTATCATTCAGTCACACCTGAATTAACTGCAATCAGAATCAGATTCATTATAACTAGTTAATTATACTTGAACTTCTTTTTTTACTTCACTCATATACCAAAATTTTTCAGTACAACATTTGCCATTCCTTCTTAGATTCCAGTGCTGTGGTCTCTTTGTCTCTTTTAGATGCTAGGATATCTTATTTCATTTGTACCCTTTAAATATATACAAATAATAAATAAGTTAATTAAAAGTCTGTCCTGACATTTCCAAAATTATTCTTTCATTTCCCTCCACCTATCAGTTCCTTTTCCACAGTTCACAATTTCTGAAAATGACCCTACCTGGTTGTTTAAGCCCCATCCTTTCCAAATGTAGTTATCATCATTTTTTTTTCCTCTCTTCTACTACACCATAGCTCATCCATTAGCAGTTCTGGTTAACCAGAACTGGGATATCTCAAAGATCTTTATATAGTCATTCCCTATGTATTAGTCCATTGTCATGCTGATAATATATTAAGACATATCTGAGATTGGGTAATTTATATATAAAAAAAGGTTTAATGGACTCAGTTTCACATGGCTGGGGAGGTCTCACAATCATGGTGGAAGACAAGGAGGAGCAAGTCACATCTCATACGGTGTCAGGGAAGAGAGAAAAGAGAGCCAGGAGTTCAAATTATATTTTTGAATGATACATCTTGTCAGATAATTGTTTCAAAAATTTCAAAATTATTTGCAAGTTCAAGCCACTACTATTACTTACATTCAATTAGTCTGTCATTCTTCATTCTTGAGTCCAGCCTCCTATTACACATTCTCCAATAAGGAATAAAAATAAACCTCCAATGAGATGCTTCTCCACTTAAATCTCTTCAGAGACTTCTCCAGATATTTAGATATAAATGCAAAGCCTTGCCTGAATTTACAAGGTTATTCAAGGAGAATAGTGACTTTTTAAATGTGTTTTTGGCCAATGCTTTCCTTTATTCTACTCCAACTAAACAGTATCTATGCTTTTTCGAGAACACATTAAGCATACCCCGTCCAAGGTTATGAATTTCTTCTAAAATCTGCTTCTAGATATTCATTTCATAGATATTCATTTTGTTGCATTTTATTTCTCTTTATTTCATGCAAGTCATGAATATTCTTGGAAAACATTTTAGTAAAATTTATAATAAATTTAAGTATGAGGATGCCATGATATATTAAGACAATTTAATCAGCAAATAAAATGATAAAACATAATTTTTAAAAACGTTAATATGTCTAAAATGTCTATATAATAAGTAATGATTAATAATTTACAAAGTGAATTTAGGGAGTAAATTCATAATCGTGAACTGAAATTTAAGATAAAAAATAAAGTAATGTAATATGTGTGTGTGTATATATATTTAGGTGTGTGTATATAGTATATATTTATATATATGACATTCAGATGTGGAAAATAAATTATAAAGTTATTTTTTAATGGTTGAATATAGCATTTAATCTTAACCTTTTATTTAAAAATGGTTAAATATAACATTTTGTGATTATGAAACAGAGTTTAAGGACTCTGGCTCTGCAGCAAACCACCCTTACAACACCACCTTGAACAAACCAACCAGCTGTCTCTTCTTTAGTTATCAAGTTTTTATAAATGCTGTACAATATCATGGGGGTTTTATGAGGTTTAAGATATTAATACATTCAAAAATATTTAGGACACTGCCTGATGCATAATTATCAATTCAAAATATTAGCTGGTATGCTTCTAATAAGTACAATAAAAAGAATGATTCATAGTCAATGTTTTCCTTTCAGGATGTTAAATATAAAATGTACATTCTTGTAATGATCATGTGTCATCTTATCTCACAAAAGGTGTAGTGGTGGCTATGGTGTGTGCTGCTTAGCAGCCTTGATTTTATGCTATCATCACCAATTCAAACAATGGATATTGTTGAAGATTAATTTAATAAAAATATAGAAAATACAGGCATACCTTAGGTATATTGTGGGTAGGTTCCAGACCACCACAGTGAAGTAAATATCACATTAAAGTGAGTTGGTTTCCCATTGCATATGAGAGTTATGTTTACACTATACCATTATCTATTAAGTGTACTATAGCATTATATCTAAACATCAATGTGCATGCATTAATTAAATCTATTTTATTTCTTAAAAAATTGCTGTTATCTGAGTCTTCGATGAGTTGTCATCTTTTTGCTGGTGGAAGGTCTTATCTCAGTGTTGACCAATCTGATTGATTAGAGAGGTGTTTGTTGAAGGTTGAAGTAGGTGAGAAATTTCTTAAAAAAGGGCAACAATCACATTTGCTATATCAAGTAACTTGTCTTGGTGGGTATATGGTAGATGTATATATGTATGGAGTACATAAGATATTTTGAAACAGGCATGCAATGTCTGAAAGCATATTAGAGTAAATGGAGTGTCCATCACCTGAAGCATTTATCCTTTATTTTGTTAGCATGTGATGCTGTTTGATAGAATTTTACCCAGAGTAGAACTTCTTTCAAAATTAGAACAAATCCTTTCAAACCCTGCCACTGCTTTGTTAACAAAGTTTATGGAATATTCTAAATCTTTTTCTGTCTTTTCAACAATGTTCACAGCATGCTCACCAGGAGTTGTTCCCATCTCAAGAAACAACTCTCTTTGTTCTTCCATAAGAAGCAACTCCTCATTTGTTTTAATTGTGAGATTGCAGCAACTCAGTCACATCTTTAAATTCCACTTCTAATTCTAGTTCTCTTGCTATTTTTACCACATCTGCAGGTCACTTCCTTCACTGAAGTCTTGAGCTGCTTGAAGTCATTCCTGTAGGTTGTAATCTACTTCATCCAAACTCCTGTTAATTTTGATATTTTGACAACTGCCTATGAATTATGAATTTTTTTTTTTTTTTTGAGATGGAGTCTTGCTCTGTCGCCCAGGCTGGAGTGCAGTGGCACGATCTCGGCTACATTGCAAGCGCCGCCTCCTGGCTTCACGCCATTCTCCTGCCTCAGCCTCCCGAGTAGCTGGGACTACAAAGTGCCTGCCACGACTCCTGGCTAATTTTGTTTTTGAATGTTCTTAATGGCAGTTAAAATGCTGCAGCACTTCCAGTAGGTTTCCAGTTTACTTTGTCCAGAAACATCAGTGTAATTACTATCTATGGCTGCTATAGACTTAAAAGATATATTTATTAAACTCTATGACTTAAAAGTCAAAATTACTCTTTGATCCATGTGCTTCAGAAAGAATGTTGTGTTTGGAGGTATAAAAAAACCATTAATTTTATACATCTGCATCAAAGCTCTTGGGTGACCAAATACATTGTCGAAGAGCAGTAACATTTTGAAAAAAAAAAATTCTGAGCAGTAGATCTTAACAGTGGGGTTAAAATATTCAGTAAAATATGCTGTAAAAAAGATGTGCTCTCATCCAGGAGTCGTTCCATTTCTAGACCATAGGCAGGATAGATTTTAGCATCATTATTAAGGGCCCTAGGATTTTAAAAATGGTAAATAAGCATTTGCTTCATCCAAAGCCATCATCTGCATTATCCTCTAATGAGAGTCAAACTGTCCTTAGAAGCTTTGAAGTCGGGCATTGATTTCTTTCTAGCTGTGAAAGTCCCAGCTGGCATCTTCTTCCAAGAGGAGGCTGTTCGATCTATATTGAATATATGTTGTTTAAAGTAGCCACCTTCATCAATTATCTTAGCTAAATCTTCTGGGTAACTTGCTGTAGCATATACATTAACACTTGCTGCTTAACTTTGATGACATAGAGATGGCTTCTTTTTTAAGCCTCATAAACCAATAGCTGCTAGCTTCAAGGTTTTTTTCTGCAGCTTCCTCACCTCTCACAGCCTTTGTAGAATTGAAAAGAGTTAGGGCCTTGCTCCGTTTTGGTCTTTGGCTAAAGGGATTCTTGTGACTGGTTTGAGCTTCTATTGAGACCATTAGAACTTTCTCCACATCGGCAATTACATAGTTTTGCTTTCTTATCACTTGTGTGCAATGGAGTAATATGTTTAAGTGTCTTCAATAACTTTTCATTTGCATTCACAACTTGGCTAATTGTAGTGCAAGAGGCCTGGCTTTCAACATATCTTGGCTTTCAAGATGCTTTCTTCACATCAGCTTAATCATTTCAAGCTTCTGCTTAAAAGTGGGAGACATGCAGCTCTTTCTTGAACGCTTAGAAATGTTTGTAGGTTTATTAATTGGCCTAATTTCAGTATTATTGTTTCTCAGCAAATAGGGAGGGTGGAAGAAAGGATTACAGAGAGGACAATGGCCAGCCTGTGGAGGAGTCAGAACACACACATTTGTTGATTAAGTTTTCCATCTTATGGACTGCCATCAAAACAACTACAATAATAATATCAGAGATCGCTGATCATAGGTCATTAAAACAGATATAACAACAACAAAAAAGTTTGAAATATTGAAGACTTACCGAAATGTGACATAGCAACACAAAGTGAGCACACGCTGTTGGAAAACTGGTGCTGATAGATGCATGTTCCACACCTGGTAGCCAGAAAGCTTCAATTTCTAAAAACTGTAACATCTACAAAATGTAATAAGCAAAGTGCAATAACACAAGGCATGCCTGTATGTACATATGAGCTTGCAATTTTCAGAAGAAAAAATAATGGAAATATTATTTTTGCTGAAAAAGTGAAACATTGTAATTTCTATAATTAATGACAGAACAATGTTGCTCAGTGGTTTTGCAACATTATATTTTTGGTGTTTTCAAATTAGTTTGAGATGTACACACTGATAATACAAAAATAAATTCTACATATTATGAACATTTAATATTTAGCACATGATTACAGAATGAAAGATGTATATTCACAATGTTGTAGCTATTACAATATAAGATGAAGAAATTTAGAACTTCCAATGTGTTTCTAATTGCAATTGATTTATTCTTCACTGAGAACTCTGAACAAGTGACGGGCTAGGTATTAGGAGTGTGGAGTCGGGGATCAATGAACAAGATAAATTTGGTTCCTGTCTTCACAGAGGCTATTAACTAATGGGAAAACCAGAAATCAGATAGTCATTTAGAAAGGGAATGAAGGTTATGAAAACCTGCACAGTGCTTTGGGTCACATGACAGTGAAATCTTAGCCATCTGTGAGGAAACAATGTTTAAACTGAAATTTAGAGATTGAGCATATTTAGGTAACCAAAAGGTATGGGCAAAGAGCTTTTAATTTGGGCAAAAGGAACTATGTGAATAGCTTGAAAGAGCAACAAAAGGAAGAAAGTCCTACTTTGAGTGAGAAATGAAAGCTGATTGACCCAAGACAAAGTTGTCAACAGTTATCGCAAAGCTCAAAATTATGTCCACCATGAGTTTTTGTTTAAGCTTTTTTCCTAAAGAAAGAAAGTAGCCATTTGATGTGTTTTGGAACAGGGATAACATGATTATATTTTAAATTTACAAATATCTGTCTGAGTTCAGTGGGAGGGACGTGCTTGAGGGGAACAAGAGCGGATGTAGAAAGCCAAGTTAGTAAATTGTTGTAATATACAAATGAGATATAATGCTAATTGAGACTATAAAAGGGCAATTAAAATAGATCTAAGTAGAATCTAGAAACACTATGTAGCAATACCACAGAATGATCAGCCATGTGGACTTTGGTGGCAGAAAAATTAGAGTTTAAACTTTGATTTTGTAATGTATTAGGTATCTATGCTTTAATATGTATTCTGAACTACAATCGAAATCACTCTTATCTATTAAATAATAATAATATATCAAACACAGGGTGGTCATGTGGATTAAATTAGTTAATGCTTACAAAGTACTTTGTCACCAATTATATTGTGTCATGTGGATTAAATTAGTTAATGCTTACAAAGCACTTTGTCACCAATTATATTGTACAACTACAGGCTGTAAATATAGTTACTATAATAATGCAAATCATGGGTTGTGAATAAATTAATGAAGAGAAAGGAATCAACTGTGACCACAAACTTTCAAGACTGAGAAACTAAGTGAAACATTGGAGCCATTTAATTAAGATAAGAACCCAGAGAAGAAAAAAAATAGTCCAGGGATATTGAGGAGGAGGATGATTTTCATTTGAGATAATAATGTCTAGTTTGCAGGCATTATAGTAGCATTAAATAAAAGCAAAATGATACACATATCATATCACAGAGCCATCCAAGCAATAAACAATGTTTCCATGTTTGTTTTGTTCTGTATTTCTCTCTTTCCAGATACTTTTTAATCCCTCTGTTTATCAGAATGCTATTCTAGTTCTTTTCAGTCTTCAATACAACTTTAGTATTTTTCTCTAGATACTCCCTCATTTTTGCCCACAAATTAAAAGTAAAAAGTCCCCTACAAAGTCCATGAACATTTTCCTCTTAATTATGCTTTTCATAATTTTTAAAGCCCCGTCTGCACATATTGGCTCAAATTCCTCAACTATGAAACCATTCTATGACATATTTATGTCATTTTTTCTCTTTTCATTTAATCTATCCATTTTGCTAACAAAGCTAACATTTATTGTAGTGTTTACAAATTCAACTAATATTCCATATTTATTGAATATAATGGTTTTTAAATTTCAATTAATATTTTTTCAATTAATATTAATTAACATTTACTACTAATAAAATTTTCTAAATATTCTAAGCCACCTTTCATTATATGTCACCAAGTCTCTTTTGTTGAAACTCTCATTCATTTATGAATACGTGTATGCATATATACCCTAATATTAATTTAGTGTCTGTTTTATACCAGTTGTTTTTGTTAGGCATTCAAAACACAAGATTAATAAGCTCATTACACAAATATATACTGGACATCTACTTTGGGATAAATAGTTTTAGGTCACTGGAATGGTTCAGTAACACAAAACCTTTTATAGTTGAGCTTACATTTTATTGTAGGGAGGGTGAGCCAAATTACACAAACAGATTTGTTTATCTTCAGTTTATGGTTTTGTTTGTTTGTGTTTTAAACCACAGAATTGAACATGATCACCTAGCCAGTAAAAGTACATAGAGAGAACAAAGTGGAACAGAGAATAGTTTGTGACATTTCAAAATAAAGAGAAAAAGAGAAGACAGGAACAAACACAGGAGACTTAGAAGGAGAGGCCAATTATATAAGAAGACAACCAAGAGGTAGCATATTAAAAAATGTCAGGTAAAGAAAGTGAGTAGAAGGCTCAAATGCTGATGGTATGCCAAATAAGGTAAAAACACCACTAGGCTGAAACATGCAGAGATCATTCATGACCTTGTTTAAAAAAAAAAAAAATTCACTAGAGTGATGGCTGTAAATTCCTTTTTAAAGTAAATTTAAGGAAAAAAGGGGCTGGGTACGGTGGCTCATGCCTGAAATCCCAGCACTTTGGGAGGCCAAGGCTGCCGGATTACCTGAAGTCAGGGGTTCAAGACCAGCCTGGCAAACATGGTGAAACCTCGTCTCTACTAAAAATACAAAAAATTAGCTGGGCACAGTGGCTGTAATCCCAGCTATTCGGGAGGCTGAGGCAGGAGAATCGCTTGAACCCAGGTGGCAGAGGTTGCAGTGAGCCGAGATCATTTCACTGCCCTCCAGTGTGGTCAACAGAGCAAGAAAAAAGGGATAAGTAAAATTACAAACAGAGTACAGAAAACCTTTTCCAGGACTTTTGTAAACTCCTGGCAAATAAGAGATATCGATTGGAACTGTAACTAACAGGGGAAAAGAGAATATTGCTTTTTTAAAAAATGGGAGAGATAAAAACAAATTTCTGTCAATGGAAATAGTCAAGTAAAGAGAGAAAATATTCTGAGAGGAAGAAGGGAGAATTGCTGGAACCAGGTCTTTCAGAAGGCGTAGGGGAAGATAAAGATGCAATGCACAAATGGAGGCATTGGCTTTAAATAAGAACAAGGACTCTTCATTTATAGAAACAGGCAGGGAAGAATAACTGGTGATATATAGGAGAAGGAAAAGTTACATAAGAAATGAGGCTTGAAGCCGAAAGAGCAAATAAGTTTTTCATAACTTAGTGTTTCTGAAAAGCACAATGAACTCAAGTTGATACTCTCCTATTTCCACCATGAACAAAACAATGTGTCACAAATGGGTTTAGGAAGAATGTAGAACAGATGTCAAGAAATCTTTCATCATACAGAGACCCATAAACATATGGAATGACCCACGAAGCAAACTGTGAATTTGGAATCATTGTAACCCTCTAGGAAGTAATTAAAACACATATTTAGTGATCAAAAGTTTTATGAAGAAAAGAGCTTGATGAATTGTACGATATTTAGATTTTTTAACCAACATTTTCTCTGCTTTATGCTTTTTTCCCCCATGGTTTTGTAGGAAGATGCATTTCTTCCATCTGTTATTTACCATTTTGAGTACTGTATAGTAAACCGAATAATTCAACCAAAAAATTCAAAGAACACCTTCAGTGACTAACACTGGAGAAATTTTAAATATAATTATTTGGAAGCATATGAATCTGCAGTTTACAAATGCTTAATTTTAAAATAATAAGGCATAATTTTTTTTCTTAGTTTAACTGAAAAAAATGGCTCATTTACTCTAAACAACTTTTGAGTTTTAGTAGATCATATGAAAATATTTTTAATTAAGTCTGCTTTAGAAACCCTGTGAATCTGAATATCTCACTTTTTTGTTTATTTCTGTCTGTGTATAGCAGTGGATATACAGAAAACATAATAAGGCAATTGATATGGAGACTAATAAATTACTGTTATTAGTAATTAACTTTTTGATTAGGTATCACTTCTTTTATGTCTTTTTTTTGTCAGATGCTATTTTTATTGTGCTAAATACCATTCATGTAAGTCACCACAAATAACCAAGTTTATAAAATTTTAAAAGCGGTCAGGTAATTTAAGATGTATCAAACAAAAGAGTAGAGTTTTACATCATATTTAATCAAAAAACATGTTCATGTATTTCTTCTGTATCAACAATTAAATTGCCTTTTTTCTGCTATTGAAATCAAAGAAAGAAAGTGCATTTGAGGTGATTATTATTAATGTATAGAAAGGATATATTGAATTCCTGATTATTACTCATAACTCTATTGGTTATTAAATGGAGATAGAAAGTTTACATTGACTTTATAATTATCAATTATGTTTAGTTGCTCAGTTTGAATACAATATTATTCTTTATATTATAAGCCCACAATTTGGCAGGCTTAGTCAAGCTGTACTTACCTGATTACCTAATTAAACAATCGAATTGATCAACAGAGTGTATTAATTATGTGCTCCAGGTAATTACAGTACCTTTTTAGTTTCCACATCTGATTCAGTGGACTAAAATATGCATACTTTTAAAAATACAATTTTAAAACATTTCTCAATACTTTGAATTTGCTGTTTTAAATATTGTGTATATATTTTAGCATCCTTGAATAATAAAATGATATTTAGCATGTCTCTCTTTTCTCACAGTGCCTTTTATATGAGACATTCATAATTTTAAAATAATTTAGCTTCACAATCCACAGTGTATTTACCTTTATTGCCCTTATATTTTATGTTTGTAGAGAAGTGAATTTATAGAATTTGTGTAACTTACACAAATTGTTGGGTCACACAAAAATCACTTTTAATGGGAATATTTCATTAAAGCAGATTCTGAAAATATTTCTTATAATAGCTATATAAATATTTAGTATGATCTTTATTTTAGAAAAGTATTTTTTAAATTTACTTAAAATTATTTTCTATAGTCTCTATGCCAAAGATTACTTGATGTATCATATACTACTTGGTGTACCATAAAGAAGTTTGCTTATTTTTGTCAATCTTTTATTGACTGATTTTCTGTTCCTTTTCATCTTTCCAGTTACAATGGAAGATGTGTTCTTTCCCCTATCCAAATTAAATCGCTTCATCCTGAAAGTCATATATCCTCAACATCTTCTCAATGACTGGTTAAAGCAAAATAAATACGGCCTGTGAAGGACTCCATACTTCTATATTTGAGTCTTTGTGGATGAACTATAACTTAGCTTTAGGTAGACAAGACAGAAAACCTAACCTAGGAGTAGGCGTCTGTAACAGTTGCTGAGTTTGGGCCAATCCCAGCAGCCATACTTCCCCCATTCATAGACTGAGTTTAAATAAGGCAAACGTCAACCTGTGACCAATCCAGCTGTTTCTGTACTTCATTGCCGATTTCTGTATATCACTTCCCTTTTTGTGCCTATAAATTTGTTCTGACCATGAGACATCCCTGGAATCTCTCTGAATCTGCAGGGATTCTGGCATCTGCTCAATTCGCGATTTTTTCATTGTGCAATTAAACTCCAATAAAATTCACTTTCTTTTAAATTTTTCTTCGCAGGATTTCTAAGTCTCTCTTTCTACTATTTTATTTTAATTTTTTTACATTTTATTTTTAATTGACATATAATAGCGTACATATTTATTAGGTACGTAGTGTAGTTTAAAAGTCTGCTATTTAATTCTAAAATACACTAAAAAATTATAACCTCAAAATAAGCAAACAAACATGGGAGCAATATTTCCTTATCTTCTTCTGTTACTCTCAGATTCAACATATGCAGAAAAGTCCTTTTTGAAGTTTATATTTCCATAAAGATCAACTTACATTGTTCTTTATTTAATATTGTAATTATTCATTTTAAGAGATTTGTTGAGCTATAATTTGCATGTCCTACAACTTATCCATTTAAAATGAATAGTCCAATCATTTTTAGTATGTCACAGAGCTGCATAATCTTTACCACAATCAATTTTAGAATATTTTCATCATCCAATGAAGAAACTCCATAACAATTTGTAGACATTCTCCATTCCCTGACACCCTCCTATGGTTTCCTACCATCACATGTCCTGAGACAATAATTGTCTAGTTTCTAACATTATTCTTACACACCCTTCATTCCTCTCTCATCTAGCTTCCCATCCCACCCACCACTATCAGTCATTCATGCTACATGTATGATAACTAACCTGTTACCTAATTAAATGAATACTCTTTATTTTTCAATTTTTTATCACAACCACTCTAAACCCAGCTTATCACTGCCATCTTTTTAAAACAACTTTATTGAGGTGCATTTGACACGCAGTAAAATATACATTCTTGAAGTATAGAATTTGAAAAGTGTTGACATATGTGATGTGTACACAAGCAAAACATCACAACAATCAAGATAATTTGTAGATACATCACACCTGGATGTTTCCATAACTTTATACTTTTTTCTTCCGTTGTTTTCTTGCACCAACACTCACACTTGCCCTCCACCCCAGGCAAACAGTGATAGGCTTTGTGTTACTATAGATTAGCTTGCATTTTCTAGATTATGAGAAAATAAAATTATACAATGGTTACTTGTTTGTATGGCTTCTTTAATTCAGCATTATTTTGAGATTTTTTTTCATGCTGTAATGTATATAAATATATGAACTTAGTTTTTATTTTTTTCCTCCAACATGTCGGCTTAGAAGCTTTGTTAGATGTCTCATTCACTAGGAAATAGAAAAATAGTGTATAGAAATTCACAGTGTGAACTTATATACAATAAGGAAGATGGGAGCTCAACATAAAAGCTAAAGAAACTTCAGATACTTTGAAATATAAGTCAGGAAGCAGCCTGCACTGTGGGTCTGGTGGAAAAAATATGAGTGAATCCACAGTGTGTGATGGGAACAGAATGTCTCTGTGATACAAATTTCCACTTAGGAGCTAGGCAATCCAGGCCACAGGGGAGATTCTTGCTCCTACCAAGCACTGGATCTGACCTGGGGAGCAGTGGGGAGAATGTAAGAAGGAGCAGCAGCAGGAGGTCCTACACATGTACTCCCAAGACCCCAGTCCCAATAGAAGGAAGCCATTCCTGATCCTCACTTGTAGGTGGCTGAGCAGAAACCTGCCAGCCAGCATAAGCAGCAGTCACAGGTTTGAGGAGTCTCCAGACTAGAATTTGTGATCTAGTATCAAGTGGAGAAGAAGCTCTCATGGCCAGAATTGAGAGTGGGTATGGCATGTGCTCTAGTCAGAAGCATGAGAATTGGGTGACTCCTTTTGTGATACCCAGTGAGAAGGTGTGTGGCCTGGAAGCCATGGATTTGCTGGGCAGGAAGGTTTCACAATCTGAGTACAGAAGTCTTGTGACTTGGCTGGCTGTTTTAGCTTGCTCCCAGCAGCAAATAGTGGGAGGGAGTCCTGCCAATTGACAGTCTTGGAATAAGGTTCTACTATGGCCTGTTAGGCTGTAGAACCAGAGCCAACTAGTCTTCCCTATGCTAGTTCTTCGGTGCAGCAGCAGTTACTCAGCTCTTTCCTGGAGCATTGCCCCTGGGGCCTAAAAACTGCCTTCTGAACCCCATTAGGGCCAGTGTTTGCATCTGTCATTGGAGGATTCAAAGCCAGACTCGTCCAGCCCAACCCAGCCCAGCCTTGCATGGCTTTGCTCCTCTATCACCTGCTTCAAAGTCAGAGCATGGGTCCAGGACCCCTGGGATTCCATAGCACAGCCCACTGCCTGAAACACAGAGTATTTCTGATTAACACAGGTCAAGTATAAACCCAGTGCAACCACTACAGTGACCTACTAGTGAAGAGGTCAATTATAACACGTGCTGAAACACTGACACAATGCTTAGGAAACAGACAAGCTTTGTGTGACCTCTGTTAACATCATCACTCACACCACCCCAGCTACTAAAGAGGACTTGAGTTGACTACTACTTCTGGCATTTGAGAAAGCTACTACACTAAAGTGATGTATTACAAAGGGATTTATACAGACATTGTACCACTGAACGCTCCCAGAAACAAAGCAAAATAGCTCTATTCAACATACTTTATAATCACATCCTTAAGAAAGAAAGAACAAAAAGAAAAAAGCAGCTCTACTCAGATGAAAGTAAACTAAAAAACAGGAAATATCTTTTAATTCAGATGTGAAGGAATAAGCATAATAATATTGGAAATATGTAAAAGCAAGGTGTTATGATGATACCCCCAAAGGATCACACTAACTCTCTAGCAATGGATTCTAACAGAAATGAAATCTGTGAAATGCCAGATAAAGAATTAAAAATAGCTGGGTGGGGTGGCTCATGCCTGTAATTCCAGCACTTTGGGAGGCCGAGGTGGATGGATCACTGGAGGTCAGGATTCTGAGACCAGCCTGAACAATATGGTGAAACCTCGTCTCTACTAAAAATACAAAAAGTTAACCAGGTGTGGTTGCATGAGCCTGTAGTCCAAGCTACTTGGGAGGCTGAGACAGGAGAATTGCTTGAACTCGGGAGGCAGAGGTTGTAGTGAACCGAGATTGTGCCACTGCACTCCAGCCTGGGTGACAGAGTGAGACTCCATCTCAAAAAAAAAAAAAAAAAAAATTCAAAATAGTAATTTTAAAAAGTTCAATGAGACCCAAGAGAAATCTGAAAACCATACAAAGAAAGCAAAAAATCAATTCAGAATGTGAATAAAAAATGTACTAAGGAGATTCATATCTTAAAGAAGAACCAAACAGAATTTATAGAATTAAGTTTCCAAATTCTGAAGAAGTCAGGCAGAGAAAGAAACAAATATGTTCTGATCTGGTTTGGCTGTATCCCCACTCAAATCTCATCTTGAATTGTAACTCCCACAGTTTCTACATGTTGTGGGAGGAACCCAGTGGGAGGTAATTGAATTATAGGGGCAGATATTTCGCTGTTCTTCTGATAGTGATTAAGTCTCATGAGATCTGATGGTTTTAAAAACTGGAGTTTCCATGCACTAGCTCTCCTTCTCTTTGCCTGCCTCCATCCATTTCAGATGTGACTTGCTCCTCCTTGCCTTCTATCATGATTGTGAGGCCTCCTCAGCCATGTGGAACTTTAAGTCCGTTAAATATATTTTTCATCTTGGTCTCAGGTATGTCTTTATCAGCAGTGTGAAAACGGACTAATACATGCTCCAAATTCTGTTTACAGGATTATAACATACTCAATTATTAAAGGCCATAAATAGCTCAAAATAAGTTTCCTTGACTCTGAAAATCAAAATAAGGATCAGCAATGTTCCAAGAAGAAGTCAAAAAGATTACTTCAGTTTTCTATTCGTTCAGTTCATTCTGTTAACTCTTGTTTTGCTAGATATTCGTGAGCATTTCAGCTCTTCACACGTCCTGTACATTTTTCTTTTATTCCAATGTCACAATCTCCAAAGTTACCAGAAATCTGCATTTGAGAGCACCTGTCAAAGTTCTATAAATGATTATAAACCACCCTTTGAAGGGAATCAAAACAAGACAATTGTCAGTGAATAACAAAATGTCCAGGGTAGCAACAGTCAGAAACATGATTGACAAAGAAATTTGGCTATCTTTGTGGTTCACAGTGATTTAACATAACAACCTTAATTATGATTGATAGCATTAGTCATTAGAATTTTTAAAACTCCATACAATTTTGGAACATATATTAATAATATTCCCTAAAATATAACATGAGGGAGACTAAACAACATTTTAGCAATCCCATGTATCTAAACATGTCAGGTAATCCTGTTTACCTCTCTATGGGTGCTCCAGGCGCCCTCTATAGCATCCAAAAACCATGCATCAGGGAAGACAATTTTTTTTAATAAAATCGACAATCTTTTTTTTAAAATATATATATTTTTAATTATACTTTAGGTTCTAGGGTACATGTGCACAACGTGCAGGTTTGTTACATATGTATACATGTGCCGTGTTGGTGTGCTGCACCCATTAACTTGTCATTTACATTAGGTATAGATATACCTAATGCTATCCCTCCCCCCTCCCTCTACCCCACAACAGGCCCCGGTGTGTGATGTTCCCCTTCCTGTGTCCATGTGTTCTCATTGTTCAATTCCCACCTATGAGTGAGAACATGTGGTGTTTGGTTTTTTGTCCTTGTGATAGTTTGCTGAGAATGATGGTTTCCAGCTTCATCCATGTCCCTACAAAGGACATGAACTCATCCTTTTTTATGGCTGCATAGTATTCCGTGGTGTATATGTGCCACATTTTCTTAATCCAATCTATCATTGTTGGATATTTGGGTTGGTTCCAAGTCTTTGCTATTGTGAATAGTGATGCAGTAAGCATATGGGTGCATGTGTCTTTATAGCAGCATGATTTATAATCTTTTGGGTATATACCCAGTAATGGGATGGCTGGGTCAAATGGTCTTTCTAGTTCTAGATCCCTGAGGAAATGCCACACTGAAGGAAGACAATTTTGAAACTGAAGTTTAATTTGGGGACGCTACCTACTTTTAGTTTATGAATATGGTTATCCTTCAAGACAAATCCAATTTTCACTTTCTTATTACAGAGTCACTGTTATTACTTAAAACCCAAAGCAGATTATAGGATACTTTTTTAAAGTACTATTACTGATATTGGGAAGATAGCCACCCTAGTTATGATTTATACCTTGATGCCCTTACAATGCCATTCCATTACCACATACTTGACATTATTAAACACTTGCAGTCCTTAAAATACTTTGTTTGATGTCTCTTTGCTATTGTGGAGATAATATGTAAATTGCGTGATTTTCGAAACGCTACGTTTTGATAAAGTTTGCATTGAATAAATATAAATTTTATATCTTAGTCACTTGCTTGTGAACAACAATATAGATTCACTTTTTCTAGGTTAGTATCAATAGTAAGAAGGGAAATAAAGATTTTTCTGGCTATTTTTCAACTTTCAACAAATTGTTGCCTCAACTTGGTAAACTTTTGAAAACATTTCTTAAAATTTTTCTTTCTTTTCCTTCAATTACTTGAGAACTTCAGCACAAATTAAATTTGATGGTGTGATTTTGTATTTATGTCTTCCAATTTTAAGATAAATAATAAAATAGGCCACATTGTTATGACTTTTAGTAATATCATGACAATAATTATTAAATAATAAATATTTAATATTTGAGGAATATTTGTTATATGATTTTGACATAGGCGTATATTTCATTTGGGCTTGATATTCTGACATGGACATATAATAAATAAAGTTTATGAAATATTTAATTATGGAAAGCAATTTTGCAAATCCAAATTACATTGTTGCTAAAAAATAATAAATATAAGTTTATCTTGTCTTTTAAGTATCTTAAATATTATTTGCTGGAGTACTTGAATAAAAAGACAAGTAAATTTAATAATATGAAGGGGAAACAACCTTTACATATACACTTAGTATGTATTTAAATATTTAGAAAAAAACATAAGATGATAAGACAACCAAAGTACAACCAAAACTAAAAAAAAGACCTAAATATTTCTTCATATTATTGTTTATTTAAAAAATTCAATTGTTATGATTCCAGCTTTAAATCATTGCATATGTTAAAGCTGAAAAAATATTTTCATAGTGCAGTTTAAGAATAAAGCCTCTATGACTTTAGCCATAAATGTAAATGTACACACTTTATGAAGTCACTTGGGCGATAGGATTTTGAACATGGCACGGTGCTAATTGGTCCTAACCTACGTAGCCATGAGATTATTAAAAATTTTGTTCCCAACTAGTATGTTTCATATTTATAATCAAAAAGTATTTTCCCATTTGTTCTAAAGAACACATGTTAAGAAATAATCTGAACAGTAAAAGTAGCCCATATTCCAGAACTTTTGTAAAATTTTAGGTTAAGAAGTATATTTAAAAGTTTTTCTCTTGTAGGTGTTCTCAGATTCTTTAAGTTTTAAAAGGGTTTTTCTTTTGTGGTTTTTATCTAAATTTATTTGACAAAGTGACTTTTTCCCCCTTAAAGCATTTTGAGAAATGTAAACATAATGAATACTTCAAAAGGAGACACTATGTTCATTACCAATATGAAATAATAAAGGAAAAAGGTAAGATAATGTTAAATAGTATTCTTGTAGTGTTAAATTGTATCCCATGGTGAAATCACCTGCTAAAATCTTTCAGATACTTGAAAATGATGCAAAGCAGTCAAGGCTTGGTTATAAAGCATGCACTTGGTCAACACCAAATTACATAATATATAAAATTTGGTTCTTCCCAACTTAAAATAAAAAATGTATGTGTAGAATACATAAGTGCAAAACATAAAAGCTATGTTTCATATTTTTATATTTGAAAAGAAGTGATGAAATTACAGTGGATTTTGTGAATTTCTGGAGAGTTCCATAGTCACATCTGCAATACTGCAATGTTTAAGTTGTCTATTGCAACACTATGCTCAAGTACCTGCACCCTCTCTCTGTGACAGATGCCAAAAAATGGGGAACTATTGTTGTAACTATAAAAGATTTTCATATCATTTATTCGATTCATCATTGTATATAATTGACATGTCACAAGCACATATGATAAACAGCTATGGTTTTAAGAAGTTAATAGATGCCTTTTTTTTATTTAATTACATTAGCTCCAAACATAGCTAACTCTCAGAAATCCAGTTCAGTGTCTTCCTTGAGTCTTCTCACCCTAAAAATCTGTTTTCAATATGCTTTTCTTCTTTTTTCTCTTTCTAATCCTGGGAAGATGGTGGTACTAGTAATAGTAATAATACTGATGATATTAATATTGATCAACAGTAATTGAGCAGGATGAGATAGCATTATTACACTTGCTGATATATCTAATAAGATAGAAATATTGAAATACCTTGGTACTCAGTTGTTTTTTAATTAAATCATATGAAATGGTATCAGCAGTTTACAAAAGTATACAATGTTGAAATTGCGATAGGGAAACCGGATGCTTGCCTGGTTTACATTTCAACCACTGCAGCAGTGTTGGAGGCACATCTGCTGAATGATAAGCCACAGACTTTGCATTTCTTTCTGGCTACTTATAGAAAAATATAATTGCGGAGTAGTTGTGAAGGCATACAAGTATATATTTAAAAATTAAAAAATTAATTTTCAAACATAAGTGTAACTTTGTTTAGTAAATTTAAATGTAATTGTATTTTATCATTTAAAAAATATCCAACTTTACTTTATCCAACTCCAATAAAATAAGATTTACTATCCTGTATTACTATTGATAGGAATATTTATTTTGACTATGATAATGAATGCTACTATCAATATTACTTCAATTACTACCTCTATATTACTACGGTTACTATAAGGTTAATAGTACTTAAATCAGACCACTGGTTTATTTATTTTTTGTCTGATTCCAGCAGTTTTTAATTTGTATTCAACTGTTTGATATGATGACAGTTTTTCAAACAATCTTTATTTCTCCCTTTCCAACCAAAAAAATACAAGTGTAAACATAATTCTGTTGCTAAAAAATGTTTTACCTTTAACAATAATTAAATCATTCTGCAGTCTTTAAAAATTATAAATATAGAAATTTAATGGCTTTCCATAGACTTCAGCAGCCCCATTCTTCAGTCTACAAATGAATAGGAGAGAACTCTCAGAGGTGTTGAATATATCTATCACTGTGATTGTGGTGATGGTTTCATGAAAGTATGCATCTGTCTAAACTTATAAAGTTAAATATATTAAACACATACTTTTTTTTGTATAGAAATCATCCCTCAATAAAACTCATAAATAAAAAAAATAGTGGTCCCTAAAAGTAAAAGAGTAGGACTTTTATCTACTGATTTTACTTAAGATTACTTAATTTCAATATTAGAAGTTTTGATTGAGAATATCACCAAAATTAGCACATGATAATGCCATTGCTGAAGTATTTGATCAAGTGAATTAACCTCACTACTTAGGAACATATGGATCTGGTGTAATTGTTCTAATTTAAGCTCTACTTTTTTTCTTCCTCTTGTTTAACATGGACATTGGCCATTCAGGTCCTTGTCGTCTTAACATTAGCACTGGGTAATAAATATACATGTGACTTTTTTCCATGTTTTATTTTAATTTCAGAACTTGTGTTTTCATCACTTCTTATTTTGTTGCCAAGTATAAGTGAATTTGTTTAATTTTAGTATTAAATTTATTCTGAGATGTATTCTATTAGATTATTTTACACTGAATATCATGATTATGCCAGAAATCAATGTATAATCTTCAATTTTATCTTTATTTCTCTAGAAGTTAAAATTGCAATGTAGAATTCTGTTTTATATTATGCAGGAAGACACATGAATTTCTTGCCATTAAGGTCTGTCATCAAAGCATCTTAAAAGGGGCCTCTTTATTGACTATACCATCTAAATTAGCTTTCCCATCAATTCAGAAGCTGTCTGTAGTCAAAAGTAACGAGTGTCTTAGATGCCATTTCTTAAGGTTCAAAGTAATATATTAGAAAATCAAAGTAAAACTGTGATAAGTAAAAACTCCATTGAACTTCAGATAGCAATATTGCCAAGGCAGTTACATCAAATAACAACTACACGTTTGATGTTATTAACAATTGTCAATTTAGTTATGTTAAAGGTTGTCCCATGTTGTTCACTAATGGGTATTAATGTATAGGTCAAAGATAAATATTTATCATAGAATGCAGACTTAGTTGCCAGAAGATGTGAAATAGCGAAGATTTTAAAACTTGCTTTTCTATAGAGGAATGCAATATTTATGCCACAAGTCTGTTAAAGGAAGCAGGGCACAACTTATTCTAGTCTTTTTATTTTTAGCTTTATAGAAAAAAAAAGTGAGGTAACTATCATTAGGGAATAAGGGAACTGTTTACTGGCATTCAATATGAGTAACAGGTTTCCCAGTTAAAGGCATGCTTCCTACTAAAAATAAGAAGATAGATACAAGGGTATCACAGAGATAGAAATGTTCCCTCCATTTAAGAAATGATATAGGCTGGGTGCGGTGGCTCACTCCTATAATCCCAGCAGTTTGGGAGGCTGAGGCAGGCAGATCACGAGGTCAGGGGTTTGAGACTAGCCTGGCCAACGTGGTGAAACACCGTCTCTACCTAAAATACAAAAAATAAGTTGAGTGCGGTGGCATGCACCTGTAGTCCCAACTACTCAGGAGGCTGAGGCAGGAGAATCACTTGAACCCGGGAGGCGAAGGTTGCAGTAAGCCTATACTGTGCCATTGCACTCCAGCCTGAGCGACAGAGCAAGACTCCATCTCAAAAAAAAAAAAAAAAAAAGAAACAAAAGAAATGATATAAAAAACTATAATATTTCAGAAAAATTCACTACAAATTTGGATATATTTATGAAGTGATTTTACATTCCTTTATCACTAACTTTATCTCCAAACTAGTCAATAACACCAAAGGATGTGAAACAAAGCTGATATTGACATAGAATATGTTATATTAGCAACTTGTTTACTCCCAATGAAAATAAAGCATCTCAAGTTTTGTTGTAATTACTAAGTTGTGTTTTCAGCAAATTTTAAAGTCCAGAATTTTGTTAAAGGAAACATCAAATCGTTCAAACAGCAAAGATTAATAAATCAAAGACAAAGATTTCCTTATTTTAATAATTACTCTAGACTAGTGGAAAATATATTGCCTTCACTTGCTTGTAATTGAATTTCACATATGCTATTTTTGGTAGCTATAGTTGTAATAGAGACTACTCAAAAAACTATGCTAAAAGTTTGAATGAGGGTAATGAACAAGCTTAATTAAAACAAAAAAAATGCTTACAGAAGATAATTTATAATCTCATAACTCTTTAAAATATTTTTGAAATATCTAAAAAGGCACATCTCAATGAATCAATAATGAAGTTTTGAATTAATAAGTTACTATAGTAAGTTTACAGGATACAATATCAAAAGACAATCATTTTTCTATATACCAGCAATGAACAATTGGAATTTGAAATTAAAATTATAAAACCATATAAATTTGCACCAAAATAAAATAAATGCTTAGGAATAAATCTAACAAAATATGTACAGAATTTGTATGAAGAAAACTTACAAAACTATAATGAAGGAGAGCCATTTTCATGGTTAGGATGACTCAATATTATTAGGCAGTTTAATTCTTTCCACTTTGATCTACAGATTCAGTAAAATCTTAATCAAAACCCCAGGAAGTTATTTTGTGGTTATTGACAAACTAATTTTAAAGTTTATATGAAAAGGTAAAAGACCCATAAAAGCCAATGTATTACAGAAGAACAAAGTCAGAGGACTGTCACTTACTACAAAGCTACCACAATCAAGTCAACATGGAATTGGTGAAAGAATATTTCAGCTGATCAATGGAAAAGATACAGACCCACAAAATTATAATTAGCTAAAGCAGTCTTTTTGACAAATGGTGCTGGAATAATTGGACATTTTCATGTTAAAAAAAAAACTTTTAGTCGATCATTACACCTTTCACGAAGATTAAATCAAGGCAGAATCTTAGAATTAAATGTAAAGTATAAAATAATAAAATTCCTAGAACATAACATAGGAGAAAAACTACGTGACCTAGAATTTGCCAGTGAATTTTTAGGTACAACATCAAAAGCACAATCCATAAAAGAAAAATTTGATAGGTTGAATTTTATTAAAATTAAAGACTACCCCATCTATATTAATTAGAATTGAAAAGAATAAAAAAGTACAAAAACTTATGTGTCACTCTTTTATTTAGAGTGATAAATAGAAAGTGAGAGGGAAAGGTGTGTGGACTCAAGATTGATTGTCAATTAAACAATTTAAAAATATAGTAATATAATCTTTAAAATCATACTAAAATTGAACCAAATGTGTAGGATCTGGGGAAACCTGAGATCTTAATTGTAAAGTTACCATCAATAAATTCATTGTCATTACCTACATGCTAAAATATGATTTTAACTGAAATTCTCACTAATGTAAAAAAAAAAGTTCTTATGAAGATAATGTGTATTTTGGGGCTGTACTAAAGTCTATCTTGGCAGAAACCAATTGTATAAAGTTAATTGTTCCATAAAATAGCCAAAAGATATCTCCAAAAGGAATTTATTTTTATTAATCAGAAATACAGACACACTATTTTGAATTATATATTTTATATTTAGATTATAGATTTTTTTCAATTATGAATTAAGGTAAACATTTATGATTTCAAGTTTTTAGAAGGAGGCTTGTCAGGCAGAGAACAAAATCTGTAAGGCATCAATGCAACCTGAAGCAGTTCCTAGTTATATTCTACCCAGATATAGTAGGCATTCAAAGAGTATAGTGGTTGGCAGTTAAATAATGGGCACATATAAAATAGTTGTTTTTAAAAACTCAAATGTGGTACTGAGGCAGGAAAATAGGGTTTGGAGGCAGAGAACATAAGGCCAGTTCACTCTTGAGCTATGACAGGAAATATCCACTCCATGGAGTGTAGGCCAAGTAAATGACTTACTAACTTTACTTCATCCTCTCCTTTTACACAGGGCATACCCCAAGTAGAGGGTATTTAAACTCACAAAAACTCTGTAACAGGACCTTTTGAGCCCCTATGCTCAGGCCCGCTCCCACACTGTAGAGTGTACTTTCATTTTTAATAAATTCCTTCATTCCTTCCTTGCTTTGTTTGTGCGTTTTGTCCAATTCTTTGTTCAAGATGCCAAGAACCTGGATACCCTCCACTGTTAACAGTATTCTTTTTTATTTTATTTTAAATTGACATAGTAATTGTATATATTTATTGGGTACAGTGTAGTCCTTTCATACATGTTTACAATATGTAATGATTAAGTTAGAATAATTAACATATTTATCACTTCAAATATTCATTATTTCTTTTTGGTGAGAACATTCGTAATTCTCTCTTCTACCTATTTTGCAATACCCAACATACTGTAACTTATTTTTCTAATTATAATAAATACATGATTAAATTAAAATTTCCAAAATAAACTAGGTACATGCATATTTAATTCTCACTGGAGTAGAGAATAGAAACATTGTTAGTAGCTAGTAAAAAATTTTCGTAGAAAAGTCTGTGAATTTTGTTAGATAGAAGTTAAAATGTAAGCATCTGTATTAAATACCAATACTTGGCATTCAGAAAGATGAAAGATTTCTCCTTATGGCAGACATGCTTAGCAAATATTTCTGAGGAATAAACACCGAATTAACTCTTGGATAGTTGGCTTGATTGATAAATTAATGCTTATGAGCCTGAATACTCTAGTTAAGGAGAATCTTTTTAAAGACGAGGATGCCTAAATATTAAAAAATCATTTTGACAATAATTCAGTTTAATAATTTTTCAACATAGCCTTCTTTATTGGCCTCATACTTTTTTTTTCTTTTTTTTTTTTAAGACAGAGTTTCCCTCTGTCACCCAGGTTGGAGTGCAGTGGTGCAATCTTGGCTCACTGGAACCTCCACCTCCTGGGTTCTAGCGATTCTCCTGCCTCAGCCTCCCAAGTAGCTGGGATTGCAGGCATGTGCCATGACGCCTGGTGAATTTTTGTATTTTTAGTAGAGATGGGGTTTCACCACATTGGCTAGGTTGGTCTTGAACTCCTGACCTCAAGTAATAGACCCAGCTCAGCCTCCCAAAGTGTTTGGATTACAGGTATGAGCCACCATGCCCAGCCTGGCCCCAGACTTTATATGTTCTGTAATGGCAGAGATCCTGGCTATCTTATTTGTTATCATATAGCATATAACACACTGCTTGATCCAGAATTGGAATTAAATAAATAAAATGGTTATAAAAAGAAGAGTCCTGTGATTATATCAAGCAAAGCTTTACAGAAAAGAAAAAAAGGAAAAAAAATAATTTAGTAATGTTTTCTATCAAGTAGTTTAAATTAAGAAAAGGGATTTTGTTTGTTTGGTGTTTTCCTGTTAACTGGGTAAAAATTGATCTCTGTGTCTGTAGGACCTAGCACCTAGCACCTGGCTTAGATCATAGGAGACACTCAGAACATGTCTACTGAATAAATGACCTTACTTTTCCTATTAGATTCTTAAGGATCCTTGGAATACCCTAAATTCTAAGGATCCCCAGGAGTCAATGAATCTGAAAAATAATTTCAAATTGCTATACCTAAAACATTCAAATGATTTTTATTTGCTTCATTTTGCTATGTATATAATATAAAATACAAATTGAGAGAATTTGTTTTAGAAAACATATAGCAGAAGGATCTAACAGAATATCATGAGGTATTTCTTAAAATAAGAATGAAGTGCCAGACGCCGCGGCTCATGCCTGTAATCCCAGCACTTTGAGAGGCCAAGGAGGGTGGATCATGAGGTCAGGAGATCGAGACCATCCTGGCTAACACGGTGAAACCCCACCTCTACTAAAAATACAAAAAAAAAAAAATAGCCGGGCGTAGTGGCATGTGTCTGTAGTCCCAGCTACTCAGAAGGCTGAGGCAGGGGAATCGCTTGAACCCAGGAGGTGGAGGTTGCAGTGAGCCGAGATCTCACTGCTGCACTCCAGCCTGGGCAACAGAGTGAGACTCTATTTAAAAAAAAAAAAAAAAAGAAGAAGAGTGGTAAAAAAAGAAGCAAATTATTTTCAAGAAGTTCTTTCTAGATTCAGCAATCTGCTTAGTTTTCTAATTCTTATTAACTGAATGAAAGACTGCAAAACACACTTAGTTTAATTCAACATTAATTTTTTAGCACAATTATAATCTGGAACCTATAATATTATTTTTATAGAGTAAAATTAACCCAATTTCTTACTACCTAATCTTCAGTAGATGGTTGAGACAAAAAAATAGGTGTCCCTTAATACTTGACATGATCTATTCTCCCTTTTATACATTCCTTGGTACTATGCATTAACACTTCATGCTTATAGCCTTTACGCTAATTGTAATTTTATATTTATTTATGTGATTTGTAAGGAAAACTGGCTAGTTTCCATTGACTACATTCCTATTACCTACTAGCACCTAACACACATAAGCATTCAAGTTTAACCACTTGGTGGAACTGAAGAATAAACAGTGAAAGAGGCTGCAGCAAGAGAGGACATGGTGAGCTGGTCTTTTTCCTGGTACATACACACCAAGAAATTTCTCATAGAAGGGTCCTACAAATCAGTTCATGTACTTTTATATTTATATATATACAAGCTGCGAATAAAGTGCTAATAACTGTAACTGTGTTAAACCCCCAAATTTTGTCTTTTATAAGACAACTTGAAAAGCAATCCATATACTTCACAATTTGTCTGTAGCTTATTCATCATGATAATTCAGGACAAATGAGGCCTATTTTCCATTGTGCTTTATATAATTATCACATGTGTAGGCCAAGTTTTATTTTCCTTTTGACATGTGTGTGTATTCATATGTGTGTGTGTGTTATATGTTGAGTTTATTTTTATGACCCACCATAATGAACAAAAGCAGACTATGAAAAGTGTATGTAAGTTGAATTAAATACCTGAGTAGCAAATAATTATCTATTAATGCTGACATGTAGTAATCACTATTTGTTGACAGTACTGATACATTAATGTATGAAAAAGTCATGCATTGCTACATTTAAATATAAAATCAAATGGTTGGAAAGCAGATAATAGATTAGTAGCAAAAAGGGAACAAATAAATTCCAATGGAAGTATTGTTTTCTTTTATTGCATGTGCTTTTTGTGTCATTTTCTGAAACCTTTTATAAATGAAGGATACTATCTAAAGAATGAAAACGCAACCTGTAAAAAGTGAAAAATATTTACAAATCAAATTCTGGAGAATAAATTAAATTCCAGAACATGCAAAGAACTTCCACAACTCAACAAGGACAACAACAGAAATTCACTTTAAAAATGGGCAAATGCTGGCTTCAGCCAGCTGTGGTGGCTCACGCATGTAATCTCATCATTTTGAGAAGTCCAGATGGGAGGATCACTTGAGCCCAAGAGAGGGAGACAAGCTTGGGCAACATGGTGAAACTCTGTCTCTACAAAAAATATATATAAATTAGCTGGGCACGGTGGCACATGCCTATAGTCCCCGCTACTCAGGGGGCTGAGATGGGAGAATCATCTGAGCCTAGGAAGCTGAGTCTGAAGTGAGCCAAGATTAAGCCACTGCACTCCAGCCTGGGTGACAGAATGAGACCATCTTAGAAAAAAAAAAAAATGGACAAAACCTTTGAATAGACATTTATCCAAAGAAGATATAAAAATGGCCAGTAAGTACATTAAAAAATGCCCAACATCATTAGCCATTAGAGCCATGGAAGTCAAAAGCACAATGAGATACCAAGTTATATGTGTTAGGGTGGCTATTATTTAAAATAAAAAGAAAGAAAAATAACTAGTGAAGGGTATGGAAAACTGGAACCCTCCTGCACTGTTAGTAGGAATCTAAAATAGTGCGGCCTCTATGAAACACATTATGGTAGTTCTTCAAAAAATTAAGAATAGAATTATAATTCCCTTGCAATTTGCCAATTTCACTTCTATGTATATACCCAAAAGAACAGAAAAAAGAGACTCACACAGATATTTTTACAGCTGTATTCTTAGCAACATGATTCACAATAGCCAAAAGGTGAAAGTAACCCAAAAATTCATTGGTGAGTGAACGGATAATGAAAATGTGGTATACACACATAATGAAATATTATTCAGTCTTAAAAATAAAAGGAATTCTGAGACATGCTACCTAGAGGATGGATAAACCTTAAGGACATTACGCTAAGTGAAATATCAGTCACAAACAGACAAATAGCATATGATTCCACTTGTATAAGGTATCTAGACTAGTAAAATTCATCAACACAGAAAGTAGAATACAGAGTTTGCTAGGTATGAGGGGAGAGAAGAATGTGGAGTTATTGCTTACAGGGTATAGAGTTTTTATTTGGGGTAATTTTTTAAATCTTGAAGAATAATAGTGGCAATGGTTACACTGAATCATGAATGCACTTATGGCTACTGAATACTACATTTATAAGTGATTCAAATGGTGAATTTTATGTTATCTTAATTTTACCACTAATAAGAAATAAAAATGAATGAGTTTATAATAGACAATATTTATAACAAAACAGACTAAAGAAGGTACTTATAATTAAGTTAGACATTGAAAGATGTACATTCTAGAAGGGGGAAAGTAAATGAAGGAAGGAGGCAAAGTGTAATGAAACTGATCACTGTGATTCAAAATGTGTGAGGAAAGTCAGTATAATTCTACAGTTAATGAGAGGAAGCTGAGACATATAAATTCCATCATTAGATACAAAGTATGTTTGTTTGATATTATCAATATCAAATAAAATATTATATTGTTTACAAATTATTGTAAATGAAATGTCTACCAAACCATGTTTTTAACATACTTGATAGTGAGTTATACTTTCAGTCAGTAATGACACCAATTTTTTGCATATTCACAACATTCTTAGAATATGACTGAAAGATCATGGAGTATAAAAGATGCCTGCTTTACTGCTTCTTATGGCAACAGAACATGTATCCAACTTTGCCAAATTATCAGAATTTAAATGATAAAAAGGGGCAATGGCACAACCTCAGTTTATAATATTTATGACTAATCCATTTTCAAGAATGCTTTCTAATAACACTTAATCTAGGAGTTAGGAGATTTAATAGGAGATTATATCAAGTACAAGTTATTTTTCCACAATTACAGGGTATTATTCATAAAATTCATATTATATTTAATCTGTTTTGTCCAAAAGGTCAACTCAATAGTTTGATAGGTTAAATGATACTTATTTCTACATTAGTTCTGCTACAAATATTCTTGATCCTTATGCAAAATATTTGATTTAGAAATTCAGGTCTGCAATTTAATAAACAATGCTGATTTTATGTATTTAAAGCAAACCTGGAAAATAGATCTTTAGGTTTTATAAATTATTATCATCTCTATAGATTATAATTTATATCTGCAAACTATAAACTATAGCTTTGAATGTATAGTCTATGAGTGACTTTCTGAAGAAACCATTATAGTTTATAAAAGTTGATATGTTTCATATTGGAAGGAGGGGTGCATTTTGTTTTCTGCCTTATAGATAAGTGTGAATTATTATTGTTTCAATCAAATTTGTCAATAGTTTTGGAATGCAAATGAGTGCCTATGATCACTGATCACGTTGTTGATAATAAATACTTTTAAACAGTCAAAGATAGTGTATCCTGTCATTTGTAACAAGGATGAACCTGGAGAATATTATGTTAGATGAAGAAAGCCAGGCATAGAAAGACAAATATCACAGGATGGTATTCATATGTGGAATCTAAAAAAAGTTTATCTTGAAGCAGAATTTTTTTCAGTGACACTTTGCCGGTCTGAGACCTTTGCAGCTGGTGAAGCCCCTGCCTGGGCCTCACTCGGGCCTGGGCTTGTCACAGAAGGCACTGGTCCACTCAGCCTGCCAGGCTGTGCCTGGCTTGTGCCCTGGTGTGGATCCCCGTGACCACTGTGACTATGCACTCAGTCCCTAGTGGGAAGGGGTGTGTGAGCAAGTGAGTGCAGGGTCAGGCTGGCTGCTCTAAGTTCTGGAACAAGAGTGGGCTCTGTGAGGAGCTTGTGGCTAGACAGCATGTCCAGCATGTCACAATTGAACCCTGTGGTGGACTTCGGTGTCCAGATAAGGGGAACATGGTGTTTCCCAAACAGGAATACCCATGAGCCCAAAGCCGCAGAAAGGGTGTTACAGCATGCTAACAGCTCTTTTAGCTCCTCCATCTGCAGCTCAATGAATGGGGGCATGTTAACAACTTTGTCAGTCCTGTTGCCACCCTCTGGCCCGTGGCTCTGGGGCTGGTCTGACCTCACTGCTGCTTCCCATCACATGGGGCAACTGCTAAGTGCTGACAGGGGTTGGTGGGGTGGAGACCTACAGTGTTACTGTCTTATTCATACCCACATTTGGCAGAGTCCTGAGTTCTTGTTCTGCATCCAAGAAGAATGACATTACACTGACAACCAGAGGGTGAGGAGGGAGAAGAGTTTTATTGAGTGAGAAAACAGCTCTCAACAGAGAAGGGACTCGAGGGTGGTCCCCCACCTAAGTCAGGTGGTCTTTTTCTCAGTGTGTCTGGGTCTGGGGCTTTTATGGGCTCAGAATGAGGAAGTGCATGCTGACTGGTTTGTGAGTGTGCAAAAGAGGCTAAAGCAAAAGCACCACTGAAAGGTGGGCACAATAGTGTAAAAAAACCAATTAGGAATGGTAGGTATATGTAAAATAGGTGAAGAGTGGGGATCAAACAGAGAAAAGCACACCAAACAGTAAGAGAGGTTCTCAATCTGGTCCATGGATTTATCCAGAACTTGTAGCTGTGCTTTAAACTGTCTTCGGCTTAAAGGCTGGGTTTCACTGGCGACCTGCCCTGTCTTCCTAGGATTTGTCTGCCTCCTGCCACTATCAAGCTCAAAGAAGTAGGAAGTAGAAGAGTGGTTATTAGAGGTGACACAGGTGAGAGAGTGGATAGCCAGAGAGTAACATATACAAAATTACAGCTATATAGGAGGAATACATTCTCATGTTCTATAGCACCATAATTAAAAACAATATGTTGAATATTTTCAAATAGCTAGAAGAGGGGATTCTCAAATTTCTCAATACAAAAAAAAGATAAATGTCTGAAGTGATAGATATGTCAATTACCCTGATTTGATAATTGTATATTGTATACATGTATCAAAATATTAAACTGTACCCCATAAATATGTACAATTTTTATGTGTCAATTAAAAATGATAAAAGCATGTCACCAGGGCTGGGGGGCAGGGTTGGGGAGATGCTGATTAAAAAATACAAAATTTTGATTTGATAGGAGGAGTAAGGTTAAGATATCTATTGTAAAATGTGGTGATTATTGTTAATAATATATTGCATTCTTAAAAATGCTGAGTGAATGAAAGTGTTCTCACCACTAAACTAACTGTGTGAATTAATGTGTATATTAATTAGCAAGCTTTAGCCATTCCACAATGCATATGTACTTCAAAGCATCATTTTATACACGGTAGATACACACAATTTTGTCTGTCATTTCAAAAACAATTTAATAAAAGATAATTTAGGTAGTCGGGGGAAAATCTGGATGAATATAATGTAGATGGTTCCTGCAAATCCCTGAAATATAAGACAACCAGGGGGTATGTTCTGGGGAGTGGGTGGCAGGGGAGGTAGTGATTGGGAAGATGTTGGTGAAAAGATACAAAAGTTCAGTTAAGTTCAAGAGATCTCTTGTACAATATGGTGACCATAGTTAATAATAATATATTGTATACGTGAAAATGAAGAGAGTAGATTTTAAGTATTTTCTTCACATTAAATGATAACTACGTGTGGTAGTACATATGTTAATTAGCTTGAGTTAATCATTGAATAATAAGTATATTTTCAAACATGTTGTACACCATAAATATATACAATTCTAATTTGTCAATTTAAAAAAATAAAAGACATTACATACATGAAAGCATGTTTTCTAAAAAGCAAAAAAAATTAAATAATTTGGCAGTATATTGATGAATTTAGGTCATGAAAATTCAGGATTATTATTTGTTAAACATTTGAGTATATGTCTATAGTTTTTGTAGCCTCTGAAGTGTATTGTTATAAACAAGTTGATCAAAGAGGATGCAACTCACTACACATGAACATCATTATATGACGTATTGATTTTAGTCTTTAGGGAGTAAATTGAGGTAACATTCTACATGTTAAATTTCCCCATTTCATGCAAATTTTTTTATTATTGCTGACTGACTTTTGCTTGTTGCTTTTCCCCACTTTTAGTGATTTTATTTTATGCTACCATTTTTGCTGCCTACTACTGAATAACTATCGAATCATAGGTTGGTTGAAAGTGTCCATAGAGCACAGAATATTCTGCTAGAAAATACTTTGGAGAAATGCCTACTCCCTATTTACATTGGCACTTACAGTCTGCAGTATAATCAAAATGAGTTAATGGAATATTGTACTAAATAAGCAGGTGGCTTAATTTTGTAGGAATTAAGCAGTCAGTAAAATAGGGAATTTGAATTTGGTCCATTAGTGCAGGAGTTGCTTTAGTTTACTGATGTTGTTGAACTTGGAAAGGGCAGCAGAAATTTTCTTTTTTGTCTTTGGACAAATTAAAGATAATAAATATAGTGAACTGAACTTGTAAAAAAAGTCTCCCAATCTTGGAAAACCTCATACTTGGTGATTGAAAGAGATGCTAAAACTATGGAAATTATTTTCTTCAAACAAGTGAAACAAATTGAAAATATGGGTTCAAAAAAGTTTTAAACTATATTCATACATTATATATATAATTTTATATCTACTAGATTATATAGTGATGTCTCAAAAGGTTGACTTTGCCATAAAATTCTTTAAAAAATAATTAATTGATATAATTTGCTGATAATGCACAATGTAATGTGCATTTGATGGGATTCACCATATTTATTTTTTGCAACGTCTTTATGAAGTACAAACTCTTCATTTAGAATGAGAAAAGTAAAATTTATCTAGTTGAAGTAACTTGTCCAAAATCAAACATCTAAAAAGTTGTTAAGTCAGGATTTTAAGTCAGGATTTTAAGCTAAGGTTCTGGGCTTGAACATTTCACAACACTGGCAAGCATGAAACCCACTTAAGCAAAGACCATGATGGGGGGTATAGATTTAGAAGGGCCATGGTTACTTCTGCCTTGAACTAGAACAATTTGCAGAAATAATATTTGTGCTTAGAAATGAACGTTATATTTCTAAGTTGAGATGGGGAGGGAACAGCAGAGAAATTATTACTAACAGATATGTGCAAGTTCATAGTATTTTGGATAACTATACATAGCCAGACATGTTTAGAAAAGCAGTTTGGAACCAGGCTATTAAAAACTTTTAGTGATTTTATACAGTGAAACTTAGATTTTATCATATAGGACATAACAAGTGATTTAGTAAATAGAAATAGACTTCCAATCCTAATTGAAAACTTAGTGATCTTTCCATTTGGAATATATTAAAATGTTATAATAACAGACAACTTTAATATATCCATATCTATATCTCTGCCCATAATCTATATGGTGATTTGTTTACTCCATACAATTCCAGTTACATTAGGTTTAAGCAGTTGCCCTCATTTGGATGCTGAGTTATTAGCGGCAGCATTAAGAGACTACTACTCTTAACACTGTTGTTTGTATTAAGAATACAAGTATTTGTATCACTAAAGTCAATTCTCATATATACATTTATATATATATATATACACATATATATATATATATATGTATTTCCCTATTCATGTTTCACCATACAGGACACCCACTATCCTATGGTTTTATACCACTATGAGGTGAAAACCATCTTCTAATTACTACATCTCGACCATTTGACAATATATTATTTCACCTAAGAAACTCAAAAATTGAAAAGATCAAAGGCTGTAGAGCTTGACAAAACATTTTGATTTCTCCTTAACCCGACACTTCCCATGGTGATTCTACTGGGCAGCCAATTTTGAGAATCACAAACTTTGGGAACTGTTATCTTCCAAGTGTGGATTTGAACTAAGATTTTGATATATAGATCTGAAAAATAAACAAATTAAATGTAGTGAGTCAAAGTATAAAATAAGTAAAATAATGTAAAGTCATTTACTTTTAATTTTCAGCTGTTGATAAAGATTATTAGTTGTCTTCAAATGTCTGCTAGTGTTGTTATTTATTTGTCATAAAATGTACACAATGACACGATAAAGCTTACAATATTGCATTTCCATTATTACAAACAAAATCAGTAGCTTTCAATGTTTGCATGCAAATGGAGAAGTGATATAAATAGCAGATGATGTGTCGGGCAAGGGATCTAAAAGCAGGTACCTAACGATTGTCTTACTGTCTATTTACTCATTGAAAATACAATGTTTCAAGCTATTATTTTTCTCCCTTGTATCGAATACAAAGCATGATGATATAGAATTATTATCTTTCAGCTTAAATGGCTATTAACTGCATTCAGCAGGACATTCTATTAGAAGTTGTGTAATAAAATCCATTATCAAGTAGATATTGCCAGAAACTGTTACCACTAACACAAGTTGTATTCTTCTCTGAATTCTTTCAGTGCGCCTCATTTTATGATAGTTGATTCCACTTAATTTTGTTATTCTCTAGAAATATTGCTTCTCTAGCACTACTGTCACTTTCTTGTCAGCTGTAATGGCCTCATTCACTACCCAGACTATTGCAATTTGTCATTATTTAGGCAGAATTCACTACTGTTGAAGAATTGTAAGTTTTACCCTTATTGCTAAGTTTGATAAATATATATAGAAAAATGTTCTATTGTTACATCACATAGTTTCTCTTCACTCAGTGGACTGTTGACGTGATTTGGACTCTGCATCAGGAAATAGATCTCTCATACAAAATAACCCAATTGACTGCTAAATGGTAAACAAGCTGAAAAGAAAATACTGAAAGCATCGATCATGTAATCATGTCCAATCACAATCATTACGTAGGATGATTTTTTATAAGAGTGCCAGGTGGGATTTTTCTCTTATTCTCTCTCTTTTCACAGTATGATGTCAGTATACATTTCATGTTAGAGAGAGAAATAATTACCATATATATTACTCTAGCAATATGCTTCTATTAATTATTTCTAATAAGGGTCCAAGAATCATAGCATACTTCTACAATAACACAAAGATATTTTATATTTTATTTTATATAACCTATATTATAAAAGAATCTAAGGCTAGTCACAAAATTGCCTTTAAAATCTATGGGCAAAATATAAGCAGGATAATATCACTTGGTTACATAATTAAAATTTACTAGCAGATAGATTTTAAAATGCACTTGCACAGTCAGATTCTGCTGGTTTTATGAACTGTTTATGCAGCAATGGGGAACTATGTACCTTCTGAATAAAAACCATTAAGTATTTGTGAGGTTATTGTGTGGCATAGCTGGAAATACAGTGCACATACATTTATATGAATATGTAAATTAGGGTCAGTATATTAAATATAAAATGAATATTGTTTACTATTTACAAATGAAGAATTGATGGTTAGATTTATTTTGCATTTATTGAAAAATTTAAATTTTTAAAAGTAAAAAGATGTTAAAAATAGTGATGACACATGCTACACAATAATTTTAGGGAATTACTAACTTCCCAATATTTTTGTAAGAAAAAAATTAAATTTAATTTTTTCCTGTTGTTCATTAGTGCTGTGTGTAACATGGTAACTGTTGGAAACATATATAGGCATATACTTGTTAACTTATTTTTGAGCATAGCCAAAATGTATATTCACACAAAACAAATTCTTACATTTTAAAATTATGCTTTAGACATTATTCATAAACCAAAACTTTAAGAATATTCGGACTTCTCATTTTCTGTGAAAAGATACTCCAAACCTTATTCTATGTCAGACTTAATTTATTTTATATTTACTTTCTGTGTAGCAGGACTAAGTTTCTGAGGATTCTCCAAATATTTTCTCTTCCATAGTTACATCTTCCTAACTGGAAAACAAATTTCAGAAATTCACATAATTATGTTTTAAACTACTTTTTGGCCCCATATAATTTTTCACTTTGCATAATGCCTGATGGGATATAGTTTGGTGTTGTTTTCTAAACTAATAACCATCTAGCTGCATCAATCCATAGCCTCCCTTGTGGTCTCCATGCATTTTTAACTTAATACTAGTATCATCACCACTACTACCACCACCACCACTGCTGCTACTACTACTACTATTAGGTTCATATTTGTATTCACACATTACAATTTCATAATAATTTTATGCCAATATTCCCTGATGTATGCTCCAAAATTTAGTGAGTTTTCTTTCTAGTATTATCACTTGGAGTATTAAAGTGATTCATTTAGCGTGTAGAGAAATTGATTGCATCACCTTGGTTTCATTAGCATTAATTATAATCAATTCAGATAACAAGGCAAAGATAAAAAGAATGAATTGCAGAGAACATATATTAATGGTCAATACAGGTCATTTGTTAGCAGTTTGTTTTCAAGCATTATTCAGAGTATTTACTTCAGTTATTAATTGTCTATTTCATTGGAATACTTAATCTGTAGATGTGGTACTCTTTATCCTTATGCTATTAGAGACAAAGTGACATATCTTAGAAAAACAACTACTAGATTCAGCAATTGGCAATATGACTTTAATCTCACTGGATGGTTAAGTAAATAGTTTTCTAAACTTAACTAAATGATTTTTAGTTTTCTAAACTAAGACGGTTTGGAAAACTAAAAGAAAAGGATTTATGGTTCAATTAAAATTTTTAAAGAAGAGAGTAATAGTAGCAACCATTTGCAGTTATATTTTTGCTTATTTTTCTTGTTTGTTTTTGTTAAAAAAATAAGAAAAAAGGACTTTCACAGGAAAATACAATACTCATTTACTGCCCATCCTCTTTCTTCAGCTAATCTTCCTGATGCATTGAAACTCTTCTCTAGTACTTGTAATTAAAGACTCAGATTGATACATTTTTTAAAAATCACAAATGAAAATTCTAGTAAACTTTGTAGTCAGAGAAAAAATTCCAATTGAGAATAACTGTACATTTTTTAAAAATTCAAACACAAACAAGTGTAAGAAAAATTAATATGTTGGTAATAAGTTATCCTTATCCCTACACCCTCCTACAGAAGAGGGAAAAATAGTAAGTATTTAAATCAAGGGCCATTACCAGCTTGTATGTTTCTTTTCACCTTTGTTTTTATATTTAATTTTATGATGAGTACTGTCTTCTAAGTGTTGTATGCTAAGAACATATCTATTTTTGGATGTGCCTGTTTTGTTCTGAAACTAAAACAGTCTATAAAAATGTCAGATTGACTTTATGTAGGGATACACTTTTATTTTATCCAAGATTGCAATTTTATCATCACTTTTTATTGTGCTAGGCAATTCCTGGTACCAGGATAATTCTTCCCTTAGCATCCTGAGCAACATAATGAAAAAAGACAACAATCTAATTCTTATAATCTTAGTTGCTCATTTGTAGACTGAATATCCTGAAGTAACACATACCACTAAAAAGGATTATAGAAAAGGACTATAAAAATTGCATATCGACAAATTAACAATCTAGAAGAAATGACATTACTAGAAACAGACAATCTACCAAGACTGCATCATGAAGAAATAGAGACTCTGAAGAAGCATATAACTAGTAAGAATATTGAATTCATAATTAAAAACCTACAAGTGAAGAAAAGCCTGCAGCCAGATGGCTTCATTGTTGAATTTTACCAAACATCAAAAGAGTAAATGCCAATATTTCTCAAAGTTTTCCAAAAGAAAAAAAAAAAAAATGAAGAGCAGGAAAAGACCTCTCTCTAATTCATTGTATGAGACCAGCATTGCCCTGAAATCCAAGCTAGAAAAAGACACTACAACAAACTTATAGACCAATATCTCCTATAAACATTAATGCAAAAATCCTCAAAAAATATACTAGGAAACGAAATTTACGGAATCTTAAAAGGATTATACATTATGACCAAGTGGGATTTATTTTTTAAATGCAAGTATTTTTTAAAATGTGGAAATCAATTGATGGAATACTTCGTAATAATAAAATTAAGTGAAAAACATAATCATGTATATTTATGCAGAATATGCATTTGACAAATTCAATATATTTTAATTTAAAAACTAGGAATTTTTGTTGGAAAGTTGTCTTCAACAAAATAGGAAGAAAAGTAAACTATGCTACAAAACAAATACCAAATATAAAATCCACAGCCAACATAATACTTAATGCTCAAAGACTGAAAACTTTTCCCCCAAGATCAAGAGCAAGGCAAGAATGTCCACTCTCTCCACTTCTATTCAACCTCCTGGGCTCAAGCGATCCTCCCACCTCAGCCACCTCAGTAGCTGGGATTACAGGCACATGCCACCACATCTGGCTAATTTTTTTTTTTTTTTTTTTGTAGAGACAGAGTTTCACTACATTGCCCAAGCTGGTCTCAAACACCTGGACTTAAGCAATCTGCCCACTTTGGCCTTCCAAAATTCTGTGATTACAGATGTAGCCACCATGCCTAGCTATGTTACTTATTTAAAAGAATAACATTTAAGTACTGTTTTTAAAGGGCATCCTTTAAATCGTAAAAAAATAGAAAACATAGGAAAGGCAGTATTTTTAAGTATGCTACAAAGCATGTTTGCTTCTCAAATTAAAATCCTATTCAAAAATATGTCTTGCCAAATATGGTAGATAGAAAAATACCTCTGCCCCCTCCAAAAATGACCACATCTTAATTCTTGGTGTCTGCAAATATGTTATCTTAGATGGCAAAATCTCTTTAGTTGATGTAATTAAGATAAGGAACTCAATGTTCTTGATTATCTCATTGGGCCCAATGTAATCACAAGGGTCCTAATAAGAGAGAGATAAGAGAGTCTGTAAAACAGTAGTAGATCTGCTGATGGAAGCAGAGGTGAAAGAAATCGGAAGATGCTACATTGCTGACCTTGGAAATGAAGGAAGGGGCCACTTGCCTAGAAATGTAAGTTGTCCCTTAGTAGGGAAGAAAGAAAGGAAGAAAGAAAGTGAAAAAAGAAAGAAGGGAAGAAAACAAAAGGGACCACTTGCCAAGAAATGCAAGTGGTCCATCAAAGTTGGAAAGGACAGGAAAACAAATTATCCCTTAGAACCTCTAGAAGGAATACAACCAACACCTTGATTTTAGGTCTTCTGACCTTCTTAACTAGAAGGTACTACAGTTTTATTTTAAGCCACTACATTTATGATAATTTGTTATAACAACCACAGAAAATTAATACACTGAAAAACCAAACTTTGCAATTACTTATATAAAGCAAGGGTTAAATTGATTCAATGGTTTTGTTTATAATTCTAGCTTTCATTTAATAAGCACTTGTGAAGCACCTTTTTGCTAATCACTTATCTCAATTAATATTCCAAAGACTAAAGAGATTTTTAAAATATATCCAGATTTTTTTGGTAGCAATTTGCTCTTATAGCAATTAAAAGAATTGAAATGTATATGTATATATGTGTGTATATATTTGTGTGTGTATATATATGTACATATGTGTGTGTATATGTATGCATATGTGATGTGTGTATATATACATATATTTTGTTGTTGTTGTTGTTGAGACAGTCTCCCTCCTTCACACAGATTGGAGTGCAGTGGAGTGATAGATTCTTGTGCCTCAGCCTCCCAAGTAGCTGGGACCACAGGTATGAGCCAACATACCCAGCTAATTTTTGTATTTTTAATAGCGACAGGGTTTCACCATGTTGGCCATGCTCATGCCGAACTCCTGACTTGAAGTGATTGCCCACCTTGGCCTCCCAAAGTGCCAGGATTACAGGCATGAGCCACTGTGCCCAGCCCACTTAGATATATTTAGATGTATGTTTAGTTGTTACTACCTAGATACAATAAAAAGGGGTCTTCATTACAAGGATGTTTACTTGTTTTAATTACTCTTACACCCTATTTAGAGAACTTAACCCTTACTGTAACCCTAAATGTTCTTGGTGGTATGGTGAGCTTTAAACATAAAATGATGTATTATTATTACATTTTTCAGGCTCAAACATCTGGAAATTGGTTTGTTTGTTTTTTATTTTGGTACGAACAAATAACATAAGGTCTACCGTTTTAATAAATTTTTAAATGTGTATGACAATATTGTCAACTATAAGCACAGTGTACAGAGATTTTTTTGAATTTATCTTGCATAACAGAAACTTCACACCTGTTGGACAGCATCTCTCCATTTATTTCCCCTCTCAGCTCTTGGCAACCTCTTTTTATTTGCTGCTTCTATGAATTTGACTATTTAATATAACTTGATATCAATCCTTATAAGAAATGTTTATGTGTACACTACAGTATTGTTAACTATAAGCACAATGTACAGCAAATTCCTAGAACTTGTTTCCCATAACTAAAACTTTATACCTGTATATGTGTTGATAGCAGCTCTCCATTTCCTCTCCCCCTCTCAGTTCCTAGCAACCACTTTTTATTTTTTTTTAATGAACTTGACTATTTCAAATAACTTATATAAGTGAAAATATGGTGAATTTACCGTTTTGTGGTTTATTTCCCTTAACATGTTCTCCAAGTTTGTCTACACTGCCACATACGGAATTTTCTTCCTTCCTTTCTTTTTTCCTTTCTTTCTTTCTCTTTCTTTCTTTTTTTCTCTCTTTCTCTCTTTCCTTTTTCTTTCTCTTTCTTTTTCTTTCTCTTTCTCTTTCTCTTTCCTTTTTTCTCTTTCTTGCTCTCTTCTTTCTCTCTCTTTTCTTGCTCTTTCTTTCTTTTTCCTTTCTCTCTTTCTTTTTCTCTTTCCTTTTTATCTGCTTTCTTTCTTTCTCTTTCTTTCTCTTTTTCTTTCTTTTTCCTTCTTTCTCTCTTTCTTTCTTTTCTTTCTTTCTTTTTTCTTTTTCTTTTTCTTTTTTAGAAACAGGATCTCCTCTGTTACCCAGGCTTCAGTGCAATGGCATGATCATAGCTCACTGCAGACTCTAATTCTTGGGCTCCAGTGATCCTCCTGCCTCAGTCTCCAGAGTAACTAGAACTACAGGCACATGCCACCACACCCAGGTATACACATATTTTTTAATAGAGACAGGGTCTTGCTATGTTGCCTAGGCCTGTCTCAAACACCTGGTTTCAAGCTATCCTCCTGCCCTTGTATCCCAAATTACTAAGATTACAGTCATGAGTCACCACCTCTGGCCAACGTTTTTTTGTTGTTGTTGTTTTGTTTTGTTTTTTACCAAAGCCTGTGCTTTTGGTCCCACATCCAAGGAATCATTTTCAAGACCGATGTCAAAAAGCTTTTCTCATTTTCTTCTAGGAGTTTACAGTTTTAGGACATATGTTTATGTCTTTAAGCCATTCTTGGTTTACTTTTCTGCATGGTATAAGATAACAGTCCTGGGCTGGGCACGGTGGCTCACGCCTGTAATCCCAGCACTTTGGGAGGCCGAGACGGGCAGATCACGAGGTCAGCAGATCGAGACCATCTTGGCTAACACGGTGAAACCTCGTCTCTACTAAAAATACTAAAAAATTAGCCGGGGGTGGTGGCAGGCGCCTGTAGTCCCAGCTACTCGGGAGGCTGAGGCAGGAGAATAGCGTGAACCCGGGAGGCGGAGCTTGCCGTGAGCCGAGATCGTACAACTGCACTCCAACCTGGGCGACTGAGCGAGACTCTGTCTCAAAAAAAAAAAAAAAGTACATATTATTAATACAATGTTTAAAGGAGAGGCAAAAAAAAAAATTGCCTGAATACCTGTAGTCCCAGCTACTCTGGAGGCTGAGGCAGGAGAATAACGTGAACCCGGGAGGCGGAGCTTGCAGTGAGCCAAGATCGGGCCAGTGCACTCCAGCCTGGGTGACTGAGCGAGACTCTGTCTCAAAAAAAAAAAAAAAAAAAAAGAGATTACAGTCCTATTTCCTTCTTTTGCATGTAGATATCCAGTGTTCTCAACATCATTTGTTGAACAGACAATCCTTTCCCTGTTGGATACTGTTGGTGCACTTGTCAAATATCAGTTGATAATATGTGTGTGGGTTTATTTCTAGACTCTTTATTCTTTTCTGTTGGTCTGTATGTCTGTCTTTGTGTCAGTACCATACTTCTTTAATTACTATAGGTTTGTGATATATTTTGAAATCAGAAAGGATGTCACCTCCAGTTTTGTTTTTCTTCCTCAAATTGTTTTGGTGATTTTGTGTCTTTCAAGGTTCCATAAGAATTTTAACATTCATTTTTCTCAATTTTGTTAAAAGATGCTATTGGAATTTGATGGAAATAGCATTGACCCTGTAGATAACTTTGGGTGATATGGATATTTTAACAATAATAAGTCTTCCAATTTATGAATGTGGGATGTCTTTTCATATATTTGTGTCTTCCTTAATTTCTTTCATCAATGTTTTGTAATTTTTACTGCGTAGGTCTTAAACTTCCTTGATTAATTTTATTCCTATTTCATTCATTTGGGAATTTTTTAAAATTTCGTTTTGGAATGATTCATTACTATTATATAGCATTATAACTGATATTTGTATGTTTATGTATTCTGTAATTTTACTTAATTCATTTATTAGTTCTTACAGTTTTTGTAGACTCTAGGATTTTCCACATGTGAGTCATGTCATCAGCAAAAAAAATATATAATTATACTTCTTTCATTCTGATTTGGATGCTTCTTATTTATTCTTCTTGCCTAATTGCTGTGGCTAGTACTTTCAATATTATAATATGTTGAATAGAAGTGGTAAGAGTAGGTACCCTTGCCTTGTTCCTCATCTCTCAAATTGTCTTATAAAAAGAAAGACAGAAAGTTTATCTCCAGCCTGAATTATTAGATGAAGATTGGACCTCAGAAATTATCAAGGTGATCTTAACCTTATTTTCCCCGCTTTACACAAAATTTTACTTTCCCAACACTCTTGAAAATAAGCATGGCCTTGTGACTTCCACTGTCTGAGAACAAAAACTAGTTTTCAGTGTCCTGTGGAAACTTTCAGTGTCAGACATTTCCCTGACCAGCCTTATGTGGATTATTGTATTGTTACAGGGCCTCCGTCAAGTTTGATTCCATTGTGACTATTCCCTCTTAGTCATGTGGTATAAATACGAAATAAGCTTTGTTGTTGTTTAGCCATAATATGTAGGGCTCTATTTTCTAAAAAACCACATTATAATCTATCCTTACTGATACATTAACAGCCAAACTAAATTAATTTCAACAACAAAAATCTATAACATATTTAGTCTTCTATTTCCACTCTCATTGTTTTGGTTCATTCTCATTATAAAATCTTATCTTTAATTTCGAGGATGGGGTGATTCTTATCTATATCCTGCTTGTATATAAATACATATTTTTAGAGAGGAATATATTTTAATTAATCAATAAAATAAACTGAATTTCTGTACATAAAATAAATTTCTTACCTAAAGATTATATCCGCAGGACATAACAACTTAATAAATTTGGTTTCACCAGCGTACCAACAGGTTTGTTATCAGATTTAATACAAAACGCTTGCAGGAGAGGACAGGTGCTTGAAATTCAAATATAAAAGAATAGATTTAAAAAGTTACTTAAAAAGTTAAATTTGAATTAAAAATTTTACTGGAAAGTGAACTTGATCTTTCTCCTTATTTACAACCTTACTGTATTCTTACATTTTTGTCTAGCTACAGAATTCTCAAAATATTTGTCTTTCTCTGTCATATTCAGTGATTTAATATTTTACTCTGAATGTTTCATTTCTATAGATGAGTAATGTGTGAGCCCAAGGAAAAGCCCCAGCTTCCTTCCTCCTAACCTACCATTCAATTTCTCACTCTCCAAAATATGCTAAAACATACATACACTCTCTGTCTTACACACACACACACACACACACACACACACCTGAAAATTCATGACTCTTTCATTGAGAATCTCAAGTATCACAAAAAAATTCTGCAGTTGAATACCATATTGACAATAATTCTTAATTGAACAGGTTTATTTTACTGTATTCTCTTATATTTTAACCTACATAGAATTTGCAATATTGTCCTAAGATTACCTGAGACAACAACATGCATTTTTAAACCATTCTTTGGGCCTTATGTTACATCATACACTCATCCTACCTCCATGGAAAAAAATATCATGACTAATTGGTTTCAGATTACAACATAACTTTCTTCCTGATTTATTCTTACCAAATTGCACAGTTCCGAAATTTCACTTCCCTACAGTACACATTTCCTGCTATATTTAGGTTATATTTTTCATGTCCATTTATCATTTGTCACCTACTCTTCCTCACCAACTGATAGAGATGTTCCAATGCCTATTCATTTTATTAGTTTTATTGTGACATCATTATGTACCACAATATAGACCTTTTTCTAACGCATGCAGCCTGATGATTTTGGTATAGACACAGATTGTGTGATCATGATCGCATCATCGCTGATTTCATAACATTTCATCCCTCCCCAAAAATCCTCATGCACATTAATATTCGCTTCCCACTCCTCTCTCACAAGTTGATATCTGACAACCATTAACCTACTTTTTGTCTCTAAGGATTTGTCTACTTTGGACATTTCACATAAAGGGAATCATAGACAACTGTGAAATCAGAAACAACCAGGCAAATACACAAAATATCTTTTAAAAAGTTCATACCACACTAACAAAAAAATACTATGTTCGGTGTTCCTCTACTAATGGTAGAACTTATATACAGAAAGAGTTGATTTCATTTGTGTTCTGTATTATTCAATCTGTAATCTTCAAACAACGAGTAATTCTAGGCCCTAGAATCACTGACAAAAGACTACATAGTGTATAATCAGAGAAGGAAACAGATTTTACTAAAACCTTAAGTCTATCACAGCAATTAGCTTAACAGTCATTGTGATAAGACTGTAAGAAACCAATTTTAAAGTTAAGTGCTTTCAAGAGACAAATAGTCAATGAAAAAGATTTCTTTTGGCATTTTTTATAACAATTTTAATACCATATTCATATTTTATCATGCAGTTGTTTCTATGGATAACTATTGCTATTTAAGCTTAACAAAATCTCTTCTTGTCTATTTTAATTCATTTATAGATATGCAATAAATAGGATATAACTTTCTACAAATGTTTAAAAGGCAGAATATTGATATTTTAACTTAAATATCAATTTATATTAAAAAGTGATTATAAGGAGATTTTTGGCAATTTAACCAAATGAAATCATTCTTCATATTATATTCTATAATACTACAATACACATTAAAAATAAGATAAAGTAAAATACTGGATTATTTGGTTAACAATTCCAAGCTATCTGTCATTAAACTTGAATATTTTATGAGAAGCAAAAAAGGAAAAAAGAACTTACATAAAATATTTTAGTTTCACAAAAAATTAAGAGAAAAATGTATGATTTTTCTGATTGACTTGAGTAATATGAATAAGTAATTTGCTCTTAAAGTAGCAAAATGAATTAATTTTGAGCACAATGAAATTAAAAGGTTTTAGCTTCCCTGATCTGAGCAAAGCAAGATGAATTTTTAATACAGTGAATTAATTAGGCACATAATGAGGAATAGAATACATAATATTCCAAATTCAGATAAATAGCAAAATAGCCCAGATTCTAAAAGAAATAAATATCATCCATCATAGACACACCTTAAATCAAGTTTATTGGAAAATATTAATGGCAACAGATCTAACAGAACAACATAAAATGAATTATATTGCTGATTCTGTTTCACAAAATTACATTTTATTTTTACCCTCATCTGTAACTTTCTCTGGAGTTAATCTTAGGACATTACTCATTTTTTGAAGGTGTTAATGTACCATAAAGGATTTGCATTATCGTTAGACATACCATCTATGCCAGGTGTTACATGTTCTCTGCATCTGCCCTGAAATTCATTTAAAAGCTTATAAATCTTTATGACCATATGATGTATTTCTATGATCGGTGGGATCCTTAAAAAGCTTCTGAAATATATATTATAAAATTAAGTTGTTTTTTATTTAACTTTTTTATACAACGCAGTACCTATGGGATTAATTTTAATTCTTTTACTTTTCATTATGTTCAATTTTATTTTGAAGTACTACTGCTATATATATATATATATATAAACTAATACATATATGGAGATTATAATATTTTAATATGCAATATGATGTAGAGATTTGCAATCCAATCCCTGGAAAGGAAATCACTTCATATTTTCTAGACCTGTTTCCTAATCTACAAACCATTGTGTTGGAACTTGATATATAAGCAGTAGTACATTTTTATGATCATTGCTAAATTATAAACTATTGTGGAACATTAAATGATGAATAAAATATTAACTCATATGTTAAATAGATTCCTTAGACAATCACAGGCAGGTTATATAAAATATATTTAATTTTATTAATTCTACTTTTCATATTTTAACAAATAAATATACATCTTTGTCAAACAAATAGAATTGGTATTAAATAGCTAAAGAGATAGTTTCAGAATAAATTTTATATCATTTGATAACTCAAATGGGGAAATATTTTATTAAACTATTTTCTTTCTAACAAAAAATTTTTAAGATGTGCTAAAGTCTACATCTTAAAAGGTAAAGGATTTGACAAATTCTATTTTAAAACAAAAGACAGGTAATGAATTTTAGTCCTTATAATTTATTAACTTGTAATGATCCTTTAAAATATGTCTTATAAATTACTATAAGAGTTAAAGCAAGTTTCCTTACCATATAGTAACTTCTGTAGATGTCTGACATGCTTACAGAAAACACACATTTTTGGGTACCACTGCATATCTATTGTATCTGAATTACCAAAAACACTTAATCTTCTTCCTTCCCTCCTCCTTTGCTTCCCTCTCCACAATGATTTTTAAGAAAAATCCCCATGATTCTTATTAATGGCAACATTTAGAAAAATTTCATATTCATCATTAAAATGTTTAGCATTTAGAGAATATTATTGGCTTTATCAATATATCTAATTTAGAAAAAAAACTGCATGCTTCATGAATCTATAAACTCATGAACTTTAAATTTATTTTATTTATTTATTTATTTATTTTTAGAGACAGGATGTCACTTTGTTACCCAAGGTGAGTGGAGTGGTACAAACATAGTTCACTGCAGCCTCTAACTCCAGGATTTAGGGGATCCTCCTGCCTCAGCCTCCCAAGTAGCTATGACTACAGGAATTGTGCCACCATGGTTGACTCATTTTTTTAACTACTATTTTTTTGTGGAGATGAGGTCTCACTACACTGCCCAGGCTAGTCTTGAACTCCTGGCATCAAACAATCTTCCTGCCTTCGCCTCTCAAACCCTGCGATTACAGGAATGAGCAAGGCCCAAGCTCATATTTAAAAAATAATAAATAAATCAGAATTTATACATTGGGCCGTTTGTTAGGTCATTCAAGAGCATTTTGTCCTCATCTTAAAGTGATCGTTAAGTGAACTTGTTTTAAGAATAAAATACAGATCTGTTTTTCTACAAGTATAGCTGATGTTCAGATATACTTTAAAAGTTACATTATTCAGTGTCTATTTTGCATTGATTTTTTATTATATAAGAATCAGAGACAATATGGTAATATACTGTTTTAGTAGAAATCTAGGTAAAGTTGATATGTAGTTTCTGTGCTTATTTCAATGGACATTTATTTTTTACAGAATTGTAAAAAGAAAATCAAGCATAATATCTCATGAAACATTTAAGAAAAGCTATTTTTCTGTATGGGTTTAAACCAGTATGAGTGAGTAGTGAGAATTCCTAGTGCTATATATACCTCTTTTTACTCATGTAGTTCCTGCAGTAACACTATGAAATAGACAGAAACTTATCCCTACTTTATACCTCCTTGGATATAAGATTTCTTCATATTATGTACTGAGTACTCTTGATATGACAGAATATATATTTACTCATGTCATTGGCAGGTGGATTTATTATTATATTTATTAGCTAGTACAAAAACTATATGTCTATTTACAGAGAGTCAGATATACAAAATCTCTTAAAAACAGAACTTATGGATTCCTAAACATATAAACATTTATTACTGGACTCTGGATATTGTCCTCAATGAAAGGTCATCAAATTTCTATATAATGAAAGAATCTACAATTTAATTTAAAAAAAATTAAATGTTATCCAATATCATAATAGAATATAATAGAATAATTAAACTTAAGCCAAAAAGAGTAATAGTTTTGTTCATCATATTATTGCTTATTCTATAATAATTGAGTATAGAATATGAATTATATTCAATCTAATAATCATCTTTCTTCCTTCATTCAAAATGTATTGGAGTTTTGTTTGTTTGTTTGTTTGTTTTGTTTTGTTTCCCAAAGTAAGGCATTAGGGACGTAGTACTAAACAACACAATCAAGAACTTGGCCCCAAGTAGATCATTATTCAAGCTTTAAAAACTAACAATGAATAAATAAATTAGCTGATTCAAGTTTTAATTAATGCTGAAGGAAATTAATAGAACGATGAAATTCCAAAGGGATAATGTTGCTATCTTATATGAAGCAATCTGGGAAGCCTCTTTGAGGAGGTGTCATATGACCTGAAACTTGATGAATGAGATTGGATTGCTATAAAATATGAATACTAAGGCAAGGAATATGAATGGTATGTTATGATGAAGGAAAATAGGGAGAGTAACTGGTTTAGCTGGACTAAAGGAAATAAAAGCAAGGGATTGAATAAATTGGAAATTTAAACACTGAGGCTATACACTGAGATTAGGTTTATAAAAGGTCAAGAAAGTGAAGGTACCAAGTTTATTTCAAGTTCTATGGGTGGAGTAACATGAGTTTATATGTGGAAAAATGATATGACCTCTCTATACTGTGGGAATAAGAAGAATCTATGATTATAGTCCCAGAAGAGGTTTTATTTTTCCTTTTTTTTTTCCATTTTGTTTTGAGAATATGGGTTTGTTGTGGCACTGTTTCCTGAGATGGGAAACCCAGAGTACAGGTCCTTAGGGACCTACAGGACATCTCTGAAGTAGTAAAATGTGGAGTGAGAAAAAACAAGAGCTCTGTTTTAGACGTCTTAAATTTGAGAGCATTATATAACAAAGTGGATAGGTCACATAGACATTTGAATATTTGTTGTGGAGCTTATGAGTTTGTACATTTTAATATTGTTAAAAAATAGTCAAAATCTATTTGTAGTTAAAAATATAAGATTATGTAACCTTGTTTACAAAGGAAATGTAGAGAGTATTTTGGGTGCGTAATCAAGCTGGGAGGCAGGCAGAAGCCAGTAGGAAAATGAGAAGAGTTGCCCAAGGGGAAGAGGAACACCAGGAGCCAACAGCAGCAATCCAGTTTCAGGGGTCAAAGGTGATTTTAAGTCACACCAAAGACTTTTCTTTCCCAACTTGTAGTTTATTTGGAAATATAATAGCCAAATTCAATGGTCTGTTAGAGATGCAATGATTAATTTTGCTTTATTTCTTGGATTTCTCGGTTCATGTCTCTCCCAAACTAATGTTGCCTACAATGAGAATATCAGGATGTAAATTCTTCATCCTTAATTGATTTTATTCTTGAGTTATTTTAATCATTTTATTCAAAGATTGTGTCAATCTATTTTCAACCAATTTGGGATCGAGGAACAGTAATTTTGTGTAGCCCTGCAAACTCCTGCCTGCCTTTTCATTTATGTTATTGAATCTGTTGTTTTTTTCCCCAAACCAATCTCTTTTAGACGGTATCTTGTTCTATATAGTCAATAGCAACCAACTTATATTTTTCCCACTCTGTTTTCTAATTTGTTCTTTTAAAACTCCCAGCTGAGTGAGAAAACAATATTCTTTCCTAATTAGAACAAATGGCATATTACTAAATATTTTTGTCATTGCCTAATTCAATCATTATTCTAGCCTTCTATTAATATTGTTTTTGAGAGCTGTACCACCTTTTGGTACCAATTACTGTATCACTTGTACTCAAATTTTCCATCACAGAGCTTGTCATATAGCTATAACTATTCTCACCAGAGGCTGGGAAATTTAGGGAATTAGAATTATCTGATGTCTAATAGTACCCTCCATACTACATTGCAAACTTTTTGCTTCTTTCCTCTTTTTCCCCCCCGGATACAGCAGAGGAGAGGAAAGAGCAGCACAGACAAAAGAATCAGTGCTGCACAAGAAGAAAATACTAAATACCCTGAGAAAATATATTTTGGTTGAAGTTCTTACAGAAAGTTAGGCAGAAATGATAGAATGTAAACTCAGACTTAAAAGACAAACAAATATTTTCTACAATAGAAAGCCTAAGTATTGTATTGATTTCCAAAAGTAGCTCATCGACATCTTGAGTTTCTTTTTTGTAACTATAAACACCAGGTTGTACACTACATCCACAAAAGGAAACTTGTCAAATATAGTACCCTGGAATCTGCATTTTATACAGGTCTCTGTATCATGAAAAGAATGTTCTACTTTATCTGGTTCACAAACCATTCATTTAATAGTATAAGGAGCTGCATAAAATGCATTTTCAAATCAAGTCAATATGAAAAATCATCATTTTAATCACACACAGTAGAATCCTAAACCTCACAAGTATAAATCATGAACTTTAATTATTTTGTTGAACATTGTTACATATTAGATTTCAGAACACATTTTCAGTAACAGGAAAGTCCTGCAAGACTCAACAGAAATAAAGCTCATACTTTTTGATTACTGAGGTTAGTAATGCTAAGCTGGCACATACATAATTTGGAGAAAATCAGGTTAAATAAATGTTTAGATTATCCTTTAATTTGACTGCATAAGTATCACATTATTAACACAACTTAAATAAATTTCCTCAAAATCTAAAATATCTGTTTTGGAAGTTACTTCTCTGTTCAGACTGGGTACCAACATGAAACAGAAGGCAGAGTCAAATTAGAATATTTCAGGGAGTATTTAATAAATATAATATTTATAAACATGTGAGCAGAGTATAAGCAAATCTGAAAGAATGATATAGTTCTGAGGAGCTTATAGCCGCAAAGCTATTACTACTTCTAGCACTAAAAGAAGAAAGGGAAGGAATCATTACCAAGACTTGGGAAAAAAAAGACACAGAGAAGGCTGTCTTGTGAAGAGCAATGACTTTCAATCATGGAACCCAACCAAACTAGAGTATTCTGCAAGAAAGAGCCAGAAGAATAAATGTTCTTACTTCACTCTCCTACTCCTAGTTCATCTCTTGCCAGGGATATCATTGACTGAACTAAACTGTCAGCTAGAAAATAAGGAAGCCAACCTTCCAGAGCAAAGTTGGGTGGAGAATGGTGACGAATAGATCTGGATGAGTAAATGGAAGACAACCAGCATAATTTGAGATTTGGCGAGAGAGAAAATAACATTGTCTATAAAGAAAATAAAAGGCCGGTAGCAATGGCTCACACCTGTAATCCTAGCACTTTGGGAGACTGAGGCGGGCAGATAATGAGGTGAGGAGTTCGAGACCAGCCTGGCCAACATGGTGAAACCCCGTCTCTACTAAAAATACAAAAAAAAAATTAGCCGAGTGTCATGGCGGGTGCCTGTAATCCCAGCTACTCGAGAGTCTGAGGCAGGAGAATCACTGGAATCTGGGAGGCGGAGGCTGCAGTGAGCCGAGATGGCGCCACTACACTCCAGCCCAGGCGACAGTGAGAGACTCTGTCTCAAAAAAAAAGATGAAAAGTAAGAAGAATGGAATAACTACACTTGTTGACCGTTTAGTTTATAAATTTTTTTCGTGACAATTAGTTTGTGATATCATTTGATGACTATTGTTGATTGACAAATATGGTAAAGCTTTCTTTATAGTGGTCTAATCAAAGTTGATAAAAACTATAATTGGTTTGCTATTTGGTTGCTATTTCTGGAACCACATTTCAATTAAACTAACAATACTTTGTGAAGTTTATTTGATATATAGCTCTAATAAAATAAATTTCTTATTTCATTGATAGGAGCAAATAATGCTGTTGAGAAAACAATAGACATTATTAAAACTAGTAAATTTGCTAAAATAAATTAGTGTCTTAAGTGCAGCATTGAAAACCTCTCCTAAAATTCTCATACATTTTCCAGCAAGAGTTGGCTTCAATACATATAAATAAACGTGACTCCTCTGAAAATGTTTTTCCCCAAATTTTATATCGAATAAAATCTGATCTTGTTCTCTGCCTACGAATGAGATATAATTGATGTATAAGTCAGCTTAGGATGCCACAACAAAATCCTACAGAATAGGTGATTATAACAACAGAAATTTGTTTTCCCATAGTTGGGAAGTCCAAATTCCAAAATCCAAAACAAAACAGATAACTAGAAGTCCAAGATCAAGGTGCCAGCAGGATTGGTTTCTGCTGAGGGCACTCTGCCTTGCTTGCAGATGGCTGCCTTTTCACTGTCTCCTCACATGGCCTTCTGTGCATGCTCATGGAGAGAAAGAGCTCTTTTGTGTCTCTTCCTCTTCTTATAAGAAGCATACCCTGCTGGTTTAGGGCCATACCCTAATGACCTCATTTAAACTTAATTTTTTTTTTTTTTTTGAAACAGTGTCTCCTCTGTCGCCCAGGCTGGAGTGCAGTGGTACAATCTTGGCTCACTGCAACCTCCACCTTCTGAATTCAAGTGATTCCTATGTCTCAGCCACTCGAGTAGCTGGGACTACAAGCATACCACCATGCCTGGCTAATTTTTGTATTTTTAGTAGAGACAGGGTTTCGTCGTGTTGGCCAAGCCGGTCTCAAACTCCTGGCTTTAAGTGATCCATCCACCTTGGCCTCCCAAAGTGCTGGGATTACAGATGTGAGCCACTGCACCTAGCTTCCTTAATTTTATATATATAAATATATATAAACATATATAAATATATATAAACATATATAAAAATATATATAAACATATATAAATATATAAACATATATAAATATATAAACATACATATAAAATATATATAAACATATATAAATATATAAACATATATAAAAATATATAAACATACATATAAAATATATATAAACATATAAATATATATTTTGAGACTGAGTCTCACTCTGTCGCCCAGGCTGGAGTGCAGTGGCACGATCTCGGCTCACTGCAAGCTCCACCTCCCAGGTTCATGCCATTCTCCTGCCTCAGCTTCCCAAGTAGCTACAGGCGCCTGACACCACGCCTGGCTAATTTCGTTTTTGTATTTTTTTTTTTTTTTTTAGGAGAGACAGGGTTTCACCGTGTTAGCCAGCATGCTCTTGATCTCCTGACCTCATGGTTCACCCGCTTCGGCCTCCCAAAGTGCTGGGATTACAGGCATGAGCCACGGCATCCGGCCCTTAATTATATTTTTAAAAGCACTTGTCTTTTAAAATTCTAGTTGAATTCCCTCAACTAGAGGGAATTCAATTCAATATACAACAAATAACATACAAAATTTGCATTTTATTAAGATAAATGTAGTTTACGAGTAAGGTAAAAATCATGAGTACCTTTCTCCGGAAAGCATATTAATAATTGTAGACTATTTTTGTAAACAACAAACTTTGAAATATCTGATAGAGGAACTTACATCTTCTACTACATTTCTCTATTCTATTCTCCTTATATAGTATTCATATTAGTAAAATACATTTTAAAATAAAAAAGAAAGTATAAATAAAAAGATTCATCTTAGAGAATACCTTTCAGTTTTAGGATGAAATTCCAAAAGAAAGTCTTAGAATAATTTTTACTATTTTGTAAGAGTAACAGTCTAATCACTCCTCAGATTTTATAACCAGCTAATGATTTATTTTGAGACAATCATGAGAAATTTTCTTTAAAACTTTATTTGACAAAATTATTTTAATTGATCTCATAGCATTATGAGTTTTACATTCTTTATTAATTTTAGCTATTGCTATGACAGTCTCTGGGGGTATTTATACAAAATGTAAAGTACTCAATAGATAAATTTCTTTGGTTTTGCATTGTGAGTTCAAACTTTTAAGTTGACTTTTTGGCCGTGATAATGTTGTGATTCTAAATTGTGCAACAGATGTAATTGTACCTGTTAAAATTACCACCATGATATTAGAGGTATTTAATAATGCAAAAATTATATTTTCTCCTATTATATGTGTATATCAGTTCATTTTGTTTCTTAGATGTGGGAACAAAATCACAAGTGACAAAGAAAAATACATGAATTGAACTTCATCAATGTTAAAAATGTTTATGATTCAAAGCACACCATCAGGAAAGCAAAAAAGACAACTCAGGATGAAAAAAATTGCAAATTATATATCCAACAAAGGACTTGTATCCAGAATATATACAAAATTCTTACAATGATACCTTAAAAAAAAGCCTAATTAAAAATGCAAAAATGATATAAATAGATGTTTCTCCAAAAGTAAATACAAAATGCCATGAAAGGATGCTTAAAATCATTAGCTGTCTCAGAAATGCAGACTAATTAATTTTATATTCATTAGTCATGACTAAAAAGACAGATAATTATAAGTGCTGGCCAGGATATACAGAAATTGAATAGCTCAGATATTGCTGATGAAAATATGAAATTTTATACATAAGGTCTCCATATGACCAGTTTCACTCTTTAGCACATAGTCAATAGAAATGAAAATATATTTCCAAGCTTGTAAATGAAGTTTATAGCAGCATTAGTCATACTAGCAAAAATTTATAAAAAGCCCAAATATCTATCAACTGATTTTGCATAAACAAATATGGTATATTCATACAATAGGCTATTATTCAGCAATAAAATGCAATGAAGCACTTATACATGCTACGACATGGATGTACCTTGAAAACATTACACTCTGTAAAATAAGCCAGCTAAAAAAAGACTACATATCATATAATTCAATGTATATAAAATGTTCAGAATATACACAAATCCATAGTAACAGAAAGTTGAGTAGTGGTTGGTAGGAGAAGTGAGCAAAAAGAAAAGAAAATGACTGTTAACAGATATGGAGACTCCTCTTGGGTGATGTATATTTTCAAAAATTAGGTAGTTATAATGCCTGCATAACTGTGAATGCAATAAAAACAACTGAATTTTATACTTTAAGTGAGTGAGTTTGTGGTATGTCCATTTTATCTCAATAAAATTATTATAAAATAATGATAGCTTAATAAACATTGCTCCTGTTTTTTTGCTGATCTTAATAATTTATTGATAAATTCTGTTTTAGAGGGGGAAATAACAATATCATGTACATTTGTAGAATAGCAGCTTATTCAATAATAATACAGTTCAAATAAACATACTTTTAACATCTAGTTAGCTATTTGTTATTAGACTTTGTCTTAGTTTTAGACTCAGTATTAATAGCAGTATTAATAAATACAAGTAGTATTTTTAGTATTCCTGCTACTAGGTAAATATTATTATCTTGTATTATTCAACAAATTAAACAGGGTTGCAATTAAATGAAAATATAATAGGTATTAAATATAACCAATTCACCCCAAACGAGTTGATCTCTAAATTTAAGACTAAAGTAACCCAAAACACACAAGTAAAATGAATGGGATAGGGAAAAAACAACATTTAAAATCATATACTTTGGCAAGTTTGTGGAAAACTGTTTTAATATAAGTGATATAGTTAGGTTTTGTGTCTCTACCCAAATCTCATTTTAAATTGTAGTCCCTAGGTGTTTAGGGAGAGACCTGTTGAGAAATGATTGAATTTTGGGGGCAGTTTTCCCCATGCTGTTCTCGTGACAGTGAGTGAATTCTCACAAGATTTGATGGTTTTATAAATGGTAGTTTTTCCTGCACTCAGATATGCTTGTCTCCCTCCTGCGGTCTTGTGAAGGAGATGCCTGCTTCGCCTTCTGCCCTGATTGTAAGTTTCCTGAAGCACCCTCAGCCCTGTGGAACTGTGAGTCAATTAAACCACTTTTCTTTATAAATTTCCCATTTTGGGGTATTTCTTGATAGCAAGTGTGAGAAAAGTCCAATGCCATAAGTCAGATAATTTATTCTACTATACTATTCATCATTCTATAACTATTGCTGAATTAGCTACCAAAAGAAGAAATTATCACAAACTTTCCAACAAATTAAAATTTTCAGACATCAACTATTAACATGTCAAATTATAATAATTTTAGTGTTACACAAGGATTAAAAGATTATAAATGCTTTCAAATTAACCTTGTAGGAAATACAGTATAACCTTAAAATAACCTAAGCTTAGTATTATAGTAGAATGGACAAGAATAAAGTTTCTTCCATTTGCTTGCTGAAGAAATCTGTAATAAGAATGTATCATATCTAAATTAGAAAAAAATGCCTAAGGTGTATATTAATATGTTGTCATGAGCAATCTTTGCATGTAACTATCATTTAAAAATTGCGATTAATCAATTAGTGCTTTCTTGGGGCATAACATAATTCATTTAAGATTTGGGATTATTGAAAACAAATCAAATTTTAATTGCTCAATTTTTCATGGGATCAAAAATTGGGACTGTTTTATGAATTATAAACATATTTTCTTAAGGCTAATTATTTAAGGAAAAAGCATACATATCTTTCACTTCAAATGCCAATTTATGTTTAAGGCTGTCACTGAATAGTAAAATGTCATATTCCCACATCCCCTTCAGTACTCTCTATGCCCCTTCTCTATTAATTTATTTATAGAGCTTATGATATCTGAAATGCTATCTATTTTGTTTACATACTTATTTTTTTACCACCACAGTATATGAAATACTTGAGGGAAGGGATTTTACTCACTGCTAAATTCTTTGCATTTGTAACAGTGACTGTCAATACTCTACGCGTAGTAAAGTTTTCTGACAGAAAAAAGGAAGAAGGGGATGGAGGAAGGGAGGAAGCAAGGAAGGAAGTAAAAACTTTCCTTCTCTTAATACATATAAACATACATAGGGCATAATTTTGATATTGACATATTTATGTATGTATTTTAACTCAGGTGTAATGTACCCTTTGTATCTATTAATTCCCATTCCTCTTTTATATTCTTAAATGAGCAATAAGAATTTTGTGTATCTCTTTTCAGTCCACATTTATAGACATATTTTTAAAGATGTATGCAATAACGTATATATGTTAAATTATACATGTCTGACATCTCTATGAGATTTACATATTTTCCACTACCTTTTGTATTATCTATGCATTTTTATACTCATAGATCTGTTTCATATAGTTCTCAATTTAACTACTATTACATGAGTATATCATATTGATTTATTCATTTCTTCATGATAATTACTTACTTTAGTTCCAAGTTTGGCTATTAGAGAAAGTAACACTGCAATGCCCTTCTTTGAACACTTTGCTAGTGCATATGAACAAGAATTACACACACACAAAGAGATATACACACATATATAAATGAGAAAGGGAATATATGAATGTATATGTAATATATATGCATTGATTCACACTGCACATATAGCAGTTTACAAGATACAGTAGTGCCAATTTTATCTCCTAAATGTTTATACAAATTCTAATTTTCAAATCAGATTATGAGAGCTTTTATTGTACTACATCATCATTACCAAAACTGAGTATTATCATGCTCTTTTTTTTTTAATCTGACAACAGTGACCTGATTTAATTTTGATTTCTCTGATTAGTTGGATATCATTTTAATGTGCTTTTCTCATTTGTATCTATTTCTGGGTAAATTTTTTATTTATTAACTTTGTCAAAATTTATTGGATCATTTTTCTCTTTTCTTATTGATTCATGAGTTTTTTAAATATTGTGGATACACAATTTTTTATCTGTTTCTAGTCTTGGAATATTATGCCTTTTAATGAAGTTTTTTTACATGTAAAACTTTTTAATCTATTACTTTATGATTTATGCTGCTCATGATTTCTAAACATGTCTTTTTCTACAATTCATAGAAATATTTCTTTACATTTTCTTATGAATATTTTCAATTTTTAGCAAATTTAGCTCTTGTGGAATTTGTTTGAGGACATGCTATGAGATAGTGTTTTAGTAACATTTTATCCCATATGCATAATGTATTGTCCCCAGCTACATATTGAATTGGATTTTCTATACAGGTTTTCAATGCTAGCACTCTACCAATATCAATGTATTTGTGGACCTAGTCCTGTGCTTTCTGTTTTGTTTTATTGATATCATTTTTAAGTCACATAACAGTGACAATATTATTTTAAATATAAATTTTTAAAATAATGCTGTCAGATAGGTAAGATCTGACAACTTGCTTTTTAAATGTAGATTCTTTTTTGACATTTCATCATATCTTATGTAATTCAGAATCAATTTGTTAAATTTCATGAAAAATTGTGCTGGGATTTTTATTGGAAGTTTGTTTTAATTCATAGATTATTTGAAAATCATTTACATCTTTATGACTTTGGGTCTTCCAAACAACAAACATGGTTGTCTTTCTATTTCATAAGATCTTTGTTTATGCTTCAGTAAATATTTAAATATTTGACATAAAAGTAGTGCAACTGTTGTTAGATTTACTTTTGTGAGAAGTATGACATATATTTATCAAAATGTTGATAGCAAGTATAACTCTTTTACATATATATCAGCATTACTAGTACCATTTTTGCTAAACTTGAATAGCTTTTCTTATTTATATGGTGATTTGGGTAGATGGTTTATGTAGAATTATTACTTGTTCCTTGAAGATGTTTTAAAATTCTGCATTAAAACTGGTTGCTGCTGCTTCCTTAATGACAGATGGTAGAATATTTCTGAGATTTTTTTTAATTTAAAGGTTATTGGTGTATTCTTGTGTTAACAATTTATTAGTCTTTTATTATTTATATTTTTTCCAAAATACTTATTTCATCTAAATGTTCAAAACTGCTGGCAACATGTAGCAATCATTTCACTATATGTACATATATCAAAACAGCATGTTGCACATCTTAAATATATATAATAGAAAAGGAATAAAAATACTAGCAAGATATCTGTAATTATGTTTGCTTGTGTCGTGTATGATTTCCTTCAGTAGTGTTTTGTAGTTTTCCTTGTAAAGGTCTTTCACCTTCCTGGTTAGGTATATTCTGAAGTTAGGTATATTGCTCACTCTCCAGTTGTTTGCCTACCTCCTTCTTCCTAGACATGGGACAAGAACTCAGGACCCACCAAATGGCGGGACTGAAAGAGCTGTAACAGAAACAAGGCTGAAACATGTCGCCTGCTCACCACATTGCAGGCAACAAGGAGAGAAGAGATGTGGCCCTTTGGGGAGCCCGGACCTACGGGCTCTGTGAGCCAGCCTTGTGACACCTTCTTTCGGGCTTTGTGATTCCTGATGTCTCCAAGCTCCCGGGGCACCACCATATTCCCTGGTGCCCACAGTGGAAGCCGCTTAAAGTATGCCTGATCTAGCTGCAACCTTGCACAGGGCCGGGGTCTGTACTGGCACCTGGAGCTGCCCACCCCACTGCAACCAGCACACCTGCCTGTGTGCAGCAGCTGGACCCCGTGCTCGCTCACACATCCCTCATCACTTCCCACCTGACTCACCCTTGGCAGGTGTGGTATTCATGCTGATAGTGCATGCTGAGTGCAGCCTTCTGGGCCAAGTGGGCAGAACAAGCCCTGTGGACCCAAGCCAAACTAGCGCAAAGGTGCCACTGGCCATGGAGGTTTCTGGCTGGAAAAGTAAAACCCTAAGGACCCTATGACAATGGCATCTCATTGTGGTTTTGATTTGCATTTCTCTGATGATTAGTGATGTGGAGCATTTTTTATATGTTCTCTGACTCCTTGTATGTTTTCCTTTGAGAATGTTTGTTCATATTCTTTGCCCATTTTTTAATGGGGTAAATTGATTTTTGCTTGGTGATTTTTTTAAGTTTCTTATAGATTCTAAATATTAGCAAAGTCTAACTTTTGATTGGTAGAAAAACCAAGAAGCTGCGCTGAAACCAGGGATTTTAGTAGTTAGCCATCCAAAGCAAATAACAGTAAATCCTGTTCAAAAGTCTGAGGAATCACTGAGAATTTGCATATTATGGGTAAGTACCTAATTCACTTTATTCACTTAAATTTTGATTGTCCTATAAAATAGTATTTACATTGTCTCTTTCTTAAATCTGTTTATTAAAAATAATCATGGAATTACCTTTCTAAAAATGAAAAACTTAGTTATGCATTGGGTTTTTTTTCTTTGGAAAGGTCCTTGAATGCCTCTTTCAGAAGGGATAAAAGCTGTTAATTTCTGACTAAAAATAAGCATTGGGGCTGTCTTGTGAATAAGCATAACTATTTTTTTTCATGTAAACTCCAATTTAATTAACTATGCATTAGGGAATTGCAGAATATGGCAATAGAATGTTGATATATATCCACAAAGTTTCTGTGAAATATCTCTGACCACTTTATTCTTTATCTTCAGCAGTATGAGACCTTTGCTTTCACTTGAATATGCATAATTATACCCTTTCCAGCCTTGTATACTCCTTGAATAAAAATACATATTGCTCTAGTGTTAATAGTTTTACCCTCAAACCCCTAGATAGTTCTCAAAGTAACTAAATAAAATTAAGTATAAATTTTGGATTTACATTGGCAAGAAAAAGACATATTAACTAAGAGCAAGGTTAGTTTTTAGATGATCTGGAAGACTTCTGTACTTCTTGTTAATATCTTTAGAAAAAAATAAACATTATTTTTAGTTTCTTTCTTTCACTTTGTCTCTCTCTTTCTCTTTCTCTCTTTTTTCTTTCTTTCTCTCTCTCTGTTTTTCTCCCATTTATTTAGCCTATAGGTTGAATGAGTTATTTCACTAGATACATTTAAGATTATTTAAGAATCACATTATAATTTTCTGTCGTATTATGCAAAATTAAACATAATAGGTGAATCAAGATTTGTTTATTTTTACCAGGAAAGGCATTTTGTTGTTAATATTATACTAACTCTTAATAATGAATTTGATTTCCTCAAATTGATGAGGAAATTGCTGATTATATGAGGTTTCTATATTTAGTAAAAATGAATATTAATATTATAAAATGATGAATTGCTAATATAGGACATTGAGCTTGCAATCAACCATAAAATATCCCTCCTATAAAAGACAAGAATTTACAGCAATAATTAGAGAACTCAATTCCATTTCTAATGTCACGTATAACAAAGGAATAGGGAATTCAATAGCCCTTCATAGTAAGAAATAATAATTATTTTTAAATGCTCATGTCATTATTTTGGTGAAATATTTTACTGTGGGATCATTATCAGCATTTTATTTTAAAACATATTTCAGAAGAGAGGAAAATAAGACAAATATGTACCTGCTCAGTGGTACTAGAAAAGTAGCTATTGAAAAAATGTTATTTAATTAATTAAATCTATAAATATCATTCTTATTTCATAACCATAAGTAGTCAAGAAATGTTAAATTCATCACCATTTCTGTCATGATATATTAATGTTTTCAATTATTTTTCTTTAACAGTAACAGAATATCACTTTTTGAATGAAATTATGTTTTCAAATATTAGAAACACCAATCTTAACAGGGAGATGACTTTTTTTTAATTGCCCTTAAGGAAAAGTTCTAAGCTTATGCTAGCAATATATGATATACACAACTAGATGGGCTATAAATTCAATCCAATAAAACATTTTTAAAATAGACATATCAGATTATATGCATTTAAATACTTTCATCTCTCCAATTTAAAACATAAAATAGAAAAACTACAACATTTATGAAAAAATTTTAGTGCTCCTGGTGTTTATAAACCAGATATACCTTTGACTCAGGCTCTATTTTCTTGGAATTCACACTAAAGCAATATGTAGAAACACACAAAAAAAGTAAGAAGAAAAGACCAGAGATAAATTCTATAATGTAAAAATGGGTAAACAATATAAATCATACTTTACATATCAAAACATGTCATAGGAAAACTAATACAGCAAACTCATTACTTAAGAAATGCAAAGTAAAATGTGATATCTCCAAATTTAACTTATTAAAACTTTTTAGAGCATCAGATATTGCTGATTTTGAGGAAGAATTCACAAAGTGTTGAATAAAACAGAAATGGTAAAAACATCTAGTCTTCAAAAAATAATAAGAGAAAGTATTTAGTGAGTGATTATTGTAGAACAAGTATTTTTCTCAGTGTTTTGCATATATCCACTAATTTAATCATTAAAAATCTCTACTATGAATATTATTGCTAACATTTTCAGATAAAGTGTGGAGGGCTAATGGTAAAGTTAAAATTCAAACTCAACACTCTCACTTCAGAAGACCTGATTTTTACTGCTCACTCTCCTGTCTGTTGTGGATTACAGATACTATGGAAAGCTTAATACATATATAAATATATGAACTTTCAATTTGGGGCATCTTCCTATTGCTGACCTCAGTGCTTAGGCTTCAGATCTCAATGCAACTATTTTGAGCTTAAAATGCCCAAATATCCCGTCTAAAAACAGGGTTAATTCATCTTTTCTTGTGCCACGGAATCCTTTGGTAGTCTGGTGAAAACTATGGACCCATTCAGAGACTCATACACAGTTTTAAGTTAATAAAAATATATAACATTATTAAGGGAAATAATATTATTTAAGTATGGTTTGCAAAATGTTAAGTGGGGGGAATTTGTGATGTGGAAATGTATATGCTTCTTTAACAAGATCTTGTGTTGGTTCTAGTAACTGTTTTACTTTCAAAGTAAGGATCTGCCGGGCACTTTATAATCCCACGCCTATAATCCCAGCACTTTAGGAGCCCAAGGCGGGTGGATCATCTGATGTCAGGAGTTCAAGACCAGCCTGGCCAACTTGGTGAAATCCCAACTCTACCTAAAATACAAAAAATTAGCTGGGCGTGGTGGCATGCACCTGTAATCCCAACTACTCATGAGGCTGAGGCAGGAGAATTGCTTGAAGCTGGGAGGTGGAGGTTGCAGTGGGCTCAGATTGCACCATTGCACTCCTGCCTGAGCAATGGGAGTGAAACTCCATCTGGAAAAAAAAAAAAAAAAAAGGATAACTCATGATGACCATACATGTATTTCAGGATATTGCTACAAGAATTCATGATTCCTGAAGTAGAGCCTCTGCCAAAGGTTTTATAAAACCTAGTTTTTAGAATAGTGATTGACCTTCCTTTTCTAGTGTCTCCTGAATCTGAAGACTATGGCCTAGTTACAGCAGTAGCTTCAACTACTTTGTAGTCAACTAAAAACACCATACATCGCTTCTTGTTAATACTCAACAATTGTCAAAGATGTATGACCAATAAGTTATTATGTCTCACTTTTATACCTTCTTGTTGATATGCCTTCCTGTTGTACGTTCTTGTTTACAACCCAAATTTCTATTGTTTTTCACTTACATTCCAACATTTTATGTGCTCTGGAACACTCACATCTTCAACCTCTTTCAGTAAGTGTTCCATTTGCCTGTTTATCTTTTATAAAAATGGATATCTCAGGGTAAGTGTGTGGTTTCCTTAATTACATTGCAGCTACTATATAAATCCTTGCTTCTTTATGGCTTAGGCCATAAAACTTCATCAATATCTACTTTAAAAAATGTTGCCATATATCAACATCTGTTTCTCAATGAAAGTATTGTAGAACGACAAACTAGATAATATGTGGACTTTCCTGTTAATATCGTGTCTCTTAAGGGCAAGCAATATCAAATAAAATTAACTTGATTTCTCCTCAAATATTCATTTTCTTAGCCATACTCTTATAATTACCTTCACCTAGGACAATTCTACAACTGTAAAATTAAATTCAAATGGCCCACTATTTGAGAACAAATTTTGATCTTACTTACTTAGCCTCAGCTACCGTAGCCATTAATCAGTTCTTTATTTCAGATGTTCTCTCCAGACATAGGTTTTTCTCTTTCTAGTCAGGTGGTCAGAAGCATAGTTGAGCTGAAGAGAGAGCTAAGATGCAAGGTGTCAACATAGTCAATTAAAATTACAAGCCAAAATGAAATAACAGTCAGTATTTTAATTACTCACTGTGATAAAATTCACAAAGCTCTAACTCTTCTCAGTTCCATTTTCCACCATAAAATGGACTGGTAGAAAGGGTCATCGCACTGCTGTGGGAGCCCTGAAAGAAAGGCTCCTGGAGAAAAGGTGGAGAGGGTTAGGTGTAGAAAAGTATGGAGTACTGAGTTACAGTGGAAAGTTTTGTTTTCATGGTTTCTACCCCCTCTTTCTGATAAGGAGGTCTCAACAATGGTGCCCAAGGAAGGCCTTGGCCAAACTCCTGAGATCAAAAGAGCTCCTGATGAAAGTGCCTGGGCTAGGGAAGCAAGAATGCTTCAGAGCATGGCTGGTCAGGGGGGCCTGAGTTCCTAATGCTGACCCCACAACTACTTCAAAGCATTGTCACCAAGTTTGTTTGGAGAGGGCAGCTTTTCCTCAAGATGCCTGTTAGGTAAAGCCTTTGTCATTGGCTATGGTCAGCCATGGAAAAAATCATGTGTTTCCTTCCTTCCTTCCTTCCTTCTTCCTTCCTTCCCTCCTTCCTTTCTTTCTTTCTTGCTTTCTTTGTTTTTTTGCCAGGATCTCAACTCTAGTTTGTTCTTCAAGACTCCAGTCTGTTCTTCAACACTATTGCAAAAATAGTCTTCCATTGCTCAAACATCAGTTGTTACAACTGTTAACTTCATTTTCAGTAGATGATATGTATTGTTTCTTTAAATTAATTAAAAAGACATGATAAGAAAAATTTATTTATTTTCTACAAAAGTATTTCAAATCACTCTTACTCCATGTGCAATCTACTTACTGTTTCTTCTTGAAAGGTAAGAATTGTCCTTTACCTCCTCTACAATGTATCTCCTCTACACTTTGAATCCCATCTCTTCCCAGATTTAAGGACCATAACTCAGTAATTTTTGCCCTTTCCTGTAAAACTGCACCCTCTCTCTCCTAATAGTTTTCTCTTTAAGCTTGCTCAAGTTTATTCTATTAAAATATTATAATAAAAATAAATATTCCCTCATTTCAACTGACTTCCTCAGACTGTCTTGTTTTGCTCCTCTTCATCACTCCCATATTTCATAAAAAATTAATTAAAATTTACTTTCTCACTTTCTACTCAGTACTAAAGCCACATGAATTAGTCTATTCTCATACTGTTATAAGGAGACTACCTGAGACTGGGTAATTTATAAAGAAAGGAGGTTTAATTGACTCACAGATCTGCATGGCTGGGAGGCCTCAGGAAACTTACAATAATGGCAGAAGGCAAAGGGGACGCAGGCACATCTTACATGGTGGCAGGAATAAAAAAGTGAGCAAGTGCCACAATTTAAAACCATCAGCTCTTGTGAGAACTCACTAAATATCATGAGAACAGCATGGGGAAAAATGCCCCCATGATCCAATCACCTCCCAACAGGTTCCTTCCTTGAAATATGGGGATTACAATTCAAGATGAGATTTAGGTACAGACACAGAGACAAACCATATACTGTACTTAGACATCTGTATTACCACTACACTGAAACTACCTTTATCAATGTCATCAAGAACCAACTCATTTTTATATTCAGCTTTTATTTCTTAAGTGTCTTAAAATTTACTGGTGGAAATAGCCTTTGACACTGTTGATCAATTCCATTTACCTTAAAACACTCTCTTCTCTTGACTTGTATATTTTCTCACCACCTGACTTTGTCCGGACCTCTTTTACATTTTATTTGAACTTTTGCTTTAATGGTTTCCCTTCTTCTGCTCATTCTTTAAACTTAAGTGACCTACCTATAGGAAATCTTCATTGCAATGTCCCTTGAGTACCCACATCTCAGGTGTTCAAATAGAACTTGCCACATATTTACTCCAACACTATTCCTCTTATTTTCCTTATCTCAGTGAATGGAGAAATCATTTAAATGCAGATGACTTAGTCATTATCTTAATCTGCTTGTGCTGCTGTAATAAAATACCTGAGACTAGGTAATTTATAAGGAAAAGAAATTTCTTTATTGCTGCTCTGGTGCTGAGAAGTCCATAAAGTGTCAGCATCTGGTGAGGGTTTTCTTGCTGTGTATTCACATGCTAGAAGTTGGAAAGAGAAGAGGACCAAATGCTACATGAAGCTTCTTATCTAAGGGCTTTCATCCCATTCACGAAGGAAGAGCACTCACAGTCAAATCATCTTTTAAAGGCTTCCACTATTAATACTACCACGTTGGAAACAACTGAATTTTGGAGGAGACACAAACCATTGCAGTTATTATCCTTTGCCTTCCTACTTTCTTATCAAAACACATGTACAATAAAATCTTGTTGATTATGCACATTCATCTCTGTTAATTTTTTAGTTTTTAGGGAAAAAAAGCAAACTTCATGCATATGTATTAAATTTGTGTCAGATACTTTGATGTTTAAAATGCAAAGTCATGGTCTTTGGCAGCTCCACCCCAGTGACTTTGCAGGGTACAGCCTCCCTCCTAGCTGCTTTCACAGGCTGGCATTGAGTGTCTGAGGCTTTTTCAAGAGCACTGTGCAAACTGTCAGTGCATCTACCTTCCTAGGATCTGGAGAATTGTGGCTCTCTTCTCACAGCTCCACCATGCTGGAGGACAGTGGCCCTCTTCTCACAGCTCCACTAGATGGTGCCCCAGCAGGGACTCAGTGTGGGGACTTCAACCCCACATTTCCCTTTTGCACTGCCCTAGCAGAGGTTCTCTATGAGGGTCTCTCCCCTCCAGCAAACTTTTGCATGGACATCTAGGCATTTCCATATATTCTCTGAAATCTAGATGGAGGTTTCCAAACCTCAATTCTTGACTTCTGTGCACCCGCAGGCTCAACACCACGTGGAAGCTGCCAAGTCTTGGGGCTTGCACCCTCTGATGCCATGGCCTGAGCTGTACCTTGACCCCTTTTAGACATGGCTAGAACTGCTGAGATTCAGGGCACAAAGTTCCTAGGCTGCACAGAGCAGAGGGGCCCTGGGCCTAGCTCTGGAAATCTTGTTTTCCTCCTAGGCCTCTGGACCTGTGATGGGAGGGGCTGCCTCAAAGGTTTCTGACATGCTCTAGTGACATTTTCTCCATTGTCTTGGCAATTAACATTTGGCTCCTTGTTACTTATGCAAATTTCTGCAGCCGGCTTGAATTTCCCCTCAGAAAATGGGTTTTTCTTTTCTATAGCATCACAAGGCTGCAAATTTTCCGAACTTTTATGCTCTGTTTTTCTTTTAAAATTGAATGCTTTTAACAGCACCCAAGTCACTTCTTGAATGCTTTGCTGCTTAGAAATTTCTCCTGCTACATACCCTAAATCATCTCCCTCAAGTTCAAAGTCCAACAGATCTCTTGGGCAGGGGCAAAATGCCACCAGTCTCTTTGCTAAAACACAGCAAGACTAACCTTTATTTCAGTTGTCAAGTTCCTCATCTGCATCTGAGGACCACCTCAGCCTGAATTTCATTGACCATATCATTATCAGCATTTGGATCAAAGCCATTCAACAAGTCTCTTGGAAGTTCCAAACTTTCCCACATTTTCCTTTTTTCTTCTAAGCCTTCAAAACCATTCCAGCCTCTGCCTGTTACCCAGTTCCAAAGTCACCTTCCACATTTTGAGGTATCCTTACAGCAGCACCCCACTCTATACCAGTACCAATTTACTGTATTAGTACATTTTCATGCTGCTAATAAACAAATACCCAAGACTGGATAACTTATAAAGAAAAAGATATTTAATGGACTTACAGTTTCACATGGTTGGAGAGGCCTCACAATCATGGTAGAAGGTGAAGGAAGAGCAAAGGCATGTCTTACATGGTGGCAGACAAGAGAGAATGGAAAACCAAGAGAAGAGAAAAACCCTTCATAAAACCATCAGATCCCATGAGAATTCACTCACTATCATGAGAACAGTACAGGGGAAAGTGCCCCTATGATTCAATTATCTCCACCTGGACCTGCCCTTGATATGTGGGGATTATTAAAATTCAAGGTGAGATTTGGGTGGGGACACAGAGCCAAATAATATCAACCTCCCACTTGGCCCAGCTGCAATGCTGGAGGTCACATTTCAGCATGAGATTTAGAGAGGACAAAATAGCCAAACCATATTATCATGTGTTTCCCATGCATATATCTTGCAGTAACTTCCCATTATATATGGAAGAGATTGCTGACTGTTTCTGTCAGGGCCAGATAATAAATATCTTAGGCTTTATGGAGGATACAGTCTTTGTCACAAACATGTAACTCTGTTGTAGCATAAATGCAGTCATAGCCAATACTTCCATGAAAGAATATGGCTGCATTCCAATGAAACTTTGTTTATAAAAAAGGTGGCAGGGCAGATTTGAAAACCTCTAACACATAATGAGAAAAATCCACAATCTTAAGAATGCTTTACTAAACACTTTAGTACATTCCCAACCCGCAGAACCTGCAGAATTTATTCACAGTAACCACCAGCCTCTGCTTCTGATTGTAATAGCCTAGACAATTATAATCGTTTTGGTATCAATTTTCTGTGTCAGTCTGTTCTTGCAATGCTATAAAGAAATATCAGAGACTGGGTAATTGTTAAAGAAAAGAGGTTTTATAGGCTCGCAGTCTGCAGGTTGTACAACAATTCTAGTACCAGCATCTGCTTTTGATGAGGGCCTCAGAAAGCTTAAAGTCATGGCAGAAGGTGAAGAGGGGGTTGGTGTATCAGTTTTCCTTTAAAGGCACTATGACGGGGGATATCTAAGACCATTTCATAGTCAATGATTCACTAGATAGAATCACAGAACTCAGCAGAGATCTTATATTCTGAAAGTTATATTTTACTACAATAAATGGATACAACTTAAAATCTGCAACAGAGGCTGGGCGCGGTGGCTCACGCCTACAATCCCAACACTTTGGAAGGCCAAGGCGGGTGGATCACAAGGTCAAGAGTTCGAGACCAGCCTGGCCAATATGGTAAAATCCCGTCTCTACTAAAAATACAAAAATTAGCTGGGCCTGGTGGTAGGTGCCTGTAGTCCCAGCTCTTCAGGAGGCTGAGGCAGGAGAATCGCTTGAACCCAGGAGGCGGAGGTTGCAGTGAGCCAAGATTGCACCACTGCACTCCAGCCTGGGCAACAGAGCGAGAATCTAAAAAAAAAAAAAAAGAAATCTGCAACGGAAAAAAATGCACAGTGCAGACTCTGGGAGAGACCAGGTGCAAGCTTCCAATTGTCCTTTACCAGTGAAATCATATAAAGAGTGCTAATTCTCCTAGCAACAATGTATATAAACATGCATGAATTATTGACAGTAATGGAAGCTCATACAAGCATTCTTGTCCAGATTTTTTGGGGGTGGGATAGGTTATGTAGACATGGATGACTACCTGAATGTTTAATGTTAGTTATTTCATCTCACAAGTTCAAACTACTATTGTGTAGCTCAAGGCTCAAACATAAATCACATTTTTAGCATAAATTATCTGGCATGGCCTGGTCTTAGGTAAACAGAGACATTATTAACAGGCATGATAGTCCAAGGCATTAGACATTGTTTTCCAGAGGCTGGAAAATGTTTGACTTTATTTTGGAATGTACAGGTAGATTTTAGACAACCAAGATCTAATAAATTAATCCTTTACTGTGTAAGTACTCAAAGATTTCTTACTTTTGGGTCTTTGCTTGCTGAAATACCTTTTTGCTTATTCCATTCTCTGAAGAGAAATAAATATGCCACTTACTCTAAACTCCTTTTAACATGATCATTTTCTTAATCACCTTTGTATCCCTATTGCATGTATAGTGCCAAAAATGTAGTAGAGGATTAATAAGTGTTTTTTAAAAACTGAGCAAAAACAAATCAGAAATGTATTCTTGTTATTGTTTTTGTAAATTAATTGGCCAGGAATTATATATGGAGATGCATCACTAAATAACATAGAAATAACTTCTCCTTATAGTCAACAATTGGGTAGCTTACAGGAAAGATCAACCTAATAATTAAGTATGAAAAGTAAAGTAGGTGGTATGGGATATCATTAAGAAGAAATGCAGTTGAAGTTTATTTTAGGTAACTTTCAAGCATTTTTCCTATAAATTTCATATCGTGCCAATAGAATAAACATCAACAAACTATAGACCTCTATCTAAATCTGGTTTGCCAAAGTTTTTTGGTAAATAAAACTTTATGGGGGTGCATGATCTTCATTCTTCTTTCACACTAAAATGGCAAAGTTGAGTAATTGCAAGGAGACAGTAGGCCACACAGCCCCCTAACACTAAAATATTTTCTATCTGGCCTTTTACTGACAAAGTTTTATAAACTCTTCTCCAGATAAATAAAAAATTTACAACCATAATCTCAAAAAAACGAAACATATGGTTTGAATAATTTGATTGGTTGCACTTCTGAGGCAATTATGTTTACTGTTGTTGGGTATCAAAATGAAAATCCCCACTTAGTCCATTAAAAAAATTCTGAAGAAATAATTGCTAATATTGAAAGTCATTCATACATATTTATGTCAGGATTTCTATATCATATTCTCTCTCTGGCATGACTTTCAAGTAGTTAATATCTAAATATCTTATAGATTAGTTAATTAATATCTAAATATCTTATGGATTCCTCTTACGTGGT